>NC_000017.11:30685980-31935980 GCF_000001405.40 Homo sapiens | reverse complement strand
TTAAATACCTAAAGTACAGGTTTTATCAAAGCCTTTGCTACTTAAGAAAGTGATCTCTGCAAATGACGTATATAGTATTTGGCATTTCAGGAACACATCTGAAATTAGGTATACCTTCTTACCTGAAATAAGGAATGCCTGTTGTTAAGGACAAGCTATATTTTATATTCAGACAAAAAGTTCAGAATCCCCTCTTGTTTGTTACACTATCCTCTGTAGTCTTTTTTTTTTTTGAGACGGATTCTCGCTCTGTCACCCAGGCTGGAGTGCAAGGGCGCGATCTTGGCTCACTGCAACCTTGGCCTCCCGAGAGAAATACCAGTAAGTTCTCTTGGTAACAAAGCCACAGGCACTGCTAACACTACTATGATTTGTCACCTATTAGTAGTTGAAGGAGATGCTAAATTCTAGCTAGAGGTTAGTGTAAATAAATATATATATTTTTTGTCATTCAAGTTCTCAGACTTCCTGAAGCCTGTTCAAGTTAAGAACCTTTGTGTTATAGCAGCAAGTCTTTTTCTTTCTACTTTACTGTTAAGCTCTTGGGGCACGGATGATGGATGCTTTGGTAGCTGAGGTGTCTATCACTGTGCCTGGCATAGAATCAGGATTCATCCAATGAGTCTTGATGAATAAAGTTGGACACCAGCGCACAAATATAAATTAGGATAATAATGACTGAGTGCTTACTATGTGCCAGGCAATACTTTAAGTTTTTACAAGCTTAACATTCAATTCTCACACCAATCCTCTGAGGTAGACATTTATTAATATCTCCATTTCATAGATGAGGAAATAACAGCAAGACTTGTTAAGAAGCTTGCACAAACCGGGATTTTTAACCCAGGCAGTGTCTCTGGAGCCCTCATGCTTCACTATCATGCCAGAAAAATAAAGAGTTTTGTTTGTTGTTATTGTTGTTGTTGTTGTTTTGAGATGGAGCCTCACTCTGTGGCTCAGGCTAGAGTGCAGTGGCACAATCTCGGCTCACCGCAACCTCAGCCTCCCGGGTTCAAGTGATTCTCCTGCCTTAGCCTCCCAAGTAGCTGGGATTACAGGTGCATGCCACTATGCCTGGCTAATTTTTTGTATTTTTAGTAGAGATGGGGTTTCACCTTGTTAGCCTGGATGGTCAGGATCTCCAGACCTTGTGGTCGACCAGCCTTGGCCTCCGAAAATGTGGGGCTTACAGAAGTGAGCCCCACACCTTGCCAAGAGTTTTAAAGATAAAAGATGTAGGATATGTCAGGCCGGGCACGGTGGCTCACACCTGTAATCCCAGCACTTTGGGAGGCTGAGGCGGGCGGATCACGAGTTCAAGAGATTGAGACCATTCTGGCCAACATGGTGAAACCCCATCTCTACTAAAAATACAAAAATTAGCTGGGCGTGGTGGTGCTTGCCTGTAGTCCCAGCTACTCGGGAGGCTGAGGCAGGAGAATTGCTTGAACCCGGGAGGCGGAGGTTGCAGTGAGCTGAGATCATGCCACTGCACTCCAGCCTGGCGACAGAGTGAGACTCCGTCTCAAAAAAAAAAAAAAAAAAGTTGTAGCATATGTCATGTCTAAGTCAAGAAAGATCAGTAGGCTGGGTGCGGTGGCTCACGCCTGTAATCCCAGCACTTTGGGAGGCTAAGTTGGAACACAAGGTAAGGAGATCAAGACCATCCTGGCCAACACAGTGAAACCCTGTCTCTACTAAAATACAAAAAATTAGCCGGGCATGGTGGCATGTGCCTGTAGTCCCAACTACTGGGGAGGCTGAGGCAGGGAAATCACTTGAACCCGGGAGGCAGAGGTCACAGTGAGCCTGGATCGTGCCACTGCACTCTAGCCTGGTGACAGAGAAAGACTCCGTCTCAAAAAACAAAAAACAAAAAAAGGCCGGGCACGGTGGCTCAAGCCTGTAATCCCAGCATTTAGGGAGGCCAAGACGGGCGGACCACGAGGTCAGGAGACCGAGACCATCCTGGTTAACACAGTGAAACCCTGTCTCTACTAAAAATACAAAAAAATTAGCCAGGTGTAGTGGCGGGCGCCTGTAGTCCCAGCTACTCAGCAGGCTGAGGCAGGAGAATGGCGTGAACCCAGGAGGCGGAGCTTGCAGTGAGCCGAGATCACGCCACTGCACTCCAGCCTGGGGGACAGAATGAGACTCCATCTCACAAAAAAAAAAAAAAAAATCAGTAAATATTGCCTCTAAGGCTGGGCGCTGTGGCTCACGCCTGTAATCCCAGCACTTTGGGAGGCCAAGACGGGTGGATCACGGGGTCAGGAGATCGAGACCATCCTGGATAAAATGGCGAAACCCTGTTTCTACTAAAAATACAAAAAAATTAGCCGGGTGTGGTGGCGGGCACCTGTAGTCCCAGCTACTCGGGAGGCTGAGGCAGGAGAATGGTGTGAACCCGGGAAGCAGAGCTTGCAGTGAGCCGAGATTGCGCCACTGCACTGCAGCCTGGGTGACAAGCAAGACTCCGTCTCAAAAAAAAAAAAAAATTGCCTCTGATGTGCTGAAATGAATAATCATCAGTATGAATGCACTTGACTTAAAATAACCAAGGTATCAAGCCTCCCTTTTACTTGTACAGTGTCTATCCTCCATTCATCCTCATTTCCTTAAAATTTAGCGCTGAGACTATTAAAATAAGTCAACAAGGCCAGGTGTGGTGGCTCACACCTGTAATCTCAGCACTTTGGGAGGCCAAGGTGGGCAGATCACAAAGTCAGGAGTTCGAGACCAGCCTGGCCAATATGGTGAAACCCTGTCTCTACTAAAAATACAAAAATTAGCTGGGCATGGTGGTGGGTGCCTGTAATCCCAGCTACTCAGGAGGCTGAGGCATGAGAATTGCTGGGTGTGGTGGCATGCACCTGTAGTCCTGGCTACTTGGGAGGCTGAGGCAGGAGAATCGCTTGAACCCGAAAGGCAGAGGTTGCAGTGAGCCGAGATCATGCCACTGCACTCCAGCCTAGGCGACAGAGTGAGATGCCATCTTAAAAAAAAAAAAAAAGTCAACAAAGGCTATATCCGAAAAAAAATTTTGTCTTGCTTGAGGAAACTGACATGTTATATTAGCTGATAAGTTCTTAAAGAAATAGAATCAAATTTGATTTTTTTTAAAAAGAATGTCAACTGGTGATTGATTATCTGAATAGGAAAAACAGAAAAAGAAAAAGAAATAAAAATAAGTAAAAGGCTGGGTGTGTTGGCTCATGCCTGGAATCCCAGCACTTTGGGAGGCCAAGTCAGGTGGATCATCTGAGGTCCTGAGTTCGAGACCAGCCTGGCCAACATGGTGAAACCCCATCTCTAGTAAAAATACAGAAATTAGCTGGGCATGGGGGTGCATGCCTGTAATCCCAGCTACTTAGGAGGCTGAGGCAGGAGAATCTCTTGAACCCGGCAGGCAGAGGTTGCAGTGAGCTGAGGTCGTGCCACTGCACTCCAGCCCGGGCAATGCAGCAAGACTCCATCTCAAAAATAATAATAAGTAAAAAAAGGCCTCCAAGATAAAAATAGTAATGACCTGCCTAATAAAATGTAGTTTGAAGGAACAGTTTTAACAGTCCTGTTCAACTCTTAAAACCAAAAGTTTACTCATTTTTGTTTTCTTTGTGTAAGAAAGAAAAGCATGAGAACCATGGAACATTCACTGTATATTATAGGGTTTTCATAATAAACCACTGATTTGTGTATGTGTGTTTATCTAGAGTTAACAAGATATAATAAGGATGTTAGTAAGCCATAGTTAGAACTCCTGGGACAGGAAGAAACTTGACACTAATAACCTGGGGAGAAAAAAAACCACCTGAGCCAAAGTGGAAATATCTAAACCTGAATTTCTGGAGGCCTATGTCTGGAAAAAAAACTATTATGGCTGTTTTTCAGACTGTGGGACAAGTTGTTTTACATTTAACTTTAAACAAATGTGAAGTAAGTTGCCATTTATTGAGCAACCTGTCCACACAACAATCATAAACAGTAATGTTAGTTACTATTAGTATTAGTCAACCCCCTCAGATACTTCTCACTGAATCTCAAAGAGATTAAGTAACTCCCCCACCATTACACCATCCCACAAATGAGAGAGCTGGAGTTTAAACCCAGCTATAGGGGGCTCAAAACCCCATGTTTTCCAGTATGACTAAAGTATCCAAGCTGTCTTTCTGGAACCCCAGAGTTTCAGGAAGCTACCCTCCGGGAGAAGAGGAAGCTGCAATATGGTGGGCTCTGCATTCCCATTTGTCTTTCATCAGAGATGTTCTACTTGTGACTGTTTTATAATTTGTTTGAACATAATGGTTCTACTTGCTAAAAAGAATTTTTTTTGAAAATCACCACAGTATACTATGCTGTCTTCCCAAGTCTGATAATGAGAAATAACCAGCTAAAATAGCACCAATAGTGTATTCTGGGATATACTCATCTCAAAATTTGACAGCATTAAAAACAAACCTGGCCAGGTATGGTGGCTCACGCCTGTAATCCCAGCATTTTGGGAGGCCGAGGCCGAGGCAGGCAGATCACGAGGTCAGGAGATCAAGGCCATCCTGGCTAATACGGTGAAACCCCGTCTCTATTAAAAATACAAAAAATTAGGCCAGGCGTGTTGGCTCACGCCTGTAATCCCAGCACTCTGGGAGGCCGAGGTGGGTGGAGCGCGATGTCAGGAGATTGAGACCATCCTGGCTAACAAGGGGAAACCCTGTCTCTATTAAAAAATACAAAAAAAAATTAACCGGGCATGGTGGCGGGCGCCTGTAGTCCCAGCTACTGGGGAGGCTGAGGCAGGAGAATGGCGTGAACCTGGGAGGCGGAGCTTGCAGTGAGCCGAGATCACACCACTGTACTCCAGTCTGGGCGAGAGAGCGAGACTCCATCTCAAAAAAAAAAAAAAAAAAAATTAGCTGGGAGTGGTGGCAGGCGCCTGTAATCCCAGCTACTCTGGAGGCTGAGGCAGAGGAATCGCCTGAACCTGGGAGGCAGAGGTTGCAGTGAGCTGAGATCGCGCCACTGCAGCACTGCACTCCAGCCTTGGTGACAGAGCAAGACTCTGTCTCAAAATAAAATAAAATAAAATAAAATAAAATAAAATAAAATAAAATAAAAAATAAAAACCTATGACAAGACTAATGAAGATTACTTTGTTTCATGGTAATGAAATGCAGATGAAAAAGATCATTCTGGCTGGGTGTGGTGGCTCATGCCTGTAACCCCAGCACTTTGGGAGGCCGAGGTGGGCATATCACCACACGTCAGGAGTTCAAGACTAGCCTGACCAACATGGAGAAACCCCATCTCTACTAAAAGTACAAAATTAGCCAGGCGTGATGGCGCATGCCTGTAGTCCCAGCTACTGGGGAGGCTGAGGCAGGAGAATCGCTTGAACCTGGGAGGCGGAGGTTGCAGTGAGCCAAGATCACACCATTGAACTCCAGCCTGGGCAACAAGAGCAAAACTCCATCTCAAAAAAAGAAAAAGAAAATGAAAAAGATAATTCTGTAAATATTTCATGCATGCCCTGCCCAGAAAAAAAAAATTAGTTTTGCTGATAATACCGCTAATCTTTGTGTGAACTTATGTTTTCTTCATTTTCTAGGGAAAAAAACAGCATTATTATGTCATCATACTTCATAAATCATGTCAACATGATTATTAGGGTCAACCTGTCAGGTATTATCATCACTTCTTTTTTTTTTTGAGACCGAGTCTTACTCTGTCACCCAGGCTGGAGTACGGTGGCACGATCTTGGCTCACTGCAACCTCTGCCTCCCAGATTCGAGCGATTCTCCTGCCTCAGCCTCCCGAGTAGCTGGGATTACAGGCATGCGCCACCACGCCTGGCTAAATTTGTATTTTTTAGTACAGACGGGGTTTCACCACATTGGTCAGGCTGGTCTTGAACTCCTGACCTCAGGTGATCCGCCCGCCTCGGCCTCCCAAAGTGCTGGGATTCAGGCATGAGCCACTGTGCCCAGCCATCACTTCTATAATACTACTATAGTCTGGATATCTGGATTTCCATTCAGAGTTTATAAATTAACCTTTATTTTGCAATTGCTAATTTACTGCTGTTAAGCAGAACATATTAAGAGATGCAGACCTTTATTTTTAGCTAGTTTTTTTTTTTTTTTTTTTTGAGAGGTAGTCTCGCTCTGTCACCGAGGCTGGAGTGAGTGCAGTGGCGCGATCTCGGCTCACTGCAAGCTCTGCCTCTCGGGTTCACGCCATTCTCCTCCCTCAGCCTCCCGAGTAGCTGGGACTACAGGCACCCGCCACCATGCCTGGCTAATTTTTTTGTATTTTTAGTAGAGACAGGGTTTCACCATGTTAGCCAGGATGGTCTCGATCTCCTGACCTCGTGATCCACCCGCCTCGGCCTCCCAAAGTGCTGGGATCACAGGCGTGAGCAACGCACCCGGCCAGCTAGTTGTTATTATTACAAATATTGTTCTTATTTTCATAATACGATTTTATTTATTTATTTATTTATCTATTTATTTATTTATTTTTTAGACAGAGTCTCACTCTGTTGCCCAGGCTGGAGTGCACTGCACCCTGGGCAACAAGAGCTAAACTCTCTCTCAAACCAACAACAACAACAACATATTTAGGGCCAGGTATGGTGGCTTAGGCCTGTAATCCCAGCACTTTGGGAGGCCGAGACGGGCAGATCACAACGTCAGGAGTTTGAGACCAGCCTGGCCAACATAGTGAAACCCCGTCTCTACTAAAAATACAAACAATTAGCCAGGCTTGGTGGCACGTGCCTGTAGTCCCAGGTACTCGGGAGGCTGAGGCAGGAGAATCGCTTGAAGCCAGGAGGTGGAGATTGCTGTGAGTGGAGATCATGCCACTGCACTCTAGCCTTGGCAACAGAGCCAGACTGTCTCAAAAAGAAAGCAAAAAACGTATTTAGGGTGTAGAAGTACATATTTCCTAAAGGCATATATTATGTAGTGGTAAAGTCTAAGCTTTAATGTAGGTTCTTGTTAAAGTTACCTCAGTTCTTTAATTCTGAGAACTCACAGAAATTACCAGTGTGCAATACCAAAGTTAAATTCACTTTTTTACACCAAAGTTAAATTTATACAAATGTTATTTTTCTATAGAATTATAATTTTTTTTTTTTGAGACGGAGTTTCACTCTGTTGCCAGGCTGAAGTGCAGTGGCACAATCTCGGCTCACTGCAATCTCTGCCTCCTGGGTTCAAGCAATTCTCCTGTCTCAGCCTCTCGAGTAGCTGGGATTACAGGCTCGCACCACCACGCCCAGCTAATTTTTGTATTTTTAGTAGAGACAGGGTTTCACCATGTTGGCCAGGATGGTCTTGACCTCCTGACCGTGTGATCCGCCGGCCTTGGCCTCCCAAAGTGCTGGGATTACAGGTGTGAGCCACAGCGCCCAGCCTAGAATTGTAAGTTTTATAAAGCTTGAGATCCATTTTTTATTCCTGAATTATCCAAAAATAAAAGGCAAATGGTGTTATCTTCTAATGGGTGCAAAAAAGGGTTACAAATTTAGCTCAAAACATGTCAAGTGATATAGAAGAGTTCGGCCGGGGCGGTGGCTCAAGCCTGTAATCCCAGCATTTTGGGAGGCCGAGGCATGAGAATGGCGTGAACCCGGGAGGCAGAGCTTGCAGTGAGCGGAGATCGCGCCACTGCACTCCAGCCTGGGCCACAGAGCGAGACTCCGTCTCAAAAAAAAAAAAAAAAAAAACACAAGAAGAGTTCCTGGTAAGAAAATATACAACACTTAGGAAGTGAAACAAAATTAAAAACTAAACTTTGCATTACACTTACCATATAGTAATTTAAAAGTTATCTTTTTTCTTTTTTTTTGAGAGGAAGTTTTGCTCTTTTTGCCCTGGCTGGAGTGCAATGGCACCATCTTGGCGCACTGCAACCTCTGCCTCCCAGGTTCAAGCAATTCTCCAGCCTCAGCCTCTCAAGTAGCTGGGATTAAAGGAACTTGCCACCATGCCAGACTAATTTTTTGTATTTTTAGTAGAGATGGAGTTTCACCATATTGGCCAGGCTGGTCTCGAACTCCTGACCTCAGGTGATCCACCCACTTTGGCCTCACAAAGTGCTGTGATTATAGGCATGAGCCACAACATCCGGCCTTGTCTGATGTTTTTCTAATGATTGGAGTTCACTTATAGGTTTTATGGAGGGAGATCACAAAAGGGAAGTACCATTGTTATCATACCATATCCAGGTTGATATCCATATGATTGTTATTGATGACGTTAATCTTGATCACCTGTCCAACATTTCTCAACCTTCTCCATACTTTTTTCTCCTGTACTCTTTTTCTCTGCTGTACTCTTTCTCTCCTACTTTTTCTCTCCTATATTCTTTTGAAGCAAGTCCCCAAGTATAGCACTACACTCAAGGTGTGGTAATAGTGGTTGTGGTGAATTAAGCTCTACCACCTTGATGGCTAAGTATCTGTATGAATAATTTGGAATTCTTTCGTGAAGTGGATATTTACCTTCTCTTCCATTTCTATATTTATTCAATACTTTATATCAGTATGGATTCATGGGTATTTATTTTATACTTTGGGGTATAATCTAATACTATATATATATATATTTTTTGAGACAGGGTCTAGCTCTGAAGCCCAGGCTGGAGGGCAGTGGCATGATCTCGGCTCACTGCAACCTCTGCCTCCCAGCTTCAAGTGATTCTCCTGCCTCAATCTCCAGAATAGCTAGAATTACAGGCTCCTGCCAACACGCCCAGCTATTTTTTGTTTTGTTTTGTTTTGTTTTTTTGCTTGAGACAGAGTTTTGCTCTTGGTGCCCAGACTGGAGTGCAATGGCACAATCTCAGCTCACCACAACCTCTGCCTCCGGGGTTCAAGCGATTCTCCTTCCTCAGCCTCCCAAGTAGCTGGGATTACAGGTATGTGCCACGATGGCCTGCTAATTTTGTATTTTTAGTAGAGACGGGGTTTCTCCATGTTGGTCAGGCTGGTCTTGAACTCCCAACCTGAGGTGATCCACCCACCTCAGCCTCCCAAAGTGCTGGGATTACAGGTGTGAGCCACCGCGTCCAGCTATTTTTTTTTTTTTTTTGTATTTTTAGTAGAGACAGGGTTTCACCACATTGGTCAGGCTAGTCTTTAACTCCTGACCTCAAGTCAGGCCAGGCGTGGTGATGGGCGCCTGTAGTCCGAGCTACTTGGGAGGCTGAGGCAGGAGAATGGCGTGAACCTGAGAGGCAGAGCTTGCAGTGAGCAGAGATCGCGCCACTGCACTACGGCCTGGGCGACAGAGCAAGACTCCATCTCAAAAAAAAAAAAAAAAAATTAAAAAGAAACCAAGGCCTGGTGCAGTGGCTCATCTCAAAAAAAAAAAAAAAAAAAAAAAAAACAGAGAAAAAGAAACCAAGATGTGGTTGCTGGGTACACTCATTGCTTCTGGGGTGTCATTGCTTCCAGCCTCTCCCAGTAGACAGAGCTAAGATATATGTATGTATACTAACCCATATATACACACAAATCTATATTTATTTCTGTAAATATCCATCTCTATCTATAGTAAGCTAAACGTGAATTGTTGTAATCCAGTAGCCTTTTTTTTTTTTTTTTTTTGAGATAGACTCTCAGTATGGTGACTAGGCTGACCTCAAACCCTGGGCTCAAGGGATCCTTCTGCCTCACTCAGGCTCCTGTTGTGCACTGCCACCCTGCCCAGCTGTGGTCTTTGGTTTTTTAATGTGAGTAGTCATATTCTTTTTCAATCTGTCTGTCTTTTTCCAGAGTACTTAATCCAGGGGATCCAAGTTTGTGCTGTTAATATAATTACTCATGTGTTTAACAATTGTTGCCACATTTTAATTAATTAATTAATTAATTTATTTATTTATTTGTGTTGAGACAGAGTCTCACTCTGTCGCCCGGACTGGATTGCAGTGGCGCGATCTCAGATCACTGCAACCTCCGCTTCCCAGGCACAAGCGATTCTCCTGCCTCAGCTTCCTGAGTAACTTGGATTACAGGCGCGCACCACCATGGCACACCTGTAATTTTTGTATTTCTAGTAGAGATGGGGTTTCATTATGTTCGTGAGTCTGGTCTTGAACTCCTGATCTCAAACAATCCACCTGCCTTGGCCTCCCAAAGTGCTGGGATTACAGGCATGAGCCACCGTGCCCGGCCCTGTTGCCACATTTTAGTGAGGAAGAACTAATTTCATTTTCCCAGGAACCTTGAAATGTTAGGGAGGTAAGAGATGACAACCAAATACTAGAGGAAAAGGAAAGCTGGAACCAGGTGCCATGGGTCATGCCTATGGGAGGCCAAGTCGGGAGGATCACTTGAAACCAGGAGTTTGAGACCAGCCTGGACAACACAGCAGGACCCTCATTTCTTTCTTTCTTTCTTTTCTTTTCTTTTTTTTTTTTTTTTGAAACAGCGTCTCGCTCTGTCGCCCAGGCTAGAGTGCAGTGGCATGATCTCGGCTCACTGCCAGCTCCGCCTCCAAGGTTCACACCATTCTCTTGCCTCAGCCTCCTGAGTAGCTGGGACTACAGGCGACTGCCACCACGCCCAGCTAATTTTTTGTATTTTTAGTAGAGACGGAGTTTCACCGTGTTAGCCAGGATGGTCTCGATCTCCTGACCTCGTAATCCGCCCGCTTCGGCCTCCTAAAGTGCTGGGATTACAGGCGTGAGCCACCTCACCCGGCTCTTTTTTTTTTTTTGAGACTGAGTTTCACTCTTGTTGTCCAGGCTGGGGTGTGATGGCGCAGTCTCGGCTCACTGTAACCTCTGCCTCCCGGGTTCAAGTGACTCTCCTGCCTCAGCCTCCCGAGTAGCTGGGACTACAGGCACCCGCCACCATGCCTGGCTAATTTTTTGTATTTTTAGTAGAGATGGAGTTTCACCGTGTTAGCCAGGATGGTCTCGATCTCCTGACCTCGTGATCTGCCCGCTTCGGCCTCCCAAAGTGCTGGGATTACAGGCGTGAGCCACCTTACCCGGCTCTTTTTTTTTTTGAGACTGAGTTTCATTCTTGTTGTCCAGGCTGGAGTGCAATGGCGCAGTCTCGGCTCACTGCAACCTCTGCCTCCCGAGTTCAAGTGACTCTCCTGCCTCAGCCTCCCGAGTAGCTGAGATTACAGGTGCATGCCACCACGCCCGGCTAATTTTTATTTTTAGTAGAGAGGGGTTTCTCCATGTTGGTCAGGCTGGTCTCAAACTCCTGACCTCAGGTGATCTGCCCGCCTTGGCCTCCCAAAATGCTGGAATTACAGGCATGAGCCACTGTACCCAGCTGCGAGACACACATTTCTACAAAAAATAAAAGAAGGCTGGGTGCAGTGGCTCAATGTCTGTAGTCTCAGCTACTTGGGAGGCTGAGGTGGGAGAATATCTGGAGCCCAGGAAGTCAAGGCTGCAGTGAGCCTTTATCACTCAACTGCACTCCAGCCTAGATGATGGAGCAAGACCTTATCTCAAAAACAAATAAATAAATAAAATTAAAACAAAAAAAAAAAAGGAAAGGGGGCACTGCTCATTGCCCTTCCCAGCAAATGTTGTTGAAAGAGGAGATGAGGGACCGGGTGCAATGGCTCATGCCTGTAATCTTAGTACTCTGGGAGGCCGAGATGGCCGGATCACCTGAGGTCAGGAGTTCGAGACCAGCCTTCAACATGGTGAAACCCTGTCTCTACTAAAAATACAAAAATTAGCTGGGCGTGGTGGCGCATGCCTGTAATCCCAACTACTTTGGAGACTGAGGCAGGAAAATTGCTTGAACCTGGGAGGCGGAAGTTGCAGTGAGCCGAGGTTGCCCCACTGCACTCCAGCTTGAGCAACAAAGCAACACTCCATCTCAGGAAAAAAAAAAAAAAAGGTAAGAAACTCATTTGAGCCCAGGAGTTTGAGGCTGCAGTGAGCCATGATTGCACTACTGTGTTTCAGTCTGGGTAACAGAGTGAGACCAAGAGAAAAAAAAAAGCACAGTTCCCTTTTCCTCATTAGAAGCTACTTTTCATTACTTAGAAATCTTTAAATTTTACCAACGTGTCTGAGCGGAAGAAGGGAGAACAGAATATGTCATGAATAGACATTGAGTTCACCATAAAACTCCCAAACAGAATTGGGGAACTTGTTATATTCTGAAACTCTTGTTACATCAAGAGTTTTTCAGAGAGAAGCATGGCTTATAATAAATAGTTTGGAAATCTGAGTCTTAAAGACCTTTTCAAGAGCCTAAGCTACTGACTCCTCCTTCAAAGAACACTAAGATGGAGCCTTTTGCAAGTAAATAAATATCCCTAATTTCTCAGATAAAGGCATTGCAGAATGAGTGCTTCCTACCTTAACTCCTTCCATTCCTGGCCATACTGCTCTCTGATCATTCAGCATTATTCCGTGAACATTTTCTACATTTTCTTTTTTTTCTAAGGCGGAGTCTCACTCTGTCACCCAGGCTGGAGTGCAATGGCGCAATCTCGGCTCACTGCAAGCTCCGCCTCCTGGGTTCACGCCATTCTCCTGCCTCAGCCTCCCGAGTAGCTGGAACTATAGGCGCCTGCCACCATGCCCGGCTAATTTTTTGTATTTTTTTAGTAGAGACGGGTTTTCACTGTGTTAGCCAGGATGGTCTCGATCTCCTGACCTTGCGATCTGCCCGCAATATAGAGCTTTACTCAAGGGAGTGACATGATCAGAACTGCATTTGGAAGATTATTCTGATTTACCTTTTTTTTGAACCCAGGAGGCAGAGGTTGTAGTGAGCCAAGATCCCACCACTGCACTCCAGCCTGGCCACTGGGCAAGATTCCGTTTCAAAAAAAAAAAAAAAAGTTGGCACTAAACTGAATAAACTAGCAGTTTTTTCTGAGGACATATCTTGTAGATTAAAAAAAAATCGACTAGCAGTCTTTGAAATGAACACTATACTTTACCTTTATGGCTTGTATTAAGTATATAACGCTTAATAAAATAAAAACTCCAGCTGGGTGTGGTGGCTCATGCCTGTAATCCCAGCACTTTGCGAGGCCCAGGCAGGCAGATCACCTGAGGTCGGGAGTTCAAGACCAGCCTGACCAACATGGAAAAACTCCATCTCTACTAAAAATACAAAATTAGCCAGGCATGGTGGCGCATGCCTGTAATCCCAGCTACTCGGGAGACTGAGGCAGGAGAAACGCTTGAACCAAGGAGGCAGACATTGCAGTGAGCCGATATCATGCCATTACACTCCAGCCTGGGCAACAAGAGCAAAACTCCATCTCAAAAAAATAAAATAAAATAAGATAAAAACCCCAACCCACTAGGAGACCTAAAAGACAAGGGAAGACATGCTAGGTTTTTCCATGGCAGATTCCCCCAGACTGAATTAGTCATTTGCTAGTCATTCCTATAATAGTTTGTGCATATATTTTTCATGTTCTTATCACATTGAGTAATATATACTTAAGTTTCTCCTACTACATCATGGAGTGCCTTAAAGAAAAGAAATGGCCGGTCGCGGTGGCTCACACCTATAATCCCAGCACTTTGGGAGGCCAAGGCGGGCAGATCACAAGGTCAGGAGTTTGAGACCAGCCTGGCCAACATGGTATAACCCCGTTTCTACTAAAAATACAAAAATTAGCTGGGCGTGGTGGCACATGCCTGTAATCCCAGCTACTCAGGAGACTGAGGCAGAAGACCTGCTTGAACCTGGGAGGCAGAGGTTGCAGTGAGCCGAGACCACGCCACTGCACTGCAGCCTGGGTGACAGAGTGAGACTCCGTCTCAAAAAAATAAAAAAATAAAAAGAAAAAAAGAAAAGAAATGTATATTACTCATCCTTGTATCCTCAGCAGCTTGCTTAAGCTTGCTTAAGACCGTGCCCATAGCAGATACCTAATCAATATTTGTTTGAGTAACTAATAAGAAAGGTGGAATGTGGGCCGGGTGCGGTGGCTTACGCCTGTAATCCCAGCACTTTGGGAGGCTGAGGCGGGTGGATCACCTGAGGTCAGGAGTTCGAGACCAGCCTGACTGATATGGTGAAACCCCATCTCTACTAAATATACAAAAATTAGCCAGGCGTGGTGGCGGGCACCTGTGGTCCCAGTTACTGGGGAGGCTGAGACAGGAGAATTGCTTGAACTTGGGAGGTGCAGGGTGCAGTGAGCCGAGATCGCGCCACTGCACTCCAGCCTCGGTGATAGAGCAAGGCTCCTTCTCAAATAAAAAAAAAAAAAAAAAAAAAAAGGTGGAATGTGAATTGAGCCTTGAGGGTTTCAGTAAGCACAGAAGCAATATAGAGCTTTACTCAAGGGAGTGACATGATCAGAACTGCATTTGGAAGATTATTCTGATTTACCTTTTTTTTTTTGAGACGGAGTCTTGCTCTGTCACCCAGGCTGGAGTGCAGTGGCACCATCTCGGCTCACTGCAACCTCTGCCTCCTGGCTTCAAGCCATTCTCCTGCCTCAGCCTCCCCAGTAGCTGGGATTACAGGCATGCACCACCAAGCCCAGTTAATTTTTGTATTTTTAGTAGAGACGGGGTTTCACCATGTTGGCCAGGCTGGTCTCGAACTCCTGACCTCGTGATCTGCCTGCCTCGGCCTCCCAAAGTGCTGGGATTACCGGTGTGAGCCACCGTGCCCGACCCCTGATTTACCTTTATTACATTAGAGACCATGATTATTTTGAAGCAATAGTTTACAAGAGCTGGCTCATACCAGGTTGTAAGAATCAACTGTTGAATTTTTAGAAATTTTAAAAGCCAGTTGTTAAAACACTGTCACTGTTAAATTATTATGTAAAGTTACAATTAAATCAGTTATATTAAAAACCAAAATAAATACTCAAAACTCATTACTTCCAAATTATTATTATTATTTTTGCAGACGGAGCTTCACTGTTGTTGCCCAGACTGGAGGGCAATGGCATGATCTTGGCTCACTGCAACCTCTGCCTCCAGGTTCAAGCAATTCTCCTGCCTCAGCCTCCTGAGTAGCTGGGATTACAGGCACCCGCCACCATGCCTGGCTAATTTTTGTATTTTTAGTAGAGGCAGGGTTTCACCATGTTGGCCAGGCTCGTCTCGAACTCCTGACCTCAGGTGATTCGCCCACCTCGGCCTCCCAAAGTGCTGGGATTACAAACGTGAGCCACTGCGTCGGGCCCCAGATTATTTTTCTACATTTTATTATTATCTATGCTCTTGAGATTATTTATGTGTGTTCTATCTATATGGTGGGAATGCTATGATATGCTACTGTGCATCTCTTCCTGACTCCATCTTTAGTGATATAATGTTAGTAGCTTGAAAGCAACCATGATGGAAATATTTGTACTATCAAAATAGGCAAACACTACAAATCAAGGCTTTCTTCCCCCTGCTTCTGAGAGTTGGTTGTTAGAAATTGAGTAGCACACCACTGTTTTTTGTTTTTTGGTTTTTGGTTTTTTTTTGAGACAGAGTCTCACTCTTGTTGCCCAGGCTGGAGTGCAATGGCACAGTCTCGAGTCACCGCAACCTCGGCCTCCTGAGTTCAAGCAATTCTCCTGCCTCAGCCTCCTGAGTAGCCGGGATTACAGGCATGGGCCACCATGCCTGGCTAATTTTTGTATCTTTAGCAGAGGTGGAGTTTCTCCATGTTGGTCAGGCTGGTCTTGAACTCCCGACCTCAGTTGATCCACCCACCTCAGCCTCCCAGAGTGCTGGGATTACAGGCATGAGCCACAGCACCCGGCCTAGCACACTATTGTTTAGAAGGCAACATTGATAAAAGGGCAATGAAAAGTTTGGAAAATAGAGTTGAGGAAATTTGCAGACCGTGGGGGAAAAAAGAAAGTTAAGTGTGAGAGAAAAGTTGAGAGGATTAGACTTACTTGGAGATTCCAATATACAAGTAACAGGAATTTAAGAAAGAAAGAACAAAGATGCATGGGGTGGAGCGGAGTGGGGTATGAGTGTGTGGAGGTGGAAGATATGAGTAATGCAAGAAAAATAAAGCAAAAAAAATTCCAGAACCGAGGGCAACAGTTTCTAAATTGAAAGGGCTCTCTGTCTAGCACAATGAGTGAAAATGCACATCAAAGCATGGCATGTCACTTGCATTTTCTTTTTCTTTTCTTTTTTTTTTTTTTTTTTTGAGATGGAGTTTTGCTTTTGTCGTCCAGGCTGGGGTCCAATGGCATGCTCTTGGCTCACCGCAACCACCTCTTCCCAGGTTCAAGCGATTCTCCTGCCTCAGCCTCCCGAGTAGCTGGGATTACAGGCACCTGCCGCCGCATCCAGCTAATTTTTGTAGTTTTAGTAGAGATGGGGCTTCACCTTGTTGGCCAGGCTGGTCTCAAACTCCTGACCTCAGGTGATCCACCTGCCTCGGCATCCCAAAGTGCTGAGATTACAGGCGCGAGCCACTGCGCCTGGCCTGTCACTTGCATTTTCAAAACATCAAAGATAGAAGATCCTCAGAGTTTCCAGAATTAATAATAAAATTAGGGTCATACAAAAGGTATACAGTTGTGTTAGCTGGGCGTGATGGCAGGCGTGTGTAATCCCAGCTACTCAGGAGGCTGAGGCAGAAGAATCGCTTGAACCCGGGCTGCAGAGGTTGCAATGAGCTGAGATCGCGCCCCTGCACTCCAGCCTGGGTGACTGAGTGAGACTCCATCTCAAAAAACAAACAAACAAACAAAAAAGGTATACAGTTATGTTCTTTTGTAAGTAAGGATTTCCTTAGATTTCTCAGCAATAACACAGAAATGAGAAGACAAGTCATAGTTCTAAGGAAAAATGGATTCCAACCTAGAATTATGTAACCAGACAAATTATCACATTAATCAAGTGAGATCAAATAAAGATATCTTTCACCCAGGAGGCTGAGACAGGAGGACGGCTTGAGGCCAGGAGTTTGAGGCTGCAGTGGCTATGCTGGTGCCTGTGAATAGCCACTGCATTCCAGCCTGGGCTACATAGCAATACTTCGTCCCTTAAAAAAAAAAAAAGATATTTTCAGACACGCAACATCTCAAAAAATTTTCCCCTTCACCACACCCTTTGTCAGAAAGCTACTGGAGGACATATTCTACCAAAGTGAGGGAGAAAAACAAACATGGAATCCAGGACAAAGGGGACTCACACAAAGAAGTAAAGAAAATTCCCAGGATGGTGAAGAAGGGAATTCCCAGAACAGCTGTGCAGTTCGTCTAGTGAGCAACAGTTAAGATTGGCATGGGAGGGATATTTCCAAGAAAAAACAAAATAGGTGTATTATTTGATGAGTTTGAATGAATGGAGCCTTGCAATTCTGGCAAAGCATTTGTGGGGTGGGGGGTGGAAATTAATGATGGGTACATAGAAGCCTTAACAAACCAACCATTGAGACAATCACTAACCACAAGGAAAAAAAAAAAAAAAAAAAGTCTGATAAGAAAGGAAATATGGCTGGGGGCGATGGCTCACACCTGTAATCCCAGCACTTTGGGAGGCCGAGGCGGGCAGATCACTTGAGGTCAGGAGTTTGAGACCAGCCTGGCCAACATGGTGAAAACCCATCTCTACTAAAAATACAAAAATTAGCCGAGTATGCTGCTGGGCCCCTGTAATCCCAGCTACTTGGGAGGCTGAGGCAGGAGAATCGTTTGAATCCGGGAGGTGGTGAGCCGAGATCCAGCCACTGCACTCCAGCCTGGGGAACAAAGCGAGTCTCCGTCTCCACAACAACAAAAAAGGAAATGTAATCATAGTATATTACACAAACCAACTGGGAAAAGTATTTTCTTTATTTTTATTATTTTTTGAGACCGAGTTTCGCTCTTGTTGCCCAGACTGGAGTGCACTGGCGCGATCTCGACTCACCACAACCTCTGTCTCCCGGGTTCAAGCGATTCTCCTGCCTCAGCCTTCCTGAGTAGCTGGGATTACAGGCATGCGCCACCACGTCCAGCTAATTTTGTATTTTTAGTAGAGATGGGATTTCTCCATGTTGGTCTGGCTGGTCTCAAACTCCCGACCTCAGGTGATACGCCCGCCTCAGCCTCCCAAAGTGTTGGAATTACCGGCATGAGCCACAGCGCCCGGCGGGGAAAAGTATTTTCAAACTCATAATAACGTAAGTTCAAAATCGGTTTAACCCGCAATTTGGGGAGGTTGGGGGATGAATGTGTGTAGGGAGGGGGCAGGAAGAGTTGGTGAGAGGCCAAAAAGAGGATGATACCATACTTAGTGGGAAACAGATCCCCCACCATAAAGATAAAGGAAATCAGAAACTGCTCAAGTCCTGGACCCCCTCAGACGGATAATGGACAGAGAAAGGGGGTCAGGAGGGAGGAGTAGAGAGGGTTGGTAGGGGGGTTTGTTTGGAGCAAGGCTTCAGTGTTGCGACTCCCGCCCTCTTTGGAGGAAGGGGCATGGAGTGCTCCCCTCAATTCAGAGCTCCAGGAGGGGCTTTTGAACGGTAACGCGCGAGCTGGGAAACCTGAAGCCTTGGTGCCCTCCCCACGAAAGCCAGAGGCCGGCTGCGACCTGCGCCGGATTCCCTCCCTGTGGACAGGGAGGCCGACTCCTTGCTTGGGGACAGGACAAGGCTGTGAGGTTGGGCTGGAGGGGCGGGCGTGGAGTTGCCGCGGTGAGGACGGCCCGCTTGGGCGCCCCAGAGGCCGGGCAGGGGCGCGGGGACCTGGTTGCACCGGTGGCGGTCGTCCTCTCCGCGGCAGCTGCTGCCGCCCTGCCGAGCCGCCCGCGGGAAAACCCCAGAAGGCCCCGGCCGCCGCCGGGCAGGGCAGCGCCCGCTTCCATCCGCTGCGGGCCCGGAGTCCCGGCCGCTCGGCCAAGCGAGGTGAGAGGCCTGTGGCTTCCAGCCCCGATCTGGGCCCTCGCCCTGCGACTCCGACTCCTGTCCCAGTCCCCTACCACACGGACCTCGGCCCCAACTACGACGGTCACCTCGGACCCTGGCTCTCGCTCCCCGACCCTCGCTCTCTGACAAAGGGTCTGGGGCGAGGGCGTGGAGCCGCGGCCGGCAGGAGGCGAGCGCTCAGCCCCGGTGCGGGGTCCCGGGGGCAGGGGTCGCTGAGCCCGGGTCGGGCTGGCTGGGGCTGCGCAGCCCAGGGTGCATGCGGCGGGCGAAGGCCTGTGCCCCACCTAGAGCGGAGCCCGCGGTGTGTGCACCTAGGCCAAAGAGGTGACCCCGGGAATGAAATCTAAGGAATAGAGGGAGTTAACTGTAGAGTGGCGTTTTAGTTACATCGTAGTTAAGTCTGTGCCACACACCAGTTAAACCGGTTATTTAGAAAGACGGCGGGAAACCAGCAGAAATACCTGAAAAAAATACCACATGATTGCACAGGAAAGTTAAAATTCCAGAGAGGGGATGCATGGGGGAGGGGAATGCTGTTTTTCTTTACTGTTTGGCTTTTAAAACTAGTTAATTAAAAGTTTCCTGGTGGGGCGCGGTGGCTCACGCCTGTAATCCCAGCATTTGGGAGGCCGAAGTGGGCGGATCACCTGAGATCAGGAGTTCGAGACCAGCCTGGCCAACATGGTGCATTTTGTAAAAATGCAAAAATTAGCTGGGCGTGGTAACGGGCACCTGTAAGCCCAGCTACTCCGGAGGCTGTGGAGGGAGAATGGCTTGAACCAGGGAGGCGGAGGTTGCAGCGAGCCGAGATCCCGCCACTGTACTCCCACCTGGATGACACAGTGAGACCGTGTCTCTAAATAGATAATAAAATAAAAATAAAATTTTCTTTAAAAAAGAACCGTAGTGACCTTTAGTTACCCCGAATCCTAGATTTCCCAGCAGGCTCCCCAACTCATTGGCTGTGAGATCTTGGTCAAGCCATTTTATCCTTTGGAGCCTTGGTTTGCTTATCTGTTAAATGATACTAGTAACACTCAACCAGAGTTGCTGTAAGGATTAGTGACAAGTTAGGCGAAGTGTTTTGTCAGGGCCTGTGATGGGCACAAACCAGCTGTTCAATGAACCTTGTGAATGAAGTTATTTTAAATGAATAAGGGGGTTTGTAGCCAAAAGCGGCCTCTAGCCTACAATACCTGTGTGCTTAAGGGCTGGAGTTTATGTGATCCAATTTGAATGTGGGTTTTTGAGCAGACCAAGGCTGTAAAGGAAAGCAATAATAGAACTATTTGTGTGAACAACTTGAGGGCTTTTTAAATGTTAATTGGTACCTGGACAGCTCCCAGGTTGTGGACTCTTGAAGTCAGATACGGAGAAAAGGGGGTGGAATTTGTGAAAGAGACAGAATATGCTATATTTATTATCTTATTAGCAAGTAGAAAAATTAGGGAAATGATTCACTTTACAAAAAATGGAAGATGAATCACAAGCCTCTTAAGAGGGAGTTGTCTCTGGTGTTTAAAAACAATGTATAAGAGAAAAGCTCAGATATTTCAGTCATTTGCTGTGAAGTGACAATCAGAAGTTAAGGTAAAGGAAATTTTCATCTTAATATTCCACTGAACCCTAAAAAGTTGATGGAACTAGGATTTGAATCAGAGTTTGATTCTGAAGCCTCTTCTTACTTTTTTTTTTTGGTCTCCATTAAAATGTTTTATTTAAATAGAAATTACAGGTCAGGCGCAGTGGCTCATGCCTGTAATCCCAGCACTTTGGGAGGCCGAGGTGGGGGTGCAGATCACCTGAGGTCAGGAGTTCGAGACCAGCCTGACCAACACGGAGAAACCCTGTCTCTACTAAAAATACAAAATTAGCCGGACGTGGTGGTGCATGCCTGTAATCCTAGCTACTCGGGAGGCTGAGGCAGGAGAATCACTTGAATCTGGGAGGCGGAGGTTGTGGTGAGCCAAGATAGCACCATTGCACTCCAGCCTGGGTAAAAAAAGCAAAATTTCATCTCGAAAAAAAAATAATAATAATAGGTTGGGCGCAGTGGCACATGCCTGTAATCCTAGAACTTTGGGAGGCCAAGGTGGGTGAGTCACGAGGTCAAGAGATCGAGACCATCCTGGCCAACATGGTGAAACCCCATCTCTACTAAAAATACAAAAATTAGCTGGGTATGGTGGTGCACGCCTGTAGTCCCAGTTACTCGGGCGGCTGAGGCAGGAGAATCTCTTGAACCTGCGAGGCAGAGGTTGCAATGAGCCGAGACTGTGCCACTGCATTCCAACCTGTAGATGGAGTGAGACTCCATCTCAAAAAATAAATAAATAAATAAATAGAAATTACAAATATGATATGCCTTTGTTATATTACTTAACAATATAGCAAGGTATAAAGTCCCTTTTCCACTTCCCAGAGTTTATCAATATGAATGGTTTGGTGGGCAATCCTCCAACCTTTTTTTTTTTGAGATGGAGTCTCACTCTTTGTCCAGGCTGGAGTGCAGTGGTGAGATCTCAGCTCATTGCAACCTCTGCCTCCCGAGTTCAAGCAATTCTCCCGCCTCAGCCTCCCTAGCAGCTGGAATTACAGGCGCCTGCCACCACGCCCGGCTAATTTTTGTATTTTTAGTAGAGAGGGGTTTCACCATCTTGGCTAGGCTGGTCTTGAACTCCTGACCTGGTGATCCACCCCACTAAGCCTCCCAAAGTGCTAGGATTACAGGCTTGAGCCACAGTGCCTGGCTGCTTTTTCTTTCTTTTTTTTTTTATGACACATACACATACACATATTTAAAATGGATTATTCAATATACTGTTCTGCAACTTGCCTTTCTAAAATTAAGCAATGTAAATTAAGCCTATTTCCATCCCATTAGATACACACACTCCTTACTTTCTTTAATAGTTGCATAGTATACTATTGCATGGATGTACTATAATTTATTTAACCACTTTTCTTATACACCATTTGGGATCTTTCAGATTTTTTGCTCTTATCAACATTGCTTCAGTGACCATCCTTATATATGTTTGTGCACTTTTGTTAGTATTTCTGTAGAACAGATTTGTAGATGTTGGAATTATTGGGCCTTAAAGTATGTATGTTTAAAATATTGGTAGATACTGCCAAAGTATACTTAAAATAAAGCTGGTGGTCTTAACCGTTATGCCCCACTGCCCCTCAAGCAAAGTAGTGAATACATTTTAAAATAGCTGGCTTCCTTTGTGGTGGTGGCAGCTATGTGGACTCATAGGGGTGAGCTTCTCATGGAGAAGGAAAAAGAGAAAGACTGTGAACAAGTCTTTGAAGCAGAAAGCCCTTTTCCTTAGATATTTTGTGTTTATCCAAGGCAATGGTATTAACTGAAACTTTGCAGGTTAACTTTGGGTTTGTGGCTTTCTTGTGGTTCGTAAATTCTCACTATTCAAAATACATGGTATTTGAATTTCTTTTTTTTTTTTTTTGAGACAGAGTCTCACTCTGTCACCCAGGCTGGAGTGCAGTGGCGCGATATCGGCTCACTGCAACCTCCGCCTCCCGGGTTTAAGCGATGTTCCTGCCTCGGCCTCCTGAGTAGCTGGGATTACAGATGTCTGCCACCATGCCTGGCTAATTTTTGTATTTTTAGTAGAGACGGGGTTTCACCATGTTGGTCTGGCTGGTCTCCATCACCTGACCTCATGATCTGCCCGCCTCAGCCTCCCAACGTGCTGGGATTACAGGCATGAGCCACTGCGCCTGGCCAGTATTTGAATTTCTAACAGTATGCTACTTTTGTGGTAATATAAATAAATAATTGTTAAAAGTGGCTGAATGATCTGTTGCTGTAAATCCAGAGTTTTGAACTTATTTAAAGCAAGGTGGCCGGGCACGGTGGCTCACACCTGTAATCCCAGCACTTTGGGAGGCCGAGGCGGGCGTTCACTTGAGGTCGGGAGTTCAAGAACAGCCTGACCAACATGAAGAAACCCCACCTCTACTAAAAATACAAAAATTAGCCGGGTGTGTTGGCGCATGCCTGTAATCCCAGCTACTTGGGAGGCTGAGGCAGGAGAATCACTTGAACCTGGGAGGCGGAGGTTGTGGTGAGCCGAGATCACGCCATTGCACTCCAGCCTGAGCAACAAGAGTGAAACTCCGTCTCAAAAAAAAATAAAAAAAAAAAAATAAAAAAATAAAGCAAGCTGCATTCACACTGTAACTGTATTCTAGCTTGCCACAGGAGGGCAACCTTTAAAGGAGAACCAAATGGCTACAAAAAGAACACTCCTTTGTGCTTCCTAATAATTGTTCAAAGCTCCAAGGGTCAATCACCTTAGGATGTGAAGAATATCGCCAATGTATCATTTGGCAGAAAATACGAAAATGAAATACCCTGGCTCTTCTAGATGTGACAGCAATTATATAAACTAAGAATGGCATTTTTGTTAGGTTTTGGGAGTTGTAAAGAAAAAAGACACTCCCTTAAGGCACCTCAGCAATTTGGCATTATTGTAAATTGACACAGAGAATAACAAGAAGCACAAAGCTTCAAGAGAATTGGATTCAAGACAGCTCAAATGAGACCTTAACTGCAGTTTGTGGATCTTCACTCCAGGGTGCTCTTATTAATGTGATTCATTGACTCTCCATTTTCTCTTAGGTACCGTGTTCCTTTTTCCTGCACTTTGCCCTGTATATCTTTTCTATACTTCATAGTTCCTACATACTCATATTTATTGCTCCGTTACATCTTTGCCTTGTCAAGCTCCTCAATCTCCTATCTCTAACTAATGGTAATTCGGAGTCCAGAGAGGGAGAGTTAGATTAGTTCAGTTCATCTTTTCATACCAGGGTACATTATAGGATTTTGGCCAACCAGTGGATTGGTTGCCCTTGAGCCAAGAGCTTACTTGTGATCTTAGCCATAGTGGCAAATTGCCCAGGATCAAGTGGTCAGATTAAAGTAGCTGTAGGTTCATCAGTTTCCTTCAGGAAGCATTTTGGGCATATTAGACACTGGGATTCTTACAATAGGTGGCATGCTAAATGTCCAGTAGTTTCCTTTCAGATAGTGTTTATTGAGTACATACCTAATGTTTTCCAATGCTAGGTTTTGGGGAATTCAAAGATAAATAAAGTATCCATGGAAGTCACAGTGTCACTAAATACAGACATATGGATTCAAGAAATGTTGTAACCAGCCTGGGCAACATGGTGAAACCCCGTCTGTACTAAAAATGCAAAAATTAGCTGGATGTGGTGGCAGGCACCTGTAATCCTAGCTTCTCGGGAGGTTGAGACAGGAGAATTGCTTGAACCCAGGAGACAGAGGTTGCAGTGAGCCAAGATCGTGCCACTGCACTCCAGCCTGGGCTACAGAGCAAGATTCCATCTGAAAAAACAAAAAACAAAAACACAAACAAACAAAAAAACCACAAATGTTGTAATCGGCAGTGGCTCATGCCTGTAATCCCAGCACTTTGGGAGGCTGAGGCGGGTGGATCACCTCAGGTCAGGAGTTCGAGACCAGCCTGGCCAACAGGGTGAAACCCCATCTCTATAAAAATACAAAAATTAGACAGGCACGGTGGTGCATGCCTGTAACCCAGCTACTCAGGCAGCTGAGGTTGGAGAATTGCTTGAACCTGGGAGGAGATGAGCTGTTATCAAACCACTATACTCCAGCCTGGGCAACAGAACAAGACACCGTCTCAGGAAAAAAAAAAAGAAGAAAAGAAAAAAAAAAGAAGAAAAGAAAAAAAAAAGAAATGTTATAATACAAGCTAAGTAGTACTGTACAATTATACAAATATACATTCAAAAATTTCAGTTCCAGCCAGGCTTGGAGGCTCAGCCTGTAATCCCAGCACTTTGGGAGGCCGAGGCGGGTTGATTACCTGAGCTCAGGAGTTTGAGACCAGCCTGGCCAACATGGTGAAAACCATCTCTACTAAAAATACAAAAATTAGCTAGGCATGGTGGCAGGTGCCTGTAATCCCAGCTACTCGGGAGGCTGAGGCAGGAGAATTGCTTGAACCCAGGAGGCGGAGGTTGCAGTGAGCCGAGATCGCGCCATTGCACTCCAGCCTGGGTGACAACAGCAAAAATCCCTCTGCAAAAAAAAAAAAAAAAAAGCCAGGCACGGTGGCTCACGCCTGTAATCCCAGTATCTTGGGAGGCCAAGGCAGGTGGATCATGAGGTCAGGAGATCGAGACCATCCTAGCTAACACGGTGAAACCCTGTCTCTACTAAAAGTAGCTGGGCATGGTAGGGGGCGCCTGTAGTCCCAGCTACTCAGGAGTCTGAGGCAGGAGAATGGCGTGAACCCGGGAGGCGGAGCTTGCAGTGAGCCAAGATTGTGCCACTATACTCCAGCCTGGGCGACAGAGCCAGACTCTGTCTCAAAAAAAAAAAAAAAAATTTCAATTTCATGGAGCTTATGCTTTAATGTACATATGAGGAGAGACAAATAATAAACACTATTATAGTATGTTAGATGGCGATCAGTGATATGGAGAAACAAAAAGTAAGAATGTAGAATAAGAAGTATTGAGGTGAGGGGCTGCAATTGGTAATAGGAGAGGCCTCCCTGAGAGAGTGACATTTGAGAAAAATCTGAAGGTGGTGAGGGAATGAGCCATACATTTATCTGGGGAAGAGAATTCCAGGCAGGGAATAGCCAGGGCAAAGGCCCTGCATTGCCATGTTGAAGGGATACCAAAGAGGCTAGTGGATCTGGAGTGGAGGGAGCAAGGGATCAGAGTGGGAAATAAGGTAAGATATGGCAGGAGTGTGGTACCGGGACCAGATCATATGGGAACTTTTCTGCAAACAAAAAGATTTTTTTTTTTTTTTTGACAACATTTCACTCTTGTTGCCCAGGCAATGGCGCAATCTTGACTCACCACAAACTCTGCCTCCCGGGTTCAAGCGATTCTCCTGCCTCAGCCTCCCGAGTAGTTGGGGTTATAGGCATTTGCCACCTTGCCTGGCTAATTTTGTATTAGTAGAGACGGGGTTTCTCCATGTTGATCAGGCTGGTCTCGAACTCCTGACCTCAGGTGATCTGCCTGCCTTGGCCTCCCAAAGTGCTGGGATTACAGGAGTAATCCACCGCACCCAGCCATGAAAGGGTTTTAGTTTTTGCTTTGAGTGAGTCAACCACAGCAGGGTTTTAAGCAAGAGAATGCTGTCCTCTGACATATTTTAACACAATCATTTTGGCTGCTGTGTTAAGAATAGACTTAAAGGGGCCAGAGTGAAAGCAGGGAGACCAGTTGAAGACTACTGGAATAATCCAGGTGAAAGATAATGGTGACTTGAACTAGGGTGACAGCAGTAGCTGTGATGAGGAGTGGTCATATTTTGGCTATATTTTGTAGAGCAGAGAGGATCGCTGATTAATTAAATATAGAGTCAGGGACAACTCCAAGGCTTTTGGGCTGAGAAACTGGAAGAACGGAGTTGCCTTTCACTGAGATGGGGAAGACTACGGAAAGAACAGGTTTGTGGGAGAGCATCAGGTACTTGTTTTTAGACATACTAATTTTGGAATGCCTGTAAGCTCTCCAAGTGCAGATGTTGAGTAGGCAGCTGGATATACTGGCATGAGTCTGGAGTTCAGGGGACAGTTATGGATTGGCACTACTAATATATTTGGAAGTTATATAGGTCAGTGTTGTCCAACATGGCAGCCACTAGCTACATGTGACAATTTAAATTTAAATTTAAATTCATTAAATGAAATTAAAACTTCAGTTCTCGGCTGGGCGCAGTGGCTCACACCTGCAATCCCAGCACTTTGGGAAGCCGAGGTGGACGGATCACTTTGAGGTCAAGAGTTTGAGACCAGCTCGGCCAACATGGTCATGGAAACCCTGTCTCCACTAAAAATACAAAAATTAGCTGGGTGTGGTGGTGGGTGTCTGTAATCCCAGCTACTCAGGAGGCTGAGGCAGGAGAATCACTTGAACTCAGGAGGCAGAGGTTGCAGTGAGCCGAGATCATGCCACTGCACTCCAGCCTGGGCGACAGAGTGAGATTCTGTCTCAAAAAAAAAAAAAAAATTCAGTTCTCAGTTGCTCTAGCCATATTTCAAGTACTCAATAGCCACATGTAGCTAATGGCTACTGTATTTACTGTATTGGATAGTGCAGATGTGGGACACTTCCATTATTACACAAAATTCTATTGAACAGCACTGATGTAGGTGACATTTGAAGTCATGAGTCTGTAAAAGATCACTTATAAAATTGATATTAAGGGAAAAAGAGATTCAAAGACTGAAGCCTTTATGTTTCTGTACTTAAATATACAAATTGGTGGTGAGGGTGGGATGATGAGGTGGTAAGGGCATGCTTCCTTTTTATTTATTTATTTTTTTAAATGAACTGTGCTTACTAAGTGGATAAGGGGGCAAAAGACATTCCAGGCAAAGGGAATAGTGTGTGTTAATAGAGGTATAAAATGATATGATTGGGGAACTGTAAGAAAGCTGGCATTTCTGGAGCAAGGCCACATTATTTTAGTATAGTTACACACACACCCACACACACACACACCCACACACACCCAACTCCAAACCTCTTCTTTGCTTCAACACTTTGGGACTGAGCATGTGGTGCTGAGGCTAATCAGTTTAGGTCTAATTGGAAGGCAGAATGAGAAGGGGAGAAAGAATTTTCCTTGTCACTTGTAAATTGTGAATGGGAACAAATGTAAGCATTAAATTTAGGGAAACAAATACTGCCTCCTAACAAGTTTTTTCAGTGATAGAAATCAGATGTGATAGCCATTTTTAATTTTAGGAAGTCTTGTTCAAATAAAACCTAAAAGTTATTTAAGCTGGAGCTGGATTTCTATCTGGACTAGGGCAAACTGGAGGTAAGCTGATGTAGCTAATCAGCTATGGCTTTCATGAGACATATTCACGCACACAACAATCCCCAGGCACCATTCTGGAAGCCCAATCATTTCAGAATATGTTTTTTCAAGATGTCAGTTTGTTTTAATAGTAGGTTGTTATACCCAAACTACCATATTCTTAGTTTTCCTTTTTGTATTTTTTTTTCAAGTTTGCAAAAAGCAGTAACTTAAGCCACAGGGAAAAAAGCACAAAACTGTTTTTCACCAATTAAAAGGAACCCTTTCTATTTACATGTGTTTTAAACTAAAATAGCCTTAAAAAAGGTAAAGATTTCATTAGAATAAAAAAAGCTTAAAAATAGAATCTATTAAGATCTTGCGTTATCATTCAACGCTCTTTGCAGTTAAAAATCATGTCATTATTTCCATTATACTTACCTCCTGTTTTTCTGGGCATATTAGCCTGGCTGTAGAAACTTGCTCCAGTTGAAATTTGGCAAGCTGACAAGGCTGCGTGCCAGAAGTAATTTACTATCCAGTGCGGTTTGCAAAGTAAAAGAAGCTATAAATAATAGAAAAAGAAATGAAAAGTTACTGGTTCCAAATATTTTAATGTGTGTAAAGTGTGTCACCTCAAACTTTTCAGCTTTTGTTGTTGGCAATGTGAGATAACATGAAAGGTTTGAAAAGTACAGATGCTTTGCATTCGCATCAAACTGAGGGCTCTGATGTTCTTAGGCATCAAAGACCAGTCTGCGTCTATCACTTCTCTGACTTTGAAGTCTACAAGCGCTCTCTGTATGGGAGAATCAGGCAGGGGACTTGGAACAAGGCAGGGGGATGGGATTCCAGGTGCCTTGCCTCTTATTATGGCTCAAACTAGGTACTTCCCTTTATCAAATAATAATAATGAAAAAAAAGATGAGCATCTCTTTCTCTGCTGTTTTTAACCACGGAGCTGTCTGAGAACTTCAAATGTGACAATGTGAATATTCCAAGGAAAAGTTCAAGTTTACTTTGAAGTTTACTTTTAAGTACTTTGAAGGCAAGAACAGAAATTTTAACTTAATTTGCAAACATCTGGCTAGTGTTCATCTGGCAATCTTCTTAAAAGATTCTGTTGGCACCCTGAGACCCCTCTCATTTTCCAGACTGGCTCGTGAGCACCACAGTGGGGACCAAGTGTTTGGTCACCATGGGGTGATCAGGGTACATCTTTCTGTGATCAATCTTACAATCTGGAAAAAAAATAATTTATATTAAAGCAAATACTAATATATCATGGGCTAGAAAGCAAAATTATCATAAACTCTTTTGGAAAGGGAAAAAGACATTGACCATTTGAGTTTCAATATTTCTGACCCTGCCACACACATAAAAATAACAATTGAAGCTCTTGAAGAGCTTCAATATGTTGAAAGAGAGAGTCTGGTAAGTAATTTTTTGTTAATTAAAGTGTAACTTCCATAAAGTG
Source organism: Homo sapiens (assembly GCF_000001405.40). Lineage (NCBI taxonomy): Eukaryota > Metazoa > Chordata > Mammalia > Primates > Hominidae > Homo > Homo sapiens. Next base: position 31,906,810 of record NC_000017.11, on the reverse strand, counting down.
TAGATTTTTTTTTTGGAGATGGAGTCTCACTTGGTCGCCCAGGCTGGAGCGTAGTGGCATGGTGGCTCATGCCTGTAATCCCAGCACTGCAACATCCACCTCCCAGGTTCAAGCAATTCTCCTGCCTCAGCCCCCTGAGTAGCTGGGATTACAGGCGCACGCCACCATACACGGTTAATTTTTATATTTTTAGTAGAGATGGGGTGTCACCATGTTGGTCAGGTTGGTCTCAAACTCTTGACCTCAGGTGATCCACTGGCCTCGGGCTCCCAAAGGGCTGGGATTACAGGCTTGAGTCAGCGCACCTGGCCAGGATTTTGAGACATTGCGGGCTTTATGCAAACAGTTTCTTCTTCTGTCTTGGGCTTTCTCCAGTAGGTAGTTTTTTTTTTTTTTTTTTTTTTGAGGGGAGTCTCGCCTTGTTGCCTGGGTGGGAGTGCAGTGGTGCAATCTCAGGTACTATCTCTCTTTTTGAGGGCTCCTTCTATGAGTTGATATTTCAAAATATTTATGTGATGCTATTAGGTGAGTTAATACATAAAGGACTTTGGCCAGGCATGGTGGCTTATGCCTGTAATCCCAGTACTTTGGGAGGCCGAGGCAGGTGGATCACCTGAGGTCAGAAGTTCAAGACCAGCCTGGTCAACATGGTGAAACCCCGTCTGTACTAAATATACAAAAATTAGCCAGGCGTGGTGGCGGGCGCCTGTAGTCTCAGCTACTCAGGAGGCTGAGGCAGGAGAATCACTTGAACCTGGGAGGCCGAGGTTGCAGTGAGCTGAGATCATACCATTGTGCTCCAGCCTGGGCAACAAGAGCGAAACTTCGGCTCACAAAAAAAAAAACAAAAAAACATAAAGGACTTAGAACAGTGCACATAGTAGCTGGGCACACAATAAGCCCTACATAATGACAGCTTTTTTTTTTTTTTTTGAGACAGAGTCATGGGGTTTCACCATGCTGGCCATGCTGGTCTTGAACTTCTGACATTGTGATCTGCCAACCTTGGCCTCCCAAAGTGCTGGGATTACAGGCGTGAGCCACTGCGCCGGGCCAATGACAGCTATTATTATGAGATGCAGAAGTGAAAAGAAGGCTTTGTCATTTCTGTCATAATAATTCTTTTTTTTTTTGAGACAGATTCTCATTCTGTTGCCCAGGCTGGAGTGTAGTGGCACGATCTCGACTCACTGCAGTCTCTGCCTCCCGGGTTCAAGCGATTCTTGTGCTTTAGCCTCCCAAGTATTTTTTTTTTTTTTTGAGACGGAGTCTCGCTCTGTCTCCCAGGCTGGAGTGTAGTGGTGTGATCATGGCTCACTACAACTTCCGCCACCCAGGTTCTAGCAATTTTCCTGCCTCAGCCTCCAGAGTAGCTGGGATTCCCGCCACCATGTCTAGCTAATTTTTGTATTTTTAGTGGGGGGGTATTTCACCATGTTGGCCATGCTGGTTGTGAACTCCTGACCTCAGGTGATCCACCTGCCTTGGCCTCCAAAACATCATAATAATTCTTTCTTTTTTGGGACAGAGTGTCGGTCTGTCACCCAGGCTGGAGTGCAGTGGCGTGATCTTGGCTCACTGCAACCTCCATCTCCCGGGTTCAAGCGATTCTCCTGCCTCAGCCTCCCGAGTAGCTGGGACTACAGGCACGCACCACCATGCCCGGCTAATTTTTGTATTTTTGGTAGAGACGGAGGTTTCACCATGTTGGCCAGGCTGGTCTCGAACTCCTGACCTTGTGATCCACCCACCTCGGCCTCCCAAAGTGCTGGGATTACAGATGTGAGCCACTGCGCCTGGCCCATCATAATAATTCTTGAAGGTAAATATAAAAGCTAGGCAGGGCGGGGTGGCTCACATCCCAGCACTTTGGGAGGTGGAGGCGGGTGGATCGATCACAAGGTCAGGAGTTCCAGACCAGCCTGGCCAACATGGTGAAACCCCGTCTCTACCAAAAATACAAAAATTAGCTGGGCGTGGTGGCGTGCGCCTGTAGTCCCAGCTACTCAGGTGGCTGAGGCAGGAGAATCGTTTAAACGGGAAGGCGGGGGTTGCAGTGAGCCGAGATCATGCCACTGCCCTCCAGCCTGGGCAACAAACTGACACTCCGTCTCAACAACAACAACAACAACAACAACAAGAATATATACATAAACGCTAAATTTTGGCCAGGCGTGGTGGCTCATGCCTGTAATCCCAGCACTTTGGGAGGCCGAGGTGGGCGGATCACCTGAGGTTAGGAGTTCGAGACCAGCTTAGCCAACATAGTGAAACTCCGTCTCTACTAAAAAGACAATAATTAGCTGGTCGTGGTGGTGGGCGCCTGTAATCCCAGCTACTCGGGAGGCTGAGGCAGGAGAATCACTAGAATCTGGGAGGCTGAGGTTGCAGTGAGCCAAGATCACGCCACTACACTCCAGCCTGGGCAACAAGAGCAAAACTCCATCTCAAAAAAAAAAAAGCTAAATTTCAAAATAAGGGAGGATCGCTGGGCGTGCTGGCTTATGCCTGTAATCCCAGAATTTTGAGAAGGGGAAACAAGATGATCACTTGAGGCCAGGAGTTCAAGACCATGGTGACAATACAGTGAGACCCTGTCTCTATTTACAAAAACAAAAACACCATCCTCGGCAACATAGTGAGACCCCTGTCTCTACAAAAAAGAAAAAAGGAAAATTAGCCAGGTGCGGTGGGGCACACATGTAGTCCCAGCTACTTGGGAGGCGGGGGTGGGAGCATTGCTGGAGCTCAGGAGGTTGAGGCTGCAGTGAGCTGTGGTCACACCACTGCACTCCAGCCTGGGTAATATAGTAAGACCCTGTCTCAAAACAAAACAAAAACGTAATTAGGCCGGGCATGGTGGCTCACGCCTGTCATCCCAGCTACTCGGGGGATCGCTTGAACCCAGGAGGTGGAGGTTGCAGTGAGCCGAGAGCGCACCACTGCACTCCCCATTAGGCAACAGAGAGAGGCCACCAGGCCCAGCTAATTTTTTTGTATTTTTAGTGGAGACGGGGTTTCTCCATGTTGGCCACGCTGGTCTTGAATTCCTGACCTCAGGTTATCCGTGGCCTCGGCCTCCCAAAGTGCTGTGATGACAGGTGTGAGCCACAGTGCCTGGCCAGCGAGGCTCGGTCTTAAAAAGAACAACAAAACAAAACAAAACAATATAAAGGAGGAGCGTATTTATAGTTAGTTTGATTTAAAAATTGGGCGGGCGCGTTGGCTCACGCCTGGAGTCCCAGCACTTTGGGATGCTGAGGCGGGTGGATCATGAGGTCAGGAGATTGAGACCATCCTGGCCAACATGATGAAAACCTGTATGTACGAAAAACACAAAAATTAATTGGGTGTGGTGGCACGTGCCTGTAGTCCCAGCTACTCGGGCGGCTGAGGCAGGAGAATCCTTTGAACCAGGGGAGTCGAGGTTGTGGTGAGCCGAGATCGCGCCACTGCACTCCAGCCTGGTGACAGAGCGAGACTCTGTCTCTAAATAAATAAATAAAATAAAATAAAATAAAAATCATGGTTAATTTATGAAGGTCTCTATCAAATTTACTTTGAAATGATTACAGTCTGTCATAACTTGCTGACTTCCTTGTACCTAAAGAAATTTAGCAAGTACCTTTTCTTAGTGTCATGCATTTATTAACTGAGTACTTATTATATGGTAGGCACTGCTATAAGCTGTAGAGTATCTAGCCAGTCAAAAAGGAAAAAATTCCCTGCCCATATGGAGTTTACTATCTAGTGTCATCTCCACTCTTACTGTTAACACAGCCCCAGAGATTTTACTTTTACAAATAAATTCTATCTTTGTCTTACATTCGTGATTTCCTTCCACTTCTGACATGTCTTACAGCTGAAGGATTCAAGAAATGGTGTAGCACAAGCCAACCCTCGTCTCAGTTCTGAGATGAGTGGGTAAAATGTGAAAGGAAAGAAAGAAATGCAAGGCACAGAGGTGGAACATGGTTTTGCTGAGCCCATTCTCCTTTCATAAATCACACACAGGATCCAGGTGCTAATGTGAATGTTGAAATAAGCAGATTTAGCAAGAACTGCTGCTTTGGCTTTTTTATATCCAGAACTAAAAAAGAACTGAACCATGTAGTTATCATTTGAGGTTTACTAACTATACCAGCAATATTGCCTCCAAGCTGTGTTGCCTGGTGTTTCTCTTAGAAATGCTAAGTTGCTTGGGCAATGGTTTAAGGAGGGTGTCTATACCTTAGTGATTTATTTTGGTAATTCTCAAACTTTTCAATACAAAAATCTCCTTTTCTAAAAAGAATTTATAGTGTCTGATATTCACCTAGGGACATATATTTTGAAAGCTATTGCTTACAAAGACAGGATATTGATTTAAATAATAAACAATTCTATTTTATTTATTTATTTATTTAGAGACGGAGTTTCACTCTTGTTGCCCAAGCTGGAGTGCAATGGCGCGATCTCGGCCTCCCAGGTTCAAGCGATTCTCCTGCCTCAGCCTCCCGAGTAGCTGGGATTACAGGCGCGTGCCAGCACGCCCAGTTAATTTTTTTGCATTTTTAGTAGAAACGGGGTTTCATCATGTTAGCCAGGATGGTCTCGAACTCCTGACTTCAGGTGATCTGCCCGCCTCGGCCTCCTAAACTGCTGGGATTACAGGCATGAGCCACCGCGACCGGCTTTCAAAAATGTTTAATTGTACAATATCCTCCTCCTTTGCTTTTTTTTTTGTTGTTGTTCTTGGTGTTGGGAAGTCAGGACGTGGGATGGGAGACAATATTCTGAAGAAAATGCATCTCGTGTCCCTTTCAGGCTTGAGCAGCCCACCTCTCTACACCTGGAGGCGCTTTTCCTGATGGCTGTCCAAGTCTAGCGGCGCGCGCACTTAACCCCTCCCTCCCGTCTAGCCCCGCCCCTCAACTCCTGTCCGCTAGAGTCGTCCTGCCCAAGACCAGGGCGGGTTCTCGCTGCAATCCCACAATCGGCCACAGGGAGGGGACGGTGGCTGTAGAAGCCGAAGGGCCTTCCCCTAAGTAGGAGGTGGCGGAAGCGGAAAAGGCGGGACCTAGGGAGCACGTTACGTCCGGACGCGTCGGTGGTAGGGCTGGGTCTCCGAACCTGAAACCGGGAGCTTCCTGCTCGTGTTCGCTGTTGAGAAGCTACCCGCGGGGTTGTAGACCTCGGACCTCATGGCAGAGATAATTCAGGAACGCATAGAAGATCGGCTCCCGGAATTGGAACAGCTGGAGCGCATTGGACTGTTCAGTCATGCGGAGATTAAGTGAGAGAGGGTTGGGGAGAGGGAAGAGCTGAGGCGGCCTGAGGGGAGGTTGGGAGTGTGTGGCAGGGGCTAGATGTGGGGACGCTCGACCTGTGTTTACTTTTCCTAACGTGGTGGAAGCCCATTTCTCGTTTTCGGTGATGTCCAGAATTAATTTTTCATTCGTTGCAAGGTAATCCGTCCGTCTACTTACCCATCAGACGTTTTGACAGCCCTTCATGGAGCCGGGTCTTAGGGCTGTAAAGGTGATAAACCCAGGATTCCTGCTCATTAGGAGCTAATTGGGCAGAGTGTGGTGGGGGAGACAGACAAATTAAATATTTTGATAACAGTGTACTGTAAGTTGATTGTAGTACCTTGTACTGCTGTAGGGATGGGAACAGAGTGCTGTGAGAGCCCAGGGGGAGTGGATAAATTCCTAACTAGACTTGAAGGTGGGGACCATTGAAATCAGTTTCATATGCTACTCCAGAGCCTAACTACAGCGCCTGGCACATGGTAGACATTCAGTAGCGTGTTAAAATTATGTTTAATAGTTTTTAATGGTTTCTGTGACTGTTGCTTTGTTTTGCAACGTCTGAATGTAGTAATGTGACTCAGAGCTTCAAAGTAAGCATTCGTTAATGAAACACAAAACAAAGCAGTGTGGACGCTTAGAAAGTGCTCAGTTAAGGTTAATGTTACCATTACTAAAGACACCTGTCTTGCACATCTTGCATTAAATTCTCCTAATATATATTTGTCATATGTTCATTCCTTAGCTAAGGACTCTGAATCTTCTCCCGTAAGTCCTTCGTAGTAATAAGTCTTTTAAGGCAGACGCAATTTAGATTTTTAAAAAAATTTACATGTTGAGAACTCAGAAATAAGAGGAATTTCGGAAAGAAATTTATTATTAAAATTTAAGTGACCTGAACTTGGAGTAAAAGAAGTCTTTATTAATACCAGCCAGGCGCTGTGGCTCACGCCTGTAATCCCAGCACTTTGGGAGGCCGAGGTGGGTGGATCACGAGGTCAGGAGTTCGAGACCAGCCTGGCCAATATGGTGAAACCCCGTCTCTACTAAAAATACAAAAATTAGCTGAGCGTGGTGGTGAGCGCCTGTAGTCCCAGCTACTCGGGAGTCTGAGGCAGGAGAATCGCTTGAACTCGGGAGGCCGAGGTTGTAGTGAGCCAAGATCATGCCACTGCACTCCAGCCTGGGCGACAGAGCGAGAAAAAAACAAACAAAAAAAACACCATACATAAATGGTATAAAGTTCTTAATTGTATTTGCTTTGCTGGTGGGAATGTCATTGGTTTTGGGAGTTGATTAAGATGATTTTCCTGAAAGTTTAAAAATGAACCCTTAAGAACACAAAAGTAATTGTGTAAGAGAATACTTTTTTTTTTTGAGATGGAGTCTTGCTCTGTCGCCAGGCCAGAGGGCAGTGGCGCGATCTCGGCTTACTGCAACCTCCGCCTTCCAGGTTCAAGCAATTTTCCTGCCTCAGTCTCCCGAGTAGCTGGGACTACAGGCACGCACCACCACGCCCAGCTAATTTTTGTATTTTTAGTAGAGATGCAGTTTTACCATGTTGACCAGGGTGGTCTCAGTCTCTTGACCTCTTGATCTACCCGCCTCAGCCTCCCAAAGTGCTGGGATTCCAGGCATGAGCCACTGTGTCCGGCCGATAATACTTTCTTATGAAAGATAACTCTAGGAATTTCGTATTTTGAAAAACATGTTTTAAATATATTCAAAATAAACTTAAACGTTTAATTTTTGCAGTTTTCAAGTGAAGTTTAAATGGCTTTCTCCTCAGGGCTATCATTAAGAAGGCTTCCGATCTAGAGTACAAAATCCAGAGAAGAACCCTTTTCAAGGAAGACTTTATCAATTATGTTCAAGTAAGTGTGTAATTAATAATTTCTTTCTTTTTTTCTTTTTTGTTTTTTGGTGAGATGGCATCTCACTCTGTCACCCAGGTTGGAGTGCAGTGGTGTGAATGGTGTGATCTCTGCTCACTGCAACCTCTGCCCTCCAGGCTCAAGCGATTCTCCTACCTCAGCCTCCTGGGTAGCTGGGACCATAGATGCATGCCACCATGCCTGGCTAATTTTTTGGTAGAGACTGGGTTTTGCCACATTGCCCAGGCTGATCTCAAGGGATCCACCCACCTTGGCCTCTCAAAGTGCTGGGCTTACAGGTGTGAACCACAGTGCCCGGCCAATAATTAATAATTTCATTACTTTTTTTTGAGGCAGGGGCTCGCCTTTCACCCAGGCTGAAGTGCAGTGGTGCCATCATGGCTCAGTGTAGCTTCCACCTCCTGAGCTGAAGCCATCCTCCCACCTCAGCCTCTGGAGTAGCTGGGACTACAGGTGTGTGCCAGTATGGCTGGCTAGCTTTTGTGTTTTTTGTAGAGACAGGGTTTCGGCATGTTGCCCACGCCCAAAATGCTGGGATTACAAGTGTTTGTGAGCCACCGGGCCCAGCCTTACTTTTTTTATTTTTGTTTTTGAGACAAGAGTCTTGCTCTGTCACCCAGGCTGGAGTGCAGTGGCGCGATCTTGGCTCACTGCAACCACTGCCTTCCGGGTTCTAGTGATTCTCAAGTCTCATCCTCCTCAGTAACTGGGATTACAGGCGTATGGCACCGCACCCAGCTACTTTTAGTAGAGACTGGGTTTTGCCATGTTGGCTAGGCTGGTCTCGAACTCCTGGCCTCAAGCAATCCACCAGCATCGGCCTCCCAAAGCGAGTGCTATGATTACAGGCATGAGGCATCATGCTCGGTCCTAGCCTTACTTTTTAATCCCTTCACAAATTGATTGATTGGTTGATTAATTGAAATAGAGTCTCTCTGTGTCACCCAGGCTGGAGTGCAGTTGCACAGTCTCTGCTCACGCTCACCGCAACCTCCGCCTCCTGGGTTCAAGTGATTCTCCTGCCTCAGCCTCCCATTCCTTCACAAATTTAAAATCAGTTCTAGAATGATGAGCTTAACATCAAATTTTTTTTTTTTTTGAGATGGAGTTTCACTCTTATTGCCCAGGCTGGAGTGCAGTGGTGCGATCTCGGCTCACTGCAACCTCCGCTTCCTGGGTTCAAGCAGTTATCTGCCTCAGCCTCCTGAGTAGCTGGGATTACAGGTGCCCACAACCACGCCAGGCTAATTTTTGTAGAGACAGCGTTTCACCATCTTGACCAGGCTGGTCTTGAACTCCTGACCTGGTGATCCACCCGCCTCGGCCTCCCAAAGTGCTGGAATTACAGGCATGAGCCACCACGCCCGGCCAACATCAGTTTTTTAAAAAAATTAAAAGAATTCCAGAAACGTTCATTAGATAGATATTTCTGAACAGGAGTAGCATTGGGAGTAGCATTACTCCACTAAGACTGTAGTCCTGGCCAAACTGAACTTACTTTTCCCCTCCTCTTTCTCTCTTGTCGTTTTCTTTCTTTTTTTTTTCTACTGGGTTTGTAGATCAGAGATTGTCAGAGACATAGTGTGTATCAGGACTTCAGCAAGAGATTTGCCTCTTGGTGAGCAAGATAGAGGAGAGTGAATGTGATGAGTGTAGAGAATTGAAAAGTTACTGCTTGTTTATCTATTGTCTGTCCACTTGGAAAGAGGTGTACTGCAAGATTTTTTCATCTTGTAAATGCATGGAAGGTTTGAATAAAGAAAAATTATGTCAGACCAATTTTCCAGTGGGGGAGAATAGCTAATATGTTGGATGACGGAATCAGGATTCAGAAAGAACCAATAACAAGATCACATGTTTATAAGACTAGAAGTTTTGGTTGGGCATGGTGGCTCATGCTGTAATACCAGCACTTTGGGAGGCTGAGGCAGGCAGATCACCTGTGGTCAGGAGTTCGAGACCAGCCTGGCCAACATGGTGAAACCCCCATCTCTACTAAAAATACAAAAATTAGCCGGGTGTGGTGTTGGGTGCCTGTAATCCTAGCTACTCAGGGGCTGAGGCAGGAGAATTGCTTGAACCCAGGAGGTGGAGGTTGCAGTGAGCCAAGATTGTGCCATTGCACTCCCAGCCTGGGAGACAAGAGCGAAACTCCATCTCAAAAAAAAAAAAAAAAAAAAAGACTAGAAGTTTTGAGCTTAGATTTAAAAAGACAAAAGACAGCCGAACAAACAATATATGAACCTTGGCTAAGCTATTGTTTTTGGAAGAGGTCCTATGAGTAGATTGCTCACTCAAAATGAGCCAAGACCATATTATGTCAAAAATAGATTTTTTTTTTTCCAAATAATACACTCACTCTTGCCCAGGCTGGAGTGCAATGGTGCGAGCACTCATTGCAGCCTCGAACTTCTAGGCTCAGATGATCCTCCTGCCTCAGCCTCCCAAGTAGGTAGGACTACAGGCTTGTGCCAGATGGCTGGCTAATTTTCTTATTTTTTGTAGAGATAGGGTCTCCTTATGTTGCCCAGGCTGGTCTTGAACTCCTGGGCTCAAGTGATCCTCCTGCCTTGCCGTACCAGAGTTTTGGGAATTACAGACTTGAGCCAGTGTGCCCAGCCAAAAGATTTCTTAAAGCTAAATTAGACTGTGAAAGCACAAACCATGAGAGAAAAGACTGATTTATTTGATTGTGTTCAAAATACAAATTTCTGGAGGGGCGTGGCGGCTCACGTGTGAGACAGGCAGATCGCTTGAGCCCAGGAGTTCAAGACCAGCCTAGGCAACATGGCAAACCCCATCTCTACAAAAAATACAAAAATTAGCTGGGCATGGTGGTGCACACCTGTAGTCCCAGCTACTCTGGAGGTTGAGGTGGGAGGATCAGTTGAACCTGGGAGGTGGAAGCTGTAGTGAGCCATGATGGCGCCATTGCACTTCAGTCTGGGTGATAGAGACCCTGTCTCAAAAAAAAAAAAAATTTTTTTCTGTGCAAAAAAGACACTACAAATAATGTGAAAATACAAGCCACAAAATGTGAGAAAATATTTACAACACATAATTAGAACTACATATACACATATATAAAGAACTGTAAATCGAGAAGAAAATGAAAACTAAAAAGAAAAATGGGCAAATCATGTGAACGTGAAAGTCACAAAGGGGAAACATCACTTGTAGTTAAACTTATGAAAAGACATCAGCCTTATCAGTAATTAGTTAAATAAAGATTAAAACAAGGTGTAGGGGCCGAGCGCGGTAGCTCATGCCTGTAATCCTAGCACTTTGGGAGGCTGAGGCGGGTGGATTACTTGAGGTTGGGAGTTGGAGATCAGCCTGGTCAACATGGTGGAACCCCATCTCTACTAAAAATACAAAAATTAGCCAGGCACGGTAGCACGTACCTGTAATCCCAGCTACTGGGGAGGCTGAGGCAGGAAAACTGCTTGAATCCGGGAGGCGGAGGTTGCAGTGAGCCTAGGTTGCGCCACTGCACTTCAGCCTGGGCGACAGAGCGAGACTCCATCTCAAAAAAACAAACAATAAAAAAAAACCAGGTGTAGGACTGCTTTATATTCATTATAAGAGCAAACTTTTTTTTTTTTTTCTTTTTTGAGATGGAGTCTCGCTCCGTCACCCAGGCTGGAGTGCAGTGACATGATCTCGGCTGACTGTAACCTCTACCTCCTGATCAGCCTCCCAAGTAGCTGGGATTACAGGCACACACCACCAGCCTCGGTGAATAGGGATATAGCTAAAGGGATAATGTTGAGTAGAAATATGGATTGATGGGCCGGGCACGGTGGCTCATGCCTATAATCCCAGCACTTTGGGAGGCCAAGGTGGGTGGATCACTCGAGGTCGGGAGTTCAAGACCAGCCTAGCCAACATGGTGAAACCCCATCTCTACTAAAAATACAAAAATTAGCCGGGCATGGTGGCAGGCGCCTGTAATCCAAGCTACTCGGGAGGCTGAGGCAGGAGAATCTCTTAAAGCCAGGAGGCAGAGGTTGCAGTGAGCCGAGATTATGCCACTGCACTCTAGCCTGGGCGACAGAGGGAGACCCCGTCTCAAAAAAACAAAACAAAACACCTATGGATTGATGGATGTAGCATGATACCATTTATGTAAAATTTAAAGGCATTCAAGACATCATTATAATAAAGTCCAAAGTCATGTTTGGGAATGATAACAAAGTCAAGGTAATTGCTGCCTCTGGAGAGGGAGAAGAGTAGAATCAGAGATAGGTACATAGGTAGCTTCATTTTTATACGAACTGTTTTATTTCTAAAAAAGATTTGAAGCAAATGTAGTGCAATGTAGGTTTGGTGTAGCTGCATTGTAGCTGCATGGGGTGTTTTATATGCTTGAAATATTTCATGGAATAATTTTTAAGTGAAGCATGTAATTATAAGCTTGTTAATTCTGTTTAAGTTTTATAGCTAAGTGAATTTTAAGTGAGTTCTAGACATTTATTGTAAATTATGTGATAGCACATTATTTTTTATTTTATATTCTCGATTTTTGTTTTATGACTTTAACTAAATTTCCAGTATTTAAAAGGTTTTAGATTTTCTAGCTTCTCATTTTTTTGTATGTTTTTCTTTCATAGTATGAAATTAATCTTTTGGAGCTGATCCAGAGAAGAAGAACAGTAAGTAGAAGATTTTCTAGAAGTTGGAGAAAAATACAGAACTAAGCAGTATGGCTGTATAGTTAGGACTTGTGTTTGGGAGACAGTGTTGATAAAACTGTGGTGATATGCCTATAATGGATATTTGTAATTATTTGTTTGCTTCATCAGTACCATTAAGTGGTCAAGTAGGAATGCTGTTTTGGACAAATATGATTAAGTTGAGGCTCTGTTTTTTTATGTCCCCCTTTAGCGCATTGGATATTCATTTAAGAAGGATGAGATTGAGAATTCTATTGTACACCGGGTACAAGGTGTTTTCCAGCGTGCCTCAGCAAAATGGAAAGTGAGTGATCAAGGCATCCTTAACTTTATGAGATGTGAAGATAAGTATTATACATATTGTATTAGGGATTCAAATGCAGTTTTCTATTTTTATCTTGGGTATCTTTATACTTACTCTAATGATGGTATCATTACTCAAAACATTTTTTGAGCCACTTAACAAACCAGTAAGAAAATTGATCTTATTACCTTATAGTTATTCTATGAGGACAGTGCTGAAAACAGTGTATTTGATACATTACTAAGGATTGGAAATTTGGGAGATATTTGTATATATTTGTAAGTACACTGAAGACTTAGAGCTAGAAAATAAATGGTTATGTAGGGGCAATACCTCAGAAACTTGATTTTTTTTTTTTTCTTTTTTTTTTTTTTTTGAGATAAGGTCTCACTGTGTTGCCCAGACTAGAGTACAGTAGGGTGATCTCGGTTCACTGTAACCTCTGCCTCCCAGGCTCAAATGATTCTCCCACCTCAGCCTCCCCAGTAGCTGGGATCACAGGCGCATGCCACCGTGCCTGGCTAATTTTTGTATTTTTGGTAGACATAGGGTTTCGTCATGTTTTTTAGGCTGGTCTCGAACTCCTGGGCTCAAGTGATCTGCCCACCTCAGCCTCCCAAAGTGCTGGGATTACGGGAGTGTTTGGGATTGGGTATATTATATGAGAAGTATTTTGGATTCTTGGTAATGACAAATTTTATATTGCTACCCCAGATTGAGATTCTTTAAGAACTGCATTAAACCAACTGGATAGATAACAAAGTTTTTTTGGAGCATTGTGAGTGGGAGTTGGGGGAAAGGTTGAATTATCATAGTTAAGAGATCGGAGGCCTTTGTGAGGAAGAGCCAGATAGGATGAGAGGTGACTGGATTTTCTGAAATCTGCTTCTTTTTTTTTTTTTTTTTTTTTGGTGGGGGATGGAGTTTTGCTCTGTTGCCCAGGCTAGAGTGCAGTGGTGTGATCTTGGCTCACTGCAACCTCTGCCTCCCAGATTGAAGCAATTTTCCTGCCTCAGCCTCCCCAGTACCTGGGACTTCAGGCACGCACCACCGCGCCTGGCTAATTTTTGTATTTTTAGTAGACAGGGTTTCACCATCTTGGCCAGGCTGGTCTCAAACTCCTGACCTCAGGTGATCCACCTGCCTCAGCCTCCAAAAGTGCTGGGATTACAGGCCTGAGCCATTGTGCCTGGCTTTTTTTTTTTTTTTTTTTTGAGGTGGAGTCTTGCTCTGTCACCCAGGTTAGAGTGCAGTGGCACACAATCTCGGCAGCTCACTGCAACCTTCGCCTCCTAGGTTCAAGTGATTCTTCTGCCTCAGCCTCCCTAGTAGCTGGGATTACAGGCACATACCACCACACCTGGCTAATTTTTTTTGTTTGTTTTTTTGAGTTGGAGCTTCCCTATGTTGCCCAGGCTGGAGTGCAGTGGCCCGATCTCGGCCTCCCGGCTTCAAGCGATTCTCCTGTCTCAACTTCCTGAGTAGCTGGGATTACAGGGGTCTGCCACCAAGTCCGGCTAATTTTTTTGTATTTTTAGTAGAGACGGGGTTTCACCATATTTGACAGGCTGGTTTTGAACTCCTGACCTCAAGTGATCAATCCGCCTTGGCCTCCCAATAATCTTTGTAATTTTAGGTTAGGTGGGGTTTCACCATGTTGGCCAGGCTGGTTTCAATCTCCTGACCTCAAGTGATCCGCCCGCTTCGGCTTCACAAAGTGGTGGGATTACAGGTGTGAGCCACCGCATCCAACCTGAAATTTGCTTGTTTTTAGCAAAATTAATTAATGCAAAGGTGTATTATATGTAAAGGTCAAATTTGGGCAGCTTACTACATTGCTTTTCTTGCAGGACGATGTTCAACTTTGGCTCTCCTATGTGGCTTTTTGTAAGAAGTGGGTGAGTAAAGCCATGCATGTCTTGCTTCCTCTGACCGTCTTTTTGTTAATCTGCCCTTTAAGCTTCATGCCAGATGTTTTTTCCTGAAGTGTAGGGTTAACATGAAAAAAGAACCCAAGAAGGCGGAACATCAATATAACATTGGATATCTGAATGACTATGGTTTCCAATTCAATTGAAAAGAATATAATTTTTACGTGTGTTTGTTCAATACAGTTGACTTTTTAAAAAGATATTTAAAGTGTTTAGTGGTTTAATTGAGGTAGAAAATTTTGAGGGTCTGTGTTCGTTTATATATCCCTAGCAATAGCATGTCATGCTCCATTGGATTTTACAGTTGGTAAAGTTAGGGTACATATTACTTAGAGAGTAAGATCAATGATTTATCTGTGCAGGAAGTAGAAATATTTTCCTTTTTTACAGGCTACTAAAACTCGACTTAGCAAGGTATTCTCTGCCATGTTGGCGATTCATTCCAACAAACCAGGTATGGTGAAATCTTTGTCAATTTTTCTATGTTTTATTTAGACTCAAGCCATTTTGGATTTTATTTCGATTGATGAATCTAAGAGAAATTATTTTGAGGACTTGAGCTTAGGCAGTTGGCCTCAGCAGTTTTTCTTACTGAATAGCTGCCTCATAGTTCACCCCTGCCTACTATATACTAGTTACTGTCCTAGGTGTTGTATCTGCAGGCAAGAAGGACTGTATTTCTTTTTTTTTTGAGACGGAGTCTCGCTCTGTCGCCCAGGCTGGAGGGCAGTGGTGTGATCTTGGCTCACTGCAACCTCCGCCTCCCAGGTTGAAGCAATTCTCCTGCCTTAGCCTCCTGAGTAGGTGGGATTACAGGTGCCCGCCACCACGCCCAGCTAATTTTTGTATTTTTAGTAGAGACTGGGTTTTACCACGTTGGTCAGGCTGGTCTCTCGAACCCCTGACCTCGTGATCCACCCGCCTTGGCCTTCCAAAGTGCTGGGATTACAGGCGTGAGCCACCACTCCCGGCCAGACTGTATTTCTTTTTAGATGATGGCAAAATAAACTTTTGAATCCTTTGTGGGACATTTTATTTGGAGGCAGTCAAATCTGAGGAATTTTAGAAGCTTAAAGGGGAAAATATCAATATAAATTTTAGAAGAGTGCTGGTACAGAGTAGACTCATGTTTTGTAAGAGAAATATTTCTCTTGTGAATAATGTATAAATGGTCTAGTTGATAGTGGAGGGGCCTCAGCACCTATTCTCAGGGTATTAGGCTTAATCAGATATCTTATACCACACAAGACTCAAATAGACTACATTTGGCACCAGTTTACTCAGAAATATAGCAGGATAGCCTTAGGTATGTTCCTTCTGCAGAATGCTCTTAGCAGAATGGAGGTAGCCTCTGGTTCCTAAGGTGACTGTTCAGGTATGAGGAGATGAGATCATATCAGTAGGTAGGGGATCCAGTCTGGTTTAGAAGCCCCATGGATGGGCATGGCTTCTACAGATCCTAGAAAGGTCATGCTCAATTTTAGGAGTCACATGTTCAAGGAAGCCCAAAGCAATTGCTTGCCACCATTGCTGACCCTTCTATTCCAGGTGTGGTTACCAATCAGGCGTCATTTTTAACAAAAGCAATCTTGATAAGATAGGTGACCTTTATTAAATGTCTAGGGAAATAGCTAGAATGTTAACTCAGGGTTAATTTCCCATGTAGAAGGACAAAGGGTTTTAGAGAAAATTATGAATTATAATTTATTTTATTTTTTATTTTTTTGAGACAGAGTCTTGCCTCTGTTGCCCAGGCTGGAGTGCAGTGGTGTGATATCAGCTCACTGCAACCTCTGTCTCCTGGGTTCAAGTGATTCTCATGCCTCAGCCTTCTAAGTAGCTGGGATTACAGATGTGCACCACCACGCCTGGCTAATTTTTGTATTTTTAGTAGAGATGGGGTTTCGCCATGTTGGCCAGACTGGTCTCAGAACTCCCAGCCTCAAACGATCTGTGCACCTCAGCCTCCCAAAGTGCTGGGATTACAGGAGTAAGCCACTGTGGCTTGCCCTATAATTTCTCTAAATATTGAGAAAAGAGCAAAAAATAATTTTATTTGTGGTAAGATAAGCAGTTTTTTCTGGACTTTTTTTTTTGACATGGAGTCTTGCTCTGTCGCCCAGGCTGGGGTGTAGTCGTGTGATCTCAGCTCACTGCAACCTCTGCCTCCCAGGTTAAAGTGATCCTTCTGCCTCAGTCTCCGTAATAGCTGAGACTATAGGAGGGTGCCACCACGCCTGGCTAATTTTTTGTATTTTTTAGTAGAAACGAGGATTCACCATGTTGGCCAGGCTGGTCTCAAACTCCTGACATCAAGTGATCTGCCTGCCTCGGCCTCCCAAAGTGCTGGAACTACAGGTGTGAGCCACTGTGCCTGGCCTTTTTCTGGCATTTTACTACCTTTAAAATTTGTATGTGGGCCAGGCACGGTGGCTTATGCCTATAATCCCAGCACTTTGGGAAGCCGAGGCAGGCAGATCATTTGAGATCAGGAGTTTGAGACCAGCCTGAGCAACATGGTGAAAACCCATCTCTACAAAGTTACAAAATTTAGGTGGGCGTGATGGTGTATGCATGTGGTCCCAGCTACTTGAGGGGCTAAGGTGGGATTCTGGTAGGTGAAGACTGCAGTGAGCTGTTGTTTGTGCCACTGCAGCCTGAGCAACAGAGCAAGACCCTGTCTCAAAAAAAGAAAAAAATTGTATGTGACTTACAATAATGTCCTTAGATCTGATGAAAACAGTAACAGACACTTAGGTACTCATCCTCTAAATTGAACATTTGTTATCATTTACTCATTTGCTTCAGAATACTGTTTCTAATTTTAGATAACGTAGCCAAGCTTTGCAGTTAGAAACTGTCTGTCCGAACTGCTTCCCCTTTTGTTAAAGGTTTTTTTAAAAAATTGTTTGAGTGGGCCGGGCGCAGTGGCTCATGCCTGTAATCCTAGCACTTTGGGAGGCCGAGGCGGGCGGATCACGAGGTCAGGAGATTGAGACCATCCTGGCTAACATGGTGAAACCCCGTCTCTACTAAAAATACAAAAAAAATTAGCCGGGCATGGTGGCGGGTGCCTGTAGTACCAGCTACTCGGGAGACTGAAGCAGGAGAATGGCATGAACCTGGGAGGCGGAGCTTGTAGTGAGCCGAGATTGCGTCACTGCACTCCAGCCTGGGCGACAGAGTGAGACTGTCTCAAAAAAAAAAAAAAAAAAAAATTGTGCGAGTATTAAAATTGGATCATTTGGTTCTTTTCTTGTCTGACTTGATTAATTTATTGAAATGAAATCTGATGGTTTTTCACTTACAGCTTTGTGGATTATGGCAGCCAAATGGGAAATGGAAGATCGATTGTCTTCAGAAAGCGCAAGGCAACTATTTCTTCGCGCACTGCGCTTTCATCCAGAGTGCCCAAAACTTTATAAAGAAGTGAGTGTGTATGCACATAGGATGAGACAGTGATGTTTCAGTTTGGTCCTCTGGAGACATATTTTTTTTTCCTGGATTCAAGCAATTCTTACGCCTCAGCCTCCCGAGTAGCTGGGATTACAGGTGCCCGCCACCATACCTGGCTATTTTTTTTGTATTTTTAGTAGAGGCGGGGTTTTGCCATGTTGGCCAGGCTGGTTTCACTTTTTTTTTTTGAGACAGTCTTGCTCTGTTGCCCAGGCTGGAGTGCAGTGGCACGGTCTCGGCTCACTGCAAGCTCTGCCTCCTGGGTTCACACCATTCTCCTGCCTCAGCCTTCCGAGTAGCTGGGACTACAGGTGCCTGCCACCATGCCTGGCTAAATTTTTGTATTTTTTATTAGGGATGGGGTTTTACCATGTTAGCCAGGATGATCTCGATTTCCTGACCTGGTCATCCGCCCGCCTCCACCTCCCAAAGTGCTGGGATTACAGGCGTGAGCCACTGCGCCCGGCCCATGTATTCTTTATTAAATAAAAAAGGCTTCAATTTATGGAGGCTAGGAATAAGTGTGGAGGTGTGGGTAAGGACAAACATCTTTTTTATTTTTTGAGATGGAGTCTCGTTCTGTTTCCCAGGCTGGAGTGTAGTGGCCCGGTCTTGGCTCATTGCAACCTTTACCTCCTGGGTTCAAGCAATTCTCCTGCCTCAGCCTCCTGAGTAGGTGGGATCCCACGTCCGGCTAATTTTTGTATTTTTAGTAGAGATGGAGTTTCGCCCTGTTGGGCAGGCTGGTCTCAAACTCCCGAACTCAGGTGATCTGCCTGCCTCAGCCTCTGAAAGTGGTGGGATTACAGGTGTGAACCACCATGCCCGGCCAGGGAAAAACATCTTTTTGTAGGTGTTGACACTGCAGCTTCTAAGTTAGTTGAGAGGTTGGAACCCCCGCCTCCTTCCTGTGGTTGGAAGGAATAGGGAACTAGACTCTAACATTTTTTTAGCTGGGAGCCAGATTTAGCCTCTTTATACTTTTGTTTTTATTTTTTTTTCTTGTTCCCTTGGTTCTCCAAAGAAGCCCTCTTCTGGCTTCTTTGCCTTGTCTTCCTCTTTTCTCCATGTTCTTTCTGTCTCCTTTTCTTGAGATAGATACCTGGTAGTACTTCCTTTCTCTCTTCGGGGACTTACTCCCTTATGGATGGTGCCTTAGAACATTTGAGGGCCAAGCTTTAGATAAAATCCCAAATAAGAGAAAGAATGTATTGGAAGCTGCACTGTTTTCTGAGTCATTTGTCAGGATAAAAGAGAAACTGCTATTTAATTCTTTTTTTTTTTTTTTTTTTTTTTGAGATGGAGTCTCACTCTTGTTGCTCAGGCAGGAGTGCAATGGTGTGTTCTTGGCTCACTGCAACCTCCACGCCCGGGGTTCAAACGATTCTCCTGCCTCAGCCCCCGAAGTAGCTGGGATTATAGGTGTGCACCACCATGCCCCGCTAACTTTTGTATTTTTAGTAGAGATGGGGTTTTACCATGTTGGGCAGGCTGGTCTCGAACTCCTGACCTCAAGTGATCCGCCCGCCTGGCCTCCCAAAGTGCTGGGATTACAGGCATGAGCCACCGTGCCCAGCCTGCTATTTAATTCTTAAATGAAAGTTAAGCCTGGGTGTGGTGGCTCATGCCTTTAATCCCAGCACTTTGGGAGGCTGAGGCAGGAGGATCACTTGAGGTCAGTTGTTTCAGGCCAGGCAGCAACGTAGCAAGATCCTGTCTCTACAAAAAATAAAAATAAAAAAATTATCTGAGTGTGATGGAATGCACCTCTAATCCTAGCTACTCAGGAAGCTGAGGCAAGGGGATCACTTGAGTGCAGGAATTCATGGCCGAAATGAGCTGTCATCACCAGTGCACTCCAGCTTGGGTGACAGAGCAAGACCCTGTCTCAAAAAAATTTTAAAAAGCATCTCCAAAGATTTTCAGTTTATTTCTCTTCTGTAGTACTTTAGGATGGAGCTGATGCATGCTGAAAAACTGAGGAAGGAGAAGGAAGAATTTGAAAAAGCCAGTATGGATGTGGTAAGGTTCTAATTATTTTATTCTCACTTGCTAACGATGTATAACATTTTGAGCCTGCTTAGGAGTAAGAGAAAATATTTGGAATATATTTTTCTTTTTTTTTCTTTTTTTTTGAGACGGAGTCTCGGTCTGTCACACAGGCTGGAGTGCAGTGGCACCATCTTGGCTCACTGCAACCTCTGCCTCCGGGTTCAAGCTTTAATGTTTAATGTTGTTACATTTTGAAACTTCCAGATGAGTTAGTGTTACTTATAAATGGACTTAGTTAGGAAAATGAAGCTTTATGCTATAAAAATAGATATTTGGACTAATTAATGTGGTTCTCAAAATTGTTACTTACAGAATAGCCAAATACTATTCTTTAACGCTGTATGATCTCATAAAGTGATATATTAATGGATTCAAGGAGCTTGAGAAAGGTTGTGAAATGTGTGGTTTCCTGGCCTTCTTTCTTTCCCTTTTTATATAATTTTTTATATGACAGAATAATTAAAAGATTTAGAATGTTAGAGCTGAGAAGAAACTTTGCTATTGTCTGTTATTGTGGTTTCCAGCTTAGAACTTTTTTCTCAGACGGAGTGTTGCTCCTTGTCGCCCAGGCTGGAGTGCACTGGCACGATCTTGGCTCACTGCAACCTCCGCCTCCCGGGTTCAAGTGATTCTCCTGCCACAGCCTCCGAAGTAGCTGGGATTACAGGTGCCCGCCACCACTCCCGGCTAATTTTTGTATTTCTAGTAGAGATGGGGTTTTGCCATGTTGGCCAGGCTGGTCATGAACTCCTGATCTCAAGTGATCCGCCTGCCTCGGCTTCCCAAAGTGCTAGGATTATAGGCATGAGTCACCACGCCAGGCCAGGACTTTTTTATTCAAATAAAATGTTACAGAGAAGCGCAAACAAGACATGTAAAATCTGACCTGTTTTGGTCCAAATGGAGAGTGAGGCCTTAAGCCATGTGATCTTGCCACCACTCTTGGAGCCTCAGAGAACACAGTTGGAAGGTCAGTGATCTTGTTCAAGCTGCACACTTTACAAGTGAGGGAACTGGCCCGGAGAGAGAGACATGATTTACCAGTGGTCATATGGCACAGGTAGTCTAGGATTGTTAATTTTCGTCCTAGTGCTTTTCCTCCTTGTACTACCTGTTAAGTTACGTTTGATATAACACTCTTTAGGAGAATCCTGATTATTCTGAAGAAATCCTTAAGGGCGAGTTGGCATGGATCATCTACAAAAATTCTGTAAGCATAATTAAAGGTAGGTATCTTTTGAACATTATTTTTGGTAGGAAAGTGAAACATTCTTTTCTTAATGAAGATCTTTAGCTAGTTTTGAAATTTTCCATTAGAATGTGTATAAAACTCTGTAGGAATAGTGTCCTGTTTCTTTCAGAAAATACTTATTTTTCCTAGGCTATAATTGAACATTTCAGTAACTTATTTATTTTTTGAGATGGAGTCTTGATCTGTTGCCCAGGCTGGAGTGCATTGGCGTGATCTCGGCTCACCACAACCTCTGCTTCCTGGGTTCAAGTGATTCTCCTGCCTCAGCCTCCCAAGTAGCTGGGACTATAGGTGTGTGCCACCCTGCCCAGCTAATTTTTGTATTTTTAGTAGAGACGTAGTTTCACTATGTTGGCTAGGCTGGTCTCGTACTCCTGACCTTGTGACCTGCCCGCCTTGGCCTCCCAAAGTGTTGGGATTACAGGCGTGAGCCACCATGCCTGGCATAAGTCTCTTTTTAAAATTTATATTCTACTCCCATTTTTTTCCCTTAAATTTTAATAGGTTTGGGCCGGGTATGGTGGCTCATGCCTGTAATCCCAGCACTTTGGGAGGCCAAGGCAGGTGGATCACCTGAGGTCAGGAGTTTGCGACCAGCCTGGCCCACATGGTGAAACCCCATTTCTACTAAAAATACAAAAATTAGCTGGGTGTGGTGGTGGGCGCCTGTAATCCCAGCTACTTGGGAGGCCGAGGCAGGAGAATTGCTTGAACCCGGGAGGTGGAGGTTGCAGTGAGCTGAGAGCGCCTGGGCAACAGAGCGAGACTTCATCTCAAAAAAATAAAAATGTCAATAGGTTTTTGGGGAACAGGTTTAGTGGTGATGTCTGAGATTTTGGTGCACCCATCAACGAGCAGTGTATACTGTACCCAGCGTGTACTCATTTATCCTTCCATGTTTTTTTTTTGAGACAGGGTCTTACTCTGTCACCCACGCAGGAGTGCAGTGGTACAATTATGGCTCACTGTAGCCTCGACTTCATGGGCTCAGGTGATTCTCCCATTTCAGCCTCCTGAGTAGCTGGGCATGGACCTCTATGCCTGGCTAGTTTTTGTACTTGTAGTAGAGATGAGGTTTCACCATGTTGTCCGGGCTAGTCTTGAACTCCTGAGCTCAAGTGATCCTCCTGCCTTGGCCTCCCAAAGTGATGGCATAACTGGTGTGAGCCATTGCACCAATCCTCAGTAAGTTCTCATGGAGTAATTAAATCGTGGGGAGTTGAAAATTAGTTCTTTTTTTATGAATACTCCAAAGATTAACAATAGCTTTGCTTGAGTAGGGGGACACTGGGGTGAGGGGACTATGGGATGACTTTTCTTCTATTTTATTCTATTTCTCATTTCAAAAAACAAGAAGATTAACTCCAGTACATGAAAAGAATGCTACTTTTAAAGTAAAGTGATTCTTATTGGCAATAAACTTCCCCTCCCCTGCTTTTTAAATTTAGGTGCAGAATTTCACGTGTCACTGCTTTCGATTGCAC
The DNA here is from genome assembly GCF_000001405.40 of Homo sapiens. Classification (NCBI taxonomy): domain Eukaryota; kingdom Metazoa; phylum Chordata; class Mammalia; order Primates; family Hominidae; genus Homo; species Homo sapiens. The sequence goes on along the minus strand of NC_000017.11, from coordinate 31,884,469 downwards.
AGCTATTTGACTTTGCCAAAGATCTACAAAAAGAGATTTATGATGAGTAAGTAAAGTTAGTAGAAAGGTGAATATATCTATTTCTGATCTTGAGATTAAGGGTTTGAGGTTGGATATTTAGTAGAAGAGAAAGAAGATACCACACTAAATCCCTGGAATAAAAGCTAATATTGGCCGGGTGCAGTGGCTCACACCTGTAATCCCAGCACTTTGGGAGACTGAGGTGGGTGGATCACCAGAGGTCAGGAGTTTGAGACCAGCTTGACCAACATGGTGAAACCCCGTCTCTACTAAAAATACAAAATTAGTTGGGCGTGGTAGTGCATGCCTGTAATCCCAGCTACTTGGGAGGCTGAGCCAGGAGACTCGCTTGAACCTGGGAGGCGGAGGTTGCAGTGAGCCAAGATCCCACAATTGCACTCCAGCCTGGGTGACAAGCAAAACTCCATCTCAAAAAAAAAAAAAAATTAATATCATATTACGTTAAAAAAAAATTTCCTGGCCCAGTGTAGTAGCTCACACTTTGGGATCCCAGTACTTTGGGAGGCCAAGGCAGGTGGATCCCTTGAGCTCAGGGGTTTGAGACCACCCTAGGCAACACGGTGAAACCCTGTCTCTACAAAAAATAAGCTAGGTGTGGTGGTGCATGCCTGTGGTCCTACCTACTCTGGAGGCTGAGGTGGGAAGATCACCTGAGTCTGGGAGGTTGAGGCTGGAGTGAACTGTGATCCTGCCACTCCACTCCTGTCTGGGTCACAGAGTGAGACCGTGTCTCAGAAAAAAAGTATCTTCCTGATTGAGTTCTTTGATTCACTTACTGGGGGAAATAGTTTATTCAATAAAAAAAAAAAATCTAGCCAGGCACGGTGGCTTAAGCCTGTAATCCCGGCACTTTGGGAGGCCGAGATGCATGGATCACCTGAGGTCGAGAGTTTGAGACCAGCCTGACCAACATGGAGAAACCACGTTTCTACTAAAAATACAAAATTAGTCGGGCGTGGTGGCGCATACCTGTAATCCCAGCTACTCGGGAGGCTGAGGCAGGAGAATCACTTGAAGCCGGGAGGTGGAGGTTGCAGTGAGCCAAGATTGTGCCATTGCACTCCAGCCTGGGAAACAAGAGCAAAATTCCATCTCAAAAAAAAAAAAAAAATCTAAAGCTTATATAAAATTCTAAATTCTATTTTCCTGGCATTTATCCATAAAATGAGAGTTATACTCATATGTTTATAGTTGAGTGCTGGTAATTTTATTCTTTTTATTTCTTTATTATATTTTTATTTATTTATGTTTTTAATTATAGAGATGAGGTCTCACTATGTTGCCCAGGTTGATCTTGAATTCCTGAGCTCAAGTGATCCTCCTGCCTTAGCCTCCCAAAGTGCAAGGATTACAGGTGTGAGCCATTACACCTGGCTGGTAATTTTATTCTTTAATGTCTGATTATATGGTTTAACAATTATTTGTAAGCTTCGGCAACATGGCGAGACCTGTTTTTACAAAAAATAACAATAAAATTAGTTGGGTATGGTGACATGTGCCTGTAGTCCCAGCTACTTGCGGGGCTGAGGTGGGAGGATCCCTTGAGCCTGTGAGGTTGAGGCTGCCGTGAGCTGTTATTGCATCACTGCACCCCAGCCTGGGTGACAGAGTGAGACCCTGTCTCAAAAAAAGAAAAAAAAAATATTTTTAGCCTACCTTGTGGGTACTTCCGTTTTTTGGTAACACCTCTTCCTTTGACAGGAGGGGAAATGGAACTTGAATCAATCTGTTGTTTGGATATCTTCAGGGTTTTGAGAGAGGAGTAGGTTGTGCTTTTTCTCTATTATTTAGAAAATGAAGAACCCTGGGCTGGGTGTGGTGGCTTACGCCTGTAATCTCAGCACTTCGGGAGGCCGAGGTGGGCGGATCACTTGAGGTCAAGAGATTGAGATCATCCTGGCCAACATGGTGAAACCCCGTCTCTACTAAAAATAGAAAAATCAGCTTGGTGTGATGGCATGCACCTGTAATCCCAGCTACTCAGGAGGCTGAGGCAGGAGAATCGCTTGAACCTGGAAGGTGGAGGTTGCAGTGAGCTGAGATCGTCCCACTGCACTCCATCCTGGTGACAGAGAAGACTCTGTCTCCAAAAAAAAAAAACAGATGCAGTGGCTCATGCCTGTAATCCCAGCACTTGGGAAGGCCGAGGCGGGCGGATCACCTGAGGTCAGGAGTTTGAGACCAGTCTGGCCAACATGGTGAAACCCCGCCTCTACTAAAAATACAAAAATTAGCTGGGTGTGGTGTCACATGCCTGTAATCCCAGGTACTCCGGAGGCTGAGGCAGGAGAATCGCTTGAACCCAGGAGGCGGAGGTTATAGTGAGTTGAGATCGTGCCACTGCACTTCAGCTTGGGCAACAAGAGAGAAACTCTGTCTTAAAACACACACACAAACACACACACACACACAAACGAAAATGAAGAGCTCAGCTATAATAAAGTTCTTTAGGCTGGGCACAGGGGCTGTAATCCCAACACTTTGGGATGGACTATTGCTTGAGCACCCAGGAGTTGGAGACCATCCTGGGCAACATGGCAAAACTCTGTACAATAAAACTACCAAAATTAGCTGGGTATGGTGGCATGCACTTGTAGTACCAGCTACATGGGAGGCTGAGGTGGGAGGATCACCTGAGCCTGGGAGGTGGAGGCTGCAGTGAGCCATGATGGCACCACTGCACTCCAGCCTGGGTGACAGACCCTATCTCAAAAACAAAAAAAAGTTCTTCAGGTCTCTTGGAGTCTTGTGTTGTCACAGATAACTGCTGATTTGACTTTGAGAGCTAACTTGAAAGTTAACATTTGTGAATGATACCTGAAATATTCTGAAACTCAATAAATGTGGGACAGCTCTGGCCAGGTGCAGTGGCTCACACTGTAATCCCACCCAGCACTTTGGGAGCCCAAGGCAGGAGGATCACTTGAGGTCAAGAGTTTGAGACCAGTCTGGCCAACATGGTGAAAACTCATCTCTCCCAAAGAAATACAAAAATTAGCTGGGCGTGGTGGTATGCGTCTGTAATTCCAGCTACTTGGAAGGCTGAGGCAGGAGAATTGCTTGAATCCAGGAGATGGGGGTTGCAGCGAACTGAGATTGTGCCACTGCACTCCAGCCTTGGTGGCAATGAGATTCTGGCTCAAAAAAAAAAAAAAAAAAAGTGAAAAAGTGGGACAATTCTGATCCATTGACAAAATTTCTACAGTTAGTGAACATATTCTGGAGAGCCTGTTGGGAAATATATTTTTTTTTTTTTTGAGACAGAGTCTCGCTCTGTCGCCCATGCTGGAGTGATGCGATCTCGACTCACTGCAACTTCTGCCTCCTGGGTTCAAGCAATTCTCCTGTCTCAGCCTCTCTAGTAGCTGGGACTACAGTCACATGCCATCATGCCTGGCTTATTTTTGTATTTTTAGTAGAGATGGGGTTTCACCATATTGGTCAGGCTGGTCTCGAACTCCCGACCTCAGGTGATCCACCCACCTCAGACTCCCAAAGTGCTGGTCTCCCAGTGGCGTGAGCCACCGGGCCCGGCCTGGGAAATAGTTTTTATGGTACTGCAGTTGTTACAGGGATGTCCTGTGTAGATTTTTTAAGCACAGGTAACTGTTTCTCTGATATTCTGAGTCAGTTTCTTGTTGTGGGATTGATAACAGTAAATTGTATTTTTCAGCCTTCAGGCTCTACACACAGATGATCCTCTCACTTGGGATTATGTGGCAAGGCGAGAATTAGAGATTGAGTCACAGACAGAAGAGCAGCCTACAACGAAACAAGCCAAAGCAGTGGAGGTCGGCCGGAAGGAGGAGAGGTGCTGTGCTGTGTATGAAGAGGCAGTGAAGACTCTGCCAACAGGTGAACTTCACCAAACCATGGTGTGATATAGAAGGAATAGTATCCCTGATTGTGAAACTTAAGCTCCTGTTCCCATTGCCAAAATCAATATTGGGGATGTCTCTGTAACATAGTTTACGATGAGCCTGGCCTTTTTTTTTTTTTTTTATTGGGAGGCAGAGTCTTGTTCTGTCACCCTGGCTGGAGTTCAGTGGCTCGATTTCGGCTCACTGCAACCTCCACCTCCCGGGTTCAAGCAATTCTCCTGCCTCAGCCTCCCAAATAGCTGGGACTACGGGTGCCCGCCACCATGCCCAGCTAATTTTTTTGTATTTTAGTAGAGACGGGGTTTCACTGTGTTGCCCAGACTGGTCTCGAACTCCTGAGCTCAGGCGATCTACTTGCCTTGGTCTCCCAAAGTGCTAGGGTTACAGGATTACAGGCGTGAGCCACCGTGCCTGGGTTTTTTTTGTTTTTTGTTTTTTTTTGAGACAGAGTCTCACTCTGTTGCCCAGGCTGGAGTGCAATGGTGTGATCTCGGCTCACTGCAGCCTCCACCTCCCAGGTTCAAGCGATTGTCCTGCCTCATCCTCCCGAGTAGCTGGGATTACAGGCGTGTGCCACGATGCCTGGCTAATTTTTGTATTTTTAGTACAGACGGAGTTTCACCATGTTGGCCAGGCTGGTCTTGAACTCCTGACCTCAGGTGGTTTGCTCACTTTGGCCTCCTAAAGTGCTGGGATTACACGCATGAGCCACCGCATTTGGCCGTGCCTGGCTTTCTAACTTGGTCTTGGCTTTCTAACTTTTATGACCTTCCTCCATAGTAGTGGTATTTATGTTCATCTATTTTGGGGGAAGCTTAGGAAATAATTTCTAAGATTCTTCAATTATTATTTCTTAATTATCTATGTTTTTTTTTGAGACAGGATCCTGCTGTGTCACCCAGGCTGGAGTGCAGTGGCGCAATTTCAGCTCACTCCAACCTCTGCCTCCTGGGTTGAAGCAATCCTCCCGCCTCAACCCCCTGAGTAGCTGGGTCTACAGGCGCATGCCTCCACGCCAGGCCAATTTTAATGTATTTTTTGTAGAGATGGAGTTTTGCCATGTTGCCCAGGCTGGTCTTGAACTGCTAGAATCAAGTGATCTGCATGCCTCGGCCTCCCAACTTGCTAGGATTACCGACATCCTTAATTATCTTTTTGAGACAGAGTCTCACGCTGTTGCCCAGGCTGGAGTACAGTGACACGATCTCGGGTTACTACAACCTCTTCCTCCCAGGTTTAAGCAATTCTCCTGCCTCAGCCTCCCGAGTAGCTGGGATTACAGGTGCATGCCACCATGCCCCATGGATTTTTGTATTTTTAGTAGAGATGAGGTTTCACCACGTTGGCCAGGCTGGTCTTGAACTCCTGACTTCAGGTGATCAGCCTGCCTCAGCCTCCCAAAGTGATGGGATTACAGATGTGAACCACTGCCTCGCCCTTAATTATCTTTGGAAAGTGATTTAATTTTTATTTTGTAATAATGTAGAATAAAGGCAGAGGGGATATATAACCTGGATAAGGCTTTCAATTTTTATATTTAAGCTGTTACTCAGTTGTTTTCCCCCAATATTTGAGGTGTTTGATTGGCTGTAGTCAGCATAACACTTCTTAAAATCAGGCTGATTTAAACTCTTCTTCAGAGGAGAGTTTTCCCCTTGAAGTAAAGGTGTAGGATGACTGTTTTTTTCCTTATCTTTTAATAACTTTGATGTGATGAATGTTGAACTAAGTGATCTGATCAACACAATCTTTCTGACTTTTCCAGAGGCCATGTGGAAGTGTTACATCACCTTTTGCTTGGAAAGATTTACTAAGAAGTCAAATAGTGGGTTCCTTAGAGGGAAGGTGAGGTTGTTACATGGTTACAGTGGTTGACTAGATAGTGACTGCCTTCTGAAAGAACAGAAGCACAGATCTTTTGGTGTCTGGCACAGTTTCTGAGAACTTTTATGTTTAGCCACTCTCTCTCTCCTTGTGGGTGACGTGACATTCTAAAGGTCTGAGTCTGGTTTGCCGCCAGGTTAGGAGGGGCTCTCGTGTAACTGGGCTCTGTTCGGTGCAGCTGCCCATTGCATCTATTCATAAGTGAAACCACCATGCAGGAGCAAGTCAGCTTCTTTGAATTTTAAGAAATGCGCAAAACTGCTTTTGTTCATGTCAGAGGCCAGAGGCCCCTGCTGGGATCTTTGTAATGAACTGAGGGATTTTTCTGTTTTCAGAGGTTGGAAAGAACCATGACTGTATTCAGGAAGGCACATGAACTGAAGCTTCTGTCAGAATGCCAATACAAGCAGTTGGTAAGAACATAGAGAAAATATTCTGTGCCAGTTACAAATACCTTATTCCAGTTGTTTTGTGCCAGAGTCATGTTTTAAATATATATAGTCTTAAGATGAAGGCCACTTGGGAGTTCGGTATGTGAAGTGTGTTTATATGTGTTTCCCAGTATTTGGCCTATGCAAAAAATGAAATCTGTACTAGCAAAGGGAGGAGTATTATACAGTGAAAAGCACTTAGAACAAGAGTCATGATTTGGGTTTATTTTGTTTGTCCACCCATTCCTTTTTTTTTTTTTTTTTTGAGACGGAGTTTCACTCTGTTGCCCAGGCTGGAGCACAGTGGCGCGATCTCAGCTCACTGCATCCTCTGCCTCTTGGGTTCAAGTGATTCTTGTGCCTTAGCCTCCCAAGTAGCTGGGATCACAGGTGCATGCCACCACGCCCAGCTAATTTTTGTATTTTTGGTAGAGACGGGATTTCACCATCTTGGCTGGGCTGGTCTCTAACTTCTGACCTCAAGTGATCCCCCTGCCTCGGCCTCCCAAAGTGCTGGGACTAAGGCATGAGCCATCATGCCTGGCCAAATTTTTGTATTTTTAGTAGGGACAGAGTTTCACTATGTTGGCCAGGCTGGTCTTGAGCTCCTGACCTCAAGCGATCTGACTGCCTCAGCCTCCCAAAGTGCTGAGATTACAGGCATGATCCACTGCTCCTGGCCGTGCCTGGCTTTCTAACTTGGTCTTTCAGGCGTGAGCCACTGTGCCCAGCCTAGATGATTCATCTTCTGTCGGAAGAAACATATCAAACCGTTTTGTCTCTTAGACTGGAGGCTCTATGGGTGGTAGGGAATGCATCTGATTTGTTCACTATTGAATCTAGCACATATAGTGTGCAATAAAAATGCTTGCTGAATGTACTGATTATATACTGTCATTTAATTTTTCACAAATTTGTACAATTGGATTGTTTTTAGGTTTTTTCTCTTTTTCAAATAATGTAGGTATAAGCATTTTGAACAGGTAAAATTTCCTTTCATTCATGTATTTTTTGGACCATATTTGTTAATGTAGAAGTCCCAAATTGAAGCGTTGAGCACTTTCATGACTCTTGCTACAAACTGTCAAATTGAATTTCAGAAAAATTTGCTTTAGTTTATGTTATGTCCAACTCTGTTTGAATATACCTGTTTCCTTGACACTCCACAAATACTGATTTTGTGGATTGATTTTTGTTTATTGATTTTTAAAATTTTTTTGGAGACAGAGTCTTGCTCTGTCACCCAGCCTGGAGTGTAGTGGCATGATCTTGGCCCACTGCAACTTCCTCCTCCCAGGTTTAAGTGATTCTCCCAACTCATCCTCCCGAGTAGCTGGGATTACAGGCGTGCACCAACACACCTAGCTAATTTTTGTATTTTTAGTAGAAACAAGGTTTCACCATGTTGGCTAAGCTGGTCTTGAGCTCTTGACCTCAGGTGATCTGCCTGCCTTGGCCTCCCAAAGTGCTGGGATTACAGGCGTGAGCCACTGAGCGCAGCCTATTTGTTAATTTTCATCCTCTGTTTGGTGAGCATGTGTTCTGGCATAGTGAACTGTTTTGTTTTTATTTATTTATTATTTTTTTGAGACGGAGTTTCGCTCTTGTTGCCCAGGCTGGAGTGCAATGGCATGATCTTGGCTCACCTCAACCTCCGCCTCCTGGGTTCAAGCAATTCTCCTGACTCAGCCTCCCGAGTAGCCGGAATTACAAGCATGCACCACCACGCCTGGCTAATTTTGTATTTTTAGTAGTGACAGGGTTTCTCCATGTTGGTCAGGCTGGTCTTGAACTCCCGACCTTAGGTGATCTGCCTGCCTCAGCCTCCCAAAGTGCTGGGATTACAGGCGTGAGCCACCATGCCTGGCTGTGAACTGTTTTATTAAAAACTTATATGCTGGGCATGGTGGCTCACGCCTGTAATCCCAGCACTTTGGGAGGCCGAGGTGGGTGGATCATCTGAGGTCAGGAGTTTAAGACCAGCCTGGCCAACATGGTGAAACCCCATTTCTACTAAAATACAAAAAATTAACCAGGCGTGGCGATGGGCGCCTGTCGTCCCAGCTACTCGGGAGGCTGAGGGAGGAGAATTGCTTGAACCCAGGAGTTGGAGGTTGCAGTGAGCCGAGATCATTGCGCCACTGTACTCCAGGCTGGGTTACAGAGCAAAACTCTGTCTCCAAAAAAAAGAAAAAGAAAAACAAAAAAACCTAACTTACAGTCTAAATTCTTTAGGTTCTCTGGTTTTTACGTCTTCCCTGTTTTTGGATAACCCTCATGGGTAGGAGCAGTGAAAATAGGAGAAATTCTAAATTGTTCACTTCGTGCCTGTTTAACAGCCATGGAAAATTTGTTTTGATACCTATAAGTTATCACATAGCTCATTTCTTTTCTTTTTTTTTTTTTTTTTTGAGATAGAGTTGCTCTGTCGCCGAGGTTGGAGTGCAGTGGTGTGATCTCAGCTCACTGCAATCTCCACCTCCTGGATTCAAGCGATTCTTCTGCCTCAGCCTTCCGAGTAGCTGGGATTACAGATGCATACCACCACACCCAGCTAATTTTTGTGTTTTTAGTAGAGACGGGGTTTCACCATGTTGGCCGGGATGGTCTTGATCTCCTGAGCTCGTGATGTGCCCGCCTGGGCCTCCCAAAGTGCTGGGGTTACAGGTGTGAGCCACCACACCTGGCCTCTTTTTTATTTTAAATTGTAGTGGAAAGGTTGGTGAAATTCTTGCCTCAAATGAGGCATAGGTTTACATTTACATAGATTGTTTGGGTTTCAGTAATTAATTTTCCAGTCATCCTTCATCTTGTCTAGAGTGTTTCGTTGCTGTGTTATAACTTCCTGAGGGAAGCTCTGGAAGTGGCAGTAGCTGGAACTGAATTGTTTAGAGACTCTGGGACAATGTGGCAGCTGAAGCTGCAGGTGCTGATCGAGTCAAAGAGCCCTGACATAGCCATGCTTTTTGAAGAAGCCTTTGTGCACCTGAAACCCCAGGTCAGTGAGCTGGATCTTTTGTATTCATTATATTTGGGAAACCTTTTAAGACTAGCCAAGGCTCATTTGGAATGTACTTGTCTATTGAGAGCCAACTCTAGAGTGGCATTTGCTATTCAGTGGTGATGGTTCATAGGTTAAGAGTAGAAGAATTTGCTTCTATTTAATATCCTTTATTTGAAAGTTAACCAAATTAAATAAAACTTCCTATTCTATTTAGATATCTTATAAAGTTAGAAATACCAGTAGAATATTAATGTCACTTGCTGAATATAAGCCCAACCTTTTTTTTTTTTTTTTTTAAGATGGAGTCTCGCTCTGTTGTCCAGGCTGGAGTGCAGTGGCGTGATCTCAGCTCACTGCAATCTCTGCCTCCCGGGTTCAGGCAATTCTCCTGCCTCAGCCTCCCGAGTAGCTGGGACTACAGGCGCATGCCATCACACCTGACTAATATTTTCTATTTTAGTAGAGACAGGATATCTCCATGTTGGCCAGGCTGGTCTGGAACTCCTAGCCTCAAGTGATCTGCCCGCCTTGGCCTCCCAAAGTGCTGAGATTACAGGCGTGAGCCACGGTGTATGGCCAGATTCACTTTGCAGTGAATTTTTTATATTAGTAGGTAAAACGTATTCCAGAAGATAAAGTAGGAAAAAAACTACTGCTCATTTGGTGGTTTTTCCTTTTTTTTGAGATGAAGTCTTGTTCTGTTGCCCAGGCTGGAGTGCAGTGGTGCAAACTTGGCTCACTGCAACCTCCACCTCCCAGGTTCAAGCGATTCTCCTGTCTCAGCCTCCCAAGTAGCTGGGATAAGAAGTGCCCACCACCATGCCCAGCTAATTTTTGTATTTTTAGTAGAGACAGGGTTTTGCCATGTTGGCCAGGCTGGTCTTGAACTCCTGGCCTCAAGTGATCCGCCTGCCTCCGTCTTTAAAGTGCTGGGATTGCAAATGTGCGCCACCATGCCTCGCTTTTGCTGCTCATTTGTACGTACCTCTGGGACATGAATGAAGATCAGATAGTTCAGCCTAGATTAATTAGTTCTTGTGTTGTGGGTCTTAGACAGCAGAGACATGACCTGGGTAGCTGTGGGTCTAACTGTGTGGGCTGTTAATTACTTACTTAACTAAAAGATGATTGATGATAACTACATGAAATATTTCCCAATAGAAAGGAACTAAAATTCACAGAAGAGTGTTGCTCTGAGTGACTTGGTCAGAAGGCTGGCTGTGTTCTGGAGTGCCATTCCTGCTGGGCAATGAGAATTCTGTCACAATGAGGACTGTTTGGGAATGAATCCCTATTTTACATGTTGATTATCTTAGGAGGAACCTGCCTTTTTAACTAGTTTTCAGAGCATAGGACTAAACTGTCATTTTATAGCATAAAAAAATTGATACATAATATTTTACATATTTATAGGGTACATGCGATGTTTTGTTATATGCTGTTCTCTAACTAACATTTTTTAAACTGGGAGTAGGTTTGTCTGCCATTGTGGATTTCCTGGGCAGAGTGGAGTGAAGGTGCCAAAAGCCAAGAAGACACTGAGGCAGTCTTTAAGGTATAGGCTCCGTGTTCCAAGTCTTGTGGTGTGGGGAATGGCAGAAGGTTCCCTGGTTGGTCAGCTCTAGTGTTGCAGGTGCGCCTAAAGCACTATGGAGTGGCCTCAGGTGGTTCTGGGAAAATCTGTTTTGGTATCTATAAGTTTTCTCACATAGCTTCTTTCTTTTTTCTTTTAAATTGTAGAAAGCTCTCTTAGCTGTCATAGGTGCCGACTCAGTAACCCTGAAGAATAAGTACCTGGATTGGGCTTATCGAAGTGGTGGCTACAAAAAGGCCAGAGCTGTGTTTAAAAGGTACTCACAGACGTTCATAGTTGTTACTAGTCCCTCTACCCCATGCTCAGCCGCTCATACCCAGATTATTTGAATCACAGATAGCATCTGAGGGAGTAATCTGATACACTTTTTCTTTTTTTTTAAGATGGAGTCTTGCTCTGTTGCCCAGGCTGGAGTGCAGTGGCACAATCTCTGCTCACTGCAATCTCCGCCTCCTGCGTTCAAGTGATTCTCCTGCCTCGGCTTCCCGAGTAGCTAGGATTACAGGCACCTGCCACCACGCCTGGCTAATTTTTAAATTTTAGATTTTAAAGACAAGGTTTCACCATGTTGGCCAGGCTGGTCTCAAACTCCTAACCTCAGGTGATCTGCCCACCTCAGCCTCCCAAAGTGCAGGGATTACAGGCATGAGGCACCACACCTGACCCAATACACTGTTTCATTTTCCTTTTTTTTTGTTTTTTTTTTGTTTTTTTGAGACAGTGATTCTCCCGCCTTAGCCTCCTGAATAGCTGGGATTACAGATGTGTGACACCACGCCCGGCTAATTTTGTAATTTAGTAGAGACGGTTTCATCATGTTGGCCAGGCTGGTCTCGAACTGCTGATCTCAAGTGATTTGCTTGTCTTGGCCTCTCAAAGTGCTGGGATTACAGGCATGAGCCAGTGCATTTGGCCTCCAGTGAACTTTTTCAAAAAGTAATGTTTCCTTTTCTTTTTTGAGACAGGTTCTCGCTCTGTCACCTAGGTTAGAGTGTAGTGGCACAATCATGGTTCACCGAAGCCTTGACCTTCTGGGCTCAAGCAGTCCGCCCACCTCAGCCTCCCAAATGTCTGGGTCTACAGGCATGTACCACCATGTCCAGCTAACTTAAAACATTTTTTTTTTTTGGTAGAGACTGAGTCTCACAACATTGTTCAGCCTGGTCTCAAACTCCTGGGCTCAAGCAGTCCTCCTGCCTCAGCCTCCCAAAGTGCTAGGATTATAAGTGTAAGCCACCATGCCTGGCCTTCTTTTTCTTTTTTTTGAACAATAAAAGCAGTTCATTGTGGTGGGGGAAAACATAACCATGATAATTTATTACATCATCGAAGGAAAAATTACTGTTAACACATAATTTTAAAATTTGTTTTTATGTAGTTGAGATTATAGTATAACTGTAATTTTATTTATGATTTAAAAAAAATTTCTTTTTTTTTTTGAGATGGAGTCTCACTGTGTTGCCCAGGCTGGAGTGCAGTGGTACAGTCTCGGCTCACTGCAACTTCTGCCTCCCGGGTTCAAGCGATTCTCCTGCCTCAGCCTCCTGAGTAGCTGGGATTACAGGCATGTGCCACGACGCCCGGCTAATTTTTTATATTTTTAGTAGATAAGGGTTTTTGCCATGTTGGCTAGGCTGGTCTCGAACTCCTGACCTCTGGTGACCTGCCCGCCTCGGCCTCCCTAAGTGTTGGGATTACAGGTGTGAGCCACTGTGCCCGGCCTAAATATTTTTTTTTTCTTTGAGACAGAGTCTTGCTCTGTTGCCCAGGCTGAGTGTAATGGCGCCATCTTGGCTCACTGCAAACTCTGCCTTCCTGGTTCAAGTGATTCTTGTGCGTTAGCTTCCCAAGTAGCTGGGACTACAGGTGTGTGCCACCACACCCAGGTAATTTTTTATTTTTAGTAGAGATGGGGTTTCACTGTGTTGCCCAGGCTGGTCTTGAACTCCTGGGCCCAAGCAATCTGCCCAGCTCAGCCTCCCAAAATGCTGGGATTACAGGCATGAGCTACCATGCCTGGCGATGCCCCGCTAATTCTTAAATTTTTTTGCAGAGTCAGGGTCTCGCCTTGTTGCTTAAACTGATCTTGACCTTATGGCTTCCAGTGATCTTCCTGCCTTGGCCTCCCAAAGGGCTGGGATTGTAGGTATGAGGCACTGTGCCCAGCCAAAAATTCTTTATAAACATCATTTATTAAACATAGCTATATGAGCTGGGCACGGTGGTTCAAGGCCTCTAATCTCAGGATTTTGGGAGACTGAGACAAGAGGATTGCTTGATCCCAAGCATTTGAGACGAGCGTGGGCAACACAACGAGACTTCATTTCTATGAAAAGTTAAAAGGCCGGGTGCGGTGGCTCATGCCTGTAATCCTAGCACTTTAGGAGGCCGAGGCGGGCGGATCACAAGGTCAGGAGTTCGAGACCATCCTGGCTAACACGATGAAACCCCGTCTCTACTAAAAAAAATACAAAAAATTAGCCGGGCGTGGTGGCAGGCGCCTGTATTCCCAGCTACTTGGGAGGCTAAGGCAGGAGCATGGCGTGAACCTGGGAGGCGGAGCTTTCAGTGAGCTGAGATCGCGCCACTGCATTCCAGCCTGGGCGACAGAGCAAGACTCCATCTCAAAAAAAAAAAAAAAAAAAACTTAAAAAGTTGGGTGTCATGGCATGTGCCTGTGATTTTAGCTACTTGGGAAGCTGAAGTCAGAGGATCACTTGAGTCCAGGTGGTTGAGGCTGTAGTGAGCCGTGTTTGTGCTAGTACACTCCAGCCTTGGTGACAGAGTGAGACCCTGTCTCAAAACAAAAACATCCAGGTGCGGTGGCTCATGCCTGTAATCCCAGCACTTTGGGAGGTCGAGGCAGACGGATCACGAGGTCAGGAGATCGAGACCATCCTGGCTAATATGGTGAAACCCTGTCTCTACTAAAAATACAAAAAAAATTAGTCAGATGTGGTGGCGGGCGCCTGTAGTCCCAGCTACCTGGGAGGCTGAGGCAGGAGAATGGCATGAACCCGGGAGGCGGAGCTTGCAGTGAGCTGAGATTGCGCCACTGCACTCCAGCCTGGGCGACAGATCAAGACTCCGTCTCAAAAAAAAAAACCAAAAAAAAAAACCAAAACAACAACAACAACAAAAACAAAAAACCCAAAACAAAACAAACATAATAGCTGTATTGAAGGCAGCCAGCATACATGTGAAAAAATGTTCAAGATGACTAACTTTTAGAGAAATGCAAATCAAAACCACAATGAGATACCATCTCACTAGTCAGAATGGCTATTAAAAAGTCATAAAATTATAGATATTGGCAAGGCTGCAGGGTAAACCTTATATACTGTTGGTGGGAATGTAAATTAGTTCAGCCACTGTGGAAATCAGCTGGAGATTTCTGGAAGAACTTAAAACAGATCTGCCATTTATCTCAGCAATCCCATTACTAGATATATACCCAAAGGAAAACAAATAATTCTACCAAAAAGACATGTACTCGTATGTTCATCACAGCACTATTCACAATAGTAAGGACATGGAATCAACCTAGGTGCTTATCAACAGTTGATTGGAAAAAAAACAATGTGGTAAATATACTCTATGGAATACTATGCAGCCATAAAGAACAACAAAATCATGTTCTTGGCAGTAGCGTGGATACAGCTGGAGGTCATTGTCCTCAGCAAGTTATCACAGGAACAGAAAACCAAATACCACATGTTCTCACTTGCAATTATAGCTAAACATTGGGTACACGTGGATATAAAGACAGAAATAGTAGACACTACAGGATAGGGGGAAGGAGGGTAGGAGGAATGGAGGAAAGGGCTGAAAAGCTACCTATCGATTACTGTGCTCCTTACCCAGGTAACAGGGTCAGTCTATCCCAAACCTCAGTGTCACGCAATATACACACATAACAAACCTGCACATGTACTCCCCTGAATCTAAAATAAAAGTTGAAATTAAAACAATACATGGCTGATGGGCCAGGCACTGTGGCTCACACCTGTAATCCCAGTGCTTTAGGAGGCTGAGGTGGGAGAATTGCTTGAGTCCAGGAGTTTGAGGCTGCAGTGAGCTATGATTGTGCCACCACACTCCAGCCTGGGCAACAGAGGGAGAGCCTGTCTCAAAAAATAAAAAAAAAAATAAAGAGGCCAGGCGTGGTGGCTCATGCCATTCCTGTAATCCCAGAACTCTGGGAAGCCAAGGCTGAGGTGGGAGGATTGCTTGGGCCCAGGAGTTGAAGACCAGCCTGAGCAACATAGCGAGACCCTTTCTCTACTAAAAATGAAAAGCAATTAGCCAGATGCAGTTTGCACCTATGGTCTCAGCTATTCTGGAGGCTGAGGTGGAAGTATTGCTTGAGCCCAGGAATTCTAGGCTGCAGTGAGTCATGATCTCAGCACTGTACTCCAGCCTGGGTGACAGAGGGAGACTTTGTCTAAAAGGAAAAAATAAAAGAGAAAGCTGTATGATATACCACTCTGTGGATGCAGTATAACTTTATGTTTTTGTTTTTTGAGATGGAGTCTCACTCTGTCACCCAGGTTGGAGTGCAGTGGCTTGATCTTGGCTCCCTGCAGCCTCCGCCTCCCAGGTTCAAGTGATTCTCCTGCCTGAGCCTCCCAAGTAGATGGGATTATAGGTGCCCACCACCACACCCAGCCAATTTTTATATTTTTAGTAGAGGCAGGGTTTCACCACGTTGGTCAGGCTGGTCTTGAACTGACCTCAGGTGATCCACCTGCCTTGGCCTCCCAAAGTGCTGGGATTACAGGTGTGAGCCACCATGCCCGGCCGTGGATGCAGTATAACTTTTTTGGCCACAGTAATACTGTTTTGATGAATATTTCTGCACAAATATTTGTCCATATTAGAAATCATTTCCTTAGAATATATTCCTAGAAATGGAATTACTGATTTCCCAAAAGACTTTGACATGTAGTTGAGGGAACTTGAAAACTCTACAATTGATAAAGAAGAGTACAGTAAGAAAATTAAACCAGGCATGGTGGTGCATGCCTGTAATCCTAGCACTTTGGAAGGCTGAGGCGGGAGGATTGCTTGAGCCCGGGAGTTTGAGACTAGCCTGAGAAACCTAGTGAGACCTCTTCTCTACAAAAAATTTCAAAAATAAGCTGTGTGTGGTTATGTATGCCTGTAGTCACAGTTACTCTACAGGCTAAGGCAGGAGGATTGCTTGAGCCTGGGAATTCAGGGCTGCAGTGAGCTATGATTGCAATACTGCACTCCAGCCTGGGTGACAAAGTGAGACCCTGTCTCAAAAAAAAAAAAAAAAAAAAAACCAAAAAACTAAGAACTGGGTATGAAGAGAAAGTCATTAGTGGTCATAGAATCGTGAGAATGACTGGCCATCAGGTCAAGTCCTTGCATTGATTTGAAGTCAAGTCTTTATTAAACCATGTGTTGTGGAGGCACTGGTCTCGGTATTTACAGTTATGAGATGTAAGAGGCTTTTTGTCATTGTTGAAGATAACGTTTTCTCCTTCCTTTTTAGTTTACAGGAGAGCCGACCATTTTCAGTTGACTTTTTCAGGAAAATGATTCAGTTTGAAAAGGAGCAAGTAAGTGTTCTGTTTCAGCATTTCTTGTCTGGGAAAATGGATTAGTGGTTACTAATCTATCAGACTGTTTTTTGTTTTTTTGTTTTTTTTGAGGCAGAGTCTCGCTCTGTTGCCAGGCTGGAGTGCAGTGGCGTGATCTTGGCTCACTGCAACCTCCATCTCCCAGGTTCAAGTGATTCTCCTGCCTCAGCCCCCCGGAGTAGCTGGGACTATAGGCACACGCCACCATGCCCAGCCAATTTTTGTATTTTTAGTAGAGATGGGGTTTTACCATGTTGGCCAGGATGGTCTCTATCTGTTGACCTCGTGATGTGCCCACCTCAGACTCCCAAAGTGTTGGGATTACAGGCGTGAGCCACCGTGCCTGGCCCGGGAGTGTTTTGTTATGTAAAAAGCTCTCATTATAATACAGTATAAATTTCTGATCCCTTGGTCTAATCCCTTTTCCATAGAGCTGGTTTAAGAACGGTAATCAAGCAAAGAGAAAGTATATGTTTGGGGAATAGAAAACTTACATGTTACTTTTTTTTTTTTTTTTGAGATAGAGTCTTACTCTGTTGCCCAGGCTGGAGTGCAGTGGTGTGATCTCGGCTCACTGCAAACTCTGCATCCTGGGTTCAAGTGCTTCTCCTGCCACACCCTCCCGAGTAGCTGGGATTACAGGCACGGGCTGCCACGCCCTGCTAATTTCTGTATTTTCAATAGAGACGGGGTTTTGCCATGTTGGCCAGCCTGGTCTCAAACTCCTGACTTCAGGTGATCCGCCCCCCTCAGCCTCCCAAAGTGCTGGGATTACAGGTGTGAGCCAGCACGCCTGGCAGGCCAAGTATCTGTTCTTATTCTACAGTATAGAACAGTTTTATAGTATAGGAGATAGTCTAGCCTAATATGTAATAGCCAGGCTTTGGATTTATAACATGATAGTTAGGTGCCTTGAGCAAGTCACTTAATTCTAAGCTTCCCATCCTCATCTGTAAAGGAGGTCATTATACCTGTTTCAGGGGTATGAGAGTTGTAAGGCCAAATGGGATACTGGATAGAAAGGACGTTGCATAATGCCGTGCACATATGAGCCATTAAACAGGTGTGATTCTGTTTTTCATGCATGTCTAAAATATGAGGTTAAATTGACTTTTTTTTTTTTTTTTTTTTTTTTTTGAGACAAGAGTCTTGCTGTCTGTTGCCCAGGCTGGAGTGCAGTGGCGCGATCTTGGTTTACTGCAACCTCTGCCTTCCAGGTTCAAGCGATTCTCCTGCCTCAGCCTCCCGAGTAGCTGGGATTACAGGCCCCTGCCACCGCACCTGGCTAATTTTTTTTTTTTTTTTTTAGACGGAGTCTCTCTCTGTCGCCCAGGCTGGACTCTTGGCTCACTGCAACCTCTGCTTCCCAGGTTCAAGCAATTCTCTTGCCTCAGCCTCCTGAGTAGCTAGGATTACAGGCATGCACCACCATGCCTGGCTAATTTTTGTATTTTTAGTAGGGACAGGGTTTCACCATGTTGACCAGGCTGGTCTTGAACTCCTGACCTTGTGATCCACCTGCCTTGCCTCAGCCTCCCAAAGTGCTGGGATTACAGGTGTGAGCCACCGCGCCTGGCCCTAATTTTTGTATTTTTTGTAGAGACTGGTTTCACCACGTTGGCCAGGCTGGTCTCAACTCCTGACCTTGTGATCTGCCTGCCTTGGCCTCCCAAAGTACTGGGATTACAGGCATGAGCCACTGCACCCGGCAAGAATACTTTTTTTTTTTTTTTTTTTTGAGACAGAGTCTCGCTCTGTCGCCCAGGCTGGAGTGTAGTGGCGCGATCTCGGCTCACTGCAAGCTCCACCTCCTAGGTTCACGCCGTTCTCCTGCCTCAGCCTCCTGAGTAGCTGGGACTACAGGCACCCGCCACCACGCCTGGCTAATTTTTTGTATTTTCAGTAGAGACGGGGTTTCACTGTTGTAGCCAGGATGGTCTCGATCTCCTGACCGTGTGAGCCACCGTGCCCGGCAAGAATACATTTTTAAAAATAGGTGGAGAATGAGCAGTTTTTGGTTGTAAAGTTAGTTACAGCTATTCTGCTAGGTACATAATTCATCAGCATTTTAATCTAATACTTATAGTTGTGCTAAGAGATATTAAAGCTTGTTTTATAGGTGAGGAAATGTTTAAGGTCAAAGGGTTCAAAAACTTGCTGAAGGTCATATAACTAGTATTTATTTTAAGGTGGATATAACAAATAAGTACCAGAGCCCAGATATTCAAAAGGAAGAAATCCTTACTCAAAGCGAATAGAACCTTCGCTGTTTCTTTATTTAATTCCCACTCATTCCTCAAGACTTTCAAATACTGTTTTCTGTGAAGCTGCCCATGTCCCCCACTTTTTTCTAATAGCACTTTTCTCCATGCTACTACAGCAAAGTGCTTTTATGTTTCACATATGTACTTCACTCTGTTGAGTGGCTTTGATTTTTTTCCTAGAAAAGTTGAGAGCCAAGTTGTGTTCATGTTAAACTCTTCCCTTCAAATACCTGACAGACAGTAGCTGCTTAACAATATGGTTGGAATGAATTTGTTATGTTATAAATCAGGCTTTTGAGACAAGATTGTCTATCTTTGTCAGGAATCCTGCAATATGGCGAACATAAGAGAATATTATGAGAGAGCTTTGAGAGAGTTTGGATCCGCAGATTCTGGTAAGTAAACCCTTAATTTGTGACCAATTAGTATGGTTAGAACAGTGTTTCTTGGCTGAGTACAGTGGCTCATGCCTGTAATCCCAGCACTTTGGGAGGCCAAGGCAGGCGGATCACCTGAGGTCAGGAGTTCGAGACCAGCCTGGCCAATATGGTGAAACCCCGTCTCTACTAAAATAAAAATTAGCTGGACATGGTGGTGCGCACCTGTAATCCCTGCCTGGGAGGCTGAGGCAGGAGAATCGCTTGAGCCTGGGAGACGGAGGTTGCAGTGAGCTGAGATTATACCATTGCACTCCAGCCTGGGCAACAACAGTGAAACTCCGTCTCAAAAACAAACAAACAAACAAACAAAACTGTTTCTTAGTTTTTTGATTTGCATCATAACCCTCTTTTAAAATAAAACTTGTTTCCTTCCTCTGCCTCCTCACTTGCTTTGTGTATACTATCATTTCAGGATCATAAGTTCAGGGGTCCATGGGTCGTCTGTTAAGAACCCTAGATTTCTCAGGAGCCTGAGACCAGCCTGGGCAACATATTTAGATCCCCATCTCTACAAACAATAAAAAAAAAAAAGTAACTGGGTATGGTGGTGCATGCTTGTGGTCCCAGCTACACAGCAGGCTGAGGTGCGAGGATTGTTTGGGCCCCAGGATGTTGAGGCTGCAATGACTGTGATGCCACCATTGTACTCCAGCCTGGGCAATACAATGAGATCCTGTCTCAAAAACAAAAACCAAAAACACCCCCTCTGGATTAGAGAAAGATTTGCATGGTTTTGTTTTCTTAAAAAAAATGTATTTAGAGTTACATGAAAGGGGTAAACGTGAGATGCTAATTGGCGTCTGTTGTTGACTATCTCCACATTGCCCTCATTTGTAGGACTTGTACAACATACTTCTGGGTATAGGTATGTCATGTAAAATCTGTGGACTTTGTGAACTCATAAACATTGATTTGTTTATTTTTATTTTGTTTTGAGACAGAGTCTCACTCTGTCACCCAGGCTGGAGTGCAGTGGCGCAATCTTGCCTCACTGCAATCTCTGCCTCCCAGATTCAAGCGATTCTCGTGCCTCAGCCTCCCAAGTAGCTGGGAGTACAGGCACGCGTGCCACCATGCTCGGCTAATTTTTGTATTTTCAGTCGAGATGGAGTTTCGCCATGCTGGCTAGGCTGGTCTTGAACTCTTGACCTCAGGTGATCCGCCCGCCTTGGCCTCCCAAAGTGCCGGGATTACAGGTGTGAACCACTGTGCCTAGCCAAAAAGTTTAGTATTTTTGAGTTCATTGAATAAAATAGACTTTTATGATTGATGTGAAGGTTTTCTACTGGGAAAAAAAACAAAAAACAAAAAAACAAAACTGATGAGGCACAGTGGCTCACGCCTGTAATCCCAGCACTTTGGAAGGCCAAGGTAGAAGGATTGCTTGAGCCCAGGAGTTCAAGACTAGCCTGGGCAATATAGTGAAACCCTGTTTCTACAAAAAATAAAAAAATTAGCCTAATATGGTGGTGTGCCTGTGTTCCCAGCTGCCCTGGAGGCTGAGGCAGGAGGGTCACTTGAACTCAGGAGGTTGAGACTGTAGTAAGCCATGTTCCCGCTACTACACTCTAGCCGGGGCAACACAGTGAGACCCTGTCTCAAAAAAGAAAAAAACACACAAAAACAAACCAAAACCTGCCACTATACTTTAAAGAAGCTAAGAGAGGTATTGTTAAACAAAGCGTCCTAGGGAAGTAACAATGAGAAGTTAAGTTTCTTAGAAATCTTGAGTTGAATTGATATTTAATAAGGTTACCTAATAACACTCTGTCAGTTATCTAATTGTATGTTTTTTTTTTAAAAGATCTTTGGATGGATTATATGAAAGAAGAATTGAACCACCCCCTTGGTAGACCTGAGAACTGTGGACAGATCTACTGGCGAGCGATGAAAATGTTGCAGGGAGAGTCAGCAGAGGCATTTGTAGCTAAACATGCTATGCATCAGACTGGCCATTTATGAAGATGAAGAATACAGTCAGCTTTGTGAAATAGTATTGCAAGCAAGCCCCGTGGGCAAATTTGTATTGAGTCCATCTGTAATTTGCTCAGTGATGGCAGACAAGATGGCTGTCTGGTTTTGAGACACACTTTAATTTTATGTTAACTTGTTAAATCTTTTTAAAAATTAAAAAATTTTTATGATTGAGACTGGGTCTTGCTCTGTTGCCCTGGCTGGTCTTGAACTCCTGGACTCAAGTGACCTTCTCACCTCAGACTCCTGAGTAGCTGGGATTATAGGTGCATGACACTGCTCAGTTTGATGTGCTAATCTGATTCCAGTAAAGAGAATTGCTGATTTAATGTTGAGGCCCGATCTTCCACAGGTCCTAAATGTTTCCCAAAATACATGGATAGCATACGACTGGGTTTTTTTAAAATTATCCCAGGTCAAGCATGAGTATCTCTAATCTCGACCTAAGAGCCAGTTAAAATGAAGGAGAAAGTGGCCAGGCATGGTGACTCAACGCCTGTAATCCCAGCACTTTGGGAAGGCTGAGGCAGGCGGATCACCTGAGGTCAGGAGTTTGAGACTAGCCTGGCCAACATGGTGAAACCCCGTCTCTACTAAAAATACAAAAATTAGCCAGGTGTGGTGGTGGGTGCCTGTAATCCCAGCTGCTTGGGAGGCTGAGGCAGGAGAATTGCTTGAACCTGGGAGACGGAGGTTGCAGTGAGCCGAGATCATGCCATTGCTACTCCATCCTGGGTAAGAAGAGCGAAACTCCTTCTCAAGGAAAAAAAAAAAGGAGAAAGTACAGTTTTGTTGGTTTATTCTCATTATAAAAGATACGTGGTATGCATTTGTTCTGGAAAATATGGAGGAAATAGAATAGTGTGGTAAAAAAAAGCATCCTGTCACTGGGAGAAGCTTTCAGTGTAGCTTATTGTTACGTTTCACTTAGTATTGTTTTTCTGTGTCATTAAATAGCCTTAAAAACATTTAATGAATTCGTAACATTACATTGTAAAAATGAGCCATAATATATTTTACTAATCCTCTGGTTAGACTGTCTTTTTTTTTTTGAGATGGAGCCTTGCTCTGTCATCCAGGCTGGAGTGCAGTGGCTCCATCTCGGCTCACTGCAACCTCCACCTCCCGGGTTCAAGTGGTTCTGGCTCAGCCTCCCGAGCAGCTGGGTGGGATTACAGGCACCCGCCACCGCGCCCAGCCAATTTTTGTATTTTTAGTAGTGCGGGGGTTTCATCATATTGGCCAGGCTGGTTGCGAACTCCTGACCTCATGATCCACCCGCCTTGGCCTCCCAAAGTGTTGGGATTACAGGCGTGAACCACTAAGCCTGGCCTGGACTGTCATTTCTAATTTTTTTAAAAATTAGATAAATGCTGTTGATGAAGATTCTTGTCAATCTTTGTTCACATCCCTGGCCATTTCCTTAGGAGATTGACATCCGACAGTGGAATTACTGGATCAAAGGATACTGCTTTTAGAGAATACTGATATGTATTGCTGGTTTGCTCCTTCTTTCAAGCAATACATGAAAGTGTCAGTACCCTTACCTGTACTGGTGTAATTATATCTTTTATTTTTACCATTTTATAGGTGAAATGTGATATGTCATTGTTTTACCATACTTTGATATTAGTGAAGTTAGTGTATTTTATGTTTCTCATCTTTTTACATCCTTAGACTATTTAAAAATTTTTTTTCTTACTAATTTATGAGTTAATTTTTTTTTTTAAATTGGACAAGTTCTTGCTTTGTCACCTAGGCTAGAGTGCAGTGGTGTGATCATGGCTCACTACAGCCTTAACTTCTGGGCTCAAGAGATCCTCCCACCTCAGCCTCTTGAGTAGCTGGGACTGCAGGTGCACACCACCATGCCTGGTTAATTTAAATTTTTTTTTGTAGAGACTGGTCTTGCTATGTTGCCAGGGCTGGTCTCTTAAACAGTTGGGCTCAAACAATCCTCCTACCTCAACCTCCCAAAGTGCTGGTATTATAGGCATGAGCCATTGTGCCTGGCCAGAGTTTTTAAAAACATATTCAGAATATTAATATCTTGTTTCTCATTTGTTGCAAATAATTTTACCCCCAGCCTTGTTTGTGGTGATTTTTTTTTTTTGAGACAGAGTCTTGCTCTGTGGTCCAGGCTGGAGTGCAGTGGTGTGGTCTTACTGCAACCTCTGCCTCCTAGGTTCAAACAGTTCTCCCTGCCAAAGCCTCCCAAGTAGCTGGGATTATAGGCACCTTTTGTGGCGATTTTTGATGCCCAGAGGTATTTTGTGTGTGTATGTGTGATGTCTGTTTTTAAAATGCTTTGGAAGCTCTTCCTGGTGCTGAGAACAACTCTTTTTCCCCAAGCAGTTAATTTTGCCAACACTATTTGGGCAGTTATGTTTCTCTCTGCTGATTTGTGATGTTACCTTTATTATATATTAAATTTCTATGAGTATTAGAGTCTACTTTAGAACATTTTTATTTTAAGCTTTTGTACTGTTTTCTTTTTCTTTCTGGTTTTTTTTTTTTTTAGACCAAGTCTCACTCTGTCGCCCAGGCTGGAGTGCTGTGGGGCAATCTCTGCTCACTGCACCCTCCACCTCCCGGGCTCAAGTGATTCTCCTGCCTCAGCCTCCCGAGTAGCTGGGATTATGGGTGTGTGCCACCACGCCTGGCTAATTTTTGTATTTTTAGTAGAGATGGGGTTTCACCATGTTGGCCAGGATAGCCTTGAACTGACCTCAAGTGATCTGCCTGCCTCGGCCTCCCAAAGTGCTGGAATTACAGGAGTGAGCCACCGCGGCCAGCCCCTGTTTTCTTGTCATTTGTTTTAAAATAAGAAAAAAATTCCTCTTTTTCCTGTCCCTTAAGTCCTGGGATGTTTAACATTCTTAATCTTATTTGGCACTTTAATTTTACGAAAGAGATATGTAGATTAGGGAGCAAAGAGGATAGTGGTAGTCTCCTTAACACAAGGCTATAAGGGTGGTCACCTGGGGTCATCACATCCCTGTATCTGATTCTCAATATTGCAGGTTATGAAAACACATCTAGCTAGTACACCTAGAGTTGCACTGTTAGAAACAGTAGCTCCAAGGCACATGTAGCAATTTAAATTTATTAGAATTATTCAATTTATTCACATTGGCCACATTTCAAGTGCTCAGTAGGTATATGGTTACTATATTGGACAGTACAGATAGTAGAACTTTCATTTCCACTTCCACCATTAAAGAACGTTCTATTGGACATTGCTGACCTAGAGGCAGTTAGCCTTGGGGATACTGACTCCTGTGTAGGAACATCTACATATAGAACAAAAATAATATCGAATATTGTGTGTCAGTTTTATGCTAAATTTTTTCAAATGCCTTTTGTGTTGTACAAACAACACAGTCTTTGAGGGGGATGAAGGAAGAGGGTCTCATGTCCTGATGTTGACGTGATTAGCACACCTTGAGCTGGTTTGTTATTAGAGGTTAGGCACTGTGGGGAAGGCAGGGAAGGCTGTCTTTCCAGTTGGGCTGTTCCCAGCTCAGGCCCTGCCTATCCCCAGAAGCCACCTTTCGAGGCAAAATGGGAAATAATTAGGTTGTCGGTATCAGGCGTTGAGCATGGAAATACAGGAATCCCGAATGTTCAGGATTATTATGAGTAAGCGTCGTGGCCTGTATTCTGTGTCCACTGCATATTGCAGTTTGTGTCTTAATCATCTATCTTGGTTTCTAATGGATTAACTTCAAAGACGATCATTAGCTCAAGGTGGAGGTCACTGGGTTGCTCATGTGTCTTACCCACGCGGGGTTTTGAAGCTGGAGCACACCCCGAGTGGCCGAGTAGGGTACGCTTGGCGTTTCACACGCAGCTAGTCGTGCAGCCTTAGGATATGCACCGAGAGGAGTTTCCAAAATCCGTCTCCGAGATTGTTTCAGATTTCGCGCTGGGAGGGAGGGGCGGGCTCCGCGAGGCCGCGCGCCCCGCCCCCTGCGCCGCCCCGCCCCCGCTTGCTCGTGACACCCCCGCGCCCCGCCCTCTTGGCCGGTACCCACCCCCTCCCCAGGCTGATTGGCGCTTCTGCGGCGGATCCTCGGGCGGGCAGCCGGGCCGGCGCGTCACGTGGCCCACGGCGTCCAGGGCGACCAGCCGCGGGCCGCAGGGCATGGACCTTCAGGCCGCCGGGGCCCAGGCGCAGGGGGCCGCGGAGCCGTCTCGGGGCCCGCCGCTGCCTAGCGCGCGGGGGGCGCCCCCCAGCCCGGAGGTGAGCGCCGCGTGGGGGCCAGGAGCAACAGCCAGCCGCAGCCTGGGGCGGGAAGTCGCGGGGCCGGGCTGGGCGGGGGCCGCGGGGCCGGGGAAGCGCCTCTGGCCGGCCTCGGGCCGCCCCGCGACACGGAGCGCTGTTTGGGCTCGCGCTCGAGCTGAAAACGGCCAGGCCGCGGGGCCGCGGGGCTGCGGGGCGGGGAAAGCCGAGGGCGTGGGTGGGCGCTCTGGGTCAGCAGAGACGGCTGTCCGCCCGCTGGGCGCCGCTGCGGATTTGGTAAATGGGAGGTGACGCTGGTGACCGAGAGCCGGGGCCCGCTGCCAGGAGCCTGGGCGAGGGCCAGGTGAGGGCGGCGAGGAGAGGGACTTGACTTTACAGACCTGTGGACCTCTGTCCGTTGGTGGGGATGCCAGCTAACCCTGAGCCCCAGATGTCACATGCGCGCTCCCCCTTCTCCTTACTGAAACCAGAAAGGCCCTGTTTGACGCAGGGTTTCCAGAAACTTGTTTTCATGTAAGCTAGACAGCTCCTGGTTTTCCCGAGAACGTTACAGACCGTTATTACAGTTCTTACCTGTCCTTGTTTACAGTCTGTACCGGCTAGGTGCTGAGCGGCTTGAAGGTAGGAACCCTCTGTTAGGGCTGTTTGCACAGCCTAGCATAGTGCCTGGCACAGGAGATAGACATACCGACTGGATGAATGATGCCTCAAAGATGGTACTTAGCCAAAGTAAGATATGAAAAATGCAGCGACACTTACAAAGAAAATTACTTTGGAGTGCAGAATAGAATGGGACTAATTTTGTCAGGGCATAGCAGGAAAGGATCAAGGTGAGAGGCTGGTGGTGTCTGCAGAGGCGTGGAGATGAGAAAGTGCAGGGCACATGGCCTGGAGTTGGGTCTCAGAGCATGCAGAGAACTATGCTCAACAGGTTGATGGGAGTGGGAGAAGAGGGGACGTGCGAATGCCATGGCTAATTTTGTGCTCTCTCAGTGGAGGGCTGTTGAAGGTTTTGAGCAGAGTAGTGATTAATTCTGTAAGGCTGGGCCAGATGGCTGGATGGGAAGGTGGTTAGGAGGCCGTGGCAGTGGTTTAGGTGAGAGGTCTGACTTCTCCTTGGGCGGCAGTGACCAGAGGTTGTCACTAACTACAGGGAGTGGAACTGAATTATTAAACCCAGACATGACTAGATAATGAATGCTGATTGGAGCAGGTGCCGAGTACAGTTTAGATGTAGCAGAAAAGATGAATTTAAATTCAAGAAATGTTACATTCTTGCCACATGCCAGGTGTTTTCATAAATGGTGTCTAATCATAAGTCCCCTGCAGGGTCAGAACAGTCACCCCTAATTTCTGGAGAAGAAAACTCAGGCACAGTAATTGAAGTGATGTGTTCAAGGTCACACTCTGAATGGATGGCAGAGCTGGGATCAAAATCAGGTCTTTTATGCAGGCAGGGAACATTTCGTGATTCATTAGAAAGAGGTCTTGGAGGTCATAGGGTTTCAGGAACTTCTGAGTGATGGGAGCAGAGAAGCATTTGGTTGGCTGTGCGGGAAGATTTTCAGTTAGATTAGAAATACTGCCTTCAGTGCTCAGCATTGCAGAGGAATTATAAAGCTTCCCCCACCTCAGTGTGTTGGTGAGGAAACAGAGAATTTGATAGAGTTGTTTACTAGCTATAAAGTTGTTAAGTAACTGAAAAGGTAAAACGTGTACCTGGGGGTGGCAACCGCAGGGAACAGCTACCAACCTATGGCTGAAGGAACAAAGAGATGAAGTTGATTAAAATTTAAAAGCTTAGGGAAAAGGCTCTGCAGAGCTGAAATTCCAACCTTTAAGGAGAAGGCACTGCCCCAGCTGATGGTAGGGGGTCTCTGAGCTTGGAGGAGAGTCCTGAGACCCAGACCTCTAAAGAGAAGGTGCAGTGATAAGACTGGCTCTGCAAGAGTTCGCAGAACTGTATACTGGATTCTGTGGCCACTATAGGAAGGCATTCCTGCTGCCACGGTGAAGTGTCATGAGGTGATGCCTACATGAATAGGAAGGAACAAGGCCCATCTCCCTCCAGCCTTGCTCAGTTTAACAGGGCAAAGTAGAAATGTGGGTGGCAGAGTCCCAGCCCTGCATCACCAAGGGGAGTATGGAAGAGTGGGTGGGGTTGAGATGCAATAGCTGAATACTGGGCATACCCCAGATACCCAAGTCCTTGGTAATCATTTCTTCTTCCTGCAGGCTGGCTTTGCTACAGCTGACCACTCCAGTCAGGAGAGAGAGACTGAGAAGGCTATGGATCGACTAGGCAAGTAGATGGCAGAGACGGAAGTTGGGGAGACCAAGGATGTGAGGAGAGGAATAGTCCCTCTGTCTCATTTACCTTCTCTTTTAGCCAGTCCTCTCTGCTGCTTAGTGGCCTTCTCTGCCCAGTTGAACAGTAACCTCCTTTGGAAGCCTTGCTTGGAGCTTCCTTAAGGGAAGTCCTGAACTTTTCTTATGTTCAAATCCATCCTTCTACCGAGAGAAACAGCTTGAAACGGTGAAAATAGTACAGCAGTCTCACCTTATTCCTAGGGGATACATTCTAAGACCCCCCCGCCCCAATGGATGCCTGAAACTGCTTTTTTTTCCTCCTATATATACTATTTCTGATATGGTTTAACTTATAAATTATGCATATGTGATTAATAACAATAGTAATATAGAACAATTATGCCAGTATACTGAAAGTTACGTGAATGTGTTCTCTCTCAAAATATCTTTTTTTTTTGAAACGGAGTCTCGCTGTGTCACCAGGCTGGAGTACAGTGGCACGATGTCAGCTCACCGCAACCTCCGCTTCCCAGGTTAAAGCAATTCTCCTGCCTCAGCCTCCCGAGTAGCTGGAACTACAGGCACGCGCCACCACACCCAGCTAACTTTTGTATTTTTAGTAGCTATGGGGTTTTACTATGTTGGCCAGGCTGGTCTCGAACTCCTGATCTCAAGTGATCTGCCCACCTAGGCCTCCCAAAGTGCTGGGATTACTGTGAGCCCACGCTCCCAAAGTGCTGGGATTACAAAGGCATGAGCCACTGTGCCCAGCCCCCTGCCGTTTTTTTTTTTTTTTGAGAGGGAGTTTTGCTCTTGTTGCCCAGGCTGGAGTGCAATGGCACAATCTTGGCTCACTGCAACCTCTGCCTCCTGGATTCAAGCATTCTCCTACCTCAGCCTCCCAAGTAGCTGGATTACAGGCATATGCCACCATGCCCAGCTAATTTTTGTATTTTTAGTAGAGATGGGGTTTCACCATGTTAGCCAGGCTGGTCTCGAACTCCTGACCTCACCTGATCCATCTGCCTCAGCCTCTCAGAGTGCTGGGATTACAGGTGTGAGCTACCACGCTTGGCCCCTTTTTTTCTTTTTCTTTTTTTTTTTTGAGATGGAGTCTCACTCTGTCACCCAGGCTGGAGTGCAGTGTCGCAATCTTGGCTCACTGCAACCTCTGTCTCCCGGGTTCAAGTGATTCTCGTGCCTCAGCCTCCTGAGTAGCTGGGATTACAGGCGTGCACCATATCGCCTGGCTAATTTTTGTATTTATTTATTTATTTATTTATTTATTTTTTGAGACGGAGTCTCGCTCTGTCTCCCAGGCAGTGGCACTATCTCGGCTCACTGCAAACTCTGCCCCCTGGGTTCACACCATTCTCCTGCCTCAGCCTCCCGAGTAGCTGGGACCACAGGCACCCGCCACCACGCCTGGCTAATTTTTTGTGTTTTTAGTAGAGATAGGATTTTACCTTGTTAGGATGGTCTCGATCTCCTGACCTCGTGATCTGCCCTCCTTGGCCACCCAAAGTGCTGGGATTACAGGCGTGAGCCACTGCTCCCGGCCTAATTTTTGTATTTTTAGTGGAGAGGGGCTTTCACCATGTTGGCCAGGCTGGTCTCAAACTCCTGACCTCAGGTGATCCGCCCACCTCGGCCTCCCAAAGTGCTGGGATTACAGGCATGAGCCACCGTGCCTGGCCTTTTTTTTTCTTTTAACTCTCACAACAACCCTATCTTCATTTTACAGATGTGGAAGTTGAGGCACAGAACAGTTAAATAAAAACAATTTAAAAATTGTGGTAAAAGATGCATAACCTAAATTTACCATGTAACCATTTTAACGCATATAATTCAGTAGCCTTTTAGCACAATGGCAGTGTTGTGCAACCATCACCACTACCTAGTTCCAGAATCTTTTCATCACCCTAAAAGGAAACCCTGTGCTCACCAAGTAGTCATTCTCCATTCCTTCCTTCTCTGAGCTCTTGGCAACCACTAATTTGCTTTCTGTCTCTGTGGGTTTATCTGTTCTGGATAGGCAAATGTGAGTTGCCTGTAAAGGGAATCATAACAATATGTGGCCTTTTGTGTCTGGCTTCTTCCACTTAGCGTATTTTCAAGGTGCATCCATGCCGTAGCATGTATCAGCACTGCATTCCTTTTTATGGCTGAATAATTCCATCATATGCATATACCACATTTTGTTTTTCCATTCATCCATTGATGGACATTTGATGTTGTGTCTACCTTTTGGTGATTGTAAATAGTGCTGCTGTGAGTATCCTTGTTTTATTTGAACAGCTGTTTTCAGTTCTTTTGGGTATATGTTTAGGACTGGGATTGCTGGGTCATATGGTAATTCTATATTTATGTTATGGAACTAGTTAAGTAAATTTCAGCTCAATCACACTTTTTTTTTTTTTTTTTTTTTTTTTTTTGGAGACAGGGTCTCACTCTGTGCAATGGCACGATCTTGGCTCACTGCAGCCTCCACCTCCCAGGTTCAAGCGATCCTCCCACCTCAGCCTCTTGAGTAGCTGGGATTACAGGTGCATGCCACTGCACCCAGCTAAATTTTTTGAATTTTTTGTAGAGACAGGGTTTGCGACATTGTTCAGGCTGGCCTTGAACTCCTGAGCTCAAGCAGTCCACCCACCTTGGCCTCCCAAAGTGCTAGGTTTACAAGGGTGAGCTACCGTGCCCGGCCCAGTCCGATGTTTGGTAATTGACAAAACACGGATTTGAAATCAGACAGTCTGGCTTTAGACCCCTTGCTCTGAACTATCACTTTATTGCTTATCACTGTTACTGTTGTTCCAGTATTAAGAGCATGGCTGTTTTAGGCTGATTGCCTTCTCTCCTGGGACCTGGCATCACCAAAGCACTATGTGCTCGGAAATCCATTATCTTTCCCCAGTCTTTCCTCCGTTATTGTGAGGCCTTTTGAAAATGTACCTTCCGGCCTCCCTGATGTCAGAGGGAGGCACTAGGTGCTGCCCATTGTGATTAGATGGGTTCTGGTCTTCTGCCTGCAGTGCCCCTGCTCCCCTTTGTCCCTGTGCTCACCTCTAACATGCTCTTTGAGGCTGAAGGGAGGAATAAAAGAGCAAAAACAACCGGGCACAGTGGCTTACGCCTGTAATCCCAGCACTTTGGGAGGCCGAGGCGGGTGGATCACAAGGTCAGGGGTTCAAGACCAGCCTGGCCAAGATGGTGAAACCCCGTCTCTACTAAAAATACAAAAAAATTAGCTGGGCGTGGTGGCGGGCGCTTGTAATCCCAGCTGCTCAGGAGGCTGAGGCAGAGAATTGCTTGAACCTGGGAGGTAGAGGTTGCAGTGAGCCGAGATGGTGCCATTGCATTCCAGCCTGGGCGACAGAGCGAGACTCTGTCTCAAAAAAAAAAAAAAAAGAGCAAAAACTTAATTCAGGCTTGTATTGTGAAAGTGTATTATTTATCAGAGGCCCTTTGCCTCAGTGACATACAAACCACCTGAAAATGTTAACTGTCCCTAGCCCTCTTTGTAAATTAAAGGACCTGACAATTAATGCCTTGTATAAGACAAAACGTCTTATTGAAAATAAATTATCAGCTCTTTTAAAAACATACAAAGAAGTGCATTTTTAAAAAAGTGCTCGGTGGCTAAAGAAGACTCTGTGCACTTGTTTTACTACCTTCGTAGTAAGTCTGCCCAAAATTTACTGAGCACAGAGCAGGTCCTCTTTGGTTTGTCACTAAGGCCATCTTCTCTTTGTCAATTTAGCCCGTGGAACACAGAGCATTCCTAATGACAGTCCTGCCCGGGGTGAGGGCACCCATTCTGAAGAGGAAGGCTTTGCCATGGATGAGGAGGACTCTGATGGAGAACTGAATACCTGGGAGCTGTCAGAAGGGACAAACTGTCCACCCAAGGAACAGCCTGGCGATCTTTTTAATGAGGACTGGGACTCGGAGTTGAAAGCAGATCAAGGGAATCCATATGGTAGGTGTGGAGTCTCTGGGGGTCCTGAACTAGGCCTTCTCAGACACACCTGTCAGACCAGCCCTGAAGGCAGTTTGGAACAGGGGTCCACATCTATGAGCTTAGGCTGGTATCTGTTACAGGTCTCCAATTTCTGTGACACCTTCTCTTTTATATTGAAAAAATCCAAATTTTGCATTTGACTCCATAATGTATCACTGTTTTAAAGTCAAAACTGTTACTCTCTCCAAAAATCTCTGCTATGAATTGAGCAGCTGCAGATAGAAGTGCTGTGTTATCCAGTTTGCTTCTTCACTGCTAAGAACCCTTGTCTGAGAAGCATAGCTTCTCAGCTGTTCCGAATGAACGCATTTACAATTCTTCAGGAAAGGAGAACTGTGTGTGTTTTTAAACAAAATAAGTGCAAGGATCTGTCCCCTAGACATACCTTTTTGGCTGTCCGTTTTTACCTTCCTTCCTTCCCTCCTTCCTTCCCTTAATCTGTCTTTTAAAACTGCCTGCAGATGCTGACGACATCCAGGAGAGCATTTCTCAAGAGCTTAAACCTTGGGTGTGCTGTGCCCCACAAGGAGACATGATCTATGACCCCAGCTGGCACCATCCGCCTCCACTGATACCCTATTATTCCAAGATGGTCTTTGAAACAGGACAGTTTGACGATGCTGAAGATTGAGTGTGGAGCTTTCTGCCTTGTAGGTGGGCGGGCCTCCACGTCAAGATCTCTTTTCCTGTCTTGGAGGTGAAAAGTCATATCTGAGAAAATGTTTGCAGTGACCCCTAGTCTGGGGTACACAGACCAGTGTTCCTTATTGACAGTGTTCAATAAGGCCCCGTCATTCTCGCCAGTCTGTTGTTGTTCTTAATGGGCTCCTCCTTGAAATGTGTGTGTGTTTGTGTCAAGAGGAGTTGTGTTCTTTGTAAATAAAGGTTAAAAAGAGAAACCAGTATGCTTCGTCTGCTTTTTTCCCATTTATTTATTTATGGAGACAGTCTCACTGTGTCACGCAGGCTGGAGTGCAGCAGCGCGAACTTGGCTCGTTGGAACCTCCACCTCCTGGGTTTAAGCGATTTTTGTGCCTCAGCCTCCTGAGTAGCTGGGACTATAGGTGCTCGCCACCACACCCGGCTAATTTTTTGTATTTTTAGTAGAGATGGGGTTTCACCACGTTGGCCAGGCTGTTCTCAAATTCCTGGCCTCAAGTAATCCACCCGCCTTGGCCTCCCAAAGTGCTGGGATTACAGGTGTGAGCCACCGTGCCCAGCCTTCACTACTTCATTTAAAGTCCCTGAATGACATTTTAAAGATTCAAACGCTTGGAGGCTTAAAACTACTCTGTGAAAGAAAAAAAATTTTAGTTTTGCTTCTGTAGATCTAGCACTGTTGACCAAGGATTGGAATCCAGGAGACACTGGTGATTTTGTAGCTGATTGTTTTCCTGTTGATAGAAAATGGAACATTTACTTAGTTAACAGGCTTTTCCCTAGGCCAAAAACTAAATGGGAAATTAGTTAAACCAGCAATTGCATAATCCTTAATTGACACTAAACTCGGTTTTCCATTTAATATTTTAATCCTTACAATTACTTGTATGAAGTCACTTTTAAAAATTTACCTCACTTTGGCCGGGCGCGGTGGCTCACACCTGTTATCCTAGCACTTTGGGAGGCTGAGGTGGGCGGATCACCTGAGGTCAGGAGTTCAAGACTAGCTGGCCAACATGGAGAAACCCTGTCTCTATTAAACAAAAATTAGCCGGGTGTCATGGTGAACACCTGTAATCCCAGCTACTCGGGAGGCTGAGGCAGGAGAAGGAGTCGCTTGAACCCGGGAGGCAGAGGTTGCGGTGAGCCGAGATCATGCCATTGCACTCCAGCCTGGGCAACAAGAGTGAAACTGTCTCAGAAAGAAACAAAGAAACAAAAAAAACAAAAAACTTTACCTCATTTTGGAGATGAGGAATGCAAGACTCAAAATGTTTTGACCAGGCCAGGCATGGTGGCTCGCACCTGTAATCCCAGCACTTTGGGAGGCTGAGGCAGGCAGATCACCTGAGGTCAGGAGTTCGAGACCAGCCTGGCTAACATGGTGAAACCCTGTTTCTACTAAAAATACAAAAGTTAGCCGGGCGTGGTGGCGTGTGCCTGTAATCCCAGCTACTTTGGAGGCTAAGGCAGGAGAATAGCTTGAACCTGGGAGGCAGAGGTTGCAACGAGCCAAGATCATGCCACTGCACTCCAGCCTGGGCAACAGGGCGAGACTCCGTCTCAAAAAAAAAAAAAAAAAAAAAAAAGGTTTTGACCTCTTCAAGATCACACAGAGTGGCAGAACTGGGACCTAGGTGCATATGTGACTCTGAGGTCCATTCTTGGCCCTGCATGTATGAGAAAATAGCAACACCATCTGGGGCCTCGCCTTGGCAGGTCTGGGATCCACTAGAGTAAGTCACCTTTGGGTCTGACGGGCTCAAGGATTGTTTCTTCCTGCCTCCTTATTGAAGCTGACACAAGAAAAGCTTTCAGATGTGAAATTTTAGTATACTCCATAGCAGTTAATTGAGCATTTAACCATTTAAACTTTTTCAAAGGCCCCACAAGGTGTATGAACAAGGCAGAACCTTGTGAGGGAATGTGGTGGCTTTGGCGGTGAGGGGAGTCATGGCCAAGGCTGTCGGAGGGAGGAAAAAAATGCCCCTTCCACTGTCTTTGCTAAAAGGGCAGTTGTAGATCATATCACCACACCCCCCTTTCTTCCTCCTCTCAAGGTCATAGATGATGAGACCATGAGTATGTCTGGCATAAAAAGGTAAACTTGAGAAACAGAGCCAAGAGATATTAGGGGCTTGAGGAGGACGGCAGAATTGCTGAAATGGAAATGTCATGTTATTGAAAGGTTGTGTTGGCCCATGTGTGAGCAGGAGTTATGAGGCAGCTGAAACTATGAGTAAAGGTGGAAGCTGTGAGTTGGGGTATTATATATATAGGGGGGCGGGAGGGAGAGAAGAAAAAAATAGTATGAAGAGCATACGTGCATAAGTAGCTAAGCAAAGAAAATTCACACAATGTTGCTGCTGTGATCCATGGAGGAGTTGTCAATCTAGGCCTCAGTTTTGCTATTTATTTATTTATGAGTCGGAGTCTCGCTCTGTCGCCCAGGCTGGAGTGCAGTGGCATGGTCTCGGCTCACTGCAAGTTCTGCTTCCCGGGTTCACGCCATTCTCCTGCCTCAGCCTCCTGAGTAGCTGGGACTACAGGTGCCCACCACCACGCCCAGCTAATTTTTTGTATTTTTAGTACAGATGGGGTTTCACCATGTTAGCCAGGATGGTCTCGATCTCCTGACCTGGTGATCCACCCGCTTCAGCCTCCCAAAGTGCTGGGATCACATGTGTGAGCCACCGCGCCGGGCCATTTATTTATTTATTTAGAGATAGAGTTTCGCTTTTGTTGCCAAGACTGGAGTGCAGTGGTACTGTCTCGGCTCACTGCAACCTCCGCCTTCTGGGTTCAAGCGATTCTCCTGCCTCAGCGTCCCAAATATCTGGGATTACAGGCGTCTGTCACCACACCCAGCTAATTTTTGTATTTTTAGTAGAGACGGGGTTTCACTATGTTGGCCAGGCCGGTCTCGAACTCCTGACCTCAGGTGATCCGCCTGCCTCAGCCTCCCAAAGTATTGGGATTACAGGCATGAGCCACTGTGCCTGGCCCAATTGTTCTAATTTGAATATTATTCTGGTGCCCTACCACTGGGTGATTCGATCAAGAGAAAGAAGATGTAGAGTATTGGTTATCTCAAGGGGATGAAGTGGGAGTAAGAAAAAAAAGTGAAATGGAAAAATACTAATGATATAAGGCATGAAAAGGTGGACTCTCAAACTACTTTCATAATATTGCATGTATGAAATAATTGCATGTATATGTATAAAGATTAGAAGGTAAGATGGAGAAGTGGAAACAATTTGATTAGATGATGGAAGTGTAAAAATTTTGCTTTTACATTTTTGTTATTTTAAGATTTTGCAATTAGGTATTATTTTTAAACCTTTCAATAGTTTTTGGGGAACAGGTGGTGTTTGGTTACATAGATAAGTTCTTTAGTGGTGATTTCTGAGATTTTGGTGCACCCATCACCAAGCGGTGTACAGTTTACCCAATGTGTAGTCTCTTATCCCTCACCCCCCTGCAGTTAGGTATTTAAACAAGACCTTATTCTTTTTTTTTTTTTTTTTTTTTTTGAGACAGGTTCTTGCTCTGTTGCCCAGGCTGGAGTGCAGTGGCATGATCTTGGCAGCTCACTGCAACCTCCGCCTCTCGTGTTCAAGCAATTCTCCTGCCTCAGCCTCCCAAGTAGCTGGGATTACAGGCATGTGCCACCACACCCGGCTTATTTTTGTATTTTTAGTAGAGACGGGGTTTCACCATGTTGGCCAGGTTGGTCTCGAACTCCTGACCTCATATGATCTGCCCACCTCGACCTCCCAAAGTGCTGATATTACAGGAGTGAGCCACCGCGCCCGGCCAAGACCTTAGTCGTAAGTGTCCTTTGTCTAGGCTTCCCTGTTCTCGCTGACAAATATCACAATACTTACCTTATTCTACTGTGATCATTGGCTCATGCGTCTGCCTCCCTCTTTAGGCCAAGAGCTCTTTGAGGGCAGGACTATGACTTACTCAACATCCCTGTTTCATACATGCTGGGCATGGGGCCCAGCATGAAAATGTTCAGTGAATATCGCCACAAATTCATTTACCTTTAGTAATGGTGCAGTATTTGCCTTAACTGTATTTAGGGTTGCCTGATAACATCCCAGGCTGGTGATGAAAAAATAACAAGGTATTTGAAGAACCTTTAAAAAGTCTTTGTGTTAAATATGATTTGGATTTAATTATAATTCCTTATCTATTAACTTACCTTTTTTTTTTTCTTCTTGAGACTGAGTCTCATTCTGTTGCCCAGGCTGGAGTGCAGTGGTGCGATCTCGGCTCACTGCAACCTCCGCCTCTCAGGTTCAAGCAATTCTCTGCCTCAGCCTCCCGAGTAGCTGGGATTACAGGCGCCTGCCACCACGCCCAGCTAATTATTTTGTATTTTTGGTAGAGACAGGGTTTCACCATCTTGGCCAGGCTGGTCTTGAACTCCTGACCTCATGAACCACCTGCCTTGGCCTCCCAAAGTGCTGGGATTACAGGCGAGAGCCTCCACACCTGGCCTAATTTACTATTTTTAAAAACAGTGTATGGGAACATAATGAAGAGAAATGTCTAGAAGCGGTGTGTTTGCAACTGTGCTTTAATCTGAAACCCTCCAGTCAGTGACCAAGAAAATTTTGTTCTCTAAAAACTAGTGTATGTATGACAAGACAAATGAGTTTGTTATGCAAAGTATGGCTGGGCGTGGTGGCTCAACTCACCCTTGTAATCCCAGCACTTTGGGAGGCCAAGGCAGGTGGATCTCCTGAGCCCAGGAGTTTGAGACCAGCCTAGGCAACATGGTGAAACCCCATCTCTACCAAAAATAGAGAAAAAAAAAATCAGCTGGGCATGGTGGTGCATACCTGTAGTCCCAGCTACTTGGGAGGCTGAGGTGGGAGGATCACTTGAGCCCAGGAGGCAGAGGTTGTAGTGAGCCGAGGTCGTGCCATTGCACTCCAGCCTGGGTGACAGAATGAGATCTCATCTCAAAAAAATAAAATAAAACACCCCAAAACCAAAGTATTTATTTGATAAACAACAAATCATGATTATTAAAAAAATCAATGAAAAGGAAATATCACAGTAATTTCTAACCAGTGTCCTATATTGAAGAATTGTAATTTTAGATACTCAATAAAATGAAAAAAATCTTTTATTTATCTGAACCTCTACTGAGCTGAGAAGTCTCAATCTGAGAACTGGGGAAAACATAGATGTTGCTTAGTTTGGCCTTGTGCCATCTGCAGAAATCCTCTGTGCCTACTTCTAGTCGCAGGGATCTCACTACCTCAGAAGGATGCCCTGCGTTAGCCCCTGGCTAGTGTTGTTTGTTAGAAAAGTCTTCGGTGTAGGCCAGGCGCAGTGGCTCACCCCTGTAATCCTAGCACTTTGGGAGGCCGAGGCGGGTGCATCACCTGAGGTCAGGAATTCGAGACCAGCCTGGCCAACATGGCAAAACCCCATCTCTACTAAAAATACAAAAATTATCCTGGAACGGTGGTGCACACCTGTAATCCCAGCTACTAGGAAGGCTGAGACGTGAGAATTGCTTGAACCAGGGAGGCGGAGGTTGCAGTGAGCCAAGATCTCACCACTGCACTCTGGCCTAGGTGACACAGCCAGACTCCGTCTCAAAAAAAAAAAAAAAGGAAAGTCCTCAGCGTGCTGAGCTGAAATCTACCCATTTAGTCCTGGTCTGCTCTGTGGTCTGACACTCTTTCAAATATTGGAAATTAACCATCTTATCCACTCTCTAGCTTTTCGTTTTCCAGGTTAAACAGTCAACAGGCAGTTGCATATACATGTGTAGAATCGGAGAGGGATACTGGAGGTGTGAATTTGGGAATTGTTGATGTCTCAGTAGGTGTTAGAGCATTAAGAGAGGTTGAGGGTGTTTAGTGAGGGCACACGGAGAGAGAAGGGGGTCGAGGACAGAACTTTGGGGAGCAATGGCAGTGAAAAGGTAGGTGGAAGGATCTGGCCACAAAGGCAGGCTGTGGCAGCAGAGGAGAAGGAAGACCAGGTGGGTGAAGGTGCCTTTCAAGCCAAATCTAATAATAATAAGATTTTTAAGGAAGAGGGAGTGGCCATCTTTGATAGAGACAGGCCAAGTAAGATGAAGGCTAAAAGGGGTATTTTGGGATGTGGAAATTAGGAAGTGCTCACATGATGACATGACTGGGGAGGGGGGAACAGGTACATTGTGGGCTGAAACAGGGGATATGTGTGGCCACCTGAGCTGCTGCCTTTGTCATCATTGCTTCTCTTGACTTGGGCAATGGTGACTTCTGGCCAGCTCCTCTCAGAATGTCAGACTGAGAAGAGACAGTGATGGGAGAGAAAAGGAAGGAACGGGAGAAGGACAAAGGTCGACAGAGGCTGTTGAGAAATACAGGTACTAAGGGCCTGTTAGGAGGAACAAAAGAGTAACTTTTATTCTGACTTTTTTTCAAACAGTATCGTTCATCAAGAAAGAAACCACAACTGACCACAGCCAAAATCTTGAGTGATGGGAGAGGATATGTGTGTGGATCCAGTGTCTGGATGATCGTTTGAGACGTGTATTTGCTTTCCCTCCTTCATTCTCCTCTCCATGCAAGCAGTCAGTTGGCTCTCTGTCATTGCCTGAGTGGAGTCATGCAGCAGAGTCTAAAGGAGCCAAGAAATCTCTCTGGCTTTTGTTTTACAAAATGGATTTACTGATTTGTTTTTTGGTAAGGAGGCAAAGGGGTTTTGGGCCAACAGACTGTGCATCTTGAAGAAATCTGGAAGAAAAGAATTTTCCCCAGGATCCCCCCACCCCCAACAACAAAAAAAAGTCTTAGGTTGTGAGATATGGTAGAGAAGAGAGAGAGATTGGGGGATGCTAAGGGCAGGTGGAACAGGAGCGCTGCTTCTTGGAGTGTCCCTGGGGAGCTAGGTCTTCAGAGAGTGATAGATGTTAGTGCTTGTAGGCAGTTGGGACTGTCTTGCAATGCCCAGGCCTTGGCTGGGCGCGGTGGCTCACGCCTGTAATGCCAGTACTTTGGGAGGCTGAGGTGGGTGGATCACTTGAGGTCAGGAGTTCAAGACCAGCCTGGCCAGCATGGCGAAACCCCGTTTCTACTACAAATACAGAAATTAGCTGGGTGTGGTGGTGGGCGCCTGTAATCCCAGCTACTCGGGAGGCTGAGGCAGGAGAAATGTTTGAACCCAGGAGGCAAAGTTCGCAGTGAGCAGTGAGCCGAGATCACACCACTGCACTCCAGCCTGGATGACAGAGCAAGGCTCTGTTTAAAAAAAAAAAAAAAAAAAAAAAAAAAGACACCCTAAGCATTCTAAGAAGCTGATGGACCCAGAGGGCCCAGGGAAGACTTCTGAAGATGGACGGTGGATGACCTGATGCCCACCCCCACTTGCCTCCCTAGCATGACTCCAAGTAAGTGAGGAGAACCCAGAAGGCCTGGATGGAAGCTCAGGGTCAGAAATTAGGATAGTTAGAAGGACAGAATTGCTTCTTGTGAACCCCCAAGATGCAAGAGATGCCAAGTTGCAGAAGCCTGGACATGAGTGTTACAGCTGGGGTTCTGGGGGCATCATCAACTAGATCAAGATGATGTATTTGAGGTATCATCATTGGTTGATTAATACCAGAGTGCTAATAATTTTTGTTTTTATTTTCTATTTTGATGAAAAACTTGCAATTTTTGTACTGTAGTGGAACCAACAGGATTGTGCTGTTCACAGTTTGTATAGGTAGTTTTATGTTTTTTTTTTTTTTGAGACAGTCTCGCTCTGTTGCACAGGCTGGAGTGCAGTGGTGGGTTCTCAGCTCAATGCAACCTCTGCCTCCCGGGTTCAAGCGATTCTCCTGCCTCAGCCTCCCAAGTAGCTGGGACTACAGGCGCCCCCCCCACCACGCCCGCCTAATTTTTGTATTTTTAGTAGAGATGGGGTTT
The DNA here is from genome assembly GCF_000001405.40 of Homo sapiens. Taxonomy (NCBI): domain Eukaryota; kingdom Metazoa; phylum Chordata; class Mammalia; order Primates; family Hominidae; genus Homo; species Homo sapiens. The sequence goes on along the minus strand of NC_000017.11, from coordinate 31,844,181 downwards.
CACCATATCAGCCAGGCTAGTCTTGAACTCCTGACCTCAGGCGATCTGCCCGCCTCAGCCTCCCAAAGTGCTGGGATTACAGGTGTGAGCCACCGCACCCAGCCAATTTTTGTATTTTTAGTAGAGACTGGGTTTTGCCATGTTGGCCAAGCTGGTCTTGAACTCCTGGCCTCAGGTGATCTGCCCGCCTTGGCGTCCCAAAGTGCTGGGATTACAGGCATAAACCACTGCATCCTGCCAGTTTTATGTGTTTTTGATGGCTCCCACTTGTTTCTGTCTGTTTTATGGCTTTTCTCCTGTTGGGAAATTCTGGGGCAATGTAGCCCTTCATCCCAGCCCCAGCTTAGCTTGGTGCTGTGTTTCCAGTAGGGTTGGTGGTCATAAGACCTCCGGAGGTTATGATGGGCAGTGCTTCCCCAAGTTTTACTCTCCACACTTGTGTGCCTGGGCTAAGACGGGCCTTTCCAGAGAGGCTTTCTTTGCCTTCTCACAAGCAGACTGTGTAGAGGCTGCAGAGACCAGGCTCTCTGTGTCCAGAAGCAACCTGCTGGATTCAGCAAAGCCCTGCTGCCTTGAGGAAATCTGAGACTGTCTCCTTGGGAGATGGAAGTAAACTCATGGGCTAAGTAAATATCTTGGCGCTGCACTGCCCTTGGTTTTCCGGAGTTTGCATTCTTGGGCCCAACTTTTCACAGGATGGTTGGAATATGGAGAAAGAGAAAAAATAACCCTGGCTGTGGCCCATCTGGATTCTGCCTCCTAGTTTTCCCAGAAAAGATTTTCCACCCAAATAAATGAGAATAATGGAATGGAGGACTGTGTGTGTGTGTGTGCACTCCTGAGTGTGGCAGGCCAAGGAGGAGAACTATCGGGTGGAGGGAAGAGAAGTTGGAGGGTGGAATAGGAAGGCAGGAGGCAGGGCTGGCTCCCACGTTGTTGACTTAGCAAGTCTGGCTGCAAAGCCAAGGCCTTCGGAAAGAACGGCCTCCCTGCTTTGGGCAGTTTTCCAGGACTGAGCTAGATCCTGCATTGTTTATGGGCAGGACAGTTCAGTTGGATTCCTGCGCACCAAGGTTTGGAGAATGTCACCAGGATCTGCCCTCTGTGATGGCCCATGGAGTAAAGTATGACCATGGTTTTAAAAGAAGATACTTCCTCCCACCTCACAGGGTTTTCTAGTCCTTCTCGCCTTTGAGTCAGAAAGAGAAATTTCTCCCGGAGGCACGCTCCACGTTGTAACCTTTGCAAGGTGCAGTTGGTTTTCCTTTTATTTTCTTTTTTTCTGGTCAGGTGGTTTTTATTTCAAAAGCAATCTCCTCTGATACCCTCTCATTAGCTGTTGAACAAATGTGGCAGATACAAGTTAGAGCCGTGCATTTGGCAGCTGAATTCAGGCAGGCGCCTGAATTTCTCTGGGCTGCTGCCTGTGGCCTTATTCTGTTTGTCCAGCAGGTGGCAGTAAAGACCCACTGACTCCGCTGTCTCCGTAGGACCCACCGACTCTGCTGTCTCTGGTGCGACCCACATCCAGGGGCTTTGGAGGAGAGGCTGAGTCTGGTTCAGCGTTACCTTCCTGTTAGCTGGCTTCCTGCTGGCTGGCAAACCCACCTGCGAATCCTCAGGATTTACTCCGGATTTACAGCTGAGTTTTCTCAGAAGCGGTTACTGTGAAATCTAGGGCCAGGGTCATCATCATTCCTCCCAGCACCTGCCTGAATCCGGCACGTGGTAAGCGCTTCACAGATGCCTGCCGACATCAGCCAAAGTGTGTGCATATGGGAAGGAAGGTGGAAGGCATTGTGCTGCGTCCCTCTACCGGGTCACATGCCAGGTGTTTTTCTTATGAAGTAGGGTTTATAATTCCCACTTCAGAAAGAGAAATCGAGGCTCAGGGAGGTGAAATAACTGACCAAAGGTCACAAAGATAGGCTGTGACCCAAGTCAGCTGACTCCAAGTTTTCAGCCTTGTATGCTTGCCGTACTGAGGTGGGAAACATTTAGATTCAGCGAGAGTCTAGGATGAACTTAGTTTTAGAAAAGCAAGGGAATTTAGTGTAGGTGTGATCTTTATTCATTAACGTATTTCTGGGCACCTGCCATATGCTGTGTACTGAGGAGGAAGAGGTAGAGGCTGTAGTTCCTGCTTTCATGGAGCTCGGAGTGGAGTGGGGAGGCAATGGCACACAGGTCATCACAACACCATCCATAACCATGGAGAGGGTAAGCCCGGGGTGTGGGGGAACCTAGAAGGGTTGGGGGATAAAGGAGACCCCTCAAAGGAGACGGTCTCTCAGCTGAATTCTTTTTCTTTTTTTTTTTTTTTGAGACAGAGTCTTTCTCTGTTGCCCAGACTGGAGTACAGTGGCATGATCTCGGCTCACTGCAACCTCTGCCTCCCTGGTTCAAGTGATTCTCCTGCCTCAGCCTCCCGAGTAGCTGGGATTACAGGCTCCTGCCACCATGCCCAGCTAATTTTTGTATTTTTAGTAGAGATGGGGTTTCACCATGTTGGCCAGACTGGTCTCGAACTCCTGACCTCAAGTGATCCGCCTGCCACAGCCTCCCAAAGTGCTGGGATTACAGGCTTGAGCCACTGCGCCAGCCTCAGCTGAATTCTTGAGGACTTGCTGGGCAAGTAGTGGTGGGGGTGTCATCTAGGCAGAGAGAGCTGTGTGTGCAAAGCTCCCAGGTGTGAGAGGAGTTGAAGTGTTCAGGGGGAACTGGCAAGGGAGGTGGTGAGGGATGAAGTCTGGTAATCACAGGGCTTTGAAAGTCATGCTGAGGGGCTTGAAAGGTTTTTAACAGGTATGTGACATGGGCAGATTTTCATTTTTGGAAGATTATTCTAGTGTCTGGCAGGGAGTGGCAGGAAAAGGCTGAGACTGAAGGCAGGGAGGCCAAGCTAGAGGCTATAGTCTAGCAAGAGAGGATGGTGACCTAAACTAGGGTAATGGCTATGGAGATGGAAGGAGGTGGACAGATTGGAACTATTTATAGAAGGTAGAGCTGGCAGGAGTGGGAATAGATTGCCTGTGAGGGGAGGGCAAGGGAGAGAGAAGACTCTGGGATGAGCTTGAGGTCCTGAGTGGAGCAACCAGGTGGATGGAATAACCTCTTAAGTGTGAATGATTTTTATAATTATTATGTACTTTCTTTTTTTTTTGAGACGGAGTCTTGCTCTGTCGCCCAGGCTGGAGTGCAGTGGTGCAATCTTGGCTCACTGCAACCTCCGCCTCCCAGGTCAAGTGATTCTTCTGCCTCAGCCTCCCAAGTAGCTGGGATTATAGGCGCACATCACCACACCCGGCTAATTTTTGTATTTTTAGTAGAGACGGGGTTTCACCATATTGGCCAGGCTGGAGGCTGGTCTTGTACTCCTGACCTTCTGATCCGCCTGCCTCGTCCTCCCAAAATGCTGGGATTATAGGCATGAGCTACTACGCCCAGACTCATATGCACTTTCACATCCACTCTTTCAAGAGGATGGTGCTCCATGTTCCAGATGTACTGCTGCATTCTCAGCGTTTGGAAGACCCGCCCCCACCTCCAGGATGGTGTAGTCCTGCGCCTTGACCTTGTCCAGGTCTGGCCTCTAGGGTCCTGTTTTTCCCATGCTCTCCTCTCTCCCAGAGCAGATGCTCAGGGAATGGCACTTTTCTTACACAGGGTGCCTGGAGTGGACACTCTGCTTGCCTCTCCCATATTCATTCCTCTTCTGTTGGTGACCATCCCTTTCCCATGCAGCCCTTGAGCTTTGGGGAAAGCTAATCCCACCCCTGCACATAGAGGCAGGGCACAGGGCTCAGGACTCAGCTAACTCTCATAATTGCAGTCCTTGTCCTCTGTATTCATTTCCCAGGACTGCCATAACAAATTACTACAAATTTGGTGGCTTAAGACAACAGAAATGTATTCTCCCATAGTTCTGGAGGGCAAAAATCTGAAATCAGGGTATTGGCAAGACTGTGCTCCCTCCGGAGATTCTAGGGGAGTCTGTTTCTTGCCTCTTTCAGCTCCTGATGGCTGCTGGCCCTCCTTGGCTTATGGCTGCTTCCAATCACTGCTTCATATTTACGTGGCTTTCCCCTCCGTCTTCTCCTCTCTCTCTTTTTTTCTCTTTTTTTTTTTTTTTTGGAGACTGAGTCTCACCCTGTCACCCAGGCTGGAGTGCAGTGGTGTGATGTTGGCTCACTGCAACCTCTGACTCCCGGGTTCAAGCAATTCTCCTGCCTCAGCCTCCTGAGTAGCTGGGATTACAGGCATCCACCACCATGCCCAGCTAATTTTTGTATTTTTAGTAGAGATGGGGTTTCACCATGTTGGCCAGGCTGGTCTCGAACTCCTGACCTTGTGATCCACCAGCCTCGGCCTCCCAAAGTGCTGGGATTACAGGCATGAGCCACTGTGCCCAGCCTTCTCTATCTCTTACAAGGATACTTGTCACTGGATTTAGGGCCCACTTGGGTAATCCAGAAGGATTTAATCTCAAGACTCTTAATTACACTTGGAAAAATGCTTTTTCCAAATCAGGTCACATTCACAGGTTCCAGGGGTTAGGAAGTAGACATAATTTTGGGAGGGGTTGTGTTAGTCCCTTCTCACACTGCTAAAAAGAACTGCTGGACACTGGGTAGTTTATAAGGAAAGAGGTTTAATTGATTCACCATTGTGCAGGGCTGGGGAGGCTTCAGGAAACTTACAGTCATGGTGGAAGGGGAAGCAAACACTCCTTCACATGGCTGCAGGAAGGAGAAGTGCCGAGCAAAAAGGGGAAAAAGCCCCTTATAAAACCATCAGATCTTGTGAGAACTCACTATCATGAGAACAGCATGAGGGTAACTGCCCCCATGATTAAATCACCTTCCACCGGGTCCCTTTCATGGTACGTGGGGATTATGGGAACTACAATTCAAGATGAGATTTGGGTGGGGACACAGCCAAACTGTATCAGGGTGCCATCCAACCTACTATGGCCTTTGTGGATGGCAAAGTAGGACAAAATTGGGACTGTGATGACACCATTGAGCCCCTATCAACCAATCCAGAAGACTGACTGCTTCAGGGCTTCACGTTATATAACTCAATAAATCCTCCTTAGTGCTTTAAGCCACTTCAACACAATCTGCCACGCCCCCATCACCAGCTGCTGAATGTGCCCTACTGATACACCGTGCCCACCTGGAGTCCTGCATGCAGGCAGTGGGGTGTGATGGAGATTGGAATTCTTCTTGGTTGGGCTCTATTGTGGACACTCCGTGTGACCGTGGGAAAACCACAGCTTTGCTGACCATCAGTTTGAATATATAAATGGGCCCTTGTCCCTGCAAAAGGCTCTTCAAAATGGAAGCCACTGTGGTTTCTGTTGTATGGCTTCTGCATTCCAAGAAAGATGTAATAGGACTGGAAAAGGGCCAGACAATGGAGTGATGAAGGGCTTTTACCATGAGGGCAAGCTCTGCAATTAGAGTTCTCCAGCCAGGAAAGATGGAGGCTGAGCAGGGAGTGTAACTAAATCCTTTTCTATGGTACAGCATATCCACAAGGTGGGCCAGACTCACCCAATTCCAGAATCCTTATCATATATATATATATATAGTAGCCAAATATAGCAGCACAGCCACTATATATACACACACACACACACACCATATATATATATATACACGCACATATACACACACCATATATATACACACACATATATATAGTGTATATATATATACACACATATACATGTATATATGTATATATATACACACATATATGGTGTGCGTGTGTGTGTGTGTATAATCTATATAAAGAGAGGCACTTCTGAAAGTTTGAGAAGTTGTTTTAGGGCAAACAATAGAAAGCGCCATGTTCCATGGTGGAGCTGAGCTCAAGGCACTCGGGCAGTTTGGTGTAGTGCACCTGGAATCCGGGAGAGCTTGGCTCCACTTCTGGCTTCAGCTGTGTGATGGTGAGCAAACCCCTTCTCTCCTTGAGTCTAAGATTGTGCGTCGGTAATTTGGGGGTAATAATCTTGGTACCAAACCAGAAGTGAGCTGCCACAGATGCCCACTGCTCTACCGACCTGCCACCACAGGCAGCCCTGTGCCTCCGCCTCCTGCTGGTCCTCTCGATGGCCAGTCGAGTATCTCCCCTCTTAGGCGTGAGGCCTTATCCTCTCACGTTGCTCAAGGACTGCTCAAGCAATTCTCTCATCTTTCCCACACCACCCATTTCCGTCTCTCTACTAGATTACTCTCACATACACAAAAACAGTATCATTTCTTCCATCTTAAAACCACCCTCCCTTGATTCCACTCTCCCTCTAGCTGCTGCCCACGTTCACAGCTCCACTCTGCAGCAAAACTCCTTGAAAGAATCATCTCTATTCATTGTCTCTTATGGCTCAATGAATCTTTACAAAATGAATGTACCTAAGGAAGGACCACCCAGATTTTAAAAAATACTACCAGTTCCCCAGAAATCCAGCCCCCCTCCCCATCACTTACACTTCTTTATACTCTAAGATAACTACTATCCTGATTTATTACACCATGGATTCATTTTATCTTACTTTATTGTAAAATACACATAAACGTTACCATTTTAACCATTTTAAAATGCACAACTCAGCGGCATTTAGTACATTCACAGTATTGAGCACCCATGACCACTCCCTAGTCAAAGGACATTTTCATCACTTCAAAAGGGAAGCCCATATCCATTAGCAGTCACTCTCCATTCCCCATTGGCCTCAGCCCCTGGCAACCACTCATCTGTTTTTTATCTCTATGGACCTACCATTCTGGATATTTCCTATAAATGGAATCATGTAATATGTAATATGTGGCCTTTTGTGTCTGGCTTCTTTCACTCTGCATAATATTTTCAAGGTTCATTCATGTTGTAGCATGTATCAATACTTCATTCTTCTTCTTCTTCTTCTTTTTTTTTTTTTGAGATGGAGTCTTGCTCTGTCGCCCAGGCTGGATAGAGTGCAGTGGTGCAATCTCAGCTCAAGGCAACCTCCTGGGTTCAACCAATTCTCTTGCCTCAGCCTCCCTGAGTAGCTGGGATTACTGGTGCCTGCCACCAAGCCCGGCTAGTTTTTTTTTGTATTTTCAGAAGGGATGGGGTTTCACCATGTTGTCCAGGCTGGTCTTGAACTCCTGACCTCAAGTGACCTGCCTCCCTTGGCCTCCCAAAGTGCTGGGATTACAGGCGTGAACCACCACACCTAGCCTCAATATTTCATTCTTTTTTATGGCTGAATAATATTCCATCACATGGCTATACCACATTTTGTTTATTTATTTATTTTTATTTTTTGTAGAGATGGGTTTTTGCCATGATGCCCAGGCTGGTCTCAAACTCCTGAGCTCAAGTGATCCACCTGCCTCGGGCTCCCAAAACGCTAGGATTACACGTGTGAGCCACCACAACTGGTCTCTATTGTGTATTCCAAAGTAGCTAGAAGAGAGGACAATATTATACTCCCTAATATGAGATCAGGAGGTCAGGAGTTCGAGGCCAGCCTGAACAACATGGCAAAAACCCATCTCTACAAAAAAAAAAATTAGCTGGGCGTGGTGGTGTGTGCCTGTAGTCCCAACTGCTCAGGAGGCTGAGTGGGAGGATTGGTTGAGGCTGGGAAATTGAGACTGCAGTGAGCTGTGATTGTGCCACCGCACTCCAGCTGGGTGACAGAGCGAGACCCTGTCTCCAAAAAAAAAAAAAAAAAAAGACAATAGACAGTTGTTAACTATAGTCACTTTGCTTTGCTGTCAAACAACAGAACTTACACCTTTTCCTAACTGTCTGTCTGTAGCCATTAACCTGCCTCTTTTCTCCTGCATCAATATTATACTCTCTAATGTGAGATTCATCCACGTTATTGCAGATAGCAGTAGTTTTCTCAGTTTCATTGCAGGGTAATACATCATTATGTGAATATATTACCATTTACTAATCTATTTTTGATGGATAATTTCCAGTTTGCGGTTATTATGAAGAATGCTATGAATGTTTTTGTTCACTACTATCTGGTGAACATATGTATGGATTGCTATTAGATATATACCTAGGAAGGGAATTGCTGGGTCATAGATTATAAACATGTTCAGTTTTAGTAGATACTGCCAAAGGGTTCTCTTAAGATTGAACCGATTTTCACTCCCATAAGAAGAGTGTGGGCAGCCGGGTGTGGTGGCTCATGCCTGTAATCCTAGCACTTTGGGAGGCTGAGGCAGGTGGATCACGAGGTCAGGAGTTTGAGACCAACCTGGCCAACATGGTGAAACCCCATCTCTACTAAAAATACAAAAATTAGTCAGGCGTGGTGGCAGGCGCCTGTAATCCCAGCTACTCAGGAGGCTGGGGCAGGAGAATCGCTTGTACCTGGGAGGCAGAGATGGCAGTGAGCCAAGATCGCACCATTGCACTCCAGCCTGGGTGACAGAGCAAGATTCTGTCTCAAAAAAAAAAAAAGTGTGTGGGCCGGGTGCAGTGGCTTACGCCTGTAATCCCAACACTTTGGGAGGCTGAGGCAGGCAGATCACTTGAGGCTAGGAGTTCAGGACCAGCCTGGCCAACATGGTGAAACCCTGTCTCTACTAAAAATACAAAAATTAGCCAGGCATGGTGGTGGGCACCTGTAATCCTAGCTCCTCGGGAGGCTGAGGCATGACAGTTGCTTGAACCTGGGAGGCAGAGGTTGCAGTGAGCTGAAATTGTGCCACTGCACTCCAGCCTGGGCCACAGAACAAGACTCTGTCTCAAAAAAAAAAAAAAAAGTGTGTGAAAGTTCCAGTTGCTCCACATCTTTGTCAACACACAGTATTTCAGTTTTTTTTTTTTTTTAATTTTAAAAAATCTGATGGCTGGCAATTTTCTAAGTTTACTTGAGGCCGACTCTCACCTCTTCCATTCCACCAAGACTGCTCTTGCCAATGGTCAGTGCTCAGTCATCGTCTCGTTTGACCCACCACCTTGACAGTTTTGAGGAGTGCTAGTCAGGTATTTTGTAGGATAGCCTGCTATTGGGATTTCATCTGCTTTTCTCACCGCAAGACTGGATATTTGATGTCTATTACTGTGTGCTAAATATGATGCTCAGTCCTGTTTCAGAGATAAAGCCTCTTTTCTTTTTATTTTTGAGACGGAGTCTCAGTCTGTTGCTCAGGCTGGAGTGTAGTGGTGCCATCTGGGCTCCTGGGCTCACTGAACTCCCAGTTCCAAGTGATTCTCCTGCCTCAGCCTCCCGAATAGCTGAGACCACAGGCGCGCACCACCATGGCTGGCTCTTTTTTTTTTTTTTTTTTCAGTAGAAACAGGGTTTCACCATGTTGGCCAGGTTGGTCTTGAACTCCTGACTTCAGGTGATCCACCCGCCTTGGCCTCCCAAAGTGCGAGGATTACAGTTGTAAGCCAGCGTGCCCAGCAAAGCCTAGGTTCTTAGCTTGCGCTCACTGAACAGCCTTGCATATCTCCTCCTTGTCTCAGTTCTCTCAGTGTGGCTTCCAGGGCCCCATACTCTCTCGGTTTTCCTTTAACCACAGTGGCTTCCCCTCTTCACCCCCTCTTCTGGTTTCTCTTCTCTCTGACCTCTCTCTGTTGGCGGTGCTTCAGGGCTCAGCCTTTAACTCTCTTCTCTATATTCACTCTGCTGGTGAGCTCCTGCAGCCTCATGGCTTTAAATACCATCCGTATGCTGACATTTCCCAAATTTACATCTGTAGCCTGGAATTCTCTCCTTAATTCCATATATATATTTTTTTATTTTTATTTTTTGAGACTGGGTTTCAGTGTGTCACCCAGGCTGGAGTGCAGTGGCATGATCACAGCTCACTGAAGCCTTGACCTCTCAGGCTCAAACAATCCTCCCACCTCAGCCTTCTGAATAGCTACAGGGACTAGACTCATGCCATCATGCCCAGCTAATTTTTGAATTTTTTTTGTAGAGACAGGGTTTTGCTGTATGGCCCCGACTGGTCTTGAACTCCTGAGCTTGAATGATCCTCGTGCCTTGGCCTCCTAAAATGCTGGGATTACAGGCATATGCCACTGTGCCCAGTCAATTCCATATATCTAACTGCTGACTTGGCATTTCGCCTTGAATGTTTAATAGCTCAAATTTGGCCAGGCGTGGTGGCTTACGCCTGTAATCCCAGCACTTTGGGAGGCCGAGGCGGGTGGATCATGAAGTCAGGAGTTCAAGACCAGCCTGGCCAAGATGGTGAAACCCCGTCTCTACTAAAAATACAAAAATTAGCTAGGTGCAGTGGCAGGTGCCTGCAATCCCACTACTCGGGAGGCTGAGGCAGGAGAATCGCTTGAACCTGAGGGACAGAGGTTGCCGTGAGTGAGCCGAGATTGCGCCACTGCACTCCAGCCTGGGCAACAGAGTAATACTCCGTCTCAAAACAAAACAAAACAAAAAACAAACAAAAAACAAAAAAAACCCCTCAAATTCAGCAAGTCTAAAATGTACCTTCTTTTCTTTTTTTTTGAGACGGAGTCTTGCTCTGTTGCCCAGGCTGGAGTGCAATGGCATGATTATCTTGGCTAACCGAAACCTCTGCCTTCCGGGTTAAAGTGATTCTCCTGCTTCAGCCTCTTGAGTAGCTGGGATTACAGGCATGTGCCACCATGCCTGGCTAATTTTGTATTTTTTTTTTTTTTGAGATGGAGTCTTGCTCTGTCGCCCAGGCTGGAGTGCAGTGGTGTGATCTCGGCTCACTGCAACCTCCGCCTGCCGGGTTCATGCCATTCTCCTGCCCCAGCCTCCCGAACAGCTGGGACTACAGGCGCGTGCCACCACGCCCGGCTAATTTTTTTTTTTTGGTATTTTTAGTAGAGAGGGGGTTTCCCTGTGTTAGCTAGGATGGTCTCAATCTCCTGACCTTGTGATCCACCTGCCTCAGCCTCCCAAAGTGCTGGGATTACAGGCGTGAGCCACTGCTCCCGTCCTAATTTTGTATTTTTAGTAGAGATGGGGTTTTTCCATGTTGGTCAGGCTGGTCTTGAACTGCCAACCTCAGGCAATCCTCCTGCCTCGGCCTCCCAAAATGCTGGAGAGAGGTGAAGCCAGCTGGGCTTCTGGATCAGGTGGGGGGAATTGGAGAATTTTTATATCTAGCTAAAGGATCGTAAACACACCAGTTAGCTCTGTGTCTAGCTAAAGGTTTGTAAATGCACCAGTCAGCACTCTGTAAAAACGGGCCAATCAGCGCTCTGTAAAATGGACCAATCAGCGCTCTGTAAAATGAACCAATCAGCAGAATGTGGGCGGGGCCAAATAAGGGAATAAAAGCTGGCCACCAGAGACCCCCAGCAGCAACCCGGTGGGTCCTCTTATGTGGTGTGAAGGCTTAGTTCCTTTGCTCTTCGGAATAAATCTTGCTGTTGCTCTGTAATCTCAGTACTTTGGGAGGCCGAGACAGGCAGATCATGAGGTCGGGAGATGGAGACCATGGTGGCTAACAAGGTGAAACTCTGTCTCTACTAAAAATACAAAAAAGAATTAGCCGGGTGTGGTGGTGGGCACCTGTAGTCCCAGCTACTCAGAAGGCTGAGGCAGGAGAGTGGCGTGAACCCAGGAGGCGGAGCTTGCAGTGAGCCCAGATTCCTCCACTGCACTCCAGCCTGGACCACAGAGCGAGACTCCGTCTCAAAAAAAAAAAAAAAAAATCTTGCTGTTGCTCACGCTTTGGCTTCGCACTACTTTTATGAGCTGGAACACTCACTGAGGAGGTCTGCAGCTTCACTCCTAAAGTGAGTGAGACCACGAACCCACTGGGAGAAACAACTCCAGACATGCCACCTTTAAGAGCTGTGACACTAAACGCGCCACCTTTAAGAGCTGTAACACTCACTATGTAGGTCTGTGCTTCACTCCTGAAGTCAGCGGGACCACGAACCCATCCGGAGGAACAAACAACTCTGGATACGCCACCTTTAAGAGCTGTAACACTCACTGCGAAGGTCAGCGGCTTCATTCCTGAAGTCAGCAAGACCACGAATCCACCAGAAGGAAAAAACTGGGGACACATCTGAAGGAACAAACTCCAGATACATCAAGAACTGTGCCACTCACCGCGAGGGTCTGTGGCTTCATTCTTGAAGTCAGCCAGACCAAGAACCCACCAGAAGGAACCAATTTTGGACACACTGGGATTACAGGTGTGGCCCAGCGTGCCTGGCCCCCCTTTTTTCATACCTTAAATCCAGTGTCAGGAATCGATTTGTTTCTGCCTTTCAACACATCCCAATACAATCTCATCCTTCTCTTGCTACCTACCATCCTTGCCAGAGCCACTATTAATTTTCACCTGGATTACTGGAATAGCTTCCTATTTGGTCTTTGTTCCATTCATGTATTCTTAGCAGAGAAGCCAGGGTGATCGTTTTGCTATATAAGATTGTACCAATTTGCACTCCCACAGGAAGTGTGAAAGTTCTTTGTTAGATCTTCTTCCCCTGCTCAAACTCCCCCAGTGGCTCCATATTTCCGAGGAGGAGTCCATGTTTTTACGGTGGCACACCAGGCCTTGTACAACCGGGTCTTCTGCTACTTATGTGACTTCATCTTTTTTGCTTGGCTCTCCACACTCCACCCCTTTTTCGTGTTGCTGGAGCGAGCCAGGCATGACCCTGCCTTCTGGCCTTCGTGGTGGCTCTTGCTGCTGCCTGCCTGGAATGCTCAACCACAGATAGTCTTATGGCTAACTCCCTTGCCTCCGTAAAGCCTTGCTCAGCTGGCTTGAGGGTTTCTGCCTGTATCTGTGAATTTAAACATAAGGGCTGGCTTGTGGTTTACATAAGGGTAAACATGTTTTTCTTTCCATATATTTTCAAAGTTTGACATGGGCCATTTTCCTTGCTCTTTTGTGGGACATGTGTCTATTTCTAGCCTGCCCTTATTTGTACTGGAGATGTGGCCCAGCTTTATAGGCGGGCTCTCCTGTTCCATCTCCAGCTTGATGGGCTGGGGTTTGTTTCCTCTTTCGTGCACTCTATGGGGGATTAAGAGTTGAAGCTCAGGATCGCTTGGCTTTGGTCCATTTCCTCAGGGAGAAAGCCAGCTTCCACATCCTCTCTGGGTTCCTGCTTTCTCTTCTTTCTTGGCCTATTCCTATGTTCAACCCTTTTGCGAGCTCATTTGGTGCCTTTATAGGACTGAAAACATTTTACCCAGCATTGTTAATGTTTTCAGCAGGAAACAGAGCGCCCAGTCTGTTCCATTGCCAGAAACAGAAGTCCATTAAATACCGCTTTAGGAAGGCAGCATGTTACAGGAGAAAATGCCAGGCAGGTCTCAGGAGCCCCGGGTCCCCATCCCAGCTCAGTCTCAACAGCTGTGATCTTAGACAAGTCACGTGGACCCCTGGGCCTCAGTTTCTTACCTGGTGAAGGAGGGCTGGGAGATAGGGTGACCTCATGGGTTCGGTGATTGTAAGTTAGGGTTAGTGTTTCTCTGTTTTAATGGAGCTCGTGACTGTGCGAGGCAAAATCTCCCAGTTCAGGTGGCCATTTTGTATTTTCTCAGTGACCTACCAGGCCCTGGTTCAGGAGAAGAGATGGCAGATATAGAATATCAAAGGTAACAAATAGAAAATAAAGAACAACTAATTAATTCCTCCAAGATCTTGAGAGAAGCAGAGAAGAGCTGACATCATGCATGAGACAAAGGCCACTGTTCATGGGTGGGTGGGGACAAGAGTATGGGCATGGTAAGTCTGTGGGTGAGGGTCTGTCACTGGGCAGGGAGCCTTGTAACCCAGGCCCCTGGAACTCAGGCTCAGGGCCTGGCCAAAGAGTTTCACCCAACATCCCCCCACCCCCCTGCTCCTCCCCTTAGTTTTGTTTTATTTTGTTTTCTCTTTCTTTTTTTTTTGAGCGGAGTTTCACTCGTCGCCCAGGCTGGAGTACAGTGGTGCGATTTCGGCTCACTGCAACCTCCACCTCCTGGATTCAAGCAATTCTCCTGCCCCAGCCACCCAAGTAGCTGGGATTACAAGCATGAGCCACCACGCCTTCCTAATTTTTGTATTTTTAGTAGTGACGGAGTTTCACCACATTGGCAAGGCTGGTCTCGAACTCCTGACCTCAGGTGATCCATCCACCTCAGCTTCCCAAAGTGCTGGGATTACAGGCATGAGCCACCGTGCCTGGCCCTCCCCTTAGTTCTTTAGTCTTTAGTCTCTTTTAGCTTTCATTTGAAATATATGTATATATAAAATAATAATATATAAATACAATGTATTCATTAAAATTATATCCATATATCCATATATAATTTTATATATTATATACATATATAATTTTAATGAATATGAATTTTAATAAATGTGAATATTTAATGAATGAATTATAAAATTATTAAGCATATATAATTTAAATGATTTTTTCTGAAAATCTAAAGTAAAATATATTTATTAAAATTATATATATTAGGCTGGGCATGGTAACTCATGCCTGTAATCCCAGCACTTTGGGAGGCTGAGGCAGGCGGATGACTTGAGGTCAGGCGTTTGAGGTCAGCCTGGCCGACATGGTGAAACCTCGTCTCTACTAAAAATACAAAAATTAGAGGGGCATGGTGGCGTGCACCTGTAATCTCAGCTACTCAGGAGGCTGAGGTGGGAGGATCTCTTGAGCCTAGGAGGCAGAGGTTGCAGTGAGCTGAGATCACACCACTGCACTCCAGCCTGAGCAACAGAGTGAGACATTGTCTCAAAAAAAATGATATATATTCATATATAATTTTAATGAATAGATTTTTAGATTTTCAGAAAAATTGAGAAGATAGCTCCACAACGATGTGAATGTACGTAATGCCCGGAACTGTACACTTGAAAGTGGTTAAAACGGAAAATTTTATGTTACATATGTTTTACCATTGTTTTCAAAAATCAGACAAAAAGCTAGGCACAGTGGCTCATGTCTATAATCCTAGCACTTCAGGAGGCTGAGGCAGGAGGATTGCTTGAGCCCAGGAGTTTGAGACCAGCCAGGGCAACATAGTGAGACCCCATCTCTACAAAAAATAAAAACATTAGCTGGGCGTGGTGGCATGTACCTGTAGTCACAGTTACTTGGGAGGCTGACATGGGAGGTTTGCTTGAGCCTGAGACTGCAGTGAACCGTGATTGTGCCACTGGACTCCAGCCTGGGCAACAGACCAAGACCCTGTCTCAAAAAAAAGAAAAAAATTCAGACAAAACAATGAAGAAAAGTCTGAGAAACCACCACACAGAGTTCCCATATACCCTACACCAATTTCCCCTATTATTAATATCTTACATTAGTATAATACATTTGTTATAATTAATGCACCAAGAATGATACATTATGATTAACTGAAGTCCATGGTTTATTTAGATTTCCTTACATTTTACCTGGTCTCTTTTCACTTTCAGGATCCTGTCCAGGATACCTCATTACAATTTGTTGTATCCCTTTAGCCTCCTGTGGTGGCTTCTCAGACTTTTTTTAATTGGTTATTTTGTTTTGTTTGATTTTTAAAATTTAGGCCGGGTGTGGTGGCTTATACCTGAAATCCCAGCACTTTGGGAGGCCGAGGCGGGTGGATCACTTTAGGTCAGGAGTTCGAGACCAGCCTGGCCAACAGGGCGAAACCCTGTCTCTAATAAAAATACAAAAATTAGTCATGCGTGGTGGCACGTGCCTGTAATCCCAGCTACTTGGGAGGCTGAGACATGAGAATCACTTGAACATGGGAGGTGGAGGTTGCAGTGAACTGAGATGGTGCCACTGCACTCCAGCCAGGGTGACAGAGCAAGACCCTCTCTCAAAAAAAAAAAAAAAAAAAATCGGGTAAAACATGTATAACATAAAATTTACCATTTTAACAATTTTTAAGTGTAGAGTTCAGTGGCACATTCATGTTGTGTAGAGCCATCACCACATCCATCTCCAGAACTTTTTCATCATCTCAAATTGAAACTTGGTACCCATCAAACACTCCTGTTTCCTCCTGCCCCTCCCATGGTAAGCATGCCTCTTTCTGCTGTCTTTGACTATTTTAGGTATCCTATATAAGTGGAATCATTGCAGATTTGTTCTCTTTTTCTTCTTTTGTTTGTTGAAATTGATAGTTTTGAGGAGTGCTGGTCAGATATTTTGTAAGATTTCCCACTATTGGAATTTGTCTGTTTTTCTCACGACAAGACCGATGCTTGATGTCTATTTTTTACTGTCTGCCAAGTAAGATGCTAAGTGCTAGGAATTCATAAACAAAGCCTAGGTTCTTAGCTTGTGCTCATTTTGCAGATGAGGACTTGACTCTCAGAGAGTTTTAGTTACTTGCCCAGGGTCATATAGCCAATAAATGGCAAAGATGGGATTTGAACTTATCCTTCTGATTTAGACTTGCACCTTCTCCTCCACACTCCTTTTATGCAGGCCAACCAGAGCTGGTGTCCCTACCCTCCTCTTGGACCATTCACAGTCAGTTGGGTGGGTCGGAGCCAGGCAGGTGCTGGGTGCTGGGCCACCTCCATGGAGCAGGCAGTAGCTCTCCACCGAGATTTTTCTTAAATATTTATTTATTTATTTATCAGAGAGGGTCTCCCTCTGTCACCCAGGCTAGAGTGCAGTGGCATGATCATGGCTCAGTGCAGCCTCAACTTCCCTGGCTCAAGTGATCCTCCTGAGTCTCTGGGACTACAAGCGCATGCCACCACATCCAGCTAATTTTTGTATTTTTCATAGAGATGGTGTTTCGCCATGTTGCCCAGGCTGGTCTTGAACTCTTGGGCCGAAGCAATCTTCCCACCTAGGTCTCCCAAAGTGCTGGGATTATAGGTGTGAGCCACTGTGCCTGGTCTTTAAAAACTTTTCTTAATTTTAAACAATTTGAAACATTTTATACATACATGAGTGTATATAACGCATGGGGTCAGTTTGAAGGATAATAATGAAAATAAATGCCCATGTTCCCAGCACCTAACCGAACAATTCCATGTTTTCAATACTTTCTAAACCTCCCTGGGTGCTCCCTTCCCCTTAAGTCCCACCTTTTCCCCTTGTCCCTGGCAGGTCATCACCATCCTGAATTTTGTGTCTGTCATTCTCTTTTCTCTGTGGTTTTACCACATAGGCATATGCCCCATACGTCAATATGTTGTTTAGTCTGGAGAGATTGTTGGGCTTCTATTGAGTGAGGTCACAATGCACATTATGTTATGATTTGCCTCTTTCAGTCAACATTGTGTTTATGGGATTCATTCATTCAGTTTAGCTTATTCATTTTCACCACTATACAGTATTTCATTGTATGAATATGGTCTGTATTTTTTAATCCATTCTCATGGCCGTGGGGGTTTGGGCTGTTTGCAGTTTTTGCCTTTATAAGCAGTGCTGCTAAGAACATTCTGCGGCCCATGGGTGGGAGAGTTTCTCCAGCTGTCTTATGAAGAGTGGATTTACTGGATCATAGAGTATGTGTTCCAGGTGATACCAAACTGTTTTCCAAAGGCTTGGGTCCGTCTCCACTCCCACCAGTCATGTATGAGGGTCCTCACCCCTCCATATCCTCAGAGCCGTCTTTGGTGCTGGTCTGTCTTTCACCTCAGCTATGTCGACATCTCAGAGGCCATTGGCCGTACTCAGCGCTCAGGCCTTACTTGGCCTCTGGCCTGAGTATCTCTAGCTTAGTCACTTGGACTTCCGGCTTCCCTGAGCGTTTAAGCCCGTGCTTGTGTTGTTGGCTCCAGCCCTGGGTCCGGGCACAGAGCTCCAGCCTTGGCTCCAGATTCTGGGTCCTGGTAGGGCTCTGTGTCTCCAGAGTGGTCAAGGAAGTTAGACCCAAGCAAGGTGGCACTGGAATTTTCCATCATGCAGGAGACAGTGTCTTCCCATCCCCTTGCCTTCTTCCTGCCCTGAGAACCAGGAATCCTTAAGAGGGCTTTCATGGTTTTTTTTGAGGCCTTTTGGTTGGTGAACACCAGAACTGTCAGTACTGGCAGGAGGACGTGACATCTGTGCTGGCCCTAGGCCAGGCCACATGGACGTCTCTGCACAGAGCCAGCTCATCCGGCCCCAGGCGTCAGGTGCACGGGTGTGCACAGAGCCAGGCCCCACCCAGTTCAGGACAGCCCCAGAGCCCACTCCTTTTGCCTTCACCTTCCTATCAGATGCTCCTATTTTTTTAAAAAAATTTATTTATTTGTAAAGATGAGGGTCTCACTATGTTTCCCAGGGTGGTCTCAAACTCCTGGCCTCGAGCAATCTTCCCACTTCGGCCTTCCAAAGAGCTGGGATGATAGGCATGAGCCACTGTGGCTGGCCCAGATGCTCCTTTTTCTGATGGTGCCTGCACCAGGGATGGTTCCCTGTGTCCCAGGCTCAGAGTTTCTGGGTTTTCCTTGTCTTGGTAACCACGACAGCATAGTGGCTACCAACACAGACCAACCTGGGTTCGAATCCCAGTTCGACTTCTGACTAACTTTGGCATCTAGTACTGGTAACATGACTTCCCTTAGCTGCTGTTTCCCCATTGTAAAATGAGGATACCATCTACATCTACAGGATTATTGAATGAGAAAATGTGCACAGAGTGTTAGCACCCTTCCTGGCACACCCAGGACCCCAAGAACTGTTTTGGGTGCTTATTGTGATGTGGTGGACCTGGGTTTCAGTTCTGATGCTGTCACCTCTGAGTTGTGTCATTTAGCCTGTCTGGGCCTCAGTTTCCCATTTGCAAAATGGTAGTAAGGATTTTTACTTCATTTGGCTCATTGATCTAAAATATGTAAAGGGTACAGAGTTGCTCAATAAATATTAGTGAATGTTATTATTATATGAGATGCAAGGACTTACTTTTTTTTCTCAAAGGATATAGACAGGGGACATAGAGAAGACTCATTTCCTGTGGAACAGTCCAGACTTCACATATTCAAGTTTTTATAAACATTATTCTTTTAAAAAAGAATACATGATAAACATTTTGGAGAAGAGAAAAGGAGGGGGAAAAACTCACTCACGATCCCACCACCTGAATGTAAGCACTGTGAGCAAGCATGCTGCTGCACTTCCTTCCAGGGTTTCCACATGCATTTTATTAAGTGGTCGTAATTACAGGATATACGCAGTTTTGTATTCTTTTTCTTCTACTTAGCGGCATATCATAAATGTTACCCCATGTGGCTACATGTTATTGGCAATTGTGATTTTTTTTATGGCTGCATACCATCCTTAATTATGACCTTTATGAATAAAGCTCTCCAGCATTTCCCGTTTTTTCCTGAGGATGGATTCCAGAAGTCAAGTTACTGGGTCAGACGGTGTAAACACTTTTTATAGCTTCAGATTCGTATAGCCAAATTGCTTTCCAAAAGGGTGGTATCAATTTGCAGTGTAGTCATGCCTGTAAATGCTCATCCAGCTGCATATTTATTGGTATTGGGTATTATAAATACAGTTTTTTTTTGGGGGGGGCTGACTTATGTGCTATGTCTTGTCTTTATCAGCATCAGTTGCCAAACCAGAAAAAAGTTAAAAGGAGTTGAGAAACTACAACAAACTTCATTAGTGCAGAATCATGGTGTTGAAAAAGATCTTGAGCAGACTATTAACTTTTTCTTCCCCCTGATTTTTACCATCTGCAATTGAACTATAAAGGTGGATGGATGTTATATTTTAATTTAACATAATTTTTAAAAAGTTTATTTTTTTCTATTACAAGAGTAAAATGTGCAAGCCTGGACAATATGGCAAAACCCCTTCTCTACAAAAAATTCAAAAATTAGCTGGGTGCGGTGGTGTGTGCCTGTAGTCCTAGATACTTGGGGGCTGAGATGGGAGGACAGCTTGAGCCTGGGAGGCAGAGGTTGCAGTGAGCTGTGTTTGTGCCACTGTACTCCAGCCTGGGCGACAGAGCAAGACCCTGACTCAAAAAAAAAAAAAAAAAAGAGTAAAATGTGATTAGTAAAGACATGTTGAAACTATAGAAAAAGTTGAAAGATATGCAATCACTGATCATCCCAAGGCTAACATTTTGGCACATATCCTCATTTTCTTCCAATTTTTTTTGTTTGTTTTTTGAAACAGAGTCTCGCTTTGTTGCCCAGGCTGGAGTGCAGTGGCACAATCTCGGCTCACTGCAATCTCTGCCTCCTGGGTTCGAGTGATTCTCTTGCCTCAGCCTCCCGAGTAGCTGAGATTACAGGTGCATGCCACCACACCTGACTAATTTTTGTATTTTTAGTACAGATGGGGTTTCACCATGGTGGCCAGGCTGGTCTCGAACTCCTAGCCTCTAGTGATCCACCTGCCTTGGCCTCCCAAAGTGCTGGGGTTACAGGTGTGAGCCACCTCGCCCAGCCCCCTTCCAATGTTTTTTCTCCAAACATTTTTCTCCTTTCGTATAGCTGTGACTATACTATATAAACAATTTTCAATTTATCTTTTTCCATTTAACATAACAATACAGGTATTTATATAATTATAAGCATATATAGATATCCTTTTGACAGCCCACGTATTTTGTTATTTTTTATTTTCTTTTTGGAAAGAAAATACCTATGATTTTAAAAAATTCAAATAGTGCAGAAAGAACAATGAAAAGTCTCCTTTCCACCCTTGGCTTCAGTAATCCTCCCCACAGTCCTGTGGTCACCATTTCCTTGTGGATCCAGAGATGTTCTATGCAAATACAAACAGAAGCGAGCTTTTCTACACAAATAAAGATTGGAATACCATTCATCTTGCTTTGCACTTTGCTTTCTTGTCTTTCTCACTTAATATATTTTGGACACCATCCCATAACAGCACATACGGTTTTAACATGGACTTTCTTTTTAATAGTTAATAGTATATATTGTGTGGATGTACCATAATGTATTATCCAGTCCTTGCTTTTGTTTCTATAGACTATGTTGCAAGCAGCAGTCTTGCCCTTTAGGCACGTGTGTGAGTAGTCTCTGTAGGATAAATTCCTAGCACTGAAATTTTGCTAGGTCAGCAAATGCATTTTAAAATGTACATTTTATTTTGGAAGACACTATCAGATTGCCTTCAAACTCTACCCAATAATGTATAAAAGTGCCTGTTTCTCCATACCAGCAGAGGGTAAACAACATCTTTGATCTTTGACAAACTGAAAGGTAAAAATGGTATTCCCGTTTTGTTTTAATATAAGTTTTTCTTATAGGAAAGGCTGAATAGGCTGGGCACGGTGGCTCACGCCTGTAATCCCAGCACTTTGGGAGGCCGAGGTGGGTGGATCATGAGGTCAGGAGTTCAAGACCAGCCTGGACAACATGGCAAAACCCCGTCTCTACTAAAAATACAAAAATTAGCCAGGCGTCGCTGGGTGCAGTGGCTCATGCCGGTAATCCCAGCACTCTGGGAGGCTAAGGCAGGTAGATCATGAGGTCAGGAGATCGAGACATTCCTGGCTAACGCAGTGAAACCCCGTCTCTACTAAAAATACAAAAAAATTAGCTGGGCATGGTGGCGGGCAGCTGTAGTCCCAGCTACTCGGGAGGCTGAGGCAGGAGGATGGTGTGAACCCAGGAGGTGTTGCAGAGATCATGCCACTGCACTCCAGCCTGGGTGACAGAGCCACTGCACTCCAGCCTGGGCAACAGAGTGAGACTCCATCTCAAAAAAAAAAAAAAAATTAGCCAGGTTTGGTGGCACGTGCCCTGTAATCCCAGCTAATCAGGAGGCTGAGGCCAGAGAACTGCTTGAATTCAGGAGGTGGAGGTTGCAGTGAGCTGAGATCGCGCCACTGCACTCCAGCCTGGGCAACAGAGCAAGACTCCATCTCGGAAAAAAAAAAAAAGGCTGAATAATCTTTCAAAGCCACTTACATTTTGATTTCTGTGAACTGACTAGACATCATTTTTAACTGCTGAGAAATAGCCCGTGGAGATTTACCAAAGTGTATCTAATAATTCTTTTATGTTGTTTCAAAACTTTCACTGTTATCAATAATACCTAGTGTCATCTTTTTGCATATATCTTCTGTCTGCTTCTGTTTTTTTGGATCATTTTCTTTTTCTTTCTTTTTTTTTTTTTTAGACGGAGTCTCACTCTGACTCACCCAGGCTGGAATGCAGTGGCACAGTCTCGACTCACTGCAATCTCTGCCTCCCAGGTTCAAGCAATTCTCCTGTCTCTGCCTCCCGAGTAGCTGGGACTGCAGGCGTGCACCACCACACCCAGCTAATTTTGTATTTTTAGTAGAGATGGGGTTTCACCATGTTGGCCAGGCTGGTCTCGAACTCCTGACCTCAGGTGATCCACCCATCTTGGCCTGGATCGTTTTCTTTTTTTTGGAGACGGAGTTTTGCTGACACCCAGGCTGGAGCGCAGTGGCACAATCTCAGCTCACTGCAACCTCCATCTCCCAAGTTCAAGCGATTCTCCTGCCTCAGCCTCCCAAGTAGCTGGGACTACAGGTGTGCGCAACCACTTCTGGCTCATTTTTGTATTTTTGGTAGAGATGGGGTTTCACCATGTTAGCCAGGCTGGTCTCAAAACTCCTGACCTCAGGCAATCCACCTGCCTCAGCCTTCCAAAGTGCTCCGATTACAGGCGTGAGCCACTGTGCCCAGCCCATTTTCTTAGAACAGATGCTTAGAAATGAAATTAGCCCATCAAATGGTATTGGACTTTTAAAGACACGATTGCCAAATCGCTCTTGGAAAGGCTTATACTGCTTTACAACTCCACCAACGACGTACATGTGTACTCAATTCCCTTTCCATTGCCAGCATTGGCTTTACCATATTTAAAAAAAAATCTCCCAGGATGTAGCTTCTGTAGATTTATTCTGTCCTCTAATCCAGTATTAACCTAACCTTCAAAGCCAGGTTTGTATTGCAAAACAAATCCTTCCTGTCAAATTGAGGCCTGACTTTATTCTGGAAGAACTTAGGAGTTCTGCATCAGAAATGTTGATGTCTATTTTCCTTCCTTTGTAAAGTCCCATGGCCAAGTTTGTATGAATCATTACAGAAAAAAAAAAAGATTGCCATTGTTCCAACAAGTGCTCAAATGCTTCTCAACTGTATTACCAATTGGAATAGATTACCTATGTCCATGGAGGTGTGGGGCGGCACTCTGCCTAGGAAGGTACTGTCTGATTCACTCTCAATGGGACGTGGCAAAGTCAGCAAGGGTGACACTGGGAAGGGTCTTGTGTGCTGGGCTGCATCAGAATGGGTGTTACCTGAAAGAACAGATACTTGTTTATATCTGCTCGACATCTCTTTCCTCTTCTCTTGAGAGGGGTGTCTTTCTTCCTTTCGAACTACTGTGTCATGAGCTAGCCCTGACCTACCAGAATCCCCTTTCTTCTTGGCTAGCATGACTGACTCATGGGTGGGTATGACCCAAGAATGACCAGTCAGTCCTTCCTGAGATTTGACATACGTATGCTGAGAGAAAGAAACTTAGATTTCCCATGAAGCTTGGTAATGGGGGATGATTTAGGCCTAAGCTCTTGGTGGTCTCCCTCTTTTTTTTTTTTTTGAGACAGGATCTGGCTCTGTCACCCAGGCTGGAGTGCAGTGGCATGATCACAGCCCACTGCCACCTCTACCTCCCAGGCTCAAGTGATCCTCCCACCTTAGCCTCCCAAGCAGCTGGGACTACAGGTGTGTGCCACCATGCCCAGCTAATTTCTGTATTCTTTTTTTTGGTAGAGACAGGGTTTCACCATGTTGCCCAGGCTGGTCTCGAACTCCTGAGCTCAAGCCATCCACCCGCCTCGGCCTCTCAAAGTGTTGGGATTACAGGCATGTGCCACCGTGCCTGGCTGGTCTCTTTTCCTCCATGTGGAAAAAGCTGCCTGCAGTAGAAGCCTGGGAATATGAAACTAAGAAAAGACACACAGGCGAGGCAGGACAGGGGGAAAGGGATGGTCTTTATGCTAGTCATCTGAGTGCTCATCGACCTGGATTTCCTTCTGCACTTATAATGGAAGAACTCTGGTGCACCAGGGGAGGCCAGAGAACTTCACGTCTGAGATGAGCACAGCGAATTCCAGAGAGAGGGAACCAAGGGTTGGTACTAGGAGAAAATATCCCTTGTCAGATTCAAACATCTCAGACGTTTGAAATGATAGGATGAGGCAAGATAAGAACTGGTGCTGGGAATATGAGAAGCAAGTCAGGAAGTATAAAGGCAGGGAAGAGAAAGGAGTCTATTGTATTCATCTGAGCACAAGACGATCTTGAGCCAGGTTGGCAGTGGAACGGTGCGGAATGGTGAGGAATGGTTGCAAGGAGAATTGCAGTGGAATAATTGGTAGGACTTGGTGACTGGCTGGCTAGCTGTATTAGTTGGCTTAGCCTGCCATCACAAAATACCACAGACTAGGTGGCTTGAATCATAGAAATTCATTTTCTCATGGTTCTGAAGGCTTGGAAAGTCCAACATTAAGGTGCCGGCAGGGTTGGTTTCTGCTGACGCCTCAGGTTGCACGTGGTGCCTTGTCACTGTGTCCTCATATGGCCTTTTCTCACTGCTTGTGTGGAGAGAGATCACTGGTGTCTCTTCCTCTTCTTATAAGTACACCAGTTCTGTGGGATTAGGGCCCCATCCCTATGACCTCATTAACCCTCATGTACCTCCTTAAAGGTGGTCTCTCCAAATGCAGTTACGTTAGTGGTTAGTGCTTCAACATATAAATTTGTGGGGAGACACAATTCAACCCTGACACTAACAAAGTAGGAATACATTTTTGGGGTAGAATGATTAATTTGTTTGAGTTTATTTTTCTCTCATGTCTTAAAAAGATATTTGTAACCATAGGTACATGTGATTTAAAAAACTCTCTTCTTTTCATTTATTAGTATATTATAAGCATTTTCCCATATTGCTATGTAGCATTTTTTTTTCTTTTGAGATGGAGTCTCACTCTGTTGCCCAGGCTAGAGTGCAGTGGCACGATCTTGGCTCAGTGCAACCTCCACCTCCCAGGTTCAGTCGATTCTCCTGCCTCAGCCTGCCAAGCAGCTGGGATTACAGGTGCATGCCACCATGCTGGCTAATTTTTGTGTTTTTAGTAGAGACGGGTTTTCACCATGTTGGCCAGGTTGGTCTCGAGCTCCTGACCTCAAGTGATCTGCCCACCTCGGCCCCCTGACGTGCTGGGATTACAGGCATGAGCCACCACGCCCAGTCATATTGCTATGTAGTTCTTGTAACTATCATTTTTTTTTCTAACTGCTCCTTCTGGAGCAGGGCTACCCATAGGCAGTGTGACCAGGGAAGCCTATAACTATCATTTGTAAAGGCTACAATGCCTTTGTGGCAGTACCCTAGTATTATTCCGAGTCTTTATTTATTTATTTATTTTTGAGACAGAGTCTTGCTCTGTTGCCCAGGCTGGAGTGCAGTGGTGAGACCTTGGCTCACTGCAATCTCTGCCTCTTGGGTTCAAGTGATTCTCACATCTCAGCCTCCCTAGTAGCTGGAATTACAGGTGCCTGCCACCACGTCTGGCTAATCTTTGTATTTTTAGTAGAGACAGAGTTTCACCATGTTGGCCAGGCTGGTCTCAAACTCTTGACCACAAGTGATCAGCCCACCTCGGCCTCCCAAAGTGCTAGGATTACAGGTGTGAGCCACCAGGCCTGGCCTCTAGTCTTTATCTTAACTAGTTTCCCTCAACTAGGCAACCAGCTGTGAGCCCATTCCATCCATCTTTTCCCAGCTCTTGTAACCATCCTTTCTTTCCTATCTTGACTGCCAACAGCCTGCCATAAGGCCAGATCATTGCATGCTGGGCACTTCCTCACTGGCCCACTGTCACCCTGCCCCTAGTTGTGCCCCCTCCATTCACCTGGCACAGAGGAGACAAATGAAGCTTAAGGCTGTGCTTTTCATGTCACTCCTTCGCCCTTAAAATGAATGGGATGATGAACCCCAAACTCGTTAGCTAGGCGGGGCGCAGTGGTGCATGCCTGTAATCCCAGCACTTTGGGAGGCCAAGGTAGGCAGATCGCTTCAGCCCAGGAGTTTGAGGCCTGATGAATATAGCGAGACCTTGTCTCTGCAAAAAATTGAAAAATTAGTTGGGCATCGTGGTGTGCACTTGTGGTCCCAGCTACTCAAAGAGGCTGAGGTGGGAGGATTGCTTGAGCCTACAAGGTCAAGGCTGCAGTGAGCTATGATCACACCATGGCACTCTAGCCTGGGCAACAGAGCAAGACCCTGTCTCAAAAAAAAAAAAAAAAGAAACAATATATAAAGTTCTGTAATTCACATTACTGAAATTGGAAAGATAATCAACATGACCAAACTTAATCATAGTTGTGTCTGGATGTTCTGTAAATGGACCAGTGATGTTTGAATGAATATAATAAAAACATAAAAACTTAAAATTGTTTTAATATGTGTTTTCAAAAGTTAATTTTGAATATTTCATTTTATTTTATTTTTTCAAGATGGAATTCCGCTTTTGTCTCCCAGGCTGGAGTGCAATGGCACAATCTTGGCTCACTGCACCTCTGCCTCCTGGGTTCAAGTGATTCTCCTGCCTCAGCCTCCCCAGTAACTGGGATTACAGGTGTGCATCGCCATGCTTGGCTAATTTTTGTATTTTTAGTAGAGATGGGGTTTCACCATGTTGGCTAGACTGGTCTTGAACTCCTGACCTCACATGATCCACCTGCCTCGGCCTCCCAAAGTGCTGGGATTACAGGCGTTAACCACCATGCCTAGCTTTAATTTTGAATATTTTAGAAGAAAGTATATTAAAATTAAAAGATATCCAGGAAGCTCCCCATTTATTTAGGTTTCTTTAATGATTTTCAAAAGGATTTTATAATTTTCTCCATAAATCACTTTTGTTAGATTTATTCATTTCAGTTTATCTTTTTAGCATGACTATCTTTTTTTTTTATTTTCAAGGGATGGGGTCTTTGTATGCTGCCCAGGCTGTACTCAAATTCCTGGGCTTAAGCAATCTTCCCACCTCAGCCTCCTGAGTAAAGACAACAGCATGTGTTACTATGCCCAACCGATGATTATCTTTTTAAAAATTACTTTTGTAATTTGATGCTGGTTGTAGAAATTCATTGACTGTTGTATATTAATTTTTTTATTCAGCAACTTGCTAAACTTTTTTATTAAAGCTAATAATTTCTTTATAGATTTTTGTGTTTTCTATGTAGCCCAATCATATACATGAATAACGAATATTTTATTCTTTTCTAATTCTTATGCCTTTATTATTCTTCTCTTCATCCAATATGATATTGAATAAAAATGTTATAAGCAGGCACTCTTTTCTTTGGTCTCAAAGGGAGAGTATTCAATGCTTCACCATTAAATTAGATTTCTGCATTTTTAATTGTTGTTGGAGAAAGTGGTCTATAGGATACCAGTATACCAGTCCTTTGAAATTTGTTGAGACCTGAATGTAATTAAATTTCTTAAGTATTCTATGTATTTCTGGGAAATGTATATTCTAAAATAGATGGGTGCAGTGATTTATATCACTTTAAAAAGTTAAACATCTTATATATAAGAAAACTTCCAAACTGTTTTCTAAAGAGGTTGCATCATTTTACATTCCCACCAGCATCATATGAAAGTTCCAGTTTTTCCATATCATTGCCAACACTTGGAATAGTTATTATTATTATTATTAGTTTATTTATTTTTTGAGACGGAGTCTCACTCTGTTGCCCAGGCTGGAGTGCAGTGGCGCGATCTTGGCTCACTGCAACCTCTGCCTCTCGGGTTCAAAAAATTCTCTGTCTCAGTCTCCCAAGTAGCTGAGATTACAGGTGCCTGCCACCACACCCAGCTAATCTTTTTGTATTTTTAGTAAAGACGGGGTTTCACCATCTTGCCAGGTTGGTCTTGAACTTCTGACCTCGTGATCCACCCGCTTCGGCCTCCCAAAGTGCTGGGATTACAGGTGTGAGCCACCGCACCTGGCTTGAAATAGTATTTTTAATGTTAGTCATTCTAGTGGTGTGTGTGGTATCTCATGGTGGTTTATTTGAATTTACCTAATAACAAATGATGTTGAGCCTCTTCTCATGAGCTTATTTGCCATCTGTATATCTTCTTTGGTGAAGTGTCTGTTCAAATCTCTTGCCCATTTTCTCTCTTCTTTTTTTGAGACAGAGTCTCGCTCTGTCACCCAGGTTGGAGTGCAGTGGCACGATCTTGGCTCACTGCAAGCTCTGCCTCCTGGGTTCATGCCATTCTCCTGCCTCAGCCTCCCGAGTAGCTGGGACTACAGGCACCCGCAACCACGCCAGGCTAATTTTTTGTATTTTTAGTAGAGACGGGGTTTCACTGTGTTAGCCAGGATGGTCTCTATCTCCTGACCTCGTGATTTGCTTGCCTCGGCCTCCCAAAGTGCTGGGATTACAGGTGTGAGCCACCGCACCCAGCCTCTCTTGCCCATTTTCTAACTCAATTGTCTGTCTTATTATTGAGTTACCAGAGTTCTTTATATATCCTAGATATAAAAATTTTGTCAGATATATGCTTTGTAATATTTTCTCCTAGTCTTGCCTCCTACTGTGGCAATAGGACTAGTTCAGGAACCATCAATGACATGTGAGTGGAAGTGATATGTGTGACTCTTAGGTCAACTTTTAAGACATAATGAAGCTTTTCCACTTGTTTGTTATCTTTACATTGGCTATAAAGAGGCCCCAGGGGACAGTAGAGCCACAGGAAGGAGCCTGTGTCCCTTAAACCCCACGTGGAGAAAAGCTGCCTGTCCACCAGGGCCACTGAAATTAACAGTAGTGAGAAATACATTTCTATTGTGTTAAGACACTGACATTCTGGAGTCTATGTGTCAGTCTACATAGAGACTAAAAATAAATTTCTAGGCAGGGCACGAGGGCTCATGCTTGTAATCCCAGCACTTTGGGAGGCGGAGGTGGGCGGATCACTTGAGGCCAGGAGTTTGAAACCAGCCTGGCCAACATGGTGAAACTCCCGTCTGCACTAAAAATACAAACAATTAGCTGAGCATGGTGGTACGTGCCTGTAATCCCAGCTACTTGGGAGGCTGAGGCATGAGAATCACTTGAACCCAGGAGGCGGAGGTTGCAGTGAGCTGAGATTGTGCCGCTGCACTCTAGCTTGAGTGACAGAGTGAGACTCTGTCTCTAAATAAATAAATAAATAAATAAATAAATAAATTTCTAATCACACTGATACATGTGACTTCTGTTCAATATATTTTGTTTCAAGAGATCATCTGAAGCAATTTCCAGAATTTGTTCTTCCAACCAGATCAATTTATTTGTTAAGAAATTGATGATAATCTAGTTTGGGGAAATATATATTTAAACATTTTATTAAGTCTTTCAAGTGTTTCTTTGCAAATTTTTTTTTTTTTTTTTTTTTGAGACAGGATCTTGCTCTGTCACCCAGGCTGGAGTGCGGTGGCACGAACATGGCTTACTGCAGCCTCCACCTCCTGGGCTCAGGTGATTCTCCTGCCTCAGCCTGCTTTGTAGCTGGGGCCACAGGTACATGCCACCATGGCTGGCTAATTTTTTTATTTTTTTTGTAGGTACAGTGTCCCACTACGTTGCCCAGGCTGGTCTTGAACTCTTGGGCTCAAGTGATCCTCCTGCCTCGGCCTCCCAAAGTGCTAGGATTACAGGTGTGAGCCACTGCACCCACCCTCCTTTATAATGTTAAAATAATTTCAGTAAGTTCTTTTTCTTTTATTCTTGTTTTTGAGATGGAGACTTGCTCTGTCGCCCAGGCTGGGGTGCAGTGGTGCCATCACTGCTCACTGCAACCTCCACCTCCTAGGTTCAAGGAATTCTCCTGCCTCAGCCTCCCGAGTAGCTGGGATTACAGGTGCCCACCACAAAACCCGGCTAATTTTTGTATTTTTAGTAGGGATGGGGTTTCACCATGTTGGCCAGGCTGGTCTTGAACTCCTGACCTCAAGTGATCTGCCTGCCTCGGCCTCCCAAATTGCTGGGATTACAGGTGCAAGCCACCACACCCTGCCCATTTCAGTGAGTTCTTCTAATGAGTTCACAACCAGGTTCATGGTGGAAATGTTCTCAGAATTTGTTCATGGGTTGGTTCAATGAAGTTGCTTCTGGAGCCTTAGGAGGGCTGTAGCTGATGGAGCCTCCATCTAGTGAGCACACACTCCATCTGGTTAGCACTTCATATAGATTTTTCTCTCAGCCCTTGTCATACCATCAAGAGGTAGGAAATAGAATTCCCATTGTAAAGCTAGGGAAACCGAGGCTCAAGAGAACTGAAGTCACTTGCATAAGGCTGTACCAAGACTCAAACCTGAATGTGCCCAGTTCCAGACTTGCCCTCTGCTATCCTGATGGGAGTGAGACTGAACTAGAGGCCATAGTTCTGCCTCATTTTCCCCCAGGGACCTGGTCCTGGGCTCCTCACAGGGGGCCTCAGCGATCAGCCAGATGCTTCTCAGGCCAAGGGCCTGGGGCTGCCTCAACAACCAGTTCCTTCTTCTTGGTGGACTCCATTCTGAAGGAGCCATGGGAGGTAATAGAGCCTCAGCATGGAGGGACTGTGCACGTGTGCATGGGTGCACCAATGTCCCCACACCAGGATAGAGGAAACATAGACAGCCATTAGCTTTCTCTTTTCCAAGCCTCCTCTCCCACCACCACCATGCCATGGCTGCCCTGCCTTCACATCTACAAGAGTGTTGGAGGCTTCCCACCCTGGGGGAAGCACAGCTGAATGTCTGGAGAAGAATCACAGTGTCCATTTTGCTCCTGTGCCTTGCCAGTGGGGCATCTGGATTTTGGGGACTTGTCTTCAGAAGGCGTAGGGTTTATAGGTGATGATTACAAGTAGGTTAAAAACATCTTGTAAGGAAGAAATGAAGGTATAAGGTTCTTTATTAATTTTTAAAATTTTCTGTCATGTGACTTGTATGAGTCCATTTTCATGCTGCTGATAAAGACATACCTGAGACTGGGCAACTTACAAAAGAGTTTATTGGACTTACAGTTCCACTTGGCTGGGGGAGCCTCACAATGATGGTGGAAGGTGAAAGGCACGTCTCACATGGCAGCAGAGAAGAGAAGAGAGCTTGTGCAGGGAAATTCCTTTTTTTTGTCTTTTTTGAGATGGAGTCTTGCTCTGTCACCCAGGCTGGAGTGCAGTGGCACAATCTTGGCTCACTGCAACCTCCACCTCCTGGGTTTGAGTGATTCTCCTGCCTCAGCCTCCCAAGTAGCTGGGATAATAGGCATGTGCCACCATGCCCAGGTAATTTTTGTATTTTTAGTAGAGATGGGGTTTCACCATGTTGGCCAGGCTGGTCTTGACCTCCTGACCTCAGGTGATCCACCTGCCTTGGCCTCCCAAAGTGGTGGGATTACAGGTGTGAGCCACTGTGCCTGGCCTCCTTTTTAAAACCATCAGATCTCATGAGACTTATTCACTACCACAAGAACTGTATGGGAGAAACTGCCTCCGTGATTCAATTATCTCCCACTGGGTCCCTCCCACAACACATGGGAATTATGGGAGTACAATTCAAGGTGAGATTTGGGTGGGGACACAGAGCCAAATCATATGACTTTCTTATTTTTATAATTGAATTTATAAAAAATGCAACGAATTTCACAAGTTGCTTCTCTATATGAGAAACATCTTTTGTAGCTCAGCTTTATTTCCTGCATGTGTTTCAAATAATAATATTGTGTTGTGACCAGGTGCAGTGGTTTATGCCTGTAATCCCAGCACTTTAGGAGGCCAAGGCAGGAGGATCACTTGAGCTCAGGAATTTGAGACCAACCTGGGCAACATGGAGAAACCGTTCTTCTACCAAAACCCACCCCTCCCAAAACCGAAAAGCAACAAAAATTAGCCAGACGTGGTGGCTTGCGCCTGCAGTCCCAGCTACTCAGGAGGCTGAGGTGGGAGGCTCACTTGAGCCTGGGGAGGTGGAGGCTGCAGTGGGTTGAGATTGTGCCACTGCACTGCAGCCTGGGTGACAGAGAAAGACACTGTCTCAATAATAATAATATTAATAATAATGCTGCATTGCAAGGAGGCTTTAAAAAATTATTTAAAAATTTTTGGTAAAATATACATAACATAAAATGTACCATTTTAACCCCCACCCCTTTTTTTTTGAGACAGAGTCTTGCTCTGTTGCTCAGACTGGAGTGCAGTGGCATGATCCCAGCTCACTGCAACCTCTGCCTCCAAGGTTCAAGTGATTCTCTTGCCTCAGCCTCTCGAGTGGCTGAGATTACAGGCGCCCGCCACCATGTCTGGCTAATTTTTTTTCTATTTTTAGTAGCAACGGGGTTTCACCATGTTAGCCAGGCTGATCTTGAACTCTTGACCTCAGGTGATCTGCCCACCTCGGCCTCCCAAACTTCTGGGATTACAGGCGTGAACCACCATGCCCGGCCCATTTTAATAATTTTTTTTTTTTTAGATGCAGTCTCAATCTGTCACCAGGCTGGAGTGCAGTGGCAAGATCTCAGCTCATTGCAAGCTTGCCTCCTGGGTTCAAGCGATTCTCCTGCCTCAGCCTCCTGAGTAGCTGGGACTACAGGCGCTCGCCAGCACGCCCAGCTAATTTTTGTATTTTTAGTAGAGACGGGGTTTCACCATGTTGGCCAAGATGGTCTCAATCTCTTGACCTCGTGATCCTCCCGCCTCGGCCTCCCAAAGTGCTGGCATTATAGGCGTGAACCACAGCCTTAATCATTTTAAAATGTACAGTTGAGTGGCATTAAGTACATTCGCATAGTTGTACCACCGTCACCACTGTTCATCTCCATAACTTTTCTTATCCCAAACTGAAACTTGATACCCATCCAACACTAACTTCCCTTTTCCTCCTCCCCCCAGTCCTTGGCAATCTCTATTCTACTTTCTGTCTCTATGAATTTGACTATGTGCTGTTCCTCATGTAAATGGAATCATACCATTTGTCCTTTTTTGTCTGGCTCATTTCACTTGGCGCAATGTCCTCAAGCTCCATCTATGCTCTAGTGTGTGTCAACATGCATCCTTTCTCAGGCCAAATACGATTTTACTGTATGTACATATCATATTTTGTTTATCCATTCATCTGTCAATAAACATTTGGATTGTTTCTACCTTTTGGCTACTGGGAATAATGCTGCTAAGAACATGGGCGTACAAAGATATTTGAGTCCTTGCTTTCCATTATTTTGGGCATATGCCTGCAAGAGGAATTGCTGCCAAAGAGCTTTTTAGAACTCATTTTGGGGACTTTCCCAGGTCATTATTTTGAATTTCTTCAGCTATGGCCACTGTCTGTCTTCTGAATGTAGATTTGATTTTTAGAAACTCCCAGCACAAAATGGAATGAGAGGGCTTACCCACACTGCATCTTCTAATAAAGGAGTGTGAAGAAGGAAGACACATAAGTTCCCTTCCAGAGGAAGGAATTGAGGCTGAGAGAGGGTAAGGGCTTGCCCAGTGTGCAGGGTTGCAGTAATAGGGCTGGGGTTCAAACTCTGGTCTGTCTGAACGCAAAGCCTCTGCTTGGTCCTTGACCATGTTCTTTCTCTAGGAAGCAATTTGTTGAGCTACTAAGTTGGGGAATATAATTTTAGATTAAAAAGTGTTATTATGGTGACTGATTTAAAAATATTTTTTATATATTTTTCTCTTCAAAAAGAAAAAGGTCATTTTTAAAAATCTGGGATATAAAGTAAAGCAGAAAGAAACAAGTTACCCATGTTTCCACCACTGTTCATCAACTATATCTCTATGTAAAATGTTTCATTGTTGGTCAGGCATGGTGGCTCACGCCTGTAATCCCAGCACTTTGGGAAGCCGAGGCAGGGGGATCACGAGGTCAGGAGTTCAAGACCAGCCTGGCCAACATGGTGAAACCCCGTCTTTACTAAAAATACAAAAATTAGCCAGGCATGGTGGTGGGCATCTGTAATCCCAGCTACTTGGGAGGGTGAGGCAGGAGAATCGCTTGAACCCGGGAGGTGCAGGTTGCAGTGAGCTGAGATCACGCCATTGCACTCTAGCCTGGGCAACAAGAGCAAGACTCCGTCTCAAAAAAAAAAAAAAAGTTTGATTGCATTCCCCGAGTTCAGCTGGGCATGTTATTCACTTGATCACTCCAGGCCAAGAATAGACAAGCATTTAGTAACCTTAGGAGGCTGTGCCTTTTCACTTACAAAGGCTTACATTGGCAGATGGGAGGAGGCAGCATGGGAGCCATGGAAGAACATTGCTGGGATCTCCTTTCAAGAACGAACTTGCCATTCAGCTGCAAGGAATGAGGTTAGCAGATAGCGTGCAGCTGCAGCACCTTTGGGGTCCTCCATAGTAGCATTTGTTTTTTGTAGAGATGAGTTCTCACCATTTTGCCCAGGCTGGTCTTGAACTCCTAGCCTCAAGCGATCCTCCTACCTCAGCCTTCTAAAGTGCTGGGATTAGGCTGGGCATGGTGGCTTACACCTATAATCCCAGAACTTTGGGAGGCTGAGGCAGATGGATCACTTGAGGTCTAGGAGTTCGAGACCAGCCTGGCCAACGTGGTGAAACCCTATCTCTACTAAAAATACAAAAATTAGGCCAGGCGCAGTGGCTCACCCCTTTAATCCTAGCATTTTGGGAGGCTGAGGCGGGTGGATCACCTGAGGTCAGGAGTTCGAGACCAGCCTGGCCAACATGGTGAAACCCCATCTCTACTAAAAAAAAAAAAAACCAAAAAAACAAAAAATTAGCCATGCATGGTGGCATGTGCCTATAATCTCAGCTACCCAGGAGGCTGAGGCAGGAGAATCACTGGAACCCGGGAGGTGGAGGCTGCAGTGAGCCGAGGTCGTGCCACTGCATTCCAGCCTGGGCGACAGAGCGAGACTCCGTCCCCCACCCCGCAAAAAAAATCCCAGCTACTCAGAAGGCTGAGGCAGGAGAATTGCTTGAAGCTGGGAGGTAAAGGTTGCAATAAGCCAAGATCGTGCCACTGCACTCTGGCCTGGATGACAGAGCGAGACTGTCTCAAAAAAAAAAAAAAAAAAAGAAAAAGAAAACAAACAAAAAAAATAAATAAAGTGCTGGGATTATAGGTGAGCCACCGCATTCAGCCAGTAGCAGCATTTGAGCTGAGGTCTCTCTCTTCCCAGGCAGCTCCCAAGCCAATGGCTGAACATGGCCAGGGGTACCAGAGCCTCATCATTTCTGCCCAATGTGGGAGTCTTCCACTGGGCATTTTGGTTCACTCCCCCATTGGGCTGCCGGAAGCTTTGAAAATTCTGTATTCTACCCTATTTTTCTTCCTCCCCTCTTTCTTTTCACATGATTAGATCTGCATTGCACTTGGAATGTTTTCCCTTCACAGACCTACGTCATCCGCCCCCTTATCTTTTGTAATTATTGCCCCCCAATAAATCTTTTCCTCTTCACTCCATCTCAGCATCTGCTTCCTGGAGGACCCAGATTGACATAGGCAGTGACTATTGATGAGAAAATCTGTGCATGTTTCTGAGCTTTGATTTAATCTTTGAAAAGTTAAGCTTAGAGTTTCCACATCAAATAATGTTCAACATGCCATCCATTTTGAACTTATTACAGAGCATTAAAATATTGACAAGAATTGTGTTGTCTATTTCACCTAATCGAATAATCTTTTCTTTGTATTTATTTACTTGTGTAAAATATTTTAAGAAGTACAAAAATGGGCTGGGCGCGGTGGCTTACGCCTGTAATCCCAGCACTTTGGGAGGCCGAGGTGGGCAGATCACGAGGTCAGGAGATCGAGACCATCCCGGCTAACACGGTGAAACCCCATCTCTACTAAAAATACAAAAAATTAGCCGGGAGTGGTGGTGGGTGCCTGTAGTCCCAGCTACTCAGGAGGCTGAGGCAGGAGAATGGCGTGAACCCGGGAGGCAGAGCTTGCAGTGAGCCGAGATCATGCCACTGCACTTCAGCCTGGGTGACAGAGTGAGACTCTGTCTCAAAAAACAAAACAAAACAAAACAAAAAAAGAAGTACAAAAATGGTAGAAAAGGTATGTAAGAACTCTGAAAAACTACAGAAGAAATACTAGTGAAAGATTGGAGATAAAAGAGATTTCAATGTGGAAACCAAACCTCACAATAGCAAAGATGGACAGAAAATGTTGAGAAAGAGAGGAATTCTTGGAAACAAGACAGCTGCTCTCACAAATGTTGGTTGTGAGTAATCAATGAAATCTGGTTAATGTGTAAGAACATAGCATAGTAAAAATGTGTTACAGCTGAGTGTCTTGCAATGTATGCTCATGTGAATTAAGTGCTAAACACATAAAATAAATAGATGAAACTAGTTGTCTCTGCTGTAACTCACACACTGCAGGAGCTTTTAAGAGTTGCTTATAAAATAGACTAGGTGCAGTGGCTCATGCCTGTAATCCCAGCACTTTGGGAGGCCGAGGTGGGCAGATCACCTGAGGTCAGGAGTTCGAGACCAGCCTGGCCAACATGAGGAAATCCTGTCTGTACTAAAAATACAAAAATCAGCCGGGCATGGTGGTGGGCACCTGTAGTTCCACCTTCTCAGGAGGCTGAGGCAGGAGAATCGCTTGAACCTGGGAGGCAGAGGTTTCAGTGAGCCGAGATCACACCACTGCACTCCAGCCTGGGCGACAGAGTGAGACTCTGTCTCAAAACAAACAAACAAACAAACAAACAAACAAAAAAAAAAACCACTGGGTGCAGTGGCTCACACCTGTAATCTCAGCACTTTGGGAGGCTG
The DNA here is from genome assembly GCF_000001405.40 of Homo sapiens. Taxonomy (NCBI): domain Eukaryota; kingdom Metazoa; phylum Chordata; class Mammalia; order Primates; family Hominidae; genus Homo; species Homo sapiens. Next base: position 31,807,470 of record NC_000017.11, on the reverse strand, counting down.
AGTCAGGGAGATCGCTTAAGCTCAGTTTGAGACCGGCCTAGGCAACATAGTGTGGCCTCATCTCTATTAAAAATTAAAAAAAGTTAGCTGGACATTGTCATGCCGCCTGTAGTCCCAGATACTTAGGAGGCTGAGGCAGGAAGATCACTTGAGGCCAGGAGATTAAGGCTGCAATGAGATGTGATCTCACCACTGCACTCCAACCTGGGTGACAGGGGAGACCATGTCTCAAAAAAAAAAAAAAAAAAAAGAGTTGCTAATAAAATAAGAATGCATTTTATTTATCTGACTATGCTTGAAAATGCAATAGACCAGTGGTCCCCAACCTTTTTGGCATCAGGGACTGGTTTTGTGGAAGACGATTTTTCAATGGATTGGGGGTGGGGGACATGGTTTTGGTATGAGTCAAGCACGTTACATGTATTGTACACTTTTTTTTTTTTTTTTGAGATGGAGTCTTGCTCTGTCACCCAGGTCACCCAGGCTAGAGTGCAGTGGCACGATCTCGGCTCACTGCAACCTCTGCCTCCTGGGTTCAAGCAATTCTCCTGCCTTAGCCTCCAGAGTAGCTGGGATTACAGGCACCCACCACCGCACCCGGCTAATTTTTGTATTTTTCAGTAGAGACGGGGTTTCACCGTCTTGGACAGGCTTGTCTCGAATTCCTAACCTCGTGATCCACCTGCCTCAGTTTCCCAAAGTACTGGGATTACAGGCGTGAGCCACTGTGCCCAGCCAATTGTGCACTTGTTTTCTTGCAACTGGATGGTCCCATCTGGAGGTGATGGGAGACAGTGACAGATCATCAGGCATTAGATTCTCATAAGAAGCGAGCAACCTAGATCCGGCACACGTGCAGTTTACAGTAGGGTTCACACTCCTATGAGAATCTAATGCCACCACTGATCTGACAGGAGGCAAAGCTCAAACAGTAATGCGACCCATGGGGAGCAGCTGGGAATACAGATGAAGCTTCGCTGGCTTGCTTGCCTGACGCTTACTGCCTGCTGTGCACCCGGTATGATGGCAGGGGTGGGGTGGGGACCCCTGCAATAGACTGTTTCTAGGTAGCAGTGGTAGTTGTGCATCTCACCTCCCATGGTCAGGAAGGCCACTCTGGTTGTAGTCAAGTGTGTATTCACTGGAGTCTTTTCCTTTCCATGTAGCCCTAGTTATTTTTTGTTTTGTTTTTGATTTCTTTTTGATACAAGGTCTCACTCTGCCGCCTAGGCTGGAGTGTGGTGGCGCGATTATAGCTCACTACAGTTGCCGCTTCCTGGGCTCAAGTGATCCTCCCACCTCAGCATCCTGAGTAGCTGAGACTACAGGCACACATCACCACACCTGGCTAATTTTGCTTATTTTTTGTAGACATGAGGTCTCACTATATTGCCCAGGCTGGTCTTGAACTCCTGGCCTCAAGTGCTACCCACTTCCCCCGCAACCACCCCTTTCCACCTTGGCCTCCCAAAGTGTTGGGATTACAGGTGTGAGCTACCACACCTGGCTTCCTGGTTCTGACAATAAAGGACCTATCTTAGGCTGCGGGAAGCATTTTCACCCTGAGAGCAGCCTGATGTTTGAGGTTGTGGCTGTGACTTCTGCAGGTGCCTGCTGAGAGGCAGGGCTCCCCGCTCCTCCTTCTGTCAGTTCCCTGGGGCTTGTATCTACAGCCACAGAGACCACAGCCCTGGCCATTCTCCTGGAAGGCCCATTTACTTCCCTGATACAAAAGTCCCCACACTCCCTCCTCCCTTCCATGCCCCAGTTGGCCCAAGAGCTTATCTCAGCTTAGGTTGGGGCTGCTTCACTTGGCTGCCCATTCACTAATGCCCTGGCTGCATGCCTGACCACTTAAGTCAGACCAGGAGCTAACAAGGTGCAGCCCGGCCAGGCGAGGTGGCTCACGCCTGTAATCCCAGCATTTTGGGAGGCCAAGGTGGGCGGATCACGAGGTCAGGAGATCGAGAGCATCCTGGCTAACAAGGTGAAACCCCGTCTCTACTAAAAATACAAAAAATTAGCCGGGCGTGGTGGCAGGCGTCTGTAGTCCCAGCTACTCCGGAGGCTGAGGCAGGAGAATGGCGTGAACTCAGGAGGCGGAGCTTGCAGTGAGCCAAGATCACGCCACTGCACTCTAGCGTGGGCGACAGAGTGAGACTCGGACTCAAAAACAAACAAACAAAACAAGGTGCAGCCCAGGCTGAGAATCGCTGGCTTAGCCAAACCTGTTCCCCTGACGGAAGGAGAAATGAAAGCAGCTCACGCTATAAACATGGCATCAGGCCCATTTCATTGGCGACACCACTGCCCTGAGGACAGGGGGTTCCCGCTCATCTTGTTCCAATCTGCAGTGCCTGCCATAGTTACTTCCATGGAGTAGAGGCACACAGTCTTGTTCTCAGTAAAATAATATTGATTTTTTAATTAAATTAAATTAATTATTTTTGAGATGGAGTTTTGCTCTTGTTGCCCAGGCTGGAGTACAATGGTGAGATCTGGGCTCACCGCAACCTCTACCTCTTGGGTTCAGGTGATTCTCCTGCCTCAGCCTCCCAAGTAGCTGGGATTATGGGCATGCACCACCACAGCCGGCTAATTTTGTATTTTTAGTAGAGACAGGGTTTCACCATGTTGGTCAGGCTGGTCTCGAACTTCCAACCTCAGGTGATCCGCCCAACCTCGGCCTCCCAAGGTGTTGGGATTACAGGCGTGAGCTACCGCATCCAGACTATATTGATTTTTAAAATACAGGTCCACTGTATTTAGTCCTCCTCACACTCCCACCCAAACCTTCAGATGAGCCAAAGGCTTGGAATTTGGGGTTGAAAAAAATAGGATCAAGATCTGTCTTTGATAGCAAATGGCAATGTTCCTTCACTCATATGAGGCTGAGATTTTCCATCTGAAAATGGGAATAGAACTGTTGCTGATTGATTCTCCTTTAGTGGGGGCCTGGAAATGTGCGAAGACTTGACATTCATCAAATCCAATTCTCTCCACAGCCGTGGAATGACTATTTACTTTATTTGCACGTGTTTTTTTCTCATTATAACATCATACTCTAAGGTGGGAGGCCTGTTGCCAGGGCTACCAGATGTAGGGCATTATGCCATTTTAGTTTTTAGTTTTAGCATTTTAGTCCTATGCCTATTTGGTTAAATTTCTCTGTGTTTCAGGCTATTCTAGGCTTCTCACTTTGTGGTCACAAAAAATAAATATGTTGAACTTTCTCTCTTATTTTCTCTGTTTCTTTAGTTTTCTATAGTTTCTTCTGGATCTTTACCTTGAATTTGCTAACTTCACACTCTATTTCTGTTGACTTATTCCGAGAGCCTCCCCTCCCCAAGTATAACAAATGAATTGCTGCTTCTGAGCAATACCGGCACCCAACACCTACCTCCAGGTTGCAGTGAGGAGTAACACATAATGGGTGGAAGCACCAGGCACACTAAATACTCACACAAATGAGCTGTGATTACGTAAACAACAGTCCTCCTGTGTGGTGTGAGCTATGATAGCAGGAAGTACAAAGTACGCTGAAAATGCTCAGTAAACTGAGAAAGGTTAAACAGTGACTGGTCATTACTACTGTGGGTCTGAGGATCCTATGTCTCTGCCTAATGCCTTTATTTACTTATTCACCAACAGTGATTGATATCAGCCATGGCTGTTTGTCACACAGCTGTCCAATGTCTTTTTTTGTTTGTTTGTAGTTAACTTCAAAATTTTCTTCGTGGTAAAACACACATAACAAAATATAGCGTTTTAACCACCCTTTTTTTTTTTTTTTGAGATAGGATCTCACTCTGTCACCCAGGCTGGAGTGCAGTAGTGCGACGACGGCTCAGTGCAGCCTTGACCTCCCTGGTCCCAGGTGATCCTCCTGCCTCAGCCTCGTGAGTAGCTGGAACTACAGGCAGCTGCCACCACACTTCGCTAATTTTTTGTATTTTCTTTTTTTTTTGAGATAGAGTTTTGCTCTGTTGCCCAGGCTGGAGTGCAGTGGCGCGATCTTGGCTCATTGCAACCTCTGCCTTCCAGGTTCAAGCTTTTCTCCCCGAGTTGCTGGGACCACAGGCACGTGCCACCATGCCTGGATACTTTTTTTTTTTTTTTTTTGTATTTTTAGTAGAGACGGGGTTTCACCGTGTTAGCCAGGATGGTCTCGATCTCCTGACCTCGTGATCTGCCCGCCTCAGCCTCCCAAAGTGCTGGGATTACAGGCATGAGCCACCGCACCCCGCCACGCCTGGCTAATTTTTCGTATTTTTAGTAGAGACAGGGTTTCACCATGTTGGCCAGACTGGTCTTGAAGTCCTGACCTCAGGTGATCCACCCGCATTGGCCTCACAAAGTGCTGGGATTACAGGCATAAGCCACCGCGCCCAGCCTAATTTTTTGTAGAGACAGGGGTCACCATGTTGCCCAGGCTGATCTCGAATTCCTGGGCTCAAGCGGGATCCTCCTGCCTCAGCCTCCCAAAGTGCTGGGATTTCAGGAGTGAGCCACCATGCCTGACCTTTCTTAACCATTTTGAAGTGGTATTACATACAGTCACACTGTTTTGCTACCATCACCACCATGAACTTTTCTTAACCTTGAAATGCCCTTTTGAATTGTCTTTCTGTTTCCAGGGAAGTTCCTCTTATGTCTTATGAGGAAGTCAGAACTCAAGTTCCCAGCCTGCCCTGGGTCTGGGACATAGACCTGGGCCAGGCTCCACCAATCAGATGCGTCCATACTGACACTGGTTCAAGTGGGAGCCCCAGGGAGAAACAGGCTGTGGCTGGAGCAGCCATGTTTGCTGGTGTGGATGGCAACAAGGGTGCCCAGCTTTTGGTGGTGACTGCCGGTGGTAGCAAGTTCATGTTCCTGGTGCTGACATGAAATCAGTGCTGGCTACAGTAGTGATTGCAGCAGGACCAGGTTTCTGGCACTTAGGACTTGCCTTCAGTGACAGTTTCCTTATCAAACCATGGGTGTTACTCTCTGAATGTTTCATCTCCAGTCTGCTCTTAAATACATTTCTTTTTTTGCTTAACCAGCTAGGCAGTAAAACCATGCCAGTCCTTTTCATCAGAAGGACTGCTGAGAACAGAGAAACCAGGTTTGTTTAGATCCTCCTGCTGTTGGATGCTGTTGGCAGAGCCACATTGCTCTTGAGCCCTCTTCTAATGAACTTGTCAAGCCCCAGCTCTTTCCTTGTCTCTCCTTGACTTCAGTCCAGATGGGGAGGGCTCTGGGATGCAATTAGCTCCCCCTTATTTTTGGGGTCCTTGGGAGAGAAGTCATTTTCAGAAACTGGTGCCAGGAGAAGGGAGCCCTGGTGCCTGGCCTGTGTGGATGTTGGCTCCTGGTTATTTTCTTCTTCATCCACAGAATGTTTGCGTGGACACAAGGCTTACCATGAGCCACTCGCTTTTCTTTTCTGTTAAAGCTTTCTGCTGGCTTTTCAATATTGTTTCTCTGTTGAGAGGCACATTGGAGGATGGGAGGCAGGTTTTTCTCTTTCTGTTGGGAGGTACCGAGAAAAAACATCATTCAAGATTCCCCAGAGTTCCTTTCTGATCCGTGAGGTCCCGAATACCCTTGTGCCTCAGCTTTCCCTCTGCAGGAGTGGGCTTGGTTTCCAGGTTCATGCATCACATGATTATTGAGCCCCTTTTTTCTGCTAGGATCATTCTGGAGACACAAATATGAGTAACAGGTTTGGCCTTCAGAACTCATAGCCTAGTGGAAGTGGGCAAACAGATCCAAGCCTCAGCTAGTAGCTACTGAAAAAGCTTATTTAATATTCATATTGCCCTTTAAGCCTCATCTTGTTTCTCCTCTCCTCTCTGAGTATTTCTGGGATTCTCTAGAGGATGCTTATGTGTTCAGCTGTTCCGTCCTGGTTGTCACTTGCCACCCCTGCCATCCTAAACAGAATATGTCAGTGGGCATGTCATAGAGCCCAGCTGACCTCTGCCCAGTTGGTCTCTCTCCCACTTCTGCAGATAAATGGAGGAGATGAGTTTCTTTCCCTTTTAGGTGAAAACTTGCAGCCCCAGTCTTGTATATTCTGGGACGACTTCTTCCCAGGATGATCGAGAGTGGGAATGTCTACTCCCCGTATGGGAACACACCCTCCTTGGTGTGTTTTTGCACTCAAAGCACAACATGATTATACCTCAAGACTCAGTGATCCAGCCTCAGTCTCAGCGGCCTCATCTTGAATAGCATCTTGGGGACGTTAATGGTGCGGTCTGGGCAGCACTGCACTGAAGTGTGGCTCAGGTTCTTTCTATAGGCTCTTCTCCAGCTCTTGGTAAAAACTAGGCCTGCCTCAGATTCTCATCTCCTGTGGGTGTTACCTACGTAAGACTATACATTTTCCTAAGTGGAAGAAATTGTTTTCTAGCACAGGACAGTCCAAAGCCATGCCTACTCCAAGAAGCATTTTCTACTTACACAGATAACCTTCCCTGGCACCTTGTGGACTCATTTGGTTCCCAGGAGCCCAGCTGTCTCCACTATCTCCATAGCTACAGGAACATTTGCTTTACATCTTCACAAGAAAGAGTCACACAGAGTGGATTTTTCCTAAAATAAAAGGCTATCTTCTCCCAGGGGTTAATTCAACACTTGTAAAAGAGAGGCCTGCTTGAAGCTTTGAAAATATAGGCTCTTTCTCACTCCTAGACCTATTGAGGTCTGAAGGATCTTGGGAGGAGCTTTTAGTTAGTGTGGTTTTTGTTTGTTTGTTTGTTTTTTTGAGACAGGATCTTGCTCTGTTGCCCAGGCTGGAGTGCAATGGCGCAATCATAGCTCACTGCAGCCTCGACCTCCCAGGCTCAAATGATCCTCCTACCTCAGACTTTCAAGTAGCTGGGACTATAGGAGTATACCACCACACCTGGCTAATTTTTTATTTTTTGCAGAGATGGGGGTCTCACTATGTTTCCCAGGCTGGTCTTGAACTCCTGGGCTCAAGCAATCCTCCTACTTTGGCCTCCCAAAGTGTTGGGATTACAGGCATGAGCCACTGTGCACAGCCTTAGTGTTTAATCTCAGAGTGTCCCATGCTTTTCTTCTGTTATGGACCAAATTGTGTCCTTCTCAAATCCATATGTTGAAGTCCCAACCCCCAGAACCTCAAAATGTCACTATATTTCGAGTTAGGGTCTTTAAAGAGGTAATTAAGTTGAAATGCTGCCATCAGGGTGGACCCTAAACAAGCGTGATTAGTGTCCTTATAAGAAGAGGAGATTAGGACACAGATAAACAGAGGAAAGACCACATGAAGACAGAGGAAGAAGATGGCCATCTGCAAGCCAAGAGGGGAGGCCCCAGAAGAAACCAACCCTGCTGGCACCTTGATCTCAGACTTCCAGACTCCAGAATTGTGAGAAAATAAATTTCTGTTGTTGAAACCACCTAATCTGATGTACTTTGTTATGGCAGCCCTAGTGCACCAATATGTCTTCCCCTTCAGCTGTCTTTGCAAAAGCCTTTCCCCTAGTATTAATAAATACCATGCAAGTATTAAAAAAAATTTTTTTTTATGGAGTCTTGCTCTGTTGCCCAGGCTGGAGTGCACTGATGTGATCTCAGCTCACTGCAACCTCCACCTCCCGGGTTCAAATGATTCTCCTGCTTCAGCCTCCTACGTAGCTGGGATTACAGGCACCCCCCACCCCCACCACACCCAGCTAAATTTTTTTGTAATTTTAGTAGAGACGGGATTTCACCATGTTGGCCAGGCTGGTCTCGAACTCCTGACCTCAAAGTGCTGGGATTACAGGCATAAGCCACCATGCCTGGCTTGTGCAGGTCCTAAGACCTAATATGCATGTGCCTGCAAATGGGCCTTGTGGACTGGACTGGTTTAGAGAATCTAGAAGGGAGCACACTACATTTGCACCCATTCTTTATCTGGGAGGATATCTCCATCAGGTGTGTGGCTTCAGGAGGGACATGAAGTGGTGATGAGGACAGAAGGGGACACTATTCTTGCCAGCCATAGAAATTGCGTCCACTTTGGCCATGGATGAGAAGGATATTCATCTCTCGCATCTGCAAGACAGATCCCAAATCAGACATTCTGAAGCTGTGCCATCCAGCACAGGAATATCAGCCATACGCAGCTACTGTGCACTTGACTTGTGGCTTGTCTGAATTGCAATACACTGTGAGTGCAAAATACATAAAGACTTAGGTTAAAAAAAGCAAAAATCTTATTAGTTTTTATAGTGATTACACACTGAAATAATATTTTGGATACACTGAGTTAAATAAATATATCTTTAAAATCCGTTTCACCTGATTCTTTTTACTTTTTTTACTGTGGCTACTAGAACATTTACACTTATGGAGTGGCTTGTACTATATTTCTTCTGGACAGTGCTGCTATAAAGAGGGCATAAGCCTGGCCAGCCAGTTGCCAGCCAGCTCTCCGGAGGGTCACAGGCAGTCACCACATGCTTAGGACTTAAAGTTTGAGACCTGGTCCTTGCCTTTGAGGGGAATCCAAGTCTCTAGTCCCTGTTGAAGGAGTCCCCTGGTGGACGCCCAGCTTGTATTTTTTTTTTTTTCTAAATCCCTTTTCTCTTTTTTTTTTTTTTTGAGATGGAGTCTCGCACTGTCACCCAGGCTGGAGTGCAGTGGTGCAATCTTGGCTCACTGCGACCTCCGCCTCCTGGGTTCAAGTAACTCTCCTGCCTCAGCCTCCCAAGTAGCTGGGATTGATTACAGGCTCCCGCCACCACACCCGGCTAATTTTTTGTATTTTTAGTAGAGACAGAGTTTCACCATGTTGGTCAGGCTGGTCTCGAACTCCCTGACCTCAAGCGATCCACCCGCCTCAGCCTCCCAAAGTCCTGGGATTAAAGGCATGAACCACCGCACATGGCCTGTATCTTATCTTTACTTGATGACGACCCCTGAACCCTGCTCTTGCCTGTTTACATTTTTGTTCTTTTCGTGGCTGTGATCATTAGCTACTCCCAGACCTCTGACCACTGCCCTATGGCCTGGTTATTGTTCCTGCCTCCCTCTCCCTTGGCTGGGGATTCCAAGAACAGACTTCTGGCTCCTTCTCCCAGGTTCTCCTGGGCCCAGGACTGTCCAATAGGTTCGTGCCCTGCCCCCCTAGTCTGTCTCCACTAGACTCCATCCAGGACCCCAGGGAGCTGGACTCAGGTCACCTGGGGCTCATAGAGCTCTTGTTCAGGATACGAGACATTGACCTCAGCCCGTGGGACTGGGAGAGAAGGCCAGGAAAAAGTGGCAGCCCCCTTACTTGAAGGAACCTGTGATCTATTTTGAACTAATCCCGTAAAGAAACAAATGCAGGATCCAGCGTCCCCAATGAGACTCTAGTTAGCCACCTCTTGACCTTGTGTATGTAGCTATGTCAAGCTGCTGTTCAGCACAGATAACTCAACTTTCATGTGATGAATTCCTGAGGCCCAGGGGAAATGTTGTAAATACTGGGAATGTGTGAATCAAGGAAATTGAATTAAGAAATATAAATCGGGCCAGTCGTGGTGGCTCATGCCTGTAATCGCAGCACTTTGGTAGGCCGATGGGGGTGGATCACTTGCGGTCAGGAGTCCGAGATCAGCCTGGCCAAAATGCTGAAACGTTGTCTCTACTAAAATTACAAAAGTTAGCCGTGGCCGGGCACGGTGGCTCATGCCTGTAATCCCAGCACTTTGGGAGGCTGAGGCGGGAAGATCACCTGAGGTCGGGAGTTCGAGACCAGCCTGACCAACATGGAGAAACCCTGTCTCTACTAAAAATACAAAAATTAGCCAGGCGTGGTGGCGCATGCCTGTAATCCCAGCTACTCGGGAGGCTGAGGCAGGAGAATTGCTTGAACCCGGGAGGTGGAGGTTGCGCTGGGCCGAGGTCGTGCCATTTCACTCCAGCCTGGGCAACAAGAGTGAAATTCCATCTCAAAAACAAAAAACAAACCAACAAAAAAATTAGCTGGGCATGGTAATGCGTGCCTGTAGTCCCAGCTACTCGGGAGTCTGAGGCACGAGAATCACTTGAACCTGGGAGGTGGAGGTTGCAGTGAGCCGAGATTGTGCTACTGCACTCCAGCCTGGGCAACAGAGTGAGACTTCATCTCAAAAAAAAAAAAAAAAAAAAAAATCCAGAAAATGTGGAAATAACAGTCAAAGGGGGCCAACAGTCTTCTGGTGGTCACTTGGGGGAGCCATGAAGACAAAGGAAGACCAGGGTCCTTTTACACTCCTGCCTGGGACTCTCCAGACTCACTCTGCTCCTGGGCTCTGGGCCACGCCATCTCCTAGCTTTGGACCCTCCCAGACATGCTTTTTGCCCTTCTGTCTCCTACCTTTGCTCACACCATTGCCTTCTCCTGGGATGTCTTTCTATCCCATGTCTGCTCATTCAAACATACACATCCCCCCTTTAAGTCCAAGTTCAGACATTACTTCTCCTTGAAGCAGCCCCTGATTAATAACCAGAGTTATGTGCCCTTTAGGGGATGCCTTGTTTCTGCTTCCCTGGCATCCACTCCCTTCCCCTCTTTGGCCTTGTATTGTGGTTGTTGCTCTCCACCTCTCCTCCTAGACTGGAGGATGTAACCCGGGACGGGATCATGCTTGATCCTTGTCTCAGCCCTATAGGGCCCTGTAGGGTCAAGCACAGTGTCTGACCCCAATGCCTGCATGTTCATTGTCAACACTGACCTCTATTATGGCACTTTTCACTGTGTGTATCTGTTTACGTGTCTTTCTGTCCTGATAAACCGTAAGCCTCCATTGAGGGCCTACCAGGTGCAAGCGACCAGGGTTGCAAAGATAAACGAACCACAGTCCCAGACTTCGGGGACAGCTCCCACTAGAAGAACAAGTACTTGCCAGCATTATTATAAATGGGCCAGCAGCTGCATGTCCAGGGACAATGAGGAACAAAGGGCAGAGGTTGGTGCTGCCTTTTAGCACAGTCAGGTCAGAGCAAGGTCTTGAAAGATGAGCAGATTTGTGGGCCCAGGGATTCTTGGGGAGGAACTGGAGATTGTCTGCATGGTGAGGTGGACCAGCCCATGTAGTTGGAAAATGCAGACTTGTGTCTCACCAACCTGTATCCCAGGTATTAGCGATCCTTGCTGTGGAATAGATGTGCAGAAAATGTTTGTTGACCAACTAAGTGACTGACGGAATGAACTCTTTAATTCTTTAAGGGTGGAGAATAATCATAACTCATTTTTCTTCTGGTGAATTTTGTTTATTTATTTATTTATTTATTTACTTACTTACTTATCATGGAGTCTCGCTCTGTCGCCCAGGCTGGAGTGCAATGGGGCGATCATGGCTCACTGCAAACCCTGCCTCCCAGGTTCAAGCCATTCTCCAGCCTCAGCCTCCCAAGTAGCTGGGACTACAGGCATGCGCCACCACGCCTGGCTAATTTTTGTGTTTTTGGTAGAGATAGAGTTTCACCATGTTGGCCAGGATGGTCTTGAACTCCTGATGTCAAGTAAGCGACAGCCTCAGCCTCCCAAAGTGCTGGGATTACAGGTGCAAGCCACCATGCCCGGCCTCTCCTGGTTAATTTTAGATGGCCTCCCAGGTTTCACAATATTTTTGCTCAATTTTCCCATACATGCCTTGTCCTATAGTCAACTGTGGAGCTTGTTACCTATGGGGTTCTTGGGTCTCTTTCATGCAGATTCAGATTCAGTGGGTCTGGGGTGGGATCCAGAATCTGTTGAACACATGTCCTAGAAAGTCCTTATGATCGGGCAAGTTTGGGTGACTGCTGCTAGCAGGAAGGTAAGCATGACCTGGGTGCTTATTAAAAATAGATACTCTTGGGCCTGGTGCGGTGGCTCACGCCTGCAATCCCAGCACTTTGGGAGGCCGAGGCGGGTGGATCACCTGAGGTTGGGAGTTCAAGACCAGCCTGACCAACATGGAGAAACCTTCCATCTCTACTAAAAATACAAAAATCAGCCAGGCGTGGTGTCATGCGTCTGTAGTCCCAGCTACTCAGGAGGCTGAGGCAGGAGAATCACTTGAACCTGGGAGGTGGAGGTTGCGGTGAGCTGAGATCATGCCGCTGCACTCCAGCCTGGGCAACGAGAGTGAAACTCCATCTCAAAAAACAAAACAAAACAAAAACATACTCTTGCCAGGCACGGTGGTTCATGCCTGTCATCCTAGCACATTGGGAAGCTGAGGTGGGAGGATCATTTGAGCCTAGGCATTCAAGACCAGCTTGGACAACATAGGGAGACCCCATCTCTACAAATAATAATACTAAAAATAGCCAGGCACGGTGGTGTGCCCCTGTGGTCTCAGCCACTTGGGAGGCTGAGGTGGGAGGATCGCCTGATCTCGGGCAGTCAAGGCTACAGTGAGCCACAACTGTGCTACTGCACTCCAGCCTGAGTGACAGAGTGAGACCCTGTCTCAAAAAAGCCAAAAAAAAAAAAAAAACCCCACAAAAACCCAGTCCTTGAAATGAGCAGAACATGGTGGCATGCACCTGTAATCCCAGCTACTCAGGAGGCTGAAGTGAGAGGATCGTTTGAACCTAGGAGTTCAAGGCTGCGGTGAACTGTGATTATGCCACTGCACGCCAGCCTGGGTAACATAGCAAGACCCCATCACTAAAAAAAAATAAAGGTCCTGAAATCCACTCAAACCTATTGCCGAGTCTTCAGAGCAGGAGGCGTTGTGTTTAATGGGCTCTCCATCACACTGGTTGGGGGGCGCATTGCTTCAGCCCAGTGGGTTTCAAGCCTGGCTGCTCATTAGGGTCCTGAGGAGCTGTAAAATGGCCTGAGGTGGGGTCCCAGTATCTGTTTTCCTCGCAAGCTCCCCAGATAATTCTGGTATGTGCTCAGGGCTGAGGACTACTGCAAGCGCCTAGGACTTTGGCCCTTCTGGCAGGCTGGTGGGCATTGTAGCCCAGGTGGATCCCCAGCACCCCTCAAGTCATGTGCTGTGGATCAGTGTTCCTCACAGCTAGCTGTACATTAGAGCCACCTGGGAGTGCTTTTAAACTCCCAATACCCAAGGCTCCACCTAGACCAATTAAATTAGAACCTACCTGGCGGGGGTGGGAGGGCAGAGTGGAGAGGCCCAGCCTTATTCTCTTTGAAAAGCTTCCTGGGTGTCTCTGACAGGTGGCCAGGGTGAGGTCCTCGGAGCATGGGTGCATGTGGAAGGTAAGTTGGATGGTGCAGAAGCAGCCGCAGTTGAAGCGTTTGTAAACCTCTGATGACAGGCGGGGACAGCCTTTTTTTTTTTTTTTTTTTTTTTTAAGCTGTAACTATTTTTTTTTTATTATTATACTTTAAGTTTTAGGGTACATGTGCACATTGTGCAGGTTAGTTACATATGTATACATGTGCCATGCTGGTGCGCTGCACCCACTAACTCGTCATCTAGCATTAGGTATATCTCCCGATGCTATCCCTCCCCCCTCCCCCCACCCCACCACAGTCCCCAGAGTGTGATATTCCCCTTCCTGTGTCCATGTGATCTCATTGTTCAATTCCCACCTATGAGTGAGAATATGCGGTGTTTGGTTTTTGTTCTTGCGATAGTTTACTGAGAATGATGATTTCCAATTTCATCCATGTCGCTACAAAGGACATGAACTCATCCTTTTTTATGGCTGCATAGTATTCCATGGTGTATATGTGCCAAATTTTCTTAATCCAGTCTATCATTGTTGGACATTTGGGTTGGTTCCGAGTCTTTGCTATTGTGAATAATGCCGCAATAAACATACGTGTGCATGTGGGGGACAGCCTTTTTAACAGCCTTGGTTTTAAGAGTCAGAATTTAGCACAACCGCCAGATTCAATAAACCTGCACTTCTGCTCTTAAAAATGGCTACAAGAGGCCTCCCCACCAGAGGCCCTCTCCAGGCCATCATTTCATTATGTATTCAGTGTTTTTGTAACTGATCCATCAGTCAATTGGTAAAAATGCCAAGGAGAAAACTTTGTTTAATGATCATGCATCTCTTTGACTTTGTTACCATAATTTCTGGGGGAGCGACAATTACCTTGTGTCTGGCTGTTCTTCCTCTGAGTGCAGCATCCTTCCAGCTGGTTTAGAGGGAACATCAGTCTCCCTCCCTCCTTCTGCGGGACTGTCACTTACTGCATGCTGATGTCCAGCCTCTGTGTGGGCTTTGGGACCACAGCCGGAATGTCAGATTTAGGAATCCGCTCATTCGTGTGTTTGTTCATTCAACAAATCTCTGTCAGTGCCTTCTATGTTCTGGACACTGCACCAGGTGTTAAAGTGTAAAAGCTGCCATTCTAGAGATACGCCTAAAACACTAAAGGAGAACAGAGAAGTGAGGAATTAATTCTGGGATGTGCGTGAGTGTCTTGGGAAGTCTTCTCCAAGGAGTGACATTTGTCCTGGGTCTTGAAGGGTGAATAGGAGCCATGCTGAAAAGGGATCATAACTCTCAAGGCAGCGTTTCTCAGCCTTGCCGGATGAGTAGAAGCACCTGGTGGGGGGGCCCAGGCCACAGTCCAGACCATCCAATAAGGACCTCTGGGGGTGAGACCCAGGCATCAGTGTTTTTTAAAGCTTCCCGGATGATTCCAAAGAGCAGCCATGGTTGGAAACCATGCATTAGGGGAATGGAAGTAGAGGTTGCCTAAATGTGCACACACACACACACACACAATTAGGGTAGGCTTGAAGGTAAACTTCCAAAGACTGTCAGTCCATAGCCTTCTCCCCAGCCCCTCCTGTGTGTTCCAGAGGAATAAAAGGACATGGGTTTTGGAGGCAGACGGATCATGTGCTGACTGCTGTAAGATAGCATGTGACCATCGAGGCAGTCGATAATTTGATAAGTGTTTATTGAGTGCTTACTATGTGCTAGGTGCTGGGAACCCAGCAGGGAATATCATCAAGTCCTTGCTCTCAGGGAGCTCACTGCCTATGGCAGAAGATGGATAGACATACATTTCTCAGGCAGTGTTAGAAGGAGGGACACAGAGTTACGGGAGCCCCCAGGAGGGGTATCTGGTGCAGTCTTGTGGGGTTAGGGAGACTTCCTCTCAGAGGAAGTGGCCGCAAGGAGATACCACAAAGGAGTGGAGGAAAGAGATGGAAACATAAGTAGAGGAAACTACATGTGCAAAAGCCTAGAGGCAAGAGTGAGTATGGAGAACTCAGAAATAGCAAGTATTGACTCTATGTGAAATGTGACGTTGGGGAGGGATAAAAGAGAACTGGAAAAAACAGGCAGGGCCAGATCATAAAAGGCCTTAAAAGCCGAAGTGGGGAGTCTGTACTTTATCCCGATGACAATGGGGAGCTCCCGGAAGTAGAGCAGTGCCTTCAGGGATGAGTTTATCTGTGCAGTGTGACTAGATGGAAGGGATGCTGCAGGCATCCTCATGAGAGATGATGGTGGTCTGGGATCAGGTAGTGACAGTGGGGATGGAGAGAAGTGGACAGAGTCAAGAGACTGAGCATTTCTGGAGCTCTCTCTGCACAGTTCTCTCCTCTCTGGTACTCTGTCCTGTGAGATCCAGCTGCCTTTCCTTTGCTGCGTTGTGGCCTGAAAACCCGAGCTGTAACTGGACAACTGGGGGGCTTGCCTGGTCTGTTTCCCCCTACTCAGGAATCACTGTCCTTTGTTAACCATGTCCAATGCCCTGAAAACTCTTGTTTCATATATTTTGTCTGTTTTTTGGTTGCTTCAGTCAGGAGTATAAATCTGGTCTCTATTATTTCACCTTGATTGGAAGTGAAAGTCCTTCTATTTCATTTTTCTATATAAGAATTATTTAAGAAAGTTTGGCTGGGCACAGTGGCTCACGCCTGTAATCCCAACACTTTGAGAGGCTGAAGCGGGTGGATCACTTGAGGCCAGGAGTTTGAGATCAGCCTGGCCAAGATGACGAAACCTGGTCTCTACTAAAAATACAAAAATTAGCCAAGCATGGTGGCATACACTTGTAGTCCCAGCTACTTGGGAGGCTGGGCAGGAGAATCACTTGAACCCAGGAAGCGGACGTTGCAGTGAGCCGAGATCACTCCCACTGCACTCCAGCTTGGGCAATAGAGCAAGACTCTGTCTAAAAATAAAAATAAATAAAAAAAAAATAGGGAAAGAATTCTAGATGGTAGGAACAGGGTGATCAAAGGCTCAGAATCAGAGACGGGAAAATGCAGGCCTTTTCAGAGGGGCATATGCTGTCTGATATTGCGTTGGCTTGGCATTCTCAGTGGGGCTAGGCAGAGAACAGTGGAAAGCTACACTGGGATGGAATGTGGCAGGTCTTAAAGGAGAGGCAAAAAATATTGTATTGTGAAGGCAATGGGGAGCCATGGAAGGTTCTTGAGTAGAGAGGGGGAATAGCATGGTTTTTTTTTTTTGCCTGCCAGGCAAGTAGTTTTGACAGAAGAGCTAGCCTCAGTATAGTTCAAAGGTCCAGTTTTAGGGCTGGTTTCAGAAGTTGAGATCTAGTGGATACCTTAAAAGAACTGGTATAAAAACTTTTTATTATAGGCCAGGTGCAGTGGCTCATGCTTATAATTCCAACACTTGGGAAGGCAGAGGTGGGAGGACTACCTGAGGCAGGAGTTTGAGACCAGTATGGGCAACATAGCAAGACCCTGTCTCTACAAAAAACAAGAACAAAACTAATCAGGCATGGTGGCGCACACTTGTAGTCCTAACTATTCAGGAGGCTGAGGAGGGAGGATTGCGTGCGCTCGGGAGGTTGAGGCTTCAGTGAGCTATGATCGCGCTGGAGTGCAGCCTGGACAACAGAGTGAGACCTTGTCTCAAAGAAACAAACAAAACCAAACAAAACCACAATACCATTTTCACACCTACAAAAAATGAACATATTCTCTAATATCATGAAATCTCTATTAAGATGTTCATATTCTAATTGTATTATAATTTTGATGACTTTTACACATAAAATTTGTTTTAAAACACTTTAAGTTTCCTTCTTCCATCTAAGAAGATGTCACACTCATCTAGAGACCAGCTCAAGTTCGGCTCAGGGAACATTTAGGTCTTCCTACTGTGTTGCGGTTCACTGACTTTGGAAGTTTCACTGACGATGGTGGAAGTAACGAGTTACAGCACTGGTCCCATCTCGCACTGAGTTGGGTTCAAGCACATCTGGTGAACTAGTGGGGCATCTCTGCACAGTGAACCCGTTAAAGGAAGTGTCAGGAACCAGCCTTGACAGCTTGGCCTAGCAAGCGGAGCAAGGAGTGATGCTGGGTACTGTGTGGCCACTGTCCCTCTGATTTGTCCCTTGGCTTTGTCTCATTTTGAGTGAAAACTGTGAGGACAAATTCTAAAACTGTTTAAGATGTTGGGGGCATGAGCGGAGTAGAGTTGGTACCCCCATAAGAGAAAGGCGGGGAGTGGTGTGGTGCTCTCCACCAGACCCCCTTGGTCAGAGACTGGTAAGGTGGGCAGAGGAGGGGGCAGGATTTCTGTAGGTGCAGTGTCATCACAGGGGAATCCCTGGAGCCAGAGGAGGGGAAATCCCTTCAAACACCACCCAGACACTACCCCGCTTGTTTGTGAGCACATTGGAGATGGCCCCTGGGGAATGCAAGCTACTTGATGAAGGTAGGGAAGTACTGAACACGACTCTGTGAAGGTTCTTATTACCCCACCTTCCATGTGTGAGAACTGAGTTCAAATGGAGGGAAGAGTCACGCAACCAGGAAGCAAGGTGTCTTTTCATTTTTATTTATTTACTTATTTATTTTTTGAGACAGAGTCTCACTCTGTTGCCCAGGCTGCAGTGCATTGGCATGATCTGGGCTCACTGCAACCTCTGCCTGTGGGTTCAGCCTCCCAAGTAGCTGGGATTACAGGTGTGCACCACCACACCCAGCTAATTTTTGTATTTTTATTTATTATTTGTTTATTTATTTATTGAGATGGGGTCTTGCTCTGTTGCCCAGGCTGGAGTGCAGTGGTATAATCTCAGCTCACTGCAACTTCTGCCTCCCCGGCTCAAGTGATCCTCCTACCTCGGCCTCCTTAGTAGCTGGGACTACAGGCCTACTCCAACATGCCTGCTAATTTTTTGTATTTTCAGTAGCGACGGGGTTTTACCATGTTGCCCAAGCTGGTCTTGTGAACTCAAGTGATCTGCCCGCCTCGGCCTCTCAAAGTGTTGGGATTACAGGCGTGAGCCACTGTGTCTGGTCATGAGATGTGTTTAAATTCAAAGCCATCCTTCTCTCACTCTAATAATGGTTGCCACACAGAAGGGGAATGCTTTAGGAGAAGAATGCTGATGGGCTGAGTCTGTATCAGGGACCATCTGGAGACCATAAGCTGTTGCTCATCTTAACCTTCAAAACCATTCTATGAGGTCACTTTTATCCTTATTCTACAGATAGGGAAATGAGGCTCAGTTTTACTAACTTCAAAGCTCACAGTCATGGTCAAAATAGTTCATTGGATATTTCTTGGGAACATTTGGCTTTGGTTCGTGGTTCAGGAAAAAAATTGTCTTTAGATTTTCATTTCAGGGTTCAGAGAGGCTGGTTCTTTCTCATTTGGGGTTCAAGATTTAGTTTGAATATTAGGCCCTAGGAGCCTCTGGTTCTTCATAAGTGTTAAATAGATTAAATGCCATAAAGGTGACATTGAGATACTTGGGCATGTTGGGGCAGTGAGCTTTGGCTCTGGCCCGTGGCTCTAGGAGGATGGTAGCTGGTATCCATCGAGATGGATGGTGGCTGTGGGGTGTGAATGCTGAGTGATGACTTGTATTAAAGTGGATGTGGGCAAATAAAAATGAATTTTGCTTGGAACCACTTTTTATCAGGTGGCTTTCCATGCAGGATGATGTTTCACATGCATAGGCAACCTGGACCTGAGCTGGGGTGGAGTTGGGGCAGACGAGCTGTGTCTTCTCTGCCCTTTCTGATTCCAGGGCGAGGGCTGTGCCAGGAAGTGCTTCTCAGCCACTTCTCCTTAGGCACCTTTAAAGGAGCCTTTCCCCACCCCAGTCTGACTCAGAAAGTGGGGAGAAATGCCAGAGGCAGATGGAGCCAGGCACAGGCCCGGGCAAAACGTGTGAGGCTGAGTGTTTCCAACAGCAAGACACTGGAAGTGATGCAAGTGCTCAGCAGTCAAAAAGGAGAGGATGAAAGCATTCCAGTGCCCAGCCTGCACCTCAGTTGTTGTAATCACGATTCCCTGCCTCCAGTCTGGCAACTCCCCCAGCCATCATTTAATCACTCAGCAAGTATCTATCAAGCACTTATCCTGTACTGGGAAGGGCATGTTGACTGCTACTTGCTCAGCCCCCTGTTTCATTCCCCTGTGACCCTCGAAGATTCCTTTAAGTGACCAGGCAAGCCCTCCATGCCACCACTCCCTAAAAGTAGGCTCCATCTGGGCGGCTTCAGTGTGCAACCTACACAACTGTACACAGGAGCCCTGCCTCAGGCACCCATGGTGTCAATCACAGTCTTACTGCACATATAAGTACTCTGTAAACTGCATGAAGGTTAGGCTATTCCTCTTACTACTATTGTATGAGACGTCTGGGATCCTGTTCTAGAAATGTTCCTGTCATATCTCAATAGACCCCAAGAATTGTCTCCTTGTCTGAAATTTCCTGCAGTCAGCAAGCTTCCTCTCTAGGGTTCCAGGACCTTAGAATCCCCCTCTTCCCCAGCCTCTGCCTTCACTTCCTGCATCCACACAGGGGAAGGGAAGGGAACCCATGCCCTTTTATGTGTCAGGCCCATGCTGAGAAATTTACAGAGTATTCTATTTAATTTTCAACAACTTCTAGAGAAGTAGGTATTGCCACCCCCATTTTAGGATAAACTGAGATTTTTTTCTTTTTTTTTTCTTTAGGGAGAAACTGAAGCTCAAAGACATGAAATCATTTTCTTTAGATCATGCGTATGTGAAGTGGCAGACCCGGATTTGAACTTGAATTCCGTAAGACTTCAAACCCTGAAACTGTGTAGCTTCATATCCTGGCTCTTCTGCCTACTATTGTGTGTACCTTGGGAAATTACTAAATCTCTTGATGCTTCTCTTTCAATCTTGGTAAAATGAGGGCGATAATAATTCTTGCCTCTCCAGGCAGTTAGGAGGATCAAAGGAGTTGAAACAAGTAAAACACTGTGAGACCGGCACACTCAATGAATATTGGCTCTTATCATCATCATCATCATCATCATCATCATCATCATCATCATCATCATTATTACTATTACTTCTCCAAGACACTTACATGACTTGGGATAATTGTTACATTTATAGAAGCAGCCCCAGGATTAAATGCTTCTTCGTCTTGGAAGCCTTGGGCCAATTTGATAACAACGGGCTTTGTATTTTCAAATATGAGAAATATCTAGAATAAACTCCCAAATGTCACAGTGGAGACTCTGTCCAGGCCGGTGATGACTCTTCCAGAGCAGCACAGGGGAGATGAGGGTGTTTTCCAGTGATGTGATTGGGTCACACAGGCCTCAAGTCATCTCTGAAAGAAATAAAAGGGAACTTGGATTTGAAAGGACATGGTGGGTCTTAAGAGATCTCTGCTTATGGTTTAAAAATTGTGTCCAATTTTCATTGCTCCATTGATTTGCGCTTCTTGGAGTTGGTTGGATGAAGTCCTCCTTAGAGGCAGGGGAATGGATTGGATGTTCGGTCCCTATGACTTCTCTCCTGTATTTTCTTCATGCTTTGAAATAATAATCCATTTCATAGTATAGTGGGTTCAGATGGCAGATCATAGACTCAGGTATTGTGGACAGACCAATCATTGTGTCCACAGCTTGACCCTGGTGGAAGGCTGTAACCCTGATGGCAAAGCCCTGGAGTCTCCCAAACCAGTCAGGGGTCCCTGCCTCTTCCCAACTTCTTTTTTTATTATTATTTTTTTATTTTTTTATTGTCCTTCACTTCCTTTTTTTAAATTATACTTTAAGTTTCAGGGTACATGTGCACAACGTGCAGGTTTGTTACATATGTATACATGTGCCATGTTGGTGTGCTGCACCCATTAACTCGTCATTTACATTAGGTATATCTCCTAATGATATCCCTCCTCCCTCCCCCCACCCCACAACAGGCCCCAGTGTGTGATGTTCCCCTTCCTGTGTCCATGTGTTCTCATTGTTCAATTCCCACCTATGAGTGAGAATATGCGGTGTTTGGTTTTTTGTCCATTTCTCAGTTTGCTGAGAATGACGGTTTCCAGCTTCATTCATGTCCCTACAAAGGACATGAACTCATCATTTTTTATGGCTGCATAGTATTCCATGGTGTATATGTGCCACATTTTCTTAATCGAGTCTATCATTGTTGGACATTTGGGTTGGTTCCAAGTCTTTGCTATTGTGAATAGTGCCACAATAAACATACGTGTGCATGTGTCTTTATAGCGGCATGGTTTATAATCCTTTGGGTATATGCCCAGTAATGGGATGGCTGGGCCAAATGGTATTTCTAGTTCTAGATCCCTGAGGAGTCGCCACACTGTCTTCCACAATGGTTGAACTAGTTTACAGTCCCACCAACGTGTAAAAGTGTTCCTATTTCTCCACATCCTCTCCAGCACGTGTTGTTTCCTGACTTTTTAATGATCGCCATTCTAAGTGGTGTGAGATGGTATCTCATTGTGGTTTTGATTTGCATTTCTCTGATGGCCAGTGATGATGAGCATATTTTCATGTGTCTTTTGGCTGCATAAATGTCTTCTTTTGAGAAGTGTCTGTTCATATCCTTCACCCACTTGGTGATGGGTTGTTTTTTTCTTGTACCTTTGTTTGAGTTCATTGTAGATTCTGGATATTAGCCCTTTGTCAGATAAGTAGATTGCAAAAATTTTCTCCCATTCTGTAGGTTGCCTGTTCACTCTGATGGTAGTTTCTTTTGCTGTGCAGAAGCTCTTTAGTTTAATTAGATCCCATGTGTCAATTTTGGCTTTTGTTGCCATTGCTTTTGGTGTTTTAGACATGAAGTCCTTGTACATGCCTATGTCCTGAATGGTATTGCCTAGGTTTTCTTCTAGGGTTTTTACGGTTTTAGGTCTAACATTTAAGTCTTTAATCTATCTTGAATTAATTTTTGTATAAGATGTAAGGAAGGGATCCAGTTTCAGCTTTCTACATATGGCTAGCCAGTTTTCCCAGCACCATTGATTAAATAGGGAATCCTTTCCCCATTTCTTGTTTTTGTCAGGTTTGTCAAAGATCAGATAGTTGTAGATATGTGGAATTATTTCTGAGGGCTCTGTTCTGTTCCATTGGTCTATATCTCTGTTTTGGTACAAGTACCATGCTGTTTTGGTTACTGTAGCCTTGTAGTATAGTTTGAAGTCAGATAGCGTGATGCCTCCAGCTTTGTTCTTTTGGCTTAGGATTGACTTGGCAATGCAGGCTCTTTTTTGGTTCCATATGAACTTTAAAGTAGCTTTTTCCAATTCTGTGAAGAAAGTCATTGGTAGCTTGATGGGGATGGCATTGAATCTATAAATTACCTTGGGCAGTATGGTCATTTTCACCATATTGATTCTTCCTACCTATGAGCATGGAATGTTCTTGCATTTGTTTGTATCCTCTTTTATTTCGTTGAGCAGTGGTTTGTAGTTCTCCTTGAAGAGGTCCTTCACATCCCTTGTAAGTTGGATTCCTAGGTATTTTATTCTCTTTGAAGCAATTGTGAATGGGAGTTCACTCATGATTTGGCTCTCTGTTTGTCTGTTATTGGTGTATAAGAATGCTTGTGATTTTTGCACGTTGATTTTGTATCCTGAGACTTTGCTGAAGTTGCTTATCAGCTTAAGGAGATTTGGGGCTGAGACGACGGGGTTTTCCAGATATACAATCATGTCATCTGCAAACAGGGGCAATTTAACTTCCTCTTTTCCTAATTGAATACAATTTATTTCCTTCTCCTGCCTGATTGCCCTGGCCAGAACTTCCAACACTATGTTGAATAGGAGAAGTGAGAGAGGGCATCCCTGTCTTGTGCCAGTTTTCAAAGGGAATGCTTCCAGTTTTAGCCCATTCAGTATGATATTGGCTGTGGGTTTGTCATAGATAGCTCTTATTATTTTGAGATACGTCCCATCAATACCTAATTTATTGAGAGTTTTTAGCATGAAGTGTTGTTGAACTTTGTCAAAGGCCTTTTCTGCATCTACTGAGATAATCATGTGGTTTTTGTCTTTGGTTCTGTTTATATGCTGGATTACATTTATTGATTTGTGTATGTTGAACCAGCCTTGCATCCCAGGGATGAAGCCCACTTGATCATGGTGGATAAGCTTTTTGATGTGCTGCTGGATTTGGTTTGCCAGTATTTTATTGAGGATTTTTGCATCGATGTTCATCAGGGATAGTGGTCTAAAATTCTCTTTTTTTGTTGTGTCTCTGCCAGGCTTTGGTATCAGGATAATGCTGGCCTCTTAAAATGAGTTAGGGAGGATTCCCTCTTTTTCTATTGATTGGAATATTTTCAGAAGGAATGGTACCAGCTCCTCCTTGTACCTTTGGTAGAATACGGCTGTGAATCCATCTGGTCCTGGACTTTTTTTTGTTGGTAGCCTATTAATTATTGCTTTAATTTCAGAGCCTGTTATTGGTCTATTAAGAGATTCATCTTCTTCCTGGTTTAGTCTTGGAAGGGTCTATGTGTCGAGGAATTTATCCATTTCTTCTAGATTTTCTAATTTATTTGCATAGAGGTGTTTATAGTATTCTCTGATGGTAGTTTGTATTTCTGTGGGATCGGTGGTGATATCCCCTTTATCATTTTTTATTGCGTCTATTTGATACTTCTCTCTTTTCTTCTTTATTAGTCTTGCTAGCAGTCTAACAATTTTGTTGACCTTTCGAAAAACCAGCTCCTGGATTCACTGATTTTTTGAAGGGTTTTTTGTGTCTCTATTTCCTTCAGTTCTGCTCTGATCTTAGTTATTTCTTGCCTTCTGCTAGCTTTTGAATGTGTTTGCTCTTGCTTCTCTAGTGCTTTTAATTATGATGTTAGGGTGTCAATTTTAGATCTTTTCTGCTTTCTCTTGTGGGCATTTAGTGCTATAAATTTCCCCCTACACACTGCTTTGAATGTGTCCCAGAGATTCTGGTATGTTGTGTGTTTGATCTCATTGGTTTCAAAGAATATCTTTATTTCTGCCTTCATTTCGTTATGTACCCAGTAGTCATTCAGGAGCAGGTTGCTCAGTTTCCATGTAGTTGAGTGGTTTTGAGTGAGCTTCTTAATCCTGAGTTCTAGTTTGATTGCACTGTGGTCTGAGAGATGGTTTGTTATAATTTCTGTTGTTTTACATTTGCTGAGGAGTGCTTTACTTCCAACTATGTGGTCAATTTTGGAATAGATGTGGTGTGGTGCTGAAAAGAATGTATATTCTGTTGATTTGGGGTGGAGAGTTCTGTAGATGCCTATTAGGTCCTCTTGGTGCTGAGCTGAGTTCAATTCCCGGATATCCTTGTTAACTTTCTGTCGCATTGATCTGTCTAATGTTGATAGTGGGGTGTTAAAATCTCCCATTATTATTGTGTGGGAGTCTAAGTCTCTTCATAGGTCTCTAAGGACTTGCTTTATGAATCTGGGTGCTCCTGTATTGGGTGCATATATATTTAGGATAGTTAGCTCTTCTTGTTACATTGATCCCTTTACCATTATGTAATGGCCTTCTTTGTCTCTTTTGATCTTTGTTGTTTAAAGTCTGTTTTAACAGAGAGTAGGATTTCAACTCCTGCCTTTTTTTGTTTTCCATTTGCTTGGTAGATCTTCCTCCATCCCCTTATTTTGAGCCTATGTGTGTCTCTGCATGTGAGATGATTTCCTGAATACCGCACACTGATGGGTCTTGACTCTTTATCCAATTTGCCAGTCTGTGTCTTTTAATTGGAGCATTTAGCCCATTTACCTTTAAGGTTAATATTGTTATGTGTGAATTTGATCCTGTCATTATGATGTTAGCTGGTTATTTTGCTCGTTAGTTGATGCAGTTTCTTCCAAGCATCGATGGTCTTTACAATTTGGCATGTTTTTGCAGTGGCTGGTACTGGTTGTTTCTTTCCATGTTTAGTGCTTCCTTCAGGAGCTCTTGCAAGGCAGGCCTGGTGTTGACAAAATCTCTTAGCATTTGCTTGTCTGTAAAGGATTTTATTTCTCCTTCACTTATGAAGCTTAGTTTGGCTGGATATGAAATTCTGGGTTGAAAATACTTTTCTTTAAGAATGTTGAATATTGGCCCCACTCTCTTCTGGCTTGTAGAGTTTCTGCCAAGAGATCAGCTGTTAGTCTGATGGGCTTCCTTTTGTGGGTAACCCGACCTTTCTCTCTGGAAGCCGTTAACATTTTTTCCTTCATTTCAACTTTGGCGAATCTGACAATTATGTATCTTGGAGTTGCTCTTCTCGAGGAATATCTTTGTGGCGTTCTCTGTATTTCCTGAATTTGAATGTTGGCCTACCTTGCTAGGTTGGGGAAGTTCTCCTGGATAATATCCTGCAGAGTGTTTTCCAACTTGGTTCCATTCTCCCCGTCACTTTCATGTACAACAATCAGAAGTAGATTTGGTCTTTTCACATAGTCCCATATTTCTTGGAGGCTTTGTTCATTTCTTTCTACTCTTTTTTCTCTAAACTTCTCTTCTTGCTTCATTTCATTCATTTAATCTTCAATCACTGATACCTTTCTTCCACTTGATCGAATTGGCTACTGAAGCTTGTGCATGTGTCACGTGGTTCTCGTGCCATGGTTTTCAGCGCCATCAGGTCATTTAAGGTCTTCTCTCTGCTGTTTATTCTAGTTAGCCATTTGTCTAATCTTTTTTCAAAGTTTTTAGCTTCTTTGCGATGGGTTCAAACATCCTCCTTTAGCTCGGAGAAGTTTGTTATTACAGATTGTCTGAAGACTTCTTCTCTCAATTTGTCAGTCATTCTCCATCCAGCTTTGTTCTGTTGCTGGTGAGGAGCTGCGTTCCTTTGGAGGAGAAGAGGTGCTCTGAATTTTAGAAGTTTCAGCTTTTCTGCTCTGGTTTCTCCCCATCTTTGTGGTTTTATCTACCTTTGGTCTTTGATGATGGTGACATACAGATGGGGTTTTGGTGTGGATGTCCTTTCTGTTTGTTAGTTTTCCTTCTAACAGTCAGGGCCCTCAGCTGCAGGTGTGTTGGAGTTTGCTGGAAGTCCACTCCAGACCCTGTTTGCCTGGGTATCATCAGCGGAGACTGCAGAACAGCAAATATTGCAGAATGGCAAATGTTGCTGCCTGATCCTTCCTCTGGAAGCTTCATCTCAGAGGGGCACCTGGCTGTATGAGGTGTCAGTTTGCCCCTAGTTGGAGGTGTCTCCCAGTTAGGCTACTTGGGGTTCACGGATCCACTTGAGGAGGCAGTCTGTCCGTTCTCAGATCTCAAACTCCATGCTGGGAGAACAACTACTCTGTTCAAAGCTCAGTTGGAAATGCAGAAATCACCTGTCTTCTGCATCACTCATGCTGGGTGCTGTAGACTGGAGCTGTTCCTATTCATCCATCTTGGAACTGCCAAAGCTGTGCAAATCTTAAATAACTTTCAAGAAGCTAAGTTTCTGCAAACTTCATGCCCGCCATCTGCCCATAAGTCAGCCCACAACTTTTGGAGAAAAATGGCTTCTCTTTTGCCTTCCAAAACTTGTTTGAATACTTCTCATTAACAGCCTTTAACCCAGAAACAAACAAAGGAGGAAGTCCTGGGTAATGTGCTTCTTGGTGTTCCTTCTACAAAGAAGGCAGTAGAAGGGGTGGCAACCATACTGAGTTGGAAAGATATAATCCAACAAGCTGCTGTGTCATCCTTGTCTGTGACAGCACCACCCATGTAGCAATCTGTAGTGGTTGAATAATTGAAAGAATATGTCCCTGGTCTTTGGTGGGGCCAAGATTTGAACCCTCAGCTGTCTGACTTCAAATCCCAGGCAGACTCATTTCAACACCAGCTGAACAAGCCATGACCTTAACCCAGGGGCCCAGGCTGGGACAGCTGACCAGTGAGTCCCCGACAGGGTCTGTGCTACAAATATGCCAGTGGAGCTACGCTTTTTGGGGACAGAAGCCATGAGAGAGGCAGGAGAATCCAAGGAGTTTTGATGTAGAAAGAGTGGGCTGGAGTGGAGGCACCAACACTCTGTGACCAATTCTCAGAAGATTCCTGGAGGTGGCATCACGAGAAGACTGGGTGGAGAGTGAGAAATGCTGTGGCTGCTCCAGGGTGGCCACCCTGATGGCGAAGGAGGGCTAGTGCCTCTCCCTGTGGGCCTGGGTATTTGGCCAGAAGTAACATTTGTGAGGTTAAAAAAACAATTGAAGTCTCTTGTTTTACCTCTTAAATTTATGTGAATTTTGTACTCTCTCCCACAATGTCTATGATTGCTTTATTATGAAAAGAAGGCCTTTCTGACTCATTTATTTTTCAGCAATGCTAATGTTCCAGGTGATGTGTTTGATTTAGTGGGGGTGGGGGGTGGGTGGGAGGCTCCTGGACCAGTTACTGCAGTGCCCAGCACACAATGAAAATGTGGGGCTCCCTTTTCAAAAATTGGAATTTCAAAGAAGCATGAGCTGAGCATCAAAAAGAGCATGGGGCCCTTCAGAGCATGGGCCCTGTGCAACTGGTAACAAACTATCACAAACTGGGCTTCTTCAAACAACATGGATTTATTTTCTCATAGTTCTGGAGGCCAGAAGTCTGAAATGGGTTTCACTGCGCTGAAATTAAGGTGTTGGCAGGGTTGCAACCCTCTGGTGGCTGTCGGGGAGAGAATCTGTTTCCTTGCTTCTCCCAACTCCTGGAGGCTGCCGGCATGCCTTGGTTCAGGGCCCCTTCCTTGCATCTCTTCAGCCTCTTGCTTCTGCATCTCCTGCTTCCTCTGTAGTTAAACCTTCTTTCTCTTGTAAATTCACTTGTGATTGCATTTAGGGCCCACCTGGATAATCCAAGATAATCTCAAACTTCTAAATTTAACCACATCTGCAAAATTCCTTTTGCATATAAGACCAAAGTTCACAGGTTCCAGTGATTAGGACTTGGATATCTTTGGGGATCATTATTCTGCCTCCCACACATGCCCTGAAGCCCTGCCAGGCTCCTTAGCTGAAATCTCTGGTTTGAAAGAGGCAGCTTTTGAGGCTCATGGCAGAAAGGGTGAGTGGCCTGCAAGGTGCCTGGGGCCACAGTGATGTGAGGGAGTGAGGGCAACACCCAGCCTGGAGCCTCCATGCTGGCTCCAGTGAGAGGAGAGCTGTGTTCAGTGGCCATGGGGATCCAGAAATTCAAGGTCTTTGGGCTGCCTCCTGATGAAGGTTGCCATATTTAGGAAATAAAAATACAGGACACCGAGATGTCTTATCTGGCCACCATGTCCCTGATTCCTGTGGTATACCATATGCCTTTAAGGGGTAGTGCTTAGACTTAGCCTCCTGGGCCTAGATGGGACCCCCCGGCCCCACCACAGTCATTCCACTCCCAGCCAGGCCTCAGGTAGGCAGCCAGGGTAAGAGAAGCTGGGCCTGAGTTTAAAGGCAGTCGGGGAGAGACCTCCAAGGTGACTGGGGAAGAGGACTGGGTTTGCTGATCTCAAGGATAACAACACTCCCTTAAAAGTACTGCACAACATTTCCTAGGTAATTGCTAACCGTCCTCCACCCCCTACAAAGATGGGCTGTCCTCCAGCTCTGGGGGGCCATGAGCCTTGAGTCATTGTGTGGCCCTCCAAGCATGAAAGGCAGCTCCTAAGTGCAGGATGCAGGGCTCCTGGAATAAACACCATGTTTTACTTCCTCTGCAAACACCGCACATCTGAGAAACTAATTTCCTTTTCTAGATATATCTTGCCCAGCTGTGCAGGCCCTTGGAGGGCTGAGGTTGGACTTAATAAAATAGAGGCAGTCAGGGCAGCAGGCCGTTCATGGCCCCCAGTGTTGCACTCCACCATCAGAACATCCCTATGTTCTGTGTGGATGCAGAGCTGAGGGCATGTCCAAGTTTACTTTCCTGAGATGGACCACAGAGAAACAGACTAAATGGTCCTTGTTCTTCTATTTACAGTATTTCAGAGATTCCAAGATGTCACATAATAATTGTAAGAAGCATTGGTTTTTCACGTGCCAACAACAAAAAAAGAAAAAAATGCTGCCATCTATGATATAGTATTAATTATAAGATGTACCCCAATTTCAGAATTGTTGAATTGTGAAAGGATGGACATCTCACAACCAATGAAATATGGTTTCTTTCTTTCTCGCTCTCTTTCTCTCTCTCTCTCTGTCTTTCTTTTTCTCTCTTCTTCTTCTTCTTTTTTTTTTTTTTTTTTGACAGAGTCTCTCTCTGTTGCCCAGGCTGGAAGGCAGTGGTGCGATCTTGGCTCACTGCAACCTCTGCCTCCTCGTTCAAGCGATTCTCCTGCCTCAGCCTCCCAAGTAGCTGGGATTACAGATGCATGCCACCATGCCCAGCTAATTTTTGTATTTTTTGTGGAGATGGGGTTTCACCATGTTGGCCAGGCTGGTCTCAAACTCCTGACAGGTGTTCCACCTACCTTGGCCTCCCAAAGTGCCGGGATTATAGGCATGAGCCACCACACCTGGCAGTATTATTTTCTTATTTCATAATACCATTGTATGATGTGTTATGATAGTTTTTGTTTTGTTTTGTTTTGTTTTGTTTTCTGAGACAGGGTCTTACTCTGTTGTCCAGGCTGGAGTACAGTGGGGTGATCATGGCTCACTGCAGCCTCGACCTCTTGGGCTCAAGCAGTCCTCTCATCTCTCAGCCTCTCTAGTAGCTGGGACTACAAGTGCGTGCCACCATGCCCGGATAATTTTTTGCATTTTTTTTGGTAGAGATGAGGTTTCACCGTGTTTCCCAGGCTGGTCTTAAACTCCTCAGCTCAAGTGATCCACCCACCTTGGCCTCCCAAATTGCTGGGATTACAGGTATGAGCCACTGCACCCAGCTTTATGATAGGTTTGTAGTCAGTGCTATGCTAGTGGAATAAAGCATGGAATAAAAATCATAACGATGACAATAATTCACTTATTTGCTTCTCTTTCTATAACTTGATTCTAGCCCTGTGGCATTGTCCTCCAAGTCTAGTTCACTTGTGGCGGGGTTCCCGGGGCTCAGGTTTCTCTGAGGGATCTCTGGCTCTGATTTATTTCTTTCACTAAATTATCCCCTCCACCCAAGCCTCATGTAGATAAGATTTCCACTGCTTCCTTAAAAAAATTATTGTAGTAAAATATACATAATAGAAAATTTACCATTTTAAAGTGTGTAATTCAGTGGCATTTAGTACATTTCCAAAGAATGCAAGGCAATGCGGGGAGCTGGCCTTTGACCAGGCACGTACTCTGTCCCAGGCCATCTTATGTGTCCTTCCAACTTAATTTTCTGAGAGCACGGCCGGTGGAAAATGCTCCCTAGTGAAGCAATCTGCTTTATTCATTCTACCCATTTAAATGTTAATCTCATCCCAAAACACCCGGAGTAATGTCTGACCAAATATCTGGGCACCTTGTGGCCCAGTAAAGTTGATGCATAAACTTGACTCACAGCCCCTTAGTGAAAAGTAGAGGAATGTAAGCCAGTGGCAGGTGACTGTCCAGGCTGAGGAGTTTATGGGAATCACTGAGCTTTTCCTGGCCTGGCACACAGCAGTCCCAGGACAATAACAGGCACCGTTATTTGTTCACAGCTGTAAGTCATTTGAGTTTCTTGCTGGCCATACCTGTTCTCACTGGCATCATTAACCACCTTGCCACCCTGTGCTCTGCTTGGCCTATTCTGGGTGGTTCCAGGAGTGAAATGAGGCCCAGGCAAAGCTGTCCAGTCAGGGAGGTAAGTGACATTCTCTACTTGCTCCTGGCTTCCCTTCCCAGGTGAGTGTTGTGGGGACACAGCTTGGGAGTCACAGCTGAATCTCCCTTCAGAGCTCCTGGGCCAGAGGAGGGTCGTGCTGTGTTCCTGGGTTCTAACTCTCCCACAAAAGGCTGCCCAGGAACAAGGGACTGGAACCTAGTGTGATCAGAGGATGGAAGGAGGCCAAGTCCTGCCTGGGCATTGTCTAGAGGGGCATCTCCGCTATCCAGGGTCAGTCAGTTGGGGGAGGATTAGGGTACACAGGACTCCTCTGGCTGTTTCTGTGTAGGGTGTCCCAACTTGCTGACCCCTGCCCAACCATCCCCTGCCCTTAGGTTCTGACCCTGGGCCTGCCATATCTTGCCTCTTGCTGCTACCATCCCACTGTGCTTTTCTGATCATCCATACGTGACACACTGACATTCAAGCTTCCCAGCAAAGTCATCCCTTCTGCCAAAGCAGGCTTGTGTGTCTCTTATGCTTGCTCCCACACTCTTAACCTGGGATTACAGGCATGAGCCATTGCACCCAGCCATGCCAAGCTCCTAGATCTTGGTTTCTAAACACCATCCTCCATTGAAATGAGCCAGGGCCTCTTGGAGAAGCAGCTGCTTCCAGAGATGCAGCAGGAAAAGGATGAGATGAACCTGAAACATCTTCTTGTGCCAGAAAGTGAGGGAGTGCTTGGATGGATGAGGACTTATGGAAAGGATATAGGGGTCAAATGGAAAGGACTTCCATTGGCCAAACCTGGGCAATTTGAGAATCAATATAAATAATGATAGTAATGAATAAAACCCATTGAGTAAAATAGGAATCCATGAGTCCATGTTGAAATAATTAAATTAACGAGTAAGTAAATGGAGAGAGAAGGGAAAGCTTTTTCTTGCAACAGATTGCCAACTAATAAATGCAGAAGGAATGGTGGAAATAAGAAAAATCAACATTAGGCAGCCATCGTAGTGGTGGTCGATTCAGGCTGGAGTTGTCAACCGATGCTGAGACTTGCAGGTGAAGATTTGAAGAAGCAGATATTGATGTAGTACTGGAATATTTCCCCAGAATATGTTAGTTACAAAGAGAAATATGGTAACTTTTTGGTAGAAAAACCTGGCAGACAACAGCTTGAGCAGGTGATCAAAGTTAACCTCGCTGGCAGTGCAGTGAGTTGACATCACGTACCTCCTGACTGAAGCATCGGGGCTTTTTTTTGTTTTGTTTTGTTTTTTTTGTTCTATTCCTGCCAAGAATGCATGGCCTGGGTCTTCCCATTGGGAAATTGAGCAGTTGTCCCCAGTTGAGAGTTATCTTATAAAATTAAAGACCTGTAAACTTAAAAACTATAAAGGAAAATTGTGAAAGAGAAGGAGAAACTTCCAGTTTGAAGGAGGTGTGAGGGCTGTGACAACTAAATGCAATGTGTTCCTAGATGATCAGATCGTGTATCAGAAATGAAAAAAAAGACCTGCTGGGAAAATCTGCCTGGGGATGGTGGATTGGATGGTGAGGTTGTGTCAATGTCAATTTCCTGATTTGGAAGTTTCGGTCATGTGTCCTTGTTTATAGGAAATACACTCAGGGTATTTAGGCACAACGGGCATTGTATCTGAAGCTCTCTCTCAGAAAACGACCAGTGATTCTATCCACTCTGTGTCTAGAGAGGGAGAACTCACATGGAAGTGAATGTGGAAAGATATAGCCGTCGGGAAACTTGGGAAACAGAAATATGGCAGTTCTTTGTATTATTCCTTATTTTTCTGTAAATCTGAAATTATTTCAAAATAAATTATTTATTTATTTATTTATTTTTTTGAGATGGAGTCTTGCTCTGTCACCCAGGCTGTGGTGCAGTGGCACAATCTTGGCTCACTGCAATCTCCACTTGCCGTGTTCAACCAATTCTCCTGCCTCAACCTCCCGAGTAGATGGGATTACAGGCATGCACCACCATGCCTGGCTAGTTTTTGTATTTTTAGTAGAGACGGGTTTTCACCATGTTGGCCAGGCTGGTCTTGAGCTCCTGACCTCATGATCTGCTGCCTCGGCCTCCCAAAGTGTTGGGATTACAGGTGTGAGCCACTGTGCCTGGCCCAGTTATTTTTTAAAAGATACAAAAAGCCCACTCATAATTTGACCAATCCATGCGTAACTGTGTAACATTTTAGAGCATTTCTTTCCAGTCGTGTGTGTGAATTTTTATGTAGTTTAAATCATGCTCTACATACAATTTTATATCCTACTGTATCATTTAACATGGTAACATAAACATTTTCCTGAGTGATAAGACAAACGCTCTCTAAACATTTTTTTTAATGGCTACATAATGCTCCACTGACAGGTTGTATCAGAACTTACCACTCCAACTATTGTTGGACAGTTTTCAGGTTATTTCATTAAAAAAATTATAAATCATACTGCAATGAGTATCTTTGATAATAAAGTTTTATATTTCTTTGCCTTACAACAGACTTCTAGAAATGAAATTACAAAATGATATGAATATCTTAAAACAATCGGCATATATAGCACCATGCTGCTTTTCTTTTTTGAGATGGAGTCTCACTCTGTCACCCAGGCTGGAGTGCAATGGCACGATCTTGGCTCACTGCAACCTCCAGCTCCCAGGTTCAAGCTATTCTCCTGCCTCAGCCTCCCAAGTAGCTGGGATTACAGGCATGCATCACCACGTCTGGCTAATTTTGTATTTTAGTACAGGTGGGGTTTCACCATGTTGGCCAGGCTGGTCTCAAACTCATGACCTCAGGTGATCCACCCACCTCAGCCTCCCAAAGTGTTGGGATTACCGGCGTGAGCCACAGCACCCAGCCACCGTATTGCTTTTCAAACCACATTAGCAATGCAATAATTCCCAACAGCAGTGAATGAGCACTAATTCCAGCACACCCTCACCAGCATTTAAAAATTCTTTACTCTTTTGATAGGTGAAGAGGGAGGACTTATTGTTTTATTGTGTGTTCCTTCAATTTCTGGAACTTGAACGTTTTACTAGTGGTTTGTGAAACCAGTTGTGGCTCTCTGTTGACATCACCATGGTTTTCATTAGCTTGTCTAGACTGGATGCTTCTCCTAGGACTGGGGCCATGTGACCTTTGTGTCTAGTGCAGAGCTCTCCTCTGAGGACCACCAGCATCTGGTGCCCATGCCTGGCGCTTTCTGGAACCATCTGACTTCAAAGTTGCTCATGTGCATGGCTGCCTTTCCTCTTGTCAGAGGCTGTTTAGGGAGCTGGTATCTCACTCAGCCTGGGCCATTTCCGAACTAGTCCTTCTGGTTAGTTCCAGCTCCCTGGCCTGGGAGCAACTCTTATCTACTTTCATTCTATTAGACTTTTCCCTCCTTTATTTTTCTCTTTTGAAAAATAAAAATAGGATTATTGATTATTTTCCCTTTGAGTATAAAGGAAGTTTATATTCATGTAAAAAAGTCAGATATTATAGAAAGACGTAAAAAAAAGAAAACTCTCTAGCAGTAAAATGAGTTTGGCAAAACTCATTTTGCCAAAAAAATTAACAGCAGCCAGGCACAGTGGCTCACACCTGTAATCCCAGCACTTTGGGAGACTGAGGCGGGTGGATCACTTCAGGCCAGGAGTTTGAGACCAGATGGGGCAACATGGCAAAACCTTGTCTCTAATAAAAATACAAAAATTAGCCAGGCATGGTGGTGTGCGCCTCTTGTCCCAGCTACTTGGGAGGCTGAGGCAGGAGAATCACTTGAACTTGAGAGGTAGAGATTGCAGTGAGCTGAGATTGTGCCACTGCACTCCAGCCTGGACAACAGAGTGAGACTCCGTCTCAAAAAAAAAAAAAAAATTAACAACATAAAAACAACACTCTATAATCATATAATCCAGAGCTATTTGATATTACTATTTGGAATATTTCCTTCCAGATTTTTCTACGCATATACGTATAGATTAATTTTTATAAAAATGGACTTACTTTTAAAATTTTGGTTTAAAAGAACTTTTAAAAGTTCGTTTTTAAGCATCCACATTAGATCTCAGATTTATATATATAGTTTGCATCCAGTACTTTTTTGGGTAACACAAATATTAATACAGCCAAGTATCAACCGCATTCCACTTCTGTGTTAAAAACAAGTTTCTATTTGTAATGCACTACATTCCTGAACTGTTGTAAAAAACCTTCTTGGAATTAGTGTGTGAATGTTTTTTAAAAAAACATTGCTTAGGCCAGGCGCAGTGGCTCATGCCTGTAATCCCAGCACTTTGGGAGGCCTAGGCGGGCAGATCACCTGAGGTCTGGAGTTCAAGACCAGCCTGGCCAACATGGCGAAAGTCCGTCTTTACTAAAAATACAAAAATTAGCTGGGTGTGGTGGTGCACACCTGTAATCCCAGCTACTCAGGAGGCTGTGGCAGGACAATTGCTTGAACCCAGGAGGCAGAGGTTGCAGCGAGCTGATGTGTCCAGAATTGGTTGCTTCCGGTGGGTTATTGGTCTCGCTGACTTCAAGAATGAAGCCATGGACCCTCGCGGTGAGTGTTACAGTTCTTAAAGATGGTGTGTCTGGAGTTTGTTCTTTCAGATGTTCAGATGGGTCTGGAGTTTCTTCCTTCTGGTGGGTTCGTGGTCTTGCTTGACTTCAGGAGTGAAGGTGCAGACCTTTGCAGTGAGTGTTACAGCTATTAAGGGTGGCATGTCCAGAGTTGTTTCTTCCTTCTGATGGGTTTGTGGTCTCGCTGACTTCAGGAGTGAAGCCGCAGACCTTCGCAGTGAGTGTTACAGCTCTTAAAGGTGGCGTATCTGGAGTTGTTTGTTCCTCCCGGTGGGTTCGTGGTCTTGCTGACTTCAGGAGTGAAGCTGCAGGCCTTTGCAGTGAGTTTTACAGCTCATAAAGGTAGTACGGACTCAAAGAGTGAGCAGCAGCAAGATTTATTGTGAAGAAGGAAAGAACAAAGCTTCCACAGTGTGGAAGGGGACCTGAGCGGCTTGCTGCTGCTGGCTCAGGTGGCCAGCTTTTATTCCCTTATTTGGCCCCACCCACATCCTGCTGATTGGTCCATTTTACAGAGCGCTGATTGGTCTATTTTACAGAGTGCTGATTGGTCCATTTTTACAGAGTGCTGATTAGGTGTGTTTACAAACCTTTAGCTAGATACAGAGTGCTGATTGGTGCATTTACAATCCTCTAGCTAGACAGAAAAGTTCTCCAAGTCCCCACTTGACCCAGGAAGTCCAGCTGGCTTTACCTCTCAATCCCCTCTCTAAACAGGACACCCCAACTGCTGTTGGGAATTGGGTGATGAATGCTCTAGCTACTTCCTGTGGGATAGGGGCAAAGAAGGGGCCCTACAGTTGTAGTGTCCTCCAGAGGGGAACTCTTTAGGCCAGTGAAAGGGCCAATGGGTCAGTCCAGGGGTCCTTGGTAGAAGTTGTTAGTTGAGCTCATTTAGGGTTCCATTTGTAAGACCATCTGTAGCTTGATGGCCTTGATCCTAGAGGAAACAAATTTGACAAGGAGATTAAAAATACAAGGCCTGAAGGCGAGTAATAGCCAGATGGCTGCCACAGGACCTAGAAAAGGAAGAAGCCATGTTGCCCAACTCCAGAGGTTGGTATAAGAGTTTGAAAGGCATCTGATTTCAGAAGCCTTTTCCTGTAAACACTGGGTGGCATCTTGTACTATCTCTGGCTGGTTAGTGTAAAAACAACACTCTTCTCCTAAGAAGGTGCAGAATCCTCCTTCCTCCACAGTGAGGAGGTCTAGGCCTCAGCAGTTTTGGAGAGTCACTGCTGCCAAAGAGTCTATTTGGGGTTGTAGAGTAAGGATAGATTTCATTAGTTCTTGCAAACTGAGAAATCCTTTGAGAGTGTGTGGTAGTAGGGTAACGAAGTAGATAAACTGGCTATTCCAGTTCCTGTAGCAGTAGCTATTCCTAACCCTATAAGTAGGGGTATTAGTTGTCTGGCTCTGCGCTGACAGACTTGAGCTTTGAGGCATTCTGATAGGGTCTGATTTCCTGGGGCAATGTTAATGTTGGGACTTAGAAAGACTAAGGTGCAGGTGCCTGTCCAGTTAGTCGGGAGGCAGATATAGGTCGACGTTCCACAAAAGACTATACCTCGGCTGGGTAGAGATAACTGGTTTGTGTATGTTAAAAAGGTGTGTGAGTTTATTGTTTTCATTTTCCCATACTCCCAGAGTACTTGTCAAGGTAGCTCTGGTGAGTGGCTGGAAACGGGTGTTGGGAGCAAACTGAGTGGCTCCCTGTGTTCTATTTTCCCATTGGAGACAAAACCATTTTGTATCTACTAGGAACCATTTGAGAGTGATTGAAAGAGGGGATGAGAAGGCATTCACTAGTGGTGGGGGTGCTGCTGCAGGGGGTCCAGGGGTGAATGGTCATGCAGGGAGCATGTTTGCCATTACAACCTGGACTGTTTGTTAAGTAGGGAGGAGGTGATGATTTTTGGGGGCCCTGAGAAGTGGACAAGCCATCTGAATGGAGCTGTTTGGGTGACTCGGAAGTTACTATGATCAGTTGGGGCTTGAAGTTGTAGGATGTAATTACACTGATGGGGTAGTAGGTGCCCCAGGGGCAGGCCTGATAACATGTTGCGTTGGATGCATAAAGGGGCTTGGAAAGTTAAGATAGTATTCGTAGTTACAGGGCCATGTATGGGCTTTTCATTGCTTGTGTAATAAGTGAGGTTGGAAATGTAAGAATGTAAAAGTTGGATTGCATGTCCTGTTAGGGTATTCTTGGTCCTATCAGAGATGGGGAAGTTGGCTAATGATTGCATATTTAGAATTCGGAAAGGGTCTTTTCCTTCATAACGAGGGTGGTAGGTTAAGTTGGTAAAGACCCAGTTTTTTGCAGGAATGGGAGTGGCAACATAAGCAGAAGTTGATAGAGAGATACAAAGCCAACAGTCATTTGTCAGGGGAGGATTGGACTAGTTTAACAGAGAGTGGGTTAAGTTGAGAGTCTTATAGAGGTAATTAGGAGCTAGTGGAAGGGGAGGGGTGATTGTATGAGGTATCCAAGGAAGCAGGAGGAATAGACAGGCAAAGAGTAAATTGGAAGGTAAAGAGGGTGCTCTGGAAGATGAGATCATTTTATTCAGTCTGAGTTAAAGGTAGGAGTAAATTGCTGTCAGAAGGAAGGAAGATAGAAAGAAAGAAGGTTGATGTGATTAGGATTTTCATCCTGGCAGGAGCTACAGTATAATCCTATTGCAAAGAGTATGGTTAGTATGCTGCTTAATAATATGATGAAATAGTAAAAGGATTCCATTAAAGGGGCAAGGAGAGATGTTAAAGATAAAGATTATGTAGGCCTTCACTTATCTTTTTTAAGTAGGAAGGGGTGTTTCTTCAGGATCAGTGGTAGGAGCCTTTTTAGTCTGGGATGTTTCCTTCTGAAATAGGAGATGAAAGTCCTCCAATGGTTCGCAGGTGTATCGAGGCTGGTCTGGCTGATCTTGGGACTCCTGATCTGATGGTCCCGCAGGTTCCTCAAGGGGTGTCCAAAATGTAACTCAGGTGTGGTGAATCCAAGATTCCACCCCTGCCACCTTAACTGCAGTGGGGGTAGAGAGGATTACCGAGTATGGTCCTTCCCACAAAGAGTGCATAGATGAGGAGGTAGAGAGGAGAGATTTGACCAACACTAGATCTCCTGGTTGAAACAACTCTACTCTGTTCCCTTTTTTCTGTGACATCCTTTAGGTAGTTTTTTAAGGTTTTGTTGAAATTTTGCCAAAGAAGTTATATCTTTGACCAAGTTGGCCAATTCCTGATCAAGTAGGAGGTCATTTGTGAGAAAAGTTCATCCATACAACATTTCATATGGACTGAGCCCCATTTTGTGAGGAGAATTTCGGATTCTCAACAAGGCCATGGGCAAAAGAGTAGGCCATGGGAGATGAGTTTCTTGTGTTAGTTTCCTTAAGTGCCTTTTGAGTGTTTCATTTGCCTTCTCCACCTTCCCTGAGGATTGTGGCCTCCAGGTGCAGTAAAGGTGATATTGTATCCCTGGTGCCCTGGAAATTCCCTGAGTTATTGTGATTTTAAAAGCTGGACCATTGTCACTCTGTAAGCTTTGGGAAAGCCCAAATCTAGGAATCATTTCATGAATTAGGACTTTAATCACTTCCTGAGACTTCTCTGGCTTGCAGGGGAAAGCTTCTATCCAATTTGTAAAGGTATCAACACAGACCAACAAGAATTGAAATCCCTTTGACTTAGGCATATGGGTGAAGTCTAACTGCCAGTCCTTTCCAGGATAGTGACCTATTCTTTGTTCCCCCAAAGGGGCCTTACGATGGACCAAGGGATTATTCCTTTGGCACACCTCACAGGCTTTGACTACCTGTCGGATGGTCTGGAGATTTGGCCCTGTAAACAGGGATTTGGCCATTTGATGAGTGTTTTCAATACCCATATGAAAAATTTGGTGGAGCGTTTTAAGTATTTTCCACTGGCTGGCTTCAGGTATAAGTATCTTTCCTTCTTCTGTCATTAACCACCCTGAGGGGAAAAAACTATGCCCCCATGAAAGTCCCCATTCTGTTTCAGTTGGGGAATACTGGGGCTTAATCTCTTGGAGGGGGTTGTTCCATACCAAGGGTTCTTCCACTGGTATTTCTAGTGGGAGGTTCTACCTGACAGCAATTTTGGCCTCAGCATCTGCCTGACAGTTTCCTTCTGCCTTTTGTCCTTCACCTTTCTGATGGCTTTGGCAGTGTAAGACTGCCACCTCCTTGGGTTTTTGCACTGTGTGCAATAACTCAATAATTTCCTTGTGGTATTTAATGGGGGTTCCCCCAGAGGTTAGGAACTCCCTTTCTTTCCATATTGCAGCATGGGCATGTAACATTTGATAAGCATACTTGCTATCTGTATACACATTTATTCTTTTTCTCTTTCCCAGTTCTAAGGCTCGGGTAAGTGCACTAGTTCTGCTAATTGGTCGCTGGTCCCTGGGAGAAGACGCTTACTTTCAAGTATGGTTACATCACTAACTGGCATAATCTGCCCTTTGTATCCCATTCTCCACAAATGAACTTCCATCGGTATATAGGTTAAGGTCAGGATTAGCTAAGGGGACTTCTAAGTGATCATCTCAGGTGGCATAAGTCTGGACTATAATTTGTTGGCAGTCATGCTCGATTGGTTTCTCATCCTCTGGGAGAAAAGTGGCAGGGTTGAAGGCCACGCATGTATGCATTTGAAGCACTAGTCTCTCAAGGAGTAGCAGCTGGTATCTAAGTAGACAGTTGTCTGATAACCATAAACTTCCTTTGGCACCTAGTATGCCACTTACATCACAAGTAGTCCAGACAGTGAGATCCTTTCCTTGTATTATTTTGATAGCCTCTGACACTAAGATGGCCACTGCCACAACTACCCATAAACAGTGAGGCCAGCCTTTTGCTACTACATCGATTTCCTCACTTAGGTGTGCCACTGGTTGTGGGGTTGTCCCATGAGTCTGAGTAAGGACCCCAAGAGCTATCCCTACTCTCTCTGTGACGTTTAAAGAGAAGTTTTCTCCTGTGGGAAGGCTTAAAGCTGGAGCTTGCACTGGAGCTTGCTTTAAGGTTTTGAAGGCTGTTTCTGCCCCTGGTTCCCATTCTACTAGATGAGTATTTGCCCTCTGGGTCTCCTTGATTAGAGTATAGAGGGGCCTGGCTATCTCGCCATATCTGGGGATCCATAGTCAGCAAAAGCCGGTGATTCCAAGGATCCCCCATAACTGTTTTAACATCTTAGGGCAAGGATAAGCCAGTATAGGCTGTATTCATTCCTTGCTGAGGGCCCTGGTCCCTCTGGATAAGATTAGGCCTAGATATTTGACCTGCTGTAGGTAAAGCTGAGCCTTCGACCTAGATGCCTTGTACCCTTGATTAGCTAGAAAGTTCAAGAGATCTAGAGTAGCCTGCTGACATGAGGCTTCCAAACTGGTAGCCAAAAGTAAATCATCCACATACTGAAGAACCAGAGTGCCTGGACTTGAGAAGTGGTCTAGATCTTGGGCCATGGCCTGACCAAACAGATGAGGGCTATCCCTAAACCCTTGGGGCAAGACTGTCCACATAAGTTGGGATGTGTGGTCTGTGGGATCCTCAAAGGCAAAGAGAAACTGGGAGTCAGAGTGCAGGGGAATACAGAAGAAGACATCCTTGAGGTCTAGAACAGTGAATCATTCTCCTTCCTCTGGTATTTGAGAGAGCAGGGTACAGGGGTTGGGTATAACTGGGTATAGAGGAATTACTGCCTCATTGATGAGTCTAAGATCTTGCACTAGTCTCTACTGACCATTCAATTTTTGCACTCCTAGAATTGGGGTGTTGCAGGGACAGCTGCATTTCCTTACTAAGCCTTGAGCTTTTAAATGTTTAAACAATACCCTGTAATCCTTTATGAGCTTCAGGCCTTAAGGGATATTGCCTTTGATAAGGAAAAGTGGTGGGGTCTTTTAGCCTGATTTGGACTGGGCAGGCATTTTTTGCCCTTCCAAATTGTCCTACCAATGCACAGACTCCAGGGTTGATTCCCTCCTCAAGTACAGGACAACACATGGGTAAATTCTTCCCCATATTCATGTAGATAATAGCTCCAGCTTTGGCTAACATATCTCTCCCTAATAACGGTGTGGGACTTTCAGGCATGACAAGAAAGGCATGTGAAAAGAGCAAAATCTCCCAATTACAACTGAGGAGGTGAGAGAAATACCTGGTTACAGACTGTCTCAGGATTCCTTGGATGGTAACGGACCTTGAGGACAGTTGTCCAGAACAAGAGATTAACACTGAGAAGGCCATGCCAGTGTCCAGGAGGAAGTCAATTTCCTGGCCCTGAATGGTTAAACGTACCCGGGGCTCAGTGAGGGTGATGACATGAGCTGGCGCTTGCCCCGGGCACCCTCAGTCCTGTTGTTGAATCATCTGATTGGGGGCTTCTGGGCCAGAGAACCTTCATCCTCTGGGGCAGTGTGCCTTCCAGTGATTCCCTCAGCATAGTGGACATGGGTGAAGGGGCAGCTTGTTTCTTGTTGGACAATCTTTTTTAAGGTGTCCTTGTAAACCACACTGATATCAAGCCCCACTGGGTGATTGGCCTGCTCCATTTTCTGTCCTCTCTGAACCACCAAGGTTTGTTTGTCTGAGGGCCATGACTAAGGCTGCGGCCTTTCTCTGATCTTGGTTTTCCTTTTGGGCCTGTTCCTCTTGGTCCCTATTATAGAACACCAATGTTGCCAGGTTTAATAATGCCTCCAGATTTTGTTCAGGTCCAGGGCTCACTTTTGGAGCTTTCTTCTGATATCTGTGGCTAATTGGGTAACAAACTTATCTTTTAGAATCAACTGACCCTTGAGTGGGTTGGGTGACAGGGGAGTATATTTTCTTAAGGCCTCCTGTAGCTGCTTGAGGAAAGCGGAAGGATTTTCTTCCTTTCCCTGAGTTATGATAGACATCATTGAAAAATTCATGGGCTTTTGCCTAATTCTCCTTAGTCCTTCTAGAACACAGGTCAACAGATGTTTGCGACTCCAGTCCCCATAATCTGAGTAAAGATCCCAGTGGGGATCCATACTGGGGTTGGCTTGCTGACCAGTAGGGAATTTGTCCCTTTCTTTGGCTGTCATTCTATCATTTACTTGACTAAGATACCAGGTAGCTCCAAACCCTTGGGCTGCAGCTAAAGCTGCATTCTTTCATTAAAGACCAGGGTTTGATCTAACAATAGCATGACATCTCTCCAAGTGAGATTGAAGGTTTGCCCTAGACCCTGTAGGACATCTATGTACCTATCAGGATCATCTGAAAACTTCCCCAGGTCTACCTTGATCTGCTTTAAATCAGAGAGGGAGAAGGGGATATGTACCCGGGTTGGGCCAAATTCCCCTCCCCCTACAGCTTGAAGGGGGCATATCAAATAGCCCAGGGGTTTTTGTGGTCCTTTGGAGGTTTCTTTGCTTATTTGCTTCTGAGCAGGGGAGATTAGAGGAGGCTTATCACTAATAGGAAGGGGAGCTATAGGGAAGCTAGGATATGGGGGTAAGCTGAGAGGTCCTCCTGTGGGATGTAAACTGCAAGCTTTGAATAGTTGTGTATTCTCCTTCAATGAAAAGAAATCTTGGACATAAGGTATTTCACTCCATTTGCCTTCCCTCTTACAGAAAATATCAAGCTGCAGGATAGTATTGTAATTTAAACTTCCCTCAGGTGGCCATTTTTTCCCATCAGAAAGAGAATATTGGGGCCAAGCCATAGTGCGGAAAAAAATGAGCTGCCTCTTTTTCAGGGTTTGTGGGTCAAATTGGTACCAATGGCTTACAATGCATTTCAAGGGTGAGCCTGTTGATGCCTGAGTGTTTCCCATCTGAAAGACAAAACCGCCCACAGTTTTGGTTTGTTTGTTTCTCCCCCTGCCCAAGAACCCACAACAGTCCCAGGACCCTGCTGATCAGAATAGTCATGCTCGCCAACACAGCAGCAGAAATACCTTTTGCCCAAGAATCTGCAATGGTCCCCAGACACTGCTGATCGGAATAGTTGTGCTCACCAACACAGCAGCAGAAACACTAGTTTTCCTCCTAGACCACAAGGAGGACTGAGGAAGGTCAGATTTAGTGACCCTTACTGACACATCCTTGAAAACCTGCACCCTTGCCTGACCTCCTAGACCACAAGGAGGACTGAGGAAGGTTGAATTTAGTGGTTCTTACTGACACATCCTCAAAAACCTGCACCCTTGCCTGTCCTCCTAGACCACAAAGAGGAACGAAAAAAATCAGATTTAGTGGACCTTACCAACACATTCTTGAAAACCTGTTACAGTCCTGTTTTCCTGTTAGTGTTGAGACTTTATTTGTGTCCTATGTAGATGTTATGCCCCAAAAATGAAGTGGAGGGCCACACTCTGAGGGAGAGAAGGGATCTCCAGAGTTGGAAGAGTCATGCCTTTTGTCCTCACTTGTATGAATAGGAATGATACAATTTCTGAGGCTCCCCATATCTTAGCTTCAGGAATAGCTTTTATTAGGCCTGCTTGTCTGAGGAGGGATCCTAAAATTCCAGATTATCCCCCCTATGATGGGGCTTAGGGCAAAAATTATGTCTTTCTTATTGGTGAGCCCGGGTTCCTAAAGAAGGTAACAGAGTCCTGAAGTTTATACTAGAAATCATACTTACAGGAGAAACTAGAAAAGCACCAGAGACAGGGAGTGGTTTTTAGAAGCAGGACTAGCCTGAGAGAAGAGGAGAGAGGAAGTTTGTCTGACAGGAATTAGGACCCAGGAGGCAAGCATCAGGATAGATAGGATAGATGGGCAAGTGTCACTTGGGTGACATGACTGAGAGTTCCGCTCATGGCCTCAGGGTCAACCAACTTGTTATCAGGACCCCGGAGCTGAAGGGCTTTCCTCTCTGTCAACCCTTGGCTCAGCCCAGAAGTACAGGAAATGTGAAAGCTGGTTCCAGGCAAACCAATGCTCCCAACTCTGAAGAGTCGGGGGTTGTTAGAGAGCCCTTTCCCAGAAAGCCAGACACCCGTGTCTTCAGTCTGGCAGCCATGCTGGTTGCTTTTAACTGGCCAACAGGTGCCCGGTATTTAACCCCTGAATTCTAAGGAAAAATAGGACAGAATAGCAAATGAATAGGGTCTGATGGTACTCACCCCTTGGCGATAGGCGATAATCCCTTCATGGTTGCCAAAATGTGTCCAGAATTGGTTCCTTCCGGTGGGTTATTGGTCTTGCTGACTTCAAGAATGAAGCTGAGGACCCTCACGGTGAGTGTTACAGTTTTTAAAAGTGGTGTGTCCGGAGTTTGTTCCTTCAGATGTTCAGATGGGTCTGGAGTTTCTTCCTTCTGGTGGGTTCATGGTCTCGCTTGACTTCAGGAGTGAAGCCGCAGACCTTTGCAGTGTTACAGCTCTTAAAGGTGGCATGTCTGGAGTTGTTTCTTCCTTCTGGTGGGTTAGTGGTCTCACTGACT
This sequence comes from Homo sapiens, assembly GCF_000001405.40. Lineage (NCBI taxonomy): Eukaryota > Metazoa > Chordata > Mammalia > Primates > Hominidae > Homo > Homo sapiens. The sequence continues at coordinate 31,762,582 of NC_000017.11, read as the reverse complement.
TTAGGAGTGAAGCTGCAGACCTTCGCAGTGAGTGTTACAGCTCATAAAGGTAGTGCGAACCCAAAGAGTGAGCAGCAGCAAGAATTATTGTGAAGAGTGAAAGAACAAATCTTCCACAGCATGGAAGGGGACCTGACCGGGTTGCCTCTGCTGGCTCCGGTGGCCAGCTTTTATTCCCTTATTTGGCCCCACCCATGTCCTGCTGATTGGTCTATTTTACAGAGCGCTGATTGGTCCATTTTACAGAGTGCTGTGCTGATTGCTGCATTTTTCCAGAGTGCTGATTGGTGCGTTTACAAACCTTTAGCTAGACACAGAGTGCTGATTGGTGCGTTTTTTACAGAGTGCTGATTGGTGTGTTTACAAACCTTTAGCTAGACACAGAGAGCTGATTGGTGCATTTTTACAGAGTGCTGATTAGTGCATTTACAAACTTTTACCTAGACACAGAGCACTGATTGGTGCATTTACAATCCTCTAGTTAGACAGAAAAGTTCTCCAAGTACCCACTCGACCTAGGAAATCCAGCTGGCTTCACTTCTCACTGAGATTGCGCCACTGTACTCCAGCCTGGGTGACACAGTGAGACTCCATCTCAAAAAAAGAAAAAAAAAAACCAAAACCATTGCTTAATAAATAATACCATCACCCCCCAAAGACACATTCTGAAAAGGTAAGAAGGCTGGTGGAAGACTTCAGTTCATATCTAGTCCTTAAAATCTTTGAGAATCAAGATTTCAGTCACCACTAGGCTATATCAATGTATAATCCATTCACCTAACTTAGCATTTGCATATAGCCGGAGCTTTCCTTCTCATTTATAAAATTATTTTGACTATAATTGTAAGTTATTATTATTATTATTAATATTGTGAGACAGGGTCTCACTCTGGCACCCAGGCTGGGGTGCAATGGTGTAATCATGGCTCACTGTTACCTCAACCACCGGGCTCAGGTGATCCTCCCACCTCAGCCTCTCAGGTAGCTGGGACATGGTGGCATGTGCCACCATGCCTGGCTAATTTTTTGTACTTTTTGTATTTTTTGTAGAGACAGGGTTTTGTCATGTTGCCCAGTCTGGTCTTGAACTCCTGGGCTCAAGTGATCTGCCTGCCTCAGCCTCCCAAAGTGCTGGGATTACAGCTTGAGCCACTGTGCCTGGCAAGTTTTGATTAATTGTAACATGGCAACATATTGACAAATCATTACTGATACAGACTTTTCAGTCTGCTAGATATTATGAATTGTAAGTGTAATGAAGCTGCATTTCATTGACAACAGCTGCATTTCATTAATGTCGTGTGACCCATGGGCAAATGAATCCACTGGTCATACGATGTCTCTCTTTTTTTTTTCCCCAAGACAGAGTCTTGCTCTGTCACCCAGGCTGGAGTGCAGTGGCATGATCTCAGCTCACTGCAACCTCTGCTTCCTGAGTTCAAGCAATGCTCCTGCCTCAGCTTCCTGAGTAGCTGGAATTACAAGCACCCGCCACCGTGCCTGGCTACTTTTTGTATTTTTAGTAGAGACAGGGTTTCACCGTGTTGGCCAGGTTTGTCTCAAACTCCTGACCTCGTGATCCGCCTGCCTCACCTCCCAAAGTGCTGGGATTACAGGAGTGAGCCACTGCGCCCAGCTGATGTCTGTTAAAGTAAGCTTGTGATACTTGAACCAGGGAACTGTGGCAATCAGGAAACTGTTGACCATGGACAACCAGTGAATATTTATCTAAGTACAGGCTAGAATCTGTACTTAAGTAAGTGGGTGATTAGTTGAAGGAATACAAATTGTAACCAAGTAAGAATGTTTTCTCAGAGCTCACAGTATAATTAGAATCAGAGTCAGATGAAAAAAGAAGGCATGGAATAGCCTCATTCATATAGGAAGTTATCCTAATTGCCAGTACTGATGTGGCAAGTTCTGACCAAGAGATTATGAATGATATCAATCAATAACTTGTAATGCTGACTTATAAAGGACATTGACGCTGGGCTCCGTGGCTCCCATCTGTAATCCCAGCTACTTGGGAGGCTGAGGCGAGGAATGAGTGCAGAGTGGGGCCTTGTGTGCAACCCTAGATCTTGCTCCTGGGAGCCCCTGGAGTGGTACTTTTAAAGAAAAAAGATGGGGTCTCACTTTAGCTGGGTGTGGTGCCTCACACCTATAGTCCCAGCTCCTCAAGAGGCTGAGGTAGAAGGATCACTTGAGCCCAGAAGTCCAAGACTTCAGTGAACTATGGTTGTGCACTGTACTCCAGCCAGGGTGACAAAGCAAGACTTCATCTCTTACAAAAAGAAAAAAAAAAAAAAAGAGGACATTGATGAGAATAAAAGTTCTGTGTGTTTATGCTGGCTCTCTAAAACATAAGAGATAAAATCCAAATGAACAAATACAATTAATTTTTAACAGATATAGCAGCTTGGAAGTTTAAAGAAATTCTAGTAAGAATTTAAAGAAACTCTTGTGAAAACTGGAAAACAAAAACATGTAAATAAAATATCTTGAGAAAATGAACATATAGTATTTACCAAATTTAATGCCTAAAAATTCAAAATCCTGAAATAGGATATAAGGGATATGTTTGTCAATAGTAAAAGACTGATGAATGCTAGTAAAATGTAAAAATATTCCATAAAACATCGACAGGAGTTTTTTCATCTTATTCCTTGTGTGAAGACATTTGGGAACCTTTTCCCAAGTATACTCCAGCTCAGCAGGCAGCTAACCCACTGAGGGCTGGTTTGTTTGTGAGGATGGAGACCTCAGACAGCAGGACTATGAAGGATGAACAGGTACATTTTGCAGCTAAATTTCAGAAGACCTGCTCAAGTATGTACGATAAAACCCTGCTTCATTTAATTTTCTGTCCCCTGACTTTTCCAGTGTGGGTTGCTTGGCTGATTATCTTCTCCCTATTTTTTTTTGTTTTATGGTCTCCAATAATCTTGCATTTCTCTTTGTTCTACCAAAATGCTGCCTGAATAAGCTCTGGGTCTTTCGCACAAGTATGGGCTGAACCTGTGCTATGTCTTGCCTATGGGGCCTTTTCTCTGCAGACCTCTTCCGTGTGGTGGTCCCCAGATTGAAGGGTACAGTCTGGCTTGCCACTGCACAAGGTCATCAGAGGGATTTAATCTCATTTTGTGCTCAGCCATCCTGGTGAGGCCAAAGGGGTCATGGGGCTCATTTTGCACCTTGGGTGCATATATGGGTTTTCCCTGGAAAAATGTATTGTTTCATCCACTATCATTGCAAAGTCACGTAAGCCAACATTTGTTGGGCACCAAGCATTCTGCTAAGTGCCCCACATGTGTTATCTTAATTTATTCCTATGAAGTAGGTGCCCTTATTATTCCCACCTTATAGACAGAGAAACTAAGTCTCAGGATGGTTGTTTTCCCAACCACTTAATAAGGTTTACCATTTAATAAGTGGCAGATCTGGGTGTTGAGCCCAGGTCTGTCTGAGTTCCTAACCACTGAGCAGGTGGTCTTTCCTTCTGCACACACACACACACACACACACACACACTCATATGCATTTTTATAATAATGAAAGAATCTCATATATGCTGTTTTGTAGCTCCCTCTTTTCACTAACCCACTACAAGATGGGGCAAGAAGAGCATAATAGATTATTCCCCAGCCTCATCCTGACTGGGCAGAGCTTCCCACATCTGTCTTTTTCCCCCAGTGGAGTCTGGAGCGTGAGTCACAATGGAAAGGTCTAGAAAGCAGCTTCTTTGGTAGAGGCTCCATGGTGACCATAGTACAGAGATGGGGCCCAACTTGGGTACCCACCAGAGATAGAAGAAGGAATTATTACTTCCTGACAGGTGAGTCAATGAGATGGTATTGTAGAGTCAATTTCTTATCACTGAAAGCATTCAGGCAGAAGTTATTAGATTGGTGGTTCTCAATGGGGATATATCATCTCTTTAGTGGTGGTTTTGGAACTAGGGGGATTATTTTTGGTTGTCATAATGATTTTGCAGTCAACTACTTCCATTTAAGAGGGCAAGTCCTGTAGCGTGTGCAATATGGTACAGACCCAGGCAACAAGAAGCTTTCCTGCCTCCTCTGAACTTCTGAATGTCCTGGAAGAAATTCATATAGGAAAAAAACCCCCAATAAAACAAAACAAAACAGACAAACAAAGAAAACACCCCAAAACCTGTTTATAATTTGCTGATCCCAGAAATGAATGCTGTTTTATATATAAAGCAATGTCATGTTTTTGAATTTTTTCAAATATAAACAATTTTTCAAAAGTGCAAATACTGGGAAAAAAGGGAAAGATTATACTTTGCATTGTGTGCAATGTTAACAAGAGCATGTCACCATTTTGGAAAATCGCAACCTGCATGGTAATGACACGATATTTGAGTTGCTGATACATTTATACCTACCTGCATTTGTAGCTATTGATTCATGGTGCAACACACATGTACATGACAGGTAGTTTAGTTTGTGAGTAGAGGAAAAGATACCCCCCACCCCATTTGCTTGTATTTTTGAATATCAGGTATTAGGTTGAATCATGAAATTACCATTTTTGTAGATCAAAGTTCCATATTGGAAATTTCATAGAGTTCAACTTAATATTGAATATTGTCTAACTTCTGAATCTAAATGTATTTCTTCTTATTCCATGCAAGTATCACACTACGACGTGCCCAAGTATTTATGTGTTGAAATGTTACTTTATCCCTTTTATTTTTCATTTAAGTTGCAGGTATATCATTATATTAATTCTTTTGTGTTGTCATATAAATAGTTTATTACTGCATTTAAATAAAGTCAAAGAGGCATTTAAAATGCTTATGAAGGCAGGCGTGGTGGCTCATGCCTATAATCCCAGCATCTTGGGAGGCCGAGGTGGGCAGATCGCTTGAGGCCGGGAGTTTGAATACAGCCTGGTTAACACGGTGAAACCCTGTCTCCACTAAAAACACAAAAAATTAGCCAGGTGTGGTGGTGGGGTGGTAGGTGCCTATAATCCCAGCTACTCAGGAGGCTGAGGTGGAAAGCTGCTTTGAGCCTGGGAAGGCCAGGCTGCAGTGAGCCGAGATTGTACCACTGCACTCCAGCCTTGGCAACAGAGTGAGACACTGTCTCAAAAAAAAAAAAAAAAAAAAAAAAGCTTATGAAAAGGGAGTTTGGGTTTGAAGGGATGAGAAGTTTGCCTTAAGGCAGCACTCACAATATTCTATTCTATATACTAGAATGCTGTTTGGAAGAACTTGAACACCGTAGTTACCATATTATCCTACAAATGGCAAGTCATGCTCCCTCCCGAGTCCCCTAAGGGCTTCTGAAACCAGGGAGGGAAACCAACATTGGGAGTGTCTGTCTGCTGTGTGTCCAATACTTAAGGTATCATCTCTAATCCTTACAGCCACTCTGTGAAGAAGGTGGGGCTATCCTTAATTTGCAGATGAGAAAACTGAGGATTACAGTGTGTCTTAGTCCATTTGAGCTGCTGTAATAAAATACCATAGATGGGGTAGCTTATAAGCAACAGAGATTTCTTTCTTACAGTTCTGGGGGCTGGGAAGTCCAAGATCAAAGCACCAGCAGATTTGGTGTCTGGTAAGGACTTCTGTCCTGGTTCATAGATGGTGCCTCCTCACTGTGTCCCTACATGGTGGAAGGAGTCAGGGAGCTCTCTGGGGTCTCTTTTATAGGGCACTAATCCCAATCATAAGGCCTCTGCTCTCATGATCTAATCCCTTTCCAAAAGCCCCATCTCCTAATACCATCACATTGGTGATTAGGTTTTTAACATATGAATTTTGAAAACATTCAGACTCTGGCAGAGTGAGTGGTTAGGATACTTGTCGAAGATTACACAGTAAGTAGTGGAGCAGGAATTTGAACTAATTTCAGTGGAAATCTGAGGCAGAGTTTCCAGCAGATATATAAGATGCTCAGTTAAGTTTGAATTTCAGATAAGCAATGAATAGTGTTTTATTATAACTATGCCCCCAAGATTGCATGGGATACACTAATAGAAAAATATTATTTTTTGTTTATCTAAATTTTAAAATTAACCTGTGGTCCTGTATTGTTGTTGTTAAGTCTGGCAACCTCACTGCAAGGTCTACACTCTACCAATTTCCTTGCTGTTCTTTTTTTTTCAAGACAGAGTCTTGCTCTGTCACCCAGGCTGGAGTGCAGTGGTGCAATCTCGATTCACTGCAACCTTGACTTCCCAGGCTCAAGTGAGTCTAGTGCCTCAGCCTCCCAAGTAGCTGGGATTGCAGGCGCATACCACTACGCCCAGATAATTTTTTTATTTTTATTTTTGGTAGAGACAGGGTTTCACCATGTTGGCCAGGCTGGTCTCGAACTCCTGACCTCAAGTGATCTGCCCACCTTGGCTTCCCAAAGTGCTGGGATTACAGACGTGAGCCACTGTACCTGGCCTTTTTTTTTTTTTTTTTTTTTTTTTTTGAGATAGTGTCTCACTCTGTCACTCAGGCTGGAGTGCAGTGGCGTGACCTCAGCTCACTGCAACCTCTTCCTCCCAGGCTCAAGTGATCTTCCCACCTCAGCCTCCTGAGTAGCTGGGACTATGGGTGCACACCACTATGCCTGGGTAATTTTTGTATATTTAGTAGAGACGGGGTCTTGCTATGTTGCCCAGGCTGGTCTTGAGTTCCTGGGCTCAAGTGATCCTCTCACCTCAGCCTTCCAAAGTTCTGGGATTACAGGCATGAGCTGTTGTGCCCAGCCTTCCCTTGATTTTTTTTCTTTTTCTTTTTTTTTTTTCGAGATGGGGTCTTGCCCTATTGCCCAGGCTGCAATGCAGTAGCATGATCTTGGCTCACTGCAACCTCTGCCTCCCGGATTCAAGTGATTCTCCTGCCTCAGCCTCCCGAGTAGCTGGGATTACAGGTGCCCACCATCACGCCCAGCTAATTTTTGTATTTTTGTAGAGATGGGTGTTTCACCATGTTGGTCAGGCTGGTCTCAAACTCCTGACCTCAGGTGATCCACCCACCTCGGCCTCCGAAAGTACTGGGATTACAGGCATGAGCCACTGCACCCAGCTTGACCCCTTGATTTTTTATTCCAGAAGTATCTCTTGGGCCCTAGTGTGAATCATCAAAGGAGGCAGCAGGAAGTAGAAGAAAACCTTCTTCAGGGCTTGAGGGGCCCTGGGGCCTGGCCCTGTTCAGCACAGTGAGACTGGGGGAAAGACACACCTGTCTGGGCCAGTTTCCTCACCTGTGAATTGAAGAGTTGAACAAAACCATCTCAAGGGTCGGAAAATATCTTCTGGGCTTTTACCACATGCCAGGAACTGTTCTAAACTCTTGGGCTACAGCAAGGAACAAAATTGAAAAAGTTCCCTATCCTTGGGGAGCTTGCATTTTAATGGGAAAGAGAGAGACAATAAGTAATAATGCCAGCTACCATTTATTCAGCACCTACTGTGAGTCAAGAGTCAAGCCCTATGCAGGGATTCTGTTTTTTTCCCCTGAGACAAGGTCTCACTCTCTCACCCAGGTTGGAGTGCAGTGGTGTGATCATGGCTCACTGCAGCCTCGACCTCCTGGGCTCGAGTGATCCTCCCATCTCAGCTTCCTGTGTAACTGGGACTATAGGCATGTGCCACCATGCCCGGCTAACTTTTGTGTTTTTTGTAGAGATAAGGTTTTGCCATGTTGCCAAGGCTGGTCTCAAACTCCTGGACTCAAGGGATCCTCTCATCTTGGCCTCCCAGCATGCTGGGATTACAGGTGTGAGCCACCGCACCAGGCCGGGGAACTCCCCTGGCCGTTTTGTTCCTATCTTGTCCTACATCCAGAGCTTGGCATGATGCTGACACACCACAGTTAGCAGGGGCAGGCCCAGGTTTTGTGGGGCTGGGAACTTTTTTTAAGAAAAGTGAGATGCTTACTAGGCCCTTCCCTGTGTGAAGGAGAGGCCCTGAACAGGAAGCTTTAATAGTTTCACCGTAAGTATGGCTCTGGGTTCAGTCAATGACTGTCGAATGAACAAACAGCCTGGTACAGTAGTTTGCCTATTTTACAACTGTGGATGTGGAGGTTCAGAGAGGTGAAGGGACTCACACAAGTTCCTGTGACCAGTGAGTAACAGAGCTGATGGTGATGTGGTTCAGCAGTGAGGGGGAGAATGTGATAATGGCCAGCTGCTGGGTTTGGGATCAAGAAAGACCATGATTGTTGTTTTTGAGACAGAGTCTTGCTCCAGGCTGGAATGCAGTGACACAATCTTACCTCATTGCAACCTTTGCCTCCCTGGTTCAAGCAATTCTCATGACTCAGCCTCCTGAGTAACTGAGATTACAGGCGTGAACCACCACGTCCAACTACTTTTCTGAATTTTTAGTAGAGACAGGGTTTTGCCATGTTGGCCAGGCTGGTCTCAAACTCCTGACCTCAAGTGATCCGCCTGCCTTGGCCTCCCAAAGTGCTGGGATTACAGGCATGAGTCACTGCAGCCAGCCTAGAAAGGCCATGATTTAACTTTTTACCTTTGCATTGGCTTGCTGGTTAACTTTGGCCAATTGTCTTAACCTCTCTGTGCTTTTGTGTCTTGTAAAATGGAGAAAGTAAATACTGCTCGTGCACAGTGGCTGGAGATGATCAAGTAATGCTCATTTGGAGTAAGGGTCTCTCCCTATTGTGTCAGCTCGTGTCTGCCCAGAGGCAAGGTTGGAGTCTCCTCCAGTGCTCTGAGGTCTCTCAGGACTGCCTTGGGACCTGGGAACACAGGCTGAGGACAGATGGGGTGGGTTTGGCACAGGCAGCTGAGAGGCTGCACATTTTTGGAGCGACTGTGCTGCGCCTCTTTTCTGGAGAATGTGGCTCGATAGGCTTCCTTCTCATTCCTCGGAAGCACCTGTTGATATCTGGGAGAGGGGAAGGGCAGGAAAGGCAAGGGGCTCCTGCCAGCACTGGCTGTGTCCAACCTGGATATTTAGGAAAAAATCCAGGACAAACACCATTAACAGCTTCTCTGAGCCTCATACAGGAGGAAACAGGAGGCAGGAAAGGAAGGGGGAAGTATGCTTTGTGAGTCCCCTACTATGTGCCAGGGGCTTATATATGTTTCATAATAGCATATATATATATATATATATATATATATATATATATATATATATACACACACACACACACATACACATAAAGCGCATATATGTACATACTTTCTTTTGTGCCAAGCACTGTGCTTGGCATGTTACCTGTATTAACTCATTTAATCCTTACAAAAACCCATCAAGGTAATAACTATCCCAATTTTACAGATGAGGAAAGCTGAGGCACAGAGGGGTTAAGTAACTTATTCAAGTTCACATGGCAAATAAATGGTGGGGAAACAGGTAGTTTGGCTCTAAAGTCCACATGGGATGACAGTGGTAAAGAAGGTATTACCACGCCCCTTCGACACATGAGAAAACAGGCTCAGTTGAGGCCCAGCCTAGATCATACAGCAAGTGGCAGAGTATGAATTTCAACCCAAGCCCATCTGACTCCAAAGCCCCTGCATTTTCTATTCTACCAAGTTGCTGCCAAGCCCAGGACAGGATTTGAACCTGTGTCACTGTGCTTTTGTGCAATGTCTGGGAGCGAGCCATTTCTGGGATGTTCAAAGTTAAATTCGGGTCTCACCCTGACCCTAGCCCTAACTCCCTTCACCTCAGCTTGCTGCAGCTCCCTGCTCAGAGGAAGTTAGGCTGGGCGGTGCCAAAGGCAGAATGTACCTCAGGCCAAGGTTCTGAGGGTGAGAAGTGACACAGGGATTTGCTCTGTGGGCCCCCACACTCTCCAGCTGGCGCAGTTGTCAGGGACTGTGAACCCCTTTACCGCCACCTCTGTCCAGTCCTGCAGTGTTGCTTGGTGACCCTGAATGAATGAGTGATGGAGGACCAGGCCTTCCCAACATGTCCTCTCTCTGATGGTGTTTGGATGGCTGTGGGCTGAGCTAGTGTCCTTGAGGCCGCAGACCTAGGTATGAGTCCCTGTCTACCACTGTCTGGCTTCATGATGCTGGACAAGCCACTTTCTAAACCTCACTCAGTTTGCTAACAGTTCCTACTTCAAGGGTTATTTTGAGAACACATGTGAAGAGCCCAGCACAGAGCTTAGCATCCAGTAGGTGCTCAATAAATATTCCTGTTTCCTCTTCCCAGGGCCTAAGAGTCTCTCTTTCTTTTCCCTTCTCTCCTGCTTTTTTTTTTCCTTAAATTGTGATAAAATATACATAACATAAAATTTACCACTTTAACAATTGTGTTAAAATGCACAAAATAGGCCTGGTGTGGTGGCTTATGCCTGTAATCCCAGCACTTTGGGAGGCCAAAGTGGGAAGATCGCTTGAGTTGTACAAGAGTTGGAGACCAACCTGGGCAACAGAGTGAGACCCCATCTCTACAAAAAATAAAAAAATTGGCTGGGTGTGGTGGCAGACATCTGTAGTCCCAGCTACTTGGGAGGCTGAGGGGGAGGATCCCTTGAACCCAGGAGTTTGAGGCTGCAGTGAGCCAGCCTAGGTGACAGAGCAAAACTCAGTCTCAAAATATATTCACACATAACATAAAACTGACCATTTTGACCATATTTAAGTGTAGTTCAGGGGCATTAAGTACACTCACATTGCTGTGCAAACACTACTACCATCTACCTCCAGAATGTTCATCATCCCAAACAGAAACTCTGCACCCATTGCTCTCATTCCTCTCTTCCTTCAGCCCTTGGTAACCACTGTTCTGCTTTCTGTCTCTATGAATTTGACCATGCCAGCACCTCCTATAAGTGGAATTGTACAATATTTGCCCTTTTGCGATGGGTTCATTTCACTTAGTCCTGGAGCCCACCTGGTTGGAATTGGAGAGCCACTGCATCCGAGTAGCTGCATGGGCCCTGGGCAGGCCCCTTGCTGCTGGGGCAGGAAGCAGGACTTCTTGTTTGATCAAGTATGCTTATTGCTCCTGACCCAGGGCAGGCCGTGGACAGCTGGACATCTCTGAGCAGAGCTGCTCGAATCTGATGAGATCACTCAGCAGCCTCTTTGGCATGACAGTGAGAATCAAAGGTGATGCTTCTGGAAGACAGCCTGGTGTCCAGGAAGACACTCGGCCTTGGGGGTCACATTCTTCACAATGACGCCTGGCTCTGCCTCTCCCTTGATAAGCTGCTCAACCTCTCTGAGCCCCAGTTTCCACGCCTATCAAATGGGATGAGCCATGGTGCCCACCCCAAAGGGTTGCTGTGCAGATGCAGGGTGACAAGGCACATGCAGCACTGGCACATGACAAGGCACATGCAGCACATGGAGGGGCTGCAGTTACCTGCTTCGGTGACAGCTCAGAAGGCTGGTGGAGACCATGCAAGCCAAAGCCCCCGGGCCCAGTCAGGCTCATGGTTCTCCACCTCTGTGCCCCTCTCAACTAGCGTCTGGTGGTTCTTCAGTATATATATATTAAAGACAGGGTCTCGCTCTGTTGCCCAGGCTGGAGCGCAGTGGTGCAATCATAGCTCACTGCAGCCTCCAGCTCCTGAGCTCAAGGGATCCTCCCATGTCAGTCTCCCAAGTAGCTGGGACTACAGTTTCATGCCATCACGCTGGGCTATTTTTAAAGTTTTTTTTTTTTTTTTTTAATAGAGATGGGATCTTACCAGGTTGCCTAGGCAGGTCTTAAACTCCTGGATTCAAGCAAACCTCATACCTCGGCATCCCAAAGTGCTGGGATTACAGGCATGAGCCACTATGCCTAGCCAGGATATTTTAACAAGAAATAAAATCTCTTCCAGGAATTGGGTAAATAGGTCGCCTTGGGACACTCCCCCTGTTGCAGCACACAGTCTCTGTCTCTACCTGAGGACAGTAGGTACTCCACAGTGGGGGACAGGCCTCTCAGGGCCTCTGGAAAGGCTGCCTGCTGCCTTTTGAGTGTTTTCCAACCTCATGTTCACACACACCTGGCTCTGTGTGTGTGTGTGCCGTGAGCACAGGGGTGCAAAGGTGGTGGCAGTGGCTTACCCATCTATCTTTCTGTTTTTCCTTTTAAGGCCCCCTTTTGTCTTGTGTGTGTGTGTGTGTGTGTGTGTGTTTGTTTGTTTTTTTTTTTTGGAGACAGAGTCTCACCCTGTCCCCCAGGCTAGAATGCAGTAGTGTTATCTCGGCTCACTGCAACCTCTGTCTCCCGGATTCAAGTGATTCTCTTGCCTCAGCTTCCCTAGTAGCTTGGGTTACAGGCACCCACCACCATGCCTGGCTAATTTTTGTATTTTTAGTAGACAGGGTTTCACCATGTTGGCCAGGCTGGTCTTGAACTCCTGACCTCAGGTGATCCACCCACCTCAGCCTCCCAAAGTGCCGGGATTACAGGCATGAGCCACCGCACCCAGCCATCCTTTTTTTCTTGCCAGGGAGTCACAGGTCTCTCTTGGAATGCATTTCCAGTGTAGCGGCTGTTACTGAAAAAGATCGTGGGTGGAGGGCCATGGCTGCAGGAGGGTTAACAGTGCCACAGGGTTCCAGAGCAGCCCATGCTTCTCAAACTGGAGTGTGCCCACATATCACCTGGGATCCTTTACAATGCAGGCTCTGATTCAGTGGATCTGGGGTGGGGCCTGAGAGTCTAATTTCTGATCAGCTCCCAAGAGGTGCGTGTGCTGCTGGTTTGGGGGCCGCACTTTGGGAAGCAAGGCCAGATCTCCTTGTCCTTCAAAGCGCTGTGGCCCCTGGGGTTTGCCACAGGCTGCTTGGCTGTGCATGGTGGCCACCTCCCGCCCACCCTGGCTCCTCGTTCTGCGTTTCCTTCCTGCCTTTGGCCCTTTCCTTCATGCTAAGCTTCTGTAGCAACAACTCCCAAAGCCTGCCCCTGGCCCTCAGCTGTATTTCTGAACTCAATTACTGTATGAGAAGAAAGAATTTTAACTTTAATGATAATAGGAGCAATAATCCTCCATTGCAGGAAACTTGGAAATTACTAAAAAGCATATGAGAGAAGAATGAAAATTATCCAGAACCCCTTAGCCCAGGGAGAACAGCCGAGATTCTGATTCATTCCTTTACCTTCTTTTATCTTGCATATCTATGTCTTAAAACATAATTGAAATAATAGAAAATAAAAACAGACATTGCTCCTTTCTACAAAAGAAGCACATAGCCTCTTGTATCTGCTACACTATATCCTGCCTTCCTGTTTTATTACTGGGTCTTTGAAAAATGAGAAAATGACTATTCCATAGGCAATAATAATTAAAAATGTTTATTGAATCCTTAGGATTTGAGGTGCTGGGGTAACTCATGTTCATTATATCAATTTAATGTCATCCTATCATTTGTTTAACTGGCCTTCTAGATAAATAATGTAATAATAAACATCTTTGTGCAAGCATTTTTATTTTCTTTCTGATTATTTATTAGACCAGGGGTTGGGAAATGTTTTGTAAAGAGCCAGATAAGGAATATTTCTGTTTAGTGGGCCACACAGTCTCTGTCACACTTCTCAACTCTGCCATGGAAGCACAAAAGCAGCTCTAAACTCTGTAAACAAACGCATGTGGTGAGTTCCAATAAAACTTCATTCACAAAAACGGGTGGCTGGTTAGATTTGGGGCCGTAGTTTCCTGACCCTGCTTTAGATTAGAAGCAGTCCAGGACTGGCAGATTTTTTCAGTAAAAGGCAGATAGAAAATATTTTAGGCTGTGCCAAATACGGTCTCTGCCACTGCAGTGAATGTCTCCCCCTCCTCTCCCTACTCCTTTTCCTCAACCTCCTTTGTCTTCTTCCTCCATTTCTTCCCCCTTATTCCTTTTCTTCCTCCTCCCTTCTTTTTTTTTTTTTTTTCTTTTTGAGACGGAGTCTCACTCTGTCGCCCAGGCTGGAGTGCAGTGGTGCAATCTCAACTCACTGCAAGCTCAGCTTCCCGGGTTCATGCCATTCTCCTGCCTCAGCCTCCTGAGTAGCTGGGACTACAGGCGCCCACCACCACGCCCAGCTAATTTTTTGTATTTTTAGTAGAGACGGGGTTTCATCGTGTTAGGCAGGATGGTCTCGATCTCCTGACCTCGTGATCTGCCTGCCTCGGCCTCCTAAAGTGCTGGGATTACAGGCATGAGCCACCGCGCCTGGCCTTCTTCTCCCTTCTTATTCTTCCAACCTTTAAAACATGTAAAAACCAGCCAGGCGCAGTAATCCCAGCACTTTGGGAGGCCGAGGCAGGCGGATCACTTGAGGTCAGGAGTTGGAGACCATTCTGGCCAACATAGCAAAACCCCGTTTCTACTAAAAATACATAAATTAGCTGGGCGTGGTGGTGGGTGCCTGTAATCCCAGTTACTCAGGAGGCTGAGGCAGGAGAATCACTTGAACCTGGGAGGCAGAGGTTGGAGTGAGCTGAGATCATGCCACTGCACTACAGCCTAGGCGACAGAGTGAGACTCTGTCTCAAAAAAATAAATAAATAAATTCACATTGCTTTGATTACTAACAAGCTGGCCATTTTTCTTATTATCCATTTATATTTCCTATTCTGAATTTTTTTTGTGTGTTCTTTTTCTCTGAGATCTTGTTTTTTCCTTTTTGGTTTTGCATGGCCTTTTAACAAAGAAAGGATTTTAAATGTTGTCATATTTGTTGCAATTATTTCCCCAGTCTTTCATTTTGCCTTTTGATTGTATTTATGATTATTCCCATGGATAGAGGTGCTTAATTTGCATTTATCTTTTCCTTTGTGAGTTTCATTTTCTCCTTGAAACATTGCTATTTGGGCTTGTGACAGTTGGCTTATCCTGCCTTGTTCTCAGCCTCTTGATATCTCACAAACAGTTCAGAGATACAGTGGAGAAAGGTATAAATTAGAGGTGCTTTCAGCTGCACCTCACAGAAAATCTGATAAAATAGTGGTTTAAGCTAGTGGTTCTCAAACTTAGCACATGCCAGAATTACTTGGGGGCACTTGGTAAAACTCAATTTTCAGGGTCCCATTTTGGTTTTGCTTTGTTTTTTTGTTTTTGAGACAGAGCCTTGCTTTGTTCCCCAGGCTTGGGTACAGTGGCGTGATCTCAGCTCACTGCAACCTCTGCCTTAGGGTCCCACTTTAAAGAGTCAAGTTCTATTGGTCTGGGCAGGGCCTGAGAATGTACATTTCTAACTCTCCCAAGTGGTGCTGAAGCTGTGGGTCTGGGGACACACTTGGAGAACCACTGGCTTAAGCAACTAAAACATTAAATTACCTCATAAGGCCAGGTATGGTGGCTCACACCTATAATCCCAGCACTTTGGGAGGCCAAAGCAGGAGGATTGCTCAAGGCCAGGAATTTGAGACCAGCCTGGGCAATAAAGCAAGGCTTGGTCTCTACAAAAACAAAACAAAACAAAACAAAAAACAGCCAGGTGTGGTGGCAAGTGCCTGTAGTACTGGCAACATGGGAGGCTGAGGTAGGAGGATCACTTGAGCCCAGGAGTTCAAGGTTGCAGTGAGCTATGACTGTGCCACTGTACCCCACCCTGGGTGACAGAGTGACATCCTGTCTCAAAAGAAGTAAATACATAAAAATAAATTACTTCATAGAACAAAAAGTCCAGATGAGAGCAGTCTCTGGCTTGGTTTAACAGCTCAGTAATATCAGGATCTGGGTCAAGTCTTTACTTTTCTCCTGGCCTTTGTCCTCAGGACTGCAAGGTGGCTGCCATAGCTCTAAGCATTTATAGTTACATTAACATTCCAAGCAGGAAGAAGGGGGCTGGTGGAAGAGGCTTGTCTTTTAACAGGATTGGGCACATTGCTGCTTTGACTGCAACTTGTAAGCAAACATCTGATAAAGAAGAGAGGGTGGGTTTTGGTTCACAGATGGTCTCTGCCCTCAGGGCTTTCCTGCATGATGTGGAAAGGAGGATAGTGTGGGCCCCCGGACTCCCAGCCACAGGCCCAGTGATGTCCCCTGTCAGGATATCCTTCAGAAGAACCCAGTTTCAAGGCAGCTTGGCCTCCAAGCAGGTTCTGATTTTGGCCTCACTGAAGTGATTGGAGTTCTGCCGTGTTTCTGATACAAAGGGTGGACTGGCCCCCTATTCTGGTGTTTGGACACTTTCTCGCCTGAATGCCTGATGAAATAATTGGCCCGAGTCTCTCTAAGTTGAGAACTCTGCTTGCTTCTGCCAGTTCTTCTCCTGGTTAGGAATCCTATCCCCAGATAGGAGTCTAGAGCTGTGAATCTTGCCACACATTAGCAGCCATGCTGAGTGCCATCTGGCTTCCCCGAGATGTCTCTCAGCTGCTGCCAAAGCCCCCTGACAGCGGGGTGGGTTGGGATGGCAGAACCTTTGCAGGATTGCCTGGATTGATGGGGTGCTGCACTTTGCCTGCTGATCCAGCTTTCTCTTATTGTTTATATCTGGTGTTTGAATGACTTGTAACCTTCCTTGGAGGCCAGGGCTGGCTCAACTGGCACCATCTGGAGTGGGAAATGGGAGGAGGAGTTCCCATCTCAGAAGATAGGAAATACCAAAGGCACAGAGGAATGGGCTAAAGCAGTGCCTGTAATAAAGTGCCAACATGCGGTGCAGGGCAGGGCGAGGTAACCTAACTCCAGAGGGGTCGAAGGTGCCTTATCTGGTAGGATGCTAGCAGTGTCAAGTGAAGAAAACTGGACCCAAATAAAAACGTTAAGTGGGAAGTCCAGGGGTAAGCCTGGCCTTAAGCATGGCTCATTGCATTGGTTCAAATGGTTTCACAAGACTCCAGCTTTCCATCTTTCAGTTTGGTTTCCTCTGTGTTCACTTCTTTCTCAAACTGGCTGTGCCCTCATGGCCACAAGGTGACTGCCAGCAGTTCTAGGGTGTACATTCTTCTCATTTTCTTTCCAGAGGAGAAAAAGAAAATCCTCTTCCTTGATGGCACAAACCAAAGTCCCAGAATTGAGATGTGTTAGCCCTGATGGGGGGCTCATTGCGCTTCCCTGAAACCAACCACAAGGGCCAGGTAAATGTGATAAGTGGCTTGGTTAAAGGTTGGGTTACAGGATTCAACCCTAGACTTGGGGGTAGTGTCATTCCCACCCACACCACATGGCTGAAAATGAGGCAAGTATGCTTCTAAAGGATATTCAGGGGCATTGCTAATGGGAGGAGAGAGTGGATGTGGGGAGGCAGCCCATAAGTGTTCATCCTTATTGGAGTTGAACTTGGGGGTCACAGCTGGGCATGTATGGTAATGGCAGGATCTTTTTTTTTCTTGAGATGGAGTCTCACTCTGTCACCCAGGCTGGAGTGCAGTAGCGCAATCTCGGCTCACTGTAACCTCTGCCTCTGGGGTTCAAGTGATTCTGCCTCAACCTCCCGAGTAGCTGGGACTACAGGAGCATGCCACCACACCCAGCTAATTATTGTATTTTTAGTACAGATGGGGTTTCACCATGTTGGTCAGGCTGGTCTCGAACTCCTGACCTTGTGATCCGCCCACCTTGGCCTCCCAAAGTGCTGGGATTGCAGGCATGAGCCACCATGCCTGGCCTTTTGGCAGGATCTTAAAATCAGGAAAAAGCATGCAAGGATCAGTGCATAGAGAGGAAGGGGTGCTGATAATTGCCTTGACCACCAACGATGTGATGTGTTACTGGTTGGGCTGGCTTAAAGGGCCAGGGACAGCAGGCACCTCGCTCTGGTCCCTCTCCTCTCCTAGCATCTGCTTCAGCCGAGTTTGCAGGTCTAGTTCTGGGTCTCAGGGCCTCCCAGGCTGCCCATTCTGCTGCAGTTAACTCCTCCAGACCTGGGATGAGATTGACATCCTCCTACTCAAGGAACACAGGATTCAATTAACCAGTGTGTTTATTTTCTTGGCAATAAAAATGCTGTTTAGAACATTCATTGCCATTCAGGACAATGCCTCCTTGAAAAGTCCTTTGGGCTTACTGCCCTTGTTATTCTCTGTAACTCAAATATAACTTGTCAGCCCCATGTGATATATTTCAGCTTGAGTTTAGTCCCAGAAAAAAAAGCTTGTGGCCACAGCTGCATGCGAATGCTTTCTGTCACCAGAGGACAAAACCAATGTAAAGTGAACATTTTTTCCACATAGGGCCAAATATAGCATCCAAGTCGGAAATTGGCATTCTTCAGGTGTCTGCTGGTGTCTGCTCTCTCTGCTACCTTTATGGTCTTTGTTCCTTTTTGTCCCTAATAATCACAGTCACCATTGTGTTTAGTTTTGTGAGCCTCCTAAATGTTTTTGGAATCAGAGTAAATTCAAGGGAAGTAAATAAATAACGTGATTTGTTGATTTGTTTTCCCTTATGTGTTCATTGTCTCAGCATGGAAGAGAAAAATGCATAATTGAAACATAAACTTTGTCTGATTAAGATCAAATGAGATCAAATAAAATTCTCTTATTCATCCTCCTTTTTTTCTCTTTGCTCTCTTTTCTGTGTTCCTCCCTCCCTCCCTCCACCCTCTCCTCTTTCCATTGTGAAAAAGTGTTTGATCCCTTTTCTGAAGGGGAAAGATAAATGTTGGGAGCTCAGAAGTGGCTGCTGCAACATGCCTGCTTCTCAGCTTCCTCTGGGGTGGAAATGCACTTAAAACTTTCAGTTTGCAAAGTGGCTGCCAAAGCCACAGCATTGGGAGGGAGGAGGGGACTCCGGATCTGGGAGGACAAGCTGGAGCCAGGCAGTGGGGATGGGGGTGGGTACATCTTGCAGAGTCCATCCCTTGGGAGTACCCTGGAGGCCTAAAAGGGAGTGTCGGTCTCAATGGTTAAGAGTGTAGACCCCTTGACTTCAGCCTTGAGTGAGTTTTAGCTTCCATCCTGTTACTCTATTAAAACCCATAGAAGTTCCCTGTTTCCTTTCTTTTCTTTCTTTCTTTTTTTTTTTCAGAGAGAGTCTCACTCCGTTGCCCAGGCTGGAGTGCAGTGGTACGATCTCGGCTCACTGCAACCTCTGCCTTTCAGATTCAAGCGATTCTCCTGCCTCAGCCTCCCGAGTAGCTGGGACTACAGGTGCATGTGACCACGCCTGGCTAATTTTTTGTATTTTTAGTAGAAACGGGGTTTCACCGTGTTGGCCAGGATAGTCTCAATCTCCTGACCTTGTGATCCATCTGCCTCAGCCTCCCAAAGTGCTGGGATTACAGGCATGAGCCACTGCGCCTGGCGTCCTTCTTCATTAAGGTCAACCTCTTTCTGGCTTGCAAAACTCTCCATAATCTAGTTGCATCCTGCCAAGAACACCTTTATCACTATTAACACCCAACACAACCCTTAGCTTTTGTTTTCATCTTACACTCCCAACACAGACACACACATTCTATTTCACTGGGTTTGAACAGAAGATCTGAACCTTTCAGCCCACTTCTCCCTGCTCTAGATTTGGGGCAAGCCCTATAACCATTGTAAGCCTTGGGTTCTCTTCAGGCAATGGAACAAGTGGATATTTACTGAGTTCTACAAGCACGGCATCTATTTCCATCTGTACTGTTTCTTTGGTAACCATACCCTAATTTTCCTCTGGGAACATCCCCACCTGACTTTTGGTCCATGGACCTCTGGGTGGAGTTAGTTCATGCTCAGCTTCAAGAATAGAATCTGTAATCTAGTCTAAAGCTAAACAGTGCAGCCCCAGCTTCCATTCTCCCTGATCGGTTGGTTGGTGGGCAGGTGACCTAAGGTGGTGAATCTCAGGGCTTGTGCTGGAAATGCTGGACACAGATACTTGCTCTTTTCAGCTGGATTTATTTATTTATTTATTTATTTATTGAGACAGTCTCACCTCTGTCACCCAGGCTGGAGTGCAGTGGTGCAATCTCAGCTCACTGCAGCCTCCATCTCCCGGGTTCAAGCAATTCTCCTGCCTTGGCCTCCCAAGTAGCTGGGATTACAGGCACCTACTACGCCTGCCTAATTTTTGTATTTTTAGTAGAGATGGGGTCTCACCATGCTGGCCAGGCTGGTCTCGAACTCCTGACCTCAAATGATCCACCTGCCTCAGCCTCCCAAAGTTCTTGGATTACAGGGGTGAGCCACCGTGCCTGGCTCAGCTGGATTCGAATTTGGAAGGATGTGGTTGCGGTAGCTGAACTGCAGGATCAGGTCTGAGAAGGCACCATCCCGAGGGAGCAGAGCTGAGCTAGGGAGAAAGAACCTGGTCCCAGCCAATGTTGGAGCACTGTTTCCCCCAGCTAGAATGACTGCTGCTACCTGGGTTCCTTCTCTCCTCCCTCTGTCCAAATCCTTCCTGACCTTCCTGACCAGCACAAAATCGCTTCCTCTGGGACTCTGATCACTGACCCCTCCAGCCCTCATTGGTACCTATAACCCAGGACATCAGTGACACCACCCAGTTCAACTCCTGGTTATATGTGGGCCTCTGTGGCTTCTAGTGGGCTATTTAGGTGTTTTCAATAGAGTGAGTGTTTCTTTGAGGTTAGGCCTCTGTGAATCCTTGGTGTCTAGCATGGTCTAAGTACCCTGGAGGTGCAGAATCCATATTTCCTGTTCGGTGTCCTTATGGGCCTTTTTTTTTTTTTTTTTTTTTTTTTTTTTTTTGCAGAGGTTGTGTTTTTGAAGCATCTAACACTGTCTGGCACACAGAAAGGCAGGTAGGGCCATGAGAACAGTGTGGGCTTTAGATTCAAATCCCTGTGTTGCCCTGTAGAGCTGTGTGACCTTTGGCAAGTCACCTAAGTTCTATCAGCTTCTGTTTCTTCAGTGTAACATGAAGCTACAATATTTCCCACACAGACCTTGTATTTTTTTTAAATAGTTGGTGTAGCGGTGCTAAGTAGATGTGTGTTCCTTCCCCTGCCTTCCCAATGCTGGTGGAGGCAGCTATTACACAGACGAGATGCAGAGACAGTTGAGAGATTGATACGTTGGGGTCTGGAATATTTGGGGATAACTGGCATTCCTAGACAATCTCTAAGTTTGCTTTGGTCAATGGTACTGACCCAGAGCCCTCCATATCCAAAGGGGACCCAGGCTGCTAGTAAATAAGTAATGACTAAAGAACTATTCAGCCAGGCTTTATTTGGACACAACTGATATGCCCAAATCCAACTCAAGGCTCACTTCAAACATTGCCTCCTCCAGGAAGCCCTTTTTAATCCCTCCTTAATCCCAGGACCTGGACATATCTTTCTGTTTAGTTTGATTGGTTTCTTTTCTTGATGGGGAGTGTCAGCCAGCACATAGTAAACTCTTATTAATCGTTTGTTGAACAACTGAATGAATACATTTTCATCCAGTACAGGGGGTCTAAGGAAACAGTGAAGTGCCCTGTAAGACTGAAGCAAGAAAGAGATCCAGAGGGGATCGCAGAGAGTCCACAGCAGGCTCTCTGGATAATGGAAAGGGGTCCTGATTTTGCCATTTTTCTTCCCGCTCCCAATTTTACATAGCATAACCAGTGAGCACTTGAGCTTGAACTTAGATCTGGGTTAAATTCCTAACTCTGCCACCTACTAGCTGAATGACTTTAAGTAAGTTACTTGCCCTCTCTCAGCCATCAGGATGCAGCCCAGTTAGCTTTCATTATGGCTTTGCAGAAGCAGCCCTCCTCCAAGGCGTCACCTTCCCCTCGTGCCCCTTTGGGGCTATTCTCTTCCCTCCAGGCTGCCTGCCATTTACACATCTGAAAAATATGCAGGCCAATGGAAATACACATCCTCCAATCTGCCTGCTCCTCATGCAGGGAATTAAAATCTGTCTCATCGTCCCACTTTGGAATGCTGAGTATTTGGTCAAGGATTCAGCTTCCCTTTTTTATGAGGCTTTAAGAAAACCCAAATTAAACCCTGATTTGTTTTTAAAGATCGGAATCTTAATCTTTCAGCATTTGGCTCATTTTCTTTACAGGCTTAGAAAGCAACATTAAACAGATTATGTTTCTTAGTGTACTCTGCTTTTTCTCTGGTGTGTGCTGGGGGGTGGCACATGGGGCAACATTTTGTCTCATAAGAGAAAACTTTAGAGACTGCTGTGTGTCTTTCTGTACTATTCTAGCTTGCTGTGTGACCTTGGCCAAGCCCCTTGACTTCTCTGAGCTTTCATGTCCTCATCTGTAGAATGAGAGGGCTGAACATTAAGGCCTGTGCACTCCTCAAGGGCAGGAGATCATATAGAACTCCCATATTTCAAACTGGGGCTCAGAGAAGGGAAGAGTCTTACCTAAGGGCACACAGCCATTTAACGGGCAGAACTGGGTAAGGGGTTCTGGCTTCTAGGACAGCCCTCTATTCACTAGAAACCCTACTTTCTCTGAGAAAGAAATATGGGGTCAATATACAATGATTCCTGTATAATTTTTTCTTTTTTTTTCCCCCGCTCTTTTTGCCCAGGCTGGATTGCAATGGCACAATCTCGGCTCACTGCAACCTCCGTCTCCCTGGTTCAAGCGATTCTCCTCCCTCGGCCTCCCAAGTAGCTGGGATTACAGGCGTGCTCCATCACACCTGGCTAATGTTTGTATTTTTAGTAGAGATGGAGTTTCACCATTTTGGCCCGGCTGGTCTTGAACTCCTGACCTCAGATGATCCACCCACCTTGGCCTCCCAAAGTGCTGAGATTACAGCCATGAACCACTGCACCTGGCCTGATTCCTGTATAATTTTCAAACTCTTTCCCTTCATGAGTAGAGTCCAGTAGACTTCAAGATGAGGTTTGTGTTTTAGATGCTGTTAAAAAGAAGGAAGAGAAGGAGAATTGAGAAAATCTAGAAATGAGGATAAGACATGTTGCCACTATTCTGTGGTTCATTGTCGGATATACCAAGAAGAAAAATCTTTGATTCAAACCAAAATGGTATGAGAAGCAGCAGATCTCATGACATCTCCTCCAGCCTCTGATAATGGCCTATCGGGTAACCGACTATCCCAGTTTGCCCAGGACGAAAGAGTTTCCTGGGACCTGGGACTTTCAGTGCTAAAATCTGGAAAGTCCTGGAAAGTCTACGTAAGCTGGGATGAATTGTTCATTCTCATGGCCAGCTGGTAACCAAAGAGAAAGGCCTTCTAACAGAGTGAGCTTTGACTGGTGTGATTACTGGCTCTGCTACTTACATGACAGCTTTGAGAGGGCCAAGCTGTCTGAACCTTAGTATTCTCATCTGGCAATTGGATTTAAATGAGGTAATTCACCAAAGATGCCTCCTTCAGTGCTTGGCACAGATTAATCATGCAATGAGTAAGTATCTCTCCTTCTGGGGAAAAAACATCTTAAAGAAAATTCCAGGCACATGGAAGAAGAGGTACAGATAATGTGTTTAAGGAAGGATTTTATAAGTCATGCAATATTTTCCTCCAGGCTGGGTATGTTGGGATGAATTACTACATCTTTTTTGTTGAATTCTTAGGCAAAGCAACCATGTTGTCACTACTTTCTCTTTTTCTTAAAAAGTTTAGAGAAGTCATGAATCAGCTTTGGGGTGTGGGAGGGAGAGTGGGGTCCAACCCTAAGTGGCATAGCTGGGAGACTGAAAGAGGAGGATCATTGTCATGAGACCTAGTTTAAAATCTCCACTCTGCCACATTCTGACTGCCACTGTGATTTCCACCTGTAGCAGGTGAATGACCATACACACTCGGTAAGGTTTTCATGTGGCCCAGGTTAGAGTTGATGCTTGGTATCTCATGGGAGCTCAATTTATGTTTTAGTCTTCCCTATTCAGATTCATGTCTCAGAGACCTTGGAGGGACTCAGGGTCTTCCCTGTGACATTCAAGGCTGCATTAAAACAGGGTTTGGAGATGGTGTGTTGGGTTGGGAAGCCAGCTTCCTGATAGGGAACAGATGATTTCCCCACAGAGACCTGGAAGTAAAGCCCCAAACCCTTGGCCCCAGAGGCTCAGAACTACAATGCCACTCTGTTGGCAGCTGGGCTCTGTGTTCTGGCCAATCTCAATGAAGAAAAGGTCAGCAACCCTGAAATCAAAGTCAGCCACCCCACAGACCTCCCTGGCAGGCTAGTCCTGGCATTGTTGCACATTTTAGAGCTCTTTATCTTCATCTATTCCCAAGCCTGCACTTGGGAGCTGCAGTTGGGATCTGGGGAGCTCTGCAGGCTCTTAGGAGGGCTGAGGGGCTGAAGTTCTGGCCTCCTCTCTTTTCCCAGGGGGTTTGAGCAGCGGCAGGAAAGCTGCTACGTGACCTTTGTTTATGAGCATGTACGATGTGCCTAGCACGTGCTCGATGCTTTAGGTGTATTATCTCATTTAACTCTCACCCCAGCTCTGGGAGGAAATCGGAACACTTACCACCAGTTGGCGCACTGTATATTTACATGGCAGTGTGGTTGTGTGTTTTCTTCTGTCTCCCCGCCCTATTTGTAAACGTCAGGAGGACAGTGACTTTGTCTGTTTTATTTAAGGCTGTATCCCTAGCACTTGGGTGTCTGGCATTTATCAGGTACTCAATAAATATTTGTTGGCTGACTGACCAGAGCTCCAAGGGGTGGAAGAACCTGATTAATTTCACACAGCTGTAGTGATGGGAGAACCCAGAGTCTCTAACACCAGAATCTTAAACCCTGTCCTGTACTCATGATTAACCCAGAAATTAGGCTGAGGTGAGCTAGGGTGTATCTGTTTCTTTCAAAACATTTAAAATAAACCATTCTAAAAATATAGAACATTTACAAAATGGGAAAAGGAAAAATCACCCGTATAATATCACCACTCTAACAGACTACAAATATAATTTTGTTGTAGGTCCTTTTTTTCCTAAATATATTTTTTAAAAACTAATGAGTAATCTTAATGAACACAAATTCACTTCCTACTCTTGATGTTTTATCATGTTATTCCCTTGTCTTTATTATATTCTTTCTAAATGACTGCATAATAAATAGTTCATAAGCAACTATGTCCCTGTTAACATAGCCATTCCCTATTGCTGGGTACCTAGGTGGCTTCCATAATAAGTAAGACATTGTGATGTTTGAGTATAAACTTAATCATGTGTTTTTTTATTTGTTAAGATAGTTTCTTAAAGTGAAATTATTAGGTTAAAAGGGATGTCTTTCCTAGAGAGCCCCAAAATTTCTGGAAGGGACTTCAGTTCTTGGAAATTTATTCTCAGGAATGGGAGCAATAGTCTGTTAAAATATATATTATGTCCTTAAATATCCCCAGTGAAACTCTCACCCACATGCTGGAATGTCACTATGGCAACAGAAGAGACAGGGTTTCACTGACAACGGGCTCAAGTAAGCCTTCAGGGAGACTTCATCTTGCTTCACAGGTGAGATTTCCTGAGGAGTTGAGCCATTTAAAGAAAATTTGAAAACATTTTGAAGTAGATCTTCCTAAACTTCATCCCGCTCTTCTTTGCCTTAGCAAATAGCCTCCTGATAGGACAGACCCTTCCTCAAACATCAGGGTCGATCAAGCCACCAGTTATTGCCCTATGGTGCCATAATTGCTGCCATTTTTGATATCAAAACAACTTCTGGAGCCAGAGCTAATGGCGGAGAAGCAAACAGAACCTTCTGACCTCACCAAGGGGGTGGTGGTGGCATGTCTCACATAGTTCAGTGGGAGACAGAAATAAATTTCAGCTTTGGCTGGGTGTCAGCTTCCCTGCATAGACCAGGGAGGGGCAGGCTCCAGTGCTGGCGGCAGCTTCAGATACTCTGGTTGTTATACTTTCAGCTTAGTAAATTTGGTTATTCTACCAGGTTCTTTTTCAACTCTGCTACATGGCCCATTTTTTCAAGTTTTGACTTTTCCCTCTTTGAAGTAGGCATAGCTGTTTTAGAGTCCTGTCTGACAGTGCCAGGAGCTACAGTCCCTGTTCATGTCTGTCTTTTGTCCATTTTTTATACTGGTTTTCACTCATGATGTCTTGTTTCCTTGTGTACTTGGTTATCTTTGAGTGCAGGATATTGTGTCTGAAAAAAGTGTGTGTGGGAATAATTCAAGGCCTGGGATAAAGTTGACTTTTTTTTTTTTTTGAGATGGAGTCTTGCTCTGTCGCCCAGGATGGAGTGGAGTGGTGCGATCTCGGCTCACTGCAACCTCTGTCTCCTGGGTTAAAGTGATTTTCCTGCCTCAGCCTCCTGAGTAGCTGGGAATTACAGGCATGCGCCATCATGCCTGGCTAATTTTTGTATTTTTAGTAGAGATGTTGGCCAGGCTGGTCTTGAACTCCTGACCTCAAGTGATCTGCCCACCCTGGCCTTCCAAAGTGCTGGGATTACAGGCATGAGCCATCATGCCCGGCCTTGTCTTCCTCTAAAAAAGGTTTTTATTTGTTTTGCGGGCGTCTCACAGGGCTCTAGAATCTGAGACTTCTCCCCTCCCTCCCTCCCTCCCTCACTTCTCTCTTTCTCTCTCTCTCTCTCCCTTCTTTCCTTTCTCTTCTTTTCTTCTTTTTCAGGGCCTTGCTCTCTTGCCCAGGCTGGAGCATAGTGGCATGATTATAGCCCACTGCAGCCTCAACCTCCTGGGCTCAAATGATGCTCCCACCTCAGCCTCCCGAGTAGCTGGGACCACAGCTGAGCACCACCACGCCTGGCTATTTAAAAAAAAAATTTTTTTTTGTAGAGACAGGGGTCTCACTATGTCACCCAGGGTGGTCTTGAACTCTTGGGCTCAAGTGATTCTCCAGCCTTGGCCTCCCAATGTGCTGGGATTACAGGCCTGAGCCACCTGAATCTGAAGCCAGCTGAATCTGAAGTAATCTGCAGCCAATTTTTCAGGTTGAGATTCCTGGGCTCCTGAAGCACAGTGGCAGTCCTCGCAAGAGCTCCTTTACTTCCTATTCATCTTTAACCTGGGATGTAGCCCTGGGAGCTTTGTGATTTTCTTTTCTAATTCCTCCCAACCCCTGCCCCGTCCTTTCTAAAATTTCTACGCACTAAATTGTAGAACACTACTTTAAATTAGGACAAATAATTGTGCAAATAATAAAGGAGACAGATTGTTCAGTCTCTGAGGTTGCACATGTGAAGAGCCCATTGACAGAGGAGATTCCAGTTCTCTGAGGTCGATAGACATGGGTGGCAGATTAGCCCTTGTGTGAAGAAGGCAAAGGTGCTAAGGGAGACCCATCTCTACTTGAACCCAGAACAGACCACAGAGGTTGCAGCCCCCAGTTCCCACTTGGAAACCTCCAGGCCTCCGCCAAATTGCCTGTGTAAATGGCATGACTTCCCTAACCTGCCCACGTAATTCCACAAGTAACAGACACACTACTCAATTGCAACATTTGATTTTGATCTTCCCCATGTGAACAAAGACTGAAAAATCACTGGTCAGGGAATGGGCAGGTAATATGTAATGCTTTGAATGGACCATGATTCTTTGATCCTTCTCCTAATGTTGCATATTTAGGCTGTTGGTATTTTCCCCTTTTTATTAAATATTTATAATGAACATCTTGTGCCTTGCTCTTTGCCAGAATTTTGAGCTATTTCACTGGGGTAGATTCTTAACAATGGATCAGACGGTACGAACATTTGTCAGGCTTTTGACAATGTTGCCAAATTACTTTCTAGAAAGTATATCCCAATTAATATGTGCAGCAGAGGCATACAAGACAGCCAGCTATATTGCTTACCACCACCAAGCATATAATTAAAATAAAACATTTTGGCTAATTTGGCAAGTAAAACATGGTATCCCTTTGTGTTTGACTTGCATTTTGCACTACGTCTTTAATGCAGTCCCCCTCTTAGTAAAATTATTTGTTATGCAGACAGTATGTCTTTAATAGAAGCAGACTTTAAAATGAGGGCAGTCACTCCAGTGTCTAAGAGCTCTCCTTTTCTAGCACTTATTGAAATATATATACATTGTGCCAGGCGTGGTGGCTTGAGCCTGTAATCCCAGAACCTTGGGAGGCCGAGGCGGGTGGATCACTTGAGGTCAGGAGTTCAAGACCAGCCAGGCCAACATGGTGAAACCCCCATCTCTACTAAAAATACAAAAAATTAGCCAGGTGTAATGACACATGCCTGTAATCCAAGCTACTCAGGAGGCTGAGGCAGGAGAATCGCGTGAACCTGGGAGGTGGAGGTTGCAGTGAGCTGAGATTGTGCCACTGCACTCCAGCCTGGGATACAGAGTGAGACTCCGTCTCAGAAAAAAAAAAAAGAAAAAAAAGAAAAGAAAAACGTATTTATTGTATAATGTGAGACAACAGGGTAGTCTCTGTTGAGTCGCTCACAGCATCTTTCTTGGGAACTGGCTGTTTTCCCTCCAGGAACAAGGGCTGGAGACCCAAGGCAGAAGGAGTGCACTTAAAATGTGAAGAATGATCAATAAATAGAAAAAAGCAGAATATGGACACCATAATATGGTTCCATTTATGTTTTAAGAAGTCATATATGCGTTTTATTAAAATTTTTTTCATATATATGCATTTTAAAAAGCACCTGGAGGGACATAGTTTAAACCACTGTCCATGGTTTTCTCTTTGGGTTAAGATTTTGTGGAAACTTGACCCTTCTACCACATAAACTTCTGTAATGTTTGATGTTTTTTTTTTTTTTACAATGAACAAGTGTTACTTTAATAATAGGATAATATAATAAAGATATTTCCATTTTGAAAAAATAAGCCTGTTTTAGCAACTGGTTATAGATCCTGTCTTGATATTCCTGTGCTCTTCTTCCCATGTCATTTTACACACACAAAACACATACACAACACATACACACACATACTCACACACACTTTAAACCCCCAGCCTCTACAGAAAAAGCACCACTTCAGGCATCGATGCCTCTGTGTTGTGTAGCTCCTGGGGATGACAACGGCATCTAACACTACAACTTCCCTGCGGGGCAGATTGGAGCGGTTGCGCCTACCCAAACCGTGTCTCTGATTTTGAAAATAGCTTCTGGATAGGCCTGGGGGAGAAAGCCAGTATATATCGAAGCTCAACTGCCCTCATAAGTTTATAAGGTGGGCATTCTTGACTTGGTATTTTAAGGAGAAACTAAGTCTCCAGGGGGTGAATTAACGTGGCCAGCAGGGCTCAGAAGCAAGCTGTGGATTAGGATTCAGAGGCAGGTGTGCGGGCCCCCAAGGCTGTCAGCTTCACTACGCACAGACTCCAGCAGGGGAAGTGAGGCTCTTAAGATCCCGTTCCCTGGAGCCACTGTGCATGGAGAAGTGTGGCCTGGTCCTGGCAGGCCCCTTGTGGTTGCAAAGCCCAGAGATACATTTCTGTCTTCTGTAGCGGAGGAGTATTGTGGATGCATACGGAGGAGGCCTGTGAGCTCCAAGGACTTTACCATGGGGTTTCGTGGGACTCAGGCCACCAGGTGCTGTCAAGCATCCTGCTGTTCCTGGCTCCCTGACCTATCCCGCCGGCTATGAAAGTGTGGTCGCTGAGTCCCCTGCCTCAGACTCTCCCAGCCTGGGGGTTTAGACCCATCCCTGGCCACTCTTCTGAATCAGATTTTCTAAGGGTGTGACCCCAGAATCTGCATTTTCAACAAATACATCTGGTGAGTCTTACATTTGCTATCATTTGAGAATCCCTGCTTTTACTTCACACCTTTTATCTCAAAGTTTCTTTTTCCTCACAGTTTGTAGCCGAGCAGCTTTCTACATTCTGGTTTCTCACTTCAGTCCCTCTGGAAAACATTTCAGTCTTCCTGGAAGGTTCAGATTTTCAAAGAGGAAATTTGACTGGCTCAGTTTATCCCAGGCTTGCCCGCCTATACCTTGGTGGCCAGTGTCTGCACCGATTAGCAGCAGCAGGTGGGGTAGGGGGCAGGGGGACAGGGTCACCCAGCATAAAACCCACTGCCCACTGGGGTAGACACTGTGATTGACCTCTGAGTGTCAGCCTATAGGCTTTAGGTGTGTAAGAATGTAATGTTAATTTTCCATTGCACAGCTAGCCCAATGCTGCTGGTACCAGATAGCAGAGAGTACGCACATGCTGGGGGCTCCACATGCAGAGGGCATGCACAAGTGAGGGCAGGATCTGAGGTAGGTGGAGGCTGAGGGGGAATTGGAGGCCTGGCTGTCCCGAGGGCCACAACTCCTTAGCCCAGGCCAACTCATTCACCAGCTCTGCATCCCCAGATGGGTGTTAACCAAAACTTGACGGCAGCTTCACTTTGGCCCCAGTGTGTCCAGAATTGGTTCCTTCCAGGGGGTTCTTACCCTTCTTGACTTCAAGAATGAAGCCACAGACCCTTGCGGTGAGTGTTACAGTTCTTAAAGATGGTGTATCCAGTTTGTTCCTTCAGATGTTCAGATATGTCCAGAGTTTCTTTCTTCTGGTGGATTCATGGTCTTGCTGACTTCAGGAGTGAAGCCGTAGATCTTTGCAGCGAGCATCACAGCTCTTAA
Source organism: Homo sapiens (assembly GCF_000001405.40). Lineage (NCBI taxonomy): Eukaryota > Metazoa > Chordata > Mammalia > Primates > Hominidae > Homo > Homo sapiens. The sequence goes on along the minus strand of NC_000017.11, from coordinate 31,732,295 downwards.
AAGTGGCAGGTCTGGAATTGTTCATTCCTCCCAGTGGGTTCATGGTTTTGCTGACTTCAGGACCAAAGGTACAGAGCTTCCCTGTGAGTGTTACAGCTCATAAACTTAGCATGGACACAAAGAGTGAGCAGCAGTAAGATTTATTGTGAAGAACAAAAGAACAAAGCTTCCACAGCATAGAAAGGTACCTGAGCAGGTTGCCGCTGCTGGTTCTTGTGGCCAACTTTTATCCCCTTATTTGGCCCCACCCACATCCTGCTGATTGGTCCATTTTACAGAGCACCGATTGGTCCATTTTACAGAGTGCTGATTGGTCCGTTTTTACAGAGTGCTGATTGGTGCGTTTACAAACCTTTAGCTTGACACAGAGCACTGATTGGTGCATTTTTACAGAGGACGATTGGTGCATTTATAAACCTTTAGCTAGATACAGAGTGCTGATTGGTGTGTTTTTACAGAGTGCTGATTGGTGCATTTACAAACCTTAAGCTAGACACAGAGTGCTGATTGGTGCATTTACAAACCTTAAGCTAGACACAGAGTGCTGATTGGTGCATTTTTACAGAGTGCTGACTGGTGCATTTACAAACCTTAAGCTAGACACAGAGTGCTGATTGGTGTGTTTACAATCCTTTAGCTAGACAGAAAAGTTCTCCAAGTCCCCACCTGACCCAGAAGCCCAGCTGGCTTCACCTCTCACCAGCATTTCATTTGAATCACTTTTTGCCCTGAACTTCTGTCTCAGAGCCCTGCCTGAGAGGCTGTGGAATGGCCTGGCTCCTCATGGGCTGCCCTGGGCTCCACAACCTCCTCTCCTGGTAGGTGGCTCTTCTGCAGCTGCCTTGGAACCAAAGAAGTTCCAGAAATTTCCTGCGATTGGTCCCATCCAGGCTCCAGAGCCCAAGCTCCTCTTTCACCCTGGAGTCTGGCTGCCTCAGATTGTTGGCTACAGGGGACAGCCAGAGGCAGCCTGGGAAAGTGGGAAGGACTCTGGTTTTGGCATCAGAAGGCTGAGGTTTGAGCCCTGGCTCTGTGAATTCCTGGCTGTGTAAGAAAGAGTAGGCTTTGGAGGTGAGCCTCGGATTTGTGTGCTCTATTCTACCCTTTGCCAGGCCAGGGTGCCCCTAACAAGCCCTAGGCCATCCCCAGAGTGCACACGCTTGGCCACCTCCTGCCAGTGGTAGCATAAGGTCTGGAAGTGCAGCCCATCCCAGCCAAGGCCCCAGTCCCCGTCCTTTTATGTGTCCAGGAGTCGCTGGTGTGTAGGAGTCCCTGAGTGAGGGACCAACCTTACTTGATCTTGTTATAGGCTGCAGCTGCTGTGGAGGTGCTGGGTAGATGTTATCCTGGGTGAATTTTGTCCCAAGTGTGGGATGCTGGGCACAGCTCCCAGCTCCTGAAGTAGCCGCAGGTGCTAGGGGTGTTTTAGACTCTATAGATGATCTCTCCAGAAGCCACTCACAGCCCCCTTCTTTCTTGCTGCTGCTGCTTCTTTTTTTTTTTTTTTTTGAGACAGAGTTTTACTCTTGTCACCGAGGCTGGAGTGCAGTGGCACGATCTCAGCTCACTGCAACCTCTGCCTCCCAGGTTCAAGTGATTCTCCTGCCTCAGCCTCCCAAGTAGGTGGGATTACAGGCACTCACCACCACGCCTGGCTAATTTTTGTATTTTTAGTAGAGATGGGGGTTTCACCACGTTGGCCAGGCTGGTCTCGAACTCCTGACCTCAGGGGATCCGCCCACCTCGGCCTCCCAAAGTTCTGGGATTATACCCGTGAGCCACCGCGCAGGCCCTTTCTTGCTTCTTATGTAACTTGCTACTCCACGTGTGATAGAAGAACCAGCAGCATTGGTTAGAAATGTCGAATTTGGGTCCCCAATCTGTATTTTAACAAGATTCCCCAGCCGATTTGTTGTTCTCAAGTTAAAGCACCACTGCTTTACCATAAAAGCAGAAAAGTAAAAATACTGACTTTCCCGGACCCCCTTGCAGCCAGGGGTAGACATGGACCTGGTTCTGGCCAATGAGATGCAACCAAAAGTCACAAGGTGGAATTCCAGGATGGCTTTTTTAAAGGGATGGACGTGGCTGGCCCACCCCAGTGTGGATATAATGCAGCTATCTTGCGACTGTGAGAATGAAATTCAAATTCTAAGGGTGATGGTTAGGAACACAGACTGAGTCTGGGTCCTTGGTGACAAATTTGAACAGCTGCATCTGCTGAAACTGTCTATCTTAGGACATCTGACCTGAGCAAAACAGACCCTTATGTGCTGAAGCCTGTGTTAACTAAGCTTTTTGCTACTTGCAGCCAAGTGGATATATTCCTGACTGATGGGGGTGGGGCACTGTGTTCCAAGGTAGCAGGGGCAGGTGAGGGCAGCTGCTTCTGATGCTTTCCCATAGATGCAGAACCAAGGGCTCCCCTGAGTCCCAGGAGCTGACTTCCTGGGACTTAGGATGGCAAGCTTTCTCTTTAAACCTCTTGCTGCCCCAGATCACTGGCAGAAGGCAGCAGCCAAAGGCAGCTTGGGGAAATGACAATGGTTGCAGTTGGGGACAGTCTGGGGTTGAGCTCTGCCTTATTTATTTATTTATGACACAGAATCTTGCTCTGTCATCCAGCCTGGAGTGCAGTGGCATGATCTCAGCTCACTGCAACCTCTGCCTCCTGGGTTCAAGCGATCCTCCCACCTCAGCCTCCCGAGTAGCTGGGATTATAGGCACCATCATGCATGGCTAATTTTTGTATTCTTAGTAGAGATGGGGTTTCACCATGTTGGCCGGACTGGTCTCAAACTCTTGGCCTCAAGTGATCTGCCCGCCTCGGCCTCCCAAAGTTCTGGAATCACAGGCATGAGCCACAGTCCCCGGCCTGAGACCTGCCTTTAATTCCTGCCTCAGGTCAATATTGGCTCTAGCACAGGGTACTGTAGATTGGCAAGTTTGGCCAAGGGGCCCCAGCAGTGGGGGAGGGAAGGGCATGGAATGGTCATAGACCAATTAGGACAGAGGTTCAGAGAAGTGAGATTGCAACCTTTGTATCAAAGAAGGCTTCCTGTAGGAGTCAGCCTTGGTCAGGTCCTTGAAGGATGCACCTGGTTTGGTTGGGAGAACACAGCAGCCATCAGTCTCCCCATGTGACTCCTCACTTTGGCTTATCCCTCTCTGTGTGCACAGTGAATTCAACTCACCCTCCACAGCCTAGTGGGACTCTCTCCACCCTTGTGAAAGCTTCTCTGAGCTTCTCTACTATGCTACCCCCAGCCCAGAAAGGTCTTTCTCCTACTATATTCTGGTTATCCATTTGTCTGTCTCCTGGCCAGCCTGTGAGCTCTGGAAGGGTAGAGACCATGCCTTCATCTCTGTAGCCTAGAGTGCAACAGGCATTTGCTGAATCACTGCTGGGGGAAAGGAAAAACCATAAGAAATGTGAGTCCCCAGGTGCAGGAGTCCCCAGGACAGTGAGGAGGCAGTGAGCTGATGGGTCTAAGGGTACAGCCATGTAGAGGGGACTGGGAGGGCCGGTTGGAAAGGAACATGCTTCAAACCCTGCATCCTGATGACATTTCAGGGAAATTCCAGGGTAAGGTCTCTCCCAAGGCTGAGCCACTTAGAATATCTTGGGGTATTTTCTTTTCCTTTTGGTGCTTGTACTGACATTGAAGGAGTGGGGCTTCCACTGACATAAGCCCCCTGCACTTGGCCTTGAGCTAGAATATTTTGGAGTGGATTAGCACAATGTTTCCAATGTCCAAGGAGCTCATCTCCCCTGATTACAGAGATGTATTAAGTTGCTCTTCTGACCTTGACCTCTGGGACTGGAGGAATCACATGTGCTAGAGTGAGAAAAATGGCCTGCACACAGAAGGCCAGGGTTCCTGTCCTGCCTCTGACACTAACCAAGTGGGTGGCTCGGGGCTGGTCTCTGCTCTTCTTTGGGTCCAGTTTCCCTGCTGAGGCTGGATGATCTTCTAGCTCCAGCATTCTCACTCTGGTGCTCCTGTGATTCCTAATACTGGCCATCAGAATGGGAGGGCCCTGGGGTCATCGTAGTTGCCATCTTACATGAGAGCTTTCGATGTTCCCACCTCCCGAGATGAAGAAGATGATGATGATAATAATTGCTAGGTACTGACTGAACACAAGCATTGTTCTTAAGGGTGTTACATACATTACCTCATTTAATTGCCACAAAACCCCCATGAAGAAGGGGCTATTGTTTTCCTATTTTGCAGATGAGGAAAGAGAAGCAAAGAGTGATTAGCAAAGGTCCAGGCAGTCTGTACACAGAAGGGACTATCCTATATATATAATATATATTATATAATATATATATTATATATATATTATTTATATATTTAGATAGAGTCTCGCTTTGTCACCCAGGCTAGAGTCCAGTGGCACTATCTCAGCTAACTGCAACCTCTGCCTCCCAGGTTTAAGCAATTCTCCTGCCTCAGCCTCCCAAGTAGCTGGGATTACAGGTGCGTGCCACCACATCCAGCTTTTTTTTTTTTTTTGAGACAGAGTCTTGCTCTGTCACCAGGCTGGAGTGCAGTGGCATGATCTTGGCTCACTGCAACCTCTGCCTCCTGGGTTGGTGATTTCCCCTGCCTCAGCCTCCCGAGTAGCTGGGACTACAGGTGCACACCATCACGCCTGGCTACTTTTTTGTATTTTAGTAGAGATGGGGTTCCACCATGTTGGCCAGGATGGTCTCCATCTCCTGACCTCATGATCTGCCTGCCTTGGCCTCCCAAAGTGCTAGGATTACAGGCATGAGCCACCGCACTCAGCCTGTAGTATAATAAATTGACTATCCCTCCCACTTTTTGGCTAGGTTGAATGGTTTTGCAGTGACCAGAAGAATAAAGATCTGGTAAAAGGAGAATGAATTCAAACAGGAGGAGGTGCCTTGAGTGTGTGGGATGGGGAGAACATGAGTGGGAGGAAAGTTCTGGAATTGCTGGGTCTCTGGAATCAGGGCATACATATCCAGGTTTCCACCCCGCCTGGGCCCCCTGTGAGATCACCAAGGCCTCTAAGCACATTTCAGGTTTGTGTTCTCCTCTAGGCTAGCTTTCACTGCCCCAGGTCCTGCTGGGGAAACCACTGGATTCTGAACTCAGTCTTAAGGACTGATTTGGGGTCTAGCTTGTGGATGAGCTGTAATTATGTCCATTATACCTGTCTCGGAATGATTCACAGATGGCAAGAGCTTACGTAGGAGCAATGTTCCTCTTACTTTTTTTTTTTAATTTACATTTTCCGGTGACTCACTGGATTTGAGAGTAGTCTTATTGACTGGAGAAAAAAAAAGTGGGGAGGGAAAAAAAAAAAAGAAAATGTGATCAGGTGCATTGAAGACAAATAATATTGTCTAAATCATGTCCAGGCGGTTCTGGGTTCTTGTTCTATGGGTTCAAACCTATCTCCTACTCTCTGAGCCTCTTGACTCCCCCTCTTCCTGGAAGTGGGAGGCAGCCCTGTAGCTCCATGAAGGCAGTGGAGGGACAACCTCATGCTGGGAAGTTTGTGCTTTAGAAGGAGCTGAGTTCAGGCCAGGGACGGTGGCTTATCTGTAATCCCAGCACTTTGGGAGGCCAAGGCACGTGGATCACCTGAAGTCAGGAGTTTGAGACTAGCCTGGCCAACATGGTGAAACCCTGCCTCTACTAAAAATACAACAATTAGCAGGGCATGGTGGCAGGCACCTGTAATCCCAGTTACTCAGGAGGCTGAGGCTGAAGAATCGCTTCAACCTGGGAGGTGGAGGTTGCAGTGAGCCGAGATCATGCCACACTCCAGCCTGGGTGACAGAGCAAGACTCCATCTCAAAAAAAAAAAAAAAAAAAAAGAATCTGAGTTCAAATTCCTGAACAGACTCCCATCCTTGCTGTGTGACCCTAAGCAATTTCTTTAACCTCTCTGAATCTTCAGTTTTTTTCATCTGCAAATTGGGAAAAAAAAAAACAGTGCCTGCTTTACAGGCTTCTGGGAGGATTAATTGAGTTGATATATATTAAGCATTTGGAAAAGAATAATGAAAGCAACAGCAAATATTTATTAGTCCTTGTAACACCCTATCTTGGTCGTTATGACAACCCTATGGGGGAGTGCAATGATTCCCTACAGTTTACAGGTGAGGAACCTGGGCTCAGAGAGGTTAATGGTTTGACTGGGTCACACAGTAAGTGGATGGCAGAGCCTGGGAGACTAGAGCTCACGTCTAGCTCACTTCAAAGCCCCATTCACAAAACTGGACCTTACCCCCCTACTGTTCTTATTTCCATGGGAAATGGGCTTGTCCTTCCCGTCCCTCAAAATGACCTGCCTGAATTTGAGCCCGCCCCCCCCACCCACGCCCAACTTCTCTATTTCTGCCAATGATGCTGCCAGCCACTCAGGCACCCCCCCCATAAGAGGTCATCTTCGGCCCCTCCCTCCCCTCCCCTCAGCAGGCCCCACCCTTCCGTGTCAATTTTGTTGATACGACCCAAGATCTCTATCCGGGAGTTCAGTGCAGATCTGTTTCTGCCTCTCCTTCCTCTGGGCTGCCCACTGAGTTCTTCCCATATCCTCCCTCTATGTGGCCAGTTTGAGCCACCCCCTCATTGGGCTCATCACCGCCTCCCTGAAACCTTCACTGCCTCCCATGCCTGCTGCACTTAGCACTGACTCCTTCGTGCTGCGTTGACTCCCTGTGTCATATTGGGAGGGTCCTTCTCCTCTCTGGTCCTGGTGTATCTGGAGTTGGTTCCTGCCAGTGGGTTCGTGGTCTCGCTGATTTAGAGAATGTAGCCACGGACCTTTGCAGCGAGTGTCACAGCTCTTAAAGATGGCATGGACCCAAAGAGTGAGGGGTAGCAAGGTTTATTGTAAAGAGCGAAAGGACAAAGCTTCCACAGAGCCGAAGACGACCCGAGCAGGTTACCCCTGCTAGTTTGCAGGGGAGGAGGGAGTGGTCAGCTTTTATTCCCTTATTGTACCCCTCCCATGTTCCGTTTCTGTCCTATCAGAGTGCCCTTTTTTCAATCCACCCCGTGATTGGCTACTTTTAGAATCCTGGCAATTGGTACATTTTACAGAGCGCTGTTTGGTGTGTTTTACAGAGCACTGATTGGTGCATTTTACAATCCGGTTGTAAGACAGGAAAGTTCCTGATTTGGTGCATTTTACAAACCTCTTGTAAAATAGGAAAAGCTCCCCAAGTCCCCACTACACCAAGGAATACCAGCTGGCCTCACCTCTCACTGGTTTCCCCAACTGTGGAATGAGACCTGGGTGGTGCTGCCTACTGCCTGCTGTCTGGGGTACCTGAGGGGCTGGTGGCTCAGGAGCTCATTCCCTTCACCCCCACTCGCTTCGGGGCAGTGTTAGAAGGACATTGGCTGGAAAATCCCCGCAAGTCAGTGGGTCAGCAAACAGCCTGCACGAGCTCCAGCCTCTTAGTCATCCTGTCCAGGCCAGGGCTGCCCACTCTTAGGAACTGCCTCTTGCTTCTTCTTCGCTCCACCAAAACAGACTAGCTTGGGTTTGAGCTTTGTCTGGGCGGCCGGGAGGGCTGTGCTTCCCTGCTGGCTCATTCTTGATAACCTCAGGCTAGTGATCTTTAAAGGGAGCTCCCTCCCTGGCCAAGCACTGCACACCCTGGACCCCCACACCGCAAAAGGAAAGAGGGGCAACCCCGAGGTGGAGTTGGAAGCTCCCAGACAGGCTGTGGAGTCTCCCCAAAAGCAAGTTGCACTCAGAGACCAGAGCCCCAAGATGGGGGAGGACCCTGTGTTTGGTGCCTGGTGTGAGATGTGGTTGCTTCTGGTTCTGAGGGGCTGGCTTGTCCCGCAGAAAAGAAATACAAGGTCAAAGCCAAGGTGCCCCCTATACTGAGAACACAGGCCCCTGGGCATTGACACCAAGCATGACTGTGACTGACGCTGCTGCAGGCGCCAGGGACAGAGGGGATGACATCTCTACCCCTCAAAGAGTTCACAGGCCTCATTGTGGGAGCAGATACAATAATCCCATGATTTGTGGTTTATCGCGGAATGTCCATTCATGAAAGTCTAAACAGGAAATGGTTTTATTTTTTCACATTGCTTTCCATGATGCGATGAGAGTCCTCCCTTTCCTGTCCTTTGACACATTTGGGGCAGATTCCATAGCTTCGTGGTCCCTTTCGGGGGTGTGGCTGGGCAGGCCCAGCCTCATCTTTGGGGCACAGAGGTGCCGGGTTCTTAGTGCCTTTTGTTCTTGGCTTTGGGCCTTCTCTTAGTTCTGGGTAGTTAAGTCCTTTATATGACCTATAAGATCGGCTGGGCACAGTGACTCATGCCTGTAATCCCAGCACTTTGGGAGGCCGAGGTGGGCAGATCACGAGGTCAGGAGTTCAAGACCAGCCTGACCAATATGGTGAAACCCCGTCTCTACTAAAAATACAAAAATTAGATGGGTGTGGTGGCATGCGCCTGTAGTCCCAGCTACTCAGGAGGCTGAGGCAGGAGAATTGCTTGAACCTGGGAGGCGGAGGTTGCAGTGAGCCGAGATCGTGCCACTACACTCCAGCCTGGGCAACACAGCAAGACTCCATCTCAAAAAAAAAAAGGATGAAGTACAGGGGCTCGTGGGAGCTGAGATGGGGGCAGTCAGCCTGACTGCGGGGGCAGGAAAGGCTCTGGGCGACCTCTTTCACGCCAGGTGTGGCTGGACTCAGATTTCCTCAGGGGAAAGTGCTTGATGTCTATGACGTTCTCCTCTTCCAGAAGTTTCCTAAGAGCTCAGGGCCCCTGTTTTGAAGTCATTATGAATGTGAAGGCAAGGCCCTTCTCTGTCCCTAGTGTTCATCAGGACCCGCACATCCATGGTGATGAATGAATGAATGAATGAATGAATGAGCTGGTGCCGGTTGGGAATTGTATTTTCTTGTGCTTTGGTTAATGGAGTGTCTTGGGATTCTAGAAGAGTTGGAATTCTTTGGAAGAATTTCTAGAAGGCAAGTATTATAGATTGAATTGTGTCCCCCACCCAAGTTCATCTGCTGAAGCCTTAACTCCCCATGGGACGACATTTGGAGACAGCAGCTTTTAGGAGGTAATAAAGGTTAAATGAATTCATATGGCTGGGGCCCTAGTCCCATAGGACTGGTGTCCTTCTAAGAAGAGGAAGAGACACCAGAGAGCTCTCTCTCCACACGCAGAGATGAGGCCATGTGAGGACACAGTGAGAAGGTGGCCACCTGCTAGCCAAAGAAGAGCCCTTGCCAGAAACTAGCGCTGCCGGCACCTTCATCTTGGACTGCCTGCCTCCAGAACTGTGAGAAATCGATTCCTGCTGTGTAAGCCCCCTAGGTCTGTGGTATTCTGTTACGGCAGCTCAAGTAGATGGAGAAAGTGAGACGACCCAGCCTGAGCTAGCAGCTAGGCAGCTGAGAGCTGGGCTCCACTGAGCCATGCAGGAAGCTTGCTCCTGGCCAGTCCTCTGCATCAGCCTGCTGCTTGAGCTGGAACCCCCTTCTTCAGCATCTGCTTCCTCTCCTGGACAGCCCCCCGTGCCCCAAGCTCTCCCTCTGCCCTCTTCTTGGAACAAGCTCTCAATCCATGCAGTGCCATTTGCGCCCTCCAAGGTTATACTCATGGGACTGTGTCCTTTCCGATGACATTCAGTTGGCCGGTCTATTTATAACAATGACTCACACACCACCTCAACTTCTGCAGGAAGAGTTCGGCTTGGGAGCCAACTCCGCTGGAATGTAAAACAATTTGCCCTTGTAAATTATCACCATTTCATTTCCACAACATTGTTTATCCTTGGCCTCCTCTTGACCCTAGTGCCAAATCACTTCACGAAACCCCCTACATCCACCTCCGGTGCCACCATCCTCTCCTGTTTATCAAGAATCTTGCTGGCTCCATGACCTGCACCACCAAGCAAGTTCCTCTTCAGCATTGACCTTGGGACCGAGACTTCCTTGCTCTGCAGATGGGAAGGCCTCTGCTAGACACTCTCCCTTTGTTTTCATGTTGATTGCTTGGAGTGAGCTCAGGTTGGGACTGGGGCAGGGAGTGGAAGACTCTGGAAGAGAGCTCTGAGCCCCCATCCTTGGCCTGAGGCTGCCTTCTCCAACCCTGTCTCTCAGCCTTTGACATGAAACACCCACAGCACTGCAGGCTGACTTCTGCATCCACCCCACCTCATTCCACAGCAACTGTTCTCATCTCCTAGTTGACACATCAAGGTGATCCTTTAAGTCCCAAGTTTCAGCAGTCTCTCTGCAGCTTTTGACATGGTTGAGCTCGGTCCTCCCTGGCTTCTGACACGCCACCCTCTCCTGGTTCAGGAACAGCCCTAGGCTCCATAACCTTCTCATTTATGCCTCCACTTCAGCCTCCATCTTTTCTCCCTTACATCACTACACAGCCACCAGCTGGATGCCCTGCCTTCGGGCTCTCCCTCTCAATCCACTCTCTGTCATCAGATGATGTCACACCCCTGCTTAAGTCCCTACCTTGCATGGAATACAGGCCCTAATGACCAGTCCTGGCTGGCTCTTGGCCTCGTATTCTGCCCCTTATTCACACTCCACCCCAACCCCATTTTCCAGCCTCCTGGACTACTCAGATGCCTCCAGATTGACTTTCTTCTCTCACATCTCTTTGCCTTAGCACATGATGCTCTCACTGCACAGAACACTCTTATTGCCTTCTTCTTTGTCTGAGCCCTATAATTTGGAATTCTGCTAGGTCATCCCCTTTGGCAGAAGGCTTCAGGGAGCAGCCCTTCCTCTCCTCCCCTGGCGTCTTCCTCACTGCCCACTGCTGAACCATCTGTGTGCTTCCCTCACTGGCCCCGATTCCCACTCTACCTACCGACCTGACACTCCAGCCCGGATCAAATTCCTTTATTTTATGCTCCCATGGAGTGATTCCATTGTCTTTAGAACACTGCTTTAGTTAGTAGTTTTATTTCATAAAAACCATTATTTGATTATTGTCTTAATCTCCCCCACCAGGCTGGAAACTAACGAGAACAGATAAATCTTTATCTTCAAATAGGGATATTGTTTTTCTTTTTAAAGAACATTTACTATTAAAAATTCTATTTTTATTTATTTATTTATTTATTTATTTTGAGATGGAGTTTCACTCTTGTCGCCCAGGCTGGAGTGCAATGGCGCAATCTTGGCTCATGCAACCTCCACTTCCCGGGTTCAAGTAATTCTTCTGTCTCAGCCTCCCAAGTAGCTGGGATTACAGGCATGTACCACCATGCCCAGCTAATTTTGTATTTTTAGTAGGGATGGGGTTTCACCATGTTAGCCAGGCTGCTCTCTAACTCCTGACCTCAGGTGATCCACCTGCCTTAGTCTCCCAAAGTGCTGGGATTACAGGTGTGAGCCACCGTGCCCAGCCCCTATTATATATTTTAAAAGACTAATGAACACCTGTTATCCATGACCCAACTTTGTCCAATCTTACCACTTGCCATATTTGCTTCAGATGTTTTTTTGAAGATATAAAGATGATTGAAAGCTTCTAAGTTTCAATACACATCTATAGAACTTGCTGTCATTACGTGTATAAATGTTTAGATATATTTATAAAATGTGTGCAGTGTCTAAGGATTAACGACAACAGCAAATACCTGCGTACCCACCACTCCATTTAGGAAAAAGAATATAACCATTCGTTTGAAAGTCCCCTCTGAGGCCCTCCTCAGCCCCTCCCCTTTCCTCAGTAACCATTATCCCAAATTGTGTGTGTGATTTTCATGCTTTCTTTATACTTATACCAAATATATTTGTATCCCTAAACAATAGATTGTTTAGTTTTGCTGTGTTTTCAAACTTTATATAAATGGAAACATACAATTTGTAGTCTACTGTAACCTGTTTTTTAACACATTTTGTTATGACATTGTGTGTACCCTGTAATTCATTTCCCTGATGATTTTTATTCTGTTACGTGGACATACCATACTGTATCCATTCCCCTGTTGATAGACATGATAGACATTTAGTTTGCCTTTCCCCTAGACCCATATGTGTGTGTGTGTGTGTGTGTGTGTTTTTAGACGGAGTCTCTGTCGCCCAGGCTGGAGTGCAGTGGTATTATCTTCGCTTACTGCAACCTCCGCCTCCGGGATTCAAGCGATTTTCCTGCCTCAGCCTCCAAGTAGCTGAGATTACAGGGATCTGCCACCATGCCTGGCTAATTTTTTTTTTTTTCCGCCAAGATGGAGTCTTCCCCTGTCACCCAGGGCTAGAGTGCAATGGCGTGATCTTGGCTCACTGCAACCTCCGCCTCCCAGATTTAGGCAATTCTCCTGCCTCAGCCTCCCGAGTAGCAGGAATTACAGGCATGCACCACTATGCCTGGCTAATTTTTGTATTTTTAGTAGAAACGGGGTTTCATCATGTTGGCCAGGCTGGTCTTGAACTCCTGACCTTGTGATCTGCCCTCCTTGGCCTCCCAGAGTGCTGGGATTACAGGGGTGAGCCACCACACGTGGCTTCTGTGTTTTCTTTTTTGTATTTCTGCCCATCCTCCATTTTTTTTTTTTTTTTTTGGTTACAAACAGTGGTGCAGTGAGGGTTCCCCTTGTGCACATATGAGAGATACAAATGCCCCCCAGCTAAAGACACACCTGCCAGGAATGGCTGGATCACAAGCGAGGGACCTCTTCACTTTTCCTAGGCACTGCCTGTCCACATTCCCACAAGCAGAGTACACTGTCTGAATTCCAGTTTCTCCACAGTCTCACCAGTGTTTAGTATCCTTAGATTTCAACAACTTTGTGAATCCAATGGGTATGAAGTGCTATTGTGTTATTTTCCTGATTAGTGGTGAGGTTAAGCATCTTTCCAAATGTTTTCTCTTCTGTAAATTGCCTGTTTGTATTCTTGTGACTATTCTATTTGATATTTTTTTCCTCAGAATTGATTTATGGCAGTTCTTTGTGGATTTTGCACATGAATCTCTTATCAGGCGAATGCCTTTTCCCAGACTATAGTTTGTCTTTTTGCAGTGGGTTGGGGAAGTGGATTTGAGAGATATTTTTTTCTTTTTTTTGAGACAGAGTCTTGCTCTGTCGCCCAGGCTGGAGTGCAGTGTCGCGATCTCGGCTCACTACAAGCTCTGCCTCCCGGGTTCACGCCATTCTCCTGCCTCAGCCTCCTGAGTAACTGGGACTACAGGTGCCCGCCATCACACCCGGCTAATTTTTTCTATTTTTAGTAGAGACGGGGTTTCATCGTGTTAGCCAGGATGGTCTCAATCTCCTGACCTCGTGATCTGCCCACCTCGGCCTCCCAAAGTGCTGGGATTACAGGCGTGAGCCACCATGCCCGGCTGATTTTTCAAATACAGTTAATTACACAAATCTTAATTGCTACAGTTTGATGGCTTTTTGTTTTTGTTTTTGTGTTTTTGTTTCGTTTTGTTTTGAGACAGAGTTCCATTCTTATTGCCCAGGCTGCAGTGCAAGGGCACGATCTTCACTCATTGCAACCTCTGCCTCCCAGGTTCAAGCGATTCTCCGCCTCAGCCTCCCAAGTAGCTGGGATTGCAGGCATGCGCCACCACGCCCAGCTAATTTTGTATTTTTAGTAGAGATGGGGGTTTCACTATGTTGGTCAGGCTGGTCTCGAACTCCTGACCTCAGGTGATCCACCCACCTCGGCCTCCCAAAGTGCTGGGATTACAGTCATGAGCCACTGCGCCCTGCCTAGTTTGATGGCTTTTGACAAATACATGCAGCTATGAACCCACTCCTCTGTCATGTTATAGAACATTTCCACCATCCTAGCAAGGCCTTTCGTGCCCTTTCCCTGACAACTACTGGTTTGACTTCTTTTACTATTAATATGTAGTAATTTTGCCTGATTTAGAACTTAATGTAATAGAAAGAATACAGTAAGTCTGTCTGGCTTCTTGTGCTCAGCATAATGTTTTTAAGATTCATCTATGTTGTTATGTAGATTTCATTTTTATTGTTAAGAAGATTTCCATTGTATAAATATACCACAATATGTTTATCCATTCTTCTGTTGCTGGACATGTAGATTGTTTCAGGTTTTGGCCACTGTGAGGAACATGGCTATAAACATCCTTGTACCTGTCTTTCTGTGGACATGTGTTTTCATTTCTCTTGGGTAAATACCTCAAAGTGGAACTGCTGGATCATAGGGATGGTGCATATTTAACTTTATAAGAAACAACATGCTTCATCTTTTCACTCTGTTAAGGACATTGTCATCAGATTTAACAATCTTTTCCTTTCTGCTTTATGATTACTTAAAAAATCTTTTTCTGGGCCGGGCCTGTAATCCCAGCACTTTGGGAGGCCGAGGCAGGCGGATCACGAGGTCAGGAGATCGAGACCATCCTGGCTAACATGGTGAAATCCTGTCTCTAGTAAAAATACAAAAAATCAGCTAGGCATGGTGGCAGGCTCTTGTAGTCCCAGCTACTCGGGAGGCTGAAGAGAGAGAATGGTGTGAACCCGGGAGGCGGAGATTGCAGTGAGCCGAGATAGCACCACTGCACTCCAGCCTGGGTGACAGAGCGAGACTCCGTCTCAAAAAAAAACAAAAACAAAAAAATCTTTTTTCTGGCTGGGTGCGGTGGCTCACACCTGTGATTCCAGCATTTTGGGAGGCCAAGGCAGGTAAATCATTTGAGGTCAAGAGTTCGAGACCAGCCTGGCCAACATTGTGAAATCCCACCTCTACAAAAAATACAAAAATTAGCTGGGCGTGGTGGCGTGCGCCTGTAATCCCACCTACTTAGGAGGCTGAGGCAAGAGAATTGCTTGAGCCCAGGAGGCGGAAGTTGCAGTGAGCCGATATTGCATCACTGCACTCCAGCCTGGGTGACAGAGTTAGACTCTGTTAAAAAAAAAAAAAAAATCTTTCTCTGATATTTTTTCTATGATTTCTTCTAGAAGTTTTAAACTTTGCATTTTACATTTGGGTCTTTAATTCACCTGAAATTGCTTTCTGTCTATTGTGTGATGTAAGAATCTATTTTTTCCCTCTATTCCTCATTTGAGGAACCAATATTTCCAACATTATTATTGACTAGACTATCACCCCTTCCCAGCCTCAATTGTAATACCATCTCTGCCATAGACGAGGTTTCCTCAAAGACTAAGACCTGTTTCTGGGCTCAGTTCTGTGCCATTGGTTTATTTTTCTATTCCTATGCCAATAGCACACTGTGCTAATTACTATAATTTATAAAATGTTCTGCTATCTCATAGGGTAAGTCATCCCACTTTGTTCTCCAAAATTGACTTGTCTATTTAGGGCCTGAGCTCCTCCATATAAATTGTAAGAGCAGTTTGTCAGATTGTGTGCACACACACACAGAGTTGAAATTTTGTTTGCATTTGCATTATATTGATCCACTGTTTGGAGAGAGGTTTGCCATCTTTATGAACCTGGGACTTCCCATTCATGAACATAATTTCTCTCTTTTTTTTTTTTTAGTTTTTTAAAAGTCTTAATAAAGTTATACATTTTTTTCTCTGGAAATATTTTGCATAACTTTTGTTGAATTCATTTTTAGGTATCTTACAGGTTTTTGGCTATAGTAAATGAAATTTTTAAAAAATTACATTTTAAAATCATTCGTACTTATTATAGGAGCACAGTTGATTTTTGCACACGAATAGTTTATCCAGCCCTTTTCTCACTTTTTTTTTTTTTTTTTTGGAGACAGAGTCTCATTCTGTCTGCAATGGCACAATCTCGGCTCACTGCAACCTCTGCCTCCCAGGTTCAAGCGATTCTCTTGCCTCAGCCTCCTGAGTAGCTGGGACTACAGGTGCATGCCACTACACCTGGCTAATTTTTGTATTTTTGGTAAAGATGGGGTTTTGCCATGTTGCCCAGGTTGGTTTCAGACTTTTGGCCTCAAGGGAACTGCCCACCTCAGCCTCCCAAAGTGCTGGGATTACAGGCGTAAGCAACAGCACCCAGACTTTTCTCACTTTTCTAAAGCGCTGTTCTTGGATTTTTTTTTTTTTTTTTAAGAAACAGGGTCTCACTCTATCTCCCAGGCTGGAGTGCAGTGGCATGATTATAGTTCACTGCAAGTTTGGACTCCTGAGCCTAAGCAAGCCTCCCACCTTAGCCTCCTGAGTAGCTGGACTATGGGCATGCTGGCCTCCTCTTGGATTTTCTTTATGGACAATGCTATAAACTGTAGACAATGACAGTTTCATTTTTTCCTTTCAAGACTTTTCAGCTTTGATTTTCTTTCTGGTCTTTACACACTGGCTATGACCTCCAGAATAATGGTCAATAGAGGAGGTAAGAATAGGCAGCTCTTGATCCTAACTTTGAAGAGAATGCTTTGAGGAGTATTTTGCCCATGAAGTATGATGTTTGCTTTAAGTTTTTATAGATACACCCTTTTAAAGTTATAAAGTTTTTTTCAAGTCTTAGTTTGCTAAGAATTAAAAAAATATATATTTATATATATAGTCTTAGTCCATTTCGTGTTGTTATAATAGAATCCCTGAGAATGGGTAATTTGTAAAGAAAAGAGGTTTACTTGACTCATGGTTCCGGAAGCTGGGAAGTCTAAGAGGCATGGCACCAGTATCTGGGTGGCTTCTGGTGAGGGCCTTGTGCTGTGTCATAGCATGGTGGGAAAGCGGAAGAGGAAGTGGGTATGTGCTGAGAGACCAAACATGAGAGGCAACCTTGCTTTATAACTACCTGCTAGGCCGGGCGTAGTGGCTTACACCTGTAATCCCTTTGGGAGCACTTTGGGAAGCTGAGGCAGGTGGATTGCTTGAGTTCAGGAGTTTGAGACCAGCCTAGGTAACATGGCAAAACCTCATCTCTACACAAAATTAAAAAAAAAACTAGTCAGGTGTGGTGGTGTGCATCTGTAGTCCCAGTTACTCTACAGGCTAAGACAGGAAGATCACTTGAGCCCGGAAATTTGAGGCTGCAGTGAGCTATGATTGTACTCCAGCCTGGGTGACACAATGAGACCTGTCTCAGAAACAAAAACAAAAACAAAGCCTGCTTGGGGAAATGAATCCATTCCCAAGAACTAATTGAGTCTCTAGAGAAAGATATTAATCTACAGTAATAACCTAATAAACCTCTTAAAGGTACCACCTCCCAATATTGATACACTGAGAATTAAGGTTCCAACATGAGTTTTGGCAGAGATAGTCAAACCATAGCATAGATCACAAATGGATATACACCCAGCCCTTAGTTTTTTCAAATAATTTTTCTATATATAATTTCCCTTTTTGATCTATTCCTGTTAATTATATTAACAGATTTTCTAATGTTAAGCCATCCTTTTATTCCTGAAATAAACTTTGCTGGTTTATGTTGGTTGTTGTTATTATAGTACATAATGCTGTATTGGTTTGTGAACTTAAAAGAAATTTTTTTTAATTTTTAATTGTTGTGGGTACAGAGTAGGTATATATTTATGGGGTACATGAGATGTTTTGATACAGGCATGCAATGTAAAATAAGCATGTCATGGAGAATGGGGTATCCATCCCCTCAAGCATTCCTCCTTTGAGTTACAAGCAATTCAATTACACTCTTTAATTAAAATGTACAATTAAGTTATTATTGACTATAGTCACCCTGTTGTGCTATCAAAATAGTGGCTCTGTCACCCAGGCTGGAGTGCAGTGCATGATCTCGGCTCACTGCAGCCTCCACCTCCTGGGTTCAAGCAATTCTCCTGCCTCAGCCTGCAAGTAGCTGGGACTACAGGCACCTGGCACCACGCCCAGCTAATTTTTGTATTTTTAGTAGAGATGAGGATTACAGGTATGAGCCTCCATGCCCAGCCCTTATTCATTCTTTCTATTTTTTTGTATGCATTAACCATCACCACCTCCCCATCAGCCCCCGACTACCATTTAGCCTCTGGTAACCATCCTTTACATTCATGAGTTCAGTTGTTTTGATTTTTAGATCCCACAAATAAATGAGAACATGCGATGTTTGCCTTTCCATGCCTGGCTTATTTCACTTAACATAATGACCTCCAGTTCCATCCATGTTGTTGCAAATGACTGGATCTCAGTCTTTTTTATGACTGAATAGTACTCCATTGTGTATATGTACCACATTTTCTTTGTACATTCATCCGTTAATTGACACTCTGAATCCTAGCTATTGTGAATAGTGCTGCAACAAACATAGGAGTGCAGATATCTCTTCAATGAACTATTTTCCTTTCTTTTGGGAATACACCCAGCAGTGGGATTGCTGGATCATATGGTAGCTCTGTTTTTAGTTTTTTGAGGAATCTCCAAACTGTTTTCCGTAGTGGTTGTACTAATTTACATTCCCACCAACAGTGTTCGAGGGTTCCCCTTTTCTCCACATTCTCACCAGCATTTGTTATTGCTTGACTTTTGCGTAGAAGCCATTTTAACTGGGGCGAGATGAAAAAATATGGAATCCTTCATGAATGTGTGTATCATCCCTGCACAGGGACCATGATAATCTACTCTGTGTCATTCTAATTTTAGTACATGTGTAGTGAGCGCTTGGTTTCAAAACATTTTATTTAAGATTATTGCATCTCAAATTGTTCAAAAGTGAGATTGTGCTGTAATTTTCCTTTCTTATATTTTTCTTGTTTCTTTTTGATATCAAGGTTATATTTACCTCATAAAATAGTTTGAAGGTTTTCCTTCTTTTCCCGTTCTTTGGAATCGTTTGCATGAAGTTGGTTATCTCTTTTTTGAATGTTTAGTAGAGCTAACTTGTAAAATCACCTGGACCACATATTGTGTGTTTGTGTATGTGGGGATAAATTTCTAAAACAGGAATTTAATTCCTTCAATGATTATTTGTTTATTCAGATCCTCTATTTCTTAGTCAGTTTTTTTTTGTTTTTCCTTGAGACAGGGTCTTGCTCTGTTGCCCAGGCTGCAGTGTGGTGGTCCTCCTGCCTCAGCCTCCCAAGTAGCTGGGACTACAGGCATGCACTACCATGCCCTGCTTATTTCAAAAAATTTATGTATTTGTAGAGACGAGGTCTCACTCTGTTGCCCAGGTTGGTTTCAAACTCCTGGATTCAAGCAATCCTCCTGCCTCAGCCTCCCAAAGTGCTGGGATTACAGGTATGAGCCACCACACCCAGCCCTTAGTCAGTTTTGGTAGGTGTTTTTGTTCTGTGAAAATTTTCATTTCACCCAGTTTATTGGCATAATCTTGTTCATAGTATTTACTTATTATTTTTAAAGTATCTATTATATCTGTAGATATTTAATTGCTAATATTATTTATTTGTACCTTTTCTTATTTTGATCAATCAGATCAAATTTCTGTCTACTGGTATTTTCAAATAACTAGACTTGATTACCCCTTCTATTGTTTCTTTGTTTTCTATTTTATTAATAGCTGTTCCTTTCTTTATTATTTCCTTCTATTTTCTTTGGATTTACTCTGACATAGTTTATAGAAAATCTTGAATCTGATATTTATTCAATTAATTTTCCAATTTCTTTTAATATACGCTTATATGGCTTTTCCTCTAATTACTGCTTTTAGCTACATTCCACAAATTTTGACACAAAGAATTATATCATTCAGTTGTAAATATTTTCTAATCTTCATTATGATTTTTTCTTTGATCCATTTGTTGTTCAGAAGTGTGTTTTTACATTTCCCAAACACATTAAATTTTTAAAATTGTGCTGTTATTGATTTTGAATTTAATTGAATTGTGATGAGAGAATGTAGTCTACATAATATTGGTTCTTGATTTGCTTTGTATTGTAGTACAAAATCAATTTTCAAAATGTTCATGAAGCTTAAAAATGTATATTCTGTAGCTGTTGGTTGTGGAGTTCTCCATATGTTCATTAGATTAAACTTACTGTGTTTAATCTACAGCCTAACTTGGTTTTTTGTCTCTTGGATATTTCTATTTCTAATTCAATTTCAAATTCCAGTTTCTAAGAGATGTTAACCTCTCCCACTATGCTTGTAGATTTTAAATTTCATCTTGTAATTCTATCAGTTTTTGCTTTTTATATTTAATTTTTGCTTAACATATTTTGAGGTTGTGTTAACTGGAAGCATAAAAGTTCCGAGATGTTCAACCTTTTTGATTAACTCCTTTAATTATTATATAGTGACTCTTTATTCCTTTTTTTAAAATTTTTTTAATTTTTTTTTTTTTTTGAGATAGCCCAGGCTGGAGTGCAATGGCGTGATCTCGATTCACTGCAACCTCTGCCTCCTGAGTTCAAGCGATTCTCCTGCCTCAGCCTCCTGAGTAGCTGGGACTACAGGCATGAACCACTAGACCCGGCTAATGTTTTTGTATTTTTAGTAGAGACAGGGTTTCACCATATTGGCCAGGATGGTCTTGAACTCCTGACCTCAAGTGATCCACCTGCCTTGGCCTCCCAAAGTGCTGGGATTACAGGGTGTGAGTCGCCACACCCAGCCATGACTCTTTATTTCTAATAATGCTTTGGACTTAAAATATATTTTGCCAGAGATTTGTTACAACAGCTTTCTTTTGATTAATATTTGCCTAGTTTATCTTTTATCATTAAATAAAAGTTTCA
This sequence comes from Homo sapiens, assembly GCF_000001405.40. NCBI lineage: Eukaryota > Metazoa > Chordata > Mammalia > Primates > Hominidae > Homo > Homo sapiens. The sequence continues at coordinate 31,711,715 of NC_000017.11, read as the reverse complement.
GCTTTTTTGAGTCCTTGTGTTTTAGTTGTGTGTCTTTTATAAACAGCATATATGCAACTTTTATTTTTTTAATCTAATCAGAGAATCTCTATCTCCCGAGTAAATCCTTTAACATTTGAAAATGTACTCTGATTACTGATATGTTGTATTGATTATCTCATTTTGGTTAATATGCATGACATATAGAACTAATTTATATTACTTTTGTTCTTTCTAGTGCTCTGCTTTTCCTTTTTTTTTTTTGAGATGGAGTTTTGCTCTTGTCACCCAGGCTGGAGTGCAGTGGTGCCATCTTGGCTCATTGCAACCTCCACTTCCTAGGTTCAAGCGATTCTCCTGCCTCAGCCTCCCAAGCAGCTGGGACCACAGGCACATGCCACCATGCCTGGCTAATTTTGTATTTTTAGTAGAGATGGGGTTTCACCATGTTGGCCAGGCTGGTCTTGAACTCCTGACCTCAGGTGATCCGCCCGCCTTGGCCTCCCAAAGTCCTAGGATTACAGGCATGAGCCACTGTGTCCAGCCAGCTTTTCCTCTTTTTTCCCCCCATTTCTTGGCTCTTATTGGGTTGATCTAGTTGTTTTTGTTTCTTTTTTTCACCTCTACTAATTTGAAACCTGTGAATACTATTTCTATCCTTTTAGTGTTATTCTTAAATCTTTAACATATATATATATACGTATTCTTTACTTGACAGGGTAGCAATTATTCAACATCTTTATATTTTTCCCAGATAATGTAGGAACTATTTGATACTTGAAGTATGATCATTTTCTTCCTAGCTTACATATTGTTTTTCAGTTTTTTAATGTATCTTATTTCAATATCCTTAAATTATTTATTATAAAAATTCATATTGTTTTATGATGGCATGGCTTATTCAGTTTTATCTTTAACTCTACCAGTCTGTTCACTCATCGTTGTTTATTGCTTCTTGTTCCTTTTTCTATATTCAATTTTCTTCTCCCTGAAGTATATCCTTTAGTTCTTTGCACATTGGTACGTAATGGTAAAAAACACTCTTTCTTCATTTGAGCAAAAGTCATTTTCTTTCATATAACATCTATCTGGGGATAGAATTCTAGGTGACCATTATTTTCTTTGAGTAACTTGAAGATATTTTCCCATCTTTTTTATTTTTTATTTATTTATTTTTTTGAGATGGAGTCTCCCTCTGTCGTCCAGGCTGGAGTGCAGTGGCGCGATCTCAGCTCACTGCAAGCTCCGCCTCCCGGGTTCACGCCATTCTCCTGCCTCAGCCTCCCAAGTAGTTGGGATTACAGGCGCAGAGGATGCACGCTCAGGGAACCACCGCACCTGGCCAATATTTTCTCATCTTATCCTGACATCTATTGTTGCCGTTGAGAAGTCTGCTGTCAGCCAGTACTGGCAATCAGTATTTTCTCTGTGACTGCTGTTTCTTTCTTTTCTTCTTCTTTTTCTTTCTTTCTTTTTTTTTGTTTTGTTTTGTTTTGTTTTAAAATATTTTGTTAATGGCGAAAGGTTAGGGTAAGTAGAAACTTTTTGGAGGCCTTTTTGGCACGATCTATCAAAATTTTAAAGCTAGCATTCTTGTTTCCAGGAATAGATCCTGAAGATCTGATTGCACAAGGGCATGGAGCTATGTGCAGAAGGAAGTTCACATGTAGTTCTTTGTAATCATCAAACCTGGACAGGACATGGGGCGGCCCGCGCAGGAGCACACTCACTGGGAAGGATGAGGCGGCTCCCTGACGCTACGGGGTTCCGTGCACCTGCCCCGGCCTGCTGGGCCCTGAGGGGTCCTGGTGAGCAGCCAAGGCCCCTGTCCTCATGCAGGGTTCTGGGAGACACTGGGATCCATATGTATAAATAGGGGTGCTTTTCAGACAGGAACTGCCTGCGGTGTGTGAGGAAGCTGCTGCTGACGTGGCCCTAGCCGTTACACCCCGCCGTGGAGCAGGACATGCCTTCCGTCCTGACCGACTTCCAGGAGAACTGGGAGCCATTCAGGTCCGCTTGGCTGCCAAGGGGCACCCGGAGGCGCTACAGTGGGACGCGTACTACCCGGTGATGTGGCCCTGGCCGTCGCACCTGGGGGCGGGACACCTGATGGGCTCTTGAGTTTCTTTATCTTCTTTGCTCTGTGCTATCCTGATACCACTTTGCTCTCGGGCGACTTGAAAGGCCTAGCACCATCCCGGCTTGGAGTCCTCAAGGCCACTGCCCTGAGCGTGCGTCCTCTGGGAAGTCCATCTCCGTTTACCTTGAATGCGCAGGAACACGTTCTGTGACTGCTATTTCTCCAGAGGATGATATGTTACTGATTTTCCCTGGACAGTCCTGGTTTACACCTGGCACCCTTTCAGAATTATTAATAGTGCTCTATTTACTCTAAAAAATATCCTAGTTAGAATGATAAATTTTGTGGCCATCCTAGGTGGAATTTCAATTTTTTTTTTTTTTTTTTGAGACGGAGTCTCGCTCTGTCGCCCATGCTGGAGTGCAGTGGCGCGATCTCGGCTCACTGCAAGCTCCACTCCCCGGGTTCACGCCTTTCTCCTGCCTCAGCCTCCCGAGTAGCTGGAACTACAGGCACCTGCCACCAAGCCCGACTAATTTTTTGTATTTTTTTTTTAGTAGAGACGGGGTTTCACCGTATTAGCCAGGATGGTCTCAATCTCCTGACCTCGTGATCCGCCCGCCTCAGCCTCCCAAAGTGCTAGGATTACAGGCGTGAGCCACTGCGACCGGCCTGGAATTTCATTTTTACTTCCCTTTCTAAGGATTAATTGTGCTTTCTGTATCTGATGATTCATCAATTCTGGATATTTTAAGCCATGTTCTCTTTTTAATAAGTCTACAAATAAAAACCTCTGATTTAAAATTGTATATTAAGAAAATAAGTTAATAAACATATGATTAGATTAATATATCCTTTTTCTCCTCAAATTGTCTGGCCTGCCAATACCCTTTAGAGCTGGCATAGTTACTGTTAAAACACACCAGTTTTATTATGTAAATGGAACTTTTTTGGGCCCTCAGTCTCCAACGCTTGCTTCAACCCTTTGTGTATTTGCTTTTATTGTGTGTCATACATAAATAATACATAAAACATATGTTAGCTACCACTCATGCCTGTAATCCTAGCACTTTGGGAGGCCAAGGCAGGAGGATTGCTTGAGCTCAGGAATTTGAGACTAGCCTGGGCAACTAAAATCTAAAAATTTTTTTAAAAATTTAATTTAATTTACTAAAATTAAAAAAAAAATTAGCCGGGTGTGGTGGTGTGCACCTGTAGTTGCAGCTACTTGGGGGGTGCTGAGGTGGGAGAATCACTTGAGCCGGGGAGGTCGAGGCTGCAGTGAGTCCTGATCATGCCACTGCACTCCAGCCTGGCAACAATGCAAACCTTGTCTAAAAACAAAACAAAACAAAACAAAACATATGTTAAAGAATATGGTGCCCAGCACTTCGGTGAACAGTTTGAACATTATTTAATGCCTGGGATGCTCCCTTTGGCTGCTATTTAAGTGTATTCTGTTGCAGTCTCCATGTAACCGCTATTCTGAATTTTATGTTGATTTTTCGATTACTCTTCCGTATAGTTTTTACCACATGTATTTTAAAACAATTTATTATTATTTTTTCTGCTTTTAGAATGTACACAAATGGAATCATATTGTATTATATATATGCTTCAGTGACCTGATTTTTTCCCCTTCAAATTTATATTTTTGAAGTTAATTAATGTTGATGAATATCACTGTTGTTCATTTATTTCAGCTGTGGTATAGTAGCCCAGTGTTTGAATATATCACAATACATAAATCCACTCTACTTATTATGGACACAGAGAATGTTTCCACTTTTTTAGTAATTATATACCTATCACTGGGACTGGGGGTCATAGAGTGTACACATGTTCAACATTATTAATTAGTACCTAACAACCAGTGGTGATATCAGTTTCCATTCCCATTTGCAATATTTGAATTTCTTTTGCTTCACATGCTCACTAGCACTTGGGACTGTCAGTGCTTTAATTGTTGCCCAGTTGGTAAGCATGGAATGGTAGGGCTTTGAGTCTGTTTGTTTAAACTTTTAATTTTGGCTTTGTGATTTTAATTTGCATTTCCTTAATTCTCAATTGTGTTAAGCATATTCTCATATTTATTACACATTTGCCTTTGATCTTCAGTGGAATTCCGGGTTTTCATCTATTTCCTTTGGGGCTATTTTTCTCTTTCTTATTGATTTATAAGCATTCTTTCTACGTTCTGGAAATTAATCCTTTGTAATATGTGTTGCAATTGTCATCTTCAAGTTTGTGTCTTATTTTTTCTCATTCTTTATGAAGTCTCTTGAAAACCAGAAGCTCTTAATTACTTCATGCACTTTCTTTCTTTCTTTTTCCTTTTCTCTTTTCTTTTTTTTTTTTTTTTTTTTTTTTTTACAGTTGAGGTCTCACTCCATCACCCAGGCTGGATGGAGTATAGTGGTGTGATCATAGCTCACTGCAGCCTCGAACTTTTAGGCTTACGCGATCCTTTTACCTCAGCCTCGTGGGTAGCTGAGGTTATGTGTGAGCCACTGTGCTCACCTGACCTTTTTTTTTTTTTTAAGGTAGGTGCCGTTTTGTCCTTTATTTAAGAAGTCTCTCTCTACCCTGAGGACCTAAATTATGAAATTATTGTTCTATATTATCCTATATCATGTCCTAATTTTTGTTATAGTTTCACCTTTCACATTTGTGTTTAAGCTACTTTAAATGGCTTTTTATGTAGGGCATGTAGGAGGAATTAATTTTAACTTTTTTACATATGGACAACCAATTGTGCCAGTATCATTTGTTGTGGTCCATCCTTTTCCTATTAAACTATAACATCTGTTCTGTCATAAATCCAGCTTCCATATGTTTTAGTTCACTTGGGCTACTAACACAAAATACCATAAACTGGTAGCTTAAAAACAACAGAAATTTATTTCCCGTAGTTCTGGAGGCTGGGAAGTCCAAAATCAAGGCGAATTTGGTGTCTGGTGAGGGCCTGCTTTCTGGCTCTTAGATGGCAACTTCTTACTGTGTCCTCACATGGTGGAAGGGGTGAGGGTTGTCTTGCAAGCCTCTTCTTATGAGAGCACTAATCCTGTTCATGAGGGTGCCACCTCCTTGACCTCATCACTTCCCAAAGGCCCCACTTCCCATCACCGTGGGGAGGAGGATGTCAACGTATGCATTTCGGGGGGATATAAACATTTAGACCATAGCACCATATCTCTCTACATTTGTTTCTGGGCTTTTTCTTCTATTTCATCAGTCTACTCTTGCACCAATACCATACTATTTTTTTTATTACTGTAGCTTTGTCTTGATAGCTGGTAGGGCAGCCTTTATTTTCATATCTACTAGGGCAAATCTTCCCCTCTTGTTCTTCTTCAAGAATGGCTTAGGTTTTTATGGCCCTGTCATCTTTCCTACATATTTTATTTATTTATTTATTGAGATGGATTCTCTGTTGCCCAGGCTGGAGTGCAGTGGTGCGATCTCAGCTCACTACAACCCCACCTCCCAGGTTCAAGCAATTCTTGTGCCTCAGCCCCAGGAGTAGCTGGAATTACAGACATGCACCACCACACCTGGCCCATTTTTGTATTTTTAATAGAGATGGGGTTTTGCCATCTTGGCCAGGCTGGTCTCAAACTCCTGGCCTCATGTGATGTGCCCGCCTCGGCCTCCTAAAGTGCTGGCATTGCAGGCGTAAGCCACCATGCCTGGTAATCTTATTCTTTCAAAGTCCCTGCCCTTCCAGCTAAACCATTAGCCTCTGTCTAGGAATCCAGGTAATATCCATACATCCATACCTCCAGCCTGGGGGTGGGGCTGGGAGAAGCCACTGATTATGAGACAGTCTAAGAAACTACCATATCTTGCCATTATGACTGTGAAGTAAGTTTGTGGAAAGGCTATGAAATGCAGTTTCTGTACAACCTCTGAGTGGGAGCTTGCGGAAAAATTGCAAATCCATGTCTGACTGTCACAACCTGAAAAAAATGGCTATTATTTTACCTTACTTCTACCCACCTTCCAATCTTGTTCAAGTTTTCTTATTGGCTAACTCTACCTTGGAGTCATAGTAGTAAAAGTAATTATCTGACTTAAAAGAAGTGATGGTGGTACCAAGTGGACAATGGACTATCTAGCCCAGTGCTATATATTTATATTGATCTCAGTTATTTCCGTGTGTAGGTAAGGCATTGCTAGCCACCTGGTTTGGGAATGGCTTCCAGGAATAATACTACTCCCCACTAACCCTGTCAGTTCACCTGAGATTGTGGCATAAGGTACAGAGATCAGATGTTGTACTAGGATAACAGGCCTATGATGTTCAGCATTAGATGCATATGGTTGTTAAAGGAGACGTAAGGTTTGAGATGTATGATGGCAAAAGCTAGTCTGTTCAAATGTGAGATACAGATATGTTTTGAAGTTAATGTTTAAAAGCTTGTTATATCTATGTTTAAAATAATCAATCTCTCTTTCTTTATCCTTTGAATGATTGGTCTCAAAATAACACTGCAACTTATAACAACGTAATACTATTCTTAAAATGTTCTATTGTAGGCAATCAGGCAAGAGAAAGAAATAAAAGGCATCCTAATAGGAAAGGAACAAGTGAAATTTTCTCTGTTTTATGGTGACACAATCTATATATAGAAAACCTTAAAAACTCTGCCAAAAAGCCTGTTAGAGCTGATAAATAAATTCAGTAAAGTTGCAGCAGACAAAATCAACATATAAAAATCAGCAGCATTTTTACACACTAATAGCAAACTATCTGGAAAGAAAATTAAGAAAACAATCCCGTTTACAGTAGGAAAACACACAAAATAAAATAATTATGTGTAACTTTATCAAAGGAGGTGAAAGACCTAAAGACTGAAAACTTACATAAAACATTGATGGGCTGGGTGCGGTGGCTCATGCCTGTAATCGGAGCACTTTGGGAGGCCAAGGCAGGCGGATCGCCTGAGGTCAGGAGTTGGCCAGCATGGCGAAACCCCGTCTCTACTAAAAACAGGAAAAATTAGCCGGGCATGGTGGCAGGCACCTGTAGAGCCAGCTACTCAGGAGGCTGAGGTAGGAGAGTCACCTGAATCTGGGAGATAGAGGTTGCAGTGAGCCACAATCATGCCACTGCACTCCAGCCTGGACGACAAGCGTGAAACTCCATCTCAAAATAAAATAAAATAAAATAAAATAAAATAAAATAAAATAAAATAAAATAAAACACTGATGAAATAAATTGAAGAAAACACAAATAAATGGAAAAATATCCTGCATTGGTGGGTTGGAAGAATTAATATTATTAGACTGTCTATGCTACCCAAAGTGATTTACAGATTCAGTGCACTCTCTACCAAAATTTGAATGTCAGTTTTTCACAAAAATAGAAAAAAAAGATTCATAAATTCATATGGAACCACAGGAGACCCTGAATAGCCAAAACAATCTTGGGCAAAAAGAACAAAACTGGAAGCATCACACTACTAATTTCAAAGTACATTATAAATCAACTGTAATCCAAAGAACATGGTACTGGCATAAAAACAGACCCAGCAGTGAAACAGGATAGAAAGCCTAGGAATAAACCCAGGCATTTATGGTCAATTGATTTATGACAAAGGCACAAAAGAATACACAATGGGGAAATAACGGTCTCTTCAATAAATGGCATTTGGAAAACTGGAAATAATCAATTACGCACATGCAGAAGAATGAAATTGGATCCTTATCTCACATCATATACAAAAATCAACACAAAATGGATTAAAGATTATTAAAAGACCTAAAACTATAAAGCTACTAGAAGAAAACATAAGGAAAAACCTCCATGGCATTGGTCTGGGTGATGATATTTTGGATATGATCCCAAAAGCACAGGCACCAAAAGCAAAAGTAGATGAATGGGATTGCATCAAACCCAAAAGCTTCTGCACAGCAAAGAAAACAATTAACAAAATGAAGAGACAACCCACAAAGTGGGAGAAAATGTTTGCAAACCATACATCTGATAAGCGGTTAATATCAAAAATATATAAGGAACTCAACTCAATAGCAATAAGATAAATAACCTGATTTTAAAATGGACAAAAGACCTGAACAGCCATTTCTCAAAAGAAGACATGCCAATGGCCAATAGGTTCATGAAAAAATGCTCACCGTCACTGATCATTAGAGAAATACAAATTAAAGCCACAATGAGCTATCACTTCCCACCTGTTAGGGTGACTATTATCAGAAAGATAAAAGATTACAAGTGTTGGTGAGAATGTAGAGAAAAGGGAACCCTTGTACACTGTAGGGGGGCATGTAAATTAGTACAGCTACTACAGAAAACAGAAAGGATGTTCCTCAAAAAACTAAAAATAGAACTACCATATTATCCAGCAGTCCTACTACTGAGTATATATTCAAAGGAAATGAAATCAGTATATTGGAGAGACATCTACACTCTCATGTTTATTGTAGCATTATTCACAATAGCCAAGATATGGAATGAACCTAAGTGTCCATCAACAAATGAATGGATAAAGAAAATGTGGTACATATACATGATGGAATACTATTCAGCCTTGAAAAAGGAAAGCCTGTCATTTGTGACAATGTGGATGAACCTGGAGGACCTTATGCTAAGTGAAATAAGGCCGACACAGACAAATACCAAATAATTTCACTTATACAAGCGTACCTTGCTTCAGTGTGCTTTGCAGATAGTGCTTTTTTTAAAAAATAAATTGAAGGTTAGTGGCAAGCCTTTGTTGAGCAAGTCTATCACCACCATTTTCGCAACAGCATAATCTCACTTTGTATTTCTGTGTTATCATGTTAGCAGTAAAGTATTTTGAAATTAAGGTATGTGGCCAGGCACGGTGGCTCATGCCTGTAATCCCAGCACTTTGGGAGGCTGAGGCGGGTGGATCGCCTGAAGTCAGGAGTCCGAGACCAGCCTGGCCAACATGGTGAAACCCCGTCTCTACTAAAAATACAAAAATTAGCTGGACATGGTGGCAGGCGCTTGTAATCCCAGCTACTCAGGAGGCTGAGGCAGGAGAATCACTTGAACCCCGGGAGGTGGAGGTTGCAGTGAGCCGAGATGGTGCCATTGCACTGCAGCCTGGGCAACCAGAGCGAGACTTTGTCTCAAACAAAACAAAACAAAACAAAATTAAGGTATGCACATTTTTAGACATAATGTTATTACACACTTAATAGACTACAGTACAGTGTAAACAAAACTTATATGTACTGGGAAACCCCCAAATTTGTGATTTGCTTTATTGTGATACTTGCTTTTTTGTGACAGTTTAGAATCAAGCCTACAATATCTCTGAGATATGCCTGTTTGTGAAATTTTAAAAAGCTGAACTCATAGAAGTAGAGAGTAGAATGATGGTTATCAGAGGCTGGGAGTGGGGGCAGGAAAGGGGAAGTTATTGGTCAAATTGTACAGTCCGAGTTAAATAGCAGATTAAATGCAACTGAAGCAATAACTGGTGAGCTGGAATTCCTCAGGTAGGAGGAATAAGTTTGGAGGTCTATTGCATAGCAGGATGACTAAAGTCAATTATAATGTAAATGTATTGTGTATTTCAAAATAACGAAGAGTGGGCTGGCCGTGGTGGCTCACACCTGTAATTCTAGCACTTTGGGAGGCTGAGGTGGGTGGATTGCTTGAGCTCAGGAGTTCGAGACCAGCCTGGGCAACATGGCGAAACCCCATCTGTACAAAAAATACAAAAAATTAGCCAGGTGTGGTGGTGGATGCCTGTAGTCCCAGCTACTTTGTGGGGGGCTGAGGCAGGAGGATCTCTTGAACCCAGGAAGTTGAGGCTGCAGTGAGCCAAGATTGCGCCACTGAACTCCAGCCTGGGGGCCAAAGTGAGACTGTCTCAAAAAATGAAAAACAAAAACTAAGAGTAAATTTCAAATTTCTTACCACCAAAAACAAGTGAGGTGATATGATGGGTATGTTAATTATCTTGATTTAATCATTCCACATTGTATACATATATCAAAACATCACATTGTACCCCACAAATATATACAACTATGATTTTTCAATTAAAAATATTAATTTTTAAAAATAAAAGAAATGAAGAAAATTAAATTTAAAAAACATTCTGTTGCGTAAGAAGCAATAAAATGCATTATCAACAGAGCTATCTTCCAGCTCACCAGTTATCTCTTCAGTTGCATTTAATCTGCTATTTAATTCATCTATTGGGTTTTACATTTCAGTGGCTTTCTGTATTTTTCTACAGAAAAATACAGTTCTACAGTTCAAGTTGGGCATTTTCCAAATATGCTTGTTCTTTGTAATGACATCTTTCTTTTTCTTGTTTTGAGCCCCTTCCTTTATGTTGTTAATTATTTAAGGCTTACTTATTTTGAAGTTTCTATGTTTGTTCTAATGGTTGAACATTTGGCAAGGTTGATCAAATCTATTGCTTACTCTGTCTGATTCTTGCTCACATACATAACTTGTAATTTTGGACTATGAGCTCATCTATGGTAGCCCTCTCTCTGTGGGAATCATACGCAGCCTTCATTGAGAGCATGCCCTCCAGAGTAGTTTTGTGTTTGTTACTGTCAGGAATCCTAGGGGTGTCACTGTCTTGAAGATAGTCATTAGGTTACATGACCAGTTTGGGAGTTCCTGGACTGCAGGAGTACAATCAAACTTTCTCACCTGACATGAGGTGAAGCCCCACAGTTCCAGCCCTTGGGGGAGATTTTTTCCCACTCAGAGACTAGGATAGAGCAGAAAAGCTTCCTTATAACCTCTTCACTCCCCTCTACCTCCTACCCCCACCCCATACAACTACAGCATTAACTCAAAAGCTTATTCCTTTGATATTTACTCCTCTCTCAATTTTTGGTCCCTGGGAATTTCCTTACTCACTTGAGCTCTTAGCTCTGCTTTTCAGAGGCCAGCTATTGTATTTTATCCATAATTTCTAGGTGCCTATTAGTGGGAGAGTTTTCAGGTTATCTAAGTGAATCCTATTTCCAAGACCATGAGGCTTACTATTTGTTTTTGTTAATCATTGTGTCCCTTTTGCCTATTATAATGCCTGAAAAGAAAAAAAGTATTTAATTAATATTCTCTTTTTTTTTGAGACAGAGTCTCACTCTGTCACCCAGGCTGGAGTGCAGTGGTGCAATATCAGCTCACTGCAACCTCTGCCTCCTGAGTTCAAGTGATTCTCCTACCTTCAGCCTCCTGAGTAGCTGGGATTACAGGCATACACCACCTTGTCTGGCTAATTTTTATATTTTTAGTAGAGACAAGGTTTTGCCATGTTGGCCAGGCTGGTCTCGAACTCCTGACCTCAAGTGATCCGCCAGCCTCAGCCTCCCAAAGTGCTGGGATTACAGGTGCGAGCAACTGTGCCCAGCCTCTCTTCTTTTGTTCTTAGTTTCTCTTGGTAACCGAGATCTTTAAACCTCTTGGCTGTCCCCCAGTGCCCAGCAGATCATGGCCCACAGCAAGCACTCAAGAAATTTTTGTGGAATACATTGAAAGAATAAATTGGACAGATGAGGACTCTGATACCAGAGATGTGAAGCAACTTAAGTCTCTGGAAGTTCCGTGCTGGTAAAGGGGATTTCTAGATGTTGTTGTCCACTTACATTTCTGTTTTCCACAAATTAACCCGTCCCAGCAGTCATAGGAAGACTTTCCCCCTCTAGTCATGCCCTCTGGATCTGATTTGATTGGAGAGTGTGGTCCTGTGCGCCCACTCTCTTCTCCAGGTGTCAAGATGTCAGTACCTCATACCCAAGAGCTGCAAGTCTAATGACCCCAAAGGGGTTGTTGGTGGTGGCAACTGAGAGCGTAGGAGAGAGGAAGAAGGAAAGCGAGAGAGAGAGTGGCCATCGAGGAGAATGGAAGTGCTCTGTGTGCTTCCAGATCACCTCATCTGTGGTCTGCTGCACCATTGCTGATTTCCATTCCCTCTTTTTATTTATTATGATTAAATTTGAACTCTTGGTAAGAGGTCACTTGTTTTAGCTAAGAATGACTTGATTGATTTATTCCTCTTAGTGTCAAAGAATAACAAACCTTGTCCTAACTTGAGCCCTCCCTGGCTGTCTGGGAGTATACTCACTTTGAGCCATGTGGGCGTGGCAGTGGAGAGAGCCCTGAGCTGGGAGCCGGAAGCCCTTGGCTCCTGGCCAGGCACCGCCACTGTGTGACCATGGGCAAGTCACTTGCCCTCTCTGGACTCAGCTCTACCATCCACAACTTGAGAGGATGATCTTTAAGAGTGTTTCCAGTTGTGACATCCTGTGGTTCTATTTTACCATTACTTATTCCTTTTCTAGTGCTTCTCCTTTCTTCATGGAGATCCAGGTTTCTGACATATAATTTTCCTTCTCTCTGAAAAGCTTCTTTTAACATTTCTCACAAGGCAGGTCTACTAACAACAAATTCCCTCAGTTTTTGTTTGTATGATTCTCTGCTAGAGATCAGAAGCGTGGTAACAGAAATGAAGAGTGCTTTTTTTTTTTTTTTTTTGAGACAGAGTCTTGCTCTGTTGCCCAGAATGGAATGCAGTGGCGCATGATCAGGGCTCACAGCAGCCTCGACCTCCCAGGCTCGAGCGATCCTCCACCTCAGCCTCCCACACATAGTTGGGACTACAGGCACGTACCACCATGCCCAGCTAATTTTAAAATATTTTGTAGAATCAGGGGTCTTGCTGTGTTGCCAGAGCGAGTTTCAAACTCCTGGTCTCAAGTGATCCTAGCACCTTGGCCTCCCAAAGTGCTGGAATTACAGGTATGAGCCACCATGCCTGGTCGCCCTTAGCATCTTAATTATAGTTTTTTAAACATTTCTGGTCTGATTTAATTCCAACATTTCTCCCATGTCTGAGTCTGGTTCTGATGCTTGCTCAGTCTCTTCAAACTGTGTTTTTTTGTGTTTTGGTATGCCTTGTAATTTTTTTCTTGATGGCCAGACATGATGTACTGGGTAAATGGAACTGTAGTCAACAGGCCTTTAGTGATTTGGTGGTCAGATGCTGCGGGGAAAGGAAGTGTTCGATAGTCCTGTGATTAGGCCTCAGTCTGTTGGTGAGCCTGTGCCCTTGGGCTGTGATCTTCACAAGTGATTCTCAGTACCCCCTCCTTAGGTGGAAAAGGGTGGCTAGAGGGGGCTAGAGTTGGCTATTTCTCTTCCCCCGGGTTATTGGGCTCTCATAAAGCCCCAGTAGGTTAGGCTATGATAAAACAGTTTGTATTGAGCGCAGTCCTTATTTATTTATTTATTTATTTTGAGATGGAGTCTTGCACTGTCACCCCTGCTGGAGTGCAATGGCGTGATCTTGGCTCACTGCAACCCCCGCCTCTTGGGTTCAAGCGATTCTCCTGCCTCAGCCTCCCGAGTAGCTGGGATTGCAGGGGCCCACCACCAGGCCCGGCTAATTTTTTTGTATTTTCAGTAGAGATGGGGTTTCACTATATTGGCCAGGCTGGTCTCAAACTCCTGACCTCATGATCCACCCGCCTCAGCCTCCCAAAGTGCTGGCATGACAGGCGTGAGCCACCACGCCCGGCCATCCTTCTTACAGAGAACAGAATGCTCTGGTGCATTTCAGAATGGCTACTTTTCACCTCCTCCTGCTGGGAACACTGGATTTTTCTCTGATCATCACTGTGAGAAGCTGTTAGAGCTCCTGTAGATAAGACTCACACAAGAGTGAGGGCTCGCCTGCAACTGGGCTCCCTCGGGGTTTTACTCTCAGACTCGTCCACGCTGAGACTCCAGCAATTACCAGTTACGGTTCAGGTTTTCCTGCCCCAATACTGGTTCCCACAGTGGTTTCTGCTCAGGTTTTCTGTCCTGCTAAGTTGTGATTTTCTGTGTACTCCTGTCTGTCTCTCCAGTTTTGGGGTAGGATGCGATGTGTAGCTATAGAATAAACGAAGCAAGGTTAAAAATGAAGCATAGCAAAAAAGGCTGGAGGTGGAATCATGGGTGATTTTTCTTTCTCTGGGGAGGCACTTTTGCTCTGCTCACTGCATTTTCTACGTTTCCTTTAGTGAGAATGTATCTTTCTTGTAATGGCAAACAAACCATATTAAAATAATATTTTAAAGGCTGTTCCATTTTGTGCTGCTGGGAGATGGGAGACCTGGTTGACCCTCACGTCCATGCCCGGACCCACCAGGGACATCGATGGGTTGGAAGGTGTCAGGGGAATGTGTCGGTGATGAGATGAGAGCACCACAGCTGCCCGTGCTGGCAGCAGCTGCTCAAACAGAGGCTATTCTGCTTAAAAAAATAAAGATAGGGCCATCCTTATGGCCTGGTATGGTCCTAGGGAAAAAGAATTAGTTGCCTTCTAAGGGAATCTGGAGGGCAGAAGCAGCACTGCTGGGGGACGCCTCAAGCTTGCAGGGACCCAACTTTTGGCTTAATAGAAGAAAGACTGGCCAACCTTGCAAACTGTCCAAGATTAGAGGCAGCATAGCCTTAAGAGACAGTGAGCCCCTCGTCACTGGGAGAGTATAACCGAGGTTGCTGACCACTGTTAGGGACACTGCAGTGGACCTTTCCTGCAGTGCTTCGAGACTGTGGTAGAGGAGCTCAAAGCTGCCCTTTCATTTGTTAAGGGAGAAGGAATGAATTGAAAGAAGAGGAATTAATACCATCATGGCCAAGAGAGGGGCCTCTCAAGTCAGACAGCTGGCTTTAAGCGCTGGATCTGCTACTTACTAGCCGTGCAATTTTAGGCAAGTTGCTGGACCTATGTGTGACTCAGTTTTCTCATCTGCAAAATGGGTGAAATAAGAGGGTGGCTGTGATCAATAAATGAGATAGCACACGAAGGGCTTGCTGCGGGGCCCTGTACACAATAGCTCTGTAAATGAGGTTGGCAATGGGGGCGTCATTTTCCAAGACACCAGAGATTTCAGGCCTCCTGCCACTTGCCAAGCTCCCAAGTCACTCATTTCCTCATCTGTCGGCCTTGTCACATTTGGAATTTTAGCATCTGTTGGTCAAAAGTCATATTCTGTATTTGGCTGAACTAATTTTATCCCAGATTATTTCTAACAGAGTCAACATTCTTCCCCCTCCTGCCTCTGAATCTTCTCAAAGGTAGACATTCTCCAGGCAGGCTGCTCTCTTAGCTTGGTTTCCTTGGCCTCCCTCCCTGTGTCGGTGCCCAGAATGTAATAACAAATCCCGTCTCCCAGCCAGGAGCTGGGTGCCCAGGAATTCCGGCCCTGCTCGGCCAGCTCTGTTTGCCAGCGCATCTGTTTCTAATCAGTGCAGCAGGACGCATTCTTTCTGCCGAGTGTGCAGGCCCGGAGCCTGGGGACTGTGCTAATTGATTGCTAAATGGATCTTGTCATTTCCAAAAGAGGCCTCTAGGCCTGCCCTTTGCTCTGCCTCTGCTCTCCACGGGCTGAAGAGCTTAAGAATTAACTCATCCACTGCCTTTGTCGGGAGGCGAGGACTGTCCCGAACTTCAGTGCTGGGAATGCACCAGGAGCCTTGGACAAAAAGCCTCTGCTCTTCGTAAAGAGATTCACGGCTGAAAAAGCCCTGCCATGGACATGACCCCATTTCATTCTCCTGGTGGCTTATAGGGGTAGGCCTGACCCCACTGGACAGATGAAGAAATCAAGGCTCAGGGGTGTGAGTTGAGTGGCCCGGGTCACGCAGAGCTGCTAGCAAGGATGAGACTGTCTTGAGCCTGACTCATGCTGGGTCCAGGTTCTGTCCCCAGACCTCAGCCCATTGGCAGTGTCTGGCCGGGGCTTGCTATTGAGGTTGCAGAGAAAGTGGACAGCACAAGGTCTGTTGACGGGGCTGTCTGGGTCGGCAGGACACCCACAGGTGTCTTGGTGTCTGGCTGCCCTGTCCTGATAAGAGCACCAGAATGGGGAAGATATTGCTCATGTTCAGGGGTGTAGCGCTGCACCTCAAGCTTCCTTTCCTAGCAGTGCAGCCCCTCCCATCCCAGCATCCTTGCACCAAGGCCTCTGGGCTTCCCTGGCACTTACAGAAGTATTGAGTCACCATCTGTTTTCTCGTCTGTCTCCCCAGCTTGAAGCCAGGGATTGTTGTCTTTCTGCCTCTAAATCTCTGCCTTGAACAGGGTCTGCTCATAGTAGGTGGTCAACACATAAATGCAGAATGAATGAATGAATGACTCGTCCTGGACTGTCTTCTGTGATTTCCTTCTCCTTGGTCTCTTGGCAGGATTGGTCAGAGAACAAGATTTCAGTTTACTCTCAGCAGAACCCTGTAGCACTCAGATGCCTCAGTTCCTGACAAAATCTCTCAGCTTCAGTTTTCACATATGTCAAATGGGATGATTCCGTGTGTCCACCATGGGCTGGTTGGAGGACCAGTTGAGATAATGGAAATTTGAACATTATGCTCATGTGAATGCTGTGTGTATATGTGTGTGTGTGTGTGTGTGTGTGTGTTGTTGGTTTGGTTGTTTTTTGTTTGTTTGTTTGTTTGTTTGTTTTGAGAGGGAGTCTCCCTCTGTTGCCCAGGCTGGAGTGTAGTGGCATGATATCGGCTCACTGCAGCCTCCACCTCCCAGCCTCAAGTGATCCTCCAGCCTCAGCCTCCTGAGTAGCTGGGACTGCAGGTGCATGCTACCATACCTGGCTAATTTTTTTATTTTTCACAGAGGCAGGGTCTCCCTGTGTTGCCGAGGCTGATCTCAAACTTCTGGCCTCAAACAATCCTCCCACCTCGGCCTCCCAAAGTGCTGAGATTACAGGTGTGAGCCACCATACCCTGCCTGTTTTAATCTTCAAAGGATTCGGGGCTCAACTCTCTTCCAGAAGCTTCCTCATTGGCTCACACTGCCAAAAGGGCTTATTATGGAATCAGGGGTGCAGAGAAGTTCCTTCAGCCTGTAAAACTATGTATGGTATCAAAGTAACTCTTGGTTTAGACTAAGTGGCTCAGATAGACAGCACCCAGAAGAAGGGGGCATCCTCAACCTCCTGAGTCCCAGATCCTGGGTCCTTGCCACCTTGGGGCCCCTTTCTGCTATTCTTCCTCTCTTCCCTACATTGATTAAGACTCAAGTTAAGAAATCAAAGAGAACCATGCTTAACTCCTGGATCTCCTTCTTCTTAGCTGTGTGACTTTGGGGAAATTATTTAAGCCATCTGATCTTATCATGTTAGGATGGGGACAATAGCACACCTTGCAGGATGTTGACAGGAATTACTGAAATATTGTACAAAATATGCTTCACAGTGGGTGGGCACATGTCAAGTGCTCCATAAGTGCTAGTTATTCTGGTTGTGCTGGAAGGAGCCCCCTAATTCTCTGTCTCTTCTCCCTTGGCCATGAAGTCCTCTGCCATCTGATCACCCCACTGACACCTTTACAAAGGCCTCTCATGCTCTTAAGTGCAAAATCCAAAGGAAAAAAGCTTCATTCTTACCCTCTGTAGCCTCTTGGCAGCATTTGACACCATGACCTTTTCCTTCCTGAACATTCTCTCCTCCCTTAGTTTCTAGGCTAAAATACCGCCTTGGTTCTCCTACTTCCCTGACCGTTCTTCTCTGTCTCTTTCATGCATTCTTTCTTGGCCACAGTCCTAACTCCTGCTCTTCCCCAGGGTACTGTGTGTTTTTTCTCAGTTAGTAGTTACCAGAGTTTATAGGCACAAAACACACAATCCCTGCCCACGAGAGCTTCTAATCTGGCAGTACTCAAGCTAACTGACATCTATGGAGGATTTGAGAGAAGCCAAGTGCTGTGCTTTGTGCTTTTAATGTATCATCCTATCTGACACTTGCAGACCGACCAGGGCTCACAACCTAGCCCCATCACGTCAGTCCCTGGGGACAGCAGCAGATATTCCCTGGGTCCCCTCACCAGTGGGGAAGGAGCTGGTAAGCAATGCCAGGGCCTAGGCTGATGTGGGGGTGAGCCTGCCCACCAGCCTATACAGCCCCAAGCTCTGGGGCAAACAGGCATAGAGAGAAAGGGCTGGTGATTTACAGTTGCAAAACTAGTGTCTTATCTCCTGCTTTGCCACTCATTTGCTGTGTGACCCTGGGTAAATCACTTTACCTCTCTGAGCCTCAGAGATATCAGTGAGGCCCAGTATGTAAGAGTGCTGAGTAAACAAGATGCAAATTTTTGTCATCATTAAAACACTTTCAGGCATATGATCCAGTCAGATCCTGACAAAGAAATGACTTGCCTGAAGTTCCAGCTAAGCTGGAAATCCCAACTGGATCTCCTGACTTGTGGGGACACCATTCGGTCAGTTCCACAATGTTGGGGGCCCTTTACATATATGACCCCATTTGCTTTTCCCAGCAATCCTGGTGACAGTATGATCATGCCCATTTTATGAGTGAGAAAACTAAAGGCCCGAGAAGTTAAGCAATGTGTCCAAGGCCCACACAAGTGGTGGGAACCAGGCTGTGTCCCAGAGCTGGGCTCCTTCTGCTACGGGACACTGCTGTTTGGTCCCTACATTCACCAACTGCCACCTGACCCATGATTTGGTTTTGAATGAGCCAGCCTCCCAGGAACACCATTAACTGTCTTGGGCCAGATATTCAACCACTATCTTACATAATAAATAGCTTAAACAAATTAATGTTTTGTGGCAACCTGTTCCCAGAACCTAATCATCTCTGGGAGAACTGGTAGGGTGGGGGTGGGGAATTAATGAAAGGAATTTGGGAGATAATCATTCTCGAGAGAGAGATTGGACTGTGGGACGTCCCTGGGGCTTCTCAGAGCCCCCAAAGTCCTGTGTGTAATATCATGTCACGTATGATTATTGAGTGCCTGAGCTAAGTGACTTGATGTGAATTATCTCATTTTATGCTGACATAGGTCCTATGTGACAGATGCTATTTTTATCCACAAGTTACAGATTAAGAAACCGAGACCAGAGAGTGCACAGCTAGTGAGTGGTGGAGCCAGGATTTGAACCTGGACAGTCCTTGACAGAGCCCCCAAGTGCCACATCACAGTCGGGGAGGACCAGAGGGTCTCCGAGGTGCCTCGCAACTCTGTGATTGGCTGAGCCTTTTCTCTCTTTCTCTCTGTCACTCCAGCCAGCCTTCTTCTCTAGTTCTAGTTCTGGAAGCTTCCTTCCCTCTCCACTCAGCGACGCTGCTGGAGATGCTGGCAGAGCCCTGATGGCCACATCCGTGCCTGGTCCGTGTGCTGTGTCTCAGTCAGTGCCCTAAGCTCCTCCTTGGCAGACCAAGGCAGAGTTGGCCAGAGCTTATGTTCACATTTTAAAGATTTATTCTGCTCTTTGAATCTTCTTTTCCTTTGCCTTGCACTGTTTACTGAAATAGTTCATAGGATACTGTTAAAGACTGAAACAGAAGTCAATAGAAACATATTTATGGGTGCTGATGGGATTGCTAACGAGGTTGGGAAACGGTTCTCTTGAGTGCATGTTGAGCTTTAGAATGGCCAGGAGGGATGGGGGAGCAGGGACTCACGTCTTGGCTCAGTTCTGCAGTTTTACACCCTGCTTCCCAGGGATCCAATCGGATTATTCTTTCCTGTTTTGGAGAGCTGTTGCTTTCGTGAGTCCATGCCTCTCCCAGGCGAGGTGGCTTGGGGGCTGGTCCCGAAGGTCCTTCTCTAACCTGGTCCTGCATGCTCTGTACTTCGCATAAAGTCCTCATTGTTTCTGGCATGTGAAGGACTCTTCTTGGCTTCCAATGTAGATGCAAGATTTTCCTCTAATAGGTTATTTCTGTCCTAAACTGTGAAGAGGAATCAAAAATATATATATATACCTTATAGCTATCTTTCCCACACTCCAAACTGCTGGCTTCTCAAAGGCACTGCAGTTGTTATTATTAATATTATTTTCCTCCAGGGCATGGCCCAGAGAGGCCCGAGGGGGCTGGGAGGGCATGCTCAGAGCACAGGCTGGGGGCCAGCACAGAATTTCCAAGCAAGCAAGGACTAAGGCCTAAGCAGGGGCCAGGCGGCGGCTGGGGGTCCAAGTGTAGGGTCCAGGACAGGAAGGAGCCACAGGCAGGAGGGCAGCACCTAACCTGAGCTGGGAAGGCAGCTCCAAAGTAGCAGAGTTGGAATCATGGGCCCGCAGTGGTATCATGAAGTCCAAACAAGCGACCCCCTGCCAGGGTGGGAGGTATGTCCCAAAGCCAGACAGAGTGTGAGCCCTGTGCTTGGGCTGTGGGCAGCCTTCCTGGGAGGAAGAGATGGAGGGAGAGATGTTCACTACACTGTCCCCCAATGACAGCCAGGCCCTGCCAGGGCAGGCGACTGCAGCCAAGGGCCAGGCCAACTACCTCAGTGAGTTTGCTGACTGGAAGCCGGGTGGGATGAGGTGTGTGGTGCAGAGGTGAAAACATGCTAACGTGGTCTGGGAGGCTAACGTGGTCTGAGCAGATAGGGAGCCTCTAGGTCAAGGGAGGGGAGAGAACTGCTCTACCTGGTTTAGCCACAGTGTTGCATTCAGCTCTTTACAACACATTTGTAATATTAAATTAAAGGTTTGATTTGATTTTATAAATAAGAATTGCATTCACATGGTTCAAATGCAAAAATAAAATACATAAACAGGGAAACAGCAAAAAACCTCTTCATACACTCCATCCCACTCCCCCACCCCCACCTAATCTCCTCTGTCAATATTGGCATTAGTTTCCAGAATATTCTCTGTCATGATTTTAAGCTTAATAAGAAACTATAAATATATGATTTAAAAAATATATTCTCCTTACAGTAAAGGCAGAATAGGCTGGGCACAGTGGCTCACACCTGTAATCCCAGCACTTTAGGAGGCCGAGGAGGGCGGATCACCTGAGGTCGGGAGTTTGAGACCAGCCTGATCAACATGGAGAAACCCCATCTCTACTAAAAATACAAAATTAGCCAGGCGTGGTGGCGCATGCCTGTCATCCCAGCTACTCGGGGGGCTGAGGCAGGATAATTGCTTGAACCCGGGAGGTGGAGTTTGCACTGAGCCGAGATCATGCCATTGTACTTTAGCCTGGGCAACAAGAATGAAACCCCGTCTCAAAAAAAATAAAAAAAGTAGAATACTGTACACATTGTTCTGCAATTTGCATCCTTATTCCTTTTTAATGCTGGGCAACATATTTAGTAACATCTTTATCCATGGCATCAGCTGACATTTTGCATCTGTGACGGGAAGTGTAAGTTCCTTCCTTACAGTATTTCAATCTCACTGAATCCTCATAGCAACCTTACATGGAAGGTACTATAGTTGTGCACCACATAATGACATCATAATCAACAATAGACCACATATACCATGGTGGCCCCATTGCAATTACAATGGAGCTGGAAAATTCCTATTGCCTAGTGATGTTGTAGCCATCATAATGTCACAGTGCAATGCATTACTCAAATGTTTGTGGTGATGCTGGTATAAACAAACCTACTCCACTGCCAGTCATATGAGTATAACATGTACAGGCTGGGCATGGTGGCTCACGCCTGTAATCAAAGCACTCTGGGAGGCCAAGGCGGGTGGATCACTTAAGGCCAGGAGTTTAATACCAGCCTGGGCAATGTGGTGAAACCCTGTGTCTACAAAAAATAAAAACTAGACTGGCATGGTGGCATGCTACCATGCTTCCTAAGTCCAGCTACTTGGGAAGTAGCTGCAGTGAGCCATGATCCTACCACTGCACTACAGCCTAGATGACAAAGTGACAGAGTGCAGAGTGAGACACTGTCTCAAAAAAAAAAAAATTAGGTACAGTACCTGATACTCGATAATGATAATAAACTACTATGTTACTAGTTTATGTATTTATTATGCTACTTATCATTATTTTAGAGTGTATTCTCTCTACTTATATAAAAAATGTTAACTGTAAAGACTATTTTAGATGACTAAATATACTCTGTTGGCTGGGTGCAGTGGTTCACACCTGTAATCCCAGCACTTTGGGAGGCCAAGGCAGGCAGATCACCTGAGGTCAGGAGTTCGAGACCAGCATGGCCAACATGGTGAAAACTGTCTCTACTAAAAAATGCAAAAATTAGCTGGGCATGATGGCGCGTGCTTGTAATCCCAGCTACTCGGGAGACTGAGGCACCAGAATCACTTGAACCCGGGAGGCAGAGGTTGCATTCAGCTGAGATTGCGCCACTGCACTCCAACCTGGGCAACAGAGAGACTCCATCTCAAAAATAAATAAATAAATAAATAAACTCTGTTGATGGGCCAGTAATATTGGGATGAGCAATAAAACAAAAGCATACATAAATCACTAATTATTTTTCTTCTTCATACAATTTGTTTTCTTGCCTTCTTTATTTAGAGACACAGTCTTGCTCTGTGACCCAGGTTGGAGTACAGTGGCATGATCACAGCTCACTGCAACCCTCACCCCCTCAGCTCAAGCAGTCCTCCCACCTCTGCCTCCCAAGTAGCTGGAAATACAGGCGTGCGCCACCATGCCCAGCCAAATTTTGTATTTTTTGTAGAGACAGGGTTTCATCATGTTACCCACTCTGGTCTCGAACTCCTGGACTCAAGCCATCTGCCCACCTCAGCCTCCCAAAGTGCTGGGATTATAGGCATGGGCCACCACACCTGGCCCTTCCTGCCTTATTTTTAGAAAAATCACTAATTATGGTTATGATTAATATTTTTGCATAATTTCTGTTCTATTGATAGCAGTAATCCGCTTTATCATTATTATTATTATTTTTAGAGATAGGATCTCACTGTGTTGCCTAAGCTGGAGTGCAGTGGTATGATCATAGCTCACTGCAGCCTCAAATTCCTTGGCTCAGCCTCAAATTCCTTCCACCACAGCTTCCTGAGTTGCTGGGTGGCACATGCCACCATACCTGGCTAATTTTTAAAGAAAATTTTATAGAAATGGAGTCTTTCTTTGTTGCCCAGTCTGGTCTCAAACTCCTGGTTTCAAGTGATCCTCCCACCTTGACCTCCCTAAGTAGTAATGAGCTTAAAAAAATGTATTCAAATGTATTTTCAGGTACATGTAAC
This sequence comes from Homo sapiens, assembly GCF_000001405.40. Classification (NCBI taxonomy): domain Eukaryota; kingdom Metazoa; phylum Chordata; class Mammalia; order Primates; family Hominidae; genus Homo; species Homo sapiens. Next base: position 31,688,675 of record NC_000017.11, on the reverse strand, counting down.
AAATTTTCTCATGTAACCCATAAACTTGCATGAATAAAATAAATTTTTTAAAGTATTTTCATCAGGCCGGATGTGGTGGTTCACACCTGTAATCCCAGCACTTTGGGAGGCCGAGGCAGGTGGATCATTTGAGGTCAGGAGTTTGAGACTAGCCTGGCCAACAGGGGGAAACCAGTCTCTACTAAAAATACAAAAAAAAAAAAAAAAATGAGCCAGGCGTGGTAGTGCGCACCTGTAATCCCAGCTACTCAGGAGGCTGAGGCATGAAAATCACTTGAACCCAGGAGGTGGAGGTTGCAGTGAGCCGAGATCATGCCACTGCACTCCAGCCTGGGTGACAGAGTGAGATCCTGTCTCAAAAAAAAAAAAAAAAAAAGTATTTTCATCAAATTGAGGTGAGTGTAAAAAATTAAAAATGATTTTGTTTTTTAAAAAAGTTCTTATCTTCTAAATCAAGGATCAACAAAATAAGGTCCATGGTTGTGGGCCTGTTTTTGTAAACAAGCATTTATGGAACACAGCCACATCTATTCCTTTACATACTGTCTACAGCGCTTTTTTGCTACAACACCAGATTTGAGTAGTTGTAACAGAGATCACATGTCCTGAAAAGTAAAAAATGTTTATTGTCTTTCCCTGTGAGAAAAAGTTGGTTGACCCCTGTTCCAAATTATCTATTAAAATTAAAGGTAAAATATAAATTATCATTAATATGAAACTAATAAAGTTATTTAATAAAATCATTTTTATTTTTTGATAATTTAATTAAATCTTATTAAATATTTTTATTAAAAAGCTATTGCAATTCTGCAATTCAAGGTCTGACAATGTAAAGAATTAGTATCATGCTTCATGTATATCGGGGTCCCCAGCCCCCAGGCCATGACCTGTTAGGAATGGGGTGGCACAGCAGGAGGTGAGTGGCAGAAGAGTGAGTGACGCTTCGTCTGTATTTGCAGCCACTCCCCATTGCTCACATTAGTGCATGACTCCATCTCCTGTCAGATCAGTGGTGGCACTGGATTCTCACAGGAGCTCAAACCCCCTATTGTGAACTGTGCATGTGAGGGATCTGGGTTGTGTGCTCCTTTTTTTTTTTTTTTTGAGACGGAGTTTCGCTCTTGTTGCCCAGGCTGGAGTGCAATGGCACAGTCTTGGCTCACTGCAATCTCCGCCACCCAGGTTCAAGCAATTTTCCTGCCTCAGCCTCCTGAGTAGCCGGGATTATAGGTGCTCGCCACCATGCCTGGTTAATTTTTGTATTTTTTGTAGAGACTGGGTTTCACCAGCTGGCCAGGCTGGTCTCAAACTCCTGACCTCAAGTGATCCACCTGCCTTGGCCTCCCAAAGCGCTGGGATTACAGGCATGAGCCACCGTGCCTGGCCAAGGGATCTAGGTTGTGTGCTCCTTATGAGAACCTAATGTCTGATGATCTGAGGTGGAACAGTTTCATCTGGAAACCATTTCCCACACCCTGTCCATGGAAAAATTATCTCCCACGAAATCAGCCCCTGGTGCCAAAAAGGTTGGGGACCACTGATGTATATTATGTCCAAACCTAGATATATACAAATCTAAGACTAATATGAATTATTTAAGATTGCAAAGCGTCCCTCAACCACTCTTGTGCAAGTCTTGAGAATGCCGTATTAATTTATTAATAGCTCTAGAACAACTAATAGGAACATCAAAGAAGCGAGAAAACAACTCAACGCCCCTGGAAAATGTGATCCATTGAATGCAAGGATCTGGCCCATTCCTGCTATGTGACAGGAAAGATTTTGCAAGTTATTTCATGTGTCTTTTCTTTCTTTCACTCAAGTGTTTCTGCTGCTTGCATCCTCTCTGCTCAGTGTCCAACCTTGGCATTGGCAAAACCCACAAACCTTCGTGGTATCTAAAGGTAAAGCTTTGGACAGTAACAGCGTTGAAGCAGTTCCTGGGGTCTGGACGGTGTTAGTCATGAGAGCAGCTGTTTAGGGCTGGGGCTGTGCTGTGCCAGGGCTGAGGCAGGATCCCGAGTTACAGGCAATCCAGTACTTGTTAATCAATTTATTTATTTTTGTGGGTTTGTGATATGCACGATCCACTAGAGCTCAGGGCCTAAGTGTTAAGTTTAATTCTGGTCTGGGGAGCAGCTTTCAGGACTCAGAATTTTACCTTGAAGAAGAAAATCTTTTTTCTCTGCCTTGTCCTTACCCCTGTATCTCTTCATCCCAATCCTCTTTTTCCCTCTTCTCTCTGAAGGAATGTCTTGGGGACACTTACCCCCTGCACAAGGCCAGAACTGGACCAGGATGTGGACATTACATGGAGGGAGCTTTTGACTTGATGGAAGTCAGGGGTTCTAACAAGGAGGCCACCTGACATTCAAATGGGCAGCTGGCAGAGGAGGTGGTGCCTGCCCCCAGCGGTGCTCAGTCATGGGTTCATGGTGCTAGAGAATTTCTGTGTAGGGTAATGGGTTGGTTTGGAGAAAGATTCTTTGATTCCGATCACCCTAGGGAGTCCATATCCAGTCTCTGGAATATCCTCCCTTCCAGTCTTTATCTGGATACTGAGTTATGGGTGGGGGTGAGGATGGTGGTTATGGGTGGGTTGGACTTGCAGATTAGCCAAGTGCAGACCAAAATAGCCAACCATTAACTCGGCAGGACCAGCCTCCTGAGGACTGAAGTTTCCAGGAAGGTCCTGGGTAGAATGTGACCCAGCCTCCCATCTCTGAGACATTTCCTGAGAAACCACTTGCTCTCCCAATCAAACCTGCTCCCATTATTAATAATCTGAAGCTCTTTAATAGGAGGCAGCCTGAGGCTGTGGGCAGAGAATCAGCTTCAGAGTCAAAGCGGTGGATGTAAGTTTGAGTTTTGCCATTTATTAGCTGTATGAACTTGGTCAAGGTATTTACATTGACTCAGTTTCCTTGTCTGCCAATGGAAATAGTGACACCCATATCTACCATACAAGGCTGTTGGCGGGGCGAAGGGAGGAATGGATCTGGACAGGGTTTGTCAATCAAAGGGTGTTCTTCCTTCTTCCCCAACCCCCACTGACTACCTGGCATTCGAATGCCTCTCCTATTTCAGGGGAATCCCAGAACAGATGGGAAGCAGAACCCTCTTTGAATAAGAGAACTAAATAAGGAAAGATGTTCCTCTCCTCTCCTTCCTGACACATGGGGAGTGCCAATGACCTGGACTCAACTGTGTCCAGGCTCTTACCTGGACCCTATAATCCTGAGGGAGTAACACAAAGACCCCCATGCCTTGTGGTGGGGTGGTATAAAAGGGTTCTGGGGTCCAGTGTGGGTAGTGCCGGGAATGGTAACTGTGAATATTTAATCACAGCAGCTGAATTAGGGTTACAGTTGATGTGGGTGGGTACCTTCTCAGCATTTATTTCCTCCTTCTTCTTAAAAGAACTATGATTTTATTCAGATATCCACTCTTTTCCCAAGTGGTCTGTGTGCCTCAGGGGCAGCCCATTCCACCACAGTTTTAGGGATGGACCTGGGTTGATCTAAATTTAAATAATCTCACTTCTCTTGCCAGGGATTGGTTCAGCACTCTAGATTTAAGTCAATCAGCTTAAGGAGTTCCCCTAACCACAGTCATTGGCCAGGGGTAAGAGGCTCTTTGGTCTTGAACACCTAGAATATTACCAGCACTCCAAGACGCCCCCTTATGTACCTTTTCCATTGACAACCCCCTCCCTCTTCCCAGAAATAACTACTATCCTGACTTTCAAGATAATATTTTTCTTGCTTTTCATTTGCTTATCATCTCTCCTATGTATTCACCTCTAAACAAGATACATTCATTTTGCATATTTTGACATATATATATAAAAGAAATTGAATTATTCTAAATGTATTCTTTTGTATTGTTTGTTCAAAATTATATTTGTAAGCTTCATTTATGTTGTTGCATATAGCTATAGTTTGTCGATTTCCATGGCTATATGGCATTCCATTTATGAATATGCTACAATTCATTTATCTGATTTACTATTTTTGGAGATCTGGGCTATTTCTAGTATTCTGGCTTAACAAGAAAGCTGCTAGACATTCATTGTTCATCACTTTTGGTGCAGATACACTGCATGAGTTCGTCTAAGTATGCTTCTACTTATTCAACTTTACCAGAAGGTGCTGAACTGTTAATCAAAGTGGTTGCACCAATTTATTGTTCTTATAAGCAGTGTATAAGAGTTCCTGCAGCTACACATCCTCACTAAGCACTCGGTAGTGTCAGAATTTGACTGTCCTTATGGCATGTATGTAGTAATATCTCTTTGTGGTTTCAATTTACATTTTCCTGATTATAAATGAGATTGAGCACATTTTTATGTGTTTATTAGCCATTTGGGTTTCTTCTTTTATAAAGTGCCTAGAAAGAATTTTGCCAATTTTTTTTTTGAGATGGGGTCTCACTCTGCTGCCCAGGCTGGAGTGCAGTGGCATGATCGCAGCTCACTGCAGCCTCAATCTCCTGGGTTCAGGTGATCCTCCCACTTCAGCTTCCCAGGTAGTTGGGACCACAGGCGTGCACCACCAGCCTGGCTAATTTTTATATTTTTTGTAGAGACAAGGTTTTGCCATGTTGCCCAGGCTGTCCTGGACCTTCTGGGCTCAAGTGATTTGCTTTGCCTCAGTCTTCCGAAGTGCTAGGATTACAGGTGTGCGCTACTGGGTCTTTGCTGTTGGGTTGTATTTATATAGTCTTGTTGCTACTTTTTTGTCAATTCTTTGAGTTGCAAATATCTTCCCTCACTCTGTGAATTGTTTTTTTCCCTCTTTTAAGAGCAGAAGTTTTTAATTTTAATGTAGTAGAGTTTATTAATGTGTTCCTTTATGATTTGTACTTTTTGTGAATGTGTTTAAGAATTTCTTCTCTGCCAGCCATGGTGGCTCATGCCTGTAATCCCAACATTTTGGGAGGCCAAGGCAAGCAGATCAAGAGTTCAAAACCACCCTGGCTAACATGATGAAACCTCTTCTCTACTAAAAGTACAAAAATTATCCAGGCATGGTGGCAGGCACCTGTAATGCCAGCTACTCAGGAGGCTGAGGTGGGAGAGTCATTTGAGCCCAAGAATTTGAGGCTGCAGTGAACTATGATCACACCACTGCACTCCAGCCTGAGCAACAGAATGAGATCCTATCTCAAAAAAGAAAAAAAAAGATAAGATAAAAAATATGCCTCTGACATATATCATGGTTCTTATTCCATCTGGAATTGATTTTTGTGTATGGTGTGAGATAAGGGTACAATTTTCACCCCCTCCCCACAATATGAATACTCAGCTACTCGAGACCCATTTATTTATTGCAAAGTCCCCCCTTTTCTCCCTCTCTGCAATCCATCTCTATCATTCACTGTGCCCATATTAGCAGGAACCTATTTCTGGACTCTCTTTTCAGTTCCATTGGTCTATTGTTCCATCCCTGAGCCAACACTACATTGTCTTGATTACTACAGATTTATAATAATCTTTATATTTGGTGAATCAAATTCTTCTACCTTGTGAGGGAAATTTCAAGGGTCTCTGAACTATTCTTGTTCCTCTGCATTTTCATATAAAGTTTAGAATGAGCGCATCAAGTTCCACAAAATAAAAGGTAAGTAGCAGAGATTTTAATTCAATTGTATTGAATTTATAAATCAGATTGGGAAGACTGTTGAGTTTGCCAGCCCACAAAGTATATTTCTGCTTTTATTGAAGTCCTTTAAAAAATAGCTTCAATGGGGTTTGCTTGACTTACAATAAATTGCACATATTTAAAGTGTACAATTCAATAAGTTTTGACATATGTATACACCCATGAAACCAACATTACCATCAAGATAATGAACATATCCATCAGTGGCTAAGATTTCTTCCTGCCCCAGTATAATCCCTCCTCCCCAACACACCCCACCCTCACCTTCATAATGATGTTGAACTTTTTTCCTTTTTTTCTTTTTTCTTGAGACAGAGTTTCACGATTGCTAATATTTGTATTTTTTTTTAGTAGAGACGGGGTTTCACCATGTTGGTCAGCATGGTATTGATCTCTTGATCTCGTTATCCACCCACCTTGGCCTCCCAAAGTGTGAACTTATGTGTATATATCTTCTTTGGTGAAGTGTCTTTTCAAATCTTTTGCTTATTTGTAACTGGGTGGTTTTCTTATTATTGAGTTCTGAGAATTATTTATATTCTGGATATAACTCATTTTTTAGATATTTGCTTTGCAAAGATTTTCTTCCCCCAGTGTGGGATTGTCCTTTTATTCTCTTGTGTGCCTTCTGAAGAGCAAGAGCTTTAATTTTGATGAGGTTCATTTTATGAAATTGTTCATTTACAGATTGTGCTTTTCTTGTTATATTTAAGAAATCTTTGTGGCCGGTTGCGGTGGTTCACGCCTGTAATCCCAGCACTTTGGGAGGCCGATGCGGGCGGGATCACCTGAGGTCAGGAGTTTGAGACCAGCCTGGGCAACATGGCGAAACCCCGTCTCTACAAAAAATACAAAAATTAGCCGGCCACAGGAGGCTGAGGCAGGAGAATCACTTGAACCTGGGAGGCAGAGGTTGCAGTGAGCCGAGATGGCGCCACTGTACTCCAGCCTGGGCAATAGAGTGAGACTGTCTCAAAAAAAAAAAAGAAAAAAAAAAAGAGAGAAATCTTTGCTTAACCCTAGTCACAAAGGCATTCTACTATGTTTTCTTCGTATAGTTTCAGTATTTACATTTAGGTTTGGGATCTATTTTGAGTTAACTTTTGTATGTGGTGGAAGGTATGTTCCTGCTTTTTTGAAGTCTTTTTAAAATGTCTCTCAGTACATATTTATAATTATACCACAAACAGATTGCACACCTTTTGTTAGTTTTATTCCTAGTAATATACTATCCTTGATGATCCTGTAAATAATTTTTTTAAAAAACATTTTTTTTTACTTCTGGTTGCTGATATACAAAAATGTGAATGATTTTATTTGTATTAAATTTGTATCTACCAATATTGTCAAGCTTTCTTATTAATTCTAATAATTCACCTATAGATCCTTTTGGATTTTCTATATATGAAGTTTATATCACCTGCAAATAATGACAGTTTTAGTTTTCCTTTCCAATTCTTTTGCACATGACTTATAATTGTTATGTTTTCTAGGTGAATTGACCCTTTTACCATTACGAAGTGATCCTCTTTTCTTTTGTACCTTTTTTTTTTTTTTTTTTTTTAAGACAGAGTCTCACTCTGTTGCCCAGGCTGGAGTGCAGTGGTGTGATCTTGGCTCACTGCAAGCTCTGCCTCCTGGGTTCACATCATTCTCCTGCCTTAGCCTCCCGAGTAGCTGGGACTACAGGCTCCCACCACCACACCTGGCTAATTTTTTTGTATTTTTAGTAGAGACGGGATTTCACCGTGTTAGCCAGGATGGTCTCCATCTCCTGACCTTGTGATCCGCCTGCCTCAGCCTCTCATAGTGCTGGGATTACAGGCATGAGCCACCACGCCCAGCCTTTGTAACTTCTTTTAACTTAATATCTACTTTGTCAGCTATTAATAACATGGATATTTACAATAATTAACATACTATACAGAGGTTTTCTTTTGGTTAGGATTTGCATGGTTTATATTTTTCTATCCTTCTGCATTTACACTTTATGTGTTTTTAATGTATCTTTTGTAAAAAGCGCATAGTTGAATTTTTATTTTAAAATCATGTTGATAATCTTTACCCTTTAATAGAATAATTATATAATCAATATACTATGTATCTTTGGGTTTACATTTACCATCTTATTTTGTTTTCTATTTGTCCTGCCTGCCCCATATTGCTTTTTGTCTCCTTTCTTGCCCTTTTCTTGGGAGTAACTGACTCTAGAAAAAAAATTAATTTTAATTTGTAAAAACATCTTTTCCCATTCTTTTAGTGATTACCTCAGAAGGTGCAGCACGCATTCTTTTTTATTTTGAGAGACAGGGTCTCAAACTCCTCGACTCAGGTGATCCTTCCACCTCATCCTCCTCCTGAGTAGCTGGGACTACAGGTGTCTCACCGCACCCAGCAACATGCATTATCAATCTACCAAAGCCAAAAGTTGATCAAAACCTTCAACTTCCACCAAAACAATGAAAGATTCTTAAATCAGTTTGACTCCACTAACTCCCTCCTGGTGTAGATGCTATTGTTTTATTTAATGCATGTTTATTAATTCCGTGTGAGTGTGTGTGTGTGTGTGTGTGTGTGTGTGTAGATAGATAGCATGTGAGTGTGTTCAAACTTGTGTAACAGTAAGAGTTTAGTCAGTAAAACAGAAATGACTCTAGACACGTCAGGCTGAAGCCGCAAGACTGGGGACTTTTCCCTGACTCTCTACGTGTCGTACTCCTACTTGAGTATATCCTTTTCTACCCAATGTAATAAATTCCCTTTTGTCTCACAAAAGGAAGTTGCGGTTGTCACTTCCATTTCTAGCGGTGGAAGGTTGGCCCACACCGTCTGAGGTGAGGGATCAGGGGTGGTAAGTCAGATGGGAGAACTGGGACATTCCCTGTCAGCAGCTGATTGGGGACTGAGAAGGAGCCCATATTCTTTAGAAAAGAACCTTCTACCAGTCCTGTAATCAGGAAGTGGCCCAAAGGATGATGGTGCCTTCCTGATGCTGTGTGAACGTGGCAGTTCAGCTAGGGTGGGCTGCCCCCCTAAATCCTCTGCAGGAGACACCCTACTAACATGACCCCTGTTGTGGGGTCTGCCTCACAGGGAGAAAGCATTGAATTTGAAACCTGGAGGTGTGACCCTGAATTGGTATGACCCTAAGTAATATTTCCTCAACCTCTCCAAACCTCAGTTTCCACATCTGTAAAATGGGGAGAGCAATACTTACCCCCAACGGGTTGCTGGACGGTCAAATTAAATCACTTATGTTAAAAAAATTAAAAAAGCCTAGCAGAGTGTCTGTGTGTCATATAATGGAGCTAGATCAAACCATCCGCAACACAGGCAACACGAAGGACTGCTGGAAGGATGGGAGGGCCAGGGGACTCGTAAGAAATACTGAAGAAGAGCCGGGTGCAGTGGCTCACGCCTGTAATCCCAGCACTTTAGGAGGCCGAGGTAGAAGGATCACTTGAGCTCAGGAGTTTGAGACCAGCTTGGGCAATATGGCAAAACCCCATCTCTACCAAAAATATATAAATCAGCCTGGCATGGTGGTGTGTACCTGTAGTCCCCACTACTTGGGAGGCTGAGGTGGGAGAATCGCTTGAGCCCAGGAGACTGAGGCTACAGTGAGCCTTGATTGTACCATTGCACTCCAGTGTGGGTGACAGAGTAAGACTTTTTCTCAAAAAAATTAAAAATAAAAGAAATAACTGAAGAAGGAGCAGCAGAGAGAAAGAGAGAGAGGGAGAGAGAGGGAGGGAAGGGCCCTGGGTCCAGGGCTTGGATAAACAGCCCTGGGTTTATCCAACTCCCTTTACTCTAATTCAAGGCTCACCAGGCAGCCTCTGGTTATTAAATTGTTTTCCTATTGACCTTGGTCTGGTCCTGAAGACAGGAGCGACCTACTGGGTATTAGGCAAGTTCACACATTGGTTGTTTATTGCCTTAACTCTGCACAGAGGTGTCATTAGCCTCTTTTTTTCCAGTGAGAAAAACTCAGAGACACTAGGGGGCTTGCTCAAGGTCATTCTGCTGGGAAGCAGGAAATCCAGGATCTGTCCGGCCCCAGCATTCTCTTTCCCACCACAGCACACTTCCTCCTAGCAGCAGGTCCAGGGCCCCCAGCACGGGTACCTTTGACGCTGAAAAGCCATGCTCTCATTGCAGGCTTCTGAATGGGCATTCAGCTTTTGCAGTGGAATCTTAACTTTGGGATTTAATTCCTCCCTTTTCTCCTTCCAGCCTGAGCCCCCCCTCTGCCCATCCCTAGTGACTTGAGAGAAATCAGGCTCTAGAATCACCCAGACCTTGAACCAGTGTGACTCAGCAGCCCCAATGGAGAGGGCTGTCCTCTCCAGCAGCCCCTAAGCTCCAGCTGTCACCACTGGCATTGCTTCACTTGGAGAATCTTTTGTAACAGTGATGGGCCCTGCCAGCTGAAGGTGTTAGGAGGCCTGCCAAGTTGCCTGGGGCTGGAGGGTAGGCAGCAACCAAGCCCACTGCTGGGTTTTTACAGCTTCCTACATGTAAGGTGACTAATGTGTCCCAGTTTTCTCATCAAATTCCCAGGAAATTTGGGACGATTGGCCACCCTACCTCCAAGTCCAAAGCACTGTCTTTGCACCGATAGCTATGGTGGGCAAGCCAAGGGGTGGATCCGTTTGCCTCGTGGGTCCATCCTTTGACCCAGACACTGGGCAGGAATGGGTACCTGTCACCCAGCTTGCCTCCAAAAGCCATTAATAGGCTCAGAATATGTGACCCCTAAGCCAGTCAGCCCAGCTCGTCCACTGTCTCAGGGACCATGGGGTTAAGGGAATAACTGTTTTAGGAAAAAAGCAAGCTGGATTTTTTCAACTTCCTTTTCCTTGTCAATGTCCAACCACTCCTGCCTCCTTAACAATGCTCTGTCCATCTTCTGGCTGGCCTTCCTATCAATTTTCTCCTGATGGATTTGCTGCCGGAGAGGTCACCTCTGGCCTGGCTCTTATGAGCAGTGTGCCTTATGGCAAGCATGTGCTCCGGGGCTCCAGGGACAGCATGACCTTGGCCCTGCTCCTTCAGCTTCTGACTCTTGGGAGATCAATGCATGGAGAGGGAGCATCCACGCTAAGGAATGAGTCCCTCTCACGGCCACCGCTTCAGCTCAGAGCCTGGACTGCAAAGGGATCATGACAGATTTCCTCCAGGGAGAGGATGTGCATCCTAAGCTCTGTGGTCAGGGTCTGGCCTGGGAGGTTCTGATGAGAGGCCTGGACAGTTGTGGTTGGCAGAACAATGGCCTCCAAAGAAATCCACTCCCTAATCCCCAGAACCGGTGACTGTATTGCCTGACATGGTAAAATGGACTTTGCATATAAGAAAGTTAAGGCTCTTGACATGGGGAGATAGACTCGATGTAATCACAAGGGTCCTTATAAGAAGGAGCCAGGAGGTCAGAGAGAGGAGAATGAGGCAATGTGACAACAGAAGCAGAGATTCAAGTCATGCGGCCACAAGCCAAGGAATACCAGCAGCCGCTAGGAGAGTCAGGGAGCGGATTCCCCCCAGAGCCTCCAGAGGGAATCAGCCCTACAGACACCTTGATTTGAGCCCCTAAGGCTCATTTCATACTTCCAGCCTCCAGAACCATAAGAGAATAAATGTGCTTTCTAAGCCACCTAGTTTACGAAAACTTGTTACAGTTGAAATAGGAAACTCAGTGTGATTTGAACAAGGCATGATCATTATTGCTCAAGTTCTGAGAAAACGGGGGCCTCCCAGCTCAGTGAGGGGGGCGTGGTAGGGCTGAGCACCAGGTTTGGCACACACAACATGCTCTGTAAAGGGGCACTCCTGGCCTCGTTCCCAACCTGTTGCAGAGAATCAGGTAAGTTCCCTGAGAGGAAAGGTGTCTGACTTTTTATCTGTATCCTCACTACTCAAAGTTGGTCCACAGACCAGCAGCATAGACTCCACTTGGAGTCCACTGCAGAATCCCAGGCTCCAGCCCAACATAAACGAGTCAGAACCTAGATTTTCACAAATCCCCCGCTGCTTCTCGTGCATACGAATGCTTGAAAGGTGCTGATCATAAGAGCTTGCTAAATCCTGAGAACATTGTGGTGAGGCAGGCACAGCAGTTATCACCTGTAAGCAGAGAAAACAGAGGTCAAGTGACTTGCCAAGGCACACACAGCTGGTGAGTGGCAGAACCAGGACTCAAACCCCTGTATGTCTAACTTTAGAAGTGGCATCTTTGCCAACAAGAGGTGAGGTAGAATGGCCTAGAGGCATCACACCCGAGACCCCAGCTTCCTGCCCCTTTCTGCTCATACCTGGATCATGCTCATTTTCATCCTCCCACCTGTCTCTACTCACCTTTCTCTCTTCCTTCCTCCCCACTCCTCCCTCCTCCCTCCTTCCTCCCATTTTTCTTTTTCTTCTTTCTTTTTTCTTTTCTTTTTTTTTTTTTTTTTGACAGAGTCTCACTCTGTCACCCAGGCTGGAGTACAGTGGTGCCATCTCAGCTCACTGCAATCTCGCCTCCCAGGTTCAAGTGATTCTCTCTGCCTCAGCCTTCCCAGTAGCTGGGATTACAGGTGTCCACCACCATATCCGGCTAGTTAGTTTTTTTTATTTTTAGTAGAGACTGGGTTTCACCATGTTGGCCAGGCTGGTCTCAAACTCCTGACCTCAGGTGATCTGCCCACCTTGGCCTCCCAAAGTGCTGGGATTACAAGCCTGAGACACCGTACCCAGCCCCATTTTTCTTTCATTCTATTTTTTCGTTCTCTCTCTTTCCTATCCTCCCCTCCCTCCCACCTTTCCTTCCTTCCTCCCTCCTTTCCTTTTTCCCTCCCTCCCTATCTTCCTCCCTCCCTCTCTCTTTTTCTCCCTCTCTCCCTCCCTCCCTCCCTCCTGAGAGGTGAAGCCGGCTGGGCTTCTGGGTCAGGTAGGGACTCCAAGAACTTTTCTGTCTATCTATAGGATTGTAAACACACCAATCAGCACTCTGTGTCTAGCTAAAGGTTTGTAAACGCACCAATCAGCACTCTGTAAAAACTCACCAATCAGTGCTCTGTGTCTAGCTAAAGGTTTGTAAATGCACCAATCAGCACCCTGTAAAAATGCACAAATCAGTGCTCAGTGTCTAGCTAAAGGTTTGTAAACGCACCAATCAGCACTCTGTAAAAACAGACCAATCAGCACTCTGTAAAATAGACCAATCAGCGCTCTGTAAAATGGACCAATCAGCAGGATGTGGGTGAGGCCAAATAAGGGAATAAAAGCTGGCCACCCCTCTGGTCACCTTCCAAGTTGTGGAAGCTTTATTCTTTGGCTAGCTGCAATAATTCTTGTTGCTGCTCACTCTTTGGGTCCGCACTACCTTTGTGAGCTGTAACACTCACCACAAAGGTCTGTAGGATCACTTCTGAAGCCAGTGAAATCACGAACCCACCAAGAGGAACAAACAACTCCAGACGTGCCACCTTTAAGAGCTGTAACACTCACTGCGAAAGTCTGTGGCTTCACTCCTGAAGTCAGCGAGACCATGAACCCACCAGAAGGAAGAAACTCTGGACATGTTTGAACATCTGAAGGAACAAACTCCAGACACACCATTTTTAAGAAATGTAACACACACCATGAGTGTCCACAAGTTCATTCTTGAAGTCAGCGAGACCAAGAACCCACGGGAAGGAACCAATGCTGGACACACTCCCTTCTTTCCTTCCCCACTCACTGTGCACTCCTCTGAGCCAAGCCCTGGTATGGAGAAGGTCCTGCCTTCCAGGGGTGCACCTCAGTGCTCTCCACACCTGGCTGAGCATCACAAGCACTTGGACAATCTACTTATTTCTGACATCTGGCTACACTCCAGAGTCTGAGTCAGATTCTCCCAGAGCAGGGCCTGGGCTTGACTATCTTGAAATCACTCCTGAGGTGATTCTGATGCAGCAAGCAGATCTGCACATGGGAGTGGAGAATCACCAGTTTGGAGGAAGTCTTAGGTGTGCTGAGGACAAAGAAAAAGAAGCAATCAACCCTAGGGTATGAAGCAGGAAGGGTCCACTGCTAGGAAACAGGACTTCACAGAGGAGATGACCGAAATCGGTTTTGAGGGATGTATAGGAGTTTGTCAGGAAGGCAGGGTTTGGATGGGAGTAGGAAAGGTGTTTTAGGTAAAGAAAGCAATTTCTACAAAGGCGTGGAGGCAGAAAACAGTGACATATTCGGGAAGCTGTAAAAAATTTAGTGTGGCTGGAGGGTCAGGCAGAGATACAGCTGGAGAAGTGCCAGAGGCAGGTCACCAGCAATGCAACAGCCCAGTTTGTCTTTACGTTTCCTCAGAAAACCCTTTCTGCCCCTTGATCATCATTTTTAGTTTCTGTGGACCCTTTCCCTGCATTTTTTCGAATGCCACGATGCCCAGAGGGACCTGTATTCTGCTGGCATCTAAAACCAGAGGAAATGGAGCCAGGGAATGTCATCCAATCTGAGTCTGTCCAATAGCCAGAAACTTCCCGAGGGGCCTAGGCATACAGCTACTGCGATGAGTAATGCACAGAACCCGCAAGACTAGGGTTTGAATTCCAGCCCTGCCTCTAAGCTGTGGAGCCTGGAATTGGGTATGGAACCATTCTGAACCTCATTTTCTTCTCTTTTCAAAACAGGATAGACACTGGAGGCATGGCTCTCCTGTGTCGATCCGCCAGTGCCTGGCACATTGTAGGCATGAAGCAAATGCAGCCTTCTTCCCTCCTTGCCTACTGCACTACACTCACCCACATCCAGTTGCTTTCCTCTAAGCCTGCAGAGCTGCCAGTTATCTCGGGTTTTTTGTTTTGAGATAAGGTCTCACCCTGCCACCCAGGCTGAGGTGCAGTGGTGTGATCACGGCTCACTGCAGCCTTAAACTCCTAAACTCAAGTGATCCTCCTGCCTTGCCTCTCCAAAAGCTACCACTACAGGCGTGCACCACCTCACCCAGCTAATTAAAAAGAGTATTTCTCATGCCTGTAATCCCAGCACTTGGGAGGCCAAAGCGGGTGGATCATCTGAGGCCATGAGTTTGAGACCAGCCTGGCCAACGTGGCGAAACCCTGTCTCTTCCAAAAAATACAAAAATTAGCCAGACATGGCAGTGTGTGCCTGTAATCCCACCTACTCAGGAGGTTGGGGCACAAGAATCCTTGAATCCGAGAGGTGTAAGGGGCAGTGAACTGAGGTCGTGCCACTGCACTCCAGCCTGGGCGACAGAGTGAGGCCCTGTCTCGAAAAAATTTTGTTCTCTTTTTGGTAGAGATGGGTTCTCGTTTTGTTGTCCATGTTGGACTTGAACTCCTGGCCCCAAGTGACCCTCCCTTCTCAGCCTCTCAAAGTGCTGGGATTACAGGTGTGTGCCAGCGTGCCCAGCTAATAACCTGTTTTTTTCTTTTGTTTTGTTTTGTTTTTTGAGACGGAGTCTCGCTCTGTTGCCAGGATGGAGTGCAGTGGCGTGATCTCAGCTCACTGCTACCTCTGCCTCCTGGGTTCAAGTGATTCTCCTGCCTTAGCCTCCCAAAGTGCTGGGATTACAGGCATGAGCCACCCGGCCGTAACCTGATTTTTAATGACATAATGTCCGGTATTGTTATTTAGATGAAAGCCGCATGACTGTGGTCAAGCCCCTCCTCCTCTGAACCTCAGCTTGCTCATCTGTGAAACGGGAAGAGTCATGTGGCAATGCCCGGGTTTTTGCAAGATCTAGACGTGTTGTCGCTGACCAGCAGCTGTCATCCCTTATGTGACCCTGCTCCCAGGTAACAGTGTGTGTGCAGGGATGAACTCATAACCTCCCTGGCCAATTGTGCCTTTCCTTGGACACTACTGAGTTGGGCCTCACCAGGAGGAGTGGTTTCTTCTGTGGGCAAAGCTGTGAAGGCAAGAGTCTGGAAACTGAGAGAAGACATCTTCCTCCACCACATGGAGAAGATGCTCTGTGATAAGAATCGGGACCACAAACTGGGAAGCAGCTCTGAGGGGCAGAGAGATCCTCAATGCACTTGAGTTCCTGATTCCAGTTCTAGGAGAGGTGAGCCAGACCCCTGCCTTCTTGCCCTTTGCACTTGATGATTACTTTTCTGGAAACTTTCCAGAATAATTTCATCCTTTTGCCTAATTAGTTCAAATTGGTTTTTTGTCTCTGGTACTGAAGACGAATCAGGTTTGTGTTACTAACCCGATTTTCAGGTGAGGAAACTGAAGTGCAGAGAAATCAAGTAGCTTGCCCAAAGTCACTCAGGGGGTAAAATCAGAGAAGGGATTTGGACTCAGGACCACCTTAGCCCAAAGCCCCTCCCCTGCCCTCAGTCCCACTCTGTGTCTTGTAAAACACAGCAGGCTCCCTGGAGAAGCAGCTCTGTTTCTTTCTGAATCAGCAGAAGCCAGTCAGGAAAAGAGAAATCATGCCAGGATCTCAACAGGGGAAATTTAATATGAGGATTTGGTTACACCTGGCAGGAAGAGAAAAAACAGAATACTGAGGAAAACCCAGAGAAAATAACTATAGAAAGCAGCCATCACCTTTAAGGCTGGGGGGATGAAAGGGAAGAAAACAGGAAACTAGGAGCTTGGAAGGGTGGAGCTTGGGCACTAAGAGCAGTGCTGGCCAGCTCCGAGGGTTCTTCTTTCTGAGCAGGCAGAGGAGGGCTGGCACCGGGATGCTGAAGGACGCTGGAGACTGGACCAGCTGCCACTGCTGGGCTGCACTGACAGGAACAGCAAACAAACGGGAAGGGAAAAGCACCTTCTCCCCTCTCCTGCCTTCCGATCCTTCTCCGGGACTTCCTATGGAGAGATAGCACCAAATAGAAAGCCAGCTGGCAAAGGGGTCTGGGCACTGTAGTTGCAGAGGTGCAGCCCAGCCCGGCATCACTGAGCCAGTGTAGAAGGGGGACTCAGAGCTGAGGGACCCTAGGGAAATAGTGGGCACATCTTCCATCTTTTCTACTCCTGTGGGCAAAGAATTGGGTTATTCCGAATCAAGACCCAAATCTATCCTTTGTCCCTTTCTCTGATCTCTTTCCTCAACTGTAGTGCGGGACACAGAGCTGGCCCAGAGTCCAGGCTTTTGGCCCCAGGTACATCAGATACATTGCAGGAACTGAAGCCACGAGGCAGGCTTTTTTTTTTTTTTTTTTTGACAGGGTCTCCCTCTGTTGTCCAGGCTGGAGTGCAGTGGTGCAATCACTGTTCATTGCAGCCTTGACTTCAAGGGCTCAATTGATTCTCCTGCTTCAGTCTCCTGTGTTGCTGGGACTACGGGAGTACACCACCCATGCCCAGCTATTTTTTGTATTTTTTATAGCAATGGTGTTTCACCATGTTGCCCAGGCTGGTCTGGAACTCCTGGGCTCAAGCAATCTTCCTGACTTGGCCTCCCAAAGTGTTGGGATTACAGGCATGAGCTGCCACGCCTGGCTGAGGCTGGCTTTGGGAGTGCTGGAGGAACACGTTTGCCCCACCCCAGCTCCCTCCCATGAGAATTGCAATCTGCCTTGTCCAGGTCTTTATCAAAGACTCCAGGGAGCCTGGATAGCTGGCATGGAGGATTAGCTGCTCCCTGGCCAGGGGGCAAGGGCAGGATTCACTGTGGCAATAGGGACCTTCCTAACCCATCTGGAGGTCACTTTTCCAGGCACATCTGCTCAGACACAAGGTCTGACTGCAAGGCTTATTGGGAAGGTGAGTCTTCACTTTGGCCCCTCCTGCTGCCTCATCCCTATGCCCTGTCATTCATTAGGTCAGACTCCGAAGCCTGGGAATCCTCTGTGTTCAGCAGCTTTTGGGCCCCTGAAGCCATTTGAAGCTGCCCGAGTCTCTTCCCTGTCTCGACTTCTCCTTCTACCCTTTCACTTTTCTTTTCTCTTGTAGCAGAAAGAGAATGATGGGATTTGGACATTAGTCACACTTTGTTCTACCACTTCCTGACTATAAAGGATATTGGCAGTGATCAGAGGTCCCAAGATGGCTGAATAGGAACAGCTCCAGTCTACAGCTCCCAGGGTGAGCGATGCAGAAGACGGGTGATTTCTGCATTTCCAACTGAGGTACTGGGTTCATCTCACTGGGGCTTCAGACAGTGGGTGCAGGCCATGGAGCAGGGCGTGGCATCACCTCACCAGGGAAGTGCAAGGGGTCAGGGAATTCCCGTTCCTAGCCAAGGGAAGCTGTGACAGATGGCACCTGGAAAATCAGGACACTCTCACCCTAATACTGTGCTTTTTCAATGGTCTTAGCAAACGGCACACCAGGAGATTATATCCCGAGCATGGCTTGGAGGGTCCCACACCCATGGAGCCTCACTCACTGCTAGCACAGCAGTCTGAGATCCAACTGCAAGGTGGCAGCGAGGCTGGGGGAGGGGCGCCCACCATTGCTGAGGCTTGAGTAGGTAAACAAAGTGGCCAGGAAGCTTGAACTGGGTGGAGCCCACCACAGCTCAAGGAGCCTCCCTGCCTCTGTAGACTCCACCTCTGGGGGCAGGGCATAGCTGAACAAAAGGCAGCAGAAACTTCTGCAGACTTAAACATCCCTGTCTGACAGCTTTGAAGATAGTAGTGGTTCTCCCAGCACGGAGTTTGAGATCTGAGAACAGACAGACTGCCTCCTCAAGGGGGCTCCTGACCCCTGAGTAGCCTAACTGGGAGACACCTCCCAGTAAGGGCCGACTGACACCTCATACAGCCAGGTGCCCCTCTGAGATGAAGCTTCCCAAGGAAGGATAAGGCAGCAACATTTGCCGGTCTGCAATATTTGCTGTTCTGCAGCCTCCACTGGTGGTACCTAGGCAAACAGGGTCTGCAGTGGACCTCCAGCAAATTCCAACAGGCCTGCAGCTGAGGGTCCTGACTGTTAGAAGGAAAACTAACAAACAGAAAGGACATCCACACCAAAGCCCCATCTGTACGTCACCATCAAAGACCAAAGGTACATAAAACCACAAAGATGAGGAGAAACCAGAGCAGCAAAGCTGAAAATTCTAAAAATCAGAGCACCTCTTCTCCTCCAAAGGAATGCAGCTCCTCAGCAGCAATGGAACAAGGCTGGATGGAGAATGACTTTGACAAGTTGAGAGAAGAAGGCTTCAGGCGATTGGTAATAACAAACTTCTCCAAGCTAAAGGAGGATGTTCAAACCTGCAAAGAAGCTAAAAACCTTGAAAAAAGATTAGACGAATGGCTAACTAGAATAAACAGTATAGAGAAGACCTTAAATGACCTGATGGAGCTGAAAACCATGGCACAAGAACCACGTGACACATGCACAAGCTTCAGTAGCCAATTCGATCAAGTGGAAGAAAGGGTATCAGTGATTGAAGATCAAATGAATGAAATGAAGCGAGAAGAGAAGTTTAGAGAAAAAAGAGTAAGAAGAAATGAACAAAACCTCCAAGAAATATGGGACTATGTGAAAAGACCAAATCTACCTCTGATTGGTGTACCTGAAAGTGTCGGGGAGAATGGAACCAAGTTGGAAAACACTCTTCAGGATATTATCTAGGAGAACTTCCCCAACCTAGCAAGGCAGGCCAACATTCAAATTCAGGAAATACAGAGAATGCCACAAAGACACTCCTTGAGAAAAGCAACTCCAAGACACATAATTGTCAGTCTCACCAAAGTTGAAATGAAGGAAAAAATGTTAAGGGCAGCCAGAGAGAAAGGTCGGGATACCCTCAAAGGGAAGTCCATCAGACTAACAGTGGATCTCTCGGCAGAAACTCTACAAGCCAGAAGAGAGTGGGGCCAATATTCAACATTCTTAAAGAAAAGAATTTTCAACCCAGAATTTCATATCCAGCCAAACTACGCTTCATAAATGAAGGAGAAATAAAATCCTTTACAGACAAGCAAATGCTGAGAGATTTTGTCACCACCAGGCCTGCCTTACAAGAGCTCCTGAAGGAAGCACTAAGCATGGAAAGGAACAACCGGTACCAGCCACTGCAAAAACATGCCAAATTGTAAAGACCATCGATGCTAGGAAGAAACTGCATCAACTAATGAGCAAAATAACCAGCTAACATCATAATGACAGGATCAAATTCACACATAACAATATTAACTTTAAATGTAAATGGGCTAAATGCTCCAATTAAAAGACACAGACTGGCAAATTGGATAAAGATTCAAGACCCATCAATGTGCTGTATTTAGGAGACCCATCCCATGTGCAGAGACACACATAGGCTCAAAATAAGGGGATGGAGGAAGACCTACCAAGCAAATGGAAAACAAACAAACAAAAAAAGCAGGGGTTGCAATCCTAGTCTCTGATGAAACAGACTTTAAACCAACAAAGATCAAAAGAGACAAAGAAGGCCATTAGATAATGGTAAAGGGATCAATTCAACAAGAAGAGCTAACTATCCTAAATAGGTATGCACCCAATACAGGAGCACCCAGATTCACAAAGCAAGTCTTTAGAGACCTACAAAGAGACTAGGACTCCCACACAAAAATAATGGGAGACTTTAACACCCCACTGTCAACATTAGACAGATCAACAAGTCAGAAAGTTAAAAAGGATATCCAGGAATTGAACTCAGCTCTGCACCAAGTGGACCAAATAGACATCTACAGAACTTTCCACCCCAAATCAACAGAATTACATTCTTCTCAGCACCACATCACACTTATTCCAAAATTGACCACATAGTTGGAAGTAAAGCACTCCTCAGCAAATGTAAAACAACAGAAATTATAACAAACTGTCTCTCAGACCACAGTGCACTCAAACTAGAACTCAGGATTAAGAAACTGACTCAAAACTGCCCAACTACATGGAAACTGAACAACCTGCTTCTGAATGACTACTGGGTACCTAACGAAATGAAGGCAGAAATAAAGATGTTCTTTGAAACCAATGAGAACAAAGACACAACATACCAGAATCTCTGGGACACATTCAAAGCAGTGTGTAGAGGGAAATTTATAGCACTAAATGCCCACAGGAGAAAGCAGGAAAGATCTAAAATTGACACCCTAACATCACAATTAAAAGAACTAGAAAAGCAAGAGCAAACACATTCAAAAGCTAGCAGAAGGCAAGAAATAACTAAGATCAGAGCAGAACTGAAGGAAATAGAGACACAAAAAACCCTTCAAAAAATCAATGAACCCAGGAGTTGGTTTTTTGAAAAGATCAACAAAATTGATAGATTGCTAGCAAGACTAATAAAGAAGAAGAGAGAAGAATCAAATAGACGCAATAAAAAATGATAAAGGGGGTATCACCACCGATCCCACAGAAATACAAACTGCCATCAGAGAATACTATAAACACCTCTATGCAAATAAACTAGAAAATCTAGAAGAAATGGATAAATTCCTCGACACATACACCCTCCCAAGACTAAACCAGGAAGAAGTTGAATCCCTGAATAGACCAATAACAGGCTTTGAAATTGAGGCAATAATTAGTGCCTACCAACCAAAAAAACTCCAGGACCAGACAGATTTACAGCCGAATTCCACCAGAGGTACAAAGAGGAGCTGGTACCATTCCTTCTGAAACTATTCCAATAAATAGAAAAAGAGGGAATCCTCCCTAACTTATTTTATGAGGCCAGCATCATCCTGATGCAAAAGCCTGGTAGAGACACAACAAAAAAGGAGAATTTTAGACCAATATCCCTGATAAACATCGATGCAAAAATCCTGAATAAAATACTGGCGAACTGAATCCAGCAGCACATCAAAAAGCTTATCCATCACGATCAAGTTGGCTTCATCCCTGGGATGCAAGGCTGGTTCAACATACACAAATCAATAAACATGATCCATCAGATAAACAGAATCAAAGACAAAAACCACATGATTATCTCAATAGATGCAGAAAAGGCCTTTGACAAAATTCAACAATCCTTCAGGCTAAAAACTCTCAATAAACGAGGTATTGATGGGACGTATCTCAAAATAATAAGAACTATTTATGACAAACCCACAGCCAATATCATACTGAATGGGCAAAAACTGGAAGCATTCCCTTTGAAAACTGGCACATGACAGGGATACCCTCTCTCACCACTCCTATTCAACATAGGGTTGGAAGTTCTGGCCAGGGCAATCAGGCAGGAGAAGGAAATAAAGGGTATTCAATTAGGAAAAGAGGAAGTCAAATTGCCCCTGTTTGCAGATGACATGATTGTATATTTAGAAAACCCCATAGTCTCAGCCCAAAATCTCCTTAAGCTGATAAGCAACTTCAGCAAAATCTCAGGATACAAAATCAATGTGCAAAAATCACAAGCATTCCTATACACCAATAACAGACAAACAGAGAGCCAAATCATGAGTGAACTCCCATTCACAATTGCTTCAAAGAGAATAAAATACCTAGGAATCCAACTTACAAGGAATGTGAAGGATTCTTCAAGAAGAACAACAAACCACTGCTCAAGGAAATAAAAGAGGACACACAAAAAATGGAATAACATTACATGTTCAAGGATAGGAAGAATCAATATTGAGAAAATGGCCATACTGCCCAAGGTAATTTATAGATTCAATGCCATCCCCATCAAGCTTCCAATGACTTTCTTCACAGAATTGGAAAAAACTACTTTGAAGCTCATATGGAACCAAAAAAGAGCCCACATTGCCAAGACAATCCTAAGCCAAAAGAACAAAGCTGGAGGCATCATGCTACATGACTTCAAACTATACTACAAGGCTACAGTAACCAAAACAGCATGGTACTTGTACCAAAACAGAGATATGGACCAGTGGAACAGAACAGAGCCCCCAGAAATAATACCACACATCTACAACCATCTGATCTTTGACAAACCTGACAAAAACAAGAAATGGGGAAAGGATTCCCTATTTAATCAATGGTGCTGGGAAAACTGGCTAGCCACATGTAGAAAGCTGAAACTGGATCCCCTTCTTTACACCTTACACAAAAATTAATTCAAGATGGATTAAAGACTTAAATGTTAGACCTAAAGCCATAAAAACCCTAGAAGAAAACCTAGGCAGTACCATTCAGGACATAGGCATGGGCAAGGACTTCAGGACTAAAACACCAAAAGCAATGGCCACAAAAGCCAAAATTGACACATGGGATCTAATTAAACTAAAGAGCTTCTGCACAGCAAAAGAAACTACCATCAGAGTGAACAGGAATGAATGGAATGGGAGAAAATTTTTCCAATCTACCCATCTGACAAAGGGCTAATATCCAGAATCTACAAAGAACAAAAACAAATTTACAAGAAAAAATCAAACAACCCCATCAAAAAGTGGGCAAAGGATATGAACAGACACTTCTCAAAAGAAGACATTTATGCAGCCAATAGACACATGAAAAAATGCTCATCATCACTGGCCATCAGAGAAATGCAAATCAAAACCACAATGAGATACCATCTCACACCAGTTAGAATGGCAATCATTAAAAAGTCAGGAAACAGGTGCTGGAGAGGATGTGGAGAAATAGGAACTTTTACACTGTTGGTGGGACTGTAAACTAGTTCAACCATTGTGGAAGACAGTGTGGGGATTCCTCAAAGATCTAGAACTAGAAATACCATTACCGTTTGACCCAGCCATCCCATTACTGGGTATATACCCAAAGGATTATAAATCATGCTGCTATAAAGACACGTGCACACGTATGTTTATTGTGGCACTACTCACAATAGCAAAGACTTGGAAACAATCTGAATGTCCATCAATGATAGACTGGATTAAGAAAGTGTGGCACATATACACCATGGAATACTATGCAGCCATAAAAAAGGATGCGTTCATGTCCTTTGTAGGAACATGGATGAAGCTGGAAACCATCATTCTGAGCAAACTATCACAAGGACAGAAAACCAAACACTGCATGTTCTCACTCATGAGTGGGAATTAAACAATGAGAACACTTGGACACAGGGTGGGGAACATCACACATTGGGGCCTCTCATGAGGTGGGAGAAGGGGGAAGGGATAGCATTAGGAGATATACCTAATGTAAATGACGAGTTAATGGGTGCAGCACACCAACATGGCACATGTATACATATGTAACAAACCTGCACGTTGTGCACATGTACCCTAGAACTTAAAGTATAATAAAAATTAAAAATTAAAAAAAGGACATTGGCAAGTTACTTGTACTTCTTGTTGAATATGAAACCTTGCAAGTTTATAGACTCTTTAACCAAAGCCCCCTCATCTTTTATGTGATATATAATTGTCATGTATATCACATCTACATGCACTATAAACCCAGCAATATACTGTTATAATTTTTGCTTCAAACAACCACATGCATTTTAAAGAAATTAAAGGGAAACCATCTTTTATATTTTCCCACATTTGCCATTTCTGATGCTTTTTGTTCCTTGCTGTAATCTAAGTTTCTTTTGGTATCATTTCCCTTCTATCTGAAGAACTTCCTTTAGCATTTCTTTCATGCAGGTCTAATGATGATGAAAACTGCTAGTATTCATTTATCTGAATCAATGTTTCTTTCTTTCTTTTTTTTTTTATTTGAGACAGAGTCTTGCTCTGTAGCCCTGGCTGGAGTGCAGTGGCATGATCTCAGCTCACTGCAAGCTCCACCTCCTGGGTTCACACCATTCTTCTGCCTCAGCCTCCTGAGTAACTGGGACTACAGGCACGTGCCACCACACCTGGCTAATTTTTTTGTATTTTTAGTAGAGACGGGATTTCACCGTGTTAGCCAAGATGGTCTCGATCTCCTGACCTCATGATCCACCGACGTCGGCCTCCCAAAGTGCTGGGATTACAGGTGTGAGCCACCACGCCCAGCCATGAATGTTTCATTATGGAAATATATTTTTACTGGATATATGATTCTGAGTTGATAGGTTTTTTTCTTTCTTTTAATGCATTGAAGATGTTCCACTGCCTTCTGACTTCCTTTCTCATGAGAAGTCAGCAATATTTATATCATTCTTCTCTTGTATAAAATATGTTGTTTTTTCTGTGGCTATTTTAAAACTTGTCTCCTTTTGTATGGTATTTAGTAGTTTGATTTTGTGCCTAGGTGTGTACTTTGTACTTATCCAGCTTTGAGCTTATCTGGGGTACACTAAAATTCTTGGGTATGTAAATGTATGTCTTTCACCAAGCATGGGGACATTTCAGCCACTATTTTTTTAAACTTTTTTCTGTCCCATTCTCTCTTTTCCTTCTCAGACTCCAATTATACATATGTTAGACCTTTTGATATTTTTTCACAAGTCCCTGAGGCTCTTCCTCTTTTCTTTTTATTCAATCCTTTTTGTTCTTCATATCGGATACTTTCTATTGACATATTTTCAAGTTCATTGACTCTTCCTTCTGTCATCCCCAACCTGCTCTTAAGCAGATCTCCTCTCGTGTTTGCCTGATTTCAGTTGCTTTCCAGTGCATTTAGGCAGTTTTTTCTCTTAAATCTTTGCCCAGAGTTCACAGTTGTTATTTGTGATCTTGTAGAAGTTCCTCTGCCATTACTGGAAACAGGACCCTGGGCAAGTTACTCTTCAGCTCCAGTTTCCTCATCTAGAAATAAATAATGTCAACCTCATGGGTTATATTTGTAAAATATCTAGCATATGATTTGACACAAAATAAGTCCATTTCCCATCCCACTTCCATTCCTGATCAGCCTAGCCTGGATTCAACTCCCACCTTTTTCCTCCCATCAGAGAAAACAGGGTGCCTCCTCTCGGTGGCCGTGTAGAAATTAATAAGGCACAAGCTTCAATTTTAGGAGCTCAGAGTGAAGGAGACAAACTAAGTCAGTTAGGGCTCTTTGCATTTTGAATGACTGAAAACCCAGTTAACACTGGTTGGAAACAAAGGGGAATTTGCAAGAGTAGGGCATGATGCAGGTATACGTTGCAGGGTTCAAGGTCTCTCTCCATCTCTACTCTCATACCCTGCAAGGGATCCATTTTCAGGTAGTAGGTGGGGGAGGAAGAACATTCCAGATTGGAGAAGGTGTAAGGAGGCCAGTGTGGCTGGAGTGCAGGGAACAGAGTGGTGAGAGGCATGAGAGGAGGTGGAGAGACAGGCAGAGGCAAGAGGTTGTACACCTAGTGGCAGGAGAGTGACAAGATCATACTTGTATGTTGAAAAGATCATCCTGGCTCTAGAAGGAGTTAGGGAACATACAGACTCAGGAGCTGGTGTGGAGAGGCCACTGTAGGCCCCAGGTAAGTGATGGGGGGACATAATTAGGGGGTTGCCAGGGGTAGGGAGAGAAGCAGAGCCTGAGAGATACTAAGGAAGTGAAGACAAGATGTGATGATTGATTTGATGTTGTAAATGAGGGGAAGGAAGTGACACAATGAGTCCAAGGTTTCCGGAGCGTGCCACTGAACTCCAGACAGGGTGAAAGAGTGAGACTCTGTCTCAAAATATATAAATAAATAAATTAAATTAATTCAATTTTTTGAGAGAGAGATTGAATCTGACTGGTCATTGGCTCGGGATAGATTGGCTATTAGGTCACCTGCCCTTAGGTCAGATGACTACCTCTCATTCAATCAGATATTTCTGGAAAGAGTAGTGAGTCACATGGTACAAAGATGGCTGCCTACTGCTGCCCTTTCAGCAGAAACTAAAGGAATGGAGGGACAATTCCTAGAGAAGGTGTTGAGAATAGGGCAGCCCTCCCAAACATATCAACCACACCTTTAAAATGAGGAGTCAACTAGGTGGTCTATAAAGGCTCTTTAGCTGGCAAAGATTTGTGGGCTCACTTCTATCTGTGAACAAAAAAGGACTGAGGGTCAGAAAGCTGCCCACTGTGGGGAGCTCCATCTGAGCTCCAGACACTCAGAAATATGTCCTCCTCACTGCCCCCAGCTTGGCATAGCACAGGTTTTCCTGCCTTTGCAGAGAGTAATTCCATTTCTCAGGTCTTACTGGAATTCACCAGGTTCTACCATCAGGAGGACAGCAAACGGAAAGTCTTTGTTGGGAAGGAGAATTAACCTGTGGCTTTTATCCCTGTGACTGATCAAGCCTAAGGGTGACATCCCCCAGGTCTGTGCTGAGCAGGAGTGGGCTTCATCATTTCTGGGTTCCCACCTCACCCATTGCCCTGGTTCCCAGAGACTTGGAACCATGAGCTGCCTGGCCCCACAGTGCTTCCCAGCTGTGGGCTCAGCTCAATCAGGGCATTTACAGGGCCCATTCTTGTGGCTCAGGCATCTCAGCACCCGTCAGCCTGGGGCCAGATCCCTGTGCCACAATATCTGCCTTGTTCCTGGAACTGAGCCCTCTGGGCACCCCAGTTCCCATACCTGGATTGCTGTCCTGGCCCCACTCCTGCCTTGACCCCTGCTCCTCCATGATGAGACCCGCTCACCTGGGTGCCCTTCTTCACTTATTTCTGAGTTTCTCAAGGAAGCAATTTGGGGAAGACTGACCCAACCACACATGCTGACACTTGCCTTTGCCTTCCTGTCCATCAACTAAATTCACTCCCCGACAGAGACAGTCAGTCCAAAAGCACTAAGCCAACAATCCTCAAAAGTGTGGTCCCAGATTAGAAATGCACATTCTTGGCCCAGCGCGGTGGTTCGCAACTGTAATCCCAACACCTGGGGAGGCCGAAGTGAGTGGATCACTTGAGGCCAGCAGTTTGAGAGCAGCCTGGCCAACATGGCGAAACTTTGTCTTTACTGAAAATAAAAAAAAAAAAAAATTAGCTGGTCATGGTGGGGCATGCCTGTGTTCCCAGCTACGGGGAGGCTGAGGCAGGAAAACTGCTTGAACCCAGGCCTTCCTCTTTCTATAAAGCCACCAATCCTATTGGATTAGGACTGCACCCTTGTAATCTCATTTAACATTAATTACCTCTTAAAAGCCCTATCTCCAAATACAGTCACTTTGGGAGTTAAGGCTTCAATATATAAATTTGACAGGGGGCTGGGGGAGTGCAATTTAGTCCCTAGCACCTACTAAGTTACTAAGTTAGAAACTCTGGGGTGGAGTCCAGCAATCTCTATTAAAACCAGCCCTCAGGTGATTCTAGGCATGATGCTCAAGTTTAAGAAGCATTCTACTAAACTAACTGCCCTGAGACATGAGATGCGAATTCAGTCTGGTCTGCAGGGAAAGCCCCATCACCTCCTCTCCACACACACAAAAATGAGGTCCTGTTTCCTTTTGACTGGATATGCTTTTGTTTTTGTTTTTGACCAGATATGTTGACTTCTCAGTCTCATTACACCAGTGGTCTCAGGAACACCTTTCCTCTCTCAGTTTCCAAAAGACCGTTGGCTGCCTTTCTCCCCGTCAGTGGCTCACAAAACCCCAAATTCCTGCAAGGTGACTGGAGCAATGCAGTCAGGGTAATTGTTTCCAAAGCCGGGTGAGACCTCACCTCAGGACACACCGATATATCCCAAGCAAAGCTTCTGAGTGCAAGGTAATGGTTCCCTTAGAGACAATTATTTTTGCCTCTCTGTATTACAGAAATTGGGTCTCAGAGAGGTAAATGGTGTCTTGCCCAAAGTCACACAGTAGAGTAGTAAAGCCATTCCTAGGAGCAGGTCTGCTGGCATCAAGGCTGGCATTCCTTGTACCATGCCAGGGCTTCTGGAACTTTAATATGCACAGGAACCCCTGAGGATCTTGCTTAAAATACAGATTCTGATTCAGTGAATCTGGGGTGGGGCCTGGGACTCTGCATTTCTAACATGCTCCCAGGTGATGCGATGCTACTGGCCCAGGACAACACTGAGAAGTGAGGTTCTACACCATGCTGTTCTCCACACATCCCTCCTCCCAGCATGAGTTTCCATAAACTTCCAGCCTATGAGAGCCAACTCTTGCAGGAAAGGAAAGATCCCTTATTGTGGTCAAGTAACAAAGAACAGAAGTCATAAATAGAAAGCAGTGAAGTCGGTGGGGCTTGGCGAACTGCAAAATCCCTGCCTGTTTCCCCAGATTCCACCTTCAGCCAATGCTGCTAGAAAATCTGTTCATTCTGGGCCTCTCCCTGAGTTAGAATCCACTGACTCCCCATCACCTGGCTTTCCTACCCTCTGTTCTGACAGCAACCTCCTCCCCACAGGACACTGGAATCCCTGCTGTGGATCTCCTGGGCCCAGCATCACAAGAAGCTCTTACCACGGGAACACACAGTCCCTGTGCCAAGCATATTCATGCAAGAGCTGAAAAGAAAACAGCCAAGCTCTTCCTGACCCGACTTTTCCTGCAGGGATGCTGTGGACTGAGGAAGAGTCTCCCTACCCTAGCTCAAGCAAAAAGCCCTGGGACTTTCAAAGAATCTTAGTGACAGAAGGAATTTTGAGGTTTCACTGAAGCTTCTCATTTTCCAGGTAATGCCAGTGACTTGCCCCAAGCCACGCTGCCGGTCTGGGTGAGAACTCTGGTCTGTGGTTTCCAGCTCATGCTCCATCCCACTCAAGGAAGCTCCTTGAAGGTCAGTGCTATGGACTGAATTGTGTCCCCTGAAATTATGTGTTGAAGTCCTAACCCTTAATGTGACTGTATTTGGAAATACGGTCTTTAGGAGGGAATTAAGGTTAAACAAACTTGCAAGGGTGGGGCCCTAATCCATTAGGACTGTAGCCTTATAAGAACAGGGAAAGATCTCTTGCTGGATCTCTTTCTTTCTCCCTTTCTCCCTCTCTTTCTCTCCCTCTCCCTTTCTCCCTCTCCCTCTCCCTCCCCCTTTCTCCCTCTCCTCTTCCCTCCCCATTTCTCCCTCTCCCTCCCCCTTTCTCCCTCTCCTCCTCCCTCCCCATTTCTCCCTCTCCCCCTCCCTCCCCATTTCTCCCTCTCCCTCCCCCTTTCTCCCTCTCCCTCCCCCTTTCTCCCTCTCCCTCTCCCTCCCCCTTTCTCCCTCTCCCTCTCCCTCTCTTTCTCCCTTTTCCCCATTCCATGTGAGCACACAGTAAGAAGGCAGTGATCTGCAAACCAGGAAGAGAGCTCTCACCCTGCTGGCACTCTGATCTTCAGCTTCCAGCCTCCAGGACTATGAGAAATAAATATCTGTTATTTGAGGCACCCCGTCCATGGTATTTTGATATGGCAGCCAGAGCAGATGAAGACAGTCTGGCTTTGAGTTCGTCACACTCTCATTCAGCATCTCTGGAGGAACTCACCTCTGATGTCCTCACATGGTGCTTCTGTAATTTGTTATAAAAAACACCTCTTCTCTCTGGACTGCTGGAAGGTGAATTGGCTTTCTCCACTCTCAAGAATGGATTGATATGGCTTGACTCTGCATGTGATCTGGGGCTGGTGAAAGCAGTTGTGCTGGGTGCAGATGAGAGCAGGGAGGGCGTGGAGCAGAACTCTCAGGGAACAATGGGGAGAGAATGGGAGCCTCAGCTTCTTACCTGCCTCCCAGCCACTGCCATTGACTTGTAGCTGCCCCACTGCCATCTTCACCTTCCCACAACCCCAGCCTCCCTGAATGCCTCATAATGTCCTGAGTGTGCCATGTAGATCATTCCTCCATGCCTCCTCCACCCGCTGCCCACCCTGCCTATAACACTCCTCTTTGTTCCCTGGCAAACCTTCAGCCATCCATCAAGATCCAGCACAGTGACCTCCTCCTCTGTGAAGCCTCCTCCACCAACTCTTCTTAACCCCCAGTTACTTACTTGTAAAGAAATAAACACAAAAATAACAACTAAATCCACACATACCTACACATGCATGCACACACACATATACTAGGTTCTTGGTTGCAAACAGTAGGAACTAACTCTAACTAATTTAGACACAGAAAGACTTAATTAGAAGGATATTGGGTCACCCAAGGATGACTAGAGAACTGGGGAACCAGGTTTCAGGCTATGCACCCAGCAACAGTGCCTGGCAGCCCCCTCAGAGCAGGTATAGGACCCGATGAGCACCACAGCTTGCACCGGCTTGCACCTCCAACCCTGCTAGCACTGGCCCCAGAGAATGGCCTGGTGCTGGAGTCACCATCTCCACCACCAGAGATGCTTCAGATAATCTCTCAAACTCCTCCCTTCTGTGTGGCACTAGCTCTGAGTGTGACTTGGTCTGATTGACAGGGCCCGGCTCCCCCTGGCCTGCCCTGACTCTAGAGTGAAGGGTAGCTCCTTGCCTCTCCAAGACCCAGAGCGGGGGGAATTCCTCAAATATAGAAGGGGATCTATATGTTGTATAAAGTCATCTCAAACATTGAATTAACAAATACTGAAGTATTGCTCCTAGGGGGAAATACAGGCTTAGGTCCCACAAGCCTCTGGTCACAACATTTTCATCAACTGGTCAACAGATAACATTGTTTTCTGCATGTTTCCAGTTTTGTTTTGTTTGTTGTTGTTGTTGTTTGAGACAGAATCTCGCTCTGTCACCCAGGCTGCAGTGCAGTGACGCCATCTCGGCTCACTGCAACCTTGGTCTCCCAGGGTTCAAGCACAATTCTCATGCTTCAGCCTCCTGAGTAGCTGGAGCTACAGGTGTACACCACCGTTCCTGGCTAATTTTTGTATTTTTAGTAGAGATGAGGTTTTGTCATGTTGGCCAGGCTGGTCTTGAACTCCTGACCCCAAGTGATCCCCCTGCCTCGGCCTCCCAAAGTGCTGGGATTACAGGCATGAGCCACTGTGCCCAGCTGCATGTTTCTGTTTAGAGACACCTTATAGCAATATATATTGTTGATTCATTAGCATTGAACTCACGGGCTACAGCAGTATACCCCATGACTGAATGGAGCAGATCTCACTCATGCATTTTTCTTTGTAAGGAACGTCAGTGTCTTCCTGTGCTCAGGAATGCTAGACAGCACTTCAGCACCAGGCTTGGGGGTCACCAGCAAAAGGCACAAAAATGCAGAAATCGTGTCACTAAATTGACTGTGAAAAGGTCACTTGCTTGCAGTATGAAAGCTGAGATGAGAAGATGGTGTCACCTTGTTCAAACTCAGCTGGTAATGTCTGTGGCGCGTGACTCAAATATTTTGCCTCTCTTCACATGTCCACGAATGACTGTGAAAGTGCCGCAAGCATCGATTCGAGGGTTGTAAATAAATTCTAGCAGGTAGGCAAATTTGAAAATATGGAATCTGTGAATAACGAGAATTGACTATATCTCTGTCTATATATACACATACACATATATCAATATAACTTTATTATGTATACATTTTCCCTATATATTTCCATGACTATAAGTCATATTACTGTGAGGTTTCTCACCCAATGAGGGTTCCCGCTTTCACAGGCAAGTGGAACATCTACCAGAACAACAACAGCCAATGCAATAATGTCCAGTTAGATTTTTATTTGCACTTATAGCAAGACAATAAGCTGGAGAGCAAGGTGTTGTGGAGAGCAAGGAGTTTTTCTCCGTCCCTTTGGCCTCCGGCCAGAGCAATACATTTGCACAGGTCCCTGCCCTGCCCAGAATGCTTGCTGAGCCCTAAGAGAGGGCCAGGCAAAGTCTCCCACTCTCAGGGACAGAAAACATGCAAAACAGAGAAAAATGTCAAGAATTACCTAGTGGGCTAGGTGCAGTGGCTCACACCTGTAATCCCTGTAATCCTGTAATCAGCACTTTGGGAGGCCAAGGTGGGTGGATCACCTGAGGTCAGGAGTTCGAGACCAGCCTGGCCAACATGGAGAAACCCCGTCTCTACTAAAAATAAAACAATTAGCCAGGAGTGGTGGCGGGTGCCTGTAATCCCAGCTACTCAGGAGGCTGAGGCAGGAGAATCACTTGAACCTAGGAGGCAGAGGTTGCAGTGACCCGAGATAGTGCCACTGCACTCTAGCCTGGGTGACAAGAGTGAAACTCTGTCTCAAAAAAAAAAAAAAAAAAAGGAAAGAAAGAATGACACAGTGAAAGGAAAGAAAAAATGGATTTTGCAGCCAAGAGAAAAAGCCTCTTGTTGAAGGAAATCAGATTACTGAATAAGTGAATGAATAAATGTGCAATTCCAAAAGAGAGTCACTGGAAGTCAGGGAGCTGTCCCCACAGAGGGGCTGACTAGGAAGGGATTGGAAGCCTTGCTCCTCTCCAGGACCATCAGGCCAGAGGCGGGGTGGGGAAGATGGGAGGGTGTGTTGGCTTTGGAGTCTACACAAATATTTCCACTGGGCTTATTAGCTCATTTGGTTGTGACAACAGCTCCTACGAAGTAGGAAAGTCAGCGACCGTTATTCTGATGATTTGACAACTAAATGGGTGTTCAAATTCACCCCAAATCCTGTGGCTAGTAAAATACCCAAGCCAGGACTGAGGATTTTCTTTTTTTCTTTTTTTTTTTTCCCGAGATGGAGTCTTGCTCTGTCACCCAGGCTGGAGTGCAACGGCACGATCTCGGCTCACTGCAACCGCTGCTTCCTGGGTTCAAGTGATTCTCATGCCTCAGCCTCCCCAGTAGCTGGGACTACAGGTGCACCACCACGCCTGGCTAATTTGTTTGTATTTTTAGTAAAGGTGGGGTTTCACCAAGTTGGCCAGGCTGGTCTCGAACTCCTCAAGTCAGGGTTTTTCCGATGCAGCAGGCTGTCTCTTGGTTTAGAAGCAAGGAGGAATACACAGAATTGCGGCATCCATGTAGTATATTTTCCACATATACTATATGATTTCAGAGGCAGTGTGATGATTCCTACTGACCGGCATTCCTATTGACAAGATCGGGAAGCAGGCTCAGAGGGGTGCCGCACCATGCCCAAGAGACCAGTGCCTGTGTTAAGGGCATTCCCAGAAGCTGGGAGAGCCCTCAAGGAGTCCGTGTTCTTCTTGGGTAAAGCTGAGCCAGGGGCACACAGACTGGCTGGATGGCTGGGGAAGAGCAGGCCCTTAGCGCCTACAGTCAGGCTGGTCTGACTGGAAGTGTCACGTCACTCTGCCCTGAAGGCTCTGTGGTTCACCCTGGGTTCTGACACATCCTGCCTGACACCTTGCCCCACTGCAGGGCTTGGTTGGCCAAGCCTGCTGCGCTGAGCTCCGGGACTTATAAGGTGGTACAGTCTGTCACCCCTGGCTGCTGCTGGGCCCTGCTGCTCTTTGCAGTCGCAGCCTGGGAGCCACCGGGGCAAGGACTTTGAGTGCTGTACGGTGTGTGCATGAGTGTGTCCTGATCACACAGTTGCCTCAGCAGGGATTTTTAAAAATCATTGTTCTTAAAAGTCCATGACAGGAGGCTGAGCGCTGTGGCTCACGCCTGTAATCCCAGCACTTTGGGAGGCCGAGGCGGGCGGATCACGAGGTGAGGAGATCGAGACCATCCTGGCTAACATGGTGAAACCCCGTCTCTACTAAAAAATACAAAAAATTAGCCGGGCGCGGTGGCGGGCGCCTGTAGTCCCAGTTACTCGGGAGGCTGAGGCAGGAGAATGGCGTGAACTGGGGAGGCGGAGGTTGCAGTGAGCCGAGATCACGCCACTGCACTCCAGCCTGGGCGAAAGAGCGAGACTCAAGTCTCAAAAAAAAAAAAAAAAAAAAGTCCATGACAGGAACAAACTCATATTGAGCCCCTACTGGGCACCTGGCTTTGGCAACACAAAGACGTGGTCCCTGCCTTCGAGGAGTTTAGTTTCTCGATTGGGAGACTGCTGGCTCAGGGGGTACTTAGAAATGCCTGGGGTATCCAGGATGTCCCAGTGACTGAAGGCACTGCTGAGTGTGAGCGAGTGGGGCCAGGGATGTTAAATACCCCGTAACATGTGGGATACTCCTTCATAACGAAGACACAGCCTGCCTCAGACACCACCAGCACCCTCGCTGAGAAACACTGGCAGGAGATAAGTTTGGTCCTCCAGGTCATCTCTTAGAGAAGTCCAGCATTGTCACCTCAGTTTGCAGATGTAGACCCTGAGGCTCAGGAGTTTAACGTACTAGAACCAAAACTGGCAGTAACAGACTCCAGAGTCCATGTTCTTCCTCGGTCTTCGAGGCTGCTCTTCCAAACCTGCAGGGAAAATGGGGAGATGGCTGTGCCAGCCTCTTCAGGGACTCACTGGGCTGTTGGGTGAACAAGCCTGAGAGAGCCACTCCCCAAACAAACAGAAGAAAGAAGAAAGGGCTTCTGGAAACTTGGGAAGGCTCTGGGATGAAACGGTCTGGGAGAGGCAAGGGGGCAGGCGAAGAGCAGAGGGAGGGAGGAA
The DNA here is from genome assembly GCF_000001405.40 of Homo sapiens. Lineage (NCBI taxonomy): Eukaryota > Metazoa > Chordata > Mammalia > Primates > Hominidae > Homo > Homo sapiens. Next base: position 31,653,914 of record NC_000017.11, on the reverse strand, counting down.
ATGAGGGAAATTGGTGTCTTTGGACAGTTTCCAAGTTTCTCAAAGCGCAGTTCTTAAGGAGTCTTGGTGGAGCTCACTGGGGCAGATGGGAGTCCCTGTAGTCCACCCACCCCGTAACAGCCCATTTCCAAAAGAACAACAGAAAGGATCAGATTTTGTTCCACACTGACCCCTCTCCTAGGGAGCCTTGGAGAACCGCTGCCTTAACGATTTTGGCTGCTGTTCCTGGTTCCAGGATACGGAGAGGGGAGAGGGGAGAGTGGAAGGGCCGCCAACCCCTGCTCCACTGAGCGGCCCTGTCCTGGGAGGACTAGCACATCTCCCTCCGGGTGCCCTGGCTTCCCCCAGAGCATAAATATGAATAGCACGTAAAAGCACTGTTTTAGTCCAGTAGGGTTGGGGAGCTTACAAACAACAAAAATTTATTTCTCACAGTTCTGGAGGCTAGGGAGTTTAAGACCTGGCGCCTATTTCATAGATGGCAACTTTTAGCTGTGTTCTCACATGGTGGAAGGGGTGAGGGGTCTCTTGATATAATTTGGATGTTTTTCTACTGCAAATCGCATGTTGAAATGTGAAAGCTAGTGTTGGAGGTGGGGGCTCAGGGAAGGTGTTTGGGTCATTCCCTCATGAATGGCTTGGTGCCCTCTCCTTGGTGATGAATGAGTTCCCACTGTTCACACGAGAACTCGTTATTTAAAGGAGCCTGGCACCTTCTTCTCCTCTCTCTCTCTCTCTCCCCCCACCCCCTTGCCCTTTCTCTTGCCATGTGACACACCTGCTCCCCCTCCACCTTCCTCCATGAGAAAAAGCTTCCTGAGGCCTCACCAGGAGCTGAGTGGTGTTGGTGCCATGCTTGTACAGCCTGCAGAGCTGCGACCCAAATAAACCTGTTTTCTTTGAAAATTACCCAGCCTCAGGTCTTCCTTTATAGCAACACAAAATGGACTAACACATCCCCTTTATGAGGACTCTCATCTCATGACCTAATCACCTTCTAGAGGCTCCCCCTCCTAATACCATCATCTAGGGAGTCAGCATTTCAACAAATTTTGGGGAGACACAAACATCAGATCACAGAAAGTACTTAGGTTGAAGACCTTGAACCTTATCCACCCCCCAGACTTTGCATCAAACAGTGTGTTCTGAGTGGAGCTGCCTCCCTGTGGGACTGATGGAAGTATAGAATGCAGTGGACACACACTGTGATGAAAATGAGGCTCCAGGACCCGCCATTATGAGCTGTGTGACATTGGGCAGAGGATGGAGGTTCATTCTTTCATGCTCTTCTTTCTTTTTTTTTTTTTTTTTTTGAGACAGAGTCTGGCTCTGTTGCCAGTCTGGAGTGCGGTGGCACCATCTCTGCTCTCTGCAACCTCCACCTGTCAGGTTCAAGTGATTCTCCTGCCTCAGCCTCCCAAGTAGCTGGGACTACAGGTGCCCGCCACCATGCCCAGCTAATTTTTTTTTTTTTGAGACGGAGTCTCGCTCAACTGTTGCCCAGGCTAGAATGCAGTCGTGCGATCTTGGCTCACTGCAAACTCTGCCTCCCAGGTTCAAGCAATTCCCTGCCTCAGCCTCCCAAGTAGCTGGGATTACAGGCGCCCACCACCATGACCAGCTAATTTTTTTTTTTTTGTATTTTTAGTACAGACGGGGTTTCACCATCTTGGCCAGGCTGGTCTTGAACTCCTGACCTCGTGATCCACCTGCCTCGGCCTCCCAAAATGCTGGGATTACAGGCGTGAGCCACTGTGCCAGGCCCCATGCTCTTTTCTTTCTTCCTCCCTCCCTTCCTCCCTTCCTTCTTTCCTTCCTTCCTTCCTTCCTCCTCTCTTTTTGTCTCTCTTTCTTTTCATAAAATGAAGTCTTTTTAGCATCAGAATATCAAGCACTTCCTAGCTCTGCCAAATTTCGGCACTTTACCATATTTATTTCATATCTTAAATAGAAGGAACATAACCTCACAGACACACTTAAAGCTCTCCATAAGCCCTCCCTAGTGTCATTCACCCCCATCCTCCTGCCCGCTCCACAGGAGACTGGTATCCTGAATTTGTTGTTTCTCATTCTGCACGTTTGTACTTTAAATGTATGCGTGCACCCATAAACAACACATGGCATTGTTTTGCATGAGTTTAACTTTTTCATAAAAGGTATCATGTGCACTCTCATTTTTTCATGCAATATTTTGTTATTGAGCTCTACACTTGCTGACTATGTAGCTCTGATTAATTAATTTTAAGAGCTACATAGTATTCCATCACATGACAATTCCACAATTTATTTACCCATGTTCCTATTGATGGACATTTGCTTGTTTCTAATTTTTGCGATCACAGTCGATGCTTCAGTAAAAATATATATGCCTGTGTCATTGTGCCCATGGGAGGGAGTTTTTTTAGAGTGTACACCTAGGAGAAGAATTTCTGTGTTTCAGTTACCTATTGCTGTATAACAAATCACCTCAAAACCTATAGCTCACAGTGATCATAATTCATTACTGTGGATGGGTCTTCTGTTGCACATGGTGTCAGCTGGAGCACTGGGACAGCTGGAAGTTCCAGAATGGCCTCCCTCGCAGGGTTGGTGCCTCAGTGCTCCTCTCTGTGGTCTTTCCACAGAAGGGAGCTTGGACTTCCTCACAGCATGATGTCGAGTTCCAAAAAGAAGGAACATTTAAACACAAAGGGGGAGGCTGCAGATCTCTTAGGGCTTGGCCTTGAAATTACAGCTCCTGAAAGCTTTCATTCAGAGAACTAGATGGGCATCTTGGCCCACGAGAGAGTACAAATTCTAAACAATCCTGGCATAAAATCTTCTCCTAGGAGCTGTTTCAATTTTAGGCAATTAATCATTCATCTTATAATAGCTGAAATTATTAGCTCCCAACCTAGGATTATCCTAGAATTAAAGAGGGAGAGACTCAGTGACACAACATTACTTCTGTTGCATTCTTTTGGTCAGAAGAAGTTACAGTCCAGCCCAGATTCGAGGAGAATCAAAATAGACTCCACCTGTCACTGGGATGAGTGGCAAAGAATTTATATTCACCTTTAATTCACTGCACTTGGGTCATTGCCCCCGCACATTTTAAACTTTATGAAATAATGCCAAATTGCTTCCAAAAGAGATGTTCCAATTTATAGTACTGTCATCTGTGTATAAAAGTTTCTGTCTTTCCATAATCCTCGCCTGGTGCTTGGTATTGTCAAATTAAAACATGTTTGCCAAGCTGGTGGGTGTGAAATGGTGTCTCAGTGTTGTTTAAAATTTCATTTCGCAGGTGAAGTTAACCTTTCATGTGCTTATTGACATTTATTGGGCTTCCTCTTCTATGGTCTACATTTCATATTCTTTGCCCTGCAGTTCATATTATTTTCTCATTTCAATTTTTTTTTTTTGAGATAGAGTCTTGCTCTGTCGCCCAGACTGGAGGGCAGTGGTGCGATCTCGGCTCACTGCAAACTCCACCTCCTGGCTTCGAGTGATTCTACCGTGTCAGCCTCCTGAGTAGCTGGGATTACAGGCTTACACCACCACACCTGGTTACTCATTTTAAAATCAATGTATCCTTTTCTTTTTGATTTGTTGGAGTTCTTTATATATTCTGGGAGCTACTCCTTTGTCAATTTCATGTATTACAAATACCAAAGTCCCTGGAGAAGGCTAGGGTAGGAGCTGGGATAGAGAGTATAAGTGGAGTCAGCCAGGGGGCTGGGAAGTGGTTGGCAGCTGCACCAGGGAATCAGGGAGGTGGGCAGTGACTGGGACCTGGACATGCAGGCCCCAAAAGGCTCCAGGGAGGGATGCATTTGAAGGAGAGTAGCTGACTGTGAGGCTTTTTTTTTTTTTTTTGAGACACAGTCTCACTCTGTCGCCCAGGCTAGAGTGCAATGGTGCCATTTTTGCTCACTGCAACCTCTGCCTCCTGGGTTCAAACGATTCTTCTGCATCGGCTTCCCAAGTAGCTGGGACTACAGGTGTGCACCACCATGCCTGGCTAATTTTTGTATTTTTAGTAGAGATCGGGGGGGGGGGTTTCACCATGTTGGCCAGGCTGGCCTCGAACTCCTGACCTCAAGTGATCCACCCGCCTTGGCCTCCCAGAGTGCTGGGATTACAGGTGTGAGCCACTGTGCCCGGCCCACTGTGAGGTTTTTGATGTGGTGGCGTGAGCTCACGGCACGAGGTACTCATGGAGCCCTTGCAGCCTGCAGGACTGCCCTGTGGAAAGAGAAAAGGCCTGAGAGAATGGTGCCCCTGACTCAGGAAGACTCATGTGCCAGTGGAGTGGGTGAGGATCATCCTGCAATGTAGCTAAGTGACCCAAATCAGCCCCTCCAGGGAGGCTGGGGAGGTAGCACCCATGTAAGCCCTGCTGCTCCTGCCGCTTGACACAGCTTGTTTTCTGCCTCTCCAAGTGTTAGTCAGACTCTTGAGGAGCCAGTCATTTAAGGTGCTCAGCCTATAATTGAGAGGCTCTGTTCCCAGGCTGGGCTGGACTGTGGGCCACGGACATCTGGGTCTGTGATACTTACTCTTCTGGAGGCCAGGCAGAGGAGAGGGGCAGCCCTGGTGGGGAACAGACCAGTACGGAATTTTGTTAAAATGTAAAAATGTTAAAACACATTTTACACATTTTACATTAAAACAGACTCAGTAACAAGACAGAAGTGCCTCAAGGTCCCCCAGGGGATTAGTTTTTAATAATTCCTCTTCTAGATGAGTGTGAAGTTTTATATATATATATATATATATATTTTTTTTTTTTTTTGAGATGGAGTCTCATTCTGTCGCCCAGGCTGGGGTGAAGTGGCACAATCATAGCCCACTACAGCCTCGAACTCCTAGGCTCAAGCAATCTTCCCACCTCAACATCCCGAGTAGCTGGGACCACAGGCACCCGTCACCACATCCAGCTGATTTTTCATAGTTTTAGTAGAGAAGGGGTTTCACCCTGTTGGCCAGAATGGTCTCGAACTCCTGACCTCGAGTGATCCTCCTACCTCGGCCTCCAAAAGTGTTGGGATTACAGGCATGAGCCACCATAACTGGCCATATATAAATATTTTTATCGCAGTATCATTTGTATGTGTTTAAAGAAACTAAATAGTCAATATTAAGGCATTGGGTGAAGTAATTATGGCACATGTGTCATGTGATGTTTCATGGAGCCATTTGGAATGTCGTCACAAATGATCATTTAATTTCTTGGGGAATTACATACATTGCTGAATTTCTTTCCCGAAGGGTAATGCCCTTCCTTCACTTTCACCAATATTTTGTATTATCATTTAAACATTTATGCAAAATGACATATTCTTGCTATTTTAAATTTGCCTTTGTTTGATAACTATAACTGAACGTTTTAATTAAACATCAGTTACTTGTTCTTATTCTTTTGTGATTTGTCTATTCAAGCATCCATCTATTTCTATCAGAATGTCCATCTTTTTCCTACTAAACTTTTAGTATGTATTTTGTATTTTGAAGCCATCTCAAATTTACAGAAAAGTTGTGAATACAGGGTAAAGTCTTTTATTTCCTGAACCACTTGAGATCTGATGTACCATACCACCCTGCCTCCAAATACTGCACTATTAAAGAAAGGGTGCTGTGGCTCACACCTGTAATCCCAGCACTTTGGGAGGCCAAGGCAGGTGGATCACTTGAGGTCAGGAGTTTGAGACCAGCCTGGCCACACATGGTGAAACCCCGTCTCTACTAAAAATACAAAAATTAGCCGGGTGTGGTGGTGTGTGCCTGTAATCCCAGCTACTCAGGAGGCTGAGGCAGGAGAATCACTTGAATCCAGGAGGCAGAGGTTGCAGTAAGCCAAGATCACGCCACTGCACTCCAGCCTGGGCAAAAAGAGACTCCATCAAAAAAGCAAAAACAAAAAACTTCACTGTATGTTTCCTACATTGCCACAGTCCTACTGGCAAAATCAGGAAATGAACATTGATATTTGTGACAGATTGTAGTTTCCAAAGACAGCTGCAGCAGTATGTTAAACCTCACATATTCTTTTTCAACGTGACCTCAACACTCCTCCATAGAGAGATGAGGGTCTATATCTCCTTCCTCTTTAATTTGGGCAGGTTTTTGACTTGCTTGTAACCAACAGAAGGTGGCTTCAATGGCCAAGACAGGAAAGGTGATGCAACTTCTGCCTTGTTTGCTGGAATATTTGTTCTTGGAGCCCACAGCCTCCATGTAAGAAATCTGACTGAGGCCACCATGTTGTGAGGAAGCTGGATATATGGAGAGGACACCTGTAGGTGCCCCTGTCAGCAGTCTTGGTCTTGGAGTTTTCCCAACCCAGGCACCAGGCATGTGAGTTTGTCACACAGAAAGCCAATCACTGAGACACCAAGTATTGCCAAGGTAGAAGGCTTTAATCAGGTGCTGCGGCAGAGGAGATGGGAGCTCAGCCTCAAATCCATCTCCCTGACTGACTAAAACTAGAGGTTTATATAGCAGAGAAGAAATGTAACAATGTGTAAGAAAATAAGAAGTAGGGAGGGCCAAGGAGGCATCTGGTGAGTGAGCAAGACTTTAGATGGTTCCAGAGACCCTAGCCATAGAATTACCCCCAGGCTCAAGTTTTCTCAGATGAGGCCCCAGACCTCCTGGGGCAAAGACAAACTGTCCCTGTTGAGCCCTTTCTGAATTCCTGACCCACAAATGTCTGGTGCTAAATTTCACTAAGTGGTCTGTTATTCAGCTATGATAGCTTGAGTAATACACTGCTTCCATCAAATCCTCAGACTTTATTTAAGCTTGACCTCCTGTTCTCAAAATATTCTTTATAGTAGAAGGATCCACTTCAGGACCAACCTCAGTCTACTCCAGTCTGAACCAGTTCCTCAGTCTTGACAAAACTCATATTACTGAAACTTGCCCAGTAGGCCCATAGACAGTTGTTTTTGGATAAATATAGAAATTGACCCTTCTGCTGTTACAGCTTGAAATTTGTATCTGTTTTATCCAACTTCCTTCCTCAGGAAAGGACCTTTAGGCCTCTCAAGAAAAGGATCAAAGAACTGAAACTCACCTGATCACCACCAGATACCTCCTTGGCCCTTCCTAGTTCTTGTTTTCTTATACATTGTTACATTTCTTCCCTGCTGTATAAACCCCTAGTTTTAGTCAATCAGGGAGATAGATTTGAGGCTGAGCTCCCATCTCCTCTGCTGCAGCACCCGATAAAGCCTTCTTCCTTGGCAATACTTAGTGTCTCAGTGATTGCCTTTCTGTGCCACGAGGAGCAGGACCTAGACCAAATGCCCAGTGTTTTGGTAACATTACCTTGATGCTTTTGAAGATTATAGACCAGCTATTTTGCAGCATGTGCCTCACTTTGGGTTTGTGTGTTGTTCCTTCATGACGGGATTCAGTTATGTATCTTTGGCAGTGATACCACAAATGTGCTAACATGTTCTTATTGCATCCTATCAAGTGGCTTTCAATGTATTCATTTCTATTCATACAAATGCATAGTTTGTTATTTTATCTAATGAATTATAATCTGTTGCGCTCATTATTTATTTTGATGCTTAAATTGCCACAGATTTCGCTAGCAGGGGCCCTTGAAGGTGAATGCTACGCCCTGTTGACATATTTCTCATTCTTAGAGCACTTTCTTTCGCTTTCAGGCTCATCTTGTACTCTCCCCGCAAGTCTTAGAATCAGCCACTTTCCCAGGGAGATCTGGTTGCTTTTTTGGGGAATGGTATGTAGAAGCCAAAATCTGGGCATTACATGTGCTCATTGTTCTTAGGGCGTTACTGCTCCCAGTCCAGAGCTAGGAACTATGTATTTATATGTTATATACATATACACACTTATATTTATATATCAACATGTGTATTGAAAAATCATGAATTCACACTAATACCTCTCATTTCAATCCAGTGCCCCCGGACTTATTAACATTTTCTTTCTTCCATATTTGTAACTCCCTTCTCTGTCTTCACTGTTAGAGGGTAATCAGGTTCCTGTTATCTTTATTTGATCAAGTCTCCTGTTTGTAGTCACTCTTCCATCACCAGTGCTGCCTCCTTCCCCTTCACTCTTCTTGGGCTCTAAAATCTTGTGTCAAGGTGCCAGTGACCCCTCCCTACATAGACACTCTCTTCCCCTCACCTGTGTTTCAACATCACTCACTGGGCCACTGGGATGGGCGCTCTCCTCACCCCACCAGGCTCCAGCATCCCATGTTTAGCCACACCTCCCACTGCCTAGCATGCTCCTCACCCCACTCAGACACTGAGCTCCCATGCTGGGCTTCTCCCTGACCCATCCCTGCATGGAAATGCCCCTTGCTATGCTTGGGATCTGATACCATATGCTGGACTGCCCCCATGTGGATGCCCTCCCTGCCCTGCTAGCGTGTCTCCCCACCCCAACCCTCTCAAGCCTGACTTCTTGCACCAGGCACCCTTTGGGGGAACATCCTCCTTACTCTATGTGGGCTCCCACACCCATGCTGCACTGGCCTCCTCTACTGGCCCCCTCCTCGCCCTGCTCTGCCTCTAGCACCCCATGTGGGCCAGTTCTCTGTGGATGCCGTTTTCACCCTGTTTGGGATCTGACAGTCTGCTCTGGGCCACTGGGGCTCTCCAACACCCCCACCATTGAGGGGGTCTATATATAGAGAGACAGAGAGAGAGAGAGAGAGAAAGAAAGAGAGAGAGATCTTCTACTAGAGGATCCAAACTAATCTTTTAACCTATCTTTTTCCTCTGTCATTTGTTCTATTCAGGCCAGGATGAGATGATTCCCATCAATGCAGGGGAGGGAAATCTGCTTTACCAAGTCCACTAATTTGAATGCTAATCTTACCCAGAAAGACCCTCACAGACACACCCAGAAATGTTTAATCTGAGCATTCCATGGCCCTGTCAAGTTGACATGTAAAATTAACTGTCATGAATCATAATCCTTTGTCAATTACATATACTATATTGCATTTATTTTTCCTAGTTTGTTGTTTGCCTTTTAATTCTGTTAATTTGTTCATTTTTGGTTAAAAATTACTTATCTCATGTTCAATCTGTAAATGTTTATTATAGAAAAATGATGAAATACAGAGAAGCAAAAGAAAACTCAATCATAATCGAATTGTCCAAAGACAAGCTAATGTTAGTGTTATTTTCCGGATGCTTTCTTTTTCTTTTTTTTCTTAAGACAGAGTCTTCTCTGTTGCCTAGACTGGGGTGCAGTAGCATTATCTCAGCTCACTGCAACCTTCATCTCCCAGACTGAAGTGATTCTCTCACCTCAGCCTCCCAAGCAGCTGGGACTACAGGCATGTGCCACCATCCCCAGCTATTTTTTTTTTTTTGTATTTTTAGTAGAGACAGGGTTTGCCACGTTGCACAGGACTTAGCCTCCCAAAGTGCTGCAGTTATAGGGGTGAGCCACGACACTTGGCCTCAGATACTTTTTTATACTTTTTTTTTTGCATCGTTCATATTTTCTTTAGGGTTAAAAATATTAAGTATTTACAATATGCTGGTAGAGAGTGAAGAATGAAGATATATACACTAGTCTTCATCTATTATAGGAAACTTTTTAAAAAACCATCATAATAAAATGCAAAACAGCAGTAATTATGACAATCAGTAAAAATATGAAGAGATTTCTGGATTATTGGGCAGGACCTCTGTGCTATCTCCTGAATGCCTACAGACAACATTAATAATAATAATAATAATAATAATAATAATAATATGGTACTGATAATTGTCATTTCAACAATTGATCTACTGACAGGTTACCCTTGGAAAAAAAATCTTATAGTTTTTCTACACATCTTTAAACAACATTAGATCAATATTTTAGAACCTGTTCTTTTCACTTGACAATGTGTCACACACTTCATCATGACAGTGTTACTGGAAAGGGGTCCTGATCCAGACTCCAAGAGAGAGTTCTTGGACCTCGAGCAAGAAAGAATTTGGGGCAAGTCCATAGAGTAAAGTGAAAGCAAGTTTATTAAGAAAGTAAAGGAATACACTTTGGGAGGCTCAGGCAGGTGGGTTACCTGAGGTCGGGAGTTCAAGACCAGCCTGACCAACTGGAGAAACCCCATCTCTACTAAAAAAAACAAAATTAGCTGGGCATGGTGGTGCATGCCCATAATCCTGTGTCTGAAATTTATTACTTCTGGTGGGTTCCTGGTCTCGCTGACTTCAAGAATGAAGCCGCGGACCTTCGCGGTGAGTGTTACAACTCTTAAAGATGGTGTGTCCTGAGCTTGTTCCTTCAGATGTTCGGATGTGTCTGGAGTTTCTTCCTTCCGGCGGGTTTGTGATCTTGCTGACTTCAAGGATGAAGCCATGGACCTTCATGGTGAGTGTTACAGCTCTTAACGGTGGTGCAAACCCAAAAGTGAGCAGCAGCAAGATTTATTGTGAAGAGCGAAAGAACAAAGCTTCCACAGCATGGAAGGGGACCAGAGCAAGTTGCTGCTGCTGGCTCAGGTGGCCAGCTTTTATTCCTTTATTTGGCCCTGCCCACATCCTGCTGATTGGTCCATTTTACAGAGTGCTGATTGGTCCATTTTGCAGAGTACTGATTGGTGCGTTTACAATCCTTTAGCTAGACACAGAGCGCTGATTGGTGTGTTTTTACAGAGTGCTGATTGGTGCATTTACAATCCTTTAGCTAGACACAGAGCACTGATTTGTGCATTTACAATCCTTTAGACAGAAAAGTTCTCCAAGTCCCCACTTGACCCAGGAAGTCCAGCTGGCTTCACCTCTCAATCCCAGGTACTCGGAAGGCTGAGGCAGGAGAATCGCTTGAACCTGGGAGGTGGTGGTTGTGGTGAGTTGAGATGGTGCCATTATACTCCAGCCTGGGCAACAAGAGCAAAACTGCATCTCAAAAAAAAAAAAAAAAGAAAGAAAGGAAAGGAATAAAAGAATGGCTACTCCATATGCAGAGCAACCCCAAGAGCTGCTGGCTGTCCACTTTTATGGTCATTTCCTGATTATATGCAAAACAAGGGGTGGATTATTCATGAGTATTCCAGGAAAGGGGTGAGCAATTCCTGGAACTGAGGGTTCCTCCCCTTTTTAGACCATATAGGACAACTTCCTGACATTGCCACGGCATTTGTAAACTATGTCACTGGTGGGAGTGTCTTTTAGCATGCTAATACATTATAATTAGTGTGTAATGAGCAGTGAGGATGACCAGAGGTCACTTGGGTTGCCATCTTAGTTTTGGTAGGTTTTGGTTGGCTTCTTTACTGCAAGCTGTTTTGTCAGCAGGGTCTTTGTGACTGTATCTTGTTCTGACCTTCTATCTCATCCTGTGATTAAGAATGTCTGACCTCCTGGGAATGCATCCCAGTAGGTCTCAGCCTTACTTTACCCAGCCCCTATTCAAGATGGAGTCACTGTGGTTCAAACACCTCTGACAATGGTACATATTAATTTTAAAAACCATTTTAAAAAGCAAGACAGGCTGGGTGCAGTGGCTCACACCTGTAATCCCAGCACTTTGGGAGGATGAGGCAGGTGGATTACCTGATGTCAGGAGCTCGAGACCAGCCTGGCCAACATAGTGAAACCCTGCCTCTACTAAAAATACAAAAAGTAGCTGGGCAGGTGCCAGGTGCCTTACAGTCCCAGCTATTTGGGAGGCTGAGGCAGGAGAATCACTCAAACCCGGGAGGCAGAGGTTGCAGTGAGCCGAGACTGCACCATTGCACTCCAGCCTGGTCAACAAGGGCGAAACTCCGTCTCAAGAAAAAAAAGGGAGCACGACATGTTGAAGCAGCATCGTTGTCTGGGGTAATACCCCAGGTTTGTTGTCCCGCGGCCACAGAAAACTGGGATGCAGACACACCAGAATGAAGGTAAGAGCTGAAGTTTAATAGGCGAAAGAGAAGAGCTCTCTGCTAGAGATGGGTCCCAGAGAAAATGGGTTGCTGCTTCCGTGGTGAAATGCAGAAGGTTTTCCATGCAGAGAGGGATGAGAAAATGGGTTGCTGGTTATGTGGTGAAATGCAGAAGGCTTTATAGATGAGCTTGAGAAGGCGGTGTCTGATTTACATAGGGCACAAAAAGTTTGTTGGACCAGGTGTGCCATTTGCATAGTGCACGAAGAACTGGTTAGGACTAGGTGTGTTGTTGCCATAGCATGTGCAGAAGCTGGCCCCCCACCTGAATCTTGTATTATGCAGATGGGTTCGCTACCTGGCCAGGGCCATGTTGCCTGCTTTTTTACTGTACACGTGGTGACAAAGAAAAGGGAAGCTGGAGCCTCCATGTTGAATATGTCAGGCCCTCAGGGTAGAGCTTTTCTATTGGCACGGCTGCCGGCATTCACCCGTGCAAGCTTCCAGCTTGCTTGTCTATATCTGCAGCTCAACTTTTCAGCCTGCTCTTTATTAGAAAAGAAATTATTTGGGGGCTACTTTTTGTTAAAAGAGAAACCTTGTGGCCGGGCGCAGTGGCTCACGCCTGTAATCCCAACACTTTGGGAGGTCCAGGCGGGTGGATCACCTGAGGTCAGGAGTTAGAGACCAGCCTGGCTAACATGGTGAAACCCTGTCTCTACTAAAAATACAAAAATTAGCAGGGCGTGGTGGCACATGGCTGTAATCCCAGCTACTTGGGAGGCTGAGACAGGAGAATCGCTTGAGCCCAGGAGGTGGGAGTTGCAGTGAGACGAAGTTGCACCACTGCACTCCAGCCTGGGCAACAAGAGCCAAACTCGTCTCAGGGGGAGTGGGGGGCGGGGAAATGGCAGCCAGGACCAGGCAATGGCCTATGCCTGTAATCTCAGCACTTTATGAAGCCGAGGTGGGAGGATCGCTTGATCCCAGGAGCTCAAGACCAGCCAGAGCAACAAAGTGAGACCCTGTCTCTACAAAAAATAGCCCCTGGGCATGGTGGTGCTCACCTGTGGTCCCAGCTATTTGGCAGACTGAGGAGGTGGAGAATCTCTTGAGCCCAGGGGTTGAGGCTGCAATGAGCCTATGATCAAGCCACTGCACTCCAGCCCGGGTGACAGTGAGACACCATCTCTTAAAATTAAAAGGGAGAAAAAAAGATAAAAATAAAGAAGGCAGTCAGGTAATTGAGGCTTATGTGTCATCCTAAGCTACAGAAAGGAACAAGAATTTGAGGCTTTTGAAGGGGCAGGGAAGAGACAAATTATGGGAAACATAAGGGAGGAGTGTGGAGTGTATGGTGAATAAAAGTTGCCTAGTTATGCAGTCTCTCAGGTGTAATCCCAGCACTTCAGGAGGCCAAGGCGGGTGGATCACCTGAGGTCAGGAGTCTGAGACCAACCTGGCCAAAATGGCAAAACCCCATCTCTACTAAAAATACAAAAATACTAAAAATACAAAGTTAGCCAGGCATGGTGGCAGGTACCTGTAATCCCAGCTACTCAGGAGGCTGAGGCAGGAGAATCACTTGAGCCCAGGAGGCAGAGGTTGCAGTGAGCCAAGATTGCACCTCTGCACTCCAGCCTGGGGGACAGGGCAAAACTCCAAATTAAAAAAAAAAAAAAAATTCCTTTATAAAAGTCAATTTCTGGGCTGGGCGCAGTGGCTCATGCCTGTAATCCCAGCACTTTGGGGAGCCCAGGTGGGTGAATCTCCTGAGGTCAGGAGGTCAAGACCAGCCTGGCCAATCTGGTGAAATGCCATCTCTACTAAAAATATAAAAATTATCTGGGCGTGGTGGCAGGCGCCTGTAATCCCAGCTACTTGGGAGGCTGAGGCAGGAGAATTGCTTGAACCCAGGAGGCAGAGGTTGCAGTGAGCTGAGATCACGCCACTGCACTCCAGCCTGGGTAACAGAGTAAGACTCTGTCTTGAGAAAAAAGAAAAAAAGTTAATTTTTTCAGGTGTGGTGGCTCATGCCTGTAATCCCAGCACTTTGGGAGGCTGAGGCAGGTGGATCACCTAAGGTCAGGAGTTCAAGACCAGCCTGGCCAACATGGAGAAACCCCATCTCTACTAAAAATACAAAAATCAGCCAGACATGATGGTGGGCGCCTGTAATCCCAGCTACTCGGGAGGCTGAGACTAGAGAATTACTTGAACCCAGGAGGTGGAGGTTGCAGTGAGCTGAGGTCACGCCACTGCACTCCAGCCTGGGCAACAGAGTGAGACTCTGTCTCAAATAAATAAATAAATAAATAAAAATCAATTTCCTTTACTAAAAGGGAAATCTCTATTTTAGGCAGCTTAGTGAACTGATCGGAGTGGGCGGTAAAGAACTTTTCCTACAATGGCTGATTCTCAATTTCTTTTTGCTCAAAATAATCAATATGCCAAAGTGGAATATTTTGGGGTGACATGCTCTGAACCCCATGGGGGGGCAGATAATAAACAATAAACATAATAAACAAGTAAATTATATAACATGGTAGAAAGTGACAAATAATACTGAGGAAAAAAAGTAGAGCAGGGTTGGGGGAAGAGGGCTGCTGGAGAAGAGTGGGGAGGAGTGGGAAGGTCAGCCAGATACCAGATTTTTAGCCTAAGTGTGAGCTGAAACCCATGCACAGAAGGCACTACTACTGCTGGAGACATTGTCTGGTGTTTAGTACAACACGGCCAGTTTTTCCTCAGTTACTGCAATGGATCATGGTTTCTTTGGTTAAGCTCTGGGGGAAGTAGTTGGCTTGCACTGAGGCCGCACTGTGTGAAATATGATGTCTTTTTTTTTTTTTTTTTGAGACAGAGTTTCTCTTTTGTTGCCCAGGCTAGAGTGCAATGGCGTGATCTTGGCTCACTGCACCCTTTGCCTCCTGGTTTCAAGTGATTCTCCTGTCTCAGCCTCCCACGTAGCTAGGATTACAGGTGCATGCCACCACACCCTGCTAATTTTTGTATTTTTAGTAGAGAAAGAGTTTTGCCAAGACCAGCTTGGTGGTGGACACACTAACCCAGCGGCGCTAGGGGAATTAAAGACACACACCCAGAAATATAAGGTGTGGAGTGGGAAATCAGGGGTCTCACAGCCTTCAGATCTGAGAGCCCCAAACAGAGATTTACCCACATATTTATTGACAGCAAGCCAGTGATAAACATGGTTTCTATAGATTATAGATTAACTAAAAGTATTCCTTATGGGAAACAAAGGGATGGGCTCTCTGGCTAGTTATCTGCAGCAGGAACATGTCCTTAAGGCACAGATCGCTCGTGCTATTGTTTGTGGCTTAGGAACACCTTTAAGTGGTTTTCCACCCTGGGTGGGCCAGGTGTTCCTTGCCCTCATTCTGGTAAACCCACAACCTTCAGCATGGGCATCATGGCCATCATGAACATGTCACAGTGCTGCAGAGATTTTGTTTATGGCCAGTTTGGGGCCAGTTTATGGCCAGATTTGGGGGCCTATCCCCAACATGTCCCCCTTTTTTGTTTTGCAAAGCGATAAAAGCAAAGGCAGTTTTGTCACGGTGAGCTACTTCTCGCAGGAGTCAGGATCCACATCTGCAGACTACAAAAGGACAAACAACACAGACTAAAAAGCACAATCATCATTGAAATCACAGAGCCCCCAAGTGTCTTGATCCATTTTAATGGGCTAATAGCTGCTAATCTGTCTGCGGCTCCTTCATGCACTCTTGTTCCTGGCATTAAGATCAGGTGTGCCTGGGATGCTTTAAATATTTGTTCTTTTAATTTTGCAACATCCAAAGACAAGTTTGTCGAGTGTCCTTCTAGATACTTTTTTATTCTTTCCCAAATTTTGATCTTATTTAAGAGCCATTAATAGTGTCCACAAATCTTTGTGTTTAGCTCCTACAGCAGGCCATATCATTTGAAGTTGAGGTGGCACTGTACCACCATGTTTCCAGATAATAGGAACTCTTGCTGTATTTCTTACCATTTCTACCATCTGACCATTTTGTTTAGACCAGCTGAACATAGTGTGGCCGTGGCATGCAGACTGAGAGGTGAAATTCAAGCTAAACATTCCCTTAGGGGACCAATCAATAATGATTCCATAGGAATTGTTGTGCAGCACTTCTGCCTGTTCTCCAATGCAATCTTCCAATTCTGTTTAGAAATAGGTTTTTGAGGGAGGTATGCCTCAATTATAGGAGCAGATTTATTATGGCAAATACTGAGATCAGAAAGCCTGTGTAACTGTGTCACAGAGTGATTGCATCCAGGCATTATTGCCAGCCAAGATTGATAAATATGCCCAATAAGTATAATTGTTCTCTGTGTCAGCCCTTGTTGAAGGAATACTCATGGCAATGGTGATCACTGCTATCATAGCTATCATTAAATTACTTATTGTGACTGGTTGTCCTGCTTTCCTCAGGTTTTCTTCCACCGTCTGTGACAGCTTCTTGATTTGTCCCCAGGTAGGTGGCTGTGTTTGACAGGTGTTGCTCGTGACAGTTGGGGTCCTCCTCAGCATCAGTCTTGACATGACTGCAACTGGGGGATCCCCCCCGGAATCTCTTCCTCAGCATTTGGCTCATGATAAGGTTTCAGGTGTCTTGATGGTATCCAAATTGATTGTTGATTCTTGCCTGGAGAAACACAAGCATAACCTCTACACCAAGTTATTATTTTACCCGTTTTGTTATTGGATCTCTCCACCAAACCAGAAGTTCTGCTTCTGTCTTTGCAGCTGGTTTCTGTAGATGCTGTTCAGCTGCTGATAGCATCTGGCCTTTAGGCAGGCTCAAAAAATTTAAAGTCAATAATGCTAGATTCAATTGTATATGGGGTGTCCTGTAATCCCTATTTCCCCCTTTTTGCTTTTGCAACTGCTGTTTCAGGGAGGGATTCATTCTTTCTACAATGGCTTGTCCTTGAGAATTAGATGGGATGCCAGTAATGTGTTTAATATTCCATATAGAGAAAAATGTAGCTAGAGCTTTGCTAATATAGCATGGGGCATTATCTGTTTTAATAGAAGCTGGAATGCCCATCACCGCAAAACACTGCAAAAGGTGATGTTTAACACAGGCAGAAGACTCTCCTGATTGGCATGTAGCCCAGATGAAGTGAGAAAAGTTGTCCACACATACATGTACATAAGCTAGTCTCCCAAATGAGGGAACATGTGTGACATCCATTTGCCAAAGAGAATTAGGCTCCAATCCTTGAGGATTAACTCCTCCTGTAAAAGATGAGGAATACACCATTTGGCAAGTTGGGCATTGCTGGATAATAGCTTTAGTTTCTTTCCAGGTAGTGTTGTATCTGCGTTTGAGAGCAGAGGCATTAACATGGGTTAAATTGTGAAAGTGTCTAGCATTAGTTATTGTAATAGCAACTAGGTGATCAGCCATTTGATTCCCTGCAGTTAAAGGTCCTGGAAGAGGTGTATGAGCCCTAATGTAAGTGATGTAAAACAGGTGCATTCCATTCCTAACTGCTGTTTGCAATTGGGTAAATAAAGTCATCAGTTGTTCATCTGTATGAAATCATAACCGAGCATTTTCAATTAATTGTGTGGAATGAACCATGTATGAAGAATCAGAAATCACATTAATAGGCATATCAAAAGCAGTCAACACCTCAATTACAGCTACAAGCTCCACTTTTTGAACTGAGGTATAGGGTGTCTGGAAAACTTTACATTTTGACCCAGAATAAGAAGCTTTACCATTACTAGACCCATCTGTAAAAATATTCTCAGCACCTTCAATTTGTTTAAATTTAGTTATTTTAGGGAGAATCCAATTAGTTAATTTCAAAAATTGAAATAAAAATTTTGTTTTAGGAAAATGATTATTGAGAATACCCACAAAGTCAGCTAAATGTGTTTGCCAAGTAAGACTATTTATAAAAGCTTGCTGTATTTGTGCCTTCGTGAGAGGGACAATAATTTTTCCAGGATCATATCCATGTAATTTAACAATCCGAGTTCCCCCATTTCCTATTATAGTAGTGATTTGATCCAAATAAAGAATCAAAGTCCAAGAATTAGTACGTAGAAGAAAAAGCCACTCTACAAGATCTTGCTCTTGAACAATAACACCAGTAGGTGAATGCTGAGTTGAAAAAAATAGCAAATCTAGAGTCTTCTCTGGATCTATTCTATTTATTTGAGCTTTATAGACTTGCTTTTTGATTAGCTGCAGCTCTGCCTCAGCTTCTTTTGTTAATTGCCAAGGGCTAGCGAGATTAGGATCTCCACTAAGGATAGAAAATAGATTACTCATGGCACAGGTAGGAAGGCCTAGAACAGGTCGTATCCAATTAATGTCCCCTAGTAATTTTCAAAAGTCGTTTAATGTTTTCAATTGATCCCTATATATGGTTACTTTCTGTGGCACAATGGTGGTGTCATTTACTAAGGTCCCCAAGTAGGAGTAAGGAGTAGTAGTCTGAATTTTGTCAGGAGCTATAATTAAACCAGTGCAAGAAATCAAATTTTGCAAGTGATCATAACATTGGAGTAATATTTCTTGAGTGGGAGCAGCACAAATATATCATCCATATAATGAATAATGTAACACTGTGAAAATTTTTTATGAATGGGTTCAATTGCTTGCCCTACATAAGTATGGCAAATTGTTGGACTGTTTAACATGCCTTGTGGCAACACTTTCCAGTGAAAATGCTTAGCAGGCTGCAGATTGTTTACTGTAGGAATTGTAAATGCAAACCATTCACAGTCTTGCTCAGCTAAGGGGATAGTAAAGAAACAGTCTTTTAAATCTACGACTATTAAAGGCTGATATTTTGGAATCATAGCAGGAGAAGGCAATCCTGGCTGTAATGTCCCCATAGGTTGTATAAATGAATTAATGGCTCTAAGATCTGTCAGCATTCTCCAATTACCTGATTTTTTCTTAATTACAAAAACTGGAGAATTCCAAAGGGAAAATGTTGGAGCTATGTGTCTTTTTTCTAACTGTTCAGCAGTGAAGTCCTCTAAAGCCTCCTGTTTCTCTTTACTCAGTGGCTATTGTTCTATCCAAATTGGCATATCTGTTAACCATTTTAAAGGTATAGGTTCTGGAGGCTTAACAATGGCTGCCATCAAAAATTATATTCTAAACCTTGGTTGGAACTTTGTCTTTCCACTTGAAGCTGTTCCTTCAAACCTTGCAAATTTTTTCCTAGTCCCATACCAGGGACATACCCCATTGTTGTAATAAATCTTTTCCCCACAAATTTATAGGTACAATTGGTTGAATAGTCCCAGGTTGTCCATCTGACCCTTCACAATGCAAAATATAACTATTTTGATATACCTCAGGGGCTTTATCAACTCCAACTATGTTAAATTGAGCAGGTTGAACTGGCCACATGGATGGCCAGTGCTGTAGAGAAATGACTGAAATGTCCACTCCTGTATCTACCAAACCTTTAAATTTCTTTCCCTGAATAGTTATTTCACAGGTAGGACATTTATCAGTAATTTGATTCACCCAGTAAGCTGCTTTGCCTTGTTTATTTGTGTTTCCAAACCCTCCTGTTCATTTAATTTCATTTTCCCCATTTCCGCATATGGCACAATCAGGAGCTGTGCTATATGCTCTCCTGGCTCTGCTTTCCAGGCAACAGAAGTAGATGTAACAATTTGAATTTCCCCATTGTAATCTGAATCAATGACTCCTGTATGTACTTGCACTCCTTTTAAATTTAAACTAGACCTGCTTAGAAGTAATCCTGCCGTCCCCGCTGGCAACATCTGACTGGAGACAGCAAGATTCTTTAACAGTCCCATTACAAAAGGAGAACCTGGTCTATATTAATTAATAGCTTGTTTAAATTCTTTGAGTAATTTACAAGGAAAAAGCTCAAATATAACTATAATATTTCCCTGTTGATCGTGGGGGTGTATCCTAACAGAGAACTGCCAGGCCTCTAAATCACCCTCTCTTCTAGCTTGCTGAATTCCTGCCTGAATAGAACTGAGAGTGGTCACTCGAGGCACTGCTCAAACAGTCACTGGGGCAACTACTTTTTGCCCAGTGTCCTCCAGAAAAGAAAGATCTGGAGGGTCAGGCCACTCTTTTTCTTTGAAATAATGAGGGGGTACAGAAGGGTAGGGACAAACCTCTCCCTCCTTTGCTGCTTTAGCTTTAGCTGGCAAACAAACCTGCTCTGTTACTTCATTATACTCTCCTTCCTCCTCATCGTTAGTGTGAAAAGGTTCCAAGGTGGAATTAACCAGAACCTACATTTGTCCCATTGTTACCCTGATGCTTCCTAGCTCCCCTTCTTATTCACCACGGGGATTGCTTAAGAGTACTCAGGTGTCCTCCAGCTTAGTTCCATGTTCTCCAATGTCACTCTGGTGACCCTTCAACCTGGGTTTGAGCCCCATGTATGGGCACCACTTGCCGAGACCAGCTCGGTCGTGGAGACCCTAACCCAGCAGCACTAGAGGAATTAAAGACACACATACAGAAATATAGGGTGTGGAGTGGGAAATCAGGGGTCTCACAGCCTTCAGATCTGAGAGCCCCAGAGATTTACCCACATATTTATTGACAGCAAGCCAGTGATAAACATTGTTTCTATAGGTTATAGATTAACTAAAAGTATTCCTTAGGGGAAACAAAGGGATGGACTGAAACAAAGGGATGGGCTCTGGCTAGTTATCTGCAGCAAGAACATGTCCTTAAGGCACAGATCACTCATGCTATTATTTGTGGCTTAGGAATGCCTTAAGTGGTTTTCTGCCCTGGGTGGGCCAGGTGTTCCTTGCCCTCATTCTGGTAAACCCACAACCTTCAGCGTAGGCATCGTGGTCATCACGAACATGTCACAGTGCTGCAGAGATTTTGTTTACGGCCAGTTTTGGTGCCAGTTTATGGCCAGATTTGGGGTCCTATCCCCACAGAGTTTCATCATATTGGTCAGGCTAGTCTTGAGTGCCTGACCTCAGGTGATCCACCCACCTCAGCCTCCTAAAGTACTGGGATTAAAGGTGTGAGCCACTGCACCCAGCTGTGATCTGTCTTTTAATGTTAGAATCACACTCAGCTCAACAAGATGCCAACTCCATGACACTCAGGGTGTGAGAGCTGCTGAGGGGACACAATAGTTGTTCCCAACTCCCCATCCCCCACACTCAATAGTTCACTGAGTGGAAGAGGAATCAAAAAGCTTTACACAACTTAAAATTTTTTCTGTGGCCATATGTGTATCTATATCTTCTTACAGACCTCAATTTGTGTTTCACATTTACCTCCTTAATCGCTGAGGGATTCAGGATTTGGAATAGGATATTATGGTGAAGTTCTAACTTTACTTTTTTTTCTCAAAGTGTTCACAAAATTGAATCATTCTTTTTTTCCTCTTAATCTGGAGCATCACTTTGTTGTATTCTGAACTGAATATTTGAGGGCACACCACTAAACACCCGCTTTGAAAGTTTACACTAATTCCTTAATCATTCCTCTTTGAAGGTGTTCTGCCTCCCTTGACCTCACATGATTTTACTATTAACCAGTCACACTTTTCCATTTGCCTGTAAAGATACCCTGTGTCATGCGCATCTGTGTGAAGAGTCCACCAAACAGGCTTTTTGTGAGCAACAAGGCTGTTTATTTCAACTGGGTGCAGGTGGGCTGAGTCCGAAAAAGGAGTCAGCAAAGGGTGGTGGGATTATCATTAGTTCTTACAGGTTTGGGATAGGCGTACAAAGGACATTCTCAAGGGTGGGGAGAATATTACAAAGTACCTTCTTAAGGGTGGGGGAGAATATATTGTATCAGTTAGGGTGGGGCAGGAACAAATCACAATGGTGGAATGCCATCAGTTCAGGCTATTTTCACTTATTTTGTGGATCTTCAGTTGCTTCAGGCCATCTGGTCACAGAGGATATGATGGCTTAGCTTGGGCTCAGAGGCCTGACACCCTGAGTGACTTGGCAAATTCTTTGCTGAAATTCAGAGGCAGTGATATGTCAAATTAAACTAAATTTAGCCTGAGGATTTCTCTGTACCTTGAGCCCATAATTAACTGCAACCTAACAGTATGTAAACAAACCAAAATCCTAACTTATGAGTAAATATTTTGTGTAACGATTGTCAGAGTCTCGGCCAATCACAGCAGCCAAGCTTCAGCCAATCTCAGGATGCCAACAGATCAAACCACGTTCAAACAAGGTGAACTCAGAGCTGTAACCAGTCAAGCTGTTTCTGTATCTCATTTCCATTTTGTGTACATAAATACTCCCGGACCTCGTTGCGGAGTTCTCTGAACCCCTTCTGGTTCTGAGGGCTGCCCAATTCACAAACTGTTCTTTGCTCCATTAAACGCTGTTAAAATTAATTCATCTAAAGTTTTTCTTGGCTGGGCATGGCAGCTCACACCTGTAACCCAGTACTTTGGGAGGCTGAGGCCAGCGAATCTCTTGAGGTCAGGAGTTCGAGACCAGCCTGGCCAAGATGGTGAAACCGTGCCTCTACTAAAAGTACAAAAATTAGCCAGGCATGCACGCCTGTAGTCTCAGGTACTCGGGAGGCTGAGGCAGGAGAATTGCTTGAATCTGGGAGGCAGAGATTGCAGTGAGCTGAGATCCTGCCTCTGCACTCCAGCCTGGGCAACAGAATGCGACTCCATCTCGAAAATATGTATATATCCACCATTGTGATTTGTTCCTGCCCCACCCTAACTGATATGATATATTCTCCTTCACCCTTAAGTAGGTACTTTGTAATATTCTCCCTGCCCTTGAGAATGTACTTTGTACACCTATCCCAAACCTATAAGAACTAATGATAATCCCACCATCCTTTGCTGACTTCTTTTTCGGACTCAGCCCACCTGCACCCAGGTGAAATAAACAGCCTTGTTGCTCACACAAAGCCTGTTTGGTGGACTCTTCACACGGACGCGTGTGACATTTGGTGCCGAAGACCTGGGATAGGAGGACTCCTTTGGGAGACCAGTCCCCTGTCCTTGCCCTCACTCCGTGGGGAGATCCGCCTACCACCTCAGGTCCTCAGACCAACCAGCCCAAGGAACATCTCTCCAATTTCAAATCGGGTAAGTGGTATATATATATATAAAATAAAACTTTTCTTTTAACAGGTATAATAATATATATATTTTGAGTGGGAGTCTCACTCTGTCACCCAGGCTGGAGTGCAGTGATGCAATCTCAGCTCACTGCAACTTCCGTCCCTGCCCCCAACCCTGGGTTCAAGCGATTCTCCAGCCTCAGCCTCCCGAGTAGCTGGGACTACAGGCATGTGCCATCCCACCCGGCTGGTATTTCTTTTTTTTATTTTTAGTAGAGATGGGGTTTCACCATGTTGGCCAGGCTGGTCTTGAACTCCTGACCTCAAGTGATCTGCCCACCTCGGCCTCCCAAAGTGCTGGGATTATAGGCATGAACCACTGCGCCTGGCTTTTTATGGTGTTTTTGAGGTATAGAGGCTGCCAAAGGCAATGCTAAGTAAAAACAGGTATACATCATTTCAGAGCCTTAAATCCACGAGTGCTGGGAAAGAGGAGGATGAGAAATGAGGATAAGCAGAGGCACTGGGGACGAGGAAGGACAGGCATGGAGAATGGGGGGAGTGAGGAAATACTGCCCTCACTCTTTATCCAGAGCCATGGGCTAGTCTAGTTCATACTTCTGACTTGGCCCTACTCCTGGGACGCCGATCAGGTGCTGAATCACTGCCAGGATTCTTCTTGCCCAAAGCCTGTTGGGGTAAGCTTGCACTTACCCAAGATGTGCAAGCAGATGGCTTGCAGATGGCTGGCAGACTAGGTCTGTGGGGGTGATTAATTCTGGTCACCACCCATTCCTGGTTCCTCATCCTCCCCAAGCATTTGTTCACTATCATTGAAGTTAAGCTTGGCCATGAGACTTGCCTTGTTACTCCTGGGTGATGTTTTCTGAGCCAACATGTGGCTCACCGTACTCTCTTTCCTTCTGCCAGAGGGACCAGCCATGCTCCAGGTGAGGGCTGTTTCCTCAGCCTAGGTCCCAGAACGAGGAAGATGTGAGCAGAGCCTCCAGCTGCTGTGCCGTGTGCAGACAGCAGGAGTGAGACATGAGCACTGTTGCTTGAAGCCGCTGCAATTTGGAGTTACATTGTTATTGCAGCATTACTTATCCTATCCTCACTGATCCTGTGTCTTCCCAGTCAAAATTTAGGACCCCCAATTGGGGTAACTTCCCATTTGCAATATCTCCCCATTCTTCTAGAAAATTACTGAACCATATCGAATGTATAAAAATCCCATGTGCCAGGCATGGTGGGCTACACCTGTAATCCCAGCTACTTGGAAGGCTGAGGTGGGAGGATTGCTTGAGCTTGGGAGGTTGAGACTGCAGTGGACAATGATCATGCCACTGCACTCCAGCCTGGATGACAGAGATCTTATCTCTAAATTAAAAAAAAAATCCCCACATGCACCCCTACATAAACTACATCCAACATGTTCAATCCTCTGATGTTGCAAATGGATGAAATGAGCCCAGTTTGGTGAGACCTGTTCTTGCTGATTCACTGGAGGCTCCAGATGAGTGTCCCTTTTTTTAGAACCGTCCACAATCTGTACCTTACTTTGGATTTTTGCCAGGGATGTACATTGACTTGGCCCTCCCTTGTGCAGCTGTGATTATATTGACTTGTCTTCTGGCCTCTGGCCCCTCTTCAGTTGTCTGATTTCTCACAGTGTTAACTATTCTGTGATCACAATCGCAAATTTTGACAGTTTCTTTGTACACCTCAGCCTTTAATTTCACCTTTGTAATGGTCTGTTCTCTCTTTTCCTGTTTGAAAATTATTCTCCTTGATGAAGACGGAAGCCAAATAAAAGCTGAGTAGTCCTGCTTTCTCCCCATTATCTGTTTCTGTTATATCAAAATCCCCAAGCCTTGGACAGTCCTTGACTTTTTTTTTTTTTCCTTTCTGTGAATAGACCTTTAAAAATCCCTTTGTGGGCTGGGGGTGGTGGCTCACGCCTGTAATCCCAGCACTTTGGGAGGCTGAGGTGGGCAGATCACCTGAGGTTAGGAGTTTGAGACCAGCCTGGCCAATGTGCTGAAACCCAGTACCTACTAAAAATACAAAAATTAGCTGGGTGTGGTGGCACACACACCTGTAGTCCCAGCTACTTGGGAGGCTGAGGCAGGGAAATCACTTGAACCCAGGAGGCAGAGGTTGCAATGAGCTGAGATCATGCCACTGCACTCCAGCCTGGGCAACAGAGTGAGACTCTGTCTAAAAAAATAAAAATAAAAATAAAAATAAAAATCCCTTTGTGTTTTCTTTGGTGTATTTCACAGGCTTCAGCTTATTCTGGATTAATTTATCTTTTCTAACACTATTTCTTACTCAATATTCATCTAGACATTACCTTATTTGAGAAAATGCTAAAATGATAACAGATATCCAAGTTAAAAATGCTAATTATATAATCTAATCAAACCAAAGATTTTTGTCCATGATTTTCATTCTTGTCTTTATTATTAAATATTGGCAGCAATATTATCTATAGCAAACATTAAAAATATTTTAAAGATAACATAGTTATGTGAAGTGAATAAAACAAAAACCTACACTTTAATGGATGATCATAAAGCAAACATCAGTGTACCACCGCCCCCCAACCCACCGACCCACAGAGATCAAGGAAAGAAATAGATCACTTCCGGCACCCCAGAAGCCTCCCTCATATTGCCTCCCAATCTCTACCTCTCCCTCCCCATGTAAGTAACCACAATCTCAATGTTAATCTCTTCCTGGCTTTCTTTTATGACTTTACTCACTAAGCATGTGCCCCTGAACTCTAGTTTAGTTCTGCCTGGTTTTGAACCTCATATAAATGGAATTATACATAATTCCTTTTGTGCTGGTTTATTTTGTTCCACATTACATTTGTGAGATTCATCCATGGTTCTGTATGAGGCTATAGCTGATTCATTGTCTAAACATACCACAGTGTATATATTAATTCCATATCTGATGACCATCTGAGTTGTTTTTGGTTTTTGGCTGTATAAATGGTGCTGCTGTGGACATTATGTATTTCTTGGTGCTCATGTGCATGCATTTCTATTGAGTATATGCCTAGGGATGAACTTGGGTCAGAGGCTATGTGGATGTTCTGCTTTAGTAATGTCAGTTTTCCAGGCTGGGCACAGTGGCTCACACCTGTAATCCCAGCTCTTTGGGAGGCTGAGGTGGGTGGATCACTTGATGTCAGGAGTTCGGGACCATCCTAGCCAATATGGTGAAACCCCAGCTGTACTAAAAATACAAAAATTAGCCGAGCATGGCAGCAAGCACGTGTGATCCTAGCTACTTGGGAGGCTAAGGCAGGAGAATTGCTTGAACCCAGGAAACAGAGGTTGCAGTGAGATTGCACCTCTGCACTCCAGCCTGGGCAACAGAGTGAGACCCTGTCCTCCCAAAATAAGTAAATAAATAGATAATGTCAGTTTTCCAGAGTGGTAGTATTTGCACCCCCATCAGCAGTCGTGCTGGGAGGATGAACATTGTTCTATACGCTTGCTAATACTTGTTATTGTCAGTTTCATTTTAGCCATTCTGGTGGATATGGAATAGTATCATACTGTGTTTTATTTTGTATCTTTCTTATTAATAATCATGTTGAGCATCTGTTCATGTGTTTATTGTCCATTTAAATATCTCTTTTGTAAAGTTCTTTTTCAAATCCCTTGCTTAATTTTCTTTTTGGTTGTTTGCCTTTTTCTTAATGTGAAAGAATTTTTAAAATATATTATGAATGTGACCCGTTTATGGTTACAAATATCTTCTCTCAACTGTGGCTTATCCTTTCATCCCATTAATATCTTTTAATAATCAGAAGTTCTTAATTTTAATGTAATTGAATTTAGCAATCATTTTATTTATGGCTGCTACCTCCTTTGACCTAATTCAAAAAGTGTTTCCCTCCATGAGGTGTTGAAGAACCTTACCTCTGTTATCTCAAAAAGTTATTTCCATCTCTCCTTGCTTTCCTCCCTTCCTCCCTCTTTCCTTCCTTCCTTTCTGCTCTTTCTTTCTCTTTCCACATTTATCTCACATTTTTTCACTTCACATAAATGGAACTGTATAGTACATATTCTTTCTTTGAAAGAATGTATATTTCCAACATCATTTATTGGAAAAACTGCCATTTCTCTACATTGCTCTGCAATGCTACCTTTGTTGTAAATCACATACACACACACACACACACACACACACACACACACATATGTCTGAGTTTGTTTCTAAGCTTTCCTAACCTATTCCATTGATTAATTTTTCTGTCTTTACTCCACATTGTATTACATGCTTTAGCTTTGTAATAATTCCTGGTGTTTTATAGAAAAAGTTCTCCCATCATCTTTTTCTCCTCATTTAAGAATGATTTGGCTATTCTTGGTACTTTGTATTTTCAGATGCATTTTTTAATCAGCATGTCAAGCTCCACGAAAAAGTTAGGATTTTGATTAAGATTACATTGAATCTATACAATAATTTGAGTACAATAGACATCTTTACAATGTTGAGCCTTCCAATCCATGAACATGGTATACTCCTCCATTGGATATTATTTCCTGTTTTTCATACTCTTTGGCGATTTACTTTGTAACATATTTCATTAGATTTATTCTTAGGTATTTTATATTTTTATGCTATTGCATATGGCATCTATTTTATTTCACGTTTTTTCCTGAAATATAGAAACGGAATTAATGTATATTGAGCTTGTTTCTAATACCTTACTAAACTTATTTATTAATTCTTAAAACTGGGCTGAGTGTGGAGGCTCACACCTGTAATCCCAGCACTTTGGGAGGCCAAGGTGAGTGGACCATCTGAGGTCAGGAGTTTGAGATCAACCTGGCCAACATGAGTAAACCACATCTCTACTAAAAATACAACAATAGTTGGGCCTGGTGGCACATGCCTGTAATCCCAGCTACTTGGGAGGCTGAGACAGGAGAATTGCTTGAACACAGGAGGCAGAGGTTGCAGTGAGCCAAGATTGTGCCACTGCATTCCAGCCTGGGCAACAAGAACGAAACTCCATCTCAAAAAAACAAACAAACAAACAAACAAACAAAAAACTTATCTTGCTTTTCTTTATGGATTTTACTGTGTTGACTTTTCTATACATCATATATCATATTATATGCAAATAATGACAGTTTTATTTCTTCGTTTTCAATAATTTCTTGTCTTACTGTACTAGGCTAACACAATGTTAAATACAATTGGTGATAGCAAACATCCTTATTTTGTTCCTGATCTCAAAGGGAAATTTTTCAATATTTTACCATTACATATCAAAATTACTGTAGGTTTTTTAAGATGCCCTTCTCAAGTTAAGGAAGTTCTTTTCCATTCCTGGTTTGCGAAGAGTCATGAATGATGCTGGGTAGAGTAGGTCACACCCAGCACTTTGGGAGGCCAAAGCAGGGGAATTGCTTGAGGCCAGGAGTTTCAGACCAGCTTGGGGAAGATAGTGAGACCTTGTCTCTCAAAAAAAAAAAAAAAACAAAAAAAACAAAACTCATGAATGAATGCTAAATTTTATCAAAAACTCTTTCCCCTCTATGTAATGAGATAATAATATGCTTTGTATCCTTTATGCTGTTGATGAGATAAATTATGTTGATTAATTTTCAAATGTTAAACCAACTTTGCATTCCTAGAAGAACTCCAACTTGGTCATTCATAAATAGGCTTGGAAATATTTTGTTTAGAATTTTTACACCTACATTCATGAATGGGATTGACCTATACTTTTCCTTTCTCCAAGTGTTCTGGCTAGATTTTGTTGTAAAACTCTTGCTGGCTTCACAAAATAAGTTGGGAAATAATATCTCTTATTTTATTCTCTGGAAGAATTTTCAAGATTGGCATTGTTTCTTCCTTAGGTGTTTGGCAGAATTTGCTAGTAACGCTGTCCAGGTCTGAAGTTTTCTTTGTCAGTTGACTTTATGCATTACATGTGTTTTATAGTTATATGACTATTCAGGTTTTCTATTTCTTCTTATGTCACCTTTACTAACTTGTGTTTTCCAAGGAATTTGTACATTTTTTTTTGAGACAGAGTTTTGCTCTTGTTGCCCAGGCTGAAGTGCAATGGTGCCATCTTGGCTCACCACAACATCCATCTCCGGGGTTCAAATGATTCTCCTGCCTCAGCCTCCCAAGTAGCTGAGATTACAGGCATGCACCACCACACCTGGCTAATTTTGTAATTTTAGCAGAGACAGGTTTCTCCAAGTTGGTCAGGCTGATCTCGAATTCCTGACCTCAGGTGATCTGCCCACATTGGCCTCCCAAAGTGCTGGGATTACAGGTGTAACCCACCTGCTCAGACCATTTCATTTAATCTTTCAAGTTTATTGGTATAAAGTTGCTCACAATCTTTTTTCTTATCTTTTTAATATCTGTGAAATCTATGGTGAGATTTCCATTTTCGTTGCTGCCATTCATTATTTATGCCTTTTCTGTATCTCTATCTCTTTCTTATCAATCTTACTTGGGGTTTATCAGTCCCTTCCATTCTTGTTTTGTTTTGTTTTGTTTTGTTTGAGACAGGATCTTGTTCTGTTGCCCAGGCTAGAGTGTAGTGGCTTGATAATGACTCGCTGCAGCCTCAACTTCCTGGGCTCAAGTGATCCTCCTGCCTCAGCCTCCTGAGTAGATGGGACTACAAGCACTCACCACCATGCCCAGCTAATATTTTAATTTTTTGTAGAGATGTGGGGCTCACTAAATTGCCCAGGCTGGTCTCAAGCTCTTGGCCTCAAGCAATCCTGCTGCCATGGCCTCCCAAAGTGCTGTTATTACAGGAAATGAGTCATCATACCTGGCCTCATTCTTTCAAAGAGATAATCATGTAGTTTATTGATACTCTAGTATATGTTTGTTTTCTAAATTTCATTTAATTTCTGCTTTTTATTATTTTCTTCTTTCTACTTTCTTTGAGTTTAATTTGCTGTTCTGTTGTTGACATCTTGACATGAACACTTAACATTTTGGTTTTTCAGTCTTTTTTCTTTTCTAATACAGATGGCTTCCGACTTACAATGGGTTTACTTATGATTTTTCAACTTTACAATGGTGAAAAGCAATACGCATTCAGTAGAAACTATACTTCAAATTTTGAATTTGGTCTTTTCCCAGGCTGGAAATATGCCTACAATACTCTTGTTAGGCTGGGCAGTGGCAGTAAACTGCAGCTGCCAGTCAGCCACATAATCCTGAGGGTAAACACGGGTCACTCTTCATTGTGCTGTGTTGCCAGATGATTTTGCCCAACTTTACGCTAATGTAAGTGTTCTGAACACGCATAAAATAGGCTAGGCTAAGCTATGATGTTCAGTAATTTAGGTGTATTAAATGTATTTTTGACTTACAATATTTTCAACTTATGATGGGTGTATCAGGATGTAACCTTATAGTAAATCCAACAGCATTTGTATATGCATTTAAAGTTATACATTTCTAAGGCCAGGCACGGTGACTCACACCTGTAATCCTTGCATTTTGGGAGGCCAAGGCAGGTGGATCACCTGAGGTCAGGAGTTTGAGACCAGCCTGACCAATATGGTGAAACCCTGTCTCTACCAAAAATACAGAAAAAGTAGCCGGGTGTTGTGGCGTGTGCCTGTAGTCCTAGCAACTTGGGAGGCTGAGACAGGATAATGGCTTGAACCCAGAAGGCGGAGGTTGCAGTGAGCTGAGATTGAGCCACTGCACTCCAGCCTGGGCGACAGAGTGGGACTCTGTCTCAAAAATAAATAAATAAATAAATAAATAAAAATAAACTTATAAATTTCTTTTTAAGCATGTCTTTGCATCCCACAACTTTTGATGTGCAGTATTTTTGTATTATCCAGTTCAAAATAGTTTCTAATTCCTATTGTGATTTTTAAAATTTATTTTCTTTTTCTTTTTCTAATAGAGACAAGGTCTTAATATATAATTAACTTATAAATTCAGTGGAAATTAAATAAAAATACAAACAATATATTTTTAACCAGACAAGTTGATTCTGAAAGCTCATACAGAAAAATAGACAAGCCAAGGACAGCCAGGAAAACTGTGAAAAAGGAAAACAATGAGAAAGTAATATTCTTACTGGCTATTTTAATATAATTCAAAGCCTTAATAATTGAAACAATATGGGACTGGCATATGAACAGATAGACAAACTTAGAGAACAAACTAGGAAGTCCAAAAGGAGAGAATTAATTCATTGGATAATTTAGTACAGTATATAAGCATTGCAAATCGAGGGGGTGGGTGGGAAGACAGACTTTGCAATAAATAGTATTTGGACAATGAATAGCCATCTGGAAAAAAATAAGTTGGGTATTAACTTGTGCTATTCCCGTTCTCTTCTCTCCAGCTTCATGGTAACCTTGGGAACGAACAGGCTATAATCATGGTGAAAGTGAGCAGTCTTCCAGCTACTGAAGGGGTTACAACAGGGAATGGCACTCTATCAAAGCCCCATTCCCAGAAAATTGTCCTACTTGAACTGTCTCTCAGTGCCCTGGAAAACCCCACTTGCAAGGCTCTCTTTATTTGACCTGATGTAGAACTTGCTCAGTACAAAAAGCCTTTTTCCTGAGGGCATTTGTCAAAAATAATCAGTAGCTATTGTTTATTATTATTATTATTATTTTGAGACAGGGTCTCACTCTGTCACCCAGGCTGGAGTGCAGTGGCGCCATCTTGGCTCACTGCAACCTCTGGCTCCTACGTTCAAGTGATTCTCCTGCCTCAGCCTCCCAAGTAGCTGGAACTACAGGTGCGCGCCACCATGCCTGGCTAATTTTTTTGTATTTTTTTAGTAGAGACGGGGGTTTCACCATGTTGGTCAGGCTGGTCTCAAACTCCTGACCTCAGGTGATCCACCTGCCTCAGCCTCCCAAAGTGCTGGGATTACAGGCGTAAGCCACTGCACCCGTTTCAGTAGCTATTGTTTAATATCATAGCTGTCTGAGGCAGTAATTACAGGACAAACAACAAAGTAACCAAAAAACTTAAAAGGAAAAATTGAGGAAAGAGGTATCCTCAGGGGGCTAGGAAAAGCTCTGATAGATTCCTGGGATTCTAAAAGGCCATGCATGTGCCCAGGACAGTGTGCATGCCCAGGGCTACGCACATGCTCAAGGAAGACCTGAGAAGGCCCTGAGCCCTCACCTCTGGCTGGCCTTGAAACTGTGCAAACAGAAAGTAAAGATTAAGGTAGGATTCTAAGCCGTTTGGCTGAGCACTGAAGCATGCCCCAAACTCACACAGAGTCCTTGGCAAAGATTGGGAGACTTTCTGGTTCCAAGCATTTAATGAAATATCTGTCCGGTCATTAGCTGACCAGTAAGTTAACTGATCAGAAAGTTCAGTGGCCACGCCTGACAGAGAATACAAGCAGACTTTATAGAATTAGGTCAAGAAATTCATTAAAGAAATAGTAATAATAACAAACCCTGGAAAGGGGAATCTGATTTCCAGGGTTGCCACGTTACATTATATCAAATGTTCATTTTCAACAAAAATCATGAGACATGCAAAGAAATAAGAAAGCATGGCCTATACACACGAGAGAAGTCATTAATGGAAACGTTCCCTGAGGAGGCCCACAAATTGCACTTACTAGATAAAAACTTTAAATCAGCTATTTTATTATATTTTATTATTTTTTGAGACAGGGTCTTGCTTTGTTGCCCAGGCTGGAGTACAGTGGTGCGATCACAGCTCCTGGCAGCCTCAACTTCCTGGGCTCAAGCAATCCATGCCTGGCTAATTATTATCTATTTTTTTTGTAGAGACAGGGTCCCACTATGTTGCCCCGGCTGGTCTTAAACTCCTGGGCTCAAACGATCCACCCACCTCGGCCTCCCAAAGTGCTGGGATTACAGGTGTGAGCCATCATGCCTGGCCTAAATTAGCTATTTTTAATATGCTCAAGAACTAAAGGAAACCACACCTAAAGAACTAAAGGAAAGTATGATAACAAACAAAGAATTTCAATAAAGAAACAAATTATATATTAAAAACAACTAAATGCTGGAGTTGAAAATTACAACTGAAATGAAAAATTTACTAAGAGGAGTTTAACAGCAGATTTGAGCAGGCAGAAGAAAACATCAGTGAACTTTAAAGATATGTCAATTGAGGTTATCCAGTCTGAGGGACAGAAAGAAAAAAGATTCCCAGCCAGAGCACACTCAGTTTTTCCAATTAATTTCAATTCTTTGGCCAGGTGCAGTGGCTCAAGCCTGTAATCCCAGCACTTTGGAAGGCGGGGATGGGTGGATCACATGAGGCCAGGAATTCGCCACCCGCTTGGCCAACATGGCGAAACACCATCTCTGGTAAAAATACAAAAATAAGCCAGGCGTGGTGGTGCATGCCTGTAATTTCAGCTACTCAGCACGCTGAGGCACAAGAATTGCTTGAACCCAGGAGGTGGAGGTTGCAGTGAGTGGAGATCATGTCACTGCACTCCAGCCTTGGTGACAGAGCGAGACCCTGTCTCCAAAAAAAAAAAAAAGAATAGATCTTCAAGGTCCCATGGGAATCTCAGATAAAGGGGATAGAAGAGAAAGAATTTTGAAGAAAGAATGGATGAAAACTTCCTAAATTTGATGAAAAACATTAATCTGCACTTCCAAGAAACTCAATAAACTACAAGTAGGATTAGGTAAAAAAGATACACTTGAAGACACATCATAACTAAACTGTTGAAAAACAAAGACAAAGAGAGGATCTTCCAAGCAGCAAGAGAGAAATGACTCATTACATACAAGCGATCCTGAATAAAACTATTTCTCATCAGAAACCATGGAGGACAGAAGGCAGTGGGATGACATATTCAAAATGCTGAAATTTAAAAAACAACTGAGAATTTTATATCCACTAAAACTATCCTTCAAAAATGAAGCAGAAATGAAAACATTCCCCGGTAAATAAAAACTGAGAATTCATCACTAGCAGACCTTCCCTACATGAAATACTAAGGGGACTCCTTCAGGCTACAATGAAAGGACAGAGTGGTAAGTCAAATCAACATAAAGAAATAAAGAACACTTGTAAAGGTAACTACATAAGTAAATAGAAAAGACAGTATAAATTTTTTTGTTTGAAACTCATTTTTGTCCTGATTTCAAAGACAGCATAAAACAATAATTAAAAATTGGTGTTGGTTGGCATACAGTATAAAAAAGATGTAAATTTTATACAAAGAGTAAAAACTTTTCACACAGATTTTTAATAGTCTAAATTTTTGCACAAGAGGGGAGAGGAAATGGGAATATACAGGGGCAAAGCTTTAATTGTAATCCCCAGAGCAACCACTAAGAAAATAATTTTTCAAAAAATAGTCAAAGAAGTGACAAGGGAAATAAAATGGTACACTAGAAAATATTTATTTAAGGCCAGGTGCAGTGATTTACACCTGTAATCAATTCCAGCACTTTGGGAGGCCAAGGCGGGTGGATCACGAGGTCAGGAGATCGAGACCATCCTGGCCAACGTGGTGAAACCCCGTCTTTACTAAAAATACAAAAATTAGCCGGGCATGGTGGCATGTGCCTGTAGTCCCAACTACTTGGGAGGCAGAGGCAAGAGAATTGCTTGAACCCGGGAGGCGGAGGTTGCAGTGAGCCAAGATTGCACCACTGCACTCCAGCCTGGCGACAGAGCAAGTCTCCGTCTCAAAAAAAAAAAATTTGTTTAACACAAAATGCGATAATAAAGGAATGGATAGATAAATGCTTTCGGGGATAGATAACCCATTCTCCATGATGTGATTGTTGCATACTGCATCCCTGTATCAAAACATCTCATGTGCCCCATAAATCTATATATCTACTATGTATCCACAAAATTAAAAATAAATTAATTAAAAAGACATGACATATAGAAAACAAATAGCAAAATGGTAGATGTAGATCCTACCTTATCAGTAATTACATTAAATATAAGTGCACAAAACACTTCAATCAAAAGGTAGAGATTGGCAGAATTATCTAACTATGTTGTTTACAAGAAATACATCTGTTATTCCAAGACACAAAAAGGTTTAAAGCAAAAGGATGAAAAAAGTAAAAAGGCGACAAACAGTTTAAAAAATCCAGAATGGCTATACTAATATCAGACAAAACAGACTTTATGACAAAAATTGTTTATTGATACAAAGGAAATTTTAAATAATTTTAAAAAGGGTCAATCCATTAAGAAAATATTACAATTATAAACATATTTGCACCTAACAATTGAGCTCCAAAATACTAAAGCAAAAACTGGTAGTATTTGAACAGAAAAATAGACAATTCAACAATAATAGCTGGAGACTTCAATTATCCACTGTAAACAACAGGTAGAACAATTAGATCTTAAACTAGAAGATCAACAAAGAAATGGACTTGAACAACACTAAACCAATTATATCTAACAGATATCTATAAAACACTCCACCAAACAACAACAGAATACACATTCTTCTCAAATACACATGGAACATTCTCCAAGATAGACCATATGTTGGGCCATAATACAAGTTTTAATAAATTTAAAAGTATTGAAATTATACAAAGTATTTTCTTCAACTGCAATAGAATGAAATTAGAGATCAATGATAGAAGAAAATTGGAGAAACTTACAAATATATGGACATGAACACAGTCCTTAATAATTAATGGGTCAAAGATGAATTCACAAGGGAAATTAGAAAATATTTTGAGATGAATGAAAATAAAAACACAACATACTGAAGTTTATGAAATGCAGTGAAAGCAGTTGCTAGACGGAAATTTATAGCTGTAGATGGCCTGTGTTTAAGAGAGGAAAGACCTCAAATCAAAATGTTACAAATATTTTCTTTATTTGTTAGCTAAAAAATATATACAAATACAACATAAAGTTCCAAAGGTAAAAAGACTATTCATGATATACAGGTTGCCCTCCCATCCCCGTTTTCCAGTACATGGTTCCCCTTACCAGAGATGACTGATCACTGTTGCCAATTTTTCGGATATGCTTTCAGAGATAGCATGTGTATACAAACATGGCATGTGGAATATGCATTGTGTATTTTATTAGATACACAATGCAGGTCACCCTCTAAAAAGGCTGTAGCAATTAACATTCCCCACCAGCAATGTTGAGTGCCCAATTTTACTCATCCTTAGCAAGATTGAAGTTTATCATTTGGGGTTCTTGTTTGTTTGTTTGTTTGTTTGTTTGTTTTACCAATCTGATTTTATTTCTTTGTTCCTTTCATTTTCATTTCCTCACTCCAAGAGAGCTTGAACATCATTTTTATTGGCCATTTAGGGCTCCTCTTCCAAGAGTTGCCTATTTGCATCCATTTATTCTATCAGAATATTTGTCTTTTTCTTTCTTTTTTTTTTTTTTTTTTTTTTTTTGAGACGGAGTCTCTCTCTGTCACCCAGGCCAGAGTGCAGTGGCGCGATATCGGCTCACTGCAAACTCTGCTTCCCGGGTTCAAGCAATTCTTCTGCCTCAGCCTCCCAAGTAGATGGGACTAGAGGCACACACCACCAAGCCTGGCTAATTTTTGTATTTTTTTTTTTAGTAGAGACAAGGTTTCACCAGATTGGCCAGGCTGGTCTCGAACTCCTGACCTCGTGATCCACCTGCCTCAGCCTCCCAAAGTGCTGGGATTACAGGCATGAGCCACCGCGCCCAGGCTGTCTTTTTCTTATCAATTTCTGGTGTACTTGAAATGTTACAGATTTAATACTTTACCCATCATATGTATTGAAAGTAGTTTTCCCAAGTGCTATCATTGACTTTGTGAGGTTTTTGAACAAAGTTTATTTTTGCATAGTCAAATGTAATCTTTTTCTTTACAACATTCAGATTTCTTATCTTGCTAAAGTTACATAAAATGTTTAAATTTGCTGCTAAATTTTAAAATAATATTGTTTACATTTGCATTTTAATCTGACTGGAATTTAATTTTTCCAAATATAGTAAGGGGTTGTTTTTGCAATTTTTCCAGATGAGTAACCAATTGTGCCAGCACCATTTATTGACTAAACAATCTTTTCCCCACCAAATTGAAATATCACCTTTGACATACTTCTCATATATTTGGTTTTATTTCTAGACTGTTCTCTTCCATTGACCTGTAGGTCTATCCCTATACCAAACTGTAAGACAGGGTCTCACTCTGTCCCCCAGGCTGGAGTGAAGTGACGTGATCTTGGATCACTGCAGCCTCTGCCTCCTGAGCTCAAGTGATTCTCCTGCCTCAGCCTCCTGAGTAGCTGGGACCACAGGCACACGCCCCCAGGCCCCGTTAATTTTTTTGTATTTTTAGTAGCAACGGGGCTTCACCGTGTTGGCCAGGCTGGTCTCGAACTCCTGGCCTCCAGTGATCCGCCCACCTCAGGCTCCCAAAGTGCTGGGATTACAGGTGTGAGCCACCATGCCCAGCTTAATTACAGTAGTTTTTTTGTTTTTGTTTGTTTTTGTTTTTTTGAGACGGAGTCTCGCTGTCGCCCAGGCTGGAGTGCAGTGGCGCGATCTCGGCTCACTGCAGGCTCCGCCCCCCGGGTTCACGCCATTCTCCTGCCTCAGCCTCCCGAGTAGCTGGGAGTACAGGCGCCCGCCACCTCGCCCGGCTAATTTTTTGTATTTTTAGTAGAGACGGGGTTTCACCGTGTTAGCCAGGATGGTCTCGATCTCATGACCTCATGATCCGCCCGCCTCGGCCTCCCAAAGTGCTGGGATTACAGGCGTGAGCCACCGTGCCCGGCCAATTACAGTAGTTTTTAACATGTAGTAAGACAAGTCTCCTTTTACTACTCTTCATCTTCATAATTTGGTTGGTTATTCTGGAACATTTATTCTTTATATTTACTTTAAAATCACTCCTTCCCTCTTCAAAAGACTGTTGAAGATATCATTGAAATTGCATTAAATTTATAAATTAATTTGGAAGAATTGATGGTTTTATGCTATCAGGCCTTCCATTACATTTTTAGTTGTTTAGAATTGACTTTGGTAGCTGTGTCATTAACATAAAAAAAATACATAATAGACTAAAAAGGCCAGGTGCGGTGGCTCATGCCTGTAATCCCAGCACTTTGGGTGGCCAAGGCAGGCGGATCACCTGAGGTCGGGAGTTCGAGACCAGTCTGACCAACATGGAGAAACCCCATCTCTACTAAAAATACAAAATTAGCCAGGTGTAGTGGCACATGCCTGTAATTCCAGCTACTCGGGAGGCTGGGGCAAGAGAATCGCTTGAACCTGGGAAGCAGAGGTTGTGGTGAGCTGAGACTATGCCACTGCACTCCAGCCTGGGCAACAAGAGTGAAACTCTGTCTCAAAAAAAAAAAAAAAAAAAAAAAAAAAGTCTAAAAAATTCTAGCATATTAAACCAAGCTTATCAATGAGAACACTCATATTCTATAAGTCCTTGCTCATATTTTAACTACTTGACTTGTCAAATTCTTAAAGGGATATTTAAAATTTTTCCACCATACCTAAATTTTTATTAAATTCTCTTAGTATCATTAGGAGTATTTGCCTTAAATATTATATTTACCTGCTATATTGTTTGGTTCATAAGGCCTTATGTTTACCACCTCTTCTTTATAAAGAATATTATCTTATCATTATGTAATGTTCCTCTTTGACCAATTGAATGTCTTTGATCCTAAATTTCATTTTATCTGATACTAACATCACCACTACTACTTTATTTTTCTTCCATCCCTTTATTTTCTACGCTTTTTACTGTTTAACTATAAGTATATGCTTGTATATAAGATATTTTGTTTTATAAATTTACTTTGACCATCTTTTCTCT
The DNA here is from genome assembly GCF_000001405.40 of Homo sapiens. Classification (NCBI taxonomy): domain Eukaryota; kingdom Metazoa; phylum Chordata; class Mammalia; order Primates; family Hominidae; genus Homo; species Homo sapiens. Next base: position 31,615,153 of record NC_000017.11, on the reverse strand, counting down.
TGGTATTATAACTGATATTCTCAATTTTATTCCTACCAATTTTATTTTATGCTTTTTCTTTATTAGAGTTTTTATTACTTTCCCTTCTTTTTCTTTTTTCTCATTTTTTTGTTAGTTGAACAAGTGGCTGCTATTGAACTAATGGAAGAATTACACAAGAAAATTAACTGAAAAAGGAAAAAAAAACTCTTGAGGAGATACAGTTACAGCATTTAAAAAGTTTCTGGGAGTAAAAGAAACTGTGCAAATTTAAATATTTAAAATACATTGACTACTGAAAGGTGGATTGGTTATGTGGAAAATCGAATTAGTGGTTTGGAAGATGAAGGAACCAGAACAGCTCACAACACAGGAGAAAAATGTAAAGACCCACAATATCCCATAATTCTTTCCTGCATACCACTTAGGAATATGCCTTTCCTCCTGACTTTTGTCTATATCCTTAAAATATCTGAATTCATTGGAAAGGTCCCAATATGGTCACACTGTGTTGCCTTTGCCTCTGGGAATATCTGTGTTCGCATGTGAAGGCTATTTCACACATTGCTCCACACATTTTGTTATCCTTCCTCAAGTTGGGCAGGGGTGCACTTCCTAGTCTCCACTGTAGTAATAAATTTTGATACCTTGGACTTCAAAAGAGGGGAAGAGAAGAGAGGGCGATTATAACTGCTGCCCCAAAGAAGACTGCAGGAAAGGGATAAATCATGGAAATAAGACCTAGTAGGTGAGCCTGATTTCACCAACACTGCCTTCTTCGAAGCCATTATGTGTTCCCAAATCAAGTGTTCCTTTTGAGACATAGTAAAGTGTAAAGGAAAGAGCATTAGAGTTGAAATCAGCCCAGCCAGGGTTCTTTTTTTTTTTTTTGAGACAGAGTTTTGCTCTTGTTGCCCAGGCTGAAGTGCAGTGGCGCAGTCTCGGCTCACCACAACCTCTGCCTCCCAGGCTCAAGAGATTCTCCTGCCTCAGCCTCCCGAGTAGCTGGGATTACAGGCACCTGCCACCACTCCCGGCTAATTTTTGTATTTTTAGTAGAGACGGAGTTTCACCATGTTGGCCAGGCCGGTCTCAAACTCCTGACCTCAGGTGATCCACCCACCTTGGCCTCCCAAAGTGCTAGGATTACAGGCATGAGCCACCATACTAGTCCTCAACCAGGATTCTAACTCTGCCTCCTAGTAGTCTGTAAAACCTCAGGTAAGCCACTTTGCTTCTTTGGGCCTTGGTTTTGTTGACTATTAGGATGGATCATATTATTATTTCTAAATATTCCCTGTTCTTCCCCTTGAGGGGATTCTATATCCCCACCCCATTGCCATAAGATTTGGCCACATGACTTGCTTTGGTCAACACGATGTGAGCAGAGTTGACACGTTTTGTTCTGGGCAGAATCTCTAAGAGTCAGCACAGTTCACAATAACCAGCTGATTTTCCTATGGCCAGAACAGTATTCAGTGTAGTCTGGGGCCCTGCAGAGGCACACCTGAGCTGATGTTGGGGAGTAAAGACTTATCAATTAGGATAGATTAAACTGTTTGGGTTTTTTTAATCATAAAATAACAATGGCTTAAATAGAAGTTAATTTCTCTAATACTATCATATCTTTTATTTTTATTTATTTATTTTCTTGAGGCAGAGTCTCAGTCTGTCACCTAGGCTGAAGTGGAGTGGCTTGATCTCAGCTCACTGCAGCCTCTGACTGCTGGGTTCAAGCGATTCCTCTGCCTCAGCCTCCAAGTAGTTGGGATTACAGGCGTGCGCCACTACACCCTGCTAATTTTTGTATTTTTAATAGACGCAGGGTATCGCCATGTTGGCCAGGCTGGTCTCAAATTCCTGACCTCAAGTGATCCACCTGCCTTGGCCTCCCTAAGTGCTGAGATTACAGGCAGAAGCCACCACGCCCGACCACACTATCACATCTTTTATGAAGTTCAGAAGTAGGTGGCCTGAGCCTGGTGTGGTGTGGTGATGCCACAGAATTATCAGGGATTCAGGCTTCCTCCAGCTCTCTGCTCTGTCACTTCTAGGATGTGACTCTTGTCCTCAGGGTCCAAAATGGCTACTAGAGCTCCAGCTATTGCACCCACATTTCAGGCAGTGGGATGGGGTAGGGGAAAAGAAGGAAATCCTCTCTTCCTTTTAAGGAGACTTACTAGAAGTCATATGTAACAGCAGGTTGGGGAGGCAGGAGGGTGAGGAGGGGAGAGAGGTGGCAGGAGAAAGGAGAGGAGAAGGAGGAGGGAGAGGAGGAGAAGGAGAATAATGAAAACCACTGGGCCAAAACAAGTGTCCCCTTGCTCATAGAATAAGTGGACAGCAATCATATAGAACTGCCAGTGTACCTCCAATTCCTTTGTGAGCCTGGGGTCGGAGCTAAGGAAGAGGCAGGGCCCAGACTCTTGGCTTCTGTCTCCTTGAGAACGTATTGTAAAAGAAGGACTTGAGGTCAAGCTGGAGGTTGCTCACCTGTGAGGTGAACCCACAGGTTTTGAGCCAGGAAGGAAAGGCCAAGGTAAGACCTGGAAGATAAATGGTGGGATTGTGTGTTAGTTAGAGTGAGCGAAGCTGCAGAACAAATAGATGTCATTCAGTCATAGAAACAAGAAACAACAAAAGGCTTGCTGTTTCTCACAGAAAAGCCCAAAGTAAGGCTTTAGGTTGGTGGTGGCTCTGTTCTGTGCCATTTGGTCCACTGGCCAGTGTAAAGAAAGGAAAATCATTTAAAAATAAAAAGTTGCATTATGAAAGATTCCAAATATTTACAAAAATGGAGGGAATGGTATTGTGAACCGCTTGCAGAGAATTCTACACTCTGTCTTTGCCCTTCCACCTCATTCTCTACCTCCCCTTGCTTAGAGGTAACCAGTTAAAAATATCCTCCCAATTAAAAAGTTCTGTGGGGTGTCTGTGTGTGTGTGTGTGTGTGTGTGTTCCCTCCCTCCTTTCTTGGATAAATGGCTGTATACTAAACATATTTTCTCCATCTTACTTTTTTCATGTAACACTGTATCCTGGCAATCACGCCAAAGCAACACATAGAAATAATCCTTGTTCTTTTTAGCAGCTGCATAGTATTCCATTATATAGGTGGATCATAGCTTATTCAATCAGCCTGATTGACGGATATTTTGGTTGTTTCCAGCCTTTTTCTTTCTTTCTTTTGCTTTCTTTCTTTCATTTATTTATTTTTTTATTTTTATTTTTTTTAGACAGGGTCTTATTCTCCTGCCAGGCTGGAGTGCAGTGGTGCGATCTCGGCTCACTGCAACCCCTGCCTCCCAGGTTTAAGCGATTCTCCTGCCTCAGCCTCCCTAGTAGCTGGGATTACAGGAGCCCACCACTGCACCTGGCTAATTTTTGTATTTTTAGTAGAGAAGGGGTTTCACCATGTTGGCCAGGCTGGTCTTGAACTCCTGACCTCAGGTGATCCACCCGCCTTGGCCTCCCAAAGTGCTGGGATTATAGGCTTGAGCCACTGTGCCCAGCCCAGGCTTTTTCTAGTACAGATCATGCTGTATCAAATAGACTGAGTATATATGTTTTGTATTTTTGCCATTGTGGTTTTGGGATAGATTCTTAGAGGGTAGGATTGTCAGAGGCATTTGAACCAGAGTAACTCCATCTTGAATAGGGGCTACGTAAAATAAGGCTAAGACCTGCTGGGCTGCATTCCTAGTAAGTTAAGGCATTCTTAATCATAGAATGAGATAGGAGGTCGGCACAAGATACAGGTCATAAAGACCTTGCTAATAAAACAAGGTAGTAAAGAAACCGGCCAAAACCCACCAAAACCAAGATGGCGACAAGAGTGACCTTAGGTCATCCTGCACTCCCACCAGTGCCGTGACAGTTTACAAATGCCATGGCAACAACAGGAAGTTACCCTATATGGTCTAAAAAGGGGAGGCATGAATAATCCACCCCTTGTTTAGGCATGTCTTCAAGAAATAACCATAAAAATGGGCAAACAGCAGCCCTTGGGACTGCTCTGTCTGTGGAATAGCCATTCTTTTATTCCTTCCTAATAAACTTGCTTTCACTTGACTTTATGGAATTGCCCTGAATTCTTTCTTGTGTGAGATCCAAGAACACTGTCTTGGGGTCTGGATCAGGACCCCTTTCTGGTAACAGGAATGCTGGTCAAAGTGCAATTGCATATGTCATTTTACTAGAAATGACCACATTCTCCTTAATAGGAGTTATACCGTTTGCCTTCCCCCATTGGGTTATGAGTGTACCTGAAGCAGCCGTGACTCTCCCAATTTTATGTTTTACGGATGGAAGAACAGAAGTACAAGGGCATTCAATGCATTGCCCAGGTCATAGAGTTAGTGAGAGGCAGAGCTGACACTTGGACCCAGCCAAGAAATGCCTCCTTCATAGATAACAAGACTCATGGCAGTGGCCTGGGAGGACCTCACTATCTGCCCTTTGCGGAGAGGAGTTAGGCAGGCTTGACTCCTCCATAATCAGCATCCTGGCCCCCTGGGACTGCCTCATCTCCAGGAATTATCTTCCAGTTCAGCAAAAGCTCTGTATTTCCCACCTTCGGGTCTGCCCCTCAGGGACCTCTCAGGGTGGGATGCCATCCCACAGGTCATCCCATTCCTGTGCTGGAAGCAGCCCTTCCTCCCTGTCCCTTGTGAGCCATCACTTAGCAGCCAGCAGATGCTGGCTCCTTTCTCCCCTAATTAGAGCATCTATTTTCATGCTAAAATGTGATCCATGCATGAAAAGGAGGGACAAATGTGCTTGGCTATCAACTGCTTCTCTGGAGACAGTCATTTGAGGGAGCACTTAACATTTTTAGTTTTAAAAAATGACTCAGCGTCCCTCAATATGCTTTGAGAGAGAGCAGCTTGTCACCACCAAGGAGAGGGCAGAAAGGAGGGGCAGAAAGCTAGCCCCCCACCTCACAGTTTTTATACTGCATAACCTTCACACAACCCTATGATGTGGCTACTGTGACCTCCTTTGAATAGGGGAAGGAACTGAGGCTCAGAGAGGTTCAGCAAGTTGCCAAAACTCCTCCACAAGCAAATGGCAGAGGCTGTTCAAATCTAGCTTGTCTGGCACAAAGACCTGAGGTTTTCTCTTCACTAGAAGAGACCCAGACTCCACATAGGAAAATTTCCAGGATGGCTGCGTCCAGGGATCCCAGCACCCCTTCTTTGGAAAACTTTCAGTAGCCTTCCTCCTGGTCCACTCACGTGCAGGCCCATCCACACTCTCCCTAGGCAACAGCGTCTAACCCATGGCTAGTATCAGTTGGTGTGTGTGTGTGTGTGTGTGTGTGTGTGTGTGTGTGTACCAGAGATTTCAACCCAACCTAGTTTAGACATTTGAGTGAATTTTGCATCTCACAAAATTCTGAGGCAGGGTGGGCTTTGGTGACTCAATGTCAGGATTTTTACTACTCTTTTTCCAAATTCCTCAGCTCTACCTTTTACTGAATCAATGTTACTGTAATCCTGGCTGTGCTTGTGGTTGCAAGATAGCTGTGAACAGCTTCTAGGGCTATGTGATTCTTCATGTTCAGGGAGAGAGAGGCCTCTTCCCAAGTGCTCTTGAAAGAACCAGAAAACCCTCACACTCGTCTTCTGTAATTGTATTGCTCCAAATAGGGTCAAGTGCCCACTCCAGAGCCACTTACAAGGCCAGAAGTTGGGATTATTGATTGGCCTGGGCTTGAGTTCTATCTTCCACCACTAGTGCAAGGGTGGCGTTATTTCCCTCCAGGCGTATGGGAGATATGGACACAGGAACATACATTAGGGTAGTTATCATGAAAAGGGGTATAGATATTGGGCAAGAAACTCCATGTCTACCACAGCTCCCAAATCCATACCTCCAACCCAACCTCTGAGTTCCAGACTACTAAATTGAATTGCCTATTCAGTATCTCCACAGGAATATCTTACATGCACCTCAAGGCAACATAGCCAAAATAGATCTCTTGAGCCAATTCTCCACTCATCTGTTCCTCCTTCAGTCTTCCCTTCTCAGGAAATGGCATCAACCATTCACCCAGTTGCTTAAGCCAAAAGTTCCACCATCTCATACCATTCTCTTCATACACTTAGCTCCACCTGTCAGAGGTGTTCGAACCACAGCGACTCCATCTTGAATAGGGTCTGGGTAAAATAAAGCTGAAACTTATTGGGCTGCATTCCCACGAGGTTAGGTGTTCTTAGTCACAGGATGAGATAGGAAGTTGGCACAAGATACAAGTCACAAAAACCCTGCTGATAAAACAGGATGAAGCTGCCCAAACCCCACCAAAACCAAGATGTCATGAAAGTGCCCTCTGGTCATTCTCATGGCTCATTATATGCTGATTATAATGCATTATCATGCCAAAAGACAGTCCCACCAGCACCATGACAGTTTACAAATGTCATGGCAATGTCAGGAAGTTACCCTATATGGTCTAAGAGGGGAGGAATCCTCAGTTCTGGGAATTGCCCAACCCTGTCTCAGAAAACTCACCAGTAACCTACCTCTTGTTTAACATATAATCAAGAAATAACAGACCTGGCCTGGTGGCTCACACCTGTAATCCCAGCACTTTGGGAGGCTGAGGTGGGCAGATCACCTGAGGTCAAGAGTTTGAGACCAGCCTGGCCAACATGGTGAAACCCTGTCTCTACAAAAAATAAAAGATTAGCCGGGCGTGTGGGGCATGCCTGTAATCCCAGCTATATGGGAGGCTGAGGCAGGAGAATCCCTTGAACCCAGGAGGTGGAGGTTGCACTGAGCCAAGATCGCGACATTGCACTCCAGCCTGGGCAACAAGAGCGAAACTCCATCTAAAAAAACCCAAACAAACAACAAAACAAACTAACAAACCAACAAAACTATTAGTATACTCAGTTTAGCAACCCATGCTGCTGCTCTGCTGATGGAGTTGCCATTCTTTTGTTTCTCTACTTCTGTAATAAACCTGCTTTCACTTTATTCTATGGACTTGGCCCTGAATTCCTTCTTGCCTGAGGTCCAAGAACCCTCTCTTGGGTTACTTTCTAGTAACACAGCCACGCTGGCATTCTTTTTTTTTTTTTTTTTTTTGAGATGGAGTCTCTCTCCGTCGCCCAGGCTGGAGTGCAGTGGCGCAATCTCGGCTCACTGCAAGCTCCACCTTCCGAGTTCACGCCATTCTCCTGCCTCAGCCTCCTGAGTAGCTGGGACTACAGGCGCCCACCACCGCGCCCGGCTAATTTTTTGTATTTTTAGTAGAGACGGGGTTTCACCATGTTAGTCAGATGGTGTCAATCTCCTGACCTCGTGATCTGCCCACCTCAGCCTCCCAAAGTGCTGGGATTACAGGTGTGAGCCACCACTCCCGGCCCACACTGGCATTCTTTTGGTACCAAGCACTGTTCCTACCACAGGGCCTTTGCATTTGCAGTTCCCTCTGTCTGATATGCTCTATCCTTAGAACTTCACTTGGAAAGCTCCTTCTGGTTATTTAGGCTTTTACTCCAATATCGCCTTTCCTGGGCATCCCATTCAAACTAAGTTCCCAGCCTATCCCCACCTGTTACAGTGCATCACACCCCATCACTCTGTTTCAGTTTCTTAGAACTCATCACTATGTCAGATGATCTTGCCGATTCACCGTTTGCTTGTTTATTATCTTTCCCCTGTTTAGAATGAAAGATCCATGCCAGCAAAGACCTTGTCTGTCTTTGAGTCTAGCTCTGTTGCCCAGACTGGAGTGCAGTGGCGTGGTCTCGGCTCACTGCAACCTCCACCTCTTGGGTTCAAGCGATTCTCCTGCCTCAGCTTCCTGAGTAGCTGGGATTACAGGCGCCCACCACCACACCCAGCTAATGTTTGTATTTTTAGTAGAGACAGGATTTCACTGTGTTGGCCAGGCTGGTCTTGAACTCCTGACCTCGTGTTCCACCCGCCTTGGCCTCCCAAAGTGCTGGGATTACAAGTATGAGGCACTGTACCCGGCCATCTGTCTTGTTCACTCTGTGTCCAGTGGATCTATGCGAAGACCACGGTGTAAATGCTGTCCCCTGGTGTTGTGAAACATAGCAGCCCTGACTAACTTCCAGCACCTAGGTAGGCCAGGTACGTGGAAAATGCTCAATAAATGGATAAATGGGTAAATGGATGTATGTATGGGTGAATGAGTAGCGGGGTGGGTGGGTGGATGGGTTGGTGTGTGTGTGGATGGATGGATGGAGTCCTTAAGTATAATCGTGCCTGAGAGTAGAAAGATTCTATGGGCCGTAGGCTGGTTGGGGCAGAGATGTATGCTGGAACTAGAACTCCGTATGTTGTCTTCCCTCTATCATTTCCCTCCTCAGGTTGAAAAAAAGAGTTCTAGCTTTGAAATCTCTAATATTTTCAACTATTCATTCCTGTAATCCCATACGACTACCCATCCAATGATGCATTTTTTTGTTTTTTTTTTTTTTGAGACGGAGTCTCTCTCACTTTGTTGCCCAGGCCAGAGTCCAGTGGCAGGATCTTGGCTCACTGCAACCTCCTCTCCCCGCGAGTTCAAGCAATTCTCTTGCCTCAGCCTGCCAAGAAACTGGGATTACAGGTGCACGCCACCACGGCTGGCTGATTTTTTTTTTCTTTGTATTTTGAGTGGAAACAGGGTTTCACCATGTTGGCCAGGCTGGTCTCGAACTCCTGACTTCAAGTAATACACCTGCCTCGGCCTCCCAAAGTGTTGGGATTACAGGTGTGAGCCACTGCGCCTGGCCTCCAATGTTGCATTCTGACCTCACACCTCATCCCACCCTGGCCCAGACAGGCCACTTGCTATTTATGGCCCTGCCTTAAAAAGTGTTGAAGAAGTAGCATCCAAGAACTAAAATAATAACTATTATTATAATAGCCAACATCTGCACAGCACCTCAAATATTGCAAGGTGTTATTTGCATAGATTATCTCAACTATGCATCACAATGAACCTGGTGCTATGTTCATTATTATTACATCACAGAGGCTTAATTGGGCCCTTACAGAAGACCTAGTCCAGGGATACTTGGCTCTTGCATGTTAATGTATCAGCCAACACCTCTCCTGTGCACCTATGGCAGACATCATTAATCCATCAAGGCACTCTCCTGTTTAGCCCAGTCCCTGCTTCAGAGCTCTTCTCAGTATTGTGACCCAGACAGCGGCTACCCATCAACCAGACTGCCACACAGGACAGAAAGTATTTTCCCATTGGGCTAGTCCATGTCCTTCATTTTGTATGTATGGGAAATGGGGCCTAGAGATGCTACCCAGTGAATTAGTGACAAAGCCAGGGCTTTCTCTTTCAGAACCCTGGACTCTTGGTCCATGTCAGAGGTCTTTCAACTCACCCCTGAATGTGGTTCAAGATGATTGGAATTCTGATATAACTGGGCATTGGAGCTTTTTTTTTTTTTTTTTTTGAGACAGAGTCTCGCTCTGTCGCCCAGGCTGGAGTGCAGTGGCGGGATCTCGGCTCATTGCAAGCTCCACCTCCCGGGTTCACGCCATTCTCCTGCCTCAGCCTCCCAAGTAGCTGGGACTACAGGCGCCCGCCACTACGCCCGGCTAATTTTTTGTATTTTTAGTAGAGACGGGGTTTCACCGTTTTTAGCCGGGATGGTCTCGATCTCCTGACCTCGTGATCCGCCCGCCTCGGCCTCCCAAAGTGCTGGGATTACAGGCGTGAGCCACCGCGCCCGGCCGGCATTGGAGCTTTTAAAGGTCCCCAGGAGACCCTAATGTGCAAACACAGTTGAAAACTGAGGCTTTCTCCTTCTATTAACAATGTTGACCATATTTTCCTGACGTTAAGAATCATCCAGGGCCACTCATTAAATACAATGTACATTTGTAAATGTATAGACCTAAATACAAGGTACATTTGTAAATGTGCAGACCTCTCCCCTGAAAAATCTGAGTCAGAAGGTCTAGACTGGAGCCCACGAAGCTGCAATGTCATAAACATCCCAGGTGATTCTGATCATCAGGGAAGTTGGGCAATACAGTTCCAAACAGGCCCAGCTGGGACTCTCTGCAAAACCCAAGAATAAGGGCAATCAGCTACTACTGAGTACTGGAAGGCGAGGATGATCTGGGCTTTATCTTTTTAAATAGCTGCAAAGACTCGTGTCCATTTACCAAGCAGTTGCCTTTTCTTTTTTCAGTCTAGATTATTACATAATCCATCTTGAGAATTTAGAAGAATAATATCGCCCTCGTGCCTGGCTTATATAGAAAAAGGGACAGCAAGAAGACAGATAAAGTGGAGCACAGAAAGAAGGATGAAATGAAAATTATTTGTCTATTTTAGACAAGCAATTTTCTCTAATGTTCTGTTCTCTTGTTTGGTTGTTCTAGTGAGAGCTCAAGGACCTTTTAAGGTGGAACGAATCTGGGGGTTGTTCTGGGGGAGGCAGTTAGCCTTGGGTACCTGGAAATATGGGTAGGAAAAGCTGGGAACAGAGCCCAGGAGGAACCAAGTGTCCAATGCCAACACCTGGGCCCAGAGGCCCCACTGCACACCCCACCTGGCCCTGGAAGGGAGAGGACAGATAAAATTCGGAGATTTCATCATGTCAGACGTGGAGTTGGGTTCTTTTCACCTGCATGAAAATACTGCAAAGTACTCATAATGTCTCCATTTTACAGATGAGCAAACTGAGGCTCAGAGAAATTATACTGTCTTTGGCTTCATCTAGGGACTTCTCATTCTAGAAGGAAAAAAACACAATTTAATCCAAAACTCTCAAAACTACCAAGAAGAGCCAGGTGCACAGGAACACTGGGGTGAGAATATGCTTGGCATTTTAAAAATGGAAACTAGAGTCATTTTTTTCATGCATGCATATTAATGGACAGAAGCTGCCTAGAAAATTGTAAATAGCAGATTCACCACTGAAATTTATTTGCCCTTGAGTTAATGCTAAAGTAGGTGACAAATCCAAAGCATGAAAGAAATGGGTCTGGATTTAAGAGGGGGCCAGGAATATGCACCAAAAGCCTTAAAAATGTGCACAACCTCTGGCCAAGCAATTTCACCTCTAGGAATTTCTCCTCCCGAAATAGCTGGGTAAGTGGGCAAAGAAGTCTTTACAAGGCAACATTGTTTATGGCTTTGAAAAACTGGAAACAACATAGTTGTCCAACAATTCACTTAATAAATATAGCATATTCATACCGGCAAATACCACATAACCATGAAAAATGATGTTAGGTCTGCTGACACAGAAAGCAGTTCATCACACATTTGCTGTGTGAGAAAAGCCTGCATTGGAGAAGTATGTGTGATATGATCATGGCTGTGTTAAAAACAAATAAACAATATTCCAGTAGTGATCAATTATCAGATATCAGATTATTAGAAATAGATCAGATATATAGCAAGACTTCAGCAGTGGCTTAGCAGATTATTATTTCTATATGGATATAAGTAGGATGAGAGATCACTTCTGTTTGTTGCTTTTTTTTTTTCCTTCAGGGAACATGTGTCACTTGAGTAATTAAATAAAAGCTTAAAAAGTCTTTCAAAGGAAAATGTTCCCAAGATCCTGCAAAACTGACTGTTGTCAGTGGTTTCTCCAGAAAGAAACTGCTGAACTGGGCCACGGGAAGGGGGCTTGCTTACACCACTGGTGAAAGGGAGGCAGAGGACAAACAAACCTGGAGGATGAGAAGGGGCAGGGGACGTCGATAGCAGGGGTCCAGGCCAGAAAATGATCAGGGAGGCATGGGGGCTCATATACAACCATTACCCACCTCCCTCCCACAGCCAGGTTACAAGCCACATGGGCATGGTAGGTCCTGCCCTGGATGCTGGTCCCTGGCCGACTCATGGCAGGTGGAGTTCGGCACCTTCCATACCCCATCCCTAGCACGTACAGTAAGTCCTCAGTTAACGTCCTCAATAGGTTCTTGGAAACTGTGACCTTGACAAAATGATGTATAATGAAATCAATTATTAGGGAAATGACACGGGACGAAACGACATCATTGAGAACCTGCTGTATGTCATTTTGCTTAAAGTTGCAGTTTCCAAGAGCCCATCGAGAGGACGTTAAGTGAGGACTTTCTGCATGTGGATCTATGGGGGCTGAGAGGCCTCTCGGTAAGAAATCGGAAACCTTGAACCACATCCACAGCTGGGGACATTCCTACTGAGAATGTCTGACCACCTTGGAGAGGGTGGGGTGGGTGGAGAATGAGGGTTCCTGCGAAGAAGTGAGGAGGTAAGGGACATTCAGCATAGGGGGCTCCCCTCAGAAACCAGCCTGGGTGCTGTTGGTGAGGGTGGTCCTGTTGTCTGTAGTTGTTGTTCTTTCAGGCAGAGAACAAAATCCTAAATCATGGGGCCGCTGGCTCTAGCCGGGCAGTGGGTCTGCGTTCAGGGGACAGCGTGTGTTTGTGTGTGTGTGTCTGTGTGTGTGTGTGTGCAAGCACGTGTGTGTGGGCGCATATGCACTCGCATGTATGTGTAACACTCAGGACCCAGAAAAAGGCCAAGCTACTGCTACCACTGTCCCTTAAAGATTGCAAATGCCGGCCAGGCGTGGTGGCTTATGCCTGTAATCCCAGCACTTTGGGAGGCTGAGGCGGGTGGATCCTGAGGTCAAGAGATTGAGACCATCCTGGCCAACATGGTGAAACTCCGTCTCTACTAAAAAAAAAAAAAAAAAAAAAAATTAGCCCAGCATGCTGGCACATGCCTATAGTCCCAGCTACTCGGGAGGCTGAGGCAGGAGAATTGCTTGAACCTAAGAGGTGGAGGTTTCAGTGAGCCGAGATTGCACCACTGCACTCCAGCCAGGGTGACAGAGTGAGAATCCGTCTCAAAAAGAAAAAAAGAGGCCAGGCGCAGTGGCTCACACTTGTAATCCCAGCGCTTTGGGAGGCTGAGGTGGGGGGATCACCTGAGGTCAGGAGATCTAGACGAGCCTAGCCAACATGGTGAAACCCTGTCTCTAATAAAAACACAAAAATTAGCCAGGCATGGTGGCGCGCACCTGTAGTCCCAGCTACTCGGGAGGCTGAGTCAGGAGAATAGCTTGAACCTAGGAGGTGGATGTTGCAGTGAGCTGAGATCACGTCACTGCACTCCAACCTGGGTGACAGAGGGAGACTCTGTCTCAAAAAAAAAAAAAAAAAAAAAAAAGGCCAGGCGCTGTGGCTCACGCCTGTAACCCCAGCACTTTGGGAGGCCGAGGCGGGTGGATCACAAGGTCAGGAGATCAAGACCATCCTGGCTAACATGGTGAAACCCTGTCTCTACTGAAAAATGCAAAAAATTAGCTGGGTGTGGTGGCGGGCACCTGTAGTCCCAGCTACTCGGGAGGCTGAGGCAGGAGAATGGCGTGAACCCAGGAGGCAGAGCTTGCAGTGAGCCAAGATTGCGCCACTGCACTCCAGCCTGGGCGACAGAGCGAGACTCCTTCTCAAAAAAAAAAAAAAAAAAAAAAAAAAAGATTGCAAACACTAGTTGCTAGGGTGATCAGGCAGCGACCCACAGACTTTGGTGGCCCTTGCAGAAGCCCATGTGGAAAGTGAGGCCAACAGAGGTAGCTGTGTCTCAGGGTCACCAAAGAAGCGGCACTGACTGGGCAGAAGGGGCAGAGGAGGCCAGGCAGGTGGCCTGAGATGAGCAGGAGTGGTGTCTGTCCTACCCTTGAGCCAGCCACTTTCTATTCTTGAACCATCCAGTGTCCAATCACTGCTGTCATAAACAACTGTAAATTTCATAACTTAATACAACGCACGTTTACTCTCTTGGTTCCGGAGAAGAAGTCCTCATGTCAAGGTGCTGGCGGTGCTGTGTTCCTTGTGGACACTCTAGGGGAGAATCTGTTTCCTTGCCTTTTCCAGCTTCTAGAAGCCACCTGCCGCCTTGGCTCCTGACCCTTTCCTTGCATCTCGCTGACCCTTGCCTTCTCTCCCTCTGCTTCTGCCACCATGTCACTGCCTCTGACTCCGACCCTCCTGCCTCCCTCTTATAAAGGCCCTGGGAGCAGAAGTAGGGGCCTAGGGTGAGCAGGCTTTGGTCATTAATATTAACTGGTCATTCAAACTCACAGATTAGTGAAGCTTAAGAATGCTTAGGGTTCGATACCAATGGGGAAACTGAGGCCCAAGGGGAGTTAAGGATCTGTCCAAGGCTGCAGGGCTAGTTTTCCAGCTTTCCTCCGTGCTGCCTGTCTGTTAAACTCAACTGACATTAGAAAAAGAGGAATATTGTTGTTGTCTGTGGTTGCTGTTCTTTAAGGCAGAGAACAAAATCCACCAGATTATTTTTCAGGGTTTGCTTTGCAAGTGAAGGCCCCAGAGCCCCCGAGTGTCATTAGTGCAGGAACTTGCTGTGCCTCTGGGCTCTTTGAAAGTTTCTTGCCTTGCTGGGGCCTCCATCCAGGGAACATGGAGGACTGGAGTGGGGTAGGGAGGGTGGACTGGGGCCAGAGGCACCCAGTGCTGCCACGTAGAGCAGTGGCAAACAATCGGTCCTCTGAGGCTGCCTGGCGGCTGTTGGTCACCCTTTGGCTATTTTTTTTTTTTTTTTTTTGAGACGGAGTCTCACTCTGTGGCTCAGGCTGGAGTGCAACAGTGTGATCTCAGCTCACTACAACCTCGCCTCCCAGACTCAAGCGATCCTCCCGCCTCAGCCTCCCAAGTAGCTGGGATTACAAGCGTGTGCCACCACGCCTGCCCAGCAATTTTTGTATTCTCAGTAGAGACGGGGTTTCATCATGTTGGCCAGGCTGGTCTCCAACTCTTGACCTCAAGTGATTCACCCGCCTCGGTCTCCCAAAGTGCTGGGATTACAGGTGTGAGCCACCCTGCCCAACCACCCTTCGGCTATTTCCACAGGAAGGAATGTTGTCCTCTGGCCTCGATTGGGGGTGGGTTCTGGGGGTGAAAGGAAAGCACTTGGAACCTACCCACTAAGAAAAAATTTCTCACAAGATCATTGACATTTTGCAGAAGTGACATGTGTGCATGTTTGGGTGGTGAGTGGAAGTGGGGAGGGGATTAATGCTTAAATTTGTTTTTCTTTCTAGAGCCAGCCAATTTCTCGCCGACATCAGAACACCTGGGTTTTAGTCCTGCCACTGGTTCTCTCCCAGTATGACTCTAAGTGAGTCTTGTGACTCCTCTGGGCCTCAGTTTACCCATCTGTAGAATCAAATGGCAAAATGGGCCGGGTGTGGTGGCTCACGCCTGTAACCCCAGCACTTTGGGAGGCTGAGGCACGTGGATCACCTGAGGACGGGACTTCAAGACCAGCCAGGCCAACATGGCGAAACTCCATCTCTAAAATACAAAATACCCTGACTAAAAATACAAAAATTAGCTAGGTGTGCTGGTGTACGTTTGTAATCTCAGCTACTCGAGAGGCTGAGGCAGGAGAATCACCTGAACCTGGAGGCGGAGGTTGCCGTGAGCTGAGATTGTGCCACTGCACTCCACCCTGGGTGACAGAGTGACACTCTGCCTCAGAAAAAAGAAAAAAAAGAAAAGAGTGGATAACCTCCTAGGTGCCCTCTGGGATTCCAGGACTCGGCCAGCTCATGCTTGGGTGCTTACCACAACCTCCCTGCTGGGCTCCCACTGCCCTCCTGTGCTCCTGGGGTCTCAAACCCACCTGCTCACTAGAACCAAACCCCCCTGACCACATTTGGGCTTTGCTCTCCGTCATGCTCCCACAACGCCCACCCTGGCGCCTGGCCCTCAGCAGGCCCAGCCCCATGAACTGGTAGGGAACGACTCAAAGCCTCCCAGAAGGAAGAGGTCAGCGAGCCCCCAGCACAGGGACTGGGCAAGGATTCTCTGTGCACCGGAGGGAAGCCCCTCTGTCTGGGTCCGTTCTGCAGGAGAACTGCAGAATCCCAGGAAACCAGTTGTTAAGGAGCCAGCAGCAGCCACTAAGTCAGATAATGAGTACTTGGGTTTTTCCAGCCCTGTTTACCTTGTGTTAAGTACACAAAAATGATGTCATGTGTGGCACAGCGGACGGGGTCTCTCTGGGCCTGGACTCTGGCCTCATCAGGGGCTCTCCCTCTCCTCACACCGGTCACCCCAATCCTCACCAGTATGGGTGGGCCTTGGGGAGGGGGCATCAAGGCCACATCAGAGTTCTCAGTTCTCTCCCAGCCTCCCATTTACTCCACTGCCCCCACCTCCCCAAGTTCAGCTGCTGTCATCTCTCAGCAGGAAGACCGCCCCATCCTCAGCTGGCCCTCCTGCTGCCACCCTATCTCCTCCACCTTTACCCCAGCCTGCAAAGCAGCACCCTGCAAAGCAGCACCCTGCCTGAGACCCTTGACTGACTCTAATTTTGCGCTCAGAAGAAAGCTTGGCCTGCCCTGAGGCCCTCGAGATCTGCCCCCGATCTCCTGCCTTGGAATACTTCCCCCCACACCCTGCGACTCCACGCTTTACCCCCCTCCACCCTCTGGAGCTCCTTGCACATTCTCGAAGCTTTACCTCCCCTCCTTGAGATCTTCATCCCTTGGGACCCCTTTTCTGCTCACACTGACTGTACTCCTACTCATCCTCCCTTCCTCAGGGGAGCCCTTCAGAGCCAACCCCTCCCCTACCACGTTCCCTCCTGTGCTCCCCCTCAGGGGGTCCTGCCCACAAAAGGAAAGCCACTGACATGTAGAGACTGCCAGACCTGCAAACTTTGCAAGACTCAGGAAGGGCCCTGGGGTTTGCCAATTACCTTAGGAAGAGATGTGGTGGGGTAGGAAGGAAGGGTGAGAACTTTGGTTGGGGAGGTAGGGAAGGCTTCCTGTAGGAGGAGGTGAAGGGGATGAGCCAAGGACTGCAGAAGAGGCCAGAAGGGGCCCTCTGGAGCTCCAGGCAGGGAGACCTCATCTTGTATCAACCCCAATTGCCTCCCCCACCTCCTTCTTCCCTCCCATTCTGCCTGGCTTTGGAACAATGGCCTGGGCCTTTCAGTAAAGGCTCACCAGGTGCTCCCAGCTTCCTCAGGGTCAGTGAGGATGGGCGAACACGGCCAGGTGGGGTGAGAGGGGTAACCTGCCCCTTGGTAGCAGCACACATGGTAGACCAGCCGGCAGTCACAGGAGGGCAGATCTGCAATATCCACTGTGGCCCCAGGCTGGTCTCCTCTGAACTGGCCCCAGCGGACTCAGTCGGAAAGGCCTCCTGTTCAAGAAATTGGTTCTCACCTGACATGAGGACTGAAGGCCTGGGGTTCCCCGTCAGGCAGCCTCTCGGGAAGAAGTGTCCCCCCATCCTCATTCTTTGAGTACCTGCCCCTTGTGCAGACCCAATGCAGCAGAGCATCCAGTAGGGCTGCTGCCTGCAAGAGGCCACGTCTGAGGATGGGGAGACTCTGCGGGCCCATGCGGTAGGTAGTCTACTGAGCACTTGCTTGGTGCCAAGCTCCATCCAAGCTGGGGTCTAGGGTCACAGGAGGAGCAAGACTCCCTTCCTGACCTCCAGGGACACCTTGTCCAGGGCAGGAAACAAACACAAGAATCCTTCATGCTTCATGCACACTCAACTGAGGACAGAGGTCAACCATGTAGACGGGCACTCCAACAGAGATGGCAACAGATTCACAATGGCCAAAGCCATCTCAGTTCCCCTCACAGCTCCTCTGTGATGGGAAGGTAGATCACATTTTACAACACTTATGCATAGAGGGCACATTTGTGCACACACCCAAAACCAGGCAAGTGCCTTAACCACTCTCGACCTCAGTTTTGACTTTTGCTAAATGGGCTTATGTTGTGTAGCTGTTGTGAGACTGGATGCAGGAATGGATGTGACAGGGCTCACCTCTCAGTAGGTATCCAGTGTTAGCTTCCTAAGCACAAGCAGCCGTCTTGGTGTGGGGCAAGATGGCAGGTGGGGACAGGGGTCTCTGACAGATGAAGTTGGGACCCCAATGCAGGAAGAGTGGGGTGAGTTGTCTGGGGCCAAACTTCAGGATGCCAGGCTCTGGGCACTGCCTTTACCTTACCTCTTCCCCCTGCAGGGTCAGGGAGGTCC
Organism: Homo sapiens; assembly: GCF_000001405.40. Taxonomy (NCBI): domain Eukaryota; kingdom Metazoa; phylum Chordata; class Mammalia; order Primates; family Hominidae; genus Homo; species Homo sapiens. Next base: position 31,597,150 of record NC_000017.11, on the reverse strand, counting down.
CCATCCTGCCCTCCCTTCTAGGCTCATGACAGACCAAGCCACCCCATGTCCACCACCCTGTTGCTCAGTTGATGGGTCATGAAGCCACATGAGCTCATTGTTCCGGCCTGTCCCAGCCTTGACCATTCTGCAGTGGAAGAGCTGGTCCTAACCTGGAAATCCCCCCCAGCAGGCAGAGGGAGCAGCGCCATGCCTCCCTCATCGTAGCTCCTGACTCGCTGGCAGTGGCAGCCACTTCCTCTGGCCAGGCTGGGCCAGCAGTTGCGCTGCCTATAAATAGAAGAGTGAGATTCCTCGTGGCCCAGTGAATGGCACTGACATCCTGCCTCCGCCTGACTGAGCCCTGAGTCACAGGCCCCTGCCGGAGGCCCTGCTGCTCTGGGCAGACCAGGCCTGCACCACTGACAAGGCCTAGGAGGAAGCATTAGGGCAGTCAAGAGTCCCTGGGGAGGCTGACTGAGGCTTAAAGAAACGGGGCTGGCATTTCCTCCCGGCAAGGCTGGCCAGGGCCCTGCACTCAGGCTGGCTGGTGAAGAAGCGTGCTGGGGGGCTGCGTGCATGCAGGCACGGTGTCAAGGTGGCCGGCCCCAGGAAACACAGCAGCCTCTACACTCCCTTCCAACAGTGCAATGGAAGGGGGGCGTTTCCCAAAAGCCTCATCTGTGCTCATGGCACCCTCATTCTGCCTTTGCTCATTTAAAAGCCAAAACCAAACCCACACAAGATAGGCACACCCACAGGAGCTCAGAAAATTGGTGGGAAGGCTGGAAAAACAGGCCTGGGCAAGGGCAGGAACCAAGACAGCTCCTGAGGGCCAAAAGGCGGGAAGGGCAAGCGCATAGATTGGGGGTGGGGAGCAGGAATGCGTGGCAGGAGGCAGCCGGGAGACTCTGACTGTCCTTGTCCTTCTGCCCATGAATTAGAGGAGTGGACAATCTTACTGGCTAGGTGGGTCACATGTCCACCCTATGGCAGGGCAGGGCAGAGGGAGCCTGGTAGACTCTGTCCAGCAGAGAAGAGGCAGTTCCTCCCCAAAAGAAACTAAAGGCCTGTGAGGAAAGGGAGTTGGGTGGTCCAGGCTCAGCAGATGCCCACCATCCATGCTCTGCTCTGAGAGGGCCATCAGACACCCACCTATCCAGCAGGCTCTCCCCACCGGCCCTCATTATTCCCCACTCCCGCCCTAGCTGCCTCGCACTCTAGCTTTTGGGATGTGTTTTATTTTGTTTTCTTGTTTCTTTCTCCTCCACTGGATCCACTGGATTCCACGCTCCATGAGGACGAGGACCAGGTCAGGATGTGTTCACCTTTCCCTGTGCAACTGGCACGTATTAAATGAATGAATGAGCAGCCTGCATGTGTGGGGCACACACACTCATGAGCACACCCCTTACATGCACTCCTCACACACACTCACTCCATAGGCACACTCTCCCCTCCATGGTGTTCTCATCTAGTTTAAGAAGTGTGCATAGTGGCTCATGCCTGCAATCCCAGCACTTTGGGAGGCTGAGGCAGATGGATTGCTCGAGCCCAGAAGTTTGAGACCAGCTTGGACAACATAGTGAGACCCCCATCTCTACAAAAAATACAAAAAATTAGCCAGGTGTGGTGGTGTTCGCCTGTGGTCCCAGCTACATGAGAGGATCACTTGAACCTGGAAGGCTAAGGCTATAGCAAACTATGATTTTGCCACTGCACTCCAGCAGCCCAGGTGACAGAGGCAAACCCTGTCTCAAAAACAAAATAAAACAAAACAAACATGAGGAGCCCACTCTCTCTCTCACTGTCACCTCTAAATCTCTCCCCAAATCCCAGCTGTGCGATTGCATTCTCTGCAGTCCTGAGCCATGAGGAGTGAGACATTCTCCTGATTCACACCCAGGCGTTGGTAATTTCTCAGTCCAGAGGGACTGGGGTGGAAAAACCTGCTCTTGCTCAGGAGGAGGGGAAGTAAGTTTCTGCCCCATTTAAAAAGCCTCACTGGGTCAGACCTGGGGCCAGCACTTTGGAAGGCCAAGGTGGGTGGATCACCTGAGGTCAGGAGTTCAAGACCATCCTGGCCAACATGGTGAAACCCCGTCTCTACTACAAATATAAAAATTAGTGGGGTGTGGTGGCATGCACCTGTAATCCCATCTACTCGGGAGGATGAGGCAGGAGAATCATTTGAACCCAGGAGGCAGAGGTTGCAGTGAGCTGAGATCATGCCACTGCACTCCAGCCTAAGTGACAGAGCAAGACTCCATCTCAAAAACAAACAACAAAACAAACAAACAAACAACAAACAGCCTTGCTGGTTCCCTGTTATCTACAAGTTGAAGCCCTACCTCCACTGCATGGCTTCTCAGCCCAGGCCAAACCTTGGGGCCACAGGGAATTTCTGCACTTCTCCAAATACCCCATGTTCTTTCCCATCTCCATGCCCGCATGCAAGCTGATCCTTCCACCTAGAATTCGTTTCGCTCCCCTCCCCTGGTCCCCATTGCTTGCTCACCTTGCAAACTCCTAGTTATACTTCAAGACCCATCCAGATTTCATCCCCTTGCAAGACTATGAGCAACAGTAATGGTTTCTACTCCTCCCTTACCCAATTTGTCCTAAATGCTCAAGAAGCACAGATATACAGAACTGTGGGCTTGGCAAGGCCCTTAAAGACCCACAGTGGTCTGCAAGCCCAGGGTGGTTGGAAATGTGTAGGGTATTTTTTGGTTGCCACAGTGACAGGGACTGCTGCTGGCATTTAGTGGACTGGGGACCAGGAATGCTCACTAGGAAGAACTGTCCCTCCCAAAGGGTCAATAGCACCCTATTGAGAAATACTGAGCTGCCTCCTCTTGAATGGGGAACCCATGGCCAGGGAGGGGAGACGTCTTGCCAAGGTCACACAGCACCAAGGTGGCTGGTACTCACTCCTTTCATGGAGCACTCCTGGGCGGTGGGCCTGACAGTGGCCCTCTGACCCTCCAGGTCCTTAGATCCTGGCCTGGTGCTGGCCATGCTACCAGCGCCAAGGATGTCATGAGAAATGTGTCTGGGAATGCCCCTACAGCTCTCACCAGCTGCTGCACCTTCCCCACCCATGCTGGAGGCCAGATGGCCTGGCGTAGGCGATGATGTGCCTGGAATGTGGAGCCAGCCTGCCCGGGGAGGGGAGAGCCCGGCTTGTGGCTCACACACAGTCACCAGAGTGAGGGCCAGAGTTCTACAATTACAGTGTCTGGTTCCATGAGCTTATCCAAACACAAAGATCTGAGCCTGGGCACTAGTGAGCACAACACTCCAGGGCCCAGCCTGGCCAAGGCAGGTGGGGAGAGAGAGGCGAGGCCTGGTGTGAGAGGCGAGGCCTGGTGTGCCCAAAGTCATGCCCTCACCCCTGCTCCGAGATGGCATGGCTAGCCATCCGCAGAACTCCCACCCTCAGGCCCTTACGATGGGCTAGAAACTGAAAATTATACACACACACAAAGAGACAATGGTATAACAAACCCTGATATACCCACCACTCAGCTGTGACAATCATCGACCTATGACCCATCCTGCCTCATCCAGACCCACCCACCTTCCCATTCACATCCCTCCTCGCTGTGTGTGTGTGTGTGTATGTGTGTGTTTTGAGATGAAGTCTCACTCTGTCGCCCAGGCTGGAGTGCAGTGGTGTAATCTCAGCTCACTGCAACCTCTGCCTCCTGGGTTCAAGCGATTCTCCTGACTCAGCCTCCTGAGTAGCTGGGACTACAGGTGCACACCACTGCACATCCTGCTAATTTTTGTATGTTTAGTAGAGACGGGGTTTTCCCATGTTGGCCAGGCTGGTCTCAAACTCCTGACCTCAAGTGATCCACCCACCTCCGCCTCCCAAAGTGCTCGATTCCAGGTGTGAGCCACTGCACTCGGCCAGTTTTGAAGCAAATCTCAGGCATGACATCATTTCATCCATAAATATTTCAGGGTATATCTTCAAAAGAACTCTTCCTTCCAAAAAACAAAGCGCCATAATCACAACAAACAAATTAACAATAGTTGCTATTATTATCAAAGAGCAGGTCAATGTTCCAATTTGTAATTGTCACACAGTTGCTTTTTGACAGTTTGTTTAGATTTTGATCCAAATGAGGTCTACACATTACAGTCGTCAGTATATTCTCTGAGTGTTTTTGGGTCTAGAGGTTTTGCTTTGTTTTGTTTTTGAGACAGAGTTTTGCTCTTGTTGCCCAGGCTGGAGTGCATTGGTGCGATCTCGGCTCACTGCAACCTCTGCCTTCCAGGTTCAAGCGATTCTCCTGCCTCAGTCTCCTGAGTAGCTGGGATTACAGGCACCCACCACCACGCCTGGCTAATTTTTGTATTTTTAGTAGAGACGGGGTTTCACCATGTTGGCCAGGCTGGTCTCGAGCTCCTGACCTCAGGTGATCCACCCACCTTGGCCTCCCAAAGTGCTGGGATTACAGGTGTGAGCTGCCACACCCAGCAAGGTTTTTGTTTTGTTTTTGCTTGCAATTTATTTACTGGAGGAAACGAGTTGTTTGTCTTGTGGTATTTTCCTCCATCTGGGTTTTGTGGATTGCTCCCCTGTGGTGTAGTTCAACATGTTCCTCTATCCTCTGTTTTTCCTAAAAGTTGGCAGTTGGAAGTAGAGGCTTGATCAGATTCAAGTTATAGATAGATAGATAGATAGATAGATAGATAGATAGATAGATAGATACACACACACACACACACACATAAGACCATGTCCTTAGCTGGCATCAAATTCTTCTATTAGGAGGCACATAATGTCCAATTATTTGTTCCTGATGTTAGCAGCCATGGAAGCTTCAAGCAATTAATTCATTAAGGACTTCAGAATGACATTATATTTCAATCATTCAGCATTTATTAGCTGGAATCCATCTATAAAAGAGACTTCCTCTCCTCTATGATTTGGTTACATAGTGATTCTGTTTGAAAGGGACTTTTGTAGTTGATCAGCTCTCTCAAAGGACTGCTAGGGTAAGTGGGCCAGAGAGGGCAAGTCCCTCACTAAAGGACACACAGCAAATTGGGAGCAGGGCAAGAACTCAAACCCAGGTCTGCTGCTTCATGCGCAGCACTGATCTGGAGGCTGCACGGTGGAGCAGGAATCAGGCCTGGACTTGAATCTAGGACCTGCCATTTATAACCAGTGGCCTTTGGGCAAATCTTTCAGCCCTGATGCTTCTCTGTAAATGTAGGGATAATCCCATCTCCTTGACACAGCCCCAGGTTCACCAAGGTTAGTTTCCTCTTTGTAAGAGGGACTTGGAGAAGCCCAGTCTGACCTCCCAATGTGAGGTCCATTCACCAAGTCAACCCTCAGGTTCACAGCCTTTCCCTCTTACTTTCTATGGCTGCTTCCGGACCTGCCTAAGGGCCCTCCCAGGAGCATAGCCCTGGCCAAGGAGAGAGACTATTTCTCAGAAAGCACAGGCCTCTCCCAGCAAATGGTGAGCTCAGAACCAGCTACATATTTTATGGGGCCTTTTGTTCAAAATTATTAAGAATTTCAACATGGTGAAAGCATAAACAAAGCACAGAACCCTTTTAGTGGTGGGCTCTGTTGTGACTGCGTGAGTGGCAGGCCCACAGAGGTGGCCTGGGGTGAGCTCTGTCCCCGCTTGTGTTTGAAGGCATGTGGACACACCTCATTCGACTCAACAAAACTTGAGTGTATAAGTCAGGACACATTGGCCATAACCAACACAAACCCAAATCAAACTAGCTTTGGCTAAAAGAGTTTACAGTAAACAGCGTTTCATAATCATAGTCCTGTAAATGTTGTTTCTTGGGAATCTTTTGAGTCGACCTGTTGACAAAGCTATAAACATTTATTGTGGAAGGCTGGGCGTGGTGGCTCATCCCTGTAATCCCAGTGCTTTGGAAGGCTGAGGCAAGAGGATAGCTTGCATAGTAAAACCCCAGTCTCTACAGAAAATTAAAAAACTAGCAGGCGTGGTGGTGAACACCTGTAGTCTCAGTTACTAGGGGAGCTAAGGTGGGAGGATTGCTTGAGCCTGGGAGGTCAAGGCTGCAGTGAGCTATGACTGCACCACTGCACTCCAGCCTGGGAGACAGAGCAAGACCCTGTCTCAAAAAAATAAATAAATAAAATAATAATAAATAAAATAACCAGTCCGGGTGCAGTGGCTCACACCTGTAATCCTAGCACTTTGGGAGGACGATGTGGGTGGATCACTTGAGCCCAGGAGTTCAAGACTAGCCTGGGCAACATAGGGAGACCCAATCTCTACAAAAAATACAAAAATCAGCCACACATGGTGGTGCATGACTGTCATCTCAGCTACTCAGGAGGCTGAGATGAGAGGATCGCTTGAGCCCAGGCTTGCAGTGAGCCAAGATCATACCACTGCACTCAAGCCTGGGTGACAGAACAAGACCCTGTATCAATCAATCAATCAATCAAACATTGTGGAGAAGAGAATGTGAATGTCAATAACACAGACAATACAAAAATTATACCTGACAGCCGGGCGCCGTGGCTCACGCCTGTAATCCCAGCACTTTGGGAGGCCGAAGCAGGGGCAGATCATGAGGTCAGGAGATCGAGACCATCCTGGCTAACAGTGAAACCCCGTCTCTACTAAAAATAGAAAAACAAAATTAACCACGCATCCCAACTCCCTATAAGAGCTCCCGGTTGCAGTCATCTCCACAGCTGTCATACTTGTACCTTGGTGGTACAAGGTACAAGTGGTGTACAGTGTACAGTGGTGGGCACCTGTAGTCCCAGCTACTTGGGAGACTAAGGCGGGAGAATGGTGTGAACCTGGGAGGTGAAAGTTGCAGTAAGCCGAGATCACACCACTGCACTCCAAGCCTGGGCGACAGAGTGAGACTCCATCTCAAAAAAAAAAAAAAAAAAAATTATAGCTGGCAGAGATAGGGTGTGAACAAGCAGATAAAATGGTAAGGGCATCCATATTTATTCTTATTCTAAAAAGGGTGGGAAGACAAAAAACACTGTCTAAAGTTGAACAAAAGAAATAGACTTTTTTTTTTTTAAGACAGAGTCTCACTCTGCCACCCAGGCTGGAGTGAAGTGGCGCCATCTTGGCTCACTGAAAGCTCTGCCTCCCAGGTTCAAGCGATTCTCCTGCCTCAGCCTCCTGAGTAGCTGGGACTACAGGTGCGTGCCACCACACCCAGCTAATGTTTGTATTTTTTAGTAGAGACAGGACTTCGCCATGTTGGCCAGGCTGGTCTTGAACTCCTGACCTCAAGTGATCCGCCCGCCTCGGCCTCCCAAAGTGCTGGGATTTACAGGTGTGAGCCACTGTGCCCGGCCAGAAATAAACTATTAGATATAGGTCATCAGTAGATGACCTACATGTACTATACATTTCAAAGTTGAGGGGGTTAGGAGGGTAAATAAGCTAAATCCTCATGTACCTTACAGAAAAGTTGATGGCTATTGGTCTAAAGTTATAAATCAAGAAATAGGTGTGTAAGCATATGATCTAGTAACTGGGGTAACTACAGAAAAAAATACAAAAGGAAATGTGTGAAACAGCTTGTGTCTGGAGTACAGCTGGGGTAAAGCGGGGAGAATAGGGCAGAAGGCTGGGGATTTTCTTTATAAGCTCTTTTGTGCTATAGGGGCAGCATTCCAAATCCACAAATCCGAAATCCAAAAGGCTCCAAAACCTGAAACATCTTGAGTGCCAACATGATGCGCAAAGGAAATACTCATTGGAGCATTTTAAATTTTTGGATTCCGGGTTTGTGATGTTCAGTCCGTAAGTATAATACAAATATTCCAAAATTTAAAAAAAATCCAGTATCTGAAACACTTCTACTCCCACACCTTTTGGGTAAGAGATATTCAACGTGTATTTGATTTGTTACTATGCTCTTGTATATTTTGATAATAATAAGGTAAAAAAGGGATGGAGTTTATTGCCTCATATAAGCCAGACACAGAAAGGCAGAGGGGCTAATAATCTCAGCTGACTGCTTCAGGGCCTCATTCTCTCAGGCTCCACCATACAGCCACTGGTAGCTCTAGAATCAGATTTTTCAATTTTTTTTTTTTGAGATGGAGTTTTGCTCTCGTCACCCAGGCTGGAGTGCAACGGCGCAATCTCAGCTCACTGCAACCTCCGCCTCCTGGGTTCAAGCAATTCTCTTGCCTCAGCCTCCTGAGTAGCTGGAATTAGAGGGCCCGCCACCACACCTGGCTAATTTTTGTATTTTTAGTGGTGACAGGGTTTCACCATGTTGGCCAGGCTGGTCTCAAACTCTTGACCTCGGGTGATCTGCCTTGGCCTCCCAAAGTACTGGGATTGCAGGCGTGAGTAACCGTGCCTGGCTGGAGTCAGATTCTTAACAGCTCATGATCCAAGGGGAAAATTCCAAATATTCCAGAAAAGGACTCTGATTGGATCTCATGTCCAGCCCCTGAACCAAACCTGGGCATGATTGGGTCACCAAGATCATGTGACCACTGGGTTACCAGGACGGCTAAAATGCTCCAGGACCAGATAGAGTGATAGGGAAGCAGTTCTCTGAGCAAAGAGAGTGCTACTATTAGAAGAAAGAGAGAACAGATGCTGGGGACAAAAATCAACAGAAGCTCATGACACTGGGACTCTACCATGGGCCTGTCCCTGGTACAAGGTACAAGTATGACAGCTGTGGAGATGACTGCAACCGGGAGCTCTTCTAGGGAGTTGGGATGGGAGATGTAGACAAGGAAACAAATCACTGTTATCCAAGGGTGAATGTGGAAAGAGCCACAACATCCACAGGAGGTTCTATGAGAGCTAATGGACAATCAGCCACTGCCCACTGAGACGTCTTATGAATTCCAAGGACCAGACGGTCCCTGCTACAGCACAATTATGGGTTCGGATTCCATTTCTGCTCAGGGAAATTACTTCACTTCTCTGAGCCTACTTCTCCATCAGTATGATGCAACAGTGATTCCAAGTCGGCAGTTGTTATAGATTGGCTTGGGAAGCTGAGAGCTTGGCACGAGGTAGACATCTACCTCCCAGGGTCCCAGGGCCACCCATCCACATTGCCAGCTTTTTCTTCAACACTAGCTAAGGTGCATTAATTTCAATTTAGCTTATAGCCAAAATGTCCTTCTTAGAGTTGTTTCATTATCTGGTCTGTAGGATACTAGAAAATTATCCAAATGCCTAAGATAACCTGACTACACCAAAATTGTCAGTGTAATCCCCATTAGAACAGGTGCTCCCTGAAGGCAGGCAAAATAGTATTCACGTTTGCATCTTTCTCTAGTACTTAACAAAATGGACACTCATTCATAAAGATTTTTTTAAATCAAATATATGAATAAAGGGATGAATGAGGCCCTAGAAAGGATACTTTCTAGGAAAATTGTGAAATTGTAAAAACAAGAGATCAGTTTGCCAAGATAGACTCCTGGCAGCCCCTCCTCCTAGCTTCGGAGGTCAGCTAAGGATAAGTGGAGAGCAAGTGTGTACCCTGGCATGGGGACTGGGAGGCAGGGCGCACTGGACCAGACAATGGACAATGGGCCCACTGCATTTGTTCATTCAACAGATGTTTACCAATCACCTGCCATCTGCCAGGCACCTGGGATACATCAGCAGCAAAGAGAAAAAAACTCACCCTCTGGGACCTGATATCCCGGGCATGATGTGTGAAGAGCTGCGGTGGCCCCTGAAGGAACCTGGCCTATGCATCCCCGTGGTTGCATCTTCCCATCGATGTGTTTCTAATATTAGTTGCAATAACCACAGCGATCATTCATAGGGAACCTACTGTATTAGTCAGGATCATTTCGGTTTTAAGTCACAGAAACAACTCAAACTGCCTTAAGCAAATAAAAAGGAAAATGTTGATGTCTTCATTCCTAAAATTACCAGAGATTAACTAGCTTCTGGCCTGGCTGGATCCAGGAGCTACAAAGACATCATCGGGACTCTGCGTCCTGTGCTGGCTCTTGCTCCACTTCCTTCTGACTTCATTCTACTGACTTCATTCTCAAACAGCCGAATAGTAAAAATGGCCTCTGGCAGCTGCAAGCCAATGATCTCAGCAAAGAGCAAGTACCTCTTTCCTGATCGTTCCAGCAAACCTTTGGGGCACTGTTACAGTGCCTGGCCAGACTTAAGTCCCATGCCCAGGCCTGAGCCAATTCTTGGAGTCAAAGCCTGGGATGTGGTGATTGAACTTGGATCTGGTGGCAGGCCTGGGAAGGGGGTGTAGAAGACAGCACCATTTACTCAGTAGGGACTGAGACTGGGCCCCAAAACTGGGACTTATTGGAAGACATGGTGAGGCACAGGCAGCCCCAACAATGCCCGCTACACTCATGCACCAGGCACAAACTAAGTTAAGCCCTGCAGAGGTCCTAGGCAGTGAGAACATTCTTAATCCTATTTTTCAGACTGGGAGACCCACTCAGGGAGGCAGACCCACTCAGGGAGGCAGAGTACCTTGCCAGCATCTCATACCTCAGTGGAGGATCAGGGAGTATGGATTCTTTTATACCAGGCAGAGAGGTTAGTGGGGAGGCCATAGCCTCTGAAATACAGCAGAAGATCAGAGAGTATTTGACTGATTAAATGTAGTGAATGGAGGGGAAGACAGCAAGGGGAATAATCTCTGATGAATTTGGCACCATCCTGGCCCCCTATCAACTCTCCCATCCCCATAGTAATGATACATAAATCACAGATAAAGCTGGTGCAGTGGCTCATGCCTATAATCCCAGCACTTTGGGAGGCCAAGGAAGGAGGTTCACTTGAGCCCAGGAGTTGTAGACCAGCCTGGGCAACACAGAGAGACTTCGCCTCTATTGTTATCTTTAAAAATAATAATAGACCAGCCTGGGCAACACAGAGAGACTTCGTCTCTATTGTTATTTTTAAAAATAATAATAAGGCTGGACGCGGTGGCTCATGCTTGTAATCCCAGCACTTTGGGAGGCTGAGGCAGGCAGTTCACTTGAGGTCAGGAGTTCGAGACCAGGCTGGCCAAAATGGGGAAATCCCGTCTCTACTAAAAATACCAAATTAGCTGGATGTGGTGGTGCATGCCTATAATCCCAGCTTCTTGGGAGACTGAGTCAGGAGAATTGCTTGAACTCGGGAGGCGGAGGTTGCAGTGAGCCAAGATGGCGCCACTGCACTCCAGCCTGGGCAACACAGCAAGACTCCATCTCAAAAAAAAGCAATAATAATAAAATAAAAATAAAAAATAAATATATCACAGATAGTTATTCATTTATTCACATTCCCACACATCTATCCTCTGGTTCAATGTTTGCTGAGTAGAGTAGGGCAGATCCTGGAGCCAGGCTGCCTGGGTTCACTAGGAAATATCCTTCGGCAAGGAATTAATTGCTGAAGCTTTAATTTGGAGGTTGAAGCTCCACAGGGCAGGAATGAGGGAACAGAGGAGTGAAGTACGAAATTGATAGGAAGCAGGGCAAGACGATGGATAACCACACGGCTGCCACTTCACAGCAAGCAAACCTTGGCTCCAGGAAGGGAGAGAGAAAGAAGGAATTTACCCTCCCATTTCCTATTGCTCAAAGGTCATCCCATAGAACTCTCTCGCCCCCACCCCACTTCTGGGTTGCATTCTCCAGCCCCTTTAGCAGCCATGTGGGAGCCAGGTCCCACGTCCTCCTGGGATGTGGTCTCAGAGAAGTCAGGCTGGAAAAGCAGCTGGTCGGCTTTAGCTGTGGAAACAACTGCGGGGACCCCATGGAGTCCTTCAGCCCTGGCTGTGGCCAAGGCCCAGCAAGCAGCCAATGGTCTGACGGGTGGGGGAGCTGCGAGGATCTGATGAGGCAAGCAAGATGCATGTGACACAGCCACATTCCAGCCAGGCCTTAACTTCTCCGAGCCTCAGTTTCCTTGGCTGAAGCATCTGTGAAATGGGCAGCTGGACTAAACTGAGATTGCCAACCTGACATCCTCCAGACCTCTGGGAGGAGTCCATAATTTGTTGGTGCCAAGCTCATCATCATCATCATCATCATCATCATCATCATCATCATCGTCCTCTTTGCCTACGGCTGGAATGATTTCAACTCCAGGTCCTTCCCTTGGCTTGTGTAGTGATGGAGCAGTCAGCTGAGACAGTGAGTTGTGCATATGCCTTGAAGAATACATTTGGGGAAGTGGATTCTGGCTTCCTGTATGGGGTTTAGTAGATATTATCTTTCAAGCCCTGGAATCCACAGGGGGAAAATAACATTGGTCTAGACAGGTGAAAGGTGAGAATTATGGCACATGATCATTGGCACATGGTAGGCACCTACCTCTCAGGGTCCCAGGGCCACCCACCCACATTTCCAGCTTTTTCTTTAACACTGGATAAGATGCATTAATTTCAACTTAGCTTAAGGCCAAAATATCCTCCTTAGAGTTTCGGGGAAAAATTCCAAATATTCCAGGGAAGGACTCTGATTGGATCTCATGTCCAGTCCCTGAACCAATCCAGGGTGTGATTGGCTCACCAAGGTCATGTGACCACTGGGTTACCAAGAAGGCTAAAATGCTCCAGGACCAGATAGAGCGATAGGGGAGCAGTTCTCCAAGGAAAGGGAGTGTTACTATTAGGAGAAAGGGAGAACAGACGCTGGGAGACATCTTGACAGTCCCTCCCAGCAATGATGTTCTTGGCTACCAGGATTCCATGAGCACCTTCCAAGCAGTCCCAAGCTCCATTTATGAAGGGACACCCAAATACCCAAAAGGAGAAAGGTGCCATTCCTCCAGCTACCTCACTGGTCCAGCTGTGTTCCCTGCACCAGCCCTAGGTTCATCAGCCATGTGACCTTGGACAGGTCATTCTACCTCTCTGACCCTGTTTCCTCAACAGTAAAATGAGGCTGATGTCTAGATATAAAAATTGAAACATACGCCCATACAACGAATGAAAGAAACATACGTGAATGTTCAAAACAGCCTTAGTCATAATAGGCAATATCTGGAAACAGCTCAAATATCTGTCACCTGATAAATGGCTAAACAAACCGTGGCACACCCATACAATAGAATAATAGAATGCCTTCCAGCAATAAAAAGGAACGAACTACTGAGATGCATGCAACATGTGGATGGGTCTCAAAAACATGCTGAGTAAAAGAAACCAGACACAAAAGAGTACATGCTATATGATGACCTTTACATGAAATTCTAGAGAAGGCAAAATGAATCTGCAAAACAAAGGCAGATCAAGGTTGTCTGAGTCAGAGGGATTGGTCATAAAGGGGATAAAGAAACTTTTAGGGGCAAATAAGAAATATTCCACATCATGATTGTGGCAATAGTTACAAGGGTGCACGCATTTGACAAAACTTATGAATTATACACTTACGGGTGGGTTTTGTTACATGTAAAGTATACCTCAATAAAGTTTATTTTAAAAAATACAAGACCAAAGAAAAACACTGCCTGTATTAAAACCCTTTCTGTGACAGAAACCCAACTCAGGCTGGTTTTAGGGAAAAAAGGACAGGCACACTGGCTCGCACCTATAATCCCAGTGCTTTGGGAGGCTGAGGTGGGAGGATCACTTGAAGCCAGGAGTTTGAGACCAGCCTGAGCAACACAGCAAGACCGCATCACTAGAAAAAAAAAAAATTAATTAGCCGGGTGTGGTGGCATGTGCCTGTGGTCCCAGCTACTCAGGAGGCTGAGACAGGAGGATTGCTTGAGCCCAGGAGTTTGAGGTTGCAGTGAGCTATGATTGCACCACTGCACTCCAGCCTGAATGACAGAGCAAGACCCTGTCTCTAAAAAAAGAAAAGAAAAAAGAAAAGGAAAAAGAAAAAGGAAAGGAAGGAAGGAAGAAAAGAAAAGAAAAAAGAAAAGAAATGTATTGGCTCACAAAATCAGGTTAGTCCAGGCTGCAGCTGGTTTCAGGCATGGCTGGATCCAGGGGCTCACTGATGTCTGGATCCATACTCTCCATCTCTTTGTTTTGTTTGTTTGTTTTGAGATGGAGTCTTGCTCTGTCGCCCAGGCTGGAGTGCAGTGGCATAATCTCAGCTCACTGCAAGCTCCGCCTCCTGGGTTCATGCCATTCTTCTGCCTCAGCCTCCCAAGTAGCTGGGATTACAGGCACCCGCCACCATGCCCAGCTAATTTTTTTGTATTTTTAGTAGAGATGGGGTTTCACTGAGTTAGCCAGGATGGTCTCGATCTCCTGACCTTGTGATCCGCCCACCTGGGCCTCCCAAAGTGCTGGGATTACAAGCCACGGTGCCTGGCCTCATCTCTTCATTTTCTTTCCTCTTTGTTGGCTTTGTCAAGTTGAGGACAGGATGGCCACCAGCAGTTCCCAGCCTACATCCTATCAATACAGCAACTCCCTCAGAAAAAGAATGCTTCTTTCCCCATAACTGCTGCAGATGTCCCATGGCAGAGTCTCAGGACTTGGCCTCCAGGCCTGGAACACATGCCAGTGTCTAAAGCCAGGGTTTGGGGTTGGCCACACCAGAACCCCAGAGATACAGGGTAGGGGAGAAGTGATCTCCTGAAGTTATTAACAGAAAAAAGAGGTATTAAAAGAGGTATTATCAGAAGGGGGCATGGAAAGCCAACAGATGGCCACCTCATACCCAGGGAGTAGTGTCAGCATACACCCCTACCTCCAGACAATTCCACATTGGCCAGACTATCAGGGACAGACCTCAAACCCACGCGGGCCCAAGGCTGCTTTTCCGTGACATCACAAACTCTGCCTATTAGCTACAAGAATCAAAACAGAAAGTAAGCACTAATTGCTTCCCCACCAGTCCAGCCAAACAGAAAGCCCTTCCTGCCTGTGCTGGGCTGTCTGCACCCCAAGGAAGCTGGCAGGGGAGGGAGCAGTTCCACATCAGCCACTCTGGCCCAGGCCCAGCAGGAGTGCCTCGGAGCTGACGGAGTCCGGGCTTATAGGACAAACCCCCTAGAGGGGAAGATGCCTCTGTGGGCGCTGGGCCTCAGCAATCTAGACCTGATGGGAATCCAGAGCAAAGAGGTAAAGCTTCAGTTTTCCAGTCCAGAGCCACTGTCCCAATACTTCACCCAGGGAGGAGACTGTCAGGAAAGGTTGTCCTTGCAGGGTCAAGGATGGAAGGCACCATCCTCAGGCTGTGACCCAAACTTCATTTCCTGAGCCGTGTGGGGCAACCACCATTCACTGGGCATCTTCCCCATGCCAGGCATCACTGAGTTCTCTGCTGAAGTGTACTCCTGGCCGGGAAGGGAAAGGCAGCCACAATTTCTTGTATCTATTTGGAAGAAGCCTAGAAAGTACCCACATTCCTACAGGGAACTATGGCACCCATCAAACAAATGAGGCAACAGGCTCAGCAGGGAGCTTTACCCCAGGTTCTCAGCTCAGTGACCGCCTTGATCAGACTCCCAGGCAAAGGCTCGTCCCAGCCCAACTCCAGGAGGTCAAAGCGCTTGTCTCAGCCTTGTCCAGCGGCTAGGCTGCTGACTGAGCTGAGGGCACTTCTGATCCAGGAAGCAGGAAGCCAAGGCAGCTTAGGGCTATCTTCCAACCCAGCTCCCCAGGGAACCTGGGCAAGAAAAGCCTGAGCTGATGCCCACTGCCCCATCTCCCACTAAGGTGCTGGCTGAATCTGCCTGTACAGCCATGCTGCTTTCTGGGAAGCAGGTTTAATGGACATCGCTGCCAAGAGTGTACACTCTGCTGCAAAGTGCTGGGCCGGGGGACGGTGAGAGCCAGACTGAGGAGGGAGAGGGCCAATGCCAAGCAAGGAAGGAGCGGAGGAGTACACGGGGCCCTCCCTTCCAAAGGAAGCCCGAGGGCTGGCCCAGAGCCACTGGGCTCCGGGAAAATGGTGTTCTGAGCTCCCAGATTCTATCTCTACCCTCCACGAGCAAGGCAGGCTGGTCCTCCGGCTCTGCAGACCTGCCAGGGAACAGCTGACCACTTCCTGGAGCCGACAATGCACCCATCGTTAGCTCCCTGCGCTGGCTGCCTGCCCAGCCTGCCCGCAGGCCAGGCCTCTGGAGCTGAGCTGGGCAGGAAGGAGAGAGGGGCAGGGACAGTCTGCTAGAGACCTGGGCACCCCCAGTAGAGCTCTGTCCCTGAGGACTCAGACAAGCAAGCCCCATGCAGGGCTGTGTTCCTTCCTAGATGCCTCTGTCCAGGCAAGGAGAGCTGGGTGACATGGGCCAAGCCTCTTGAGTGTTCTGAGCCTGTTCCTCATGTGTAAAATGGGGCCAAATCTCACCGTGCCCACAGCTGGGATTAGTGCAACAGGGCAGGCTGCGGGCAGCTGTGGGTCCAGGCTGGCTGGCAGGGGACACAGAGCATTGGGAAACTAGGGGATGATGACTCACCCTGCTGGGGCAGCCCCTACCCACGCCTCAGCATACTGTGATGACCAAGTGTCCAATTATTATTAAGCACAAGAATATGCTTCTTATGATCCATATGCTCATCATGAATACTAATGACTAGTACTACTGAAACAGCACTAATCTGGAGGGTCAGAAGTTGTGTATTTTACATCTCATCTCTGCCATATTCTGTGTCTTCAGATAAGTCCCCCGATCCCCTTAGCCTCAGTTTTCTGCTTGCAAAATGAGGATCAAAAGATGACTGAGCAGCAGAGACAGTAACGGAAATGAAAGTTGGCCAACTGCAAATGGTCACATCCCTTGATCGGGCTCTGAAGGCAAAGCTGGAGGAAACCTCTTCCATCTCTAGCTTGTGGGCATTTAACCCAACAGTTCTCCTCTGATTGCTTAAGAGACTCACCTGAGGAACATAAGAAAAAAAAAAATAATAACTGGTCAGGTGTGGTGGCTCATGCCTATAATCCCAGCATTTTGGGAAGCTTGAGCCCAGGACTTCAAGACCAGCCTGGGCAACATAGTGAGACCTCGTCTCTACAAAAAAAATTTTTTAAATGGCCAGGCACTGGGCGTGGTGGCTCATGCCTGTCATCCCAGCACTTTGGGAGGCTGAGGCGGGCAGATCACTTGAGGCCAGGAGTTTGAGACCAGCCTGGCCAACATGGTGAAACCCTGTCTCTACTAAAAATACAAAAGTTAGCCGCACGAGGTGGTGGGCACCTGTAATCCCAGCTACTCGGGAGGCTGAGGAAGGAGAATCACTTGAACCCAGGAAGCAGAGGTTGCCATGAGACGAGATCGCACCACTGCACTCCAGCCTGTGCCACAGAGCAAGACTCTGTCTCAAAAACAAAAACAAAAACAAAAACAACCACCAGCCAGGCGCGGTGGCACACACCACACGCTACTTGGGAGGCTGTGGGAGAATCACTTGCACCCCGGAGATTGAGGCTGCAGTGACCCAAGATCGAGCCACTGCACTCCAACCTGGGAGACAGAGAGAGACCCTGTGTTAAAAAAACAAACAACAAATAAAAAACAACAAACAAAAACAAAGATACCAGTCTTTGGGCCCTTTCATTCCCCAGCAATTCAGATCCAATGGGTCCTGCATGGGACCAGGCATTGGCATGTTTTTAATGCTCTCAAGTGATTCTTCTGTGCAGCCAGGTCAAGAAGCAATGCAGCCGCCCACTTATAAATCAGACGGGATAAAGCCCTCTTGTCCGGCATCCTCACTGACAATTTCATCAATCCTGGTTTAGAGAGACCTGGTGCTGCTCAAACACCCTCCAGCAAGATCACTGAGCTTCCTGGCCAGAGGCCAGCAGCGGCCCACAGCATATCCTGCTTGGTAAAAAGAAAATAAAGGCTTTCTGGCCTGAGGGCACAGGGCCATTGCTCAAATGAGTTATGAGCCTGACCCTTTTAAAAGTCCCAATCCTGCTAACTGGGTGGGGAAGTACAGGCATGAGTTAAAAAGGCTGGAAAGATAGATTTAATTAGCAGACATTATCTCTAGGTATGGGCATTTATAAGCCCTTTCCATCTCTTTTTGTTTTGTTTTGTTTTGTTTTTTGGAGGCAGGGTCTGGCTCTGTCGCCAAGGCTGGAGTGCCATGCAGCGATTTTGGCTCGCTGCAACCACCACCTCGCGAGTTCAAACAATCCTCTCACCTCAGCCTCCTGAGAAGCTGGGACTACAGGCATGCACCACCACACCCAGCTAATTTTTGTATTTTTTGTAGCGACGGCGTTTTCGCCATGTTGCCCAGGCTGGTCTCAAACTCCTGAACTCAAGTGATCAGCCCACCTAGGCCTCCCAGAGTGCTGGGATTATAGGTATGAGCCACCAAGCCTGGCCCCTTTGTATTTTTCAAATGCCCTATAGTAGAAGGCAATTATTTTATAATTGGGAAAAAACAGTAATCAGTTTTATGTTTGATATATTGCCTCTTTTAAAAAGTTGACGTAGGCTGGGCGCCGTGCCTCACGCCTGTAATCCCAGCACTTTGGGAGGCCAAGGAGGGTGGATCATGAGGTCAGGAGATAGAGACCATCCTGGCTAATACGGTGAAACCCCATCTCTACTAAAAATACAAAAAATTAGCTGGGCGTGGTGGCGGGCACCTGTAATCCCAGCTACTCAGGAGGCTGAGGCAGGGGAATCACTTGAACCTGGGAGGCGGAGGTTGCAGTGAGCCGAGATCATGCCACTGTGCCACTGTACTCCAACCTGGGTGACAGAGTGAGACTCCATCTCAAAAAAAAAGAAAAAACCAAAAAAGTTGATGTATTATCTTTTGCAAATGTTTTGTGGTAAAGAATGAAGAACTGGCCAGGTGCAGTGGCTCACACCTATAATCCCAACATTTTGGGAGGCTAAGGCAGGAGGATTGCTTGGGCCCAGGAGTTTGAGACCAGCTTGGGCAACATGGCAAAACCCTGTCCCTACAATAAATGCAAAAATTAGCCAGGCATGGTGGTGTGCGCCTGTAGTCCCAGCTACTCGGGAGGCTGAGGTGGGAGGATCGCTTGAGCCCAGGAGGTAGAGGTTGCAGTGAGCCTGGTTCAGGCCACTGCACTCCAGCCTGGGTGGCAGAGTTAAGATTCTATGTCAAGAAGGAAAAAAAAAAGAATGAGGAACACATGTAAGAACAAGGAGGTTCAGGGGAATGAAGGGCAGGAGAAAGGGGCCCCATGGGAGGGGATGGTTGAGGGGAGCAAATGGCAGGGAAGCTGATCGGGGATGAAGGAACCTTTGCAACACCCCTGTCCGTTGGAGGTTGCGAGAATAGCATTTCATGGGAGCCCCACCTATCCCTTACCAAGAAAGGATAAATGCCATCATGTTTAAACTTTACCTTGGAGCTGTCCTTGCCCTGTGCAGAAAAAAGCCAAGGCTCCTGAGCAAACCCAGCTCCTTCAAAACTGTCTCTGGGAGAGCTCATGTGGAGGTAGTCACAGTAGCACCGGCCAGTGCCCACTGGAGCCAGGGCTGGGCTGCAGGGAAGATCGTGGCAGTTGGACTTCTGCAAATGCTGAGCACACGTGGTCATCTCCTCCAGTGACGAGAGCTTTTGAGCTGCACCTAGAGACCCTGGAAATACCTCAAGGGTAAACTTCCCCTGCTGACCCATGAGGGCAGTAAGACATAGAGTGGACCCACTGGGGCATGCAGAGTCCTGCTTGTCACTTTGTCCATCTCCCCACCTGTCCTTCACTGCAAGCCACCAGCCCAGTCTCCCCTGGAGAGCAGGATTCTGTTGCTTCGGGTTTGGTGGACTGGCATTGTTGGGGAAGGCAGGCATATCACAAATTGATTTAACAAAGTATTTCTGGCCAGGCGCAGTGGCTCATGCCTGTAATCCAGCACTTTGGGAGGCCGAGGCAGGTGGATCACCTGAGGTCAGGAGTTTGAGACCCAGCCTGGCCAACATGGTGAAACCTCATCTCTACTGAAAATACAAAAATTAGCCGGGCATGGTGGTGGGTGCCTGTAAATCCCAGCTACTTGGGAGGCTGAGGTGGGAGGATCCCTTGAGTCCTGGAGGTCAAGGCTATAGTGAGCTGTGATGAAGCTACTGCACTCCAGGCTGGGTAACAGAGTGAGACTGTGTCTCAAAAAAATAAAAAATAAAAAAATAGGTCTCAGAAAAATCGGATTCAGCCGAGCGCAGTGGCTCATGCCTGTAATCCCAGCACTTTGGGAGGCCGAGGCAGGTGGATCATGAGGTCAGGTGTTCGAGACCAGCCTGGCCAACACAGTGAAACCCCGTCTCTACTAAAAATACAAAAAATTAGCTGGGCATAGTGGCAGACGCCTGTAATCCCAGCTACTTGGGAGGTTGAGGCAGGAGAATCGTTTGACCTGGGATGTGGAGGTTGCAGTGAGCTGAGATCGCGCCACTGCACTCCAGCCCAGACGACAGTGCAAGACTCCATCTCAAAACAAATAAAAATAATAATAATAATTTAAAAAAAGGTATTTCTGCTTCTCGACAATCCCCCAGGACCTCCAAAAGCCTTGGCTGGTCAAAATAGAGTCATGTGTCACTTAACAACGGGGATCCATCCTGAGAAAGGCATTGTTAGGTGATTTTGTTATTGTGCCAACCTCACAGAGTGTGCTTACATAAACCTAGATGGTGAATAGCCTGCTGCACACCTAGGCTAGGTGGGGGAGCCCATTGCTCCTAGGCTACACATCTGTACAGCACGTTCCTATCCTGAATGCTGTAGACAATTAGAACACAATGGCAAGCGTTTGTGTACCTAACCAGAAAAGGCACAGTAAAAACAGTGTTATAATCTTATGAGACCACTGTCCTACATGCGGTCCCTCGTTGACCAAAACATCGTTAGGCAGTGCATGACTGTATCTGCAGGGTGGGGCTGGATAGGGCAGGGGTAGGGAGACCTGCTGAGAATGGAGGAGATCCATGAAGTGAAATAAGGATGGAGGACTTTCAGTCAAGGAAAAGCAAGCTCCAGGGTCACAGTAGAGGGGGAAAGACCCTCAATTCACTGTTCTATTTTCAAAATGGCTAGTTCACTGGGTCTCAGACAGACAGTGGATTCTGAGGCTCCTTCTATTTTATTTTATTTATTTTTTGAGACAAGGTCTCACTGTGTTGCCCAGGCTGGAGTGCAGTGGTGCAATCTTGGCTCACTGCAACCTGCAACTCCTGGGCTCAAGCAATTCTCATGCCTCAGCCTCCCGAGTAGCTGGGACTACAGGCACACACCACCACACCCGGCTAACTTTTGTATTTTTAGCAGAGATGGGGTTCTGCCATGTTGGCCAGGCTGCCTTCTATTTTAAAATACAATGCAAGTTCCTGCGCAGATAGATGCCTCCTCTACTCCTGCCTCAACTTCTCAGGAAAGGTTGGGGGGCATCTTGTCCAGCCCAACTCTGTTGCCTCTAACATCACTGACCCGGAAGATGACCTTCCTTGGGCACTGCACGTGCAGCTAGGCTCTTCCAGGCCTTCACTGCACACAAACCAGGGAGTTCCTGCACCCTCCTGGGCTCCAACCTGCACAGGAATATCTTGATGTCCAGCCCTCCCGACCCTCAGCCACTCCAATCCTCCACCAGAAGAGAAGATGCTAAAAATGCACGCAAACAAAATTGTTTTAATAATCAGCAAATCCCCATTCACTCTTATTTTGGACGTACATTCCAATCTGACCCCAGGAAGTCCCGGTCCTCCCAGAAGGGCCAGGTGGGTGAGAGGCAGGTTGCTGGCCGCTGCCCGATGCACACTGCAAGAACAATAAGGATTTTTAGGGGCATTATGACTGAGTCAGAAAACACAGCTGCCCCTGAAAGTCCCTCATTTTTCTTGCTGTCCTTGAACACTCTCCAGGTGAGGAAGCAGTCGTCTGCCACGCCCAGATGAGCCGAGGTGAAGCTGGTGTTCCCTCACCCGACACTGACGCCTTCCCCACAGCCCATGGAAAGCTCCCTGGTGGGTGGGAAGGCTGCAGGGTCTCCAGAGAGACACAATTTTCTCCGATGCCGGGCCCAGCTGCGGCCAGCCTCGCCGCCCTCCCAAGGCATACCCAGGAATGACCTGGGTTCCACCTAAAGCCAACTCAGAACCCAGCGCCTTCTGCCTGCAGGAAACTGCAGACCAGCATCCTGGTGGAATCCCAATGTGGAGAGCAGCCCCCAAAACTCGGGAACGTGGCAAGAACTATACTATAGTCTGTAGCCCCTGTGTTCACAGGAGGGGCGTGGACCATCTCAGAGAGACAATGATGGTCTCAGGCCTGGCGTGACACATGAACACAAGACAGCCAGCCTCCAACCTTCTTGTAACCAGGCCTGAGGCCAGGCCTGATTCAGGCAAAGAGAAGAAAACACCAGGAAGTGCCCAGAAGAGCAACCCAGGCCTGAAAACCCGGGAGAAGAGCTGCCCCGACTCTCTCCAGCCCATCTTAAAGAACGGCACACAGACAGGAGATTCCAACAGGAATGGGCACGGGAACTCCGGTTCCGCTTCTCTCCAGCAGTCGCGGCCTTGGTTACTCTGCCTGTAAAATGGGCCTGGAAGGAGCTAAGCTCCCACCACCCTCTCTCCCATTTCAAAGGGAAAGCCAAAGAGGAAATGAGACTTTCAGCTCTGTCACAGAAAGCAAAGGGGCTGGAAGAGGCTGCAACCTGTGAGAAACAGCACGCCCTGGGGTGCTGCTGAATGGATCTCAGGCCCGCCCACCAATTCTCGGCCATATCCCACCCTGCCCTTAGCAAAAGAGCAACAGCTTCACATTGGCCTGAGTGGGAAGGCAGGTCCTCCCAATACCCTTCTATGAAAACGGCCTACAATGGGCAACAAAGACAAGTGTGAAGACCTCTGGAATGTCCTAGGTGGTTTCTGGGTTCAAATCAACAAGCCCACAGGCTCTGCTGGGAAGCACAGGCTGAAAGAAACCAAGGTTGGGTGAAGGAGATGGTGAGACAGTGGCCAAAAAGAAGGGAAGAGACTGGTGGCCAATTTGTTTTTTGTATGGGAGGATAAAAAACAAGAGCTTCCAGAATCAGAGACTCGTAGAGGATTCTCCTTAATGGGACAATCCCTTCTGTCCCGAGGCCCAGGTGAGCCTCCAGGGCAGTAGAGGGTCAACCCCAGCGTCAGGGCATCAGGGCCCAGACCAGGAAGGCCCCTAGGGAATGAGGTCCTGCATGTGCCTCCCACCTGTGGAATGTCACCCAGCAACAGGAAACGTGTCTCCTGAGGCCAGGCCACTTTGCCCAAGGCCCCGGCACAGCTGGAATCTGTCCAGCCTGGCACTGCACCTGCTCTTTGGGGGCCCCACTGTCCATGCAGGAACCTGGCCTGTCAGGACACAGGTTGCCACCGCTGTGGTGAAAACACATCCCCACAAAAGACAGCCAGCTGCTGGCACCACTACCTGCTAACTTGCTGTATGACCTGACCCTGTGTAAATTACTCGGCTTCCCAGCCTCAGCTCTCTTATCTGTAATAGGAATAATAAGCCCACCTGGAAGGGCAATGTAAGGATCGAAAGAAAGCAAAGTGTGTAGCAGGCTCCTAACAAAAGTGGATCCCCTCAGACCCCAAGGGCAGGGGCTGGGCCATAGCGAATTCTTCCCCTCTGGGAAGGGGGCTGGGTCAGGGTGCCAGCCCGTGCCTCGCTGCACCCTGGGCACTGACACTGCATCTTCTCCCCAACACTCCACGCTCCTTCCAGTTCAGACTGTGAGGAAGTGTGCCTGCTATCCCGATTGCCAGCTCCAGCCTCAGCCCTCTCAAACTGACATTCTGGCACCTGTCATCCACCCGGAGCTTTCTGTCCTAACCAAGATCACAGACATATTCTCCACCAACAAAGCAGAACTGAAGCAGTCCCCCCACACTAGGTTCTGCATCATCTGAACCACTGAACAGCACACCTGCATCACTGTGCTGAGCTGCTCCCGCTGCCTGGCACACCTTACCCCACGTGGTGCCGTGCAATAAGCAGGCAAGACCTAGCTCACCACTCACTAGCCTCGGGCCAGCAACTTAACCCCGAGTGCTTTTGTCTGTTCCTGTGTGAGTCTGGGGTTACTACCTATTTCAGGGGTTGTCTGGAGGACTGAATGGGTTCATTCATGGAAAAGGCTTAGAACTGTGCCTGGCACAAAGCGTTCAATCAAGATTAGCTATTATTACCATTCCTGCTTTGTTCTTCAAGACTCAGCTCACCTCTTCTGGGTGACCTTCCTTGACCCCAGACTCTCCCTGGGTTACAGCCCCTTCCTTCTCCCCATTCCATCATCCCAAAGCTCATCACACTGTGCTTTACCTATTGGTCCACCCAACCAGAGCACAATCCTGGGGCCACCTGCCTCACAATCACACAAACTTATTAACAATGCTGATTGCACCCCCCTTCCCAGGTCTATCAAGGGGCCCTGGAATCTGCATTGTTAATAGGCTCCTGCTGTGATTCTCCCAAGTTTGAACCACTGCTCTGGCACCTGTCATCTACCTGAGCTTTCTGCCCTAACCCAGATCCCAGCCATATTCTCCACTAGCAAAGCAAAACCCAAGTCCCCACACCCATTGCTACAGGCAGGTGCTTGGCCCAGAAACAAAAGCGCCTGGTCCAAAATCAAGGAGGCAGGGTCAGGAGAGCTGCCCCTGAGAGTGGCTGGAGGAGCTCCTCACACCGTGCTGGGTATGTGACAGTGACCCACCTGGGCTTGGCTTTGACAGCAGAGCTAACCTATCACCAAACACACCAGCCACCCAGTCCAGTTCCATGCGCCTTCCCTGAGTGCTCACTCTGCATGGCCCTGGGCTGGGCACACGCTGACGACTGAGGTGCATCATGTGCCAGGTGGCAATGGGACCGGTCAGGGTGATGTCCCACCAAGACCAAAGGGATGAAGTCACGACCCAGCTCTTGCATATTGTAACTGTGGTTGATGCAGACCCACCACCCTTTATTCAAAATTCTCAACTCAAACAAAACTCTGGATAATGAAAGTTGTTTTTGTCACTGAGTGGGAAAATCTGACCCAAACTGACTAGAAACTATTATTTCGAGTCTATATTTATCCTGGGGAGTGTGAATATTCATACTCACCTGAGTGAGTGCCCCCTTCTGTGGGCTGATGGGCCACCAGGGCTTACCAGCGAGCTGTAGAGTAAGGAGGCTCCACTCTGAACAGAGTCCCTAAAGTGCCAGCAACCCACAAAACCATGAGAGAAGAAAAAGAAAGGCCAACTAAATATCAGCCCTTGTTTGGAATTGGCTTTAAGGAAAAAAAAAAACAAAACCATCCACCAGCCCTATCCTGGCTAGGAAAGAAGGTGACCAGGCAGAGGGCAAAAGTCTCAAATGTCTTGGGAGAGAAACCGCCTACAGAGAGAAGGTGCTGAGCACATACAGGGACCCGCTGCCTCTCTGGGATGCTGGGGCCTGCTGCAGGGGCTGGCTGAGAGGATCTGGCCCTGCAGCCTGGAAAGGCCAGGCCTTCTTTGAGTCAGAGGCCAAACATCCTTGGTGCAGCTTGACGGGGTTGGAGGTTGGGGAGGACAGGGGTGATTCCAGCACACAGACTAGAAGAGTGGGCTCTGAGGGTCCCGCCCTCCTTCTGTCCACCCCAGCCAGTCTTCCCCAGGCCAGACCACTACAGAGGTGCAAGTCAGAGGGCTCAACTGGATTTAAACTTCTGATGCAGTGAAAAGAGGTCTTGGCCTCGCAGGCTGGCCCCGCCCTTGCTGGACATTCCGAGGCTGGGAATGAACAAGCCAGGAGACCTGAAACTCATCCATCAGAGCCGCTGGGTTTACGATAATCAACCTCTCTCTGCCAGAAATTCTTTTGCTAAGAACACATCAGCTCTGAAAACACTCATTCTCAACCCCTCACTCCCCGTACACCTCACAAACCCACCTGGGACTGGGCTCCCACAACAGCAGCCCTGCCTGGCCCCAGGCTGCCAGCCAACATATCTTGGGGCTTGGCTCTGCCCCCAAAATTCATCAGTGGGTGGAGGCCCAAGTGAGTAGCCGTCAGCAAGGCTGGACCTGGGCCCAACTGCAGTTGTCCACACAAAAACACACTCCTGCTACCGAGGCCAGGTCGGTGAGGGCAGCGCCTGCTTTCCATCTATGTTTCCAGACCATCTGGAGGAGCCAAGCAAGGGGTGGGTACTGACACTAGAGGCACAACTTTTATCTCTTTAAGGCAACTCCACTTGGCCAGGGGTGGGGAACAAGACAAGCAGACCAGGCAGGCAGATGGCAGGGCTAAAGTCTGTGGAAGAAAACAGTATGTTTAAGGATGCATTTATCGTTTTGACAAGGCATCAGCAAACTCTGGCCAAAGGGCCATCCCAGCCCACCATCTGTTTTCATAAAGTTTTGTTTTTTGGGTTTTTTTTTTTTTTTTGAGACAGAGTCTCACTCTGTCACCCAGGCTGGAGTGCGGCGGCACAAACTCAGCTCACTGCAACCTCCACCTCCTGGGTTCAAGTGATTCTCCTGCCTCAGCCTCCCAAATAGCTGAGATTACAGGCACCCGCCATCATGTCCAGCTACTTTTTGTATTTTTAATAAAGACAGGGTTTCACCATGTTGGCCAGGCTGGTCTCAAACTCTGGACCTTCAGTGATCTGCCCATCTCGGCCTCCCAAAGTGCTGGAATTACAGGTGTGAGCCACCGCACCTGGCCCTCATAAAGTTTTATTAGAACATAGATGTACTCATTCATTGATGTATTCACAATGACAGCAGAACAGAATCTGCTTCTGAACAATCTTTGCTTGGCACCTGGTGAGGGAAGGCCTCTGAGGGTCATGGGGCAGCCAAGTCACCTGCCCTGGTGGCGGTACAGCTGTTTGGGCATCTCACCCACTGGTCAGCTGGACTCTCAATCTGCCTTCAGGCTCCTCCTATGGCTGAAGTGGAAACGGGCCCTGGCAGAGCAGGGACTCTGAGCACACGGCTGCTGTAGTCTTAAGTGGACGCTACTCCAGGGCAGGGTCTCTTACTCCAAACCTTCAGGCCATGTGTTCCAGAACTTTTCAAGTTTTAGAAAGGGAATGTGGTGCCTATGCCACATATTATGTAACACCCCAGCAAGGCAGCACCCATAATCAAACATTAATATCTCTGCAGGGAAACCCATGAGTATTCACACTCCCCAGGATAAATATGGACTCCAATAGTCTGTCAGTTTGGGTCAGGTCTTCCCATTCAATTAGCGGCAAAAACAACGTTCAGTATCCAGTTTTCTTGCGTATCCAGAATTTTGGACAAAGGATGGTGGGCCTGCATCAACCACAGTTACAAAATGCAAAAGCTGGGTCCTGACTTCATCCCCTGGGTCTTGACAGGACATCCCCCCGATCCCCCTGACAGACGGTCTTCATTGCCACCTGGCACAGAGAAAGCACATACAAGGCTCACAGTAAATAGGTTCTGAATTAATCCTGATCACCAGATTTTTTTTTCTGCCAAAGAACAGCTACTAATATGACTGATGAAAATGTAGAAAAAATAGCATTTAAAGCCAACCCCTGTCTGCCTGCTTCATTACCAGGAACAAAGAAAAGCCAATATAAATGAATAATTCTTCCAACTCCATTTACTCAGAACAAGGAAAAGAAACTGTTTTCTGGTCACTGTTGCTGCCTCATGGGCAGGCACATTAGGTTTTTGGGGGAGCAGGTGAGTGGGTGGAGTCAAAACTTTAAAAACCCATTATTTTTCTCCCCTGTGTACTTCCTTAGAGCCTCCCTGTGGCCAAAGTTCCACTTGGAAATCTAAAATAATTTATCTCATCACGAAATCCTAACAGCTAATTAGAAAAATGTACTAATTGGATAATCTGGTTTCAGATGCTCTAATTATACTCCTTTGGCGGGGCGGGGGGGGAAGCAATGTATACATATATATAACTTAATAGCCCTTCTTCCAAAAAGTGTAAAGTATCCAGAAGAAATAGCACTTCTTCCAAAAAGTGTAAAGTATCTTCCAAAAAGCCTAAGTAGGCCATGCATGGTGGCTCACACCTGTAATCCTAGCACTTTAGGAGGATCAGGTGGAAGGATTGCTTGAGCCCAGGAGTTCGAGACCAGCCTGGGCAACACGGTGAGACCCCCATCTCTATGTGTTTTTAAAAAGCCTACAGTATGAAGGTTAAAAAGAGTCACCTTAAGATAGTAGCGACACTGCAGAAGTATTTTAATCACATTATCTACAAACAGATAAACCACGTCCTATAAAATACAGTTTTTCTGCATTAGAGGATATCTGAAAATATATTTTGGTGATAACTCCCACCAGATGTTTGGGAAGTAAACGGATTTTCCCCCTTTCTAATGCAACAAAATTTTAGCATTCTGAAATGTCATACCCTCTATCTCTATTTCTTAATAGAGTAACTCTTACAAATGACTACCAGAAATTTCCTCATTGCCAGAGATTTCTAAACCCCAAATTGGGAAAGAGGTTCTTGATTCCACTGGCGATTTCGACCTCTCCTGGGCACAGGGCAGATTTCTGGGACACATCTGACTCCATGATTGGGAAATGCTTTTGGCCTGCCTGACAACATGGTCTTGGGGTAAGAAGGCAAGAGGGTGGCTGGTGGGAGGGGGTGTGCCTGTGACAGCGACCTGGGCAGGGCATCCCTCTCATGCCTGGAAGAACTGTCCGGTCAATGTCGCAGGCCCAGCACACCTTCCCAACGAGCTGAAAGCTGCCCGCAAGCTCCAGGGCTATATGTAGTCAGGGCTGACTGCCCCTCACAGGGAGGCAATGAGGAGGAGGCCGAGAACTGCCACCTGCACACACCAGCATCTGCAGCCCTGCCACCCCGGTGGAGACCCCAGTGGGCTGACCACAACTCTTTGTGGAAAGGATGCAAGCATCCTCTGGGGGCATTTTCTCTGGCCCTTGGCTGGACACGTGCTATCCGTCTGACAAATATCGACCATGCTGGGCACGCGTGGCCTGGGCCGACACAGGACTGCAGAGGGCAGGCACCAGGGGCTGCCGCTGCCACTGGCCTGTCAAGTTAGTTTCACTTTCTGGTTTTTCCCCCTGGGTCACTTCTCACTCTGAAGGGAGAAAATGTTCTTTAGATGACAAGAGAGAAAATCTTTAGAAGTGTTCCTTGTCATTTTCTTTTTTTCTGAGGACACTGTTTTTCTCTGAAGACCGGGTAACAGGCTTTACGCCATGGGGCTGAGAACACAATACCCCAGAGCCTGGCGCTTTGGTACACTGAGCACTTTGAACTAAAGGAGAAAGCAAGTTCTCTCTGACCTTCTTCCACCCTTCTGTCTCTTGCCCCTCTTTCTCCCCAGCAGCCAGGCACAGAAACCAGAATTCCTCTTCCCCAAGGTGGGTCATAGGAAGTAGAACTCCTCTCCCCCAAAGCAAGACATAGTATCTACAAAGGTCACTCTCTCCCTTCTCACCCCTCATCCCAAAGGGGTCCTGCCCCATACGCCCCAGACATGCTGCACAGTGAGGCCAAAAAGCATCTGAATAGACAGGCCTTGCTGGGTGGTCCCCTCTGTCTATTACATTAGGTCGTACCCTTTTTGTCCTATCACATTCCTAGATGGTTGTCCCTTCTTCCTCCAATCTAAGCATAAAAATAGTTTTCCCTGGTTCTCTGGGTCTTACTTCTGAAGGCTCTCATGTCATGTAAAACACTGATTAAATAAATTTGTCAAACTTTTCTCCTGTTAACCTGTCTTTGTTACAGAAATGTCAGCCGTGACCCTTACGGGGAGGAAAGGGATTGCACCTTTCTGCCCCTACAACCCCAGCTACACAACTTCAGTCCCCTGGGCTGCTTAGCTCTAATATGATTACACATCTAAATGCAATACATGGAGCAAAGTGGTATGATTTTTCTGGGAAAAACCAACATCATAAAAGGGTCTTTATTGAATCAAAGGGCTCATGAACTGTTCTCTTGCCTAATTATGGCTCCCAAGTGAACAAGGCTGGGTTTCCAGGCAGGACTCGGCACAATTCTCCAGCCCAAAGACCAATGGGCTATTTGTCACAACTTGTCTAATTACAACGAAATCTACCCCAAGGACGAAAGGGAGAATGCCAAGATAGGTTGGCAGCAGCCCCCTCCCCGCTCCGGCTCTGGAAGCAGGGAGCTGGTCCTCAGGCCTCTCTGTATGGCAAGGAGCTGCCCCCTGCTCCTTCCCCACCCCTTACACTCAAAGTCAGGATCCTGGACCCTGCCCCTTCCCGCAGTTTAGTTTAAGTGGTTTTCCAGCATCCCAGTACTGCCCCCGTAACCTCATCTCTATAGAGAAGGCCCATTGTCGAAATGTGGTATTTTGGCAGATGTTTGAACATTCAGAGATTTGGCCGAGGTTAGCGTGCACCCAGGCCTGAGCAAAGATAAACGTTTGCCATCACCAGACACAGAAGGAGGAGAGAGGGTGTACGCCTCGGGCCAGAGG
Source organism: Homo sapiens (assembly GCF_000001405.40). NCBI lineage: Eukaryota > Metazoa > Chordata > Mammalia > Primates > Hominidae > Homo > Homo sapiens. Next base: position 31,566,812 of record NC_000017.11, on the reverse strand, counting down.
AGGGTTCACCCTCCACACCAACCAGACCAACCAGCTGGAGCAAGCAGTCTAGTTGACTTTTCCCAGATACACAGTGGTCTGGCTGGGCAAGTTGAAGACTAACATTTTGCTTGTACTTCAGTATCTGTTTAATCGCCCTCGAAGTTTCAAAAGCAAAGACACTTTTCAAGAGAGACAGGGTCTTCCTCTATTGCCCAGGCTGGAGTGCAGTGACCCAGTCAATCACAGCTCATCGTAACCTTGAACTCCTGGGCTCAAGCGATCTTCCCACCTCAGCCTCCTGAGTAGCTGGGACTACAGGCACACACCACCATGCCTGACTAATTTTTCCTTTTACTTTTTCAGAGGCAGGGTCTTACTATGTTGCCCAGGCTGGAGTACAGTGGTGTGACCATAGCTCACTACAGCCTCAAACTCCTGGCTCAAGCAATCCTGTCTCGCCCCTGCCTCCAGAGTAGCTGAAACTACAGGTGTAAGCCACCACACCCAGCTAATTTATTTTTTATTTTTGTAGAGATGAGATTTTGTTATGTTGGCCAGGCTGGTCTGAACTCCTGGCCTCAGCTGATCCTCCCACTTCAGCCTCCTAATGTGTTGGGATTATAGTCGCGAGCCACTGAACCCAGCCTTTCTCTTTTTTAAGATATGGCCCCCTCCCCACCCTTCTCATGTTAAGCCCACAAAAGCAAGCTTGACAAGAAGGAATTCAGCAGAAACTCATCCTGACTCTCCCACTAACCTCTCCCCTCAGATAGGCTTAAGTGGCGGCCGCATGAACCCAACCCCCGGAAAAGGCTGTGACTCCTGGCCCCCCACCTCCACCCTACGCCCCTCCCAAGTGGTAGACATGTCTCACTGAAGAGGCAGGACCCACACAAACTCACCCCCACACCCCACCAGCAAGGATTTGCTTTTCTTCCAGTGTTTTCTCCCCAGATACTAAGCCAGCAAGCAGGCACACCAGCCTCAGCTGGTCCTTCTTTGACCTCATTGTCCCATGGACCCTGGGATGAATATGGTGTCACCCGGGAAGAACTACCATGTACCACCCCCGACCATGCGCCTGGTGTTTCACACAGACATTCTTGTTCAGTCCTTATAATGCCCTGAGAAGTAGGCACGTATTATCACAGACAGGGAAATTGAGTCTTGGGAAGACGCCCCAGGCCCGACACAGCTAGTCTACAGGAAAGCCAGGTTTCTGATGCCAAAGCCCACGCCCTTTCCCTGTCTTAAGCAGAGAAGCATTTTCTGTTTTCAACCAGCCTGCTGGAAAGCCAGGTGCTACCAGCTAGTAAGCAGCAAGACAACCGAATTCTTTTCAGGAGGGTGGGAGACATGGGCGAAAAAGAGGGTTTGTTTTACAATGGACAAGGAGGGAAAAGAGAGTTATTTCTTAAATATTTGCTTGGGAGACCAGAATTTAAGCCTCAGTCACCAAGAAGGAAAAGCCAGTGTTTTCACTTGAACCCCACATCCCCCAGGGCAGAAATCCAGTGAGAGGAAGCGAGTTTCATGAGAATGAACCACAAAGTCTTCATAGGCCGATCCAAATTTCCCAGCTGCAATCTCTGAATCCCTCCCCCAGCCCTCCCATCCTCCAAACCACAGCCCCAGGCTCCACCCCGTGCCTTCCTCAGCTCCTCCTCCTTAGGATCTTAGAAGAATGCCAAGGGGGGTCTGGTGTATTCAGTTCAGTCACCCACTTGACAGAGAAGGGGGCTCTCAGGCTGCAGTGATGAGCTCAGAGGAAAATCAGGCAGCGGGACTTTCCGCATGGCACCTCCCTGCCCGGTTCTCCTGGGCAGCAAATGCAAGGGGTCTGGCTATGGGGTGATTTCAAAATTCCTCAGACCGTGCCAAAGGGAGGAGGGAGGAAGTATCCACAGTGGGTAAGATGTCACCTGCTCTGGGTCCTGTAAGCCCTGCCCCCTGCCCAGAGCCAGTGAGGCCTGCTGAAGGCTCTTGGGTGCTGAAAAGATTATGGTCTATCCCTACCTCCAGTCCAAAATTCTAAAGAAAAACACCACTGAGCCATAAAAAAGTCTAAGTCCCAAGAAATTCTGATTTTCACCCCCAAAATGATTACTCTGCAGCATTTTTTGGAATATCAAATTATTTTCTCCTCCCCCGCACCCCCATTCCATTTTGTCCCCTGCTTGCCTGGTCCCACTAGAGGATGTTTAGTTTGCCCACAGCATGAGTGAGGGAGCAAGCCTTGAGCAGCTGTGGCAATTCAAATGTCTTTCCTGGGACCTTTTCTGAAACGTGCTCAGTGTCAGGACCGGACGAGTCTTTGGGCCTTTAGGAGTGATGCACTGCTGAGCAGATGTACAAGGCGGCCACATCTGCTACCCAGGGTTCCTTTAAGGACTCAGTGCCAGCGAATCCAGGCCCAGCCACCTCCTGTTCTACAGCCCCAGCTTGCTGGCTTCCGACCTGGGAGGCTGCACCTGGAAGCCTGGGGGTCCTGCTCCTATGGTACCGAGGCAAGCTGGGAGATTCTGGGAGGGTCTCTTCCCCTGAGTCTCGACTTCAACCATACAATGAGGACTTACAATACCATTAATCTGCTCTCAGAGCTGGGGCAAAAATCAGAGCAGGCAGCGAGGGACCGTGCCCATCTTACTAACGGATACCCCAGCCTCTGCCTGGCCCAGTCCCTGGCACATAGTTGTTAGACCACAGAAACTGAGAGGATTGAGACCCATATAGGGGATGGGAATCCCAGACAGTATCCCCATCTGATGGTTACGATACCCCTGTTCCCAGTGGATTAAGTAACTTGCCCAAGGCCACATGCTCCCAAGCGATGGAGTTAGTCCTCGAACCTACCAGACCCACAAGCCCGAGTCTCAATCACTCTGCACCGGTCTCAACCAACATGTATATACACGCAGATTCAAAATAAGAGAGCTGGATTGTATGAAAGGAGAGAAGGTTAGCACTCCCCTTGACAAGGATGGAAGAGGCCCTTGGGCCTGACGACACGCATATAGTTAAGGTACTGCCACCTACATCGTGGCATCTAAACATCATTTTTTTAATTTAAAATAATAATTTAAGGCAGGGCGTGGTATTTCACACCTATAATCACAATACTTTGGGAGGCCAAGGTTGGGGGATCACTTGAGGCCAAGAGTTCAAGACCAGCCTGGCAACATGTTAAAACCCCATCTCTACTAAAAATACAAAAAATTAGCTGGGCATGGTGGTACACGCCTGTAATCCCACTGAGGCAGGAGAATCACTTGAACCCAAGAGGCAGAGGTTTCAGTGAGCAGAGACCATACCACTGCACTCCACCTGGATGACAGAGTGAGAATCTGTCTCAAAAAAAAAAAAAAAAAGAAAGAAAGAAAAAAGAAAAAAAAAAAGAAAGAAAGAAAAAAGAAAAAAAAAAGAAAAATAAACAAGCCGAGCACAGTGGCTCACACCTGTAATCCTAGCACTTTGGGAGGCTGAGGCAGGCAGATCATTTGAGGTCAGGAGTTCGAGACCAGCCTGGCCAACATGGTGAAACCCCATCTCTATTAAAAATACAAAAGTTAGCCGGCTGTGGTGGTAGGCACCTGTAATCACAGCTACTCGGGAGGCTGAGGCAGGAGAATCGCTTGAACATGGGAGGTGGAGACTGCAGTGAGCTGAGATCGTGCCACTGCACTCCAACATGGGCAATAGAGTGAGAATCTGTCCCAGAAAAAAAAAAGAAAGAAAAGAAAAAGAAATAAAATAATAATTTGAAAATCTTTATTAAAAAAAAAAGAGCCAGGGGACAAAGACTACCAGTCGGAGATCTACTGGTTTGTGCCAGACACCCTGACATACATCTTTCGTAAGCTTCGCCACACACTTACAAGGTAGGTATCATAACCCTCATCCCGCAAGAGAAGAAACTGGGGCACAGAGAAGTCACTGGGCCAAAGCCATGCAGCTGGTGAGCCGCAGTTGGAACCCAAGCACATCTGGACGCAAAGTGCGCCTCCATGGCCTTCACACTGGGCTGCTTCAAGAAAAAAACCCTTCACGGAAACCAAAATGATCCCTTGCTTCTGAGACAACTCTCTTTCAGGGACTTATCACAGATTAGGAGTGCTGTTCTTTTGTGTAAAAAGAACTGAGACTGGCCAAATATTTACCAGCCCGCGCAGAGGGCTGTAGACTGGCCCAGCAGCGGAATTAACTCCTCCTGCAGTATCAAGGGCCAAGCTGTTGCTAGACAAAGTGGAGGAGAGAATCCTCACCATTCAGACAGCTCAGCTTTGGGCAAAGAGGAACCAAAGGAAACCCAGGGAAGCAGCCAGGGGCTCGGCAGGGATGGCCACCAACAAAACCCCGGAGGGATTTCTTCTGAGGTTCAGAACTTCCAGAGTTGCTAGGAGTGAAGATGAGAGGACTGGCTTCTCCCAATACTTCCTTTGTCATTCCGATCCTGCTGGACAAAAACTGATCTTCAATCTTTCATAGGTTGGGATTTTTCTTTTTCAAAAAAAAAAAAAAAAAGCCAAAAAGGCAAGGTTAATTATTCACCAGTCTGCAATTTACCTAAGAGTTGAGGGAATGCAAGTTTCTTCCCAGTAGGCAGGACAGGGAGTCCAGCTGGATTTTTAGGAGTCTTCCGTCAGTCTCCCTGCAGGTCTCGCTAAAACCCTCCCCCTCCTACCAGCTTTCTACCTTGCATTTAGCTGCTTCCTGAAGAAGGCTCCAGGGTAAATCAGTCTATGTTCAAGCTACTTCCCCTTGAAACCTTGAGGTACCCATCTTTGAAAGAGGGACTGGGGGTGGGGGTAGGAGCCAGGAAGGAGGCCTCTGCTCCAGGAAACTATGAATTCAAGAGAGAGCAAAATCAAAAAGCTCTCCACTACAACACAATTCCTCAATACAACGGCTTACACGGAAGCATAAATCAGTTGCAGGAGGCCAGGCTAGCCCAGCCTACTGCATAGCTGATTCAATCACATTTTGCAAAGGAAAAAAACCCAAGAAGGAAAAACCTAATCACTCACTTCCCCCAAAGAAACGAAGCACCAAGTCATTTCCTAAAAATCTCTAAAGCCCTGGCCAGACCCAGAAAGAATGGGGCACAGCCTGAGGGAAACTGCCGGGGGCACCACAGTGCTCCTCAGGCCTCATTCCCAGCCCTGTGAGTCCACCTTCCCCAGCCGGTCCCCTCCAGGGTGGGTGCAGGGCAGCCAGCCAGGCCTGCTTTTCGGCATCTCATTGCTCCAGCCCACTTCTGGGATGTTTTATGACCACGCAATATTCTGGAGATTTCCACTTCATTTACTTTTAGACACTGATCCCCAGGGCTGGGAGAGGCATTGGTTCAAAGGGAGAACTTTGTTTTCCCAAGCTGATTCAGCGCTCCAAAGAGCATTTTTCTTAATTAGGGGCGAGGTCTCCAGTTGAAGCTCCCATCAGTTCCACTCCTAGACAATTTTGTCTCCAAACTAAGAATTTGTCAAGATGTTCAGAAATCTACCCCATGGCCAAACTCTTTTCTCCCATAATTCTGACATCTGCATGTTCCACTGGGTAAGCCTCCAGGACAAAGCTAACATGGACAAAAGTCAGGCCAACTGCAGGACGGGGTATGTCCCTTCCTGGCCTCCCAGGCCCAAACCTGCCTCCCTGACCCCAAAACACACCTGACTGCCTACCACACACCTGACTCCCCTGTGTTGGCTCCCACATGCCCCCAAAACAGGGACAACAGTATGGGCAGGACGCCTGCAAAGGACTACTCTACACGTGGCCTGCAGAGGCAGGGAGCCTGTGGGAAAATGCCTCTTGAATGGGTTTTTACACGACCTGGCAAGGGGTGGGCCAACCTGGCCGTGATGGTTCCTCCCTCTCACCCTCCCTCCTCCCAGCTCCTAAAAACCTCTCCTGTTTTCCAAAGCCAAGTAAGACAGGGACCAGACGTTCCCTATTTTGTCAACCAGTTCTTCACACAGTTCAAGTCACCTCACTGCATGTCCCCAGATGTTTTTCCACGGCCAAGAGCCAAAAACACAACACAAACAAAGGACAAATAACCAAAGTTCCAACACCAGGCAAACCCGAGGTTTCAGGGGTTGGTGGGTTTTTGTTTTCGGGGAGTAGAAGCAAACGCACTAGAGGAATAGATAAGAGACTTTAAAGGAGAGTTTAAGGAATTCCAGCAAAAAACTTGAAGAGGACTAGAGTGGGTCCACATTATGTTGCATCGGTCAGGGAACAAAAGACCGGCCATTGGGAACACATCCACAAAGATCCATCTTTAATGAAATGGTGTTTGGGAGAGGAACAGGGGCTTCCTGCGCCACCGGGCCAAACCTCCGCTTCCCACCTCCCCAGGGGCAATTCTAGAAGTCAGGCCCCGTTCTCCCCACCCCCAAGCTCAAGGTTGCCGCCCTGGAAAGCACAGCAGGGCAGGCCTCGGTAAGTGGCAGGGCTTGGCCCATGGGTAAGCCGGGTCCCGTCTGTCCACTCAACCCAGGTCGCCGGGGCGCGGTCCACGTCTGCCCAAAGGGTACGGACCCCAAGCAGTGACCGACTCACACTTCCGAGAGCGTCGCTATTTCTCCAGCGAAGTGCGGGGATTTCCCGAATCACCGCACGCAGCCGGGGCGAGCGCACCTCACCACTCCTTCTCCAGCGTGGACCTGAGAGGCAGCCTGGCCGGAGCGCACGCCAGCCCGGGAGGAAGCCGGCCTGGGGCGAGGACCGGGGAGAAGACGCTGGTCCCGGGGGCCGAGAACTGGGACTTTGTAGGCCAGTTGATCCGACACCCTCATCTCGCCCGCAAAGACCCAGCCCTCAGCTCCCATCCTCGGAGTTCGGGGTGCGTCCCCGACGGGCTTCCCGGGGCTGGGTCCGGTCGCCGGCTCTGTGCACCGCGCTCCGCTCCGCCGAAGCTCTGGGTGTCCCTCAGGCGGCGTTCCCCGGGAAAGTCCACCGCCCCGCCCGACCTCGGGTCGCGGGCTCCAAACCCAGCCCTCCAAGGGTTACACGACGCTCGGCGGCCTCCACGCCACCCCCGGGCCGCCTCGGCTCAGGCCGAGGGACAGCGCTGGGGGAGGGGGAGGTGCGGGGACCAAAGCCTCCCCACCGCAGCCCCACTCCCGAGTGGGGCGCAAGAGTTATGCGCCGAGAAACTTCGCCACGCTCCCACGCCGCGCCTGCGAGGCCCAGCTCCGCTCTGCCTCGGTTACCTGCGCTCAGCTCGGCGGGCGAGGGGCGCGGGGCGCGGGGCAGGAGCCGTGGCCGACCTCTCGCAGCAGGCCGCACCCTCCCGCAAGGCCGAGCCCGCACCGCTGCCTGGGCACGGGGGCCATAGCCGCTAGCCGGGGCCCGCGCCCCGACGTTCCGGGAGCCCCTCGAACTCCTGGCCGGGGGCCGTGGCCTCGCTCGACCTGCCCGGGACCTGGGGGCCGCCGCCGCCCCCTCCGCTAGGAGAGCGAGCCCGACGAAGCCGGGAGAGGAGCGGGGCGGCGAGACCCCTCGAAAGTTGGGGGGGTCGGCTTGCTCGCCGCGGCCCGACCTGGCTCCACGTGCTGGTGACACATCAGGAAGGCTGCGCGCCCCGCGGCTCCCGGCGGGCGGACGCGGCCAGCGCCCGCCCGCACCGCCTCCCGGAGCCGAGCGGACGGCGCCCCGCCCCGGCCCGCCCTTCGCCCGCCCCTAGGCGGCACCGCCCCCGGCCGCGACGCCCGCTCCAGCCTGCGGCACCGGCGGGAGAGACCCTGACGGCGGTGGGGGGTGGCCCGGGTTCCCAGGTCCCGGGTGGCCCGCACTGCCCCGGGGATGGGGTCCCGACGCGGGCGGCCCTACTCGACAGTCTGGAGTGCCTTCCTCCCAGTCACGCAGTCCTTCCCGCCCCGGAGCCCAGTAATTTTCCCTTTTCCTCCTTTGACCCGTCCGAGCAGCTGCCAGCGCTTCCTCCCGCGGAGACCGGCGCGGGGAGCCCCCTGCCGGCCGCTCCGCTCCCGGGCCGCGCCCCCGCCCGGTGGAGCGCGCCTGCCGCCGGCCTCAACTTCCCCATCTAGAACCTGGAGCCGCCGGGCACTTCTGGCAGGGCTTTGGTGGCAAAGATTATAAATTAAAGTGCCAAGCATAGTACCGGGCAGCATACTTTCTTGAGATGTTAAAATTTCGTGCTTTCAACTCCCAGTTCCAGCGGCCTGCAGACAACCTCTCTTCCTGGCTGTGCTGTTTGAAAAGCTGAGTTCCTTTAGGGAGACTGTGGAAAAGGAGTGGGACAGAAAAGCTTTGAGGCTGAGTAAGAGCTGTCCCAAGATTAGCGAGGGGTGGGAGGTCAGTGGAATCCCCTTGGTGGAGACCTGCTGCCCCACTGTCTCTCCGGAGACGCCAGGATGTGGGAGAGTAACTGCGTGTCTCCTCTGGGACCTGAACCAGGCCTCTACCAAGATCCCCAGCCTCAAGATGGCCAGGATTCCAGGCACCGTGGGTGATGGGGAAGCCCAAATAACCACTGAGGTTGAGTTTCCCAACCTCTTCAGGTCGAGATTTGGAGCCATTTAAAGAAAATAACGTGACATATCTGTTTGTGTCCCGACATAGATATTAGCTATGTTCCTGCCTTCTCTTTCCTGGCCTCACCAACCCAGATCATGCCTTTAAATCTCACTATGAGGCTGGGCACGGTGGCGCACACCTGTAATCCCAGCACTTTGGGAGGCCAAGGCAGGATTGCTTGAGCCCAGGAGTTTGAGACCAGCCTGGGAACATAGTGAGACTCTGTCTTTACAAAAAGTTAAAAAAAAAAAAAAAATTAGCTGGGCGTGGTGGCACACACCTGAGGTGGGAGGATCGCTGAAGCCCAGGAGTTAGAGGCTACAGTGAATTATGATCGCACCACGGCACTCCAGCCTGCGTGACAGAGGGAGACCCTGTCTCTAAACTTCACTTTGGTAAGGGTTGAGTGGTATATCTGGTTTATCTGATCCCCACATCGGGATCCCTGGGTAGGACATGTCCAGGAGCTGGTGCTCCCAGGAGTGCGTAGCTGGGGGAGGGATGGCGGCCAAGCGCTGGCAGAGATGCCCAGTGCTGGGGCATGGACAGCGCTGGCCCCAGGCCTCTGTAATCGCCATTTTGTGGGAGCGCAGGATTAGAAGGGAAGAAAGAAGATGCCCTGACGTTGCTGGAGATGCAGCCGGGGCTGGAGGGGGTCTGGAGTTAGTGTTCTGCTTTCTCTTCCCCTTTTATTGCTCGCTCCAAATCTGACAAACCCTTAGGATCTCTGAGACTCAGGAGCCGGGAGGAGCCGGTGTCCTGGGGGGATGAAAGGGCAGGGTTGTAATGGGTTTACCCCGGTGCTGATCCCAGAGAAGCTCGAAGAAGATTAAGATTTGCTCCCTGGGCCTGAAATCTCCCTGCTACCCCCTGACCACATCAAAGGACACGGCCGTGGGGGGTGCCTAATCCCATCAATGGAATCAAAGCTGGACAAGAAAGGAAATTCTTCGATCTTGGGGCAGCAGCAGGATGCAGCTCACTACAGAAAGGCAGATCGAGGTCCTGGCCTTTTCCACTGGCGGGAACATCCCAAGAAAGATCCAGTCCACAGGCAGATAGGGCCTGCCCTTTTCTTCCTGAGGTGGCCACTGCGGGAAGGTCAACCACAAGAACTTGGGATACCCAGCAGCAGGACTGGGCCTGCCTCCAGGGGCAGAGAAGGACCCCGGGGGCAGGGGGTGGGGGCTCACCCAACATCCCAACATCATACAGCTTTTCTGGCTCCCAGCTTGACTTCTGGAAGGGGCTTTTGCATGTGACACTCCTTGCCACCAGCGTTTCCCAAAAGGTGGTGCTCATATGAGAGATGGTTTTAGATGGAAAAAAATGTAATATGTAGTATTAAATATAAATTTTCTGAATATTGCTGTTACAATGAGGCAAAAATGGTTAAAGTGAGCCAACTCAAAGACAAGAATTTAGTAAATAATGTTATAGGTAGTATTCTGATATGACAACAATAATGGCAGTGGTATGCAAATGCAAATTACTAAAGTTAGAAAAATAGACCAGGCGCAGTGGCTCAGGCTTGTAAGCCACAAGCACTTTGGGAGGCCAAGGCAGGCAGATTGCTTGAGCTCAGGAGTTCAAGACCAGTCTAGGCAACCTGACGAAACCATGTCTCTACAAAAACAAAAACAAACAAAAAAAATTAGCTAAGCGTGGTGCCGCGCACCTGTAGTCTCAGCTACTCGGGAGGCTGAGGTGGGAGGATCACTTGAGCTCAGGAGGTTGAGGCTGCAGTGAGCTGTGATCATACCACTGCACCCTAGCTTGAGCAACAGAGTGAGACCCTGTCTCAAAAATTAAAAAAAAAAAAAAAGAAAAGAAAGAAAAACACTCCTTTCAATCATCTTTAGAGAAATGTTGCCTTAGAACAGTAGCTTTCAAACTCAGTCATGCCCCATGATAGGAAATACCTGTGTGTGTACGTATGTATATATGTGTATGTATCTATGTACATGTGTAAAACAAATGTTTTATGAAACAATTCTTATGCACTCAAATATATATTCTGTGTTACCGTTTCATTTTTAGAATGCTGTTTACAAGCTGTTAAATTGGTTTCACTTAACAGGGTTACCTCCTGCTGTTTGAGAACTTCAAGAACATACCATGATGATGATGATATTAACATCTCTCTGTTATTTTTATTTATTTATTTATTTATTTATTTGAGACAGAGCCTCACTGTGTTGCCCAGACTGGAGTGCATTGGCGTAATCTCGGCTCACTGCAACCTCCGCCTCCCAGGTTCCTGCCTCAGGCTCCCTAGTAGCTGGGATTACAGGCGCCCGCCACCATGCCCAGCTAATTTTTGTATTTTTGGTAGAGACGGGGTTTCACCATGTTAGTGAAACCTGACCTCGGGTGATCCTCCTGCCTCAGCCTCCCTAAGTGCTGGAATTACAGGTGTAAGCCACTGCACCCGGCCCAGAAAGAGTTCTGAGAGAAGACATACGCATCCTGGGGACCAGAGGGAGAAAAGGGCTGGTGATAACCTGAAGTACTTTGTAGGTGACTATGGAATTTGTGAGGGTGATTTTCTCAGCATATTCTGCTTAGATGGCAATGCACCTGGGTTTTGTTTCTCTCGGCCCAAATGATCTGGACCAAGGGAGAGCCCCAGAATCAGGGGAAAGGCAAGCAGGAAGGGAAATCTTTACTGCAGAAAAACTACTCTGGCATTACCAGACTTGTCACTGCTTATGGCCTGTTTCGATTCCTCACCTTCTCTGCAACCTTCTGAGAGTTATTTCCTGCCTCTGAAGTTCAGTTTCCTCATCAGCAAAATTGGGACGTGATTTTTTTCTCTGTGATTTCTCCCAACTTGATTGTTCCATTACTGGAGGATGAGAAGTTGAGTTTTCTTTTTCTGACCTTCATTCATTCAGCCAACAAATGAAGAGCCTCATTTTATATACCAGGGGAAGAGAAGACAGGACGCTTGCCCTCAAGCAGCAGCAGAGGGGTAAATTCCCCAGAAAGGAATCCATTGTCTCCAGGTGTTGTCATATTTCAGCAATGCCATGGCTGTGCTTTCAGCTGAATTCAGTTTTCCTGGATGATGGGGTCTGGGGAGGAGGCAGGTGACCTGAGGCTCCCTACCCAGGCTGGCCTTCTGCACGTGATGCTGAGGATGACTCCTGGGAAGTGAGGTCACACAGTGATCCCTACTGGCCCCAGGTCCCAGCCCTCTTACTCAGTGTTCTTTGAAATGCTTTCAGTAGCCAAAGCCCATGTCTGGAAAATATTAGAGCCCTTGATCCAGAAGTTAAGCCTTTGGCCTATGAGCTTTATCTTTGCCCTCACTCTCTGTGACTGAATTGATTCTTGTCTTTAAGTTCCCACTCTGTGTGTGATGGTCACTGTGCCATGTTACCCCTTCAAGAAAGGGTTTGTCCCAGCTGCTTGGAGTGCTGTCAACAGACTGTCTTCTGCCATTAGAGCCGCCTAGTCTAAGCTCTCTGGACAGCCCACATCCAGTGAGTGGTGGGGGAGGGGGGCTCTCCCTCATTTCACACCTGCTTCCCACCCTTTCCCAGGTGGAATAAGCATTCTGCACATTAAGCTCTGTCTAGGGGTCTGCCTTCTGGGGATTCCAACCTTTGACAGTGTATATCTGTGTCCCTCTCTTGCCCCTAAAGCCTTAATATTGTAATCAAGTATAGTGATTTTGGTCACCATCTGCTGTTCCTATCGATCAGGCATGAGTGTTTGACAAGTGAGGTGCCAGTTTGGCCTACAGGCTGGCAAAGAGATAGACCATCTCCTGGGTGCATGTCAAGTTAATAATGAAGATGACTTTTCCTAGAAGATTTGAGCTCATGCTGTAGACAAGCATAATATCTATGATAAAAGTAGAGCTTTCTGGGTGACCTAGAACAATCACTTTCCTTCTCTTTGCCTGTTTCTGCAGTGTGAAATGAGAGGGTTGGCTGGTTTCATTTCTATCAGTGTATTATTCCAAATTGGTAAATTTGTCCCCAAGTATGGGGTTAGACCTTTGGGGTTTGCTAATAAAACCATCTACAGGGAATGAGAATTTGTTTCTTAATTCAAAAATTGATTTTACCTGCAGGTTAGAGAGGCCACTGCGGAAAGAAAAGAACCCCTGCCTGCTTAGATGCAACCTAGATCATGATATTTGAGTGTCAAAGATGACTGAATGAGGGCAGAGATACCCAAGACCTGGTTGTGCTCTGGTGAGTTCGTATTCATCCTGCAGAGCCCAGCCACAATGTCACTCCTCAGGGAAGTCTTCCTTAGCCCTTCAGGTCAGGACCTTCCTTGTGCCAAGGCTCTGTCTCTGTTCCAGCTGCTGGAAACACAGACATGAGTGAGACACCATCCAAGTCCTAAGGGGCTTCCAAGTATGGTGTGAGACACACAGAGGGGTCCCAGACAAGAAACTGAGGGACTCCTTACCTGGGGGAATCAGAGGCTTCTCAGAGGAGGTAATACCAGAGTCTCGCCACAGGCAACCAACCTGACTCCGATCCAGCGTCTGGATCTAACTGCCAATTTGATTTGCAGGAAGTACTGAGGACTGAGGAGCTTACTGGGTTGCACCAAGAGTTTGCAGTAAGCAAGATCTAGACTGTGGGAAACCCTCCAGGTGCAGTGGCCCAGGGTCCTCAACAGACACACTGCCAGGAAATGAAAGGGAAGGAAGGGGTACCTCCTGATTGAAAAAAAAAGCTTCTATCCATTTTTTTAAATGAGCAAAGTTAAACTATAGTGTACAAAGATGTCGCGATGCTCAATTAGGTGATAAACTAAAATGCAAGGAAGTGATTAGAGGGTAAGGATACTTATGGCCCTGGGGAGGTTGTGATTAGGGGGGGACACACAAAAAGGGTTTCTGGGGTATCCGGCAAAATTCTCTAATTTGGATAGTGTTCCCCTTATAATTCATTAAGGCATTCACTTGATTTGTGTGGTTTTCAAATTTGTTTTATTGTATGGTAAAAGACTTAAAAACATATTTCTTGGGCTGGGCACGGTGGCTCACGCCTGTAATCCCAGCACTTTGGGAGGCTGAGGCAGGCAGATCACGAGGTTAGGAGTTCGAGACCAGCCTGGCCAACATGGTGAAACCCTGTCTCTATTAAAAATACAAAAATTAGCCGGGCATGGTGGCAAGTGCCTGTAATCCCAGCTACTCGGGAGGCTGAGGGAGAAGAACTGCTTGAACCCAGGAGGCGGAGGTTGTAGTGAGCCAAGATCGCACCACTGCACTCCAGCCTGGGTGACAAGAGTGAAACTCCGTCTCAAAAAAAAAAAACAACAAAAAAAAAAGCATATTTCTCCAGGCTGGTATTGGGCTAAAACTTATAGAATGAGGCATAATATATAGACTTGCCAAATTCTGGTCTATGTTTTAAAAAATATCCTGGAGGTTTTAGCTGCCCACAAATGACTGTGTCTGCCTGCGTGGCTCTCAAAATGCAGTACCAGAGGCCCTATGTTTTGCCCTGGACACTAAGGAGGAGCAAAAGGGAGGACTCTACCAGGGGTAACCAGCATGGGCGGAGCCTTTGCAGCTCCAGCGCTTCCCATCAGGGAGGACTGCTTATAACTCCCTGGATGGAGGAGCCCTGGTCACATCTCATCATGAGGTTGCAATGGTCAAGCCCCATTGCAGAAGGGGCTACTATGATGGGTGGGGTGGCCTGTGATCCCCTTGCTTCTGCAAGGTCCAGGCTCTGAGGTAGAAACCTAGAATTTCAGGACACAAGGCATTTAGGACATAGCTCTTTCAACTGTAGAATTTTACAACTAAGGAAGCTGAAGTCCAGGGAGTATCAGCGATTTAATGGAGGTCATGCAACAAACTCAACATATGTGTCCCTTTCTGCCCCTGCCTTCAATTCTGTCCTTATTCTTTAAGCCAATGACCTACCCCTGGCTCCACAGGGGTGCATGTAGATACCTGCTGGCCTTCAAGGTAATTACAAGATTTCTGTTCCCCAGGCTCACCCTGGTGCTTGTATCTGACTTGCCTTCACTTCTAGTTCCTCTCACAAAACTTGACCTGGAATCCATACTTGACCCCTGCCTCTGGTCCTTCACTTTTGGAAGCCCATGTTTCCCCAAAATCTTTACACTGACCTCTTCTGTACCTTGCACTTTTTTTTGAGACAGTTTCTCATTGTCTCTCAGGCTGGAGTGCAGTGGCACCATCTCAGCTTACTGCAAACTCGACCCTCTGGGCTCAAGCGATTCTCCCACCTCAGCCTCCAGAGCAGTTGGGACTACAGGCATGTGCCACCATGCCCGCTAATTTTTTTGTATTTTAAATAGAGACAGGGTTTCGCCATGTTGGCCAGGCTGGTCTCAAACTCCTGACCTCAAGTGATCTGCCTGCCTCAGCCTCCCGAAGTGCTGGGATTACAGGCGTGAGCCACTGCGGCTGGCAGTTTTTGTATTTTTTATAGAGATGGGATTTTGCTGTGTTGCCCAGGCTGGTCTCAAACACCTGACCTCAAGTGATCCATCCACCTTGGCCTCCCAAAGTGCTAGGATTACAGGTGTGAGCCACTGCACCCGGCCCCTTGCATTTCTCTTATATTGACTTCGGCTTGGCTTGTCCCTCTGCCCTCCGCTGGGGTGGAATTCTCTGCTCCAGCTCCTTCAGAAAACCCAATGTTTGGCCGGGCACGGTGGCTCATGCCTGTAATCCCAGCACTTTGGGAGGCCGAGGTGGGTGGATCACGAGGTTAGGAGATGGAGACCATCCTGGCTAACACGGTGAAACCCCGTCTCCACTAAAAAATACAAAAAAAGTTAGCCGGGCATGGTGGCGGGCGCCTGTAGTCCCAGCTACTCGGGAGGCTGAGGCAGGAGAATGGCGTGAACCCAGGAGGCGGAGCTTGCAGTGAGCCGAGATCGCGCCACTGCACTCCAGCCTGGGCCACAGAGCGAGACTCCGTCTCAAAAAAAAAAAAAAAAAAAAAAAAAACGGAAAACACAATGTTCAGTCTTGAAGCTCCTTCTCATCAGGAATTTGAAGGGACAGGATTCAAGGCAATATCCAGTAGAGCAGGACTTTTCACCTTCCTATTTCTATGCCTGAATATCTGGACTCTGTTTAGGCTGAGGCGCTTGTCAAAAAAGGCCTCAATTTGTATTTAATAACACTTTCATGATGACACTGACACCCTAGCTCGGCATTACCTTCAAAAGCCAAGAGCGTCTCTTCCATTTATTGGGATCTTAGAGAAAAGGTCAATATTTCTCTGCTGCCTGGGCCCTATACCTTCTCTTCTGATAACCTGAGACTCTTCTGACATTCAGTCCACCTAAAGCTCCTCATGGTCATCTGTGCAACAGGCCTCAGAGAAAGTAATGTGGTTTTTCAGGGCTACATTAACAGAAGTATGGGGTATAGAATGAGGGAGGTGAAGTTCCATTCATAAGACTCTGTCTGGAGTAGTATGTTCGGTAGGGAGTGTTACAATTGAAGAGGAGGACAGACAGAGCAGTGTATCAAAAAGAGGGTCCAGGAATGGGAGGAGGCGCTCAATGTCATGTTATTAATATGTTAAATCAGACTGTTTATCCTAGAGATGATGTGGGGAGTGTCATAACTGGCTGGGGGCAGATTCAAAGGATCAGTTCACCAGGACTGGAAAAGAAGCACCCACCAGTTGAACAATCTGGTTTGCTTTGTAGACAGGAAGACAGGCAGTGCGCATGGCCTGCATAATTCACCTTCCAAAGAACAATCCAGAAACCACCGTTCGGGAAACTCAGGCACCCTCTCTGGAAAGTTGCCCCGCCATAACACTCGCAAATCGGGCGGGACCCGAGTCCCCGCGGGCCACCTGGACCTTAGTGTCCCCATTGGCGAAGCAGTGAAGACGACTCCGGCTCTGCGAAATGCGGCTGGGGGAAAGGAGACGCGGGGACCGGCGGCGAGGGCGCACGCGGCGCGGCGGGGGCCGAGCTCACCTGTAAGGTGGACCCTGGAGTCTCGAAGCCCAGGTGCACCGGCCCCCGCCGACCGCGGAGCCCGGGGCAGGAGACGAACTGGAGGGCGACTGAGCAGAATCCGAAAATGGAAAAAATGCCACGTAGAAGGGACGGCGTACGTGGAGAAAACCCGACTTCCCCACAGCCAAAGCCCTACCTCGGGTCTCAGGCACGGACGGGGTTCGAACCCGCGATCTTCGGTTTACGAGACCGACGCCTTACCACTTGGCCACCGCGCCTGACAGCCCAGGGACCGGTGGAATCTCTCAGTGGAGGGGAGGTGGTACCGGCTGGGAGCTGCGGCCTCGGCCCCGCCCCCGGTCCCGCCCCCGCAAGCCCCACCCGCAAGCCCGGGCTTGACTCTGCGAGCACCGCTCCCGCCCGGTCAGGGGCAGGTCCCGCGCCCGCCGCCTGCGGGACCCGAACCGGCGTCTTGAGAAGCCCGGCCCTCCTCCCTCCTCTCTCGCCCCGCGCCCGCCGCGAGCGATGCCCCGAGACCCAGCCCACGCCTAGAGCGGGCAGCGGCCTGGCGGTGGGGTCGAAAGCTACGGCACAGAGCCGTGCCTGAGTCGGAAAGAAGCCTCGGCGGAAGCGGAAGCGGAAGCGGAGATGGCCGCAGCGGAGCGGGCAGGG
This sequence comes from Homo sapiens, assembly GCF_000001405.40. Taxonomy (NCBI): domain Eukaryota; kingdom Metazoa; phylum Chordata; class Mammalia; order Primates; family Hominidae; genus Homo; species Homo sapiens. Next base: position 31,549,679 of record NC_000017.11, on the reverse strand, counting down.
GCCGTGTGTGACCCTGGCCGGGTCATTTCCGTCGGGCCGGGCAGGGTCCGTGGGGGCTCGGGCGGGGTTGGTGGGGACCAGGGCGCAAGCCAAGAAGGGCGGCGCGGCCGGGGGCGGGGACTGGGACGGGGCCAGCGCTCCGAGGAAGACGCGGGGAGCCTGGGGCATGGGGCCAGGCTCGGGGCGCCGGGAGGTGACCTTCCCTCGCTGGCCCTGCACGAAGCACGACCTTCCTCGGGTTCAGCTCGCTCCCCTTGCAGCCCCTGGCAAGGAGGACCCTGAGCATCTGTGTAGCCTGGATGACCTTGCCCCGGAGGAGCCGAGGTGGGCACGCTAGGAGAGGCCCCCAGGGATGACATGGCGACCCGAATGGCAGAATCATGTGGTCTCTCATACCGCGGAACAGTAGGTCACGATGAAAAGGAACCATGCGGATTCAAAGGACTGATTGTCAGCTTAGGCAGAGCCCAGAAACACACGTGAAAATTTACTGGAAAAACAGAGAGGGAGCCTGGGACTGGGGATGGGGGACAAAGGGGACTTTAACTTAATTGGCATTGTTTTGTTTCTAGTCTATGGAAGAGGCAGAGGTGGGAACACGAGTGCCTATTAGGATACTGTATACTTTTTTGGTAAATCTTTTATTTTCTTTAAATTAAATAAAGGGGGGAATTAGGTCCCCCTGTTCTTGTTTGGCCTGTGGCCACAGCATCTGTTCCAGGAGAGAGGTGAGTCTGCATGGGTGGGGGAAGAGAAGCCCTTATCTCAGGGCAGGGCTCATGCTCGCTGGGGACAGCCACCCTGCCACCACCACTGCCAAATTAAGCCTTATTTGTGTGCAGATTTTTTTTTCTGGAGACAGAGTCTTGCTCTGCCCAGGCTGGAGTGCAATGGCACGATCTCGGCTCACTCCAACCTCCACCTCCCGGATCCAAGCAATTCTCCTGCCTCAGCCTCCCAAGTAGCTGGGATTACAGGCACCTGCCACCACTCCCGGCTAATTTTTTGTATTTTTAGTAGAGATAGGGTTTCATCATGTTGACCAGGCTGATCTCAAACTCCTTACCTCAGGTGATCCACCCGCCTCAGCCTCCTAAAGTGCTGGGATTACAGGCATGAGCCACCGTGTCTGGCCTCCTCTCTATGCTTTTAAAAACTCTCTGGACTCGGCCAGGCGCGGTGGCTCACGCCTGTAATTCCAGCACTTTGGGAGGCCGAAGCAGGCGGATCTCTGGACTCAACTAATGATGCTGGAAAAACCGCATATCCACATGCAAAAGAATGAAGTTGGACCCTAACCTAGCACCATATACAAAAATTACCTCAAAATGGATTCAGGACATAAACATAAGACCTGTAACTATAAAAATCCTGAAAGAAAACAGGGGGAAAGGTCTACAACATTAGATGTGGCAATGATTTTTTTAGATATGACCCCAAAAGCAAGAATAGACAAATAGGACCAAGTCAGACTTTATAAAAACTGCACAGCAAAGGAAACAACAGAATGAAAGGCAATCTGTGGAATGGGAGAAAATATTGCAAATCAGATATCTAATAAGGAATTGCTATCCAAAATAAAATTTAGACTCCTACCACTCGACAACAACAAACAACTCACTTAAAAATGGGCAAAAGGCTGGGTATGGTTGCTCATGCCTGTAATCCCAGGCTTCCCTTGGGAGGCCAAGGTGGGAGGATCACTTGAGGCCAATAGTTAGAAACTAGTCTGGGCGATATTGTGAGACCTCATCTCTACAAAAAGTAAACTAAAACAAGGCAGGCATGATAGCACCTATAGTCCTAGTTACTTGGTAGGCTGAGGCAGGAGGATCACTTGAGCTCAGGAGTTCAAGGTTGCAGTGAGCTATGATTGTGCTACTGTACCCTAGCCTGGACAACACAGCACAAGAAAAAATAAAGTGGACCTTTTCATCAGTTATAACAAGTGCACAACTCTTGTTCAGGGGAAGCTGTGCAGTTGGGAGGGCAGAGAGTATGTGGGAGCTCTCTGTACTTTGTGCTCAGTTTTGCGTGAATCTAAAACTGCTCTGAAAAATTAAGTCTGTGAAAAGGAAGAAATGAACTACCAAGTCATGAAAAAAACACAGAAGAATCTTCAATGTATATTACTAAGTGAAAATGCATACTACTGCTATGGTTTGAATGTGTCCCCTAAAGTTCATGTGTTAGAAACTTGATCCCCAATGTGGTGGTCTTGGAGATGGGACCTAGTGGGAAGTGTTTGGGTCATGGGGCCACTACCCTCATAAATGCATTAATGCCATTCTCAAAGGAGTGGGTTCATTATAGAGCAAGTAGTTTTCTTATAAAAGAAGTTTGCCTTCCCACCCTCTCTTTGCCCGGCCTCTGGGTTGATGAAGCAAGAAGGTCCTCACCAAATGCCAGCTCCTCGATCTTGGGCTTCCCAGCCTTCAGTCCCACGAGCCAATAAATTTCTGTGCATTATAAATTACCTAGTCTATGGTATTCTGTCTTAGCAGCACAAAACGGACTGAGACAAGCTAAACTGAAAAGGCTACATACTGTATTATATGACATTCTAAAAAAGGCAAAACTGTGGAAACAGTAAAAATATCAATGGTTGCCAGGGGTTGAGGGGTGGGAAGGATGAGTAGATAGGGCACAGAGAGTTTTTAGGGCAGCAAAACTATTCTGCATGATATAATGGTGGATACATATCATTATATATTTGTCAAAACCCATAGAGGGGTTCTGGGCTGGGAAAAATAAAGAAAAAAAAATCCCATAGAACGTTCAACACCAAGAGTGAACCCTGGTGTAAACTATGTACTTTGGATGATGATGTGTCAATGCAGGGTCATCAGTTGTAACAGATGTACCACTCTAGTGGAGGATGTTGATGGCAGGGGAGACTAGGGAGATACGGCGGCCATGGGTATATAGGGAACTCTGCTTTCTGCTTAGTTTTGCTGTGAACCTAAAACTGCTCTTTAGAAGTCTGTTTTACAAGGCCGGTTGCAGTGGCTCATGCCTGTAATCCTGGCACTTTGGGAGGCCAAGGCGGGTGGGTCACCCAAGTTCAGGAGTTCGAGACCAGCCTAGGCAACATGGTGAAACTCCATCTCTACTACAATACAAAAAATTAGCTGGGTGTGGTGGCATGCACCTGTAATCCCAGCTACTCAGGAGGCTGAGACAGGAGAATTGCTTGAACCTGGGAGGCAGAGGTTGCAGTGAGCCGAGATCATGCCATTGCACCCTGGCCTGGACAACAGAGTGAGACTCCATCTCAAAAAAAAAAGTCTCTTTTACAAAAACGGGGCTGGTCTCTGTGACTGACACGCATAAGGTCAGGAGTTCAAGACCAGCCTGACCAACATGGTGAAACCCTGTCTCTACTAAAACTACAAAAATTAGCCAGGTGTGGTGGTGTGCACCTGTAGTCCCAGCCACTTGGGAGGCTGAGGCAGGAGAATTGCTTCAACCCAGGAGGCAGAGGTTGCAATGAGCCGAGATTGTGCCACTGCACTCCAGCCTGGGCAACAGAGCAAGACTCCATTTAAAAAATAAATAAATAAATAACAAGAAAAATAATTTTTGAATTCTTTCCTCTCTGACCCCCTGCTATGAATCATTATCAACCCTGGGCCACATTGTAGTTGCCCTTTGGTGGGGTCACTGTGGGTTCACCCAGGTCCACTTCTCAGCTGGGTAGGCCTAGGAGCTGGTTCTGGAACACAGAGCTCCAAGTGGGCAGGAATCAAGCCTTACTCACCTTCATACAGCGTGGTCATAAGAGCACCTAGTCATTTATTCCTTCAGCAAATCATTGAGCATCTACTGTGTGCCAAATACTGTTCTCAATGCTAGGGCTATAGCGGTGAACTAAGCAGCACAGATCTCTGCCCTTATGGGGCTTCCATTCTTAAATAAGCAAAACATACAGTCTATCAGTTGGTGAGAAGTACTAGGGAGAAAAATACAGCAGGGAAGGAGGCTAGGATGTTCTTCAGGAGGGGGAGAGTTGCAGCTTTTTTTTTGAAATGGAGTCTTGCTCTGTCGCCAGGCTGGAGCAGAGTGCCGCTATCTCAATTCACTACAACCTCCACCTCCTGGGTTCAAGCGATTCTCCTGCCTCAGCCTCCCAAGTAGCTGGGATTACAGGCGCGCACCACCACACCCAGGTAATTTTTGTATTTTTTTTTTTTTTAGTAGAGACGGGGTTTCACCATGTTGGCCAGGATGGTCTCGATCTCCTGACCTCATGATCTGCCCACCTTGGCCTCCCAAAGTGCTAGGATTACAGGCGTGAGCCACCGCGCCTGGCCAGGTTGCAGTTTTTTTGTTGTTGTTTTTTTTTCTTTTTTTCTTTTTTTGAGACAGAGTCTCGCTCTATCGCCCAGGCTGGAGTGCAGTGGCGCTATCTCAGCTCACTGCAAGCTCCACCTCCCGGGTTCACGCCGTTCTCTTGCCTCAGCCTCCTGAGTAGCTGGGACTACAGGCCCCCGCCACCGCGCCCAGCTAATTTTTTGTAGTTTTAGTAGAGACGGGGTTTCACCGTGTTAGCCAGGATGGTCTCGATCTCCTGACCTCATGATCCGCCCGCCTCGGCCTCCCAAAGTGCTGGGATTATAGGCATGAGCCACCGTGCCCGGCCCGGGTTGCAGTTTTAAATAGGTGGTTGCCTGGTGCGGTGCTCACATCTGTAATCCCAGCACTTTGGGAGGCCCAGGCGGGTGTATCACCTGAGGTCAGGGGTTCAAGACCAGCCTGGCCAACATGGTGAAACCCCATCTCTAGTAAAAATACAAAAAATTAGCTGGGCGTGGTTGTGGGTTCCTGTAATTCCAGCTGCTCTGGAGGCTGAGGCAGGAGAATCGCTTGAACCTGGGAGGTGAAGGTTGCAGTGAGCTGAGATCACACCATTGCACTGCAGCCTGGGCAACAGAGCCAGACTCCGTCTCATAAATAAGTGGGATAGCTTAAATGCAGTCACAAATTCTTTGCAGCTTTTCCCACCTAGAGGTGGAGTCTCTTCTCCCACTTTTTGGTACAGGCTGGCCATGGGGCTTGCTTTGACTAAAACAATGTGGCAAAAGTGATGTTATGTAAGTTCTGAAGCTTAAGGCCCCAAGAGAGGCAGCTTCTGCCTCCACTGTCTTAGGAAATTGCCCTGAGAATGCTGTGGAAGAAAGGCAGTCTAGCTACTGAAGGTTGAGAGGCCCCGAGGGTCATTCCAGCTAACAGCCAGCACCGTCTGCCAGACATGTCAGGTAGCCATCTGGGACCTTCCAGCTCAGCTGATGCCTCAGCTGGATGCAGCTGCAAGATCGAGCCCAGGCACACCCAGCAGAGGAACTGCCAGCCTACCACAGAATCAGGAAGGTAATAAATCATTGTATGCCTTAGGATTTGAGGGTGGTTTGTTACATAGAAGCAATAGTTCATTGATACAGGAGGCCATATACAGCTTACACACCTTTCCATTCTAGGTTTGTGGGCTGCTGGTTATTTGTATGGAGTAGGCAAAAGTTAGTGATGCAGGGTAACTTTGGCAGAGGCCATGTACAGTGTCCCTTCAGCCTCCATTTAGTCTGTTTCCTCATCTACAAAATGGGAGAGTTAGCCATTAGCTACAGCCCTGTGTTAATTATACATTGAGCAAGATTCATTATCCACTGCTAAAGTGAACAGCGGAATGAAATGCCAGCTTGACCCTTCTGCCTTTGGTACAGTAACACCTGACACTTTTCCCTTTGATCAAATTTCACAGCCACCAGAAAAGGTCTAAATTAAGGTGCTGTTAATAGGAGGGAAAGTCAATGCAACTTGAGACTTTTTGGAGAATATGTGGCCACTTATTTATTCATTTATTTCTTATTTATTTTTTGAGACTGATTCTCACTCTGTCGCCAGGCTGGAGTGCAGTGGCACGATCTTGGCTCACTGCAACCTCCGCCTCCCAGGTTCGAGCGATTCTCCTGCCTCAGCCTCCCGAAAAGCTGGGACTACAGGTGCCCACCACCATACCCAGCTAATTTTTGTATTTTTCATAGAGATGGAGTTTCACCATGTTGGCCAGGCTGGTCTCAATCTCCTGACCTCGTGATCCGCCCGCCTCAGCCTCCCAAAGTGCTGGGATTACAGGCATGAGCCACCACGCCTGGCTTTATTCATTTATTTAGAGACAGGGTCTGGGCTCTGTCAACCAGGCTGGATTCCTTCTGGGATGGGGGATCTTCTGAGAGGAAGCCTGGTGGAGAGGAAACTGGAGGCCCTGGTGTTTCAGGTACCTACTGCTGTGTCTAATCAACTACCCCAACATTTAGATCTTAAAATAACAACTTTATTGTTTTCCATGGCTCTGTGGGTTGACCAGGCAGTTCTGCTTCATCTGGTGGTTGCTGGGGATTTGGGATGGCCTCACTCTCCTGCTAGTCTTGGCTGGGGCCTCAGTTCTCCACGTGGCTGTTTGAGATTCCTCACAGCTGGGTTTTCCAAGAAGGTGCATTTTAAGAGGAAGGACGCAGAAGCTGCTGATCTTCTTAAGGTTAGAGCTCAGAAGTCCCAGAATGGGCCGGGCGCAGTGGCTCTCACCTGTAATCCCAGCACTTTGGGAGGCTGAGGCAGGTGGATCACCTGAGGTCAGAAGTTTGAGACTAGCCTGGCCAACATGGAGAAACTCTGTCTCTATTAAAAACACAAAAAATTAGCCGGGCATGGTGGTGGATGCCTGTAATCCCAGCTACTCAGGAGGCTGAGGCAGGAGAATTGCCTGAACCCAGTGAGCCGAGATCACGCCATTGCACTCCATCCTGGACAAGAAGAGCAAAACTTCGTCTAAAAAAAAAAAGTCCCAGAATGTCACTTCTGCCTCAAGTGATGCATTTTTGCATCTATTCATCAAAGCAGTCACAGAATTAGCCCAGATTCAAAGAGGTGAAGAATAAACTTCACCTCTCAGTGGAATAGTGGCCTGCACCCAGGGAGGGAATAAATCCATGGTACTTGTCTTTGGAGACTGTATCACACCTGTCATTCACTGGCTCTGTGACTTTGAGAGTAGACACAAATTGAACTCAGTCCTGGGGCTGGGTTCAATCTTTACAAAGATGTAAAGAGATACAAAGTGGGTCTCCTTTGTCTCTGCCCCACCTCAAAAAATGGTCTCATCTTGAGGGCTCACTAGTGGGAGTATTTGGAGCAGATACTCTCCCACGTTCCTTCCAGCCCTGATGGCCTTCAGAGCCCACGCTCATAGCCCCCCAACTGCAGAACCAAGGTCTGAGGGTCTGGCCCAGGCTCTGCCAGAGCTTGGCAAAGTCCACCTTTTGGTCAGGGGCTGCCTGCTGACCTGGGTAAGCTGGGAAAGCCAACCCTGAAACCATGGCCAAGTGGTGGCAGAGCTGGAAAAGGTATTTCTCCCTGGAGGGGCCAGCTGGGCTAGAAAGCAAGGGCCGAGAGTCCACAAGCTCCCGTGGGCTTGGTGCTGTCAAGCAGGCTGTAGGAAGTAGGCTCATAATTCAGCACCTCTGCACCCTGGGTTTGGGCCTTTCAGAAACTCTAGCTCCTTTTTAAACCCAAAGGCCACACCAGTATGGAGCCTAAGACAAAGCCTGATACCAAAGTCAGAGCTTGGAGTTTGAAGTGAGAGCCAGACCTGAACCAGGGGTGGCAGGAGAGTGAGGGGAACTTCCTGCAGCCCTAATCCCAGTCACCTCGTTAGTTCCAGGGAGGTCTGGCTTCAAGCTGGCTACAGAGGTCCTGGGCCCTGGAGCCCCCAACCGCTCCCAGTGGACTTGGTGCAGGGTTGACCCCCTCAGCCCACTTTAAGGCACAGTCCAGCCAGCCAGGCTGAGCCACAGTGGAGCTGCCACCCTTCTTGGTCCTCTCTTCTGCCCCGCATGGCTGTGAGCAGAGCTGCAGGCCCTACCTCCTGGCTCTGCTCCAGTTGTGCTCATGTCACAACCCCTCGTTCCTGGAGAGGGGACCCAGGCTCCAGGGCTCAGCATGTGTCCTGACTGTTCTGTCTGCCTTCCCAGCCTGCAGTGACCCCGCCCCATCCGAGCTTGAATCCCAGGTGAATCCCTGCTGCCTGGGCTTGAATCCCAGGTGACATGTGGCCAGTGAGTTCACCTGTGGTGGCTCAGTTTCCTCATCTGTAATACTACCCACCTCATAGGGAGTTGTGAGGGACAGATAACCCAGGACATGCAAAGCACTTGGAACACTGCCTGGTCTAGAGTAAGCCCTAAACAAGTGCAAGCAATCTAATAACCACCTCATTGGTGCCTTCTGTGGGCCAAGCACTGGGTTAGCCTCAGGGATTTGGGAGGGGAGGGTGGTAGAGGGAGGAATTAGGCCAAATCCTCTTCCCCAGGGCTCGAGAGAGTGGACAACCAGCTGGACTAACCAAAAGAGAGGAACTGGTCCCACCCTCTCAGAGCACCCCGGCTGCTGACCTGATGGGTCTCTGGACCCAGTGGTTAGTGGTGCTGCCGCCTGCTGCTCCCAAGGGACCTGGGCCTGAAGCCTGGTTCTAAGAATGAGGGGCTTTCCGCCCTGGGGAGTAGCTTGATCATTTTCTGGAGAAATGGCCTAGCTGACGTAGACCCTCCCAGCAAGGCTGTGAGAAGTCCGACTCCCTCACCCGAGCAACCACCCACCACCCTAACCCCAGTGTGACTGTATTTGGAGATGAGGCTTTTGAGGAGGTAAATAAGGTTAAATGAGGTCATATGGGTGAAGCCCTAATCCAACAGGTCTGGTGTCCTTCTAAGACAACAAAGAGACAGTAGAGAATGAGCTCTTTGTGAGCACACAGTGAGAAGGCAGCTGTCTGCAGGCCAAGGAGAGAGGCCTCACCAGAACTCAGCCCCACTGGCACCTCAAGATTGGACCTCCAGCCCCAAGAACTGCGAGAAAATAAGTGTCTGTGTAAGCCTCCCAGCCTGTTGTGTTCTGTCAGGTCAGTCCCAGCTAAGACACACCCCAGTCCAGGCTGCCCTCACCTCTCACCACCCAACTCTGAAACTGACCTGACCAGGCCACCCCCAGCTTAAAATGCTTTGGCGTAGTCCCCACAGTCCCGCTTACCATTGAGCTAGCTGGTTCGTAGTTCCTCCCCATGGCAAGGCCTCCACACCTGCTGTTCCCTCTCCTGCTTCCGCCCTGCCCTCCCATCTCCCTTACCTGGCCAGCCTCTCCTCCTCCAAGTCTCAGTTGAAGCCTCCTCAGGTGAGTCTAAGTGCCCTTTTTATACCCCATGATTCTCACCATTGGCTACACCTTGGAATCACCTGGGAGCTTTAAAAAACATCCCAGTGTCCAAGCCCCACTCCCCACCAATGGAATCAGAATTGCTGGGGTGGGATGGTTTTAAGAACCTCTCTTGTACATTCTAGAGGCTCCCTGTGCCACGAGCCCAGCACCTCCCCTGCACCCCGCATCTGTTAGGTGCTGGTAAAGCATCTGCTTAGTGAGTGAATGTGATAGATCCACCCTTGGCCCCCTAGACTCTACACCACCTGGCTAGGCTGCAGCCCTCCACTATCCCCCTCTCTAGTACCCTGAAAGGGCTGTTTCTCCAAGTCTCCTCCCCATGGCAGTTCCCTTAGATCCTACAGTCTGAGTTCCCTTAGATCCTACAGAGCTCTGTTGAAAGGCTCCTTCCTTGAGAGAAGCCATACCTGATGCCTGAGTGGGCTCAATCCACTTGCCCCCAGCTCCTGAAGCCCCCCATATCTTCCTCTTGGTAGTGCTCATCACCCTGGAAATGAATTATGTCTCTCCCCTCCCCCAGGAGCGTGGGGACTTCACGGGGCAGAGGCCTTGCCTGTACCAATTCCCAGTGCCTGGCACACACAGTGGTGCTCGGTAGATGATGCTGGCGGGTTGAGTGATTTCTGTGCTCAGATATTATCCACCCATTCATCTGCTTTGGCCTGGGCCCAGCCGATGACCCTAAAGGGCCCTCTAACTGAGGGCCTGGTGAGTCAATGGAATCCAACAATGAAACACCTTTAGCAGGTGCTGTGGCCTCAAGGGGGCACAGGGATGACATCATTTTTAATAGGACTGTAAGGAAATGTTCTGCAAAATGGGTGAATGGGGAACACACCTGTGCAGAGGAGAGGGTACAGCCTGTACACACAGCAGTGCTCGCTCCCACCTCTCTCCAGGATGGTAAACTGAGGCAATTCCAAGGACCTCCTTCAATAGGTGTTATGAGTTGAATTGTGTCCTCCCAAAAGATATGTTGAAGTCCTAAGCCCTGATACCTATGCAAGCTTACTTTGGAAACAGGGTCTTCGCAATGTAAAGACCCTATTTGTAATCAAGTAAAGATGAGGCTCGTTGGACTACTTATCTGAAACTCAAGTTTTACTGGGCATCCTGTATTCTTACTAGCCAAATCTGGCAGCCTAAGTTGGGAAGGAAAGAAGGAATATTAGGAGGAAGGAGGGAACTGGCCAGGTGCGGTGGCTCACGCCTATAATCCCAGCACTTTGGGAGTCCAAGGTGGGTGGATCACTTGAGCTCAAGAGTTCAAGACCAGCCTGGCCAACATGGTGAAACCCCGTCTCTACTAAAAATACAAAAAATAGCCAGGTGTGGTGTTGGGTGCCTGTAATCCCAGCTACTTGGGAGGCTGAGACAGGAGAATTGCTTGAACCCAGGAGGGGGAGGTTGCAGTGAACCGAGATTGTGCGACTGCACTCCAGCCTGGGCAGTAGAGCAAGACTCCATCTTTAAAAAAAAAAAAAAAAAAGAGGAAAGAGGCAATAAAGATCCAAGAGGACACAGCACTCCCAGGATTTGGAGGTGACGTCTCCTGAGCCAGGAGGCTAAGTCCAGTGAGTGAGGAACTGTCTGCCCTCCCTGGAGGACTCATGGCACCAGGGCCTGCACTGGGAGGTGGAGGGCCGGGGCCACCTGTGAAGCCACTTCCATGCCTGGAATCCTGTAATAGAGGAAGGAGCAGACAGAAGGCAGAAATCCAGGGGTCTGGTTGACTCAACTGGGGACCACCTTGGTACTTGATGGTGTGGCAGAGACAAGCACTGGCAGGTCTGAAGCCAGTCCTGAATGGAGGCATTGGGCCGTCACCCTGGGGAGCCACAGCGGCGGACATGGAGGGAGCATGGCACTGGGACCCCACTGGACCCCTAGGAAGACCTCAGTGGGAAAGAACATAGCCACACAAAGGACAAAGTTTCCAAACATCATAGCCCTGTGGCTGGAATGGTGGCATTAAAGAGGCTTCTGGGATCCACGTCTTCTCCCCTAGGGACTGAAGAGTGACACCGCCCCACTCCACCCTGCCCCTGGGGGACAGCACCAGCCACCCTGGGAACCACAAACTTGGTGGGGGGCAGGGGGGTTGCTCTTTTTAAGGGAGACCATCTGTCCCTGTGAGCCCTGGAACCAGGCCTCTTCTGCCCACCCTCCCCCAACCACAGAAACTCATGGTTCAGTCAGGCGAGAAGAGCAAACTGTTTATTTACACCTTGGTCTGTACAGTACAGCTCCCCGGGAGGAGCCTGCCACCAACAGCCTGTTCCTTTTGGGGCAGAAGCAGGTTGGAGGCAAAGAGCTCAGACCCTGGACAGCCTCAGGGCCTCACCCCCACTGTCCCCTCCCTGGGGCCCACAGGGCAGGTCCCACCCCAGCACTAAAGCTAAGCCTGTTTCCAGACAGAGCCTCCTGGGGCAAAAAAGTCAAGTTGAATCCCACAGAGTCAGAGGCCATCTAACAAACCCTTGGGCATGAGGCCACATGTGTAGTTCATTCCACGTAGGCCTCAGAAGACCCAGCCAAGAAAGTGGGAGGAGCTGGAAGGGAGCCCACAGCTGTGAGTCCTTGGCAATGCACCGTCCGCTCCGTGACATCAGTTGGTATTTAATGGCACTCTGGTCTGAGCACCTCAGCAGACAAGGAAGGGCTGGGCAGGTGTTCACAGCAGGCAGGGGCAGCAGCTAGCACCTCTTCCTTCTGCCCAAGTGGGGCCCGCAGCTGTTCTAGACACCAGATGTGGTGGCCTCAAGGCAGGCCTGTGGCCGTGCACCAGGAACCATGGACAGGGCTTCCTCTGGGGGCAGAGACAGTGCACGGAGCGGCTGCGGTCCCATGATATCCCTGCTGGGGCCAATGCCCCAGGTTAAAGAGTGATGCTTTGCCCGACATCACTAACAATGCAGGGAAAGCTCTGTGGGAGAAGCTGCTTTACACAAAGTTGCCCTTTTCTGGAATGCAAGGCTCCTAAATTAGCTGCAGGCTGGAGGAGGGACTAAGTGGGTCCTAGCCCCCCATGCTTAAGACAATAATGAAAGATTCTGTACAAAGTTACCAAGTCTACAGGCTGAGCGAGCCAAGGGTAAGTGGGGCCTGATCCTTGTGGACGAATGTGCCCGGGAGAGCTGGCCTCACCTGGGGGAGGCACGTTGAAAAAGTACACATTTACAGGGCTCGGGAAAGGCCAGGGAGATGAGACGATGTAGAAAAGGAGGCAGTGGGCAATGTGGAAAATCCTGTACAGTGGCGATGGGGAAGAAAAGGCACAAGGACAAAGACCCCAAACCATGCAGATGAAAACAGCCTGTGCAGCACAGCAAAGCGGATGGGCCCCAGCAGGAGGCAGGGTCACCCTGGGGACAACAGCACTTGGATCCTGCAGGAGACATGGCCTGGATGCCATCCCCAGCTGGTAGCTCCGGGGCAGACATCTCTACCTTACAGATGGGGAAAGGAGCAACCTACGAGGTCGGGGCAGGGAGGTCATATGGGAAACCTCGCCTGGTGAGCATGGTGACATTATACTTCCCCAGGGTCTACGCTTTTAGAAACAAATCTTTCTAGAAGGCAGCCTATTTTCTCTGGTGGGTAGCAGAGAATATGGCAGAAGGGCCTCAGAGTTGTCCTGCCATGCAGGTAGGGCAGGCTCCTGGTTCCAGCCTCTCCCGCTTCCTGCTGGCTGCCCCATTCATGTGTGCACCCAGGGCAGGAAGTGAGGACCTGGCAGGTCCCTAGGATCAGCGCTCAAAGTCATCCACTGACGGCATGGCCCTTCTAACTTGAGGCCCCTTGGCGCAGCAGACCTCAGTCTTCCTAGCCAGCAGCGTCACCCTAGAGGGGATTTCCTGGGTCCCAAAGGGAGGGCCAGAGTCTGGGAGAAAGGACTGTGGAGGATACCAGCACTGAGTCCTAAGTGGCCCCTTTCCTCAATCTAGAATCCACAGTAGCCCTTGAGAAAGAGTCGCTGTGGATCTGCTGGGCAACCAAAGTCATTTTCTTGGCATGGTGACCACGCAAAACTTTCCTGGTATGATCACATCGAAAGTTACTTTTTGTTTTTTTAAAAAAATAAAGACAAGAGTTTCACCATGTTGTCCAGGCTGGTCTCGAACTCCTGAGCTCAGGCAATCCACCTGCCTTGGCCTCCCAAAGTGCTGGGATTACAGGTGTGAGCCACCGTGCCCGGCCTAGAGTTAGTTTTTAAGTTTAAATTTGCTAATGCATTAAACCCCACCACACACACAGGACACAGAGGGCTTCATTTCTCCCAGTTTCACCTGGCCCTGCTGGCCCCTGGAGGCTTCTGCTAAGTCCCTCATTGGAACCAAGAACCCGCGCTTCTGTCCCCGCGCCCCCCCCCCCCAACTCCCCTGAACACCAGCACCAGTGGACTAGCACCTGGAGTGTCCGGTGTGTGAGTAGGATGCTGGTTTGGCTAACAGGGAACGAGCTGGGACTCCCTTTATCAACCCAGTCAGGAAACAGACCAGAAGCAAAACCCACAAAGACAGTATGTCCTCCTGCTCAGCTATGCAAATAGGTGGCAGCTGTTTCTGCGGCTGCTTTCAGGGGGACAGCCCCACCTGTCAGTTCCCTGCTGACTCTGTTCTACCTGCTCTTTGAGATGAGCCTGTAGCCAGTATATCCCAACACATGCCACCCACTGATTCCAGGGGCACCAGGCCAAGGTCCTGCCCACCCACTCTGGTCTGCTAACCTCCAGGCTGGTGAGAACAGCTGGATCCACCAGCTCCTGAAGGCATCTGGCCTCCCATCCTGCAGGCCAGGACCATTCAACAACAGGAAAAGGAACCCTCCCAGCAAGAGAGCTCACTGTCATTCAGCCACGGGCTTGACAAGCCCAACAGCCACTTTGACCAGTTTCCTCTACCTCTGGCCAACGACCTTGCAGGACAGGGCAGTCTCAACCTCGGACTGCATATCATCACCTGGGGAGGTCTTTACACATCTCGATGCCTGGACCACACCCCACACCAATTCAATCCGAACCTCTGGGGGTTCAGCCCAGACAGCAGAAGCTTACAAATCTCCCCAGGTGATTCCAATGCACAGCCAAAGCTGAGCCCACTGTTTTAGGCCCTCGTGCAGGTTCTTGAGCTTTTTTTTTTTTTTTTTTAACTTTTGGTAGAGACAAGGTATCACTATGTTGCCCAGGCTGGTTTAGGACTCCTGAGCTCAAGTGATCCGCCTGCCACTGCCTCCCAAGTGCTAGGATTACAGGCGTGAGCCACCATGCCTGGCCTGTTCATGTTTTAATAGGTCAGAAATAAAGTCATGAAAAGGAATTTCTCTGTGACAGTTCGCAAAGAATTCTACCAATTTAAAATAAAATAATCTAGGATAAACTCTGGCCAATTCAAAGCTAAAAGAAAAAAACATTTTTACTAGAAGTTTCTTAAAGCCTCTCAACGCACAGGGACTAGCTGAACCAGAAGGTACTTCATTTTCTAATAGATAATGTACACGAAGCTCACTCCTGGTTCAGTTCATTTTGCGTGGCTTCCAACTGAACGCAAGGGCAGCTCAGGGCCATGTAAAATCTGAGTCTACTACAGAAACCCTCGCCCCACCCCCAAAACACCTCTAAATTTCAGATAAGTTACTGCTAATCCCTACTCGGTAGGGTTGCCAGGTTTAGCAAAAACAATAAAAACAAACAAAAAACCCAAGTAGGACACGCAATTAAATTGGAATTACCTGAGCAGCTCTTTAAAAAATCCCATGCCTGGGCTACACCCACAACAATCAAACCAGAACGTCTGAGGATTCAGTCTAATCATCAGAATTTTTAAAATCTCCCCATTTCAAATATGTCCTGGCCAGGCATGGTGGCTCATGCCTGTAATCCCAGTGCTTTGGCAGGCTGAGGTGGGAGGATCACTTGAGGTCAGCAGCTCGAGTGAGGCAACACAGTGAGACCCTGTCTCTACAAAAAATAAGAAAAATTAGCTGGGCGTGGTGGTGCATGCCTGTAGTCCCAGCTACTCAGGCAGTTAAGGCGGGAGGATCGCTTGAGCCTGGGAGTTCAAGGTTGTGGTGAGCTATGATCATACCACTACACTCCAGCCTGGGCAACAGAGCAAGATCCTATCTCTAAAAATAACATCTGTCCCATGTATTAGATAGAACATATTTATTCTAAAATTATTTTCTATCTGAAATTCAAACTTAACTGGGCATCCTGTCTACTACCTCGCAGCCCCACTACTGAGGGGTAAGGGCAGAAACAAAGATCAAGCTCCTACCACCTAGGCTCTGGGACCTGCCACCAAGGGGTCTGGGATCTGCCAGGGGCTGTGGAGCTGGGACACCTGGGGCATCTGCCCCCTCAAGCTAGCTTTTGAGCCCAGAAGAATATTTTTACAAACATACACCATCTTTAAAAGCCAAGCAACAAGCCAGGTTTTACAAGAAATGTATTCTGGCTGAAGAAAGTAAGGTTGGACTTGAGGTGTGTGTGAGCTGGAATTCAGCCCCCCATTTAAAAGCCAGGCCTGCTCCAGAGGCCCCTCTGGCACTGCAGCAGGTCCCGGGGGCCTTTCAGACGCCGGCTCCCTCCGGAGCCTGTTCCCATGGCGCCCCTTAGAGGGAGGAGCCTGAAGCACGCCCCAGGCTGCCAGCTGCTTCCGCCCACCTTTCCCGTGGCAGAGATTCCTTCCCACGTTGTGACTCAGGCTGTGTAACCCAGGCCTCTGCAGCCTTCTCTGAAATTCCAATGCAGCCAAAGGGCAGATAACATTTTACAGATAAAATACTCAACCCTGGGGTAAGGCCCCCACGCACCAGTACTCCTTCTGACCTAACACCCAGGCCAAAGCTATGTCAGGATCTGTCTTGTTCCTTTCAGCCGTGGCCACTCCTTCCTATTGGCAAATTCTCAAGAGACCCTCTCCTCATGCCTTCTTCCACTGCCTCTTCGCAGAACCCTTGGGGGAGCCCAAGGAGACCCGCGTCCTAAGGGGCTGAGAAACTCCTAGAAGACCGACTGCCTAGCCTAGTCTTCCCAGTGTGGGTGGCTCCAAAGTCCTGGGTCAGACCAGTGCAACCCCATTATGTGCAGCATGAAACTAATCCCCAACAAAAGATTAAAAAGAAGCCACGAGATCCAACAAATGCAAAGGCTGATTGGAATGGAATTGAAGGTTGGTCCTGGCCACAGCCCTGCCTCTGTCAAGCAGGTGTCACACCCAAGTCCCCAGATCCCCTCTCCTCACCCTCACTGCCCTCTCTTTCTGCAACTCCCCCTCCACCGCCCTTCCCAACATGCCCAAACCTTCCTTCTCATACTATAAGATGTGCTGAAGAAAGCAAGAAACTGCAGGGGGAAGAATAAGACCACACACGTTTATATATATTTGGATTAAGAAAATGAATCACAAGCCATATAAAATTGAGATAAATTGGAAAACTCTAAGGTAAGTACCATGTCTATTCCCAGCTGCCTAGAACAAAGATCCATTAAAAATCCATGGTGTGAATTTCCACCATGGGTCAGAAGGATGGAAGACTAAGGTTTTCCTGCAACTTTCCCAACCGCCTCCCACCAGTGCAGCGAGTGCTCCCCTGGCTGAGAATCAAATACAGGTGTGTTTCTAAACGCTGGAACGAAGCAGTCTTGCTGCCACACGAGTGGAGCCCGGAGCTAGGATTCTGAAATCCAAACCCAGGCCTGCCATCACCAGGCTGCGTGGAGAATGAAGACAGGGAGCCAGGCAGACGGTTTCTCCGTGCATCCATCTTAAGATGCAGCCATGGGAAGGAAACTGACTGGGATGGGAGTTGTGTTCCTCCCCAAAACTCATTTCTTTGGTTGCCCGATGTCAACTCCTGCCTTAGACACCCATCCCAAACCCTCCTTCTCCTTCATTTTTATCCCTTCATGTTACAATGACGCAGTGAATGCTGCTTCATTGTCTTAAAACTGAAACAGAAACGGGGAGGTAGGTAGCATGGATGGGGGAGTGCACGAACTCTATAGGTACAGGATGAGGATGCCCCGCACTAGCTGCTATGAAACCTGAGTCCTCTGTTCACTCTGCACACACATCACAGAGGGCTGCTGGCCGGTGGCCAAGGCATTTGGTGAGGGCCCCATCTCATGGACCCTCCAGATGCCCCTTCATCCTCTCTGAGCTTGAACACTGGGGCTTGAAAGGTGGCCAAAGAGCTGGCGAGGACACAAATATGGGGCATTCAAACTCCTAGGAAAGATCACAATTTTGCTCCCACTCCCAAGGGGACTAGGAGTGGGGTGAAAGAGCCCATCGTACTAGAGCGAATGTGAATCCTTATCCCCAGAGGTAGAATCATTTTACCCAGTACCGGAAACACGAGCTTCCAGTTCTTGTTTTTACAGTAACTCCTGATAGCAGACCTTGCCTCCTCCCACTTCCAGTACCCTCTGCCCCTTGCAAAGGGGCCACAAAGTGCATGCACGGCTAACCGTGTGGATGCTGCCCACAGCCACGGCCACTCACCCCTCGCTCGTGTGCACAGCCTCCCCACATATACACGGGTACACGTAACGCATGGTGGCCAGAGAGACATTTACAGTGTGAGTGTGAGGCCCGGCTTAGGCCTGCATCCTTGGGCAGGGTCTGCCCTTGGTCCCAGGGTCCTAAGGCTGCTCTGCAGCCAGCCCCGTGCCTTAGTGTTTGATCTCGAGGATGGAGGGATTGTGGTCCAGGATGGCGAGGATAATCTTGTCCATGTACTGCCTCAGCCGGAAGTTGATCTCCTCCTGCTCCTTCAGGGCTTCCATTAGCTGAAGGAAATGGGAAAGACGGGTCAGTGGCTGGGCCTGGGATAGGGTGCAGGCAGAGTCCAGACTCCCAGGCTTGTCGCAGGCCAGTGCCTGACAATAGAGGGCATCAGGAGATCCTGGGCAAGGTGGGCCCCAGGACAGCCTCAGCATTTGGATGCCAGGACCAGAGTCGAAGTGGCTCAGCCCCTAGTATTACCTATGCAGGTGCCCAGGCCCCACCCCCAGAGATTCCAATGTGATCAGTTTGTAGAGGGGGCCCAGGTGTGGGTAATTTTTTGCAAAAGTAGAAAACACTAGCCAAAGTCATTTAAAATCAAGACTGACAAAGTCCCAGGGCCGCTAAGACTCCAAAGGGGAGCTGTCTCCTGCCTGGAACACCTCTCCCCACCCCCAGCCCCACACTGCTCTTCTCCAGGGCAGTGTTCTTTCGGACATTGCTGACATGCTGCCTCTGCCCAGGGGTTGGGGCCCAGCTCACCTGGGAGCTCCTTGAGGACAGAGGTCAGCTCTTCACCCCGTGTCCCAGGCAGAGGGTGAGGCTCAGTGACAGAGTGTCTTGTAATTCATGTTACAATGCAGCCGGGGCATTTTGGAGGCCTGATCTTTCATAAGCATACTCTGGTGTGGCAGGAAGGGTAGGCTTTGGCTTTGGAGAGAGCTGGGTCCCTCTCCCTCCCTAGCTGGGTGGTCCTGGGTTCCACCTTCCCAGCTTGGAATGTGGAGCTGTTCCTAAAGCCTCAGAGTCATCAGGAGATTAAGTGAAAACACACCGCAGAAGCAGGTGCTGGGGAAATGCTAATGTCCTCCCTCTCTGGACTGGGAAGAGCGGGAGTGATAGCCTAACCCAGAGTCACAGCTTGATCCACTCAGCTGGCTATGTTGGCATTTTTCTGGCCGACCTAAGACTCACACTCCACTCTGAACCAAACCCGCACTCCTTCCAGCACAGGCGGAACTCAGAGCTGACTTAACTTCTCCAGCAGCCCCCTCCCCTGCTCACAGCCTTGCCCTGTCATGTGGGGTAGCTGTAGATGGGACTCTCTGCCAGGCCCTGGTCTGGTTTTCTCACTCTGGGCAGGTGGGGGCCGGGAGAAGGAATCACAGAGGGCGGCCAGGCCCCAAAGCAAGAGCCGGTGGTGTGGTTACCTCATCGCGCGAGGCGGTGTCTATCTCCGCAGCCAGAGACTGGGCTTTAGTCTGGGCAGCAAAGAGGTTTTTTGCTTCGTAGAGGCTGAGGCTCAAAATCTGCCCATTCAAGTCGTCGTTCTGATCCCGCAGCTTATAATTCTCCTACAGAGAGAAGGACGAAGGCGACATCAACCCCAAGAGGCATCCACAGCCCACTGGAACCCACTTCTCCACATCCACCGTCCCCGACCTGCCGCCAGCGCCATTCCCACAGGTGTGTGTCACGGCTGGTTCAAGGGGCCATAGATGTTGCAGCCTTTGCCAAGCGCTGGGGGCAAGGAGGGCTGGGTCCTGGTCCAGGGGACTGGCATCCTGGGAGTGCACAGGGTTTGTGGAGGAGTTACAGCCCTGCTCAGCGCAGCCAAGGCTCCTGGCCATCCCTTCCTCCCTAGGCCCTGCATAGGGACATCACCCACCCAGCAGCCCAGTGAAGGAAGTGATGCTCTGGGCTCTCTGGGCAGGCTGGCCAGCTCATTTCCTTGGCTCCCCCAGCAGCCACGTTCCGAATCCTGCTTGGTTGGAGTTGACCCAGGCGGACCCGCCCAGATCCCATGCACCGGTCTCACACTCCAGCTTTTGCCTAAAGAGCCCTAATGCTCACACCTGGGACCCTGGGCACCCCACCCCTAGACTAGGAGAAGGGTTGGGGTTTTAGGATTTCTGTGAGAGCACAGCCACCAGCACCTTTGTCCCCAGTGGAACAAACTCAGAAGGATAATTTATGCTGCAGGCTCTTCCACCTGCAGGGTCAGGCAGAGCTGACACTTCACCCAGCACCACCTGGCCACTGCCTCCTCCTGATCCACTCCCCCACCCAAAGGTCTCTAGCTAAGGCAGCGCTCCTTGAAATGTAATCTTCTGGCTAGGCACAGTGGCTCATTCCTGTAATCCCAACACTTTCAAAGACTAAGGGTGGGAGGATCCCTTGAGCCCAGGAGTTCAAGCCTGGGCAATATAGGGAGACCCCATCTCTGGAAATAAATACATAAATAAGTAAATTAGCCAGGTGTGGTGGTGCTCTCCTGTAGTCCTAACTGCTCGAGAGGCTGAGGTAGGAGAATTGCTTGAGCCCAGGAATTTGAGGCCATAGTGACTGTGATCACACCACTGCCCTCCACCCTGGGCAACACAGTGAGACCCTGCCTCAAAAAACAAAAACAACATTAGCTGGGCATGGTGGTGTGTGCCTGTAGTCCTAGTTACTAGGGAGACTGAGGCAGAAGGATCACCTGAGCCCAGGAATTCAAGGCTGCAGTGAGCTATGGAGTGCCAAAGCACTCCAGCCTGGGTATCAGAGCAAGACCCTGTCTCTTGGGAAAAAAAAAAAAAAAAAGGAACCTTGGGTGAGGGTCTACTTCTGGGAGAACCCAATGCCTCCAGGCACTATACTGCAGCTGGGTATGGTCTCATCCTCCACCCTGAGCACCAAGGCAGGGTCTATTTCCTTACATAGACGTAAGGGAGAGATCTTTGGATCGATTTTCCTGAGCTGTGAAATGGGGCAGTCAGCCCTGGCAAACAGGTTGCTGAGAAGCAGACAGGCAGTGCTGCTACAGCTCTGGGCTCCCCTACCACAGATCCTGCACAGGAAACCCACGTGGTGGGCCCGGCCACCCTGCCCCACTGGACACAGAGACTGCTAGACCCACCTGCTTGAGCCGCTTGACCTCGTGCTCGAGCTCCACCTCGCGGGCCCTGGCATTGAACTCGCCTAGGCCAGAGGAGGCACTGCGGCCCCTGCCTGGCCGCTCGCAGTCCAGCTTGTACATCTGCAGGTGCTCCAGCTCCTTCCGCAAGTCCTCGATGAGCTGCGAGGGAGAGAAGCAGGTTGGCAGGAGCAGGGATGCTGGAAGGAGCCCTGGTGCCTGCTGGCCTGGGACCTACCTCCTGCGTCGCCTCCCGCTCCTTCTGGAACTCAAGGCGGTTCTGTCGCAGCTTGTCCATCATGCGCTTGTACAGGTCCATCTCATCTTTGAGCCGCAGGCTGGTGTCCTCCAGACGGTCAGACATGCGCTGCCGCTCCTGGAGCAGGGAGACCCGATCAGGGGAGGAGAGTTCCCAGAGAGGGGCTCACTATGTCCAGGGGTGTCCCTGGGGTCTGGTCAGCCATCTTCACGAGGCAGATGCACAGTGAAACCAGCTCCCTTAGACGGAGCCCTGAGTCTTGGCTTACAGAAACGGCCAGAGCCCCGATGATTCTAGAAATACAACTAAAAACCTCAGGCCTCTGAAGTCCTTCAACGATGCTAGATGCAACCTGAATTGAAGGTGTTAGCCCAAATAGAAGCTAACCTCTTTCTAAAACTAATTTTTCTCCATTGTATAAAGTAATAAATACATTCGCTGTAGAAAACTTGGAAAATCAGAAATACAGAAACACAAGTTGTTATTCACTTTTTTTGCATTTCTTAGGGGGTGCGGCATTTGTTTAGAATTTCAGAAGCAATAAACTAAAGGCTCCCGATGGCCAGCCCTGCCCCTCCAAGCCTGGATCTGCTGCTCACCTCATCCAGTTTCTCTGTTTGAGACTTGAGCCGAGTCACTGTTGTTCTAAGCTCTGTATTTTCTTCCTCCAACTGCTGCACCCTGGCGAAAGGAGAAAGACAAATCTCAGAAACCTGGAATGTAGACTATCTGATAAGCGCCTGCCAGTCTGCAGTGATTCTCTGCTTCCTCCCAGAGGAAAGATACCAGAAACCAACTGAGAGAAAGAATATGATTATTATGTCAAAGACAATTTAGCCGTGAGCTTCCTATCAGCCAAAGCAAAATAGTAAGGACTATTTGTAAGCAAAATAGTAAATTATCATTCTTATTTTCTTTCTTTTTTTTTTGAGACAGAGTCCTGCTCTGTTGCCCAGGCTGGAGTGAGGTGGCACAATCTCAGCTCTGCAACCTCTAACTCCTTCAGCAATTCTCGTGCCTCAGCCTCCTGAATAGCTGGGATTAGAGGCATGCACCACCACGCCTAGCTAATTTGTGTATTTTTAGTAGAGACGGGTTTTGCCATGTTGGCCAGGCTGGTCTCAAAAACTCCTGGCCTCATGTGATCCGCCCACCTTGGCCTCCCAAAGTGTTGGGATTACAAGAGTGAGCCACCACACGTGGCCTTTATTTTTCCAATAAGTGGAAACATTCATTAGAGAGTAGGAACGCAGATTCTTCTTGTATGCATCCTTCAGATCCTCAGACAACACGGGGATGTCTTTCTGCTAGATGGAGAAACAGTCTTCTTGTGGCTTCTGTGACTGGGCCCTCCTGTTAGACTCTGTAACTTGAAGGCAATGATCATATTGGCTTTTCATTCTCCGCCAACAGCATCTCATCCAGGGCTCTTCTCTGAGCGCTCACTGCACCTCCCTCTGATGACCACAGGCATGGGCTCTGACAGTAATAATCCTCTGTGTTAGCGTTCACACAGGAATTCCACAAAGGGAATCCTAAAGGGATTCCACAAGAAGACAGAGCCTGGGTGTTCAGGTCAGTTTTTTGTTTGTTTGTCTGTTTTGAGACGGAGTCTCAGTGGCGTGACCTCAGCTCACTGCAACCTCTGCCTCCCGGGTTCAAGCGATTCTCCTGCCTCAGCCTCCCGAGCAGCTGGGACTACAGGCGCGCACCACCACGCCTGGCTAATTTTTGTATTTTTAGTAGAGATGGGGTTTCACCATGTTGGCCAGGATGGTCTCCATCTCCTGACCTCGTGATCCACCTGCCTCGGCCTCCGAAAGTGCTGGGATTATAGGCGTGAGCCACTGTGCCCGGCCTCAGGTCAGTTTTAAATGGTCTGAGAATAGGTGCAGGTGAGTTGGGCCGTCGGTGGCAGCAGAACTGAACAGGGTCACTTCTGGCAGTGACTCCTGCAGAGCATCCCGTTCTCAACCCACCACCTCCCCATCATGTCCTCTTTCCTGGAAGGATGGCTTCTGGGCCTCCACTGCCCTCTGGGCTCCAGAGAGGAATTCAGCCCCACCACCAGCAGGTGGCCCCAAGCGGGTGGAAGTGGTAGGGAACCAAGCATACGGCAGGACTCTGGGAACACCACTCGGATATTTTACACGAATGGCGCCCCCGGAGCTGTGTGACGGGCACACGTTAGGAGACAGTTCCCGAGGGCTGGCTTTCTGCACTTTGTCCTGTGGCCCAGGTTCACACTGTCTTTTACCACCTCCCGTGTCCCAGCCACCTCTCTTGGGCCAGCTGCCGAGGCGGGCTGAGCGAGAGCAGTCACCCTTAACTAGGCACCAGCCTCCAGAAACAGATGCAAAACAGCAGCTTCTAGAATAGAGTCAAAATGTAAAATGAACCCCTGGTGGGTAACTTAGCAAAGCAGGTCTCAGACACCGGGGAGTTGGGAAGTCTCCTCACCAAACTGCACAGGGGCAGGGACACGGGGGCAGGGAGGTACCTGCCTGAGAGCCCAACTCCCAGTCATTTGCTCAGCAGCCCACCAGCCGCCAGGTGGGGCTCGGCAACTCTGGGAAGCCTCAGCATGGAGACTGGGGCCTCAGGGGGCCTGAGGAGTGCCAGGGCAGCTGTCCTCTCTGCCAGAAGCCCAGGCGGCCTCCTCGGCCTCGGTCAAGGGCCGCAAAGGGGCTTCATCACAGAGGCATCATCATAGCCCTCACCCGTGGGCAGGGTCTGGACTTACATCGGCTCACCCACCCACACAGCCGCTCTGTGGGGCACACAGGGAGGTGACCCAGTACGTCCAAGGCCATGGAGCTAATGGGAGACCAACTCAGATCCCTGGCCCGGGGCTGCTCCTTGTCCCGCCTGCGTCACGTTCCAATGACGAAGCCACAGGTACACGCAAGGCACAGGAGCCGGGTTTTCCATTTACCTTGGCCCTGGGGCTCTGGCTCAGTCCACCAGGGGTCAGGGGAGAACCTGACAGCAGGGGGCGCTCCAGGCCTGGATGTGAGACCCAGCCCAGGCCCTTTTCTCTGACAGACATTTGTGTGGTTTGCATTACCAAATGTGAGCCACGCTCCTGGGAACATTCCTTAGCGAACTTCCTGAAGAGCATGCCTCTGTGTTTCTCGTGGTATTAAAGTGGAACTGTTACTACTGGAAAGTCTCAAGAGGCTGCCCCTCAGCCTCACATTCCCATCTATAAAATGGGGATAGCGCCTATCCCACAGGGCTGCCCCAGGACAGGGGGTCCCTCTGAGGGAGGGGGCTCGGTGGAGGGGCCCACCTGGCATTGAGCAGCTCCACCTCGGTAGCCTTCTCCCTCTCCAGCTTGCCGTAGGCCTCGCGGTGGCGCCGCGCCTCCTCCTCCAGAGCCTGCTCGGCCGTGGTCTCCTGATCCTTCACCATCTCCTCCAGCTCATGCACCCTGAGGACAGCGCAATGGGCAAGCTCTTGGGGCCTGCACCATTTCACCCCAACCCAGGCTGTGGCACGGGGGACCCTGGGCCCCGAGACCCTGAGTCACTGGCATGTCCACTGAGGGCGTGTGGGCCAGTAGCTTTCAGAGAGATGAACGGGGACACCGCACATATAGAGGGGGTGTCGGTCACACATGCCATGGAGGGGCAGGCCTGGCAGTCAGAAGGTGGGGCGCTCAGGGCAGCACAGGGAGGGACCGCCCCCACCAGTCCCTGCAGCCACACCTGGCCGGAACCACCTCAGGCCTCACCTCTTCTTTTTGTGCTGTTCCTTCCCGGCCACCCCTCTGATTAATAATTCAGCTTATTGGGCACCTTGACTCCCAAAATAGGCACATCCTGGCTGGTGGCCTGAAGTCTGCCCCAGACCTGGGACAGGGCCAGGGGCACGTAGATGTGAGCACCCCAGTGACAGCCTGGTTGGTATTTCGGTCTGGGATACGTCTCACTGGCAACAGCCCCTCCACCAGGCTGACCTTCTGGGGTGTACAAAAGGGCCCATCTTTGGGCCCTGTGACAAGTTGGAGGACCGGACCCCTGGCCAGGGTATGTCCCCCAAGGGTCATGCCATCTGGTGAGGACAACTAAACCCTGAATCCACCACTGCAGACAGCATCAGGAACGGCAGGCTCAGGGGACCTCCATCAGCAGCAGTGCTGGACCCTTCCCACCGCCCAGCTCACACTGGCCTGTCCCCTGCAGAGCTTGTCCCTAGGAAGGGACGTCAGGCTCCTGTCACTGTATGAGTGAGACACAGTGGATCCCCACTCCCATCTTGGACCAGCCCTGTGGCTTCAGACCTCAGGGGGTAGAATCCATTGGGCCTAGAGCCAAGGTCAAGCTCCAACCTGTCTCCCTGTCCCTAAGGTCCTGTCCTGGGCACCACATGTGGGCAGGGCCATGTGACAAGAGGCTGATGCGTCACAGACCCTCAGAGCTGCAAAGGCATGAGGCTGCCTCCTCCTGGAGGTCTTAGCAAGATGGACCCCCCTTTGTTCCCCAGCGTCACGGCCGAGCCCCCAGCGCCGCTGCCTGCTTGACCTGTGCACCAGCTGTGTGTTCTCTTGCTTCAGCTTGCTCTTCAGGTCCCCATTGGTCAGGCTGTCATTCTCCAGCTCTGTCACCTTCTTTTCCAGGAAGCTTACCTGCAGCAGGGGGCCGGGGTGGGGTGGAGAAGACCTCTGAGGCCACAGAACCGAGAACCTCGACGCCATGAGGTTCATGAGCAGGACCTCCAAACCACTGTGTATCTGAGAACGGTCATGTGTGGGGTGGGGGAGTGGGGAACACGTGACCAGGGCCACCTGCCCCCAATTCCTAGGCAGGTACAGGGTCTCCCAAGTCCCCAGACAGTAGCCTGAGTGCACCCCATCTCCCCTGGGAGCAGGCATGCATTCAGTCCCTTCTCCAGCCACCCAAGGCCCACCTTCTCTGTGATGTCATTGTCGCAAGAGTCAATGCTGTCCCGGAACAGGTCTTCGGTGCTGCCATTGCTGCTGCTGAAGTTGCTGCTGTGCATGAGCTGCCTGCAGGGGTGGGAGGAGGGTGTCTGGCTGCAGGGGCCTTCCAGAGACAGGGGCCTACTCACACTACTGGCTAGGCGAGCATCCAGTACCCCAGGGGGTCTGCCCCTTTAAGGAGGCTGCCCTCACTCAGCCTGAGAGGAAGAATGTTGCCAAACTCAGCGGATCACCCCGCCCAGAGGATGGCAAATGGGCTGTACAGACCCCCGGGGTCCCCTGGCAGACACAGCCAATGACGCACAGCTTCTCCTGCGGCCTCAGAACCCTCTTCACGCCAGCATGCTGGCCTGCAGCTACCCAGTGACCTCAGCTGGCACGTGAGCCCCCTCCTCTTCCAGTGGGGAAGCCCCCAAGGAGGTAGCCCAGCTCCATGGCCCTGGAAGAGGGTCTGGGCCTCCTGAGGCTTGAGCCTCTCCACCAAGCTGGCTCCTGCTACGTCTCTGGGAACTCTGGGGGATGGCAAAGGCAGAGAATTCTCCAGGCCTTGCAGAGCAGTGAGCTGGGGTGGGACTGGGCCTGCTGAGCTAACCCGTGCCTGAGGCAAAATCCAGCTGCCACCCCCAGTGACATCCCCTTCCAGCTCCCTGATAGGCAGCAGCCAGGGTCTCTGCCAAGAGGCCAACCCACCTAGCTCCTGGGCCCTTGCTGCCAGCTCCCAGAGCCCTGAGTGTGGACCTGGGGCCACACTGAACTGCCGCAGGACTTAATCGGAGCAAAGTGACCAGCCCCAATGGCGCACACTCATGCCCAGATCCCCGCCTGCAGGAAACCCGGGGTCTCTTTATTGAGTATGGCTGCCAGCTCCAAGAGGCAGGAAGGGCACTGAACGCTGTGGGGTGCTCTGTCTCTCTCAGGGCATCCCTGGCATGCCTGCCTGAAGTCAAGGTGACCTAGGATTTGAAGAAGGGACAAGGGGTGGGGAGAGAGCAGGGAGGAGCTGGCCCCTCTTTTTCAGAAGTGACGCTGCCCTGGCTGCACTGCCCTGGGATGGCCTCGTTCCCCTCTGCTCACTCAGCCACATGCGGGCACCAGCTGAGTCCGGGCTGCTGGCAGGGAGCCCCGGCCAGTGGGCAGCATGGGGACAGCACTCAATTTGCCCTCCCTCGAGGCGGGCCTTACCGTCCAAAGGCCGTGCTGGAGATCTTTCGGTTGGGGCTAGAGAGAGAAAGGAAACAGTCATTGAACAGAGGGGTTCTAGTCCACTCCCTTACTCTGTCCTAGCTGTAAGACACCACAGTGCAGGACAAGGCTCTTCCCTCCCACTGAAAGGAATTCACTAGTCAGCTTGGTCCTGAGAAGAAACAGCCTGATTTCCTGTGGCAGAAAAAGCCCCTGGATCAACCCTCCTCTGAGAGCTCTCACCTGCCCAGACAGCAGGGGTCGCCTCGCCATGCCCGTAGCTTCTCCCTCCAGGCCCTGCCCTGGCCCCCCGGCCTCTCACCCCCCAGCTGGGCCTGGGCCTCACCTGTTGGCCTTCAGGTTTTTCAGTCGGGCTTCCAAGTCATTGAGCAGGTTGATTTTCTTGCAGCATTGAGAGCAGTAAACATCTAGCAATTCGCTGTTGTACACGTGCCGCATTTTCCTAGGCGTCTGCCCCGCACTGATTCATGAGGGAAAGGAATCACCACCTTAACTGCTGTCCAGTCTGGTGCCCTACACCACCCTGCTGAGCTGACTTTACTTGAGTCCCCAGTACCTTTGAACCTTGTTACGGGGGAGGGGCAGGGAGTGGAAATATAGCAACAGATCATCCCTTCTCCAACACGCTCAAAGAGAAGCCAGTGAGGCATACCCATTTAACAGCTAAGGCAAACTGCGAGCTCATTTCAGAGAAAGTGGTGACTCAGGTGGGTGAGAAGGGATCACAGGGGTCACTTGGAAGGATGCTTCAACACTGAGGTTCTAGGATACAAGATGACACAGAGCCCCGTGGCCCCCAGTGTGCAGCCTCCTAGGTCAGTTAATTCAGGAGGAACTCCTGACCCCTAATCAGGGTGCGAAGGTAGCAACCCCAAGCCCCAGGAGCAGAACTCAAGTAGCTGAGGACAAAGGAAAAGGGCCAGCTCAGGACTCGCACCCCCCCACCCCCTAGGATGTGCTTAAATTGCTTCTGCAACTTTTGACCCCAAATGACATCCCAGACCAAGGGGCCACCTGGAAGACACCGAAGACCCCAGGTCCGAGTAGACGTTGGTCCTGGTCTCATCATCGGGGCAAGGGCTGCTGGGGGCACAGTCCACATCGTCACCCTCCCCATAGTCTTCAAACTGCTCCTCATTGCTGATGAGCGAGGTGGTGGAGTGTGTAGAAAGGTCTGAGGTCGTCATGGATGGAGTGTGGACCAGGGACCTGAGGGTCCGAGAGCACCCAAGTCAGAGGAGGACTCATGGGTCCCCAGCCACAGCCCGTGGTGGGGAAACTGACAGGCATTTCCCTTTAATTGGCACTACCGATTAAGTTTGTAGCTCTTGACCTGGTAAGTACATTTCAGGGACCCTATCTAAAGGGAAACATCTCACCACAGAAACCATTTCTACAGTTCAAACCAATTCTACCCATGCTACTCCACAGTAGCAAAACACTGCTTACAACCTAATTGTCTAGCTACAGCTAGATCAAATTATAATTATTAAATTATAATGTTAGTAAATTATTAAATTGTGGAATATCAAATAGTTGTTGAAAGGTTTGTTAAAACATTTGTAGTAGTGGCAGGCGCGGTGGCTCACGCCTGTAACCCCAGCACTTTGGGAGGCCGAGGCGGGCGGATCAGAGGTCAGGAGATCGAGACCATCCTGGCTAACATGGTGAAACCCCAACTCTACTAGAAATACAAAAAATTAGCCGGGCGTGGTGGCGAGCACCTGTAGTCGCAGCTACTCAGGAGGCTGAGGGAGGAGAATGGCGTGAACCCGGGAGGTGGAGCTTGCAGTGAGCCGAGATTGTGCCACTGCACTCCAGCCTGGGCGACAGAGGGAGACTCCGTCTCAAAAAAAACAAAAACAAAAAAACAAACAAAAAAACATTCGGAGTAGCTGCTCTGCTTCTGTAGTAGCCATTGTTTTATTATTTCCTTAATAAACTTGCTTTCACTTTAAGGAGAGGAAAAAAAAACATTCGGAGTAATACAGAAAATGAATATAAATGGATCTAAAATTTTAGATACTGTAAGACTGAGTATGGTCATCCCTTGGCATCCAAGAGAGATTTGTTCCAGGACCCCCTGTGGACACCAAAATCTGAGGATGCTCAAGTCCCAGATATGAAATGGCATAGTATTCACATACAACCTATGCATATCCTCCTGTATACTCGATCGTCTCTAGATTACTTATCATACCTAATGCAATGTAAATGCTATGTAAATAGTTGTTATACTGTGTTATTTTTTAAGTTTGTCTTTTTTTTTTTTTTTTTTTTGGAGACAGAGTCTTGCTTTGTCGCCTGGCTGGAGTGCATTGGTGCAACCTCTGCCTTCCAGGTTCTAGTGATTCACCTGCCACAGCCTCCTGAGTAGCTGCGAGTAGCCTCCTGCCACCATGCACAGCTAATTTTGTATTTTTAGTAGAGATGGGGTTTTTGCCATGTTGGCCAGGCTGGTCTCAAACTCCTGGCCTCAGGTGATCTGCCCGCCTCAGCCTCCCAAACTGCTGGGATTACAAGGCTGCTCCCAGAGAGCAGCACGAGCAGCACGGCCCCTCTTCTCCATCCACAGACCCAAAGGGCCCCACCAAGAACATCAGGACTCTGAGAATCACTTGAGTTTGAGAAACCCTGCATTGAGATATACTAGGTTGAACCACATGAAATTACTTTTTTGAAGATGGAAATGATTAAAAGTTGTCAATTTCATGTGGTTCAACCAACATGGGAACCCCTCTCTTCCCTCTCCAAATCCCTGCAGCAGTCGTAACCATCACCTTCTGGTAAGGGGCTGCCACTTGCAACCCCCTCGGCTTCCTCAGCCACAATGGTGGCAGCTTCCCACCACCCCACAGCACTGTATCCCTCGAGAGACTTGGTGAGGGCTGAGATGGAAGGGACTCCTTTCTGCCAACACCAAAGTTAAAGGTGAAACTGCTTCACTGGGAAGTCACTTAGGTCTTAATACTGTTTTTAAATAACATTTCTGATTATGGGAGTACATGCTCAATATAGAAAATATAGCAGAGTAGATGGGAAGTAATTAAAATGATCAACTGGCCAGGTGCGGTGGCTCACACCTGTAATCCCAGCACTTTGGGAGGCCGAGGCAGGTGGATCACGAGGTCAGGAGATCAAGACCATCCTGGCCAACATGGTGAAACCCCATCTCTACTAAAAATACAAAAAATTAGCCAGGCGTGGTGGTGGGCACCTATAGTCCCAGCTACTTGGGAGGCTGAGGCAGGAGAATGGCATGAACCCGGGAGGTGGAGGTTGCAGTGAGCTGAGATTGCACCACTGCACTCCAGCCTGGGCGACAGAGCGAGACTCCGTCTCAAAAAAAAAAAAAAAAAAAAAAAAAGACAAAACTTAGCTGGACATGGTGGCACGCGCCTGTAGTCCCAGCTACTCGGGAGGCTGAGGCAGGAGAATCGCTTGAACCCGGGAGGCGGAGGCTGCAGTGAGGTGAGATCATGCCACTGCACTCCAGCCTGGTGACAGAGTGAGAGTCTGTCTCAACAACAACAACAACAAAAAAAATCATCCCACCATACAGAAATAACTGCTTAATTTTCCAGATTAATTTTTTTCTAGGCATTTCCTAACACATATGTCTGTGTGTTGTTTTTTGGTTTTTTTAGAGATGGGGTCTTGCTATGTTGCCCAGGCTGGAGTGCAGTGGCTATTCACAGGTGTGATCCTACTACTGATCAACACTCGAGTTTTGACCTGCTCTGTTTCTGACCTGGGCCAGTTCATCCCTCCTTAGGCAACCTGGTGGTGACCCATTCCCGGGAGGTCACCATACTGATGCTGAACTTAGTGCAGACATCCGATCGGCATAGTGCACTAGAGCCCAGAAGTCCTGGGCTTAAGTGATCCTCCTGCCTCAGCCTCCCAAGTATCTGGGACTACAGGCACATGCCACTTGCCTGGCATATGTTTGTGTTTTTAACAAAGCTGATCTCATGGACATCTTTGTAACCTGCCCTTTTTTTTTTTTTTTTTTTTTGAGACAGGGTCTTGATCTGTTGCCAGGCTGGAGTGCAGTGATGTGATCACAGCTCACTGTAACCTTAAACTCCTGGGCTCAAGCGATCCTCCTGCCTCAGCCTCCCAAAGTCCTGGGGTTATAGGTGTGAGCCACCATGCCTGGCCACAACCTGCTTTTTAAAACTAATTGAGATCATATATCTCATATTATTAACTAGTCATTTAAAACTCCCTTTGCCTGCACAGCTAGGACTGAAAATAAAGTAAAATTAAATTTAAAAACTTGACTTTGCACAGCTGCCTAAAATTCCAAAACTATCCCTTACTGTTAAGCATTTAGTCTGCTTAGAATCTTGTGCTATTCAGAATACCCATGACACTAATGCCTCTGATACAAATTTTGAGCATGTTTCAAATTTACTTCCTGGAGACACTTTCCAAGAACCACATTTCTGGGCTGAGAGGGCAAATATGGAGCTTCAGGTGGTTTTAACTCACTTGTCTTCTGGCAGAAACAGGCCCCCAAGTCCCCCGTCCTTCTCGGCAGGACTCCCGACAGACCCCTCCAGGCTCTGAGTGCTCTCCATGGGGCTGTCTGTGTACAACTCCTGGGGGCCCTCAGGTGGCGCCAGCGTCATAGCCTCCTCCTCGTCCTCGGGAAAAAAGCCGGGTTCCCTGGGGATGAGCTCGCCATCAGCAAAGGTGGGGCCTGTGACCTCGCTGCCCTGGGAAAGAGAGAGCAGAGACAAGATAAGTGAGGCCAGCTTCCCAGGGCTCAGTGTTCCAATCAGACCACAAGGGCATCAGCCAGGCCAAAACAGCAGGGATTGGGTACAGGAGGCCCAGATCCCGAACCCTAAGCGTGGGAACACCTGGCAGGTGATTAGTCCCAGGGACCTCTCATACTGGCTGACTCATGAGCATCTAGTGAGGAGCTAGAACTCCCAGGAACAGCCATCCACGAAGAAGGGCCACAGTCAGGCTAGCCACTTTATTCAGGGCACCCTGGTTGGCACATCAGAGCCCCCACTGAGGCAGAATAGGGTCTGGAGGCAGGGAACATAAGGCTGATTCACACTGACTTCCTAGAGCTAAATCAAAAGGAAAACCCCAATTTTCCGAGCCCAAGTAGCTACTCCCTTTGCATCCCCTTCCCCCCCGCCCCCCCCACCGCCCCCCCCCCCGCACCGCCTCCTCGCCCCCCAACCTTTTCTGCCTGGCAGATGAAAAACTGAGAGTATCTCTGATTGGTCCCCTCCTGCAACCAATCAGGCTGGTCACAGGCTAAGTTTTAATTTGCATAGGAATATCACTTTGTAACTTCACTTTAGTCTCTGATTGGTTGCTTTCTGATTGCTTTCTGCAACCAATCAGATGTTTGCATAGGGTGTAACTTTGTAACTTCACTTTGGCCTCTGATTGGTCCCCTCCTGCAACCAATCAAACTGACTGTGGGCCACTACTTCATTTACATAGGGTGTACACCAAGTAACCAATGGGAAACCTCTAGATGGTATTTAAACCCCAGAAAATTCTGCAACCAGGTTCTTGATCCCCTATGCTTGGGCCTGCTCCCATCCCGTGGAGTGTACTTTCGTTTTCAATAAATCTCTAGGCACGGTGGCTCACGCCTGTAATCCCAGCACTTGGGAGGCCAAGGCGGGCAGATCACGAGGTCAGGAGATCAAGATCACCCTGGCTAATACGGTGAAACCCCGTCTCTACTAAAAATACAAAAATTAGCTGGGCGAGGTGGCGCATGCCTGTAGTCCCAGCTACTCGGGAGGCTGAGGCAGGAGAATGGCGTGAACCTAGGAGGCGGAGCTTGCGGTGAGCCAAGATAGCGCCACTGCAGTTCGGCCTGGGTGACAGAGCAAGACTGAGTCTCAAAAAATAAAATAAAATAAATCTCTGTTTTTGTTGCTTCATTCTTTGTTTTGTTTGTGCATTTTGTCCAATTTTTGTTCAAGACGCTAAGAACCTGGACACCCTCCACTGGTAAAACCACCACAAAAGTCTGTCAGAGGAAGCCAAACGGCTTCTAGAAGGCTTCTTGGTGCACGGTGTAAGGGCACAGTCACACTGAACAGCTTTTAGGACCAACAACCCTGATCTAGTAGAGTCTGCTGCCACATGGTGCAGTGAAAGCTGCACAACTTGGGATCCACCCTACATGACCCTGTGCACATCATGGAACACCTCTGAACCTCAGTTGTCTTCTGTAAATCAGGAATGGCAATGGAATCTTACAGGATCACTGTGCTGATTAAATGAGGTATTTCACGTTCGCATCTGACACACAGTAGGACCTCAATGAATAAACCCTGGCCAGAAGATGTGATGCCCAGCCCAGGAGGCAACTGCCTGTCTGGGCCCTGCCACAGCCTTGCTGGGAGCAAGAATGCCAGGCCTCACTTCTGAGCGTTGCTTGTGCTGGGTCTGGGGCCCAGCATAATGACAGTGTGTGATAAAGACATGCTGGCACCTTTTGTTAAATCATCAGATAGAAGAGCTTCGGCCTGGTTCAGAGTTGGCCCTAGACCGAGGGGCAGCTCTCTGTAAATCACTTACTGGGGCCACTTCACCTCTGAGGAAGTAGGTACTTCTCAGGTGGCACCGCTTCTACCTGACCCATTGGAGATGTCAACCTGTTCCCAAGGTTCTTTGGTGTGCTCCTCAGCCAGGGCTGGCAGGGCACCCTATTAAAGGACCCTGCAGTCCCGAGACTACAAGAAGGGCAACAGAAACAGGCTGTGAAAAGCCTCCTGGAGTCTCAGACAGCTGAAGAAGCTGCTCAGCGACAGGCCTGGATGTGCCTGCCCAGACATGTGCAGCCGTCTGCTGCTACCAGTGAGCTGGCAGCCCTCCTGGGGGTCCGTCCCCACCAGGAGACCCCTGGGCTAAAAATAGATGGCAATATTATCATGAGCCTGGTTCCTGCCTGTGCTGTGATAGGCTGAGCACCAGATGGACCAATAACACGTACACCAGCGAGCCGGGCACGCCAACAGCAGAGACTGTGGAGACTGAGGTTGTGTAATGAGAATCCCCCCAGGGTTCCCAGGGCCCCTTCCACCCACATGTCATTAATCTGGTCACATGGCTCCCAACCTATCACATCTTGTGCCCTAAGCAAGCTCTTCATCCCCAAGCCTGAAGCTGCATCCCAGTAGAAACAAAAGGAAACCAGCATCACTGAGCAGCCATTAGGTTCCAGAGACCGAGCTGGGCATTCACATATTATCCCACCTGTGCTTCATGACAGCTCTTCAGGGCAGTGATCATTATCCCCATTTTACTGATGGGGAAACAGAGGCTCAAAGAGTAGCGCATCAGAAGTCCTCCAGCCAGAGGGCAGGGCAGGGCAGGGCAGGGCCCCCCACCCCGCCTGCCTTTGCATCCACACACTTGATTCCATTTATCCTTGACACCTCCCACACTTTGTGGATTTTCAAACCTCATGGTGACAACAAGGAGAGCACATTTTATAGGGACATGTGACTAATTATGACTCCTTAGCATGCCGCCTAACGCAGCAACTTCCACGTCCATCCACTTAACGCCCTCACAGGACACTGCAGGTTAGTGCGGGGACACCTAAGAGAAACAAGGCAGGAGGGAGACCAGAAGAGACCTGGGGCTCTCAGAGGACAATGCGCCTGGTCTGTTCTTTCACCTGGCCAGGAAGAACTGCAAACTTTTCACCTTCCTGGCCACACGGGTAGCGAGAGTTCCCCCTTGCTGGGAATGCCCGCCCTGTGGCTCATGTGAGAGCTCAGCAACTTGGCAATGGTGTTTCTTCTGGACTTCACCGCAGCCCGATGAGCTGAGCCTCTTTTCCCCTTTCTGTAGGTGAAGGGTCTTGCCTGGGGCCATGTGGGAGTTTACAGCCGGGTCCGGACATGATTCTGTTTCCCCAACACCCACCTTCCCCCTACAGCCACATCCTGGGGAGGCTATGGCCCACCAGCTCCCAGAGGCAGGCAGAGGGCCCAGTGCAGATCAGCGTCCTTGCTCCTCAGGTGTCTGACGTGGCCTCTGGCCACTGACACGAGGACACAGAGGCCGAGTGTGTGCCGGGCACTGCCCCACTAACACCTGGCTCATGACATGCAGGTGGAACCACCGGGCCCTCTCACCCAACATCTACAGCAGCGTCCTGATACTCCCAGCAGCTGGCCCAAGCCCCTGACCGGGTGGAGAGAGCAGCCTCAAATGGCTTGGCTCAGGCACAGGCAGGGCAGAAGCAGGGGCACCAGGTTCCCACCCTCCAAAGAAGACCACCACCTCCTCGGGCAGGCTTTCAGCCTTGGACTAAGCAGAGTCCACATCTGCCCAGCCCTTCAGCAAGCTCCTCGCCTGTCTCACACACCCCATCCCTCACAACAGCCCCGTGCGAGCTGCCTGGGGTAGACAGGGCAGAGATCTGGGATTCATCAGCTCCGTCTGACACCTGGGGAAGATGAGGCTCAGAGTGGGAGAGTGGCTGCCCTGGAACCTTGCAGTTCACAGAGGGCCTGCAGGGACCTGACACCCGGCTGACACACCAAGTCCTCACCTGCCTGGCCACACATGCGCACACACTCTCTCCAGCTTTTTCTCTTAAAAATGGCTATTCCCAACATTAATACTTTTTCATTCAACCCACAGTTGTTTGTCCAAGGCAATCGGAAATTTTAATTATAACTTTAAAACCATTTCTAGTAGTTTGCCCCCTAAATTCAAATATAATAAAGACAGTTTACTGCACGCCTTGGTTAGCCCAGGACAGTACTGGTTTATGCCTGTCCCAAGATCCCCTTGGTTTGGTATTTGCCATGGTCACCCTTGCTCCTCCCTGAGGGCCAAAGTCCCCAGCCCCAGCTCTTGTTTCCCCGGCCCTCTGGGGAAGGGTCTGGTGGAAGCCCTTGCTCCTTCTCCCGCCGGCCTGGAGGGGAGATGCTGGAAGGTGCCAGAACGCAGCCTCTTCTCTCTCCTTGAGCCACCATTCATGGGCTGGGAGAACTCGGAGTCAAGCATACTAGGACTCTTCTTGGCCAATTTCCCTTTTGTATGTTTTTTAGATAAAGTTGCAGAGGAAAAGGAAGAACTTGGCCATAATAAAAACATTGCCCTCATAAGGTTTCCAGATGGCCTGGGGGTCACAGACTTCTGGAGGCGGTGGGTTCCTCTCCGGCCAGGCTGCCTGCAGGTAAGAATCACGCGGAGCCCCCTGTTGAGCATACTTCCAAGTAGACTGGGGGTCATGGGAGAGGATACCATCACCCCACCTCACCGCACTATGCTCGTCAGGATGCCCAGAGAGCTGCCCGCTCACCCCAGCTGCACGGTCTACATCCTCACCACAGAGGCGCCCACCCAAGCCTGGCTCTGGAGGGCTGGCAGGAGTGGTGGGGCAGGGACAGGGCCTCCCCAGAGCTCATGTTTCTAGGTGGCCGGGGTCAGCAAGTAAGGTCTGTGCCCAGGGCAGCTTCCAAGACTGCCTCTCAGAGCCCCGGTTTCCTGCCCATTCCCGCCTGCTGTGTGAAAAAGGAGTCCACACACGGCCGTCCAGTCACCACCCAGGGACCCTACACATGTCCAGGCCTGGAGCTTGGCCTGGTGTTCCCAGGGTTTGCACAGAAAGGCTGTGTCTGCTCTTTTGGGGGCCTTTGGGGAAGGGACAGTGTGGTATCCTCAGGAGGCAGCACCGGGCATCGTCTCTGGCACAGTCTGACTTGCCAGGGCTCTGTCCCTCAAGACCCAGAGCCAGCCCTGAGCTCACAGCTCCCTGTACCCTGGGACACAGGGCCAGCCACCATAGGCCCACAGGCTTGGCTGGTACATGGCCACACCACCCCAGGCTTTCTTCCACCTGCCAGCGGACCCCGGGGTGAAGGGAGAGAGCGGATGCAGCAGCGTGTTCCTCCAGAAGCCCCAGGAGGCCCCTGGGGGTGGGCTTGGGTGAGGGCTCAGCTCTGGGGCCTAGCAGTCTGGGTTTCCGGCCCTGCTGGCCCAGCCACTTACAAGCCATGTGACCTTGGACAAGTGACCACCTTTGTGAGCACCTGGCTCCTCACCTACAGAATGGGGCCAGTCAACTCCACCTCAGTGGCAGCTCTAGGGGGCCACACGTGACAATTTACACCGGAGAGTCGGTCACGGTAGGAGCCGTAAATTCTGACCTGGCCTCACGAGGGGCTACAGGCAACAGAGGGTGAGCTATTCCTACAGCCATGGGTCCCCGGCTGGTCAGCCAGCAATGTCCTGGACAGACGAGCAGCCAGGAGGGACGCCCACCCTCCTCAGAGAAGCCAAGCTGAGGAATTACCTGAGGCCAGGGCATTCTGGAGAGAGCTGGAGAACAGGATCCAGCCAGCCACTCTGGCAGGGCAGGTCTGCATCCCCTGCACCCCTACCTCGCTGTCCCACTGTCCCACCCTGTCCCCAGCAGGGAGTGGGAACCTAGAGGCACACAGCCTGCCGTGGGGCCCTCTCCAGTCTTGAGAGCCGTGTTCGCCTGCCAGCAGGCCCCAAGTCACCCCTTCTTTTGTAGGAAGTTGGCAAGGGATGAATTCAGGGCTGCTGAAAAGGCCAAGTATCAATACACGTGGGGGCCGTCCCAGCCTCAGAGTGGCCAACAATGCCACACTGTCCACACTCTCAGAGCGGATGCAGCATCTGGTCCTCTCCCTCCCCACCTCCCCCATGGGGAGCCACCTCACAGGCACACGCCAGCACCCTGCGTTTCCCTGAGCTGACACACAGAGTACATGGACCCCAAGTGACCACATGTCCACCTTCCCTGTGAGAGCAAGGACCCTAAGTGGGTAGCTATGGGGATTTACATGTCAGAACCCCAGTGGTTAGCACTGTAGAGAGCACATGGCAGGTGGTGGAACCATACTGTACTGCAGTATGATGAGCTGGGAACAGCACAGCCACAGGACCCTGAGACCTGGGTGCCGACTCTGGTGTGGTCACTGCCTGACTGTCTGATGCTGGATCAGCTGTTTAATTTCTGGGCCTGATGTAAACACGGGGAGGGAACCACCTGCCTGGCAGGCTGCCACAGGGAACTAGGACAATGCCTTGTGTCATGAGGGCGCGGAACACACGGCAAAAGGAGGCGCGGGGTGGCGTTAAGGACAAGCTCTGGAGTAGACGGCCAGGCCAGAGCCCTGCTCCACCATTCACCATTCATGAGCTCTGCAGCTTCAGGGTTACTGAACTGCTCAGTGCCTTAGTTTCCCCATCTATAAAATGGAGTTAACTGTGATTAGGATTAAATGAGCTGCTACACATCCTAAGCACTTTATGGTCTTAGCACACACAGAAAGTGCTCAGAAAACAAAACAAAACAAAACAAAAACACAAAAACAACAACAAAAACAAAAAAACCCTTGGAATGCAGTGGCGCAATCACAGCTCACTGCAGCTTCAAACTCCCAGGACTCAAGTGATCCTCCCAGCTCAGCCTCCCAAGCAGCTAGGACTACAGGTACACACCACCACACCCCAAAACTGAACTACTATTGTCGTCATTGTGTTGAAGGAAAACAATCCAGGGTACCTCCTGGCCTCCTGGCTCCCATCCAGCCCCTGGGACCTCTCCCTCTACCCACCGTGGCTCACTGGGCTGCAGCTCGGCTGGGTTTTTTTGGCTGCAGGAAGCCAGACCTGCAGGTTCCAGAGCCTGCCCTCCAAACATCAGTGCCTCTTTCTCCCCACCAGGGTCCTCTCCTGCCCACTCTTATGGAAGGTCGCCCTGCACACGAGTCACACCCTTTAGTAAGCATTAAGATGAGATGCTGCCTGGGGAAGGGAGTCCAAGAAGCTCCGAGGTTCCAGCTCATCCACCCCCAGCCCTGGCAACGGCCTCATTCCCCAGGCACTAACTCAGAGCCAAAGAACAGCTCTGTGGGGACAAGGCAGGGTAAAAATAGCTTGGGCGGGCACATGCCCACTTCCCTTGCAGCAAGGCACCAGCAGGCACACGTGCAGCGCTGCCGCTGGGAAGGTGTGCATGTGTGCGGTGGGGGTGGACACACACTAAGCCTAGTGTAGGGGAGTCCAGCGGTTGCCAGGGCTAGGCCTGTGATGAATCTCTCACCCCACTCCCAGCCAACCAACAGCTCTGGAACGAGATGGGCCAGGTCAAGGTCTCACGGGGTCCTTCCTATGGGCAGCAGGAAATTCAGCTTACTGAGCTAACTCATAGGTGCCAATGTCCCCAGGTCCACAGGGAAGGGATGTGATTGCTAGGGCTGGGGTCTTCCACACCCCACTGTGGCTTGGCTGCTCTCATCATGAAAAGGTGGTGGCCGCAGAGACTGGTACGCAATCTTGGCTGTAACGGACTCCTGCTGCAGCTGCCAACCCTGGCTCTGGGTCAGGCCTTGCTCTGCAGATGCAAGGCTGGGTACTTATCAGTTGCTGATAAGAGGTTTTGGTTCAACAGAGAGTTGCCCAGGCACCAGCCAAGGCAAGGGTGGGATAAAGGGGGTTCAAGCATCCACCCAGAGGCAGTGCCTCGGCCTTGCCTTCTGAACAACAAGCAACCTCAGCTCAGACATGAGGCCTCGGCTCACCCCAACAGAGCCAGGGGTAAGCATGGGAGCACCAGGTCGCCAGGTCACGAGGGATCATCCCACACCTCAGCCAGCCCCGGGGACTGACCACATACTGTGAGATCAAAGCTCTGCAGCCCAGAGCTTCCCGCTCTGATCAGGAAGAAATGCTGCACTGCTACGTTCCATCCCCAGAGTGGCTCAGAGGCCCCGGGGTGTCAGGGAGGGACCCAGTGCCCCATTCCTCCAGCTAAACTCCCTCCCAGGGGATGGCAGCCAAGGCAGGGCAGCTTCCAGACTCTCTTCTCCCAGCCGGGGGCCCCGGATCCACCTCCTGAAACTCACCCCAGAAAGGGTGTGGCCAGGAGCTCAAGACCACCCCTCAGCAGGGCCCACTGCTCCCGCCCTGCAGCTTCTAGGAGTGGATCTTGTGTAGACACCTGGTTGCTGCGCTCCACTTCCATCCTAAGGTGGGCCTGCAGACCCCAGGAGCGGGGGCAACCGGGACAACTGGGGTTCCCCAGGTGCTCATTCATTTCACATGAGAAGCAAGCAGGCTTCTTGCATCACCCCCAGAGGGAGGTAATAAATCACCCTATTTTACAGATTTTTTGTAGAGACAGGGTTTCACCACGTTTCCTGTGCTGGTTTCAAACTCCTGGGCTTGAAGATGTGGAGACTGAGGCTCTTGGGCAGATTTGGTTCAGTTCTGGATCTGGCACACACTGGCTGTGGAACCTCAGGTTGGTGCTGAACAGAAAAGAAAGCGAAAGCCATGCTTGTGTTTCTCCAGAACTCATGACATTTACATAAAGCAAAGGCGGTCACTCAACAAGTTCTGCTGCTGCACAAACATCACCGAGGAAGGGCTGCTGAAGCCCACACTGCCTTTCTTTCAGTGTTTTCATCACAACTCTTGAGCTGTCTCTCTCTCCGATCTCACAACCTCACCCCAACACACACACTGCTGATAAGGCAGCGTCAGAGGAGCCCACAGAGAGGAAGCGGGGTGTGTGCTGAGGCTCCCAGAAAGACTCAGAAATGAGAGATGTCAGATAACCTCCTGGGAGCTCAACTAAGAGAGATGCACACATTTCCTGAGGCTGACAGAGGGACTGAAGTACTAAGGGATCTAAAGACAGAGCCTGTCCTCAGGGAGGGGCTAAGCGAGTGGTCTCCTGGGAAGCACCAAGAGGGAGGGTCTGAGGCCGACCCGGGCCGCGTGCACCCAGGCACTGGCCAGAGGTGTCAGGTCTGGCTGGCCAGCACATCCAGCCTGCCCCAAAGGCGGTGGGGCCTGGCTCAACATTCCACACCTGTCCAGCCCTTGGCCCCTGTGTCCAAGTTCACGTAGCACCCACTCCCAGAAGCCTGCTGACAGACAGGAGAGAAGGGCTGCCCAAGCTCATGTGAGTGCATTTCTCACCACAAGGGGATCCACTGGCTCTGCAGGTCCATTTAGGGACAATCAGTGAGCATGAGTGGACTCAAGTTGTGGGGTGTGGGAAAAGCCAGTAAGATCTGGTTTTCAAGCCCATTAGGATGCAGACCAGACCCTGGACCATGGTGTGATCCCACTGGAAACATCCCGAACAGCTGAGCCATCCACTGTGGGGAGACGCTCTCACTCCTCTCTCCCCACTGTGCCACTTCCGTTCCAATAACAAGTGAGCATGTCAAAGGTTGGGAGTTAAAAACGGGCCGGGCACAGTGGCTCACACCTGTAATCCCAGCACTTTGGGAGGCTGAAGTGGCTGGATCACTTGAGCCCAGGAGTTTGAAACTAGCATAGGAAACATGGTGAAACCCTATCTCTACAAAAAATACAAAAAGTTAGCCAGGTGTGGTGGCGCATGCCTGTTGTCCCAACTACTTGAGAGGCTGAGGATAGAGAATCACCTGAGCCCAGGAAGTCGAGGCTGTGATGGTGCCACTGCACTCCAGCCTGGGCAACGGGAGTGAGACCCTGTCTAAAAATAAATTAGTTAAAATAAAATAAAATAAAATAAAACAAAACATATTACTAAAAATCTAAGCCAGGCATGGCAGTGCATGGCTGTATCCCCAACTATTTGGGAGGCTGAGGCAGGAGGACTGCTTGAACCTAGGAGTTCAAGGCCTACCTGGGCAACATGGTGAGACCCTATATCTTAAAATAATAGTAATAATAATAATAGATGAGAGAAATGAAGGAATAAAAAAATGCTTGAATCATCCAAAAGGACAGATGACTGATAGCCAGAATACATAAGGAACTCAAACAACTCAATAGCAAAAAAACAAATAATTCAATTTAAAAATGGGCAAAAGATCTGAATAGGTGTTTCTCCAAAGACAACACACAAATGGCCAAGAGGTATATGAAAAAATGTTCAACATCACTAATCATCAGGGAAACACAAATCAAAACCACAATGAGATACCACCTCACCCTAATAAGAATGGCTATCATCAAAGAGACAGAAAATAACAAATGCTGGCAAGGATGTGGAGAAAAGGGAACTCTTATACACTGTTAATGGGACTGTAACCTTTTTTTTCTTTTTTTGAGATGGAGTCTCACCCTGTCGCCCAGGCTGGAGTGCAATAGCACGATCTTGGCTCACTGCAACCTCCACCTCCCGGAATCAAGCGATTCTCCTGCCTCAGCCTCCCGAGTAGCTGGGATTACAGGCACATGCCACCACGCCTGGCTAATTTTTTGTATCTTTAGTAGAGAAAGGGTTTCACCATATTGGCCAGACTGGTCTCAAACTCCTGACCTCATGATCCGCCCACCTCGGCCTCCCACAGTGCTGGGATTACAGCTGTGAGCCACTGTGCCCGGTTGGGACTGTAAGTATTAATAGAACAATCATTATGGACAACGGTATGGAGGTTCCTCAAAGAATTTAAAACTATCATATGATCCAACAATTCATCTACTAGGTATACAAACAAAAGAAAAGAAATCAGTATGTCAAAGAGAGATCTGCATTCCCACATTTATTGAAGCACAATTCACAATAGCCAAAATATGGAGTCAACTAAGTATCCATTAACAGATGAATGCATTTTTAAAATGGGGTGTATATATACACAATGGAATAGTATTCAGCCATAAAAAAGAATAAAATCCTGTCATTTGTGACATGGATGAACCTACAGAACATTGTGTTAAGTGAAATAAGCCAAGTAGAGAAGGACAAACAGCATGATCTCACTCCTATGTAGAATCTAAAGAAGTTATCCCATAGAAGTAGAAAGTAGAATGGTGGTTACCAGAGGCTGGAGAGGGTAGGAGAAGGGAGGACGGGGAAAGGTTGGTCAACAGGCACGAAGCTATAGTCAGATGGGAGGACTAAGTCCTGGTGTTCTATTGCACAGTAAGGTTACTACAATTAACAACAATGTGTATTTAAAAATAGCTAGAAGATAGCATTTTGAATGTTCTCACCACAAAGAAATGACAAGTGTTTGAAGTGATGGTTTTGCTAATGACCCTGATTTGATCATTCCACAATACACATGTGTATCAAAACATCAGACTGTACTCTCTAAATATGTACAATTGTATGTCAATTAAAAACTTAAAGATTATGTAGGATTAAAACTCTACCACATCAGTAATACTTTTAAAGAAAACTGAGTAAATAATCCTATTAAAAGATCAATATTGTCAGAGTAAATTAAAAACAACTACATACCACTTACAAGAAACACAATTGAAATTTAACAAGATGTAACACTTTTATATCTATGCATCTAACAGTCTCAAAACATAAAGCAAAACTTAACAGAATGGGAAGTGGGAGCTGTTAATTCACCTCTCTCAGAAACTGATGGAACATGCTGAACGTGGCTCACACCTGTAATGCCAGCACTTTGGGAGGCCAAGGCAGGTGGCCAGGAGCTCCAGGCCAGCCTGGGAAACATAATGAGACTCCATCTCTACAAAAAAAAAAAAAAAGTAAAAAAGAATAGCCAGGTGGTGCATG
This sequence comes from Homo sapiens, assembly GCF_000001405.40. NCBI lineage: Eukaryota > Metazoa > Chordata > Mammalia > Primates > Hominidae > Homo > Homo sapiens. The sequence goes on along the minus strand of NC_000017.11, from coordinate 31,505,849 downwards.
CCTGTAATCTCAGCTACTCGGGAGGCTGAGGCCAAAGGATTGCTTGAGGCCACGAGTTCGAGGATACAGTGAGCTATGATTGCACCTGGGTGACAGAGCTCAAGATTCTGTCTTTAATAATAGTAATAATAATATTATTAATATATTATATATAATTATTATATATTATAATAATTATGTATTATATAATTATTATATATTATATATAATTATTATTATATAATTATATATTATATATAATTATTATTATATAATATATAATTATTATTATATATTATTATATATTATAATTATTATTATATATAATATATAATAATTATATATAATATATAATTATTATATATAATATAATAATTATATATTATATATTATAATTATTATTATATGTTATAATAATTATTATATATTATATAATAATTATATATTAATATATAATAATTATTATATATTATTATTATTACTGATGGAATAAGCAAACAAGAGAATTAGAGAGGACACAGAAGACCAGAACAACACAAACTCCAGACTGATACATACAGAACACTACACTCAACAACTGCAGAATAACACCAGTAGATTAAAGGCTAATGAAAAACTAGATACTTGCACAATACCGAAGAATCACCCTACAGATTGCTGCAAAACACCAAAGCACCCCACATACCTCTACCAGGGAGAACACAGACTACTGTCCCTTTAATGCAGAGATCAAATTTAGCATCACTAATTGGAAAGAACCAGGCGCTGGCCTCCCAACGCGATGCCTAAGAGGTACACAGCATCACCTATAGTGTGGGCTTAACTAAGTATTTAACTCAATTCAAATCAAGCCTTAGGATCTAACTTCTACCAAACGGAAAAATGGGATAGAAGTTACACATCACCACAGGGAAGATGCATTTCTAAAGGTTGAGGCAGGCTGGAAGAAAACGCATTTCTAACAAGTTCTCGGGTGATGCGGATGCCACTTGTCCCAGGACCACACTTTGCAAACCACTGTTCTAGATTAACTGAGAGACATAGAAACCGAATATTATCCTTGATTAGATCCCAGATCAAACAAACAAACCACCACCAGCTGTAAAAGACCTTTTGAGGATAAACAAGGAGGATGGAATCTGGAGTAGATATTGGGTGATATTAGGGAATTATGCTTAATTTTGTCAGGTGTGTTAATGGCATATAGTTGTGAAGGAAAATGTCCTTAGTTTTGATAATATTTAGTCTAATTTCTTTTCAAATGGCTCATTTGAAAAGAAACTTGGTTCATTTGAAAGTTACAGGACAGGCACGGTGGCTCACGCCTGTAATCCCAGCACTTTGGGAGACCGAGGCGAGCGCTTATCATGAGGTCAGGAGTTCAAGACCATCCTGGCCAACATGGCGAAACCCTGTCTCTACCAAAAATACAAAAAAATTAGCCGGGCGTGGTGGCGGGCACCTGTAATCCCAGCACTTTGAGAGGCCGAGGCAAGCGGATCATGAGGTCAGGAGTTCAAGACCATCCTGGCTAACACAGTGAAACCCCATCTCTACTAAAAATACAAAAAAATTAGCCGGGCGTGGTGGTGGGTGCCTGTAGTTCCAGCTACTCGGGAGGCTGTGGCAGGGGAATGGCGTGAACCCAGGAGGCAGAGCTTGCAGTGAGCCGAGGTCGCGCCACTGCACTCCAGCCTGGGTGACAGAGCGAGACAATGTCTCAAAAAAAAAAAAAAAAGAAGTAGTAGTAAACATTATATGGAAACATGAAAAAATAGCCTGCCCCAAATTTGCTGAACTAGTGAAGGAAAAGTGTTATTGCCTGTCTTTTGGATAAAAGGTATTTTAACTAGGATGGGATGATATCTCATTATAGTTTTCATTTGCATTTCTCTGATGATCAATGATGTTGAGCACCTTTCATATGCCTGTTTTCCATTTATATAAATTACATATAACAGAAATGTCTATTCGGATCTTTTGCTGATTTTTTGATCGGTTTATTCGCTTTTTCCTGACAGGTCTGGCTCTACTTAAAAGAATATGAAAAAGTGAAGCCATCCTGAAAGAATACTATCCTAGCGGGTAGAGTCCACAGAAACTGGAGCCCGAACAGACCAACATGAGCTTCAAGGATGAAATGAGAACAGAACGACGAGCAGTCTTGGTTTCAAATGATCAGATCAAGCGGCAATGGATGGCTGAGGTCATAAGAATGATCCGGCCTCTAAAAGACCATTCACAGTCATAACAGTCCTAGAAATGTTTCCAAATAGAGCAGGTGGTCAAGAGCCATCCCCAGGGGGTCCCTCACCCATGGGCCTTTGCCTGAAAGCAGAACTGCCTCCCCTCTACTCTGCCAGGCTTTGCCCACCCTCCTCTTCCTCTTCCCCCTTCCCTTGAAGGAGGTTCCCAAGACCCTTTTCTGCTATGGGCTGAATCCTGTTCCCTCTAAAATTCATATATTGAAGTCCTAATCCCTAGTACTTCAGAATGTGACTGTATTTGTAGATAGTCTTTAAAGAGGTAATTCAGGCCGGGCTGAACTGCAGGCTCACACCTACAATCCCAGCACTTTGGGAGGTCGAGGTGGGTGGATCACTTGAGGTCAGGAGTTCGAGACTAGCCTGGCCAACATGTTGAAATCCAGTCTCTACTAAAAATACAAAAATTAGCCAGGCGTGGTGGCACATGCCTGTAGTCCCAGCTACTCGGGAGGCTGAGGCAGGAGAATCACTTGAACCTGGGAGGTGGAGGTTGCAGTGAGCCGAGATAGTGCCACTGCACTCCAGCCTGGGCAACAGAGCAAGACTCTGTCTTAAAACAAACAACAAAATAATAATAATAATAATAAAGAGGTAATTCATTTAAATTGAAGTCCTAATGGGTGGGCCCTAACGCAATGTGACTGGTGTCCTTATAAGAGGAGATTAGGACACACGCAAAGGAAAGACCATGTGACGACACAGGGAGAAGATGGCTGTCTGCAAGCCAAGGAGAGAGGACTCAGAAGAAACCAAGCCTGCTGACACCTTGATGCTAGACTTCAGCCTCCAGAATTGTGATAAAACACACTTTGGTTGTTTACGCCACGCAGTCTGTGGTCCTTTGCTATGACAGCCGTAGCAGACCAATAGACCAATATACCAATATCCCTTCTCCTCCCCTAGGAAGGCTTCATGGAAACCCCAACCCAAGCTCAGTCTGGATTTTTCGCCCACCTTCTCACCCTGATAACAAAAGAGAACTTTTTAAAGGTCAATTCAATTCAACCTTTATTTTTTTATTTTTTGAGATACAGTCTTGCTCTGTCACCCAGGCTGGAGTACAGTGGCACAATCTCAGCTCACTGCAACCTCTGTCTCTTGGGTTCAAGCAATTCTCCTGCCTCAGCCTCCCAAGTAGCTGGGATTACAGGTGCCCACCAGCACGCCCAGCTAATTTTTGTATTTTTAGTAGAGATGGGGTTTCACCATATTGGCCAGGCTGGTCTTGAACTCCTGACCTCAAGTGATCTACCTACCTCAGCTTCCCAAAGTGCTAGGATTACAGGTGTGAGCCACCTCGCCCAGCCAATTCAACCTTTAAAGAGAACTACAGATGGTCCTCAACTTACAATGGTTTGACTTACAATTTTTTTTTTTTTTGAGACAAGGTATCGCTCTGTCAACCAGGCCAGAGTGCGATGGCACCATCTCAGCTCACTGCAACACCCCCCTCCTGGGTTCAAGTGATTCTCCTGCCTCAGCCTCCCAAATAGCTGGGATTACAGGTGCCCACCACCACGCCTGGCTAATTTTTGTATTTTCAGTACAGATGGGGTTTTGGCATGTTGTCCAGGCTAGTCTCAAACTCCTGGCCTCAAGTGATGCAGCCAGCCACCTTGGCCTCCCAACGTGCTGGGATTACAGGCCACCGTGAGCCACTATGCCCGGGCTCACTTTGATTTTTCAACTGTATGATGGTGCAAAGTGATCCACAGTCAGTAGAAGTCATACTTCAAGTACCCATAAGAGCATTGTCTTTCACTTTCAGCATAGTACTTAATAAATTGCGTGGGATGGGCTGGGTGCGGTGGATTACACCCAGCACTTTGGGAGGCCGAGGCGGGCGGATCACGAGGTCAGGAGATTGAGACCATGGTGAAACCCCATCTCTACTAAAAATACAAAAAATTAGCTGGGCGTGGTGGCGGGCGCCTGTAGTCCCAGCTACTTGGGAGGCTGAGGCAGGAGAATGGCGTGAACCCGGAAGGCGGAGCTTGCAGTGAGCCGAGATCGCGCCACTGCACTCCATCCTGGGCAACAGAGCCAGACTCCATCTCAAAGAAAAACCAAACCAAACCAAATCAAACAAAACAACAACAACAAAAAATAAATTGCGTGGGACATAAAACACTTTATTGTAAAACAAGCTCTGTGTTAGATGATTTTGCCCAACTGTAGGCTAAAGTAAGTGTTTGGGCACATTTAAGGTAGCCTAGGCTAAGCTATGGTGTTTGGTAGGTGAGATGTATTAAACGCATTTTTTTCTTTTTTTTTTTTTAACTTATGATACTTCCAATATACAATGGGTTTATCAGGACGTAACCCCATCAAGGAGCATCTGTAACTGGATTTCCAGAACCTACTCAAGAGACTCAGGGATTTATTTTTGGTCTGTCCTAAAAAAAAAAAAAAGTTGTATTCTCTTATTCTCTTTCACGATTAGTTTGAAATACTGCTACTTCTTAAGAGATGATATTTTGTTGAAATCAAAGCTTGGTGAATCTATGATTATCAGGATGGCATTCTATAAACACTATATGCCAATCTAAGTAAGTTATTTCCATTTTCTTTTTTTTTTTTTTGAGATGGAGTCTCACTCTGTCACCAGGCTGGAGTGCAGTGGCACGATCTCGGCTCATTGCAACCTCTGCCTCCCGAGTTCAAGCGACTCTCCTGCCTCAGCCTCCTGAGTAGCTGGGACTACAGGCGCGTGCCATCACACCCAGCTAATTTTTGTATTTTTAGTAGAGACGGGGTTTCACCATGTTGGCCAGGATGGTCTCGATCTCTTGACCTCGTGATCTGCCCGCCTCAGCCTCCCAAAGTGCTGGGATTACAGGCATGAGCCACCATGCCCAGCCACTTCCATTTTCTTGTGCATTCTCTCAGTAGTATAAGTATTCTATTTCAATTTCAGAGAAGCATATGCACAGTTCAGAGACGTTAGAATTGCAAAGGCAATTTTTGTTTGCCCAAAACTGTATTTAGTATAGTTATAAGACAAATGTAAAAGGTATTTTACCTACACAGCGATTGCTTTACAAGAGAATAAATCAGCAGTTAGCCCTGGAGCCACAGGCCCTCACACAAGGAGCCTTTTATCCTGGGTCAGGCTGCCTCTGTGACCAGCAGCGCTCAGTAACTGAACAAGATATTACCAGTTTCTCCGTGCCAGACAGTATTTCTGGCTACCTGACATCTGGAGCATTTTCCTCCCTCTGTTGTGGTCAGTGTGGGAAGGAGGGCCGCTACTGCCCCCGGGACACGTGGGCACCCTGCTCAGAGGGACGCCAGCTGGCCTGTGACATGGCCCAAACCCGAGCCCCACCCCCGCCACTCCACAGCGGTCTAGAGCTGGTTTGTAACCAAGGTGCAGCTGAATTTAGCTCAGTGAATCATCTCCAAGGAAAACCCACAGAGAAAGTGAACTCACCTTTTAACCAAGTCCTGGATGGGGTGTGACTGTCCCAAGAATGCCCTGGGTCCCAGATCTGAGTGCCCCAGTAAGCCCATTTCCTAAACAAAAAGGGTTTGAAGAGGCTATCTAGCCTACCCTCTGCCCTGCAAACAGAGCCAACGGCCTTGATTTTCAAATGAGAATGTGGACTTCGGAGGCAAACTGTTGGGGATTAAGAAAACAGAACTTAAATTGCTTCCACATCTGGAAAACAAACCCAGCAGCCAGCCCCAAGAATTCCAGGCATGCCAGCTCAAAGAGAAGCTGCAGGTCAGGGGAGGCTTTTCCTCTTAGCTTTCAGTCCCCCATCACCTACCTGAAGCCACAAAGATCTCCTGTCTACAAATAGCTAGTGGAGCCACAACTCAGAGAAAGAGAACAAAGTTGACATACTAGGGCGCCTACCATGTGGCCAGTCTGCTCTGTGCTTTACAGAGGTGGTAAACTCCCTGCAAGTAATTATCATTTTCCTCCTTATAGATGGGGAAATGTGGCCAGGTGCGGTGGCTCATGCCTGTAATCCCAGCACTTTGGGAGGCCGAGACGGGCGGATCACGAGGTCAGGAGATTGAGACCATCCTGGTCAACATGGTGAAACCCCATCTCTACTAAAAAATACAAAAATTAGCTGGACACGGTGGCACGTGCCTGTAATCCCAGCTACTCGGGAGGCGGAGGCAGGAGAATCGCTTGAACCAGGGAGTAGGAGGTTGCAGTGAGCTGAGACTGTGCCACTGTACTCCAGCCTGGCGACAGAGTGAAACTCTATCTAAAAAAAAAGAAGAAAGAAAGGAAGAAGGAAAAGAAAAAGTGGGGGAATGGTGTCCAGAGAGTCTCATCCACTTTCCCCTGAAGTATCCTGCAGTTTTTCTCTTTACTCCCCTTTGGAGTCACACAAAAAGTTGGGGCCATGCAAACCCAAATCAGGAGTTCCCTAATTTAAATCGTCCCATCTAAATTCTCAGAAAAGATTTCCCAAATGCCTACCGGAAGCTCCAGTTCCCATGCAGCCACTGCATCTCTGGTTCCCCCAAGAAAAGCATGGACCAGAGGTCCCAGCAACTCAACTCAAAAGCGAAGTAACGTGCTGCAGTTGAATGGGGTGCGTATAAAGGGCTCTCCTGGTTCTTGGAACGGGCAGCTATTTTTTGCTACAAATTATAGCTTTTCAAGATGTGGCTTTTTGAAGAGAGGGCTTAATTACTCACACAACCAAGAGTCTGTGGGGCTTGCTTTGGGGGCTCCATACTTTACCATCATGATAAGAGGAGCGATGATAAAAACACTTCACTCAAAGTGAAGGTTTGGGAGGGAAAACAGTGGCTCAGGCCAGCTCTTTCTTCTCGTAGAGTCCACCGGGTAGGTCAGGCTACATTTTCAGGGGAGCACCCTCCAAAGAGGTGACATGGAACTTTCCAGAGAGAGGCCACTATCCAACTCAAGGAGAGCATGCCTGGATGGAGCTGACCCACGGTCCAAAGCCAGGGTGGGTTCCCACCCAGCTCCTCCTCTGCCACAGAACCCTCAGGCCTTGAACAGCCAGCAGAGCACCGATGTTTACCCACAGCCAATGGCCAAGGCTCCACGTGACCCGCCCTTCTGGAGCAGGCAGGTCAGGGTCAGCAGGGTGACTCTCCTCCTCCCAACCCTGCAGGGCCTCCTGCCAGAGCCCTTGGTTTTTATAACCCTCTCCTCCTCCCTGCCCCATCTTCTGGTACCTCCCATCAGCACATAGCCCCCATGGTCTTCCCAGCAAGCTCAGTTCAGGTGTCTCTCTTTGTCCTGTGGCCTTTGCTAGACCCAGCTACCCAAGCTTCGTGTTCCAGAAGCTGCTGTCTTGCATGGGGGGTTGGGGGGTGTCACTCAAGCATAGCTGGCCAGAGCTCAGCTTAGGGCCTCCGGCCAGGGCAGGCTTTCTCGCAGTGGGGACAGGTGAGAGGGCATTAGGGGCTCATGGGGTGGAGACTCTCCCTCCCAGGGAGTCCATTGGGAACCCCCTCTAAGAGCTTGTGAGCTCCCCACTGCCCACAGAACCAGGCCCAGCTCCTGAGAGCAGCTCGCAAAGCCCCTTCCAGCAGGTCTCAGCCTCAGGACATGCTCTGCCTCTCCCCTTCCCTAGTACCCCAGGCTCCTGGGCACCTTTACCCACCCCAATGCCTCAGCACATGCTGCTTCTTATGCACAGGGGGCATAAGCACCACCTCATCAAAGAGGGGGCTTCGAATCTCTGACACTACACACAAAACTGAGGAGGTTGGGCTACTGGCTTTCATTGGAATCTCAAGAGGGAGGGGGCAGAGAGAAGATCTCCAAGGAAAACAAGGTTTAAAACCATCACCTGCTCTTAAAGCCTCCCTCTAGCCAGCAGCGCACACTCAGCCCCTGCTTGGGGGCCACTGTCACCCAGACATCCCCATGTGGCTGTCTCCTGGTGCCTCCCCAACTCAGCCCCGACTTCCATGAACAGCCCACACCTAACCCTCTGTACTGCTCCAGCCAGACCCTGTGCAGCCTTGTCATGTGCACCCCTGTAGGTGCCGACTGGGTGCCCACCCCACCACTCTTCCTCCTCTCTCTCCGTCCTGCCTCACCCCACTGCAGCCCAGCCATCCTGAAGGACGGGGCCCCTGACACATCCTGCTCACACAGGCCCCTGTGCCTTTGCCACTGCCCCCTGCCCAGAACTCCTCCGTCTGTCTCAGGAGCAGTGCCACTGGCTGGCACTCCCCGAGATCCTTAACACCTAAACAAGCACAAAGCAGTTTTTTTTTTGTTTTGTTTTTGAGATGGAGTATCGCTCTGTCGCCCAGGCTGGAGTGCAGTGGCATGATCTCGGCTCACTGCAGGCTCTGCCTTCCGGGTTCCAGCGATTCTCCTGCCTCAGCCTCCTAGGTAGCTGGGATTACAGGCGCCTGCCACCACGCCGGGCTGATTTTTGTATTTTCAGTAGAGATGGGGTTTCACCATGTTGGTCAGGCTGGTCTCGAACTCTTGACCTCAGGTGATCCGCCCGCGTTGGCCTCCCAAAGTGCTGGGATTACAGGCATGAACCATCGTGCCTGTCCACAAAGGGGTCTTAAACATTTGAGAACAAGGAAAGCACGCATCTGCTAAGCACCTATTGTGTGCCAGGTATTTCTGTGCATCAGCCACTATTTAGATGAGAATACACAGGTTCAAGGAGGTTAAGTAATTCGTGAAAGGTCGCAGGGCTGGGATTTGAACCAGGTCTGATTTTAACGCAGCAAGGAGGGTACAGAGAATACCAAATGCTCTCAGCGATGCGACATCCAGCACCCCATGGACAACACTGTGCACTGGAGTGGACTCAGGCTGACCCTGCAGCCACAGGAATGGCAGTTAGCAACGCTGATGGTACCAGAACTTGGACTTGAGCTGAAGCTTGCAGGGACCACAGCACACTGGGCTTCTGAGGTCTGTGCCATCCAGGCCATCAGGCAGAGCCCTCCTCCCCTTTCCCACCCCAGGGAGCTTCAAAGAGGCTACATGTGGGAAGACTTTACAGAAAGGGAGAGGAGAGATTTGAAAGAAAATTGCTAAAAGGAAACACATGTGAAAATGAAAACTCAGGCAAAGGGGGAGAAGGACGAGGGAAGAAGAGTAATGTCCAAGGATTATAAACTGAGTCAAGAAGCCCTTGGAACACCAGTTTCCCTCTGCTCCCTTGGGAAGGCCAGTGACCCACTCCCAGCCCTCATTTTCCCTCTTAACCCAGATGGAACGGGGCAGACCTTAGATGATACCCAGCAAGAGAAACAGGGAATGTTGCCTTGCACACAGCCATGACAACTGTGGAGCCACGATTCATATGTGGTGGGAGGAAAATCCCGAGGCTCAGAGAGGTCGCTCTACTTTGCCAAGGCCACACAGCTGGCGAGCCATAAAGCTGGAATCTAAGCCCAATCCAAGGTTGTCCCCTTGAACCACATCAGGGTCCCCTCATATAATCTGCCACCACTACAAGGTGGCTCCACCTGCATCCTTGGAGGAACTGGACAAATTATATAAGTTCCCCAGAGGTTACCTAGTTTCTATTTCATTAAATCTGAGACACCTCTGATTTTACAATGCACCGTTATTTCAAGTATGCCAAGAAAAAGGCGCTGTCAAATTATAATAATCCGCAAATGTGCGACACATTCCAATTTAAGATGTTAAATGGAAAAAAAGGAAAGGAAAAAAAGAATGTGCCTTAGAATCCCAGAAAATACCATGTAAGTGTGAGTAGGGAACAGGGATTCAGTCACAGTTCCGCAGACTGTGTGTGTGCAGTGAAGGGCAGTCAACAACTCCACACAAGCACATGAGCACACACCTGCTGCTATAAAATCCTTCTTTGCTAATAACTGATGCAATCGTGCAGATAATCATACAAAAATGTGTTGGCCAGACCTGCCTTGTCAACAAGAACCCTCATTTCACCAGGAGACCATCAATTCAAGGTTGCCTAACATCAGTCAGACGAGTCAAGCATGGTGGCTCATGCCTGTAATTCCAGCACTTTGGGAGGCCAAGGTGGAAGGATTGCTTGCGCCTAGAAGTTTGAGACCAGCATGGGTGACATAGTGAGACCTCATCTCTACCAAATGAATAAATAGCCGGGAGTGGTGGTGCACCCAGCTACTCAGGCAGCTGAGGTGGGAGGATCACTTGAGCCCAGGAGGTCGAGGCTACAGTGAGCCAAGATTGTATCGCTGCACTCTAGCCTGGGCAGAAATGCGAAACCCTGTCTCAAAAAAAAAAAAAAAAAAAAAAAAAATCAGTCAAGTGGAGGCTGTCCTGCCCACCTAACCAGCCAGGCTAGGCCAGGCTAGCCAGCTTCGCCTGAGTGGAGCTATAGACCTCTGGGCAGCCAAGCTGGATGACTCTGTGGTTAACTACCAAGGGCAGTCACCCAGTGTGGCTGGGCGGTGGCACAGCCTGCACCTTTTTGTCTGGCTTTTCTCCAAATCTCCTGGGGCTTGTGGCCAGCCAGAGCCTCAGCATTTTAATAAGGCAGATGCTGGGGGCTGGCAGTGGCAGATGGGCAGCACTGCTCCAAGCCAGCTTTTCCAGCTAGGCACAGGTGGATGGACAGGCAGGCCCTGGCTGGAGGTGAAGGGCAGGTGGGCCGAGGTGTGGAGGGCCATCCTCCCCTTGGCAGGCCAGCCACAGCCTGGCAGTGTGAGCAGCCTCTGGAAGGACAGGCTAGGTACAGTCTCCCTCACTGAACCTGGGGAGAAGTCTGTTACCTCGGAAGCTGCTTGACATCTCATTCACAGACTGCCACACAAATGCTAGTCACTTCACCCCAGACCCAGAATCTGTATCTGCAGAGCCCGAGCAAGGTTTGTTAAAAACACAGAAGCTGGCTGGGTGCAGAGGCTCATGCCTGTAATCCCAGCACTTTGGGGGGCCGCGGTGGGAGGATCACCTGAGGGCAGGAATTCGAGATCAGCCTGGGTAACATAGTAACACCTCATTTCTACTTTTTTTTTAAAAAAATTAAAATTAAAATTGAAAAAAAAGATTTAAAAACCCACAGAAGCTGAGGAAGTAGAGTTTTGCTTCTCTTGCAAAGGCCCTTGAGTAATGGAGTTTTTCCGCTGCCACCTTCCTGTTTGGGCCATGACACTCCCCGGCAAGACATTCTGTTAGGTGCGAAGGTTATTAGTCACAACAATCAAACCAGCTGAAGCCTGCAGGAACTAAGAATAACAGCTCACCCCAAAGCACAGTTTTAAGTGCTTTTCATACATTTACATATTTGAGCCTTACCACGAACCCTGTGAGGGAGGTACTAGCCTCATCCTCTTACCACGAACCCTGTGAGGGAGGTACTAGCCTCATCCTCGTTTTACAGGTGGGGAAGCTGAGGCACAGAGAAATTAAATAACTTGTCTAAGATTCCACCAATAGCAAGGGGCAGAGCCAGGATCTGAACCCAGAGACAGCCTGACTCTGAAGGCATTTTGGTACTAAACTGGCCTGCCTCTCTAACCATCTAACCGTCCACGAGTGTCAACTAAGTAAAGGCCAGAACCTAGACTGGGCATCTTAAATCACCATGGCTCATTTTATTTTCACCATCACCCTGCGAGGCAGGTGCTATTATCAACCCCATTCTACCTGTTGGGCACCCCAACCCTCAGCCACCCCAAAGCAGGGGGGTGGATGAACAGGATGCCCCATCTGAATGCTGCCTGACACGCAAACACACACGTGTGTGCACACACACATATACGATCTGGGGCCCTAAACTGGACAGACTAAACCCAAAGCTGCTGCCCAAATGTGGGAGTGACTCCCTGGGGTCCTTAGGACCCCACAGAACCATGCTGCTGCCTGCCCACAGGCAGAGGGAGTGAAGAGTGAGGCCAGGGAAAGTGAAATCAGAAGGGTGAGGTCGCCTGTCCAAAGTTCCACAACTAGCGAGCAACAGAGCCAGGATCTAGACCTAGAAGTTTTCTGGCGCCCATTTTTTCTCCTTAAGGAAACAGGCATTGGGTGACAAAGCGTGGGATGCAGGTGTCTGTGTCTTAGGTAGGCATTTCTTCCAGGAAAACGAGGGAGCAGGGGGCAGGGACTTGCTGCTATTCTCGCTCCTATTCTAGGAGGGAGACTTGAGTCTGGTGCAGAGGGTAGACACCCCTCAGCTCCCTTACCCCAAGTTCACCGGAGCAGCAGCAGCTATTTGAAATGTGGGTTCCCTTTCCATGGTATCAGGCTTGCACAGCGCAGGGGGGTGGGGGGTGACCACAGATGACTAAAGAGAGAGAGCCCGCCCACTCTCCCACACTCCAGTTCTGTTTAGGCCTTCCTCTTTCTGGTACCTCAAAAGAGAAAGGCTCCCATGAGCAGAGCCACAGATATTAATAACTTCTACAGAGCTTTGTTTTCATCTGAATTAATGTTTACATTGTTGGGAAAGAACCCACTTGTCTGGGAAGATGAAGCAGGTTAGATCAATTAAAAATGTGACCAACAGTTGGAAAACTTCCCATTTCTTAAGGTCAGTCAAGAAGTGGGTTTGGAAGTGCTGGCATGACTAGCACTGGCCTGCTGGGCGGTTCTGGGCTGGAGGTCACTCAGACCCCACAGCTCTGGGCCATCACAGCCACCCCTCTGACCTTCATACGACCCTTGTAGGCTGCACGTCCTTCTGGTTGCCTATGTTCTCCTCCCCGTCTCATCTCCTTTCCAGGTCATGCGAAAAAGTGAAGAAGTAACCACCAAGGTTGTCTGGGTGCTCAGGGGGGTTCTGAGAATCTGAGCTCTTGTCATCAATGCTCTTGAGGGGGGCTCAGCTCCTGAAGCACCAAGACGCTCGGGACCCCTCTGAGCAAGGCCAGCTGGGCGCCCCCAGCATCCACTCAGCCTTGAATGGGGTCCACAGAAGCTGGCCAATGACAAATTCCATTCAATTAACAGTATTATGATGAAGCTGCAAACACTTGGGGAAGGACTGCCATGTGTAGTCAGACACTTGGCATGAGATAATGAGAAAATAGCTCCAAATGAAAACAGATAAGGGTGCAGTCCAGGCTTCTGGGGGCACCTTCTCTGCAGCCTGCCACCCAGTGTGGGCTCCAGATCATGGTGCTTGGAACCGTGGTCAGGCCCAAAGCTACAAATCCTCCCAGGATAACATGTGCTGGCCAGGAGAGGTAGCCAAGACACCCTGCTGAAGCCCCACCCACCAAAAACTCAGAGGGCACCCCAACCTTCAGCCACCCCATAGCAGGGGGGTGGATGAACAGGATGCCCCATCCGAATGCCGCATGACACGCAAACACACGTGTGTGTACACACATATATATGATCTGGGGCCCTAACCTGGACAGACTAAACCCAAAGTTGCTGCTCAAATGTGGGAGTGACTCCCTGGGGTCCTTAGGACCCCATAGAACTGTGCTGCTGCCTGCCACAGGCAGAGGGAGTGAAGAGGGAGGCCAGGGAACCCTTGAGGATCAGACAAGAGATGAGGAGACAGCCTGGGTGACACAGGCCAGAGTACGGAAAACACGGGCAGGCTGCTGGCTGCTTTATGAGCCTTGAGAGCAGGACCTGTCCCTACCCGACAGGAGCTGACCCGTGGGAACAGCAGGCAGGCCCAGGCAGCTGTCAGAGACACAGCTGTATGCACATCGCCGGCGTGCCCTTTGCTGGTTTGATTCGTGTGGTGGCAACAGCATAGTCTGGCAGGAAATGTTTCCACGTTCACATGGACAGGCTCGTCTGACCCAACTCAAGCTGAGGGCAGGGAAGTCTGTGGCAGCAGTGGCCACAGAAGCCTGTCCTCCAGAAATGCCTCAATGCCCAAATCCCCTCGACGCGGAGGCTCTGAGAAGGGCAGAGCAATGGAAGGCAGCTCGTGCCTGTGGATTTCTAGTCTCACTTGTACTGTCAGTCCCCTCTCCTCCTCCTCCTGGGATTCTGGGTTGTCACAGCATTGGGTGGTCCCCCATCTCTCTGAGCTTGTCCCCTGTCCCCCCAGCCCTGGCTTGCTCTCCAATCACATCCTGTCTTGTAGTTCTGTGGACAGACATAGCATGCCAGCCACCGTCCCACCTCAGGGCCCTTGCAGTTCCTCTTTTCTCTGCCTGAACCTCTTTCGTTTGGATGTCACCTTCTCAGTGAGGACTTCCCTGTCTGACTCTGAAACCCAGCACTCCCTCCCCTTCCCTGCTCTTCCTCCTGCCAACTCCCATACTCCGTGTTTTACTGCTCTACCTGCCTCACTACCATCCTGCGAGCTCCTTGAAGGCAGGGGTTCTCGTCTGTTTTGTTCACTGCTGTATCTCCAGTGCCCAGCACAGAATCTGGCACAAAGTAGGCAACGAAGAATCTGGTGAATGAATTCAGTACCACTTGCCCTGTACTGGGAAATGTGCTGGGGGCTGAGCAAACAGAAATGGGGAAGCCTCCGTGTCCTGAAACGCCTCCTGGTGAGGGAGACTGTGGTACCATTCAGGGGCAAAGATCGTACGACATCCAGTAAGGCACCAGGTGGGACTGCCAAATAGGCAGGCCTGTCTTGTGGTGCCTAATTGGTATGGATGGGACCACCCAATAATCCAGCCATGAGACCTGAGATGAAGTAACTGGGCATTGATCTTCGAGGCCAGTGTTTGAAGCCATAGGTGCCCAGTTCCTGAGTCAAGAGCCAGCAGAGCTGACCCAGAGGAAGACAGAGTCCAGCCCCAGGGGTTCTGTATGCCTGGCAAGGCCAGGGCACTGTGCCCCACTGCTAACACCAGACAGCAGGCACGAACAGATAAAGATGCTTCAGCTGGGTGTGGTGGCTCATGCCTGTAGTCCCAGCGCTTTGGGAAGGTGAGGCAGGCAGAACCCTTGAGCCCAGGAGTTTAAGACCAGCCTGGACAACATGGCAAAACCCCATCTCTACAAAAACAAAAACAAAAATTAGCCAGATGCAGGGTGGCACACACCTGTAGTCCCAGCTGAGACTGAGGTGGGAAGATTGCTTGAGCCTGGGAGGGTGGGAGGCTGCAGTGAGCCCTGATCACACCACTTGACTCCAGCTTGGGCCATAGAGCAAGACCCTGTCTCAACTCAATTAAAAAAAAAAAAGATGCTTCCTTTTCAAACACAATGAGCCCTGTGCCAGGAAACAGCATGCCCTTTCTCATTCGGAGATGCCTGCCTTCTGGGAACTGCTCACCTGCTATTTCATTGGGAGCCTCTCCTACCCCCTTCACCCCCTCCTTACCCATACCTAAAACATATAAAGTGAAATTGCGAAGTCTCCTCAGAACAGAATCAGTTGTGAAAAACCTCAGCATAACGGGCTGCCCAGATCGGGGACTGCCAGATACCTACGGGTACAGATGAAGGAGGGAGTTGCAAGGGCCCCAGGTGAACGGCCAAAGAGAAAACCTTGGGTCTGAAGCAGCCTGCCTACCAGGAGGGGAAGGGGCTAGGAAGGCACTAGCATGCTTTAGAAGTGGCACAGATGGTCGGGAGGGAGAGTGAGGGCCGGTGGAGTATCTCAAGCTGCAGCCCAGAGCCTTCCGAGTGCAGGCTGCCCCTGGAACCCCAAAGGAGGTGGCTTAGAACCCAATGGGCCCTCTAATTTCTTCTGCTTTTCCTCCCCCACTTGCCTAAAAGTCCCTTCCGAGGGCAGGCTCCAGGCAGTCTCTCCTACAGACCTCCCTTAGGGCAAAGGTCATGCCTTCCAGCTGGCTCACCTGGCCTGGCTAGTCCCGCCCCTCGCCTCCGGCCCAGTCTTATCTCTTCTACTGGCCTTAGTCATTTACTCCACCCCCTTCGCCTAAGTCCAGGCCCCCCCTTCAAATTCCGAAGCTGTTCTCCACTACGCATTTGCCCAAGGGGTGCTGCCTTCTGCAGTGAAGAACCCTAGCGGCTTCCCTCACCCCGCCAGGCGACACTCTCCCCTGTGAAGTGACAGGGACCTCAAAGACAACTGCAGGCAACTTGCAATCAACTTAGAAGAGCTGGGCAGGCCCAGAGCAGACCCAGTATTCAGACTGCCTGAGCTTGCAAACACCTTGAAGGCAGGGAAGTGTCCCGTGTGTAATGTTCCCTGGGAACATAATCAACAGTCCCCGAAAGCCAGAAAGCAGGGTAAGGTTTGGGCCAGTGCCAGGGTGCCAGCACCTGGGGGAGACCCCAGTCAAAGGCAGCGACTCAGGCACTCCACCAACGCAAGGCTAGTTGGTGGGGGGAGGATATGGGGGGGAGTGAGAGCGCTCCCATTGCAGAGGTCTAGTGGCACACAATTAGTACTGCCTCCGACCCCTTTGAGTCTCCTTTTTCCCATCCCAGCAACCACTGTAACCACCTTTCAGCTGGGCCAGGACCTGGGGATGTTCTAAGGAATGTGCCTGCCCCATTGCTTTTCAGCGTCCCAGAAGCCCAAGCCAATGCCACCTGCCTCCTGCTCTGGCAGGGCAGGGCAGAAGTTTGGTGGATCACCAGGAACCAGCCCAGGGTGCTGCCACTCCAAGACCTGGTGGAGGCTAAGTGCAGAGACAGGACCCAGACCTCTCACATTGCTTTGAGAAAATCGGTCAGTCAAGGAAAACTGGCATGGCCCTCGGGGCGAGTGAGGTGTCATTTCCAGCCCTCTGTGGGAGAGCAGGGTGAGGGAAAAGGGAAAGAGAAGGCACTGGAGAGTTTGCATGGGCGAGGAGTAGGGTGCGGGGCTGTGTCGGAACCCAGTTCCCCACAGCACAGACACGCTCTCCAGAGACTGCGCCGCCAGGACCTTGGAGACACTTGTCGCCCGCACAGAGAAGCGGCTGTGCCAACAGCTCCCACCACCGGGCCAGACCGGCCGCCTCAAGGGCCACAACACACCTCCCACCACTGCAGCTTCTCGGCTGGGGAGAGGCAGGGCCCCGGCCCCACACCACGACCTGGGCTGGCCCCGAGGACTCCCCACCTCCACCATCCCAGAGGGACGGGGGAAGCCAGGAAACAGGCTCTGTGCAGCCGCCAAGAGCTACAGAAAAACTTCGCGGCGCTCAGCCCCCTCGGGGACCCGGCCCAAGGGTACGGCGCTGGGTACCACGCCGATCCCGCAAGGGCAGGAGGGCAGGGGCGCTGCGGCCGGAGGTGGGGCCCGCCGTCGGGTCCCCAGGGAGGCGCCCCAGCAGACGAGCCCCCTTCCTAGTCCACTAAAAGCACTTCCTGGAACTGCGCTGGGGAAGGAGCCGCCACCCGCGCACCTGGCAGCGGCTTCTACTCGCGGCCGAACGAGATGGCTCAGGTAACACGACCTCCCAGGCCAAGTCCGCTCTCCGCCAACTTCCCGGGGCCGCGGGCCGGGCCGAGCCAGGTGCGCGCCGCCGGAGCCCTGCGAGCGCCAGCCCCGGGGCCGCCGCTTACCTGGCTCCCGAGAGCTGGCGGGGTGCGCATCCGCGGGCCGCTCCCCGGCAGAGGCGCGGAAGCCAGCGGGCGCGGGTCGGCGGCGCGCGGGGACGCGGCGGGCAGCCCCGAAGCGCAGGAACAATCGCGGCCGCGCCGCTGCCGCTCGCACTTCTGGGCACCAGTGGAAGGCGCGGCCCCGCCCCCGCCCGTTGCCGGGAGACCCGCGTGGGCCGAAGGGCTCTTTGTATCAAGCTGCGGTGACATCACGAGGCGCCTGGGCCCCGGGACTCGGGGGCGGGGCCTCGCGCCGGGGCGGGGCGGGGGCGGGGGCGGAGGACAGGGACGCGGCCCCGGAACCCGAGCCGCGGGGCGGGGCCCAGGTAACCCCGCCCCCAAGGTAGGGGCAGGTGGCTCCAGGGCGCCGACCAATGGCCGCGCGGCCGGCCCCGCCTCCGGAGGTGGAGCTCGCCTGGGCGCGCCCAGCTCAGGGCAGCCCTGGCTGGGACTCCAGGAGTCGGCGTGTGAGCTCGCGCCCCTGCCAGGTAGGCGCTGTAGTCTCTTGCCCGTTCTGCGCCACCCTCACGGTTTTTTGTCACCGCACTGTGAGATTCCGGCCGGCGCTCCCCGGCTCACACTGCGCACCCCGCCCCACACGGTCCGCCGCCGCCTCCACCCCCTAATGAGTCCGGGGGCGCCTAGGCTGACTTTCATCCAGAGTCCTACCCACAACTTTTCCAGCCTTTTCATGTGAAGTCGGAACCATCTCCATAACCAGCCCAGGAACACAAAGAACCAAGCGGCAACGAGAACTAAAGAACCAAAAAAAAAAAGGAGAGGACCCTTCCTGTTGAATGCTAGTAAATACTATTTATGTCAAACATGTGTCCTCAGGCCGGGCACAGTGGCTCAGACAAAGTGGCCGAGGCGGAGGATCTTTGAGGCCAGGAGTTTGAGACCAGCCTGGGCAACATAGCGACATCTCGTCTCTACAAAAAATTAAATGTTTAAAAATGTACTCCCCATCCCCCCATCACTCTTAACCATGCCCTGGACTTTAAAAAGACAAAAATGAGATGAATGTAAAGCGGCAAATATTGCAAATGTGGTTGCCCTTTGACCTGCTGTTGCACTATATAACTTGAGTGAGGGGAGAGATTTATCTTCCTGTCTGGCTCAAAGCCACCTTTGCCTTCCCTGAGTCTTCACTGGCCAACAAAGTGGCAACGGCACTTTGGTACGGGCAGGACCAGTGGGGCATCTGGGTGCTTTGGTCCTGCACCACCCTACACACCCACCCACACCCACACATGCACACACACACATGCACACACGCACCAGCTTTGCCCACTTCTCTGCCTCTTGGCTGTCAACTTCCTTCTCAGTCTCTCCTGCCAGTAAATTCGCAGCGGCCCCTATGTTTACCAGGGCTTGTCTCTGAGGCAAAGCAGCCGCTGGAGCTCCCAGAACTGCTGGGGACTTTCCAAATGGGACAGCATTAGGTACAGGAGGGCCTCCTGGCCAGAGCCACCTAAGAGAGGAGCTAGAGCTGTGGCCCCAAGAGAAACTCCACTGCCCCAGCCCTCTCCTCGGAAAGTATGCCTTGCTGTTCAGAGATATATGTGCAGAGGCCAGACTGTTTCTCTTGTTTGGGTCCGCTCCCACAGTCTCTAACACACAGGAGCACTGTGGTGTATCATATAGAACACACATGTTGGTTGGATGTGGCGGCTCATGCCTGTAATCCCAGTGCCTATGAGAGGCCAAAGCAGGAGGGTTACTTGTGGCTAGGTATTTGAGGCCAGCTTGGACAACACAGCAAGGTATTTGAGGCCAGATTGGACAACACAGCAAGACCCCATCCCTACCAAAAAATTAGAAATAAAAACATTAGGCAGGTGTGGTGGCACGTACCTGTAGTCCCAGCTACTTGGGAGGCTGAAGAGGATCACTTGAGCCCAGGAGTTTGAGGCTGCAGTGAGCCATGATGGCACCACTGCACTCCAGCCTGGTTGACAGCAAGACCCTGTCTCTATTTGTTTATTTATTTATTTATTTTGAGATTTATATTTCATTCTGTTGCCCAGGCTGGAGTGCAGTGGCGTGAGCTTGGCTCACTGCAACCTCCGCCTCCTGGGTTCAAGCGATTCTTCTGCCTCAGCCTCCCAAGTAGCTGAGACTACTGGTGTGTGCCACCACGCCCAGCTAATTTTTGTATTTTTAGTAGAGACGGGGTTTCACCATATTGGCCAGGCTGGTCTTGAACTCCTAACCTCATGATCTGCCCGCCTTGGCCTCCCAAAGTGCTAGGATTACAGGCGTGAGCCACTGCGCCTGGCTGACCCTGTCTCTATTTAAAAAAAAAATAAGAGTACCTATGTGGTGTATCATACCACTGGCTTTGAAATCAAACAGACTTGGGTTTGAATTGAGTCTTATTTCCCAGATGTCTTGGGACAAGTTCTGTTACTTCTCTAAGACTCAATGTCTTCATCTGTAAGATGGGAATGGTACCTCACAGGATGTTGTACACCCTAGCACAGTGACTACACTTAATTTTAGGCACTCCTCAAAGGTGTGGTATGCGATTGAGCCCATGCACCCTGGGCCCACTCTATCTGCCTTCCCATCTCCACCCTGAGACCTTAAGCTCAGCAGTGTCCCAAAAGGTTTTAGGATGTGGCTGAGTCCAGGGGTTCTATCTTGGTTTCCCTTCTTCCCTTCCAAGTCCGATGTTGCCCCTAAGGATTATTAGGCTCAAAGCAGGTCACATGACAGGATCGTCCAGAACCAAGAAAGAAAAGCAGAAACCAAGGGTGATCATCCCTTCTCTGGTCGTGACTCTCTCCCAGAGAAGGTCAATGGAGAAAGTCAGGCCTGTCAAGCCCCCTCCCTGTCCCCACCATGGGCAGCCTGAGCGACATTTCTCAAGAGCTCTATGGAACGGGTGGTATCAGTAGGTCCTTCTTTATTTTTCTCAAAGGTAGTGGAGTGGGGAATGTCTGCAGGTACTTGTCCTTAAAAGCAGAGTGACAGAGAAAGGCCACAGATGCATTGAACACTCCTGGGTTTGAAGCCTGCCCGGTTCCACTTATCAAGGGAAGTCAATGTTTTGGAGCCTCAGTCTCTACCTCTAGAAAATGGAAATAAGACATTTCCTCTTGCAGTTGTGAAGTTTCAATGAAATGATAAAGTGTCTAGTGCAATGCCTAAGATGCTGCAGGTGCTCAATAAATGGCAGTTCCTAGTCACTACCAGCAGCATGAGTGAGCTGCAGTCTGACGCACTGGTTCTGTGCATGGGTGCCGGGGCCAAGGGCCATATCTTGGCTTTACCACCTTGTTGCTAAATGAACGTAGGCAAGTTTAAGTCCCAGTGTCTCAATTTCCTCATCTTTAAATTGGAGATAATAATAGTATGTATTTTAGAACTATTGTGAGGATCAAAATAATCAGGACCAGTAAAATACATAGAACAGAGCCTGGCACAGAGCAGGTAACCAATAAACAGTAGCTATTACTAATGATCATTATGGCAAGAGGCTGAGGGGAACAGAGGTGAGGATTAGAGGCAGCCTGAGGGAAAATTTAGGACCCTGACTTTTGAGGGAAGGGCTAACACTTTCCAGCAGGGTTCAGAGAAGCAATGATAGTCCAGTGGGGGGTGGGGTGGGGATGGTGACTGTATCTGATGGGTGAGATTAGACACAGGATGAATATGGGATCTGAGGGCTCTAACACAGGCTAGGATTCAGTGTCCTTGGTTCAAACGGGGGCTAAGAGTGAGTTAATAGGAAATATAATCCTGCCTTCTGAGCATAGCACCACCTATGAGGATGTGGGGAAGGAAGGTCTTGAGTTAGGTACCCTGGTCTCTTAGCATTACCTGTGAGGTTCCTTTTTTTTTTTAAAGAGACAATGTCAGGCCCGGCGCAGTGGCTCACTCCTGTAATCCCAGCACTTTGGGAGGCCGAGGCGGGCAGATCACCTGAGGTCAGGAATTCGAGACCAGCCTGGCCAACGTGACGAAACCCTGTCTCTGCTAAAAATACAAAAATTAGCTGGGTGTAGTGGCGAGCGCTTGTAATCCCAGACACTCTGGAGGCTGAGGCAGGAGAATCACTTGAACCTGAGAGGTGGAGGTTG
The DNA here is from genome assembly GCF_000001405.40 of Homo sapiens. NCBI lineage: Eukaryota > Metazoa > Chordata > Mammalia > Primates > Hominidae > Homo > Homo sapiens. The sequence goes on along the minus strand of NC_000017.11, from coordinate 31,484,148 downwards.
CAGTGAGCCAAGATTGTGCCACTGCACTCCAGCCTAGGTGACAGAGGAAGACTGTCTCAAAAAAAAAAAAAAAAAAAGATAAGATCTTGCTCTGTTGCCTAGGCTGAAGTGCCGTGGCACAATCATAGCTCACTGTAGCCTCAAACTCCTGGGCTCAAGCAATCCCCCCACCTCAGCTTCCCAAAATGCTGGGATTACAGGCATGAGCCACCATGCCTGGCCTCTCTGTGTCTATTTTCTTTCGCTGCCACCATGCAAGAGTTAGCTCAACATTGGATGGTGTAAAGAAGCAACATTCTGCACATGTTTGGGGCCATGTGGAACGACTGGCTAAATATATATATATATGGTTTCATGATCATTATTTTGAGAAAAGAACCCTTCTGAACATTACCTAATGTTAACATTAGCCAAGCAACTGATGCCAACCAATATTAGCCAAGTGAACAAACAACAGCTGACATAAATAGTATTGGAGCTAAAACAAAAAGTCTGGCAAGTTGTTCTCAAACTGAGTTTGTTGGAACCCTCAGGGTTCTGTGGAGACTTCGCAAAAGGGAAGATGTGCTCCAGGGGAACCACAAAAATAGCTCCACTTCTGTCTGCTGTACATGCTGTCTTCTGTATGAAACTTCATGTGAATAAAGGGTTCTATGGCTTTAAAAATATTTAAAATCACTGGTATAGTATAACCATTTCCCAGACAGGGGAATGAGCCCCAGAGGTGGGAAATGGCATCTCCCCTCACAAGTAGCACACTCAGTTAGTGGTGGAGCCAGGAGTAGAGCCAGGTTGCATTACTCTCAGTCTAGTGCTCTCCAAGGTGGACACCAGTCATTAATCAGGACTGTGAGCATCAGTCAAACCTGGTCCATCTTAGCAGGGCTTGATTCTGTCAACGCACACACAGAGGACATTCTTTCTTTACTTTTTTTTTTTTTTTTTTTTTTTTTTTTGAGATGCAGTCTCACTCTGTCACCCGGGCTGGAATGCAATGGCATGATCTCGGCTCACTGCAAACTCCGCCTCCAGGGTTCAAGCGATTCTCCTGCCTCAGCCTCCTGAGTAGCTGGGACTATAGGCGCATGACACCACGCCTGGCTAATTTTTGTATTTTTAGTAGAGACGGGGTTTCACCATGTTGGTCAGGATAGCCTCGAACTCCTGATCCCGTGATCCGCCCGCCTCGGCCTCCCAAAGTGCTGGGATTATGGGTGTGAGCCACTGCCCCCGGCCAGAGGACATTATTTCTGCCCAGCTGGGGCTCTATGTGTGGAAAAGCCCCCCTGGCAGCTGGCTAGGACTTTACCACAAGTACTTGTCCTCTCTCACCTCTCTCTCAGAGGTCCATTGACTCCACGCTCAGGAAGTTCAGCTACAACTCTTAAATCTCAGCTTTCATCCCAGGTGGTAAATTCAGTATTTGATGACTTAAGCAGTGGCTTAGGGAAGGGACTACCAAGCAAATAGGCAGGACTCTGAGACTGCAGAGGCCTCTTGACCCCAAAGGAAAGTCATTCCTAATTTTTTTTCTTTTCTTTTTTTTTTCTTTTTTTTTCTTTTAGAGTCTCCCTCTGTCGCCCAAGCTGGAGTGCAGTGGTGCGATCTTTGCTCACTGCAACCTCTGTCTCCTGGGTTCAGGTGATTCTTGTGCCTCCGCCTCCTGAGTAACTGAGATTACAGGCATATGCCACCACACTTAGCTAACTTTTTGTATTTTTAGTAGAGATGGGGTTTTGCTATGTTGGCCAGGCTAGTCTTGAACTGGCCTCAAGTGATCTGCCTGCCTCGGCCTCCCAAAGTGCTGGGATTACAGGCGTGAGCCACCGCACCTGGCCCCCAATTTTTTATTTAGAAAAAAAATGGGAATGACTCTTGGATCCAAAAGCCCTCTCTCGCCAGTGGGGATGTGTCTAGGGGTCTGCACTAAGCTGGCATCTTCTCTGACCACTCCTTCCTCTGCCTCTTCCCACCAAACCCAGTGAAGATGCAGGAGGCCTGGGTTCTGGGCTCTCCCTAACTTTTTGGGCCTCAGACTCCTCCCCTGGAAGAGCTTTTAGCTGGACAGCACATCTTTAGGTCTCTTCCAATTCTGCAACTCTGTGCCAGCCCAGGAGAGGATCTTGGACTGTGGAAACAAGGTGTTTCCCTTGGCAAACACTCCGGTGTTGGTGACTGTCCACTGGCCGGGATGATTTCACCAGCCTGCCCCCGGGGCTGGGTTCTCTTGTAACATCTGGCTGGATGCTGTGCAGACGGGGTGGGACCTGGTCTTATTGACTCTGGAGCCCAGGTTGAGTCTTCAGAAGCTCCAAGCTCTATTTGTGTCAACCTGTGCATGTATAAACAATGGGTTTTCTTACTCATTCAAGCTCAACGAAAGGGGGAAAATGGTGAGAAAACCAGTGTTTCCTCCCTAACAAACAAGCCCCCTGACTCATTCAGTCATCCAAGAAGAGGAGGTGGCAGGGGAGGAGGAAGTCCAGCAAGGTGTTCTTTTGACTTGAATTGGGTGAGAGCAAGGAGAAAAACTTCGTTTTCCTCTACTCTTGGTAACATCAGAGTTACCCAGACAGCAAAACCCAGGCAGCAAAAACAACTCTCCTTTCCCCAAACACCTCACCCTCCCCACCTCCTCCCAGACTTGGGCAGCACAGAGGTCCCACCCTGCGTGCCACTACCCATGTCTCTGATTGGCTATTAACTCAGCTAGAAGCTTTGTAGGAGTGGACTGCCCTTTTTCAGGAGTGGACAACCCTTTAAAGCAGTGGTTCCTAAACTGCACCGCACATCAGGATCACTTGAAGAACTTAAAAAACGCTTGGAATCACTTGAACCTAAAAAAATGTCAATAACATACCCCATGGCAACCTAATCCGAATGTCACGGTGGAAGCCAGGTGTTGGCAGTTTTTAAAGATCCCAGTGATTCTGATGCAGCAGTTTGGGAACTGCTTTGCTAAAGGCTTGCTGACAACAGTGGGTGCTGACATGATCACAGGTGAAGGGATCGTTTGTTCTTTGATTCCTTCATTCATTCTTTAATTCATTCCTTCATTCTTTCATTCATTCCTTCATTCTTTCAGTCATTCCTTCATTAATTCCTTCATTTGTTCAAAACAGTTAGTGCCAGGCTCTGTTCTAGGTGTTGTAGACACAGCCTTGATCAGTACCAAGTCTTGGTTGATTCTTGTGGAGCTGACATTTTAGTGGGAGAAGTCAGATGATGAAACAATAAATTAATGAGTGACATATATAATATGTGCTCTGAAGAAAAACAAAGCAGGGTATGGGCATAGAGAGACCCTGGAGGCAGGGAGACTATTTTCTTTCTTTTTTTTTTTTTTTTTTTTTTTGAGACGGAGTCTGGAGTCTGGCTCTGTCGCCAGGCTGGAGTGCAGTGGCGTGATCTCGGCTCACTGCAACCTCTGCCTCCTGGGTTCAAGCGATACTCGTGCCTCAGCCTCCCGAGTAGCTGGGATCACAGGCACGTGCCACCACACCCAGCTAATTTTTTTATTTTTAGTAGAGAGAGGGTTTCACCATGTTGGCCAGGGTGGTCTCGATCTCCTGACCTAAAGCGATCCACCCACCTCGGCCTCAAAGTGGTGGGATTACAGGCGTGAGCCACCGCACCCGGCCAGGGGGACTATTTTCACTATGGATTTAGGCACCAATTTTTGCTTCAGGAAAGGGTGGCTGTGCACTTGCCTGCTACTCCAGACTTTATCATTTATCCACTCTCTGGCCAAAACAGCCTTTCTTGACCATGCTCAATGTCCTACCTGCTGCCTCCCTGCTTGCCTCTTTCTCATAAGCTCCTCCTTCAGGGCCGAGGCCTGGCATCCTGGCACACAATGTTCTCGCTCCTCCTCCTCCCCAACTGTCAGCAGTAACATCTGACAGGGGCCTGAGTGAGGCAGTAATCTGTCAAGGATCATTTATGTGCAGCCGCCGAGGGCTTGTGGGGTGAGAGGCCGTGTGGAGCAGTGGAGAAACAGTGGAACTCAGGGCCAGAAGACCTGGATTTGAGGCCTGGATCTGCCACATATTGGCTAAAGGCAAGTAACTTCACCGAGCCTCAGTTTCCTCCTCAGTCAAATGGAGAGAGTACAACCAACTTTGTAAGACTGGGAGATGCGTTAGAAGAGAAAAAGTCAAAGACTTTTGCCCCGTGTTTTGCAAATATGAGGACTTTAAAACAATTATCTAGGCCTATATAAACATGAAATCACAATGCATTAAAGCTGGAAGGGATCCCATTTCACCAATGGGAAACAGGCCGAGAGAGAAGAAATGACTTACCTATAGTCACAAAGCTTGCTAACGGCAGATGGACCCACACCAATCCTAGAAAAGGGAGGTGGTTGGGAGTAGAGTAGGTATGCTGTTTTTAGTACCAAACTTTTGGCCTCCTCTGTCCACCAGGCAAACTCCTATTCATCCTTCAAAACTCCACCCAGGTATGATTTCCCAGGTGATGCCTTCCCTGTCTTCTCCAGTGATAATAAATTATTCCTTGGCTTCATGATGTCTATGCCTCAATCACAAGCTGTGTTACTAAGAGGAACACACTGAATTGTCAGGATTGGCCTCCTGTCAGGTCCCCTACCATTCTGCAATTCCTGAGGACAGGGTCCATGCCCCTGGTGTCTTTGGACTTAAGCTCCTAACATGTCTGGCACACAGTAATCACCTGGGGAATGGTTAGGGCCCTGAATGGGACTGAGAATCCCTCACCCACAGACAATGGAAAGCTGAGGACTTGATTTTTGAATTAGCGGAAGCCTTTTCTGAAGTTCCTGAGATGGGCATTTGAAAGGTGAGAGACCTTCTCAAGTCAGGCTGCCCTCTTCCCAGACACATCAGATCTCAACTCTGAAGAAACAATTCCTCTACCTAATGGGAACCTTGGACAAGGGCCCTGAAACCAAGGAGAGAACATTTCCCTGCAGCCTATTGTTGATAACAGCTATGTACTATGTGCCAGCCACTTCATTTCTTAATTTAATCCAACAATCTTGTAGAGTAGATGTTACTGCACTCATGAAACAAATAAGGAAACTGAGGCTCAAGAGGATTAAGTGGTGGCAGAGACAAGATTTGTACCCAGATCTGGCCCACGTTCAGGACTCCCTTCTGCCTCTCTTGTTGCATCACTGGCTTACTTACAGCAACCGGAATTGCCTGGGAAGCAGCAGAAACTAATTGGTAAGGATGATTGAAGACCATGAGCAATTAAAGGCCTCAAGTTCCTCTTCATCATCCTTGGGTTGCAGGTGTCTGCTGTCCAGCTCAGCAGTGTCTCAGTCAGTGGCAGCCCACATCAGGTGTCTATGATTTGCCACATGCACCTCTGCAGTCCTACCTGCTGGCTTAGAGCTGAGGACTGGCCACTACCTGCTGTTGACTTGGCTGCTGCCTCCTGCCCCAGTTCTAAGCCCAGGGAGATGCATCCTGCCATTTCCCTGGCTGCTACCAGATAAGCTAAGCAGTATGAGGCCAGGGCTCCAGGGAGGGAGGGAAGGAAGCAGTATTTGTTGTCTTCAAAGACGTGTTTTGTGGAAACCCCATCCCACTCTGATAGCAAGAAATTGATCTGTGGTCAAATCAGCCGGTGAAATTCTTCACTCCCTCTTGAAGATGTCACAGGCACCTCTGCAGGAGAGAAGCCTCCCTAGCTTTTAACCCCAGGCTTCCTTAAGGCAACTGGGCTTGGACAGGACCCTTCTTATTTAACATTTAACAACACAAGGGATCAGTGTTCTGAGAAGAGCACACCTGGGCAAACAATGCACCAGGCTCCCAACACGCGCGGAAGGCAGACGTTATGTTCATCTTAAAGGTATTTACAGCTGGCCAGGCACGGTGGCTCATGCCTGTAATCCCAGCACTTTGGGAGACCAAGGCGGGTGAATCATTTGAGGTCAAGAGTTCGAGACCAGCCTGGCCAACATAGTGAAACCCCGTCTCTACTAAAAATACAAAAATTAGCCAGGTGTGGTGGTGGTCGCCTATAATCCCAGCTACTCAGGAAGCTGAGGCAGGGGAATCGCTTGAACCCAGGAGGTGGAGGTTGCAGTGAGCCGAGATCTAGCCACTGCACTCCAGCCTGGGTGACAGAGACTCTGTCTCAAAAAAAAAAAAAAAAAAGTATTAACAGCAAATGGCCACATAGCACTTAATATATACAAGCTCCGTTCTAGTGCTTCACATGATATGAGCTCATTTAATCCTCCCGACAACCCTACGAGGCAGGTATTATCCCCATTTTACAGATGGGGAAACTGAGGCTCAGAGAGGTTACTCAAGGACATACAGCTAGTAAGTTGAGAGCCAGGAGTCAAACCCAGGCAGCCTGGCTCCAGAGACTGTGCACCTAGCCGTTATCCTATGTAAAAAAGAGAGGCTCGGTTTTGTATAATAAAATAACTTCCCCAAAGTAACCATCATAGAACCAAGACCATTCATTCATTCACCCCGTCATTCATTTACTCAAACAAGAATCACTGAGCAGAAACCGCAGGCCAGACCTAGTGCTGGCCACCCAGAGACCAAGGAAGAACAAGGTGCAGCCTTGCTGTGGACCTGCCGGCTGCCTGTCCAGGCGCCTCTGACGCCCGCGCTGCTCTTCTCCCCACAGCTTGTCTGGGGACCTGGGGCTCTGCTGTCAGCTTCGCACCCTCCCAGCCGTGGCTTCTCATCTATATCTGATGGGTCAAGGAGGGTGGGCGGGGAGCACCCAGCTTCTCCCCAAGCCCAGGCTCCTTCCTCAGCCCCACAGGGGAGCACTGAGCCCCCCACCAGGTAAGTGCCCCCTCCTCACAGTCGTGTGGTTGCTCCCTGCCTGAGGAACACTCCAGGTGGCAGCCATTAGTCTCAGATTTAGCGGCCTCCTGAGAGGCGGGATGACAGTGGACGATGACGACTCTGAGTCTGTTCTGGGGTTGGAAGGACACACACTGAAGGGCTTGTAACTCCACTCTGAAAGCAGAGTCCCCCGCAATTGTCTCCTAAATTATCTCAGTGATGCTGGGATGAAGAAGTATCCCAAACCACAACACGCAAGCTACCCCACAAAAGACAGAAGAAGGGCTGCAGACTCTGCCCTGTGGAGAAGGTGGTGGGGCTGGGGAGAGGGCGGCTCCCTGGGGCCTGCCCAAGTTTATCCCCTGAATAAACAGGAGGCCACAGCAGACCGGATGGGCTGGTGTCGGGAGACTGGCTGGCCTCCGTGCTCAGTCACAGATGCCTCCTTTGTGCCTCCCCTGCCAGGGCTGGGCTGGGCAAAGGAAAACCAAAGGTGCCCGGCCTCTGGACACGGAGCCACTGTTCCACCCACTTAGGGGAAAACCACGGCCCAGCAACAGCTCTGTGGCTGCAGCCCAGGAGGGCTGAAGGAGCTTCTGTGTTCACGTAGAAACTGGAGAGGCCAGTGCAGTGGGGAGGCAGGCTGCTCATGGGGTGCCCTAAAAAAGAAACCTTTCTTCCAGGCCAGGTCCCCTGTGGTCCCCACTGGATCACAAGGCCACATTCATGGGGTGAAGCCCCCTAGTGCCCCACCAGCCCAGGTTTCAGCCCCAGCTCTGCTATTACTACCTGTAGCTCGTCTAGTCTCTTAGCCTTGGTTTCTTATGTGACCAACAGAGTTAATAGTACACACGAGGCCAGGCACGGTGGCTCACACCTATAATCCCAGCACTTTGGGAGCCCGAGGTGGGTGGATCCCTTGAGGTTAGGAGTTTGAGACCAGCCTGGCCAACATGGTGAAATCCCGTCTCTACTAAAAATACAAACATTAGCTGGGCGTGATGGCACGTGCCTGTAATCCCAGCTACTTGGGAGGCTGAGGCAGGAGAATCACTTGAACCCAGGAGGCAGACATTGCAGTGAGCCAAGATTGCACCACTGCACTCCAGCCTGGGTGACAGAGGAGGACACCGTATCAAAAAAAAAAAAAAAAAAAAAAAAAAAAAAGTTCAGTCGATTCTCATTATTTGCAGTAGTTATGCTCTATGAAGTCACTACAAACACAGAATCGTGAATACTGAACCATTGCCCCTAGGGGAAATACTGGTTCAATTCCTGTGAGCCTCTGATCACAACATTTTCATCAAACGATCAATGCATAACCTTGTTTTAAGCATGTCTCTGTTTAAAGACACTATATTTAATACATATTGTTGATTCATTAACATTGAACTCACTGTAGCTCATGCCTGGGCAAAGCTTATCTAACACTCAGTCGTTATTTTCTCCACAAGGCACGTCCCAGCCTTCTTGCATTTAGGAACACTAGACAGCCTTTGGGGGCCATTTCAAATAGCAAAATCGCCAAAAAAAAAAAAAACCACACAAAAATGCAGAAAACGTGGCACTAACTAGACCGTGAAGAGGACACTTGTTTACAGTATGAGAGCTGAAACAAGAAGGCCGCTTGTCGCCTTGTTTGACCTCAGCTGGGAACATGCACGTTGGGCAACTCACATCTTCACCACCGTGAGAATGTTTGCAAATGATCACAAAGGCTCTGCGAGTATTGATTTTGGTGTTACAAATGAATTTCAGCAAGCAGGCAAATTTGCAAATACAGAATGTGCAAGTAATAAGGACCAACTGTATCTGTGTCACAGGGGTTTTGAGGGATGGCTTGTTAAATGAAAGAATGCACGACGAATGCTTAAGCGTAGCAACAGCTCACATCTTTTTACTGTAACTAGTATTATTTGCTGAACCTACCACGTCTTGACAGCTTAGAATGTCTTTCTTTGTGCTTTTTCCAGTGAATGAAGCCCAGAGTCAGGTTTGAAGCGCACCAGTGCCCTTTGCAGCTGGGAGACTTGCAGGTTAAGCTGACTCTCCTCTCTTCTTGTCTTCTCATCTCCAGCACTGCTTCCCACCACTCACTCACAGCCAGTGACCATGCCCAGTGACCTCCCCACCAGCTCTACACACCAACCTGCACAGGTGCCTCTACTCTGCCTTCTTCTTGATACAAAGCATTATTCACAGATGGACCCTTCCATGTGGGCCCTGGACCCCATCCCCTTCAAGGTTTTGCTCCTGCCCTCCCCTTCTGAATCATCCATTTCTCCTTCTCTATGAGTTCCTCTCCTCACCACATTATGCCCCTGGCTTTAAACGTTCCTTCAAGTTCCTCCCTGAACACCACAGCGGTTGAAATGAACTAACTAGAGTGTCACGGGTCCTCATCTTACCTTAACAATCCTCATAGCACCTGGTGAGGTGAATCTCTGTTTTTTTTTTGTTTTTTGTTTTGTTTTGTTTTGTTTTGTTTTGTTTTTTGAGACAGTGTTTCGCTCTGTCGTGCCCAGGCTAGAGTGCAGTGGTGCAATCTTGGCTCACTGCAACCTCCACCTCCCGGGTTCAAGCTATTCTCCTGCCTTAGCCTCCCAAGTAGATGGGATTACAGGCACCGGATCTCTCCTTTAAACACTTTCTCTCTTTTTTTTTTTTTTTTGAGATGGAGTCTAGCTCTGTCCCCCAGGCTGGAGTGCAGTGGCGCAATCTCAGCTTACTGAAGCCTCTGTCTCCCAGGTTCAAGTGAATCTCCTGCCTCAGCCCCGAGTAGCTGGAACTACAGGCATGCACCACCACACCTGGCTAACTTGTGTATTTTCAGTAGAGATGGGTTTCATCATATTGGCCAGGCTGGTCTCAAACTCCTGACCTTAAGTGATCCACCCTCCTCGGCCTCCCAAAGTGCTGGGATTACAGGTGTGAGCCACCGCACCTGGTCCCTTTAAACCTTTCTTAGCTTGGTTCCAGGGCACCACCCCTCCAACCTCCTCAGCTCTCAAGGTTGGCATGCTCTGTGCTTCAATCCTCTTCCCTTCTCACCTAGCCTGAGACTTTAAATTCCACCAGTGCTGATGTCCCCACCCCACATTGTTGCCACCCAGCCTAGACCTCTTCCTGGAGCTCCGAACTAAATGCATCCAATTGCCTGTGAGGAAGTTGACTGGGGAATGTCTTAGGGCTTGGCCTGTGAGGGCACAAGGGATGCAGGATGGGCAGAGGGAGAAGTGGATTGCATTGCAGCTGCAATGAGCCTCAGCTGATCCCCGGGGCATCTGGAGCCAAGATAGTCCTTCAAAGTTGCCCAGAAAGAGGCAAGGGGGCAAAATCATTGTGTCCCCACCTGGACCAGCCTTCAGATGAGGGCTGCCCCAGGATGGGTCTGTCATCTTGGGCAAGGCAGCCCCTTTGGCTCCTGGGGACGGTCTGCAGCAGCCAACACTTCTGGCAGGTGGCCTTGGACCTCAAGGGGATGTGGATGCATACCACAGTGTGCAGACGACTTCAACTGACTATCCAGTGGGCAGCTCAAATTAACATGCTTACCACCCAAATGTCAAGTTTCCCTCCATGCCCGCTGAGCAAATCGCACCAACCTCCATGCAGGAGCTCAGGTGAGGACCATGGAATAGCCCTGGATGGCTCTTTCCTCCACCTACATCAGCAGTCCTGGCAGCCTGGCCGAGCTGACCGCCTCCTTCTCACCTTCTTTTCCCTGGACAAATGCAACCACCTAACTCTTCCCGATTCCAGTGCTGTCTTCCTCCAGGTGCTGCAGGGGCTCTTTTTTGAGACAGAGTCTCACTCTGTCGCCCAGGCTGAAGCGCAGTGGCGTGATCTCAGCTCATGCAGCCTCTAACACCTGGGCTGCAGTGATGCTCCCATCTCAGCCTCCGAGTAGCTAGGACTACAGGAACATGCCACCATGCCCAGCTAATTTTTTTTTTTTTTTTGGTAGAGACTGGGTCTTGCTTTGTTGTCCAGGCTGGTCTTGAACTCCTGGCCTCAAGCAATCCACCTGCCTCAGCCTCCCAAAGTGCTGGGATTATAAGCGTGAGCCACTGTGACTGGCCAGGGATATTTTTAAAACATCAGGCAGGTCTTGTCATTTCCCAGCTAAAAGCCCTTGCCTGGCCTCTTGTGCAGACTCCTTGCTTGTGCTCTCAGAACCTCTGCCCGGGTCCTCCTTCCATTCCATTCCACCTTCCCATCACTCAGCCACCAAACAGCCAAGCTCTTTCCCACTCCCCCACCTCACGTGCCTCCATCCCTCACTTCTTTTTTCTTTTTTGTTTTTTTGAGACGAGTCTTGCTCTGTTGCTCAGGCTGGAGTGTAGTGGCATAATCTCGGCTCACTGCAACCTCCACCTCCCAGGTTCAAGCGATTCTCCTGCCTCAGCCTCCTGAGTAGCTGGGTCTACAGGTGCCTGCCACCACGCCCAGCTAATTTTCGTATTTTTAGTAGAGATGGGGTTTCACCATGTTGGCCAGGCTGGTCTCGAACTCCTGACCTCAAGAGATCCACCCTCCTCAGCCTCCCAAAGTACTGGGATTACGGGCATGAACCACCATGCCTGGCCTCCATCCCTCACTTCTGTCTGGCTCGGCTCACGTCACCTCCTGCATGAGGCCCTCTTCCTAGAGAAAAACCCCCACCATGGCCATCCCTGTCTTCCCTTCTGCTTCGCCTTCTTGATGCACTTTCTCTATCAGCATGGGCGCTACTGACTTATTTCCGTGTTCATGGTCTTGCTTCTCCCCTCAGACCGCAATTCTTTGAGAGAAGGGACCATGTCTTCCTGTGCGCAGGTGTATCCCTGGTGTGCGGCTGGGATTCATCCTGGGCCGGTTGTGAGGACCAGGGATGGTGAGCGCTGGGGCCGCCTGTGGCCGTGTCTCTGAATGAAGCCTTTATGATGAGAGCCATGACTCAGCGCGTAAGGCCCAGCTTGGCTGCCAGCTCCCTGCGGCTGGCCCCGACCCCCAGGGCAGAACCAGCCACTCTCTCCCCAGGTTCCCTGCGCTGGGTATGGGGGGAGCACTCATCACGCGGCACTGCACAGTGGTTCTTTATGAGCCCAGGGCGGTGCTCAGCCAAGGTCTGGGGACCTGACCTCAGGTGGGCAGCCCCTTTCCTGTTCTGTGACTCTGCATTTTTTTTTTTTTTTGAGACAGACTTTTGCTCTTTTTGCCCAGGCTGGAGTGCAATGGCACGATCTCAGCTCACTGCAACCTCCGCCTCCCGGGTTCAAGCTATTCTCCTGCCTCAGCCTTCCGAGTAGCTGGGATTACAGGCACTCGCCACCACGCCCGGCTAATTTTTTGTATTTTTAGTAGAGATGGGGTTTCACTATGTTGGCCGGGATGGTCTCAATCTCTTGACCTTGTGATCCACCCACCTCTGCCTCCCAAAGTGCTGGGATTACAGGCGTGAGCCACTGCGCCCGGCCCCGTGACTCTGCATTTGAGGGCTTCAGCCAGGGCGCCTCCCCACCTGAAAAGGCTCCCTGTTTCAGACACACATCCAGGCCCAGCCTGCAAGGCTCATCGCCAACTTGAGCGTCAGGCTCTCCCACTGGGCAGCAGCAGGGTGGGGGCCTTTCATCCTCACATTAGCACCGAGAGCTCGGGAGCTGCTTCTGTGCACACCCAGACTGTCCCCCAGCACCTCTAGCCTGCTCACAGCTGGGCACACGGCCACCTCTCTCCCCTTCAGCAGCCCTGACTTTGCAGCTGGGCTCCGCCACTTCCCAGCTGGGTGACCTGCTTGACAGCTGAGCCTGTTATCTGTGAAATGGGGATAGGAATAGTATCTCTCTCACGAGGTTGTTGGGGGCTTGGCTGGGGTAACATGTCTAAAGCAGTTAGTTCCTGTGACCTCAGTATGTGTGCATTTCTATGAGTGCTCCGGCACTGATATGTGACCAAATATTATAATCCTGGACACTTAAAAAACTCCCATTTCCAGCTGGGCGCAGTGGCTCACGTCTGTAATCCCAGCACTTTAGAAGGCTGAGGCAGGAGGATCACCTGAGGCCATGAGTTTGAGACCAGCCTTGACAACACAGTAAGATCTTATCTCTACAAAAAAAAAAAAAAAATTAGCTGGGCATGGTGGTGTGTGCCTGTGGTCCCAGGTACACAGGAGGTTGGGGTGGAAGGATCGTTTGAGGTCAGGAGGCCAAGGCTGCAGTGAGCCATGATCGCACCCCTGCACTCCAGCCTGGGTGGCAGTGAAACCCTATCTCAAAAAAAAAAAAAACCTTCCATTTCCCAGACATACTTTTATGACATATGATTTTAAAACATTTCCTTCAGCTTTTAACCAGGGCTAATGGAAATATCAAAAGTTTCTGTATTTAAAAACAATAACATTGATTTTTAAAATAAAACTTCTACAGAAAACTGCATCTACTATGTGGCCCATTGTCTCCTCTATAATGACTCCCCTCCTCCTTGAAGCCTTTATGATGAGTGCCATGACTCAGCTGGCAAGGCCCTCCTGCCAGGAGTTTATAGGGGACGGTCATTACAGAGGAGACAATGTTCACTTGCCTCTCTGAGCCTCAGTGCTCACATCTGTGAAATAGGGATAAACGTACCTACCACACAGGACAGTTAAGAGGCCCACTCAGTAACTGGCTTCATGCACCTAGCAGAGTGGGTGGCACATGGTAGGTGCTTAGGCAGCACTCATCCCCATGGTGCCACACCCAGCCCATGTGTTAAGCACCTGCTTCCCTCCATTGGATCATGAGAGCCATGTATCATCCATTCCTGCTTCTGCCAGGCCTGTGGGGATGCTCAGATATAAGCCTGCTTCCCTACTGTAGTTCTGTGGGCCCAATACTTGGGCTCTCCCTGCTTGCCTACTTGCCTTTTGAACTCTGACCTTCATGGTTTTAAGGCATCTCATGTCTCTCACTGTGAGCACCTCCAAGGCCACAAGTAGCAGAGCATCAATCACCCTTCCAGGAAGAAATGTGCCAGGGGGTAGAGCAGAAAGCCAGGAGAGGGCTGGTGTTTGCATCAATGAGGGCCAGATCTGCATACCCATGGTGCAGGTGCCTGAGGACCACAGGAGGGCTTCCTGTGTCTGGGAGACTGACTGTTCTTGGACTCTGCTACCCCAGGGAGGTCACAACCACTTTGATAGTGGCAGGCAGAGGATGTGGGATGGGTCTCAGAAGCAGCGACTCTCAGGCCCTCGGCTTCCTCTGTTCCCACAGTGAGAGGGGAGGAGATTAGACTGTGTGGCCTCTGAGAAGGTCATGAGGTCACATGAGTCTGCAGGGGCACCCCTGCTCTGTGTCAGGCACATGGTGTGAAGGAAGGACCTGTGAGGCAGTCAGGTGGAGATTTCAATTCCAGCTCCTTCATTTAGTATTTATGTCAGCTCAGGTAAAGCCACTCTTGCCTGGGTCTCCGCTTACTCATCTCAGAGTTGTTGAGAGGCTCAGAGGAGACAATATTTGCTTAGATTTTAGTTGGACCGCCAAACGGTTTAGTTGCTTTAATTAATGTCACCATGCCAGATTGCCTTACGGATAGACATGCAGAAACTGCAAGCAAACCAGAAATGAGAATAAGAATTCTTCCCTACTCTTTCGTAATGTCTCAAAGAGGCCTTTCCTTATGCCCCAAATCAAAATCTTTTCTTTCTCCTAGATATAGTCTCGCTTTTTTTTTTTTTTTTTTTGAGAGAGGGTCTCACTTTGTCACCCAGGCTGGAGTACAATGGCATGGCATGATCATGGTTCACTGCAGCTTCAACCTCCTCAGCTCAAGTGATCCTCCTGCCTCAGCCTCCTGAGTAGCTGGGACTACAGGCACACACCACCATGCCTAGCTCATTTTTTTTAAAATTTATTTTTGTGGAGACAAGATCTCATTATGTTGCACAGGCTAGTCTCAAACTCCTGGGCTCAAGTGATCCTCCTCCCAAAGTGCTGGGATTGTAGGCATGGGCCACCGTGCCTGGCCTTGCCTTGTTTTCTCATAGCACCTGTCCTCATTCCATTTGGACCTGCCTATGTGTGTGAGTAACTGCCCAATTACCCCTCCCAGACCGAAAGCTTTAAGAGGGGCCATTGGTTCCCCAGTGCTCAGAACAGCCCCTGGCCCATCGTGAACGCTACATATTAGATGAGCTAATGAATGCATGTGTCAGGTGCACAGCATCTGCCCACACCACGTTTGATGTTACTTGGGCAATCTGCAAATGTCTAATGCTCACAGGAACCCTGAGGGCAATAAGAATGAAAGCCAATACTTACGAGGGGCTTATTCTGTGCCAGACACTGTTCTAGGAGCTCAAATATGAGCTCATTTAATCCCTCACAGTCCTATCAGGTAGGCATGTATACATCTGGATTTACTGTGAAGCTAACAGAGCTTAAGCTTCTAGGACCCTCACGTGCTCCAGAGGGGCCCTGCCAGTGTGTTCACATGGTTAAGTGTTTGTAAACTTTGCACAAGATGTTGAGATTCCTTTTTTTTTTTGAGACAGAGTCTTGCTCTGTCACGAGGCTGGAGTGCAGTGGTGCGATCTTGGCTCACTGCAACCTCCGCCTCCTGGGTTCAAGCGATTCTCCTGCCTCAGCCTCCTGAGTAGCTGGGATTACAGGTGCCCACCACCACACCCAGCTAATTTTTTGTACTTTTAGTAGAGATGGGGTTTCACCATGTTGGCCAGGATGGTCTCAATCTCTTGACCTTGTGGTCCGCCTGCCTCGGCCTCCCAAAGTGCTGGGATTACAGGCATGAGACACAGTGCCCAGCCAGAAATTCTTTACCTTAAAAAGGGCTCTACATGTGGTAAGAGCTTCAGGCCCCACACAACCCAGATCCACCAGAGAATGCATTGCTCTTCCCATTTCGCATATGAGAAGGCTGAGGCACAGAAAGATTAAATAACCTGCGCAAGGACATTCAGAGCCAGGATTTGGATGCAGGACCAAAGCCCTCTCCACTCTGCCCCAGGCCTCTCAAATCTAAGGAAAGGAGCCCAGAACAGTGGTGGCATGTGTCTGCCTGAGGCCAGCTTTGCATGTGTGTGGGGGTCTGAGCAGAGGAAGCGAGGAAGGGAGACGAAGCGAGGAAGGGAGACAGAGGCTCTGATCAGAAGAGTCCCAAGTTCACAGCCCAGAGCCCTAAGCACCAGCTACTTGGCATCAGAATCCTGCTAAATCTGACCATCTCCTCCCCCAACCCCTCGTGACCCAAATCTATTGTTTGCCTTTCCAGCTCCTGGAAGCACTGAGTGCAAACTACAATGGACCAGCGCAGCTCACCCCGAATAAACCTGCTCTCTGTCCCCTTCCCCTTCCCAGGCCCCTCCTTCACTGGGGCTGCAGGGCCCAGTCATCTCGAACACCAGGCAAGGGCAAACAGGAGCTGGCAGGCTGGGCCTCAAGGGCAGGCCTTCCACTTGCTATTTTGCAAAAGGCCGGTTTCAGCTGCCTGGGCATTCAGTTACCTTAATTAGAATGGGCCCCAAGCTCGGGGCAGATTCTATCACAGCAGGGATGGGAGAAGAGGAAAAGAGCGGTAATGGAGCTGCCCTCCCTTGGGCACTGAGATGGAGAGCGGTGGGTGGCAGGAGTGGGGCAGTGTGTGCCTGGGCCCTCCACAGGCTTGAATGGCCTCACTCAGTCCCTCAGTCCTCAGAGCAGAGAGAGTAGCTGGGACTACTCTCTCCCCAGGTGGAGAGTTTCAGAATGTGCTCACAAAGCCCATTCTGAGGCTGAGATCAGTGGGGATGTAGACTTCTGTCATGTCCCTGGGCCA
The DNA here is from genome assembly GCF_000001405.40 of Homo sapiens. Taxonomy (NCBI): domain Eukaryota; kingdom Metazoa; phylum Chordata; class Mammalia; order Primates; family Hominidae; genus Homo; species Homo sapiens. Next base: position 31,467,541 of record NC_000017.11, on the reverse strand, counting down.
AACTTAGCATCAGAACCACTCAGAGAAGAGAATTAAGTCAGAGAGAAAGACTGAGGGCAGGATGAAGAAGGGGAGTACCAAGAAGAGACTGCTTTCTGTTTTTTTCTGGAAATACTAGGAAGTGGCTAGGCACCGTGGCTCACGCCTGTATTCTCAGCACTTTGGGAGGCAGAGGCGGGCAGATCACCTGAGGTCAGGCATTCGAGACCAGCCTGGCCAACTTGGTGAAACCCCCATTTTAGTCTCTACTAAAAATACAAAAATTAGCTGGGTGTGGTGGCATGCGCCTGTAGTCCCAGCTACTCAGGAGGCTGAGGCAGGAGAATGCTTGAACCTGGGAAGTGGAGGTTGCAGTGAACCGACATCATGCCACTGCACTCCAGCCTGGGCGACAGAGCAAGACTCCATCTCAAAAAAAGAAAAGAAAAGAAAAGAAAAGAAAGAAATACTCAGGAGCTAGATGCAGGAGGTATGGTTTAAGGACACTGGGCCTTAACTCCATTTTCTTCTCCAGACAGGGAAGGAAGTGGTCTTGTTGACACCAAGAGCCAGGAGAGCCAATGTTTGAGAACATTCCTTTAAACCAAAATGCAGAGATTTGAAGTGTAAATTTGTCCAGAAAAATGGAAATAAGCTTTGAGTATAAATAAGAATTGACATAATAAAGCTTGAGCTTTTGAGACTCAAGGTGGTAGCATCCCTGGGTCCCCATTAGGGACTCTGAGGGCTAAGGGAAGCTCAACTTTGCTCTGTATGGCCACCTGGTTTCCATAGACTCTGCCTTCCTGGCTACTGGGACTGGGGAAATTACCCCAACCCCAGAGTGTGTAGGAAGGTACATGAGTGAATGGGGGAGTGCAGAGGGTCTTTTTCTGCCAAGCTATAATCTACCAGCGGAGCCACGGTTGGCACTGGAAGGCGGTAGACGCCCAGGCAGGAACTATGTGGGACGAGTGTAGAAGCCCCAACCAACTTTGCTACTCAGAGTCTGCATAACCTCGGCAAAGTCTCAGCATCTCTCTGCATAACATTCTCAGCCTGTAAAATGGTGTAACAGCTGCTAACACTTAGCACATAACTATGCGATAGACACTAACCTAAGTACTTTTTACTAATTCATTTAATCCTCATAACACCTTAGGAGGAAGGCATCACCACCTACAGGAAAGGAAACAAAGGCACCGACAGGGGAAGAAACACATTAAGGTCACAGGACTAGAAGTGGCGGATTCAGGAATCAATCCCGGGCTGCCTGGGTCCAGGGTGTATGTCCTTAACCACAACATGACACTGTCTCTGCCTCCTTCCCCTGGGACCCACTGTCCTCAAGTGCACCAGATAAGCAATGCTGTAAATGAAGTAGATTAGTCAGGGGCTGGGATTCTTTTTTTATTTTCTGAGACCGAGTCTCACTCTGTCACCCAAGCTGGAGTGCAGTGGCGTGATCTCGGCTCACTGCAACCTCCGCCTCCCGGGTTCAAGCGATTCTCCTGTCTCGCCCTCCCGAGTAGCTGGGACTTACAGGCGCGTGCTACCACACCCGGCTGATTTTTTTTTTTTTTTTAATTTTTAGCAGAGATGGGGTTTCACCATGTTAGCCAGGATGGTCTCGATCTCCTGATCTTGTGATCCGCCCGCCTCGGCCTCCCAAAGTGCTGGGATTACAGGCATGAGCCACCGCACCTGGCTCTTTTTTTTATTTTTTAAAGACAGGGTCTTGCTATGATGTTACCCAGGCTAGAGTGCAGTGGCCACTGGTAGGCGCGATCCCACCACTGATCAACACGGGAGTTTTGACCTGCTCTGTTTTTGACCTGGGCTTGTTCACCCCTCCTCAGGCAACACTGTGGTCCCCTGCTCCCAGGAGGTCACCATATTGATGCCAAACTCAGTGTAGATACCCGATCAACATAGAGCATCACAGCCCAGAGCTCCTGGGCTCTAGCGATCCTCCTGCCTCCCCATTAGCTGGGACTACAGGAGCACCACTGCGCCCAGCAGGGGCTGGGGTTCTTTTTTTTTTTTTTTTTAACAGGGTGCCATCCGTATTGAGGGGCTGCAGTTCTTGAATGGTGAGTTGTAATGTGGGATTGAAGCACAGAGTCCCGGAGCATAGGCCTGGAGCTCTGGGGCCAATGGAAAGAGGTCACAGCAGTCATTCTAGAACTTTGGTTAGGGGAGCGTGCTAAGGATGCAGATTCCCAGGTCCACCCACATCCTGGGCTAGTCAATGGGGCCTAGGAATCTGCATTTAACATGGACACACTGGTTGAGGAGGACTTTGGAGTCCTAACCTAGATTCCTTCCTGACTACAGGGGAAAGACCTCAGACCTGGAGCCTGGAGAACCAGGTTCTAGTCTGGCCTCAACATAGCCTTGGGAAGTTCCAGGCTCTGTGCAACCTGTTTCCCCATCTGTAAGATGAATATGTCACCCCAGATAGTCTCCACTGACTGCCCGTAGGCCCTGGATGAGAATATCCAGGCCAGGCACTGTAGCTCACACCTGTAATCCCAGCACTTTGGGAGGCCAAGGCAGGCAGATCACTTGAGCCCAGGAGTTCGAGACCAGCCTGGGCAACATGGCGAAACTGTCTCTACTAAAAATACAAAAATCAGCCAGGCATGATGGTACGTGCCTGTAGTTCCTGCTACTAGGAAGGCTGAGGTGGGACTATTGCCTGAGCCTGGGAGGCGGAGGTTATAGTAAGCCAAGATCGTGCCACTGCACTCCAGCCTGGGTGACAGAGAAAGACCTTGTCTCAAAAAAAAAAAAAAAAAAAAAAAAAAAAAGCCGGGCACAGTGGCTCATGCCTGTAATCCCAGCACTTTGGGAGGCCGAGGCAGGTGGATCCCCTGACATCGGGAGTTTGAGACCAGCCTGACCAACATGGTGAAACCTCGTTTCTACTAAAAATACAAAATTAGCTGGGTGTGGTGGTGGGCGCCTGTAATCCCAGCTACTTGGGAGGCTGAGGCAGGAGAATCGCTTGAACCTGGGAGGTGGAGGTTGCAGTGAGCAGAGACCATGACACTGCAGTCCCGCCTGGGCAACAAGAGCGAAATTCCGTCTCAAAGAAAGAAAAAAGAAAAAAAGAGATAATGTCCCATCCCCATCCCCATTTTCTCTGCTCTCTGTAATGAGGCAGCAGTGCTGATGTTTCCCTTTGATTCTGGGCTCCCAGAGGGAGGAATAAAAATAAAATAACCATGACAGTAACAGCTGCTCTGTCATGAGTGGGCCCACGAGATGGGAAGAATGCCACCAACTGTTGGCCGGCATGGCCAACTTCTGCTTGATCAGCCTGAGAAAGCTGGGGGGGTCCCCCACACTGACAGCACAGGTCTCCTCATAGCCATGTTCAAACACAGGCAAGTATGATCCTTGAACCTGCGGGTCTGGCACAGGAGAAACAAATGGGGAGAAGAGGCTGGGCCCGGCGGCTCACGCCTATAATCCTAGCACTTTGGGAGAATGGGGTGGGCGGATGACCTGAGGTTGGGAGTTCAAGACCAGCCTGGCCAACATGGCAAAACCCTGCCTCTACTAAAAATACAAAAAATTAGCTGAGTGTGGTGGCATGCACCTGTAGTCCCAGCTACTCATTAGGCAGAGGCATGAGAATAGCTTGAACCAGGAGGCTGAGGTTGCAATGAGCTGAGATCGGGTCACTGCACTCCAGCCTGGACAACAGAGAAAGACTCTGTCTCAAAAAAAAAAAAAAAAAAAAAAAAAAAAGTCCAGGCGCAGTGGCTCACACCTGTAATCCCAACACTTTGGGAGGCCTAGGCGAGCGATCACCTGAGGTCAGGAGGTCGAGACCAGCCTGGCCAACATGGTGAAACCCCGTCTCTACTAAAAATACAAAAAATTAGCCAGGTGTGGTGGCAGGTGCCTGTAATCCCAGCTACTCGGGAGGCTGAGGCAGGAGATTCGCTTGAGCCTGGGAGACGGAGGTTGCAGTGAGCTGAGGAGAAGAGAAAGGCACATGCTGGCTGCCTCTGGCCTGGTGGAGGGAGGTTCTGGGTGCTCTTGCTGTGTGGAAACTTGAGATGCTGGGGCCAGCTGAGAACCCCAGGCCTCCTGTGTTGGTGCCAAAATTGAGAGCCCTCAACGACCCCAACTAACTCTGATCTAGTGCCCACCACACGCCAGGGCACTGCGGGACTCATCGTCTTCTTTATCTTATATGATCTGCACACCACCTGTAGCAGGGGATTACCATTGTGCCCAGTTTACAGGTAGGGAAGATGAGGCTCAGAGAGGCTAAAGGGGTCATGATGGCAGCACAGCTGCCAAGTGCCAGGGCTGGGGCTCAAACCCAGGCCTGCCTGGAGTCTCGTGTTCTCCATTAAGCTGAGCGGCCTTGCAGCAGGACTCCTTACATAATGGGACTATGCTCTGGTGGTTACAATGTGTTAACGCCTCCTCATGTTGATGGCTTAAGCTTTACTGGCTTTGGGACTGTTTGCTGGAGCCCTGAGCCAGCAGCCAGCAAAGTAAGTGCAGAGGCGGCCTCATGATCAGAACCCAATCAAGGCTTTTGTTTGAGGACTGAAGCTGAGGCTCAGGATCAGGAGGGAGAATTTTCAAGAAGATGGTATGAGGCTGGGCGCGGTGGCTCACGCCTGTAATGCCAGCACTTTGGGAGGCCGAGGCGGGCGGATCATTTGAGGTCAGGAGTTCGAGACCAGTCTGACCAACATGGCGAAACTCCGTCTCCACTAAAATACAAAAATTAGCCAGACGTGGTGGCACGCACATATAATCCCAGCTACTTTGGAAGCTGAGGCAGGAGAATCACTTGAACCCAGGAGGCGGAGGTTGCAGTGAGCCAAAATCACACCACTGCACTCCAGCCTGGGTGACAAAGTGAGACTCCATCTCAAAAAATAAAATAAAATAATAAAAGAGAAGAAAAAATAGAAGATGGTGTGGAGATAATGACGCTAAGAGTCCGGACCGAGGCTGGTGCTAGGAAACTGAGTGCTGGTGGAGGCTTTGCAACCAGCCAGCTATGAGACCTCGGGAAAGTCCCTTGTTCTCCCTGTGCCTCGCTGGGGCTGTTCCAAGACTTTAAATGCTTCCCTGCAAATTTCCAAGCGGATACTCCAGACCCTTTCTAATGTTCACTCATCTATGCTGCTGGCCACACATCAGAATCAGCTGGGGAGCTTTTCAAACTCCCAATGACCAAGCCAAACTTCAGACCAATTACATCAGAATTTGGAGGTAGAACCTAGGCCCTGTTTTTTTTTTTGTTTTTTGTTTTTTTTGAGATGGAGTCTTGCTCTGTTGCCCACACTGGAGTGTGGTGGCACGATCTCGGCTCACTGCAACCTCTGCCTCCCAGGTTCAAGCAATTCTCCTGCCTTAGCCTCCTGAGTAGCTGGGACTACAGCAGGCACCTGCCACCACATCCAGCTAATTTTTGTATTTTTAGTAGAGATGGGGGTTTCATCATATTGGTCAGGCTGGTCTCGAACTCCTGACCTCAGGTGATCCACCCATCTTGGCCTCCCAAAGTGTTGGGATTACAGGCATGAGCCACCGCACCCAGCCACATTAGTTTTTAAAGCTCCCCAGGTGATTCCAATATCTGGCCAAGGTCCAGCCCTGTGACCAACAAAAGTGTGTCTCAAACTTTAATGAGCACATGAATGAATCTCCGAGGGTGTTAAAATGCAGATTCCCATTCAGTAGAAATGGGTTTCGATTCTGTATCTGTAGTGAGATTCTGTATCTCTAGTGAGTCGAGATCGTGCCACTGCACTCCAGCCTGGGTGACAGAGCAAGACCTTGTCTCAAAAAAAAAAAAAAGGCTGGGTGCAGTGGATCATGCTTGTCATCCCAGCACTTTGGGAGGCCGAGGCAGGTGGATCCCCTGACATTGGGAGTTTGAGATCCCAGGTGATTTGCAGATGAGACACGCATGAGTCCATGGACCACACTAGGAATGTCAAGGACACAGAATGTTCCTAAGTATGCTCCAGAGCTGAAGAAAGGTTGCCCTGGCCAAGTCTGCAAATGCTGCATACTCTCATCTCCCTCTTTGGCATCCAGAGGGGCGCTGGGATATTAAAGCTCTGAGAAGTCCTGCATCAAGGTAACCCATGCATTTTTATTTGAGCATCCAGGGCTTACATCAGTGCTCAGTGCCAAGCTAAGTGCTCAGTAAGTGCCTGGTATCGTGGTGATGGTTCTTAGCTGTGCACCTCAGGAACTGGTGAGGGCTTTGTAGGGTGGATGGAGATGTGGACGTAGATGATGTCTGAGTCCAAGGCCAGGCCCAGGCTTGTGCGTGTGGAGGGGCTTTTCTGCCTCATCTGCACACCTGCACCTCTGCTGCAAATGGCCTCAAGGTATTTTATCAGACAGGTGGGGCTATAAGGGTGGTGAGGAAGCTAAGGGTGGGAGTCAGGGGGGTTGTTGGCAGCAAGGGCTATGAGTAGGGGTCTGTGGATTTGGGGGGCATCATGGTGGTGTATGTGGGGGCTCTGGAGGTCTGTGGATGGTGAGAGTTGGTGGACAGGGGAGGCTGTGGGTGGTAGGGGGCTCGACACATGACCCAGCCAGCATTTACAGCACAATGCTGTAAACTAGCTGTGTGTGGTAACTCCTGTGAAGCGATTAAAAATACACACATGGCCGGGCGTGGTGGTGCACACCTGCAGTCCTAGCTACTCAGGAAGCCAAGGTGGGAGGATCACTTGAGCCTAGGATTTGGAGGATGCAATGAGCTAGGATCACACCACTGCACTCCAGCCTGGGTGACAGAGTGAGACCCTGTCTTGAAGAAATATATATATGTCTCTATATATACACCCACTCAACTTTGTGTCTGTGAAAAAATGGTCCCAGAGAGAAAGCCACCTGCTACCACTAGTCTTGGAGGGAGAGAGAAAATGAAGAGGTCCAAGAAATTAATGGTTCTTTGCCAGAAAATAGAAGCAAGTAGTAATATTTATAGCCACCAACATTTCTAGCACTCTGTCTTGCTGTCAGGCTCTAACACACATCCTAACTGATGCCAGCGGCTTCTAATTTATCTCCTGTATCCTCTCAACAAGACTGAGGAGTACATTAGGGTCATGCCCATTTAACAGGCAAAGAAAACAACGTTCAGAGATGACACAACCTGTCCAAAGTCTCACGGGGAAGGGCCAAGCTGTGATTCGGACCCAGGTCCTTCTGACTCTTGACGTCCATGCTCTAAGGTGAGTCTACACCACCTGCTCCCAGGGACGGCAGACACTGATCCACTGCTTACTTTGGGTCAGGTTCTGAGTTAAGCATTTGAAAAGCACTTTATTTTTTAAACAACAGCCTAGTAAGCCAAAGCATCAGGCATGAGTCTCCAACGTGCTTGCTCCTCCACCAGACCCAAAGACACATTTTTCAATGGACCCCAAAGCCTGACCATGAAGTGCCCACCCCATCCCATTCCAGCCAGGCTTTTTAGCAGTCTGGTCTGTCCCAGCCCATGGTGGGCTTGTGTCTGGGAAGGCAGCAGGGCTTTTTCCTCAAGAGGCACCTGAGAGGGCCGGGAGTGACCGCAAGGCAGGCAGGAGCACTGTGGCCACCACCAATTTCCAGAGCACTCTGTGTACTTCTGTCCTGAGCCAGTCCCAGGCTCCACACAAGCCCTGGGACCCCAGGAGGGTAAAGTCCCAGCCACCCCTGTGTCCAGAACAACAGAGGAGCCCCTCTGGGGCACAACCCACTGTCAGGCAGAGGTATCTGGGGCCGTGGGGAGGGACTGGTGGGGGATAAAGAGGCTGCTTTGGGTGGGGGGAGGGGCTGGAAAAGCTTCTGGGTGGCAGCCGAGCTGTGTCAAAGATGACAGTGCTGCAAGAAACAGGGAATTCTAGGAGAGGGAACAGCATGGGCAAAAGCCCAGGAGTAGAAAGGGCAGCAGTGCCTGGGAAGTCCTGAGTTAACCCATCAGGCGTGGGAGTGGAAGCTGCAGAAAGGTTTTGGTCAAAGTGACATGCGCTCATTTATTCAACAAATGCTTTATGGTACCATTCATGTTAAATAATAATAATAATAATAATAAAACGCTCACCGGAACTGAGGATGTGTCAGATGTGGGTACAGAGAGGAATGAGAGTATCTGGCCTCCTGGAGTTAAGAATCTAGTGATCAAGAAAACTACAACCTGATGGGCATTTTACCCCCATTTTATAAATGAGAATAAGTGATACCAGTGTGGGGTTACTCAGAGAGGTTAAGTGCTTTGCCCAAGACCACATGGCTCATCCATCTCAGAGGAAGGAGTCTACTCCCAGGATCCCTGAACAGCTGAGAGTACTCGTAGATCTCTCTGACAGGTGGCTGAGGGGAGAAGGGACTTGGAGGTGGGTAGGACTGGGGAATTGACACGGGGCAGGGGGTGTAGGCAATACTAGAGGGAACAGACTAGAGGCAGAAAGTCAGCAGAGAGGCCATTGCAACTGTCAGACATGATGAGTGAGAGTTGAGATCAGGACTACCATGTTCAGCTGCACAGGTTGGGTACTGCACAATTTCCATAGACTACAGTGATAATAGTGCCCCTTGGAGTTAGGTAGCAGTGACCCTGGCTAATAGAGGGACCAGATTCACACACATGACTGTGCATGTAGCCACAGGTCTTCAGCTCCTGGGCTAACAGCTGCCAGCTAAACCCCACACTGCTATCAAGGGCCACATTCTGTTTTCTCCTGGGGAGGAAGTGGCAGCTTCGCCCCAAACGTGTTTCACACCCTGGGTGACCCACAAGGCCAGTCCATTCTTCACTAATGTGACAAAGATGCTGGTGCATGAAGGGTTCCAAGAGGAAAGAACATTGGCAAACTGCCTCCACCTCTGTGCTGGGAGGCCCAGAGGTGCACATGAGCATTTTGAAGACCCCCAGAAGCCCCACAGCCAGGAAGCTGGTACATCTTTCCTTGATGCATCTCCCAGGCTCCCGTGCAGAGAAGGCCCATTCTGAGAGGCACCTCCAAACACCCCTGGCACAGCCCCAGCTGGCAGGCTCAGTGCCACCTGCCTCTTCAACCAAAGGGCTTCCATTTTAGGACCCCCTATATCCAGGTCAGAGCCATCTTCAGGCCTCCAAAAGCAGCAGGAAGGGGCTGGGAGAATCTTGCCTCCCCGCAATGCCCTGCGGGGCTCCCATGATACTTTGCTTCATGCCTCTGGGTAGAAGATGGTCCTGCAGCACTGCAGATGCTCCTGATGCGCAGCTCCCAAGCTATGCAGCTCCTCAAAGGAGTCCTCTGGTCCTGCCTCCAGGGATGGGGTGGAGGGAGTGAGGAGAGGCCTGGGACACCTGAGGAGCCTCAGGAAAGGTGGACTCAGCCCGCATTCTGAGGCAACTGGATCAGATGCAGCTAAAAATCCTGGCCCTGCACACTGTGGCCCCAAGGCCTTGGACACACGTCTTAACTGCTGTCTGAGCCTCAACTTCCTCATCAGCGAAATGGGTACCACAGTACCTACTTGGCAGGGTTGGTCTGCTGGGGGTGGTTAAAGGAGATTAGCATGGGGACACTCCATCTGTCCCTTCCCTCAAGGCCTTTTGTCTGGCTCCTGCTGAGACCTGGGTCAGACTGGAAGGTTCCCTGTGTTGAGAATGCAGACTTCAGGACAGAGAGAGATGGGGTGCAGATAGAGAGAAGAGACAGAGCGGGGAGGGGAAAAGGAGAGAGAGGAAGGGAGGATAGTCAGGGACGGAGAGGGAGGCACACATGCAGACAGAGACACACACAAAGAGAGAGAGCACAGAGGCACAGAAAGGGCCAAGTTGAGAGACAGAGGGTAGGGCAGCAGGAGGGGTGTGGCCACCTGCGGGGCTGGGGGTGAGGGTGGTGGGGGTCAGGCCTGCTCCCACCCCCAGGCTGTAACAGCCTTCAAAGCTCCCGCTGGGTCTCTTATCAGTCCTAGGAGGCAGCTGGGTGACTCCTCCTCTCCTTCCCACTCTCCCTCCACCTTGTCCCGCCCCACCCCGGAGAAAGGGGAAGAAGCAGGCAGGAAGCCAGTTCCAGGGGGGACTGGGGTGGGGTGAGAGAGGGAATGGATAGTGCTTCCCCAGGTTAGGCCTGGGGACCCCTTTGAGGAGAAGGAGAGGACACAGGGCATGGCCGGAACTGGGGACCCCTGGGGAGAGGTGAGAGTGTGACCTGCTAGTTCTTGGAATCTCTGTGAGAGGTCAGCTCCTGACTCTGGAAAGGCCCTCAGTCAACGTCAGTGAACAAACAGGGACCAAGTAACTTGGTCAGGCCCAGCGCAGGGCACAGCAAGCCATGAAGCTGGTCCTCGTCCCCCAGGAGAACACAGTCGAGAACCTGTGAGGAAGGCCCTCCAAATTCCCATTCTCTACCTAAAACACGATGCTTGTTAACTAAACTCTAGTTTCTCTCTTTCCCCCAGTTCTGTGAACTTTGGCCACCCTCACCTGAGCAACTCACTATCCCTCCTTACAGCCCTCCGGAGGACAGGTTGGCCTGCATTAAGACAGGCCCCCAGGACCAGGCCACCTTTTCAACCTACCTCCCCGCACCAGTTCTTTCAAGCCTTGTTTACTCTTGCCTAGAAAAGAACAACCCTTTCGGCTTAACTTTGGAGGTGCAGGAGGATCTTCTGGTCAGTGCTCTCTCCCACTGCAATGCTCCCGCTTCCATTGGAATAGTCCCCTCCCCACCACCCCCAGGCAATAATAATCCTTTAATAAGTCTCTCCTTAGTAAATCAAGATTCCTTTTTATCTCTTCCTGACAGCTATGAAATTATTTACAATAAAAGACACATTCATAGCTAGAGTAGTAAAAATAAAAATAAACCATAGAGAAAAAGGAGGTAAATGATTAAATGGAAAGGCAGATTTTATTGATTCACCAGTCTCATTAGCTCTAAGTTTTCTGACTTACCAAAACCAAAAAGGACAGCAAGGGGATAGTTATGCTGTAACTCTTGTTATCTGATGTAAAAAGGTATCATTTCATCAGGAAGGACTTCTTTTCTGGTACAAAATCCTAAAAAGAATGTACTAGGGGCCAGCAGGGTGGCCCACGCCTGTAATTCCAGCACTTTGGGAGGCTGAGGGGGGCGGATCGCTTGAGCTCAGGAGTTCGAGACAAGCCTGGGCAACATGGTGAAAGCCCGTCTCTACAAAAAATACAAACGTTAACTGAGAGTGGTGCCGCATGTGTGTAGTCCCAGCTACCTGGGAGGCTGAGGTGGGAGGATTGCTTGAGCCTAGAAGGCTGGGCCAAGATTGTGCCACTGCACTCCAGCCTGGGTGACAGTGAGACCCTGTCTCAAAAAAAGAATATATTGGATCAAAGAGTACACAGGATGACAAATCAGCTGTAAGGTTTCCTGTAGCAATTCTAATGAAATTGAAGCAATATTCAATGAGCCGTGAGAATAAAAACAAAATGTACAACAGTAAAGACGTATTTGCAAGGAGGTAAGAGCAAACAGCGCTTTCTGACACGGAACTTGGTATTAGGATAGATAATGGAAAATCTAAAGGAATAGGGTTAACATGACCTGAAGATGCTGAAGATGACTGACTTTCTCCGATATCACATGTCAGAGCTGAGCCTCTGCCTGTAAGCCCAGGATGGCACTCTCAGCGGAGGGTGAGTGCAGCTGCCTTGGGAGCGTCAGCCCTGAAGGTGGCAAAGCTGACATTCACTGCAGCAGGTAAGGGTCCTGACATGCCTCCTGCCTGGTACCCATCTCAGAGGCCCCTTCAGCCTAGATTAAAGTTTCCCTTGAGGAGAAGGGGTCTGACCAAGAATGTTGCAAGTCACAGCACAAGACAGAAACCCCAGGCTGGGCTCGATAAGGCAGTTGTTTTGAAATATTGGTTGTAAAGTCAACCAATTATCAACACATTATCAGAGCAGACCCACTCCCTGTGGTCAAAGGAGACCTAGTTTGAGTAGGTACAGTGAGGTACCCATGTGTACAAGGCAGAGGACTGGGGAAGGGACTGAGGCAGGAACTTGAAGGGGATCCAAATATGCCACCCTGCAATACGCCACTTTGGCATAAGGATTATTTTGAGCTGAAGGCAACTGAGAAACAGCAGACACAGGATGAGCTCTCTGCCCTCCCCTTAGGTGCCTGAAAGTAGGGCATAAATTTCCATTTGTAAATGTGCCCCCCTCTCCCGTCCCATGAAAAGGAGAATAAATCCAATGGGGAGGTTATGTATCTGTATAACACATCTAAACCACCACCCCCAATCTAACACACATTTCCTAGCTACCTTCCCAGAATATACTGCCCTTAGGAGCCCAAATCCCCCTCTTCCTTGTTTAGTTACTTGCCCACAACTTATCTTCCTTTGTCAAAATTGTATATAAACCCTGGGTCTGACCATCTCTTTGGCTTTTCATGCATGTAAAATTAAAAACAACAATAAAATTCGTATGCCTTTTTTCTATTAATCTGTCTTTGCTCAATTTTATTTGCAGACTGCAGACATAACATAAAAGGGTAGAGGAGAAGTTTTTCCTCCCCTACAGACTTGTTCAGACAGGAGACCAGAGACTGGAGACCAGTCCTCTTCCTGCCTGTTCCCACTGTGGTGCTAATCGTCAGTTCACCTGGCACCTCCACTGCCTCCCTAGAGCCCACAGACAGTTTCCATCTTTTTTTTTGAGAAGGAGTCTTGTTCTGTTGCCCAGGCTGGAGTGCAGTGGTACAATCTTGGCTCACTGAAACCTCTGCCTCCTGGGTTCAAGCGATTTTCCTGCCTCAGCCACCCGAGTAGCTGGGACTACAGGCAGGAACCACCGGGCCTGATTAATTTTTGTATTTTTAGTAGAGACGGGGTTTCACCATGTTGGCCAGGATGGTCTTGAAGTCCTGACCTCAAGCGATCCACCTGCCTCGGCCTCCCAAAGTGCTGGGATTACAGGCATGAGCCATGGCCGCCTGACTGAGTTTCCATCTTAAGAATCAGACTTAGGCAAGGCACAGTGGCTCATGCCTGTAATCCCAGTGCTTTGGGAGGCTAAGGTGGGCAGATTGCTTGAGGTCATGGGTTCGAGAACAACCTGGCCAACATGGTGAAACTCCATCTCTATTAAAAATACAAAAATTAGTTGGGCGTGGTGGCACATACCTGTAGTCCCAGCTACTCGGGAGGCTGAGGCAGGAGAATCGCTTGAACCCAGGAGGCGGAGGTTGCAGTGAGCTGAGATCGCACCACTGCACTCCAGCCTGGGTGACAGAACGAGACTCCATCTCAAAAAGAAAAGAATCAGACTTTATGCTCTGTCTTCTATGACAGCCATTTTCATTTTCCTGGTCAGGAAATGGAATGTAGCAATGATCTGGTTGAGAACAGCTGTTTAATCTCTCTAATACAATGTTGGAGCATTTGCCCTCTGGCTCGGCAGGTGTGGTTTTCATGTGATCAGGCCAGTCTCTGCCCTGGGAGAATGGTCTGACAAAGGGGTGGGCTCAATTCTTGAGAATGCCCAGGGGCTGACTTTTCTAGCTAGTGCTAGAGCAGCAGGTGGCTGTGGGTGGGGCTGGGGGGGATGCGGTTGTGGGAGGAGGACTGGGCCCCAGGCCTTGCTATCAGCACCTGGTCACCACCCCTGAGTCAAAAGATATTCAATGGACCATGATATGTCTCACAATCTATGCATTGTGAGTTGAGAAATGCCAGTATTTTCCACAGTGCGGAGAGCCTTCCATGCACTTTCTTTTCTTTTCTTTCTTTTTTTTTTTTTTTTTTTTTGAGACGAGTCTTGTGCCCAGGCTGGAGTGCAGTGGTGCGATCTCAGCTCAAGTGATTCTCCTGCCTCAGCCTCCCTAGTAGTTGGGACTACAGGCATGCACCACCACGCCCAGCTAATTTTTGTATTTTTAGCAGAGACAGCATTTCACCATGTTGGCCAGGCTGGTCTCGAACTCCTGACCTCATGTAATTCACCTGCCTTGACCTCCTACTTCCATGCACTTTCATGTTTCATTTTGACAACGACCCTGGGAGGAAGACACGAGTTACAACCTCCATCTAGCAAGTGAAGAAAGTGAGGCTCAGGGAGGCTAAGTTCCTTGTTCGGCGTGGCCCAAGTAGTATGTGACAGCATCAGGATTCAAACTCAGAACTCTTGGACTCCAAAGGTCCCAAACTCTCCCCAGGTTTGTTTTTTTTTTTTTTTTTTTTTTTTTGAGGTAGGGTCTCTCTCTATGGTACAGGCTGGAGTGCAGTCGTGTGATAATATAATAGCTCACTGCAGCCTCAACCTCCTAGGCTCAAGTGATCCTCCCACCTCAGCCTCCTGAGTAGCTGGGACTACAGGCACACGCCACCATGCCTGGCTACTTTTTAATTTTTTTGTAGATATGGGGTCTCTCTATGTTGCTTAGGCTGGTCTCCAACTCCTGGGCTCAAGCAATCCATCCACCTTGGCCTCCCAAAGTGTTGGAATTACAGGCGTGAGCCACCGTGCCCAGCCTCTCCCCAAGTTTAAATGAACATTTTGCCCCCAGGGCCAGTCAGGTAGGCCTATACCTGTACTCCTGAAACCAAAGCTTGGAAACCTCTCGGTAATGCCTCCCAGTTCCCCGCGGGGTCAGCTGCCCCATCCCACACTAGGGCAATGAACTGGGCCTGACTTCCAGCAGGGGCAACATCCCCCAGGAGTCTGCCTGAATAAGAGGTGCACAGAGAGGAAACAGCAATGCCAGAAGCAAGTGGCTGAGCACAGTTCCTGGCAGAGAATCCGTCTTGTCTGTCACAGTAACAGAAATGTGGAGACAGAAACCTAGCAGGCCTCACCACATGCGGAGGTGACAGTGACTGCTACAAATAACACTTGCTGCTGGATGGAGGGAGGAGGGGCAGAGGAGGCAATGAAGGGACCCCTCTGGCTCTTTCCGCGTGGTCCCATGGCATGTAGGGGGAAAGATGGCACAGGACCTGCAAGTTACAAAAGCGCTGCTAGAGAGATCTGAGGTCAGCAGCACCACCATTGCTGATGAGCAGGCTAGGAACGCAGACCCAGGCCTGTGAACCAGAATCTGCATTTTCTTAAGATCAGTGATTGACACGCACAGGAAAGCGAGAGAGCCCAGCTGCAGAGTCTCAGAGAATCCAGGCACCCCCTTTCTAATCCCCCAGAGCACTGAGGCAGGGCATGATTTTTACAGCCTTTGAGCTGGTCCTCGGAGACTCCTAGGTGGGAGCCCATCCCTCCCTGACAAAGAGTCAACATTCCACATCTGAGATTCATCCATCTGCTTGTGCAACAAATCTGCACCAACAGCCTCTCTATGCCAGGCACTGTGCAGCAGTGAATGACACTGGCAAAGCCCTGGACCCACGGAGCTTACAGGCCAGTGGGGGATGACAGGACACACATAGATGATCAAGACTGTGCCAAACAAGATACAGTTGGAGAGAAGAAATAAGTTCTAGTATTTGCTAGTACAGCAGGGAAATTATAGTTAATAATTTCTTGTATCTTTCAAAAAGCTAGAAGAATTGTAATGTTCCCAACACAAAGACAAAGGTTTGAGGTAATGGATATCCCAGTTACCCTGATTTGATCATTACACAACATATGCAGTTATCGAAATATCACATGTATCCCAAAAACATGTATCACTATTACACAGCCATTAAAAAAACATGCAGCTAACAGTGGTGCATACTCAAGGAAATAAGCAGGGTGCTCTGGCAGTGATGGGGGCAGGGTGGGGAGGGAGTTTCTTGAGAGGGTGGTGGGGGAAGGCTTCTCTGAGGAGGTGACATTTGTGCTGAAACCTGAAGGGCACAAGGGCAGCTGTGCAAAGATTTGGGGGACAAGGGTTCTAGGTGAAGGGGAAGCCAGGCAAAGGCCCTGTGCAGAACTCGCTTGGGCAGTTTGAGGAACAGAAAACAGGTCAGGGTGGCTGAACAGTGAGAGTCACCGGGAATCTGGGAGGGGCAAGGTCAAAGATTCAGGCAAAAGTGAAACCTTCGAGGCCACAGTGGGAAGTCAGGGTTTTGGATTTTGTCACTGGAGGCTCTTATGCAAGGGAGAGGAGGATGGGACTTACAATTTTTTTTTTTTTTTTTTTTTTTGAGATGGAGTCTCGCTCTGTTGCCCAGGCTGGAGTGTAGTGGCGCCATCTCGGCTCACTGCAACCTCCGCCTCCCGGGTTTAAGTGATTCTTCTGCCTCAGCCTCCTGAGTAGCTGGGATTACAGGCGCCTGCCACCATGGCCAGCTAATTTTTGTATTCTTAGTAGAGACGGGGTTTCACCATGTTGGCCAAGCTGGTCTCGAACTCCTGACCTCAGGTGATCCACCTGCCTCAGCCTCCAAAAGTGCTGGGATTATAGGTGTGAGCCACCATGCCCAGCCACTAGGAGTTACAAGTTTTAAAGAACACTCCGGTGTCATATGGACCACAAAAAACAAGAGAGAATGCAGGCCATCGGGGCACAGGTACAGGGTGCGGCTCTGCTGGGACTGGGGTGTAACCTCCAAGGTGGAGGGAAGTGGATGGCTCGGGACATAGTTTGGAGGTAAAACCATTAGGCTGTGATGATGGGTTGGATGTGGAAGGAGGAAAGAAATTAAGGATGACTTGATCCTTGGTCAGAGTGACCAGGTAGGGGAGGTGGTGCCATTTACTGAGATGGGGAGCCTGGGGAAACATTCTTGGGGCTGAGGGGACGGAGCTGGATCAGATCAAAGGGTGTAGCCTGGAACATGGTGGAAATGCAGAGGGTGCGCCACAGGTTTGACAGAAGAGACTGGAGCCGAAGGCAATGTCGGAGGGGAAAATACTATCTTGGGAGCCCTCAGGGTAATGGTGCTTTTAGAGTTCTGGGACCAACCAGCTCCCCTGGGGAGTGGGCAGGCAGGAAGCATAGGGGTGAGGACGAGGCCTGAGACCCAGCGCCATTTAAAGGGACCCAGGAGGAGGGCGGGCAAGGCTGAGGTGGACAGATCACTTGAGGCCAGGAGATCGAGACCAGCCTGGGCAACATGGTGAAACCCCATCTCTACCAAAAATATGCAAATTAGCCGGGTGTGATGGCGCCGTCCTATAATCCCAGCTACTTGGGAGGCTGAGGCAGGAGAATCGCTTGAACCCCGGAGGCGGAGGTTGCAGTGAGCTGAGATCACGCCACTGCACTCCAACCTGGGTGACAGAGGGAGACTCTGTCTCAATAATAATAATAATAATAATAATAATAATAATAATAATAAAGCCGGTGGCGGGGGGGTGGTGTGCGGGGAGAAAAGCAGCCTGAGAGGTAGGAGGAAGGCTTGAGCTAAAAGGACGATCTGAGAAGGGAGAGGTTGGCTGTGCCAGGCCCTGCCCAGGGTTCCAGTAAAATGTGAATGGAGCAGAGGACACTAGAGGCTGAGAATGGCAGGGGAAGGAGAGTAGGGAGACGTTTGTTAAAAGTACAGAGTTACAGTTCTAGAGGAGGGATAAGTTCCATTGTTCTACATCACTGTAAGATGACTATCATTAACAATAATACAGAGTTTTCAGTAGCTAGGAGACTATCGAGTGTTCCCAAAATGAAGAAATGATAAATGCCGGAGATGGTGGATATGCTAATTACCCTGATCTATTCACCACACACCATCACTATGTAAAAATGTGACTAGAGAACTGATGCTTGGATTTGGCCAGTGAGAAGTTCCTGGTGGCCAGGCAAGGTGGCTCATGCCTGCCATACCAGCACTTTGGGGGTCTGAGATTGGAGGATTGCTTGAGGCCAGGAGTTTGAGGCTGCAGCAAACTAGGACTGCACTACTGCACTCCAGCCTGGGGAACAGAACAAGACCCCCATCTCTACAAAAAATAAAAATAGCTGGGGATGATGGCAGATGCCTGTGGTCCCAGCTACCTGGGAGACTGAGGTGGGAGGATTGCTTGAACCCAGGTGTTGGAGGCTGCAGTGAGTCAGGACTGCACCACTGCACTCCAGCCTGGGTGACAGAGTGAGACCCCTGTCTCAAAAAGAAGTCCCTGGTGACTGTGAGAAGTGTTTCAGCAGAACAGAGGGGCCAAGACATCATTGGGAGTGGCAACAGAGAGAAAGGGAGGCAAGAAAGGGAGTTGAGACCAGTCTTTGGAGGAAATAGACCAAAGGAAAGAAAGCCAGGATGTGTGGTCAAGCGGGTGCTTCCCTGCCCATGGGAAGGGCATTATTATGTCAGCTCCAGAAGCGAATGGAAAGGACCCAGCAGGGGCGTGGTGCGGGTGCTGTGGGTGAGGGGCTGTTTGTGAAGGCGAGTGCTTGAGTTGGCAGGAGGGGCTGGGATCCAGTGTTCAGGCGGTGTGCGGGTGAGGAGCTGGGATTGGAGGGCATGGCCTGTGTCAGAGCAGGGTCATGCCACTCACCATCCCAGCAGCAAGCTGAAAGTGTGGGTGCAGGTGGAGGCAGGCTGGTGACTTTGGGAATGGGAAGGGGAGGGAATTCTGTCCCCTGTGTCCTGAATGATTCCCCTGAGGGTTCTGAGTGGTACAGAGAATGCAGGCATAGGTACTACTGACTGGGGGACCTGTCTCCTCAGGAACCTTTAGAAACATTAATCCATTGCATTCTCACCACAACACTGAAAATCAGGCTGACGACTCTGATTTTAGATAGGCAGAAATGAAAAAGGCTCAGAGAGGTGAAGCGACTTGCCAAATGACACACAGAAAGTGGTCAAGCAGAACCCACACTCAGCCCGTTTGACTCAAACCTGAGCTCTTTCCAGGATTCTGAGCAACCTGGGTGAGAATTTGCAGTGTCTGGAGGATCTGGTCAGAAGGATTCTTACAGGTTCAGGGCAGCCCCAGACAAAGAGGGCTGGAATCAGGCCTCCTTGAGGCCAGCCTTGAGAGGAGGCAAAATTACATCATTCCTGGAGCCTGCCCATGGAGCTCATTCCAGGCCTCAGCCACGCGGGGTCAAATTTCCTCATTTCTCCCTCCCAGTGAAGACCTGTTTTGTTACTAAAATGAACACTGCATTTACTTTATTACAAGAAAACAGGGCTAGGAGAGGTTGCTCATGACTGTAATCCCAGTGCCTTGGGAGGCCCAGCTGGGAGACTTGCTTGAGGCCAGGAGTTTGAGACCATCCTGGGCAACATAGCTAGACCCGGTCTCTGCCAAAAAAAAAAAAAAAAAAATTAGCTGGATGTGGTGGTATGAGCCTGTGGTCCCAGCTACTGAGGAGGCTGAGGTGGGAGGATTGCTTGAGCCTGGGAGGTTGAGGCTGCAGTGACTGCACTCCAGCCTGAGTAACAGAGCAAGACTTTGTTTCTTAAAAAAAAGAAAAGGAAAACAAAATAGCAATAACAGTAATACCTTACATAAAGCGGCCCCACAGCAGAAGATGGACATGGGTCTACAGTAGAAGTGGGACTCGAAAGAGCAGCCTCTAAAGCAAAACAATTTAAAAAGTCTTTCCCGCAGGGCGCGGTGGCTTACACCTGTAATCCTAGCATTTTGGGAGGCCGAGACAGGTGGATCGCTTCAGCCCGGGAGCTCAAGACCAACCAGGGTAACATAGTGAGACCCTGTCTCTCCAAAAATCCAAAAATTAGCTGGGTGCATGCCTGTAGTCCCAGCTACTCAAGAGGCTGAGGCAGGAGGATTGCTTGAGCCTGGGAGGTGGAGGTTGCAGTGAGCTGAGATCGCGCCACTGCACTCCAACCCGGGTGCTAGAGTGAGATCCTGTCTCAAAAATAAAATACAGCAGTTGGGCGCGGTGGCTTGTGCCTGTAATCCCAGCAATTTGGGAGGTGGAGGTGGGCAGATCACCTGAGGTCAGGAGTTCGAGACCAGCCTGGCCAACATGGTGAAACCCCGTCTCTATTAAAAATACAAAAATTTGCTGGGCATGGGGGTGCGCGTGTGTAATCCCAGCTACTTGGGAGGCTGACACAGGAGAATCGCTTGAACCCGGGAGGCGGAGGTTGCAGTGAGCCAAGATCGTACTATTGCACTCCAGCCTGGGCAATGAGTGAAACTCCATCTCAAAAAAATAAATAAATAAAATAAAGTAAAATAAAATTGATAAAAGTCTTTCTCATTATCTTTATTTTACTTTATTTTTTGAGATGAGATCTTGCTCTGTTGCCCAGGCTGGAGTGCTGTCGCACAAACGGCTCACTGTAGCCTCAATCTCCTGGGCTTAAGCAATCCTCCTGCCTCAGCCTCCCAAGTAGCTGGGACACACAGGTGCTTGCCACCAAGCCCAGCTAATTTTTGTCTTGTTTTGTTTTGTTTTGTTTGAGACGGAGTCTCACGCTCTGTGGCCCAGGTTGGAGTGCAGTGGCACAATCTCGGCTCATTGCAAGCTCCACCTCCCGGGTTCACGCCATTCTCCTGCCTCAGCCTCCCGAGTAGCTGGGACTACAGGCGCCCACCACCACGCCCGGCTAATTTTTTGTATTTTTAGTGGAGACGGGGTTTCACCGTGTTAGCCAGGATGGTCTCGATCTCCTGACCTCGTGATCCGCCCGCCTTGGCCTCCCAAAGTACTGGGATTACAGGCGAGAGCCACGGCACCCGCCTGTCTTTTTTGTATTAATAGATATGGGGGTCTCACTTTGCTGTCCAAGCTGGTCTTGAACTCCTAGCCTCAAGGGATCCTCCAGCCTGGGCCTCTCAAAGTGCTGGGATTACAGGCTTCTTTCTTATCTTCAAAATATGTTTATTATGTTCCATGTTTGTTTTAATGTTGGACAATGTTTTCTCCAATTCTTCCAGGCAATCTGCTGCTCCAGGAAGATGCCCCCTGGTGTCCCAGCAAGTGGCTGGTATCTCCCTCGGGCACAGGTACCCGGAGAAGCACCGTCCAGTGTATCTTAGGGGCTTGGATTTCTTCCCCACATTATCTCAGATAATCCCCCCAAAGACGTGGGGGGGGTCTTTTCTAGTTTTCTCTTGAGATTGCCCCTCTCAGGAGACAAATACACCTACTCCAATGTCCTAATCTCAGCCCAAAGAGGATGGAGATGTGGCCTGGTCATGTATAAGAGCCCACACCTCCTAACACTGTACCCAGTGTACAGTGTTCATCGCACAGACGTTACCCATCGCACAGACGTTCAATGGCCCATGGCGTGTTCCTGGAGCCAGAAAGTACCAAGGCCGGCTGCCTCCCCACAATTTGAGAGATGCCAAGGGTGGACGCTCGGCCGCACACACACAATTAGGCATTTATTTTTCCCCAAATGCCAGAAGGGACAGAAGCTGCAAGGGGTGTTTAGATCATGTTTCAGCTGGGAAAACTGAGGCCCACTGAGTGGGTGCCAACAATATGCATTTTAAATGTGTTTTAGACTTGAAAAATAAACACAGTAGAACTCCCCTCCTGGCCCCCTCCTCGCCACACCATTTTATTTTTAATTTAAATTTAAGTTGCAGTACCCCAAAGGACCAGAAAATCAATAAAGGCAAATCTAAATTGAGGGGCATTCTTCGAAGCAAGTGGCCTGAAGTTTTTAAAAAGGTCAATGTCATTAGGAGTAAAAAAAAAGAAAAAAATAGAAAGAAAGAAAAGAAAAAAAAAGCCAAGGAACTCTTCTAGATTAAAGGAAACTAAAGAAACATGGCAACTAAACTACTGTGTGATCCTGTATTAGATTTGAGATAAAAATAAAAGCTATAAAAATATTATTGGGATGGCTGGGTGCGGTGGCTCACACCTGTAATCCCAGCACTTTGGGAGGCCGAGGTGGGTGGATCACGAGGTCAGGAGTTCAAGACCAGCCTGGCCAACATGGTAAAACCCAGTCTCTACTAAAAATACAAAAAAAAAATTAGCCGGGAGTGGTGGCATGCACCTGTAATCCCAGCTACTCGGGAGGCTGAGGCAGGAGAATCGTTTGAACCCAGGAGGCGGAGGTTGCGGTGAGCGGAGATCACGCCATTGCACTCCAGCCTGGGTGACAGAGCAAGACTCCGTGTCAAAAAAAAAAAAAAAAAAAAAAAAATATATATATATATATATATATATATATATATATATATATATATATAAAATTGGGAAAATTTGAATGTAGATTTTACAATAGGTAACAAATTGTGCCAATGTTAAGTTTCCTGCAAGTCATAACTATATTGTGGTCACATAGGAGAGTGTCCTTCTTAGGAATGGCCAAGTATTTAAGGATGAAGTGTCATGTCCGCAACTAACTTTCAAATGGTCCAGAAAAAAAGTAGTATGTATGCACATGCACCCCACCAACAAACACAGGGGCAGAGAAACTCAGTTTAGCAGCATGTTAACAGCTGTCATCCAAGCAAAGGATATATGTGGATTCATTGTTCTGCTCTTTTCTGAAGGTTGAAAATTTTCAAAATAAAAAGTTGGAGACCAAGTCAACTCTCTAGGTCTTTGTTTAGTAAAAGTGATCTACTCTTTATTCTTGCACCATCTGCAGCAGGAGCTTGGGCCCTCAGAGGTTTATAAACTGGATGGTGAGTTTAGAATCTCCACTGATATCCCAGTTCAGCCTCTGACACATGAAGCACCATAGGCCCTGCTAACCCAGAGTCCCCACTGGTTTCGACCGTGCTTTCTCGGAGAACATCTGCCCTCATGTGATTGTGTTTGTGTGTTTCCCACAGTTACTGTTTCAAAAATGCACTGCACTAGACTCATTAATGAGGGAAGCAGCAGGTAGGGATAACTCATCCAAAGGAGAAGGGGAGGGATCAAAGTCTATGTAATCAGGGAAAGAAAGGATGCTGAAATGAGACTGGAAAGGTATATACGAAGGTGGTTAATGTCCTACAGGTTCATAAAACCCAAATTTTTCCCTCCTGCTCAGCTTTAAAAAGACGGGATGTAAGGAGCCTCTCCAAGGTTTTGTCAAGCTCTAACTTGGTGAGTAGGTTCTAAAGATACATGTGGACTTGGGCGTCAGGGTTGGGTTAGGCAGGAGGTGGCCCGTGGGAAGTAGCACTTGCTGGCCAGCTCAGCTTAGCGTCTCTAGGGTAGGGATGGTCAGGGGTAGGAGGTAGAAGACACACGGTCCAGGGCAGACCAGGCTGAGGCAACGAACAAAAGGGGCTTCCATATCTGCACTGCTTCCATCCCCGCCACCTTTGGCTTAATCAGAGTTGAGTTATTTCCCAAAGACACAAATCGAGGATCTTACAGAAGCTCTGAGGCTTGGGATAAGTAGATTTTTTTTTCTCTTTAGAAGGGTGGGGGGGGTGTTGAAACATAGAAAAATATATTGGGGCCAGATATAAGTAGAAAGGCTGCTTCCCTGGGCTCTGAAACTCCCTCCTGCCACCACACCAGTGGGAGCATGGCACCCCACCCACACCTCCACCAGCACAGTGAATCACAGTGCTGTTTGTCAGGAAAAGTATTTTTAGAACTTATAAGTGCCATTGTCATGAGTGGTTTTAGAAATGCTTGTTTCAGGATGGATGAAATGAAGCGAGGGTGGGCTTAGATGTTCAGGCTGTAGGCCTCCTCCCCAGCAAGTTCTAGAGAGAGGCACAGGTTATCATCATTTTAAAAACTTCCAGGAAGACAAGGGTTTGGCAAAGCCCCTTCTGAATATGAGCAAAAGAGCCAATTTGGGCTCAGGCTCAGGTCTGGGTTCCCAGCAAACCCCATTTCTTTTCTTCTTTTCTTTTTTAGATAGGGTCTTGCTCTGTTGCCCAGCCTGGAGTGCAGTGGCACAATCTCTGCTGGCTGCAACCTCTGCCTTCTGGGTTCAAGTGATTCTTGTGCCTCAGCCTCCCAAGTAGCTGGGATTACAGGCATGCCCCATCATGCCAGGCTAATTTTTTTCTTTTTTTTTCAGTAAAGATGGGGTTTCGCCATGTTGGCCAAGCTGGTCTTGAACTCCTGGCCTCAAGTGATCTGCCCACCTCGGCCTCTCAAAGTGCTGGGATTCCAGGCCTGAGCCACTGCACCGGGCAAACCTCACTTCCTTTGCCATCAGGGGACTGCGTGCGTAAGCATAGCCTAGCAAGAAGCTGCTGGTTCCAGCCAGGTGAGGGAGGGCAAGAGGAACTGACAGGAAAAAGGCAAACTGGATCCCTACCTCACTCTAGACATCAGTCAATTCTACGAATTAAAAATCAAATACACAAAAATAAAACAGAACAGTTTCACAATCTTGGGCGGGAAAGCATTTATAAGCATTACACCAAAGGCTGAAGCCATAAAGGAAAAGAATGATGAATTGGCTATAAAAATTTTTAAATTTGGTATCATGAACAAAGTTAAAAATAAATAACAAGCTGGAAAAAATTTAATGTATGTCAAAAAGTTATATTTCTGGTTCTTAAAAAATACTCAATAGAAGTAAACATAGCCAGGGTGGAGAATGTCGACAGGCAATTCATGAAGAACGCCCTCTTAGTGACCAAAAAATGTACTTTAAGAAGTTAAACTGTATTATAATTCAAAAGAGGGGTTCTAATTTTAGCCTCTCAAATTTAAAGGATCTGAAAACTCAGCAACACCAGTATCAAAAGGGTAGCAGGAATCTGACGCAATCCTGATGGGATTCCTGCAGAGGAATTTGGCAGATTAGTATTAGGCAGTTTTAATATTTTGCATCCTTTTCTTTTTTTTTTTTTTTGAGACAGAGTCTCACTCTGTTGCCCAGGCTGGAGTGCAATGGCACGATCTCAGCTCACTGCAACCTCCGCCTCTTGGGTTCAAGGGATTCTCCTGCCTCAGCCTCCCGAGAGGCTGGGATTACAGGCATGCGCTATCACGCCTGGCTAATTTTTGTATTTTTAGTAGAGACGGGGTTTCACCACGTTGGTCAGGCTGGTCTCAAACTCCTGACCTCAGGTGATCCACCTGCCTCCACTTCCCAAAGTGCTGGGATTACAGGCATGAGCCACCGCGCCCAGCCTTTGCATCCTTTTCATAAAACAGTTTCCACTTGCCTGAATTTACCGTCTGGGTTGGCAAATTTTTTCTGTAAAGGGCAGACAGTAAATATTCTAAGCTTTGCAGTCCATTTGGCCTCTGTGGCAGCTTTTCAGCTCTGCCACTGTAGTGTGAAAACAGCCACAGATAAGATGTGAACAAATGGGTGTGGCTGTGTTCCAGTAAAACTTTATTTACAATAACAAGCTCCTAGATTTGGCTCGTGGGGTCTGTAATTTGCCAACCTCTGATTTACTTTAAAGCAACGATTGCTGCTGTGGGGAAATACTTAGCTATAAGAATGATTATTACACTGCTTTTGTTCATTCCCCAAATTACGTTAAAAATATATATATACACCTGGCTGGGCATGGTGGCTCACGCCTGTAATCCCAGCACTTTGGGAGGCCGAGGCAGGTGGATCACGAGGTCAGGAGATCGAGACCATCCTGGCTAACAGAGTGAAACCCTGTCTCTACTAAAAATACAAAAAAATTAGCCAGGCGTGGTGGCGGGCACCTGTAGTCCCAGCTACTTGGGAGGCTGAGGCAGGAGAATGGCGTGAACCCAGGAGGCGGAGCTTGCGGTGAGCCGAGATTGCACCACTGCACTCCAGCCTGGGCGACAGAGTGAGACTCCGTCTCAAAAAAAAAAAAAGTGTATATACGCCCAACAATAAGAAACTGGTATATAAATTTGGTTGTCTTCATGTGATGAAATATCATGTTGCCATTTAAAATTTAAAATGGCAGCATGGCTACCTTGTTATATAGAATTAAGCATGATAGAAAATAGCATATAAATAAACTATTAAATATAAAGAGAGTTTAATGGGCCAGGCATGGTGGCTCACACCTCTAATCCTAGCACCTTGGGAAGCCAAAGCAGGCAGATCACCTGAGGTCAGGAGTTCGAGGCCAGCCTGGCCAACATAGTGAAACCCCGTCTCTACTAAAAATACAAAAATTAGCCAGGCATGGTCGTGGGCGCCTGTAATCTCAGCTACTCGAGAGGCTGAGGCAGGAGAATTGCTTGAACCCGGGAGGCAGAGATTGCAGTGAGCCGAGATCACACTGCTGCACTCCAGCCTGGGCAATAAGAGCAAGACCCTGTTTCAATAAATAAATAAATAAATAAATAAAATAAGGAGAGTTTAATAGGGTTATCATGACAAGATTAACACCAAAAATGAAAACCTATCCTATACATCAGTTGTAACCAGTTATAAAATATCATAGCAAAAAGATCCTACACATATCAGCACAAAAACTCCAAATATAGTCACCCTAAGAAGAAAGTGTGCATAACCTATTTAAGAAAATTATAAAACTTTCCGGCCAGATGCGGTGGCTCACACCTGTAATCCCAGCACTTTGGGAGGCCGAAGCAGGAGGATCACCTGAGGTCAGGAGTTTGAGACCAGCCTGGCCAACGTAGTAGAACCCCATCTCTACTGAAAATACAAAAAATTAGCCGGGCATGGTGGTGGGCACCTGTAGTCCCACCTACTAGGGAGGCTGAGGCAGGGGAATCGCTTGGACCTGGGAGGCAGAGGTTGCAGTGAGCAGAGATCCAGCCACTGCACTCCAGCCTGGGCAATAACAGCAAAACTCCATCTCAAAAAACCCAAAAAACCAAAAAAGAAAAACAACAGAAAACTTTCCTAGAGGGCATAAAAGGCCAGAATAAATGAAAAGATATATGCATTCCTGGATGACAGAATGCAATATTGTAAAGAAGCCAATTTCCTTCAATTAATGCACAAATTTAATTTCAAATATGATCTCCTACAGGATTTGCAATAGAGCTTGACAAAAAGGCTGTTCCAGAAAAGAAAATATGTAAGAATAACAAAAAAACAGTTTTTTTTATTTGTTTTTGTGTGTGTGTGTATGACAGAGTCTCACTTTGTCGCCAAGGCTTAAGCGCAATGGCGTGATCTCAGCTCACTGCAACCTCCGCCTCCCGGGTTCAAGTGATTCTCCTGCCTCAGCCTCCCAAGTAGCTGGGATTACAGACATGTGCCACCATGCCTGGTTAATTTTTGTATTTTTAGTAGAGATGGGGTTTCACCATGTTGGTCAGGCTGGTCTTGAACTCCTGACCTCGGGTGATCCACCTGCCTTGGCCTCCCAAAGTGCTGGGATTACAGGCATGAGCCACCGCACCTGGCCTTAAAGGTTAAAGAAACAAAGAAGGATGAGAGAGCCTTTCCCTATCAGATATCAAACTATAAACAAGAGTAACTGAAACTATGGTTTTGGCTTAAAAGTAGGTAGACAAACAGATCAATATAACAGACCAGAGTCCAGAAAGAGACCTACGTATATAAGGTAAGTTAGCATACAATAAAGATAAAATTTCAAATCAATTGAGAAAGAGGGACTATTCAACATTAGGAACTCAAAGTACTGGCCATATTGAGGAAGTAAGAGTGCCAGATCTCTACTCCCACCAAAAGCAAAAATAAGCTCCAGGTGGATAAAAGAGCTAAGCATAAATACTTCTTTTTCTCAAAAGTATCTGAAAACTATATATAGGAGAATATGTTTATAGCCTGGAGGTACAGAAGGCACAAAATGATACACAAAATGCAAATGGCATAAAAAGGTTGATAAATGATGACATCAGAATTAACATTCTGTGTAATAAAACACTCCTAAAACAAGATTAAAACACAAGCAAAATCCATAAAGATTGATAATCAGGATATATAGAGATTTCAACCTGTTGCTGTGGCTCACACCTGTAATCTCAGCACTTTGGGAGGCCGAGGTGGGCAGATCACCTGAGCACAGGAGTTCAAGACCAGCCTGAGCAACATGCAAAACCCTGTCTCTACCAAAAACAAAACAAACAAACAAACAAACAAAAAAACAAAAATTAGCTGGATGTGGTGGCGTGTGCCTGTGGTACCAGCTAATTGCGGGGCCGAGGCAGGTGGATCGCTTGAGCCCGGGAGGCAGAGGTTGCAGTGAGCTGAGATTGAGCCACTGCACTCCAGCCTGGGCAGTAGAGCGAGACTGCCTCAAAAAACAAACAAGCAAAAAACAGAATATACAGAGATTTCTTATAAATCAATAAGGAAAAGACAAACAACCATATCGAAAATGGGCAAAGAATATGAATAGCTAATTCGTAAAAGCAGAAATCCAGAGGGTATGGGAAGATAAGAAAAAGATGGTCCGCCTCCCTAGGAAGCTGGGCAGCACAGAGGACGGCAGCAATGGGCTTTCCTCCCCTCAGGCTGCTAGGCCGGAGACCAGCAGGTGGATGGATGGCTTCCGGGGTTGGCGAAGGCCATGGGGAAAGGGGCAATCTCATATAGTGCTTGGGTGATACAAATGGTACAGGCTTTGTGGAAGAAAATTTCATCCGTATCTGTTAAAAAACAAAATCTACATACCCTTTGACACAGCAATTCTGCTTCCAGATACCTAGTTCTAGAAATACTTAGAGACACACCCAAGGAGCATGGATAACGATGCTTGCTGTGGGTGCTGTCCTGGGGGTGAAAAGGAGGAGCTCAGCCTGAGCCCTGAAGCCACTGGGTGGACATGGGGCTGGCTGTCATGAAGGGTGAGGTTCAGGCAGTGGTAGAGGGTGAAGGGCCCCCAGGAAGCTCAGTGCAGGTCCTTCTCCTTTGGGCTGGGGCAGAAGGAGTCAGGGAGGCTTCCTGGAGGAGGCGGTACCTAAGTAAAAATTTTTTTTTTAAGAGAAGCAGTCTCACTATATTGTCCAGGCTGGTCTCAAACTCCTGGGCTCAAGTAATCCTCCCACCTCAGCCTCCCAAAGTGCTGGGATTACAGGCATGAGCCACCACTCCCGGCAAGTAAGTCTTAAAAAGGTGAGTAGACGTTAGCTCCTGACAAGGAAGCGGGAGGGAGGACATCCTAGGAGAAAGATAACACTCAGAGGCAAGAGAGAACATGGCTTTCTCAGGAAACGGGGAGCGGTTTGGTATCGCCAGTTTTAGGTGTGAGATGCACCATGGTGAGAGATGAGGCTAGAGTAGTGGGTAGGAGCTGATGTTGGTTTTCATCCCTTGGTAAGGACGGGTCCCAGGAGCGGGATGGGGGTGTGGAGAGAGGAAGGCTGAGGACAGGAGGACGCCCGGTCAGTGGGTGGCAGTGGCTGTGATGGAAGGGGGAGGCAGGGGTGAGTGGGGAACAGAGGACTCAAGGCAGCTGCATGAGGAGGCGCTGAGGATGACTCTCTGGGTTGGAGGCTACTGACACCATTTGCTGGCGTGGTGGCTACACAGGAGGGGCAGGTGGCTGGATGCCCTCTCCATTTCATCCACCATAGGGTGGATGAACAGGGCCCAGGGCCTTACAGCACTTGTAGGATTAGGGTTCACATTACTGCCTGCTGAGGGGTGACCACGGGCCCCTAGCAACTATCCCATTGCCTTTAGCACCCGAGTGTCGGGCTCTCCACGTGTCTCCATGCCCCCTCCCCACGGGGGCCCCTATAGCATATGGACTGGGGGCTGATGGGCAGCCTGAGCAGGACAGTCTCAGAGGGACTCCCAGGGCGATTCCAGGGACCCCATGCATGGACCCAGGGAACCTGGGGAGTCCTTCAGGACACACCTAACATTCCCTTTGACCAGAAGCAAATTTCCCTGGGTCAGGAAACTCTCTCAACAGCCTGCTCAACAGTTGGGGTTCCCAAGCCTCAAAGTTTCCCTCTGCCAGGGTCTCGCAGGGCTCTGGGGACGCAGGTGGAGCCACATCCAGTAAGGTCAGGAACTGGTGCATCCAGGCATCAACTGCCCGGGATAGACTTGCACTGGCCTGAGGTCTGGACAGCAACCCCAGGGGCCCCTGCTTGATGCCCAACGCTAGAGGCTTCTCGGGGCCTGGGAGGGGGTCAAGAAGGGCAGGGTGCTCTCAGGGGCCAGGTGGCAGCTGCTGGCCCACCAGCCAGCACTCAAGCATTCACTGCTTTAATTACGAGCCACATCCAGTGGTTAAGTCAGAGGTCTCCGTCCACACCCTGAGGGGAGGGGGCTGTGCCCGAAAAACAAGCTTCACCTCCCAACATACACGCATGGCACAGGGATGGAGCGCCTGCCATCCCATCTGTGTGTCATCCCCACACCTCCTCAAATCATGCCTCAGGTTTGCGTTCCCTGGGGGCATCTGGGAAGCCTACGTAGTGATCCAGGCACCCGCTTCTTCTCAGTCTCAGACTGACCCCTAGGGGACAGCTAAGACACAGCAGGGCGCAGAGAGCCGGGCCTGAGAAATTCGGACCTGCCCAGTCCAGCCCACTCTGACACCTCATCTGCAGAGCTGTGGTCTTGACCTTGCTATTACAGGAGCCTAAGCCAGGAAGAGGACTCATTCACAATCCAGAAGCCGTCTGCCCCGTCAGGCTGGTCTTCGGATTGTGCCCCCTTCCTCTCCCTGCCAACACGCAGAAGCCCATGGTAGGGAATGGAGTCCAGGTCAACCAAGCAGCCCCAGCGAGCATAATGAACAAGGCTGCCACTGTGTCCACAGCTACCGCCATCTCACTAGGCTCTGGCCAACCAAGCCGGGGCCAGACCTCCATGGAGGGCAGAAAGGAGTTCACCCACGAGAAGCTTAAAATCCAAAGCATTGGGAGGCCGAGGCGGGTGGATCATGAGGTCAGGAGATCGAGACCATCCTGGCTAACATGGTGAAACCCCATCTCTACT
The DNA here is from genome assembly GCF_000001405.40 of Homo sapiens. Classification (NCBI taxonomy): domain Eukaryota; kingdom Metazoa; phylum Chordata; class Mammalia; order Primates; family Hominidae; genus Homo; species Homo sapiens. The sequence goes on along the minus strand of NC_000017.11, from coordinate 31,436,971 downwards.
AAAAATACAAAAAAAAATTAGCTGGGCATGGTGGCGGGCACCTGTAGTCCCAGCTACTCAGGAGGCTGAGGCAGGAGAATGGCATGAACCCGGGAGGCGGAGCTTGCAGTGAACCGAGATTGCACCACTGCACTCCAGCCTGGGCGATAGAGCAAGATGCCGTCTCAAAAAACAAAAAAAACAAAAAAAACAAAAAACAAAAAAAAACAAAAAAAAAACAAAAAACAAAACCCAAAGCAACAAAAACCTATAGGATTGCAAAGTCCCATGAAGAAACAAGGAGAAGCACCAGGCTTGCTGAGATAGGCTGACGCGGTCTTTCTTTCTGCTTTCCCATAACCTCTAGACTTTGGAGGAAAGCAATATCGGTTTACAAAAAAGAGTACCTTGGTGGAGGCCCACTCTTCTGCACCCCCTGCTCATCTTTTCTCCATGTGCCACCTTTTCCAGAGGTGTGAATGGCAGAATGTGGGGGCCACAAAAGCAGCCAAAGACTACAGGGAACACGTCACCCCTACCCCAACTCCCACCCCCTCTCCCCAGGCCTCGGCTCCACTCTGCCCTCCAGTTCCTGGGGCAGGGCTTTACTTTAACATAATTTTGCAACACCAGTATCCGAGGGTAAACTGAAAAATGCAAATGGTAACTTCAGCACCATTTTCTTACAGCAGCAGGCGGCGAGGAATTAGCACGTATTAGGGGTCTGTCTTCCCACTGAACTTTCACAACAGACCCTCCAGATTGGCACAGCAAGCCTTGTTTTACAGTTGAGGACACTGACGCTCAGCGGGGTTGAGAAGAACGTGCTCAGGTTCCATGGCCTGTCCTGGGTGGCCCACGTGGGTATGGACCCAGTCCTGCACACCTCTGCACGCTGCCTCCTGCTCAGCAATCCAGGAAGGGCCCCCCCAGCAAAGTTCCTGGGGCACTCAGTATTTGTCCCACAGTGGAGGTCCTCTTTCCTAATCCTGGTTCCATTAGCTGGCCCCAAATACATATTCAACCCCTGCTTGCTGGACCCATCAAGACAGGCCTGGAGCCATCACTGCTGGCATGGGCATGGGCCTGGGGCCCAGCTATCTCCACGCATCCCTGAGGGCTCTTGCTTTGAGCACAGCAGCCTGAGGCCTAGCCACCTGACTCCCAGCCTGGGGGCCCTGGCCCACAGTTGGTGCCTGGCTTTGGTCTCTGCCACCATGGACTTGGCAGCCCTCAGCACTGTGTCCCTCTCTGTGGACTGTCCCTCCTCCAGTCCTGCCCAGGGAACCTAACCCTGACCCCACGACCCAGCTGGATTCCAAGAGGCCTACCATCAGCCAAAGTGGCCTCTGGGGTCCTGGATCTCCTTCAGCTATAAACATACTCATGTTTTGGGGTCCAGAGGAGGCACCCATCAGAACTGGGGAAAAGGTTTGGGGGTTGGGCTGGGTAAGAAATCAAAATCATCCTCTTCTAGTTCTGGGTGTTGCCACCAGGAGGGACCTCGCTGGTTGTCAGCTTGTGCACCTTCAACTGTTTCTCTGTAGGATGAAGCTGCACTGCTTGGAAAACTAGTTCAAAGTTTCATAAGAAACACACCATTAGGCAATGATAACAGAAAAACAGAGCCTTGGGGACTGTGGTCTTTGTCCCGCTTCCTGATACAGAGCTTCAGGATGGGGTTGGTCACCAGAAAGACCAAGCATACAATAAGGTGGGAACTTTCTCACCTTCCCACCTACCCCCAACCTCCAGGCAGAGGAGAGGGGCTGGAGACTGGGTTGTAAAAACTGTTTAATTTTTGGAGATGAGTCTGGCCCTGTCACCCAGGCTGGCTGGAGTGCAGTAGCACAATCACAGCTCACTGAAGTCTCAAACTACTGGGCTCAAGTGCTCCTCCCACCTCAGTCTCCCCAGTAGCTGAGATTACAGGTGTGCACCACCACATCCAGCTAATTTTAAGTTTTTATGTAGAGACGGGGTCTCATCATCTTGCCCAGGCTGCTCTCAAACTCCTGGGCTCAAGCTGTCCTCCTGCCTCAGCATCCCAAAGTGCTGGGATTACAAGCATCAGCCATCACGCCAGGCCTACAAATTCTTGAACAATGAGATGCAGAGAGCCCGGGTGCTGGTAGCACGGTGATGTGCTGGGAGGCAGCGCCCCTAAGCGAAGGTGCGGAAGCTCTGCATCCCTGCTCCCCATACCCTGTCTTGTACATCTCTTCCGTGTGGCTAATCCTGAGTTGTATCCTTTGTAATACACTGATCATCGTAAGTACAACCATTTCCTGAGTGTTTCCAGTGAATTACCCAGCCCGAGGGAGGTGGTCCTGGGAACCCTGTGTTTGCAGTTATCCAGGAAGAACTGCAGCTGGCGTGGGAGGTGGGGCAGTCTCATGGAGTTGACCTTGACTCATGGAGTCTGTGCTAATGCTGGGTAGTTAGTGGCAGGTGGAACTGATTGCTGGACACCAGTTAGTGTCAGAGAATTGGAGAATTCGTTGTTGTTTGAAAACAAACAAACAGGAAGCGTTCAGCTCAGAGAGCGATGGTGCAGAAGAAAAGGAAACAATTCTAGTCCTGCCTCCCCTCCACTTGCCACTTTCCCTGTCTGGAACTCAGTCTCTCCTCCGTGCCACAGATGGGAAATAAAGTTGCTGGGTGAGGACCCCCAGCTGTTACACATTCTGCTGGGGCTTCCCAAGGGGACTCAGGGCTCCTGTTCCAAAAACTATTTCTTGACTCTGATGCTCAAGAAGGGTCCTCAGAGGGAGGTTCTGGGTCCTCCCAGATACTGAAAATGGAGCAAAGGCAAGACCAAGAAGGAGGAGGCAGAGCCATGGAGGTCCTTGAGGCCCCCCAAGCCTTACCTGCTCCACGCAGTCTGGGATCTCTGGCGCGCACGGCAGCGTCCCCGCGCTCTCCACCGACAGCACATCCTTCAGCAGCTCCTCGCACCCTGCGCAGACAGGCAGACACACGGGACAGTGAGGGGTTGAGCCTCAGCCTGGGACGGCTGCTCTGCTTCTGACTAATGGGCATAGGGTGGGAAGGGCTGAGGTGGGGGCCCGAGGCTCCAGGAGGCCAGCTGAGCACTGGAAGGCAGGGATGGAGCCCAGGCGGTGGGGAACTCAGCTCAAGGCACTGTGGAGGGAGCTGCAAGAGGCCCTTGTCCTCTGGGACTAATTCCCACACACAGAGGGCAGGCTGGGGCAACAGGAAGGAAGGAGGCCTTCCTGGGGGAGGGGACCTAAGGCAGTGCTGCCCACCTGGCTTGCAGGGACTCCAAACGACTGTGCCAGCCTCTGGAGAAAGCAAACACACCCATTCCTCCGAGGCTGGGCGCCCCCCGTGTCCTGCAGACCCTGGGACGTCCAGGACAGGGCTGCCCGCAGGACAGCTGCAGTTCCTGCTGACTCTGTACACGGCTGGCCTCGCTCCTGAGATCCCAACCAAACGCCCCAAGGTTGTACTGAACTGGGAGGGGGACCTGACAAAATGCCTGGCACAGGCACATGGCAGGTGCAGCCTGCAGTGGCCCATTGTCAAATCCACGCAGAAAACCTTCCCTGGGCACCTTCTGTGTTCTGTGCCCCCTGCACCGTGTATTTGGTTCCCTTCATCCCTCACCCTGCATCGTTCCACCCTCCCAGGACTCATAGGCACCCCACAGAAAAGGGCTAAACTTGATCTGAGCCGCAGACAGGAAACCATGGCTTCCTTCACAGATAAGCAGACACCCTGGGACTCCAGAAGTGACTGCATTCTCTCTGCAGCTAGTGGGGAGGCCTTAGCAAGTCCACCTGGCTGGTGACCTATGCCACTGTCTCAGATTTTTTTCTTTCTTGAGACAGGTTCTTACTCTGTTACCCAGGCTGGAGTGCAGTGGCGTGACCTCAGCTCACTGCAGCCTCAACTTCCTGGGCTCAGGTGATCCTCCCACCTTAGCCTCCCAGGTAGCTGGGACCACAGGCACACACCAGAATGCCCGGCTAATTTTTTGTATTTTTTGTAGAGATGAGGTTTCGCCATGTTGGCCAGGCTGGTCTCAAACTCCTGGACTCAAGTGATCCACCTGAGATCAAGCAATCCGCCTGCCTCGGCCTCCCAAAAAGTGCTGAGACTATAGGTGTGAGCCACCGTGCCTGGCCCTCACTGTCTCAGATAAACAGCTTAGTAGTAAGTGAGTGGCCATATTCTGATTCCTGCAAGTTTCTCACAACTGGCCTTTGAATTTTTGGGACAAGACAGAGGGATTTATATTGTCCCCTTAAAACTGGAAGCAGGGGCAAGGAAGAAAGGCAGGAATTAGGAAGAATTAAGAGGAAGAGAGGGCAGGGCATGGAGGCTGATGCCTGTAATCCCAGAACTTTGGGAGACTGAGATGGGAGGGTCACTTGATCTCAGGAGTTCAAGACCAGGCTGGACAACGTGACAAAACTCCATCTCTACTTAAAATACAAAAATTAGCCAGGCATGGTGGTGTACCTCCTGTAGTCTCAGCTACTCAGGAGGCTGAGGCAGGAGGATTGCTTGAGCCGAGGAGGTTGAAGCTGCAGGGAGCCATGATAGTGGCACTGCACTCCAGTAGCCTGGGCGACAAAGCCAGACCCTGTCTCAAAAAAAAAAAAAAAAAGAGGAGGCGGGAGCAGGGAGGACACAAAAGCAGCAGCTCAGAGGGAGGCGGGCAGTCATGTGACCAGCGCTTTGTCCAGGTTTGCCCAGGACTGCCCTGGTCTTAAAAGTGGAGTCCCTCCCACATCCCAGGAGACTCACTGGGTTTGGTCACCCCAGAGCGGGAGAGAGAGGAAGAGGACAGAAAAGCAGGGAAGGAGGCTTTCTCCAGAGGCGGGCAGACAAGGGGAAGGGCAGAAGTGACTTCCATGGGTGAGACCACAGCCCCCCACGGCTGGGGCAACAGTGTCCTTCTCCTCTGGCCCCCCCGGAAGCCAGAGGCAGAACCGACTTCTGGCCCATCCTGGGCTCTGGGACCCCTGTGGGGAGGAATCCAGGCTGGGCCCCCAGTCACACCAGCTTCCCCAGCTGGGCAGGACCGGAGAGCGCCTGGGAAAGCCTCCCGGGAAGACCTCACCTTTCATGGCGAACACCCCCCGGCAAAAGTCCTTGAAGTTGATTCTCCCCAGGTCGTTGGGATCCAAATATTTCACAAGTTTTTCCACCTGTGGGAATGAAGCAGGGACAGGTGTGAGACACCCAAGGATCTCCCGAAGACTCAGGGAGCTGGGTGGGGAGGCTGGGAGGGAGGGAGGGACACCAGTGTCCCCGCCCAGTCCTCTTACCCTCACCCTGGGGTCAGTATCAGCCATGGGGCCACTTTATTCTCCCCATGGTGACAGACAACTCGGGCAAAGAAAAGCAGAGCCAACACCGGCTCCTCCCTGAGCACACCCTCCCTGAGCACACGGCTTCAGGGGCCGAGCCTCCTTCCCCCAGGGACTGCACAATGAAAGCCGAGGCTCTGCCGATGTTTTAAAATTGGTTTCTTTCACACAAAACAGACACAAACTCATTGTAAATGACCCAGAAATCCCACCATTTCTCTTGTTCTATTTCTTGTTCCAGGTGCTGGCTAGATGGGGAAACTCACTGAGATGGACACTGGTGGCTGATGAACTTTTCTGTTCTATTTGTACCTTGCACTTCAATGAAGAGTGTTAGATGAATAAGGAAGTAAGTTTTCACCTGGCAGAGTCAGCCATCCCTGAGGTTGGAGAGTTTCTCTCCCGTGTAACAGGAGGTAGGACAGAAACAGTTTCCATGCTGCTTGGTGTGTACAACCCACGTTGTTAGTGGCTGTAACACATTCTGCCCGGTGGGTTCATCATAATTTACTTCACCACCCCTAATAGCTGGGCATTTTGGTTATTTCCAGCTTTTTGCTTTTACAATTCATCTTTGGGGGTTCCTGCAGCTGTGTGGATGACCCATCAACCCCCGGCCTCTCAGATCCTTGACTTTCTTTTTGCCTCATATTCCACCTCAGGCACCAAGTCCCTTGGTCAACCCAGTGATCACCCCCTCCAATACCACCCATCAAATGTCCCACTCCCTGACCCCGTCCTCCCTCCCTTCCTGCCACTGCAGGGTTCTTCAGCATCACTGCGTCTGCTCACTGTCACTCACATTCAATCCATGCTCCCACTGTATCCCACAGCTCCCTCATTTCCCACACCTCTCAGGAGCCCCACCTGGTCATAGCCATCATCCTGTCTCTCCTGGATCATGCAAGTCTAACTGGATCGTGTCACCCACTCCTCTGCTTAAAACCTTCCAGTATCATTCCACCACACTTAGGATAAAAATCCAAACTCCAGGGCGGGCGCGGTGGCTCACACCTGTAATCCCAGCACTTTGGGAGGCCGAGGCGGGTAGATCACGAGGTCAGGAGATCGAGACCATCCTGGCTAACATGGTGAAACCCCATCTCTACTAAAAATACAAAAAAAATTAGCCGGGCGTCGTGGCGGGCGCCTGTAGTCCTAGCTACTCGGGAGGCTGAGGCAGGAGAATGGCATGAACCTGGGAGGCAGAGGTTGCATTGAGCTGAGATCACGCCACTGCACTCCAGCCTGGGCGACTGAGCAAGACTCTGTCTCAAAAAAAAAAAAAAAAAAAAAAATCCAAACTCCACAACACGGCCCACAAGGCCCCATGTGATCTGACCCCTTCCACTCCCTCTCCTCCCATGCTCTTCATCACTCACTGTACTCTAGCTGCACTGGCCTTTGGTCAGCTCCTCACGGAAACCACCACACTCTTCTCTGCCCCAGGGCCTTTGCACATGCTATTCCCTACAACTTGGACAGCTGTCCTCCCCATTCGCCATGTCAGTTCATCCTTCAGGTCTCCCTTTGTACCTCTATGAAACGTCCCTCCCTGAGACAGGTCTGTCCTGACCACCCCCATCCAATCAGGGCCCACCCCGCTGCTATCCTGTCTTGTAGCATCCTATACTTTCCCTTCAAACAATTTGTTGCAACTTGCTATTGTTAACTAAAAAGAGATTGACATGGAGGTCAAAGGAAATAGCGTTTATTTGGGAAACAAAGAATTGCAATTCAGGTACACGGGATCAGGACAGCCCCGAAGAGCATCCCAGGAGGCAAGTGGAGGAAGGATTCTTTTTTTTTTTTTTTTTTTTTTGAGATGGAATCTCGCTCTGTTGCCCAGGCTGGAGCGCAGTGGCGCAATCTCAGCTCACTGCAAGCTCCGCCTCCCAGGTTCAAGAGATTCTCCTGCCTCAGCCTCTCCTGAGTAGCTGGGATTACAGGCGCCCGCCAACATGCCCAGGTAATTTTTGTATTTTTAGTAGAGAGGCTGTTTCACTATGTTGGCCAGGCTGGTCTCCAACTCCTGACCTCAGGTGATCTGCCCACCTTGGCCTCCCAAAGTGCTTGGATTACAGGCGTGATCCACCACGCCCAGCCAGGAGACCAATTTTTACGGAGGATTTCCACAGAAAGTTGTTTTCAGAGGCAGCTCATTGGCTGGGCAGAAATCCTAGATTGCAAAGCCTTTCTGACTGGTGAGCTAGTCAGGGCACTCGCAGCTGAGAAATGCTGGAGACTGGCAGATCATGACTTCGGTTGCACACCCAAGTCTATTGGGATATTGTGTGGTTTGAACTTTAGCAGGTGTGAGTATCTCCCGACCTCACTGCAGAAAGCCTTAGCCTTAGTTTCTCCATACTCTTTCATGTAGTTGTATGTGTGTGGGATAATTTGATTAATTTATATCTTCTCTCTACAAAGTAAGCTCCCTAAGGGCAAGGACCCTGTCCATTCTGATCACCACTGTATACCTGGTCGCTTGCACCGTGACTGGTACATAGTAGAGGCTTCATAATATTTGTTTTTGCTCACACCTACAATCCTCTCCAAGGTCAGGAGAACCTCTGACCTTCAAGGTGGAGGTTGCAGTGATCCAAGATCGCGCCACTGCACTCCAGCCTGGGTGACAAGAGTGAAACTCCGTCTCAAATAATAATAATAATCATCATCATCATCATAATAATAACAACTTTTTTTTAAGAGCCATGTCCTCACATTATTGCCCAAGCTGGAGTGCAGTGGCATGATCATAGATCACTGCAGCCTCAAATGCCTGGGCTCAAGGGATCCTCCCACCTTAGCCTCCCAAGTAGCTGGGACTACAGGCACGCCACCACGCCTGGCTCAGAAGCCTGCTTCTAAATCTAAAACTGCTTCTAAAACTTAGTGGCAGCCCTCCCACAGCACCCATACAAGCATTCATTCATTCATTCACTCACTTATTCAACAAGTGATGACTGAGCACCTCTTACATGCCAGGCACTCTTTCAGGGGTTGATGGTGGTAGGTGCTGGTTCTGCTGGCTAGCCACACATACACAATAGTGCATACACATGTGTACACGCTCACACTCCTTGTCAGGCATCTTGCCGCTCCCCCTAATAATCACCATCAGTATCTATAGCACAGCCAGGCCAGGATGAGCTCTTTCCAGAATCTGCTCAGGCTGGGCTGCAGATGATGGATCTGAGGGCACCCGGGGCCTGCAGAGCACAGCATGCAGGAAACTGCTCACAGTCACTGTTGTCAGTGTTCACGCCATCACAGGCAGACTCGCCGGCATACCACACCACCCATCACAGGCACCGAAGCCAAACCACGTTGGGGATTCATCTATTTATAGGGACCACGTTTTTCTTGCATGCCCACAGCGTGGCAGCTGCAGCAGGGGTCTGAAGCCCTGGTCACTGCCGGTGGCCTGGCACCATGGGGGCTGTGCCCAGTGGGCTTTGGAAGGTGAGCAGTGGACAAAGAGGCCCCACCCTAACCATCTTCTCCTTGCCTGGAACCTGGCGGCTCTGTGCTTGCATCTTGATTCCAGCTGACCCTGCTTTTCCACTCTGGGGTGAGTCTGGGGTGAGGGAAGGGCAGAGGGGCCGTGCCACATTCTTTCTGTGAACCTCCCTGAACCTGGTACCTAGTGGGCTCTCAGGAAAGACCTGCAAAATTTCAGTAAAGGAGGAAAGTGGCTTTTTGCCAGCCTCCTCAACATTGCAGCTGCCCCCTCCCCCCAGCCATGCCAGCCTCTGACACTGCCAGGCAATGACGTGGCTTCTGAGAATAGCAATGCCCAGGTGCCACCTGCAGGGCTGCAGGGGAGCCCACCCACCATCCTGGCTGGCATTCCGCCTCCTCTCCTCCTGCCTTTGCATCGCTGGCATTATAGGGGGCCTGTGAATGTGGGGATGAGCCAGGGCACCCTCTACCCTCCAGCCTCCCATGCTCAGGCCTACAGTCCTCTCCAAGGTCAGGGCTCTGCCTTCATTATTTCTGAAGCAAGTCAAGGGTGGAGTCGGCCACAGAGTGCTGACTGACTGATGAGGACCCTCACCTCAAGTCCACCTAGGAGGCAGGAGTGCAGGGATTTGGATTCTGTAATCCCTGTGTCCACAGCTCCCTGAGGCTGGGAGACACTGGTGGGGCGAGCTGTCCATTCCTCTGCCAGCAAAAGCCTACCTGGGACAGAGGTGGGGGTGGGGTTGTTTGATGACAGGCAGACAGATGGGGTACTGAGGGCCACTGCATGGTCCCCGAAGCACCCACGCCATGGCCCAAGCTGCAACCGGGGGCACACCCCAGGCTGTGACCTCTCTACAGCTGCTCCCACAGGGCTCTTCAAAGAGTGGCAGCCCCAGAGTAGTGGCCACAAAAGTGCCAGGCCAGCCGGGCGCAGTGGCTCATGCCTATAATCCCAGCACTTCGGGAGGCTGAGGTAGGTGGATCACCTGAGGTCAGGAGTTCGAGACCAGCCTGGCCAACATAGAGAAACCCCTGTCTCTACTAAAAATACAAAAATTAGCCAGGCGTGGTCATGTGTACCTGTAGTCCCAGCTACTCAGGGAGGCTAAGGCAGGAGAATCGTTTGAAACAGGGAGGTGGAGGTTGCAGTGAGCCGAGATTGTGCCACTGCACTCCAGCCTGGGTGACAGGGCAAGATTCCGTCTCAAAGCAAACAAAAAACAAAAAACAAAAATGGCCAGGCACACTGATGTCCTGCCCTTTAGAAAACAAGTGTGAAATTGGGCTGGGCGTGGTGCCTGGCGCCCGTAATCCCAGCACTTTGGGAGGCCAAGGTGGGCAGATCACTAGGTCAAGAGATTGAGACCATCCTGGCCAACATGGTGAAACCCCGTCTCTACTAAAAATACAAGAAAAAGTAGCTGGGCATGGTGGTGTGCACCTGTAGTCCCAGCTACTTGGGAGGCCGAGGCAGGAGAATCGCTTGAACCCGGGAGGCAGAGGTTGCGGTGAGCCAAGATGGTGCCATTGCACTCCAGCCTGGGCAACAAGAGCAAAATTCCGTCTCAAAAAAAAAAAAAAAAGGAAAAGAAAAAGAAAAAAAAGAAAACAGGTGTGAAATTATTAGAACAATGCATGCTGGTTATTACCAATACATACCATCAACCACAGGCTCAGTGATTTTTAAAATAAATAACAGCATCATTTATGTGGAGAAGTATTGCAAATGCTTGGAGTCCACGGAGGGTTCACACATAGTCTCATTTAATCCTCACAGCAAACTTAACAGTAGCTATTATTATAGTCCCCCATTTTAAATTGAGGAGACTGAGGCTCAGAGAGGGTAAGACATTTAGACAAAGTCACTGCAGTGGTAACGCTCCCCTTTTATTTTCCTTTTTTTAAATTTAAAATTTTTGCCCACCTGTAGTGGCAACTCTTGAACCCAGGTCTTACTGACCCCAGAGAGTCAGCCACTGCTCCCTGTTGCCTTCCTGGGCCAGAGACTCTCACGGGGCTGTCTGCACTAAAGTGTTCTTTCTATCCCCTGGCGCCCTGAGCATCAAAGAAGCTTTACTCACTACGTGGGGACCCCTCGCCTTGGATCACAAAGAGTCTCGACCTTCCTGGACATCAGGTAACCTTTTGCCACAGATGGTCCTCGGCCAGACACATTCCACTGACCCAGCCCGTCATTTCACAGTTGGTGAAGCGAGGTCCCAGCGGGGGGAGGGGTTTGCTCAAGGTCACGCAGGGAGCATAGCAAATAGCCACCCCATGTGGTCTTCGTGGGGAGCCTGGGCCCCAGGCAGGGGAGCTGGGGGCCGCCCCCACCCTGGGGCACACACCATGCGTGGCTGGGCAGCCCTGGGGCTCCCCCTCTGGCTCCCAGGCCAGGAGAGACGGGTTCGCCAGGCCTGGCAGGCATTGCAGAAGCAGCTGTTGTCACTGAAGCACACACAGCTGGGCCCCAGCTTGCTGCCAGGGAAATTGGTTGTTCACTGGAAGTAAAATATTGATCTTTCCTTTTTGGGGCCACTCAATTACCAGGCTTCCCCTTCTATTTCTGTTGCCTTTCTCTTTGAGCTGATTTTTTCCCCCCACTCAGTCCCCTGGGTCACATCTCTTCTAGCTCAGACCAGATGATGTTAAAAAGCTTCGTTGCCGTTGCTGTCTGATTGATTACCAGCCAGATACTCCCTGAACCCATGCCCAGCCACCCACGCCTCCCTAATTTCAAGGTCTGAAGGCCAGATGGACTCAAGCAAGCCATTTGCCTTTCTGAAATCTCAGCTGCCTCATCTGAGCAAGTGAGATAAGCCGGCTTATCTTGCCGCTGTGAAGCTGTCTGCAAGGCAAGGTGCCTAATAAACGTCAGCCATTACTCACGGGAATCAAAGCAAATGCTTAGCGAGCCTTCCTTTGTGCCAGGCACTGTTCTGAGCGCTCTATGCATATGAATTTGTTTAATCCTCGCCACCACCTGGGAAGCAGATACCATTATTATTCCCATTTTACAGGGGAGGAAACTGAGACATAGAAAGGCAAAGTCATTCAGAATTAAGGTCACACAGTTCGTAGAAGACGGCTGAACACAAGAGGCCTGGTTCCAGACTCCATGCCCTTAGCCAGTAATTATTATTTCTGCTAAAATAATTGCAATCACTATTATTATGCTGACAGGTTTAGGGGCTTGCTCTGACCAGAGAAAGAATAAATCTGTATTCTGCTCTCTTTTAATCTAGAAAAACTGGCATTGGTACTGACAACTTTTGCTTAAGAATTTGAGTATTAAAAGAAAAATTAGGCCAGGCACAGTGGCTCATACCTGTAATCCCAGCACTTTGGGAGGCCGAGATGGGTGAATCACCTGAGGTCAGGAGTTCGAGACCAGCCTGGCCAACATGGTGAAACCCCATCTCTACTAGAAATACAAAAATTAGGCAGGGTGTGGTGGTGTACACCTGTAATCCCAGCTGCTTGGGAGGCTGAGGTGGGAGAATCACTTGAACCTGGGAGGCGGAGGTTGCAGTGAGCCGAGATCGTGCCACTCTACTCCAGGCTGGACAACAGAGCGAGACTCCGCCTCAAAAAAAAAAAAAAAAATTAGCTGGGTGTGGTGGTGCGCGCCTGTAGTCCCAGCTACTGGGGAGGCTGAGGCAGGAGAATTGCTTGAACCCAGGAGGCGGGAGGTTGCAATGAGCCAAGATTGTGACTCCATCTCAAAAGAAAAAAAGAAAGAAAAATTAATTTTGAGACACTGTGCCACTAAAGCAGAGGTGGCCAGCTAGCATCTCAGATGTGGCTTGAGGACAGACTTAAAATTAGATGCCAATATTTAAAGCCAAGCAAGCCTCCTGGTTCTGGTTAAGATGGAGTAAGCACACTACAGTCTAGCTTTCCCATTGATTATAACTAAAAACCCTGACAGAAGACATAAAACAACTACACAAGGACTGTGAAAAGTGAATAGTGGAAGGTGAATTGGGGAGGAAAACAAAAACGTTAAGTAAGATGAATACGGTGGTGAGCTTGCATATTTCCTGACCTAGACTCAGGAGCCCAAATCCCAGAACTGTGCAGCAGGTGCACAGAGAAAAAGCTACGGAAGAAACTCTCTTTCTGATGAGAAGCCGGGAAAGGGGGGCCTCCTGGGAAAAATCGAGTGGGAGAAGTGCCCTGGGTCTTTTTTCTCTCCCAGCCCCCTCCCTACAAGGTAAAACCTGTCCCAAAGGTTAGGTGGTGGCAGCAGCCGTAGCAGTCACACAGGGGGACCTAAAACTCCGAGAAAGGGAAAATCTTTTACCTGGAAAAAAATGAGAAAAAGGGGCCCCTGGAAGCTGGATAGGGCGGCATCACAGAAAGAAGGGAGCTTGAGAATATGATCCCATAAAGTTGTTGTATTTGAGGTCCTAGCCTACTCCTGAGCTGCACATACATGGAACTGACCCCAAATAACCTACCAAAGACTCTGAGAACTGAACTACAGTGTAGACTGAACAGACTGGCCCCTGGAGTATGTATACTTGGGGTGGATCTGAATAGCACTGCAAAGGCTTTGAAAACTGAACTGACATTGAAACTATAATTCACAGAGGGCAGGTTGGGATCTGAGGCGTCAACCTAACTGATTTAAAAAGCAAACAAACAGACTGGGCACAGTGGCTCATGCTCGTAACCCTAAGGCTTTAGGAAGCTAAGGTAAGAGGATTGCTTAAGGCCAGGGGGTTGAGGCTGCAGTGAGCCATGATCATGCCAATGCACTCCAGCCTAGGTGACAGAGCAAGACCCTGTCTCAAAAACAAACGAATAAACAAACAAAGAAAAAACTGACATTCTTCAGAGGATTTTAACAGGCCCCAGTGTCTTACAGTATTCCAAATGTCCAAGACACAGTCCAAAATTACTTGACATACAAAGAAACAGGAAAAGCTGACAACAATGTACAAGACAAAAGACAAAAAGGCTGGGCGCGGTGGCTCACGCCTGTAATCCCAGCACTTTGGGAGGCAGAGGCGGGCGGATCACGAGGTCAGGAGATAGAGACCATCCTGGCTAACATGGTGAAACCCCGTCTCTACTAAAAATGCAAAAAATTAGCTGGTCGTGGTGGCAGACACCTGTAGTCCCAGCAACTCAGGAGGCTGAGGCAGGAGAATGGCATGAACCCAGGAAGCAGAGCTTGCAGTGAGCCGAGATCGTGCCACTGCACTCCAGCCTGAGTGACAGAGCGAGACTCCGTCTCAAAAAAAAAAAAAAAAAAAAGGCAATCAATAGATAGATACCAATGCTAAGATGACCCAGATGTTGCCATTATTAGACAAAGACTTTAAAAAAGTTATTATAACCATGCTCCATGGTTCAGTAAAGGTGAACAATCCGAAATAAATGGAAATTTCGAAATTCTTGCAGAAAAATAGATGCTAGAAAAAAGGAACCAAATGGAAATTTTAGAACTAAAAAATACAATATATGAAATAAAAGTTCATTGGATTGGATCAATAGCAGAACGGAAATCACAGTACAAACAGTGATAGAACAACAGAAATTGCCTAATCCAAACAAGGAAAATTACCAAGGATTCAGACAAACATTATATTAAAGGGTCAACTCACCAAGAAGATACATAACAATCCTAAATGCATATGTCCCTAAAAACAGAGCTTCAAAATACATGAAGCCAAACTAATAAAATTGAAAGGAGAAATAGACAAATTGACAATCATAGTTGGAGACTTCAACACTCCTCTAGAGAATATAACCAGTTAGATAGAAAATCTAATTTTTAACAGTAGAGCTAGTTAGATGAAAAATCAACAAGGGATCTAAAAGGTCTGAATACCACCACTAACCAGCTTAACCTAATTGATGTTTATCGAACACACCACCCAAGAATAGCAGAATACACGTTCTCTTCATGTAAACATGGAACTGTCACCAAGGTAGATCATGTAGATCATATCTTGGACGATTAAACAAACTATAATACTTTTTTTGTGTGTGGTGGGGAGGCAGGATCTTACTCTGTCACCTTGGCTGGAGTGCAGCGGTGTGATCATAGCTCACTGCAGCCTCCACCTCCCAGACTCAAGCAATACTCCCACCTCAGCCTCCCGAGTAGCTGGGACTACAGGGATATGTCAACACGCCCAGCTAATTTTCTTGTAGAGACGGGGGGTCTCACTATGTTGCCCAGGCTGGTCTCGAACTCCTGGCCTCAAGAGATCCTCCTGCCTTAGCCTCCCAAAGTGCTGGGATTACAGGCATGAGCCACAGAGTCTGGCAACAAATTTTTAAAAACTGAAATTATAAATGTATGTCTTGCCGGGCGTGGTGGCTCACATCTATAATCCTGGCACTTTGGGAGGGGCTGAGGCAGGTGGATCACCTGAGGTCAGGAGTTTGAGACCAGCCCGGCCAACATAGTGAAACCCCATCCCTACTAAAAATACAAAAAATTAGCTGGGCGTGGTGGTGGGCACCTGTAATCCCAGCTTACTAGGGAGGCTGAGGCAAGAGAATCACTTGAACCCAGGAGGCGAAGTTTGCAGTGAGCCGAGATTGCGCTATTGCACTCCAGCCTGGGCAACAAGAGCAAAACTCTGTCTCAAAAAAAAAAAAAAAAAAGTCCTGTGACTATAATATAATTAAACTAAAAATCAGTCTCAGGGCTCAGTGGCTCACGTTTGTAATCCCAGAGCTTTTGGAGGCTGAGGCAGGTGGATCACTTGAGGTCAGGAGTTCAAGACCAGCCTGGGCAACATGGTGAAACCCCATCTCTACTAACAATACAAAAATTAGCTGGGCATGGTGTCCTGTGCCTATAATCCCAGCTACTTGAGAGGCTGAAGCACGAGAATTACTTGAACCTGGGAGATGGAGATTTCGGTGAGCTGAGATCACACACTGCACTTCAGCCTGGGCAACAGAGCGAGACTGTCTCAAAAAAAAAGAAAAGAAAAGAAATTTTAAAACAAGCAAAAAAATCAAAAACAGAAAGGCATCTGAAAAATCCTCAAATACTTGGGAATTAGGCAGTATGTGTCTAAATAATTCATGAGTCAAAGATGAAGTATCTTTTTGTTTGTTTGTTTGTTTGAGATGGAGTTTTGCTCTTGTTGCCTAGGCTGGAGTGCAATGGCGTGATCTCGGCTCACTGCAACCTCTGCCTCCCGGGTTCAAGCAATTCTCCTGCCTCAACCTCCCGAGTAGCTGGGATTACAGGCATGCACCACCATGCCTGGCTAATTTTGTATTTTTTAGTAGAGATGGGGTTTCTTCATATGGGTCAGGCTGGGCTTGAACTCTCGACCTCAGGTGATCCACCCCCTTCGGCCTCCCAAAGTGCTGAGATTACAGGCATGAGCCACCGCACCCAGCCCCAAAGTCTCAAGAGAAAATAAAAATAATTTAAACTAAATGAAAATGAAAATACAATACCATAAAATTCAAGCCCAAAGCAAAAGGGAGGAAAGAAATAATAAAGATAAGAGCAGAAATTAATAAAATTAAAAATGAGACTGGTAGAGAAAAATCAACAAAACCCAAATCTGGTTTTTTTTTTGAAAAGATTAACAAAACTGATGCATCTCTAACCAGAATGACAGAGAGAAAGAGAGAGAGAATACAAATCACCAATATAAAAAATGAGGCTGAGCACAGTGGCTCACACCTGTCATCCCAGCACTTTGGGAGGCCAAGGTGGGAGGATCGCTTGAGACCAGGCATTCAAGATCAGCCTGGGCAACATAGCAAGACCCCATCTCTACAAAAGATTAAAAAAATTAGCCAAGCATGGTGGCACATGCCTCTGGTCCCAGCTACCGGGGTTGGGTGAGGTGGGAGGATCGCTTGAGCCAGGGAGGTCAAGGCTGCAGTGAGCCTTGATTACACCACTGCACTCTAGCCTGGGTGACAGAGTGTGACCTTGTCTCGAAAAAAAAGAAAACAGAGATATCATTACAGTCTTACATCCTTTAAAAGGCTAATAAGGGAACACTAGAAACACTTCTACACACATAATTTCTACAACTTAGATGAGCTAATGGACCAATTCTTTGAAAAACACAAACTACCAAAACTCATGCAAGAAGAAATAGATAATCTGAACAGTCCTTGAGTGATTAAAGAAATTAATTTCCCAATTTATATCCTTCCAAAAAGGAAAACCTCAGGACCAGATAATTTCACTAAGTATTTAAGGAAAATATACATAAATTCTACACTACCTCTTCCAGAGAATAGAAGAGCCACTTCCCAACTCGTTTTATGGGGCCAGCAATAATACCCTGTTACCCAAACCAAACAAAAGCAATATAAGAAAACTACAAACCTGCTGGGCGCAGTGGCTCATGCCTGTAATCCCAGCACTTTGGGAGGCTGAGGTGGGCGGATCATGAGATCAGGAGATCGAGACCATCCTGGCTAACACAGTGAAACCCCGTCTCTACTAAAAATACAAAAAATTAGCCGGGCATGGTGGTGGGCGCCTGTAGTCCCAGCTACTCGGGAGGCTGAGGCAGGAGAATGGCGTGAACCCGGGAGGCGGAGCTTGCAATGAGCCGAGATCGCCCCACTGCACTCTAGCCTGGGCGACAGAGTGAGACTCAGTCTCAAAAAAAAAAAAAAAGAAAAAAGAAAACTACAAACCAATATCCCTCATGAACACAGATGCAATGAGCCTCTGCAAAATATTAGCAAATCGAATCCAGGAGATATATATGAAAAATATAACAAGACAAGCAGCCGAATGGGGTTTATTCAGCAAAGCTGGCCCAACATTTGAAAACTAATGGATGTAATCTAAACATGACCAAAGAAGAAAAACCTATCAAAAGATGCAGAGAAATCAAGTGGCAAAATTTAACATCCATTCATGATACCAAAAAAAAAAAACAAAAAAACTCTCAACAAAGTAGAAATATAAGGGAACTTCCTTATCCTTCCTTATCTTAGAGAAATGAAAACTTACATTCACACACACCCACACAAAACTGCACAAAAATGTCCACAGCAGCATTACACATAATCACCCAAACCTAGAAACATCCCCAGTGTCTCTCAACAAGTGAATGGATAAGCAAGTGTTCCCTAACCAAAAAGAACAAATGATTATGCTACGGGAAAGAAACCACTCCCAAAGGTTACAAACTGTATGATTCCATTTACGTGCAAAAGGCAAAACCATAGTGACAAAGCCAGATCAGTGGGTGCCAAGAGCGAGGAGGAGGGACTGAAGACAAAGGAGCAGCCGGAGAGAATTTGGGGGATGAGCCGTTCTGTCCCTGATGGCAGTGGGAGTCACAGGAGTCTATGTAAATAGTGACACTTCTTCCCCCACCCCCAAAAAGCGAATTTTACTGTATGTAAAGTAAAAACAATTTTTTAAAATTTTTCTTTAAAAATCAAGGGAACTGGCTGGGCACGGTAGCTCACAGCTGTAACCCCAGCACTTTGGGAGTGGGTCAAGGCAGGAGGATCGCTTGAGCTCAGGAGTTCCAGACCAGCCTGGGCAACATGGCAAAACCCTGTCTCTGCAAAAAATGAACAAAATTAGCCAGGTGTGGTGGTGCACGCCTGTAGTCCCAGCTACTTCGGAGGCTGAGGCGGGAGAATCACCTGAGCCCGGGAAGTCAAGGCTGCAGTGAACTGTGATTGTGCCACTGCACTCCAGCCTGAGTGACACAGTGAGACCCTGTCTCAAAAAAAAAAAAAAAAAATCAAGGGAACTGCACATACAAAGTTGGATATCTGACTTTAAATTTTTATTTTTATTTATTTTATTTTATTTTTTTGAGACGAAGTCTCACTCTTGTCTCCCAGGCTGGAATGCAATGGTGCGATCTCGGCTCACTGCAACCTCCGCCTCCCGGGTTCAAGCGATTTTGCTGCCTCAGCCTCCTGAGTAGCTGGGATTACAGGTGCCTGCCACCACACCCAGCTAATTTTTGTATTTTTAGTAGAGACGAGGTTTCACCATGTTGGCCAGGCTGGTCTCGAACTCCTGACCTCAGGTGATCCGCCCGCCTTGTCCTCCCAAAGTGCTGGGATTACAGGCATGAGCCACTACGCCTAGCCTATTTTTATTTTTGTTATAGACAGGGTCTCACTGTCACCCAGGCTGGAGTGCAGTGGCATGATCATAGCTCACAGCAGCCTCGACCTCCCAGGTTGAAGGGATCCTCCCAACTCAGCCTCCCAAGTAGCTGGGAGTACAGGCATACACCACTACACCTGGCTAATTTTTTGTAGAGATGGGGTCTCATTATGTTGCCCAGGTTGGTCTTGAACTCCTGGCCTCAAGTGATCCTCCTGCCTTGACTTCCCAAAGTGTTGGGATTACAGGCATAGCCCCCATGCCCAGCCCCTGGCTTTTCTTGAAAAATCAGATCTGGCAATACAGGTCCCATATTCCCCCACAGCAACAATGAGCGACAGCTGAATTCAAGCACACTCTTTAGAAAGGGAATGTATTCTGCTCCCCAGCTGTCTATGGGAACCCCCAAATCTCAAGTAGTTCCCCACCGCAGCCCCACCTAGGCTGCATTCCTTCCTGGCCCCCATGGGCATCGGAGTGGCAATTCCTGCTACCCCAGGCACTAACCTGGGCTTGGCTGGGCACCTGACATCGTCTATATCCACAAAAGGGGTTTCAGGGCTTGGCTTGGAGTAGGGTGAAGTTGAAACTCCCCAGCATTTTTATGCTGTTTTAGCAGCCACAATAGAAGACAGATGGGAAAAGAGGGGAAAGGACAGTGCCTGTGGGGTGAGAGGGGCCTACAAAGACAGTGGCAGGTCTGGGCACCTGGAGACTCCCTGCAGCAGGCCGGGAAGTGCCTTTTGAACCCACGTGGAGCCTAGATTTCCCTGGCAGTGCTTCTGGGGAAGGGACCCTCTGGAGGAGGTGAGGCAGGTGCTGGGGCCAGATCCTTGCTCAGGGGTGGCCACTCTGGAGGCCTTACAGTCAGGAGACACCTGTGAGGACACTGGGGTACCGGAGGCATCGTAAATCCCAGGACCAGTTGCAGGGTTTCCTGCTAGGAGCTGGCCAGGTGAGGGGGACAGTGGGGAAGGACGTGAAGGGCAGCAAGAGGGAACAGGAGAGGGAGAGGGGGCAATGCTGGCAAACGCAGGGGGTCTGGGGTGGATGGAAGGAATATGGGGAGGGGGCGTCATCAAGAGATGGGGCCAAAGAGAGAGGGAACAGGCCTGAAAGAGAAGGGCTTACGAGCCAGGCAAAGGGCCTGTATGTGCTTTATCCTGAATATGGGCGATAGGAAGCACAGGGGCAAGTGCTGACAGCGGCAGAGCTGGCTGGTGTCAGGCAGCCTTCGAAGCACTCAAGTGCATCACTCCCAGCAGCCCTGTGAAGTAGCCAAACCGCCAGTCATTCCCCTCTTACAGCAGTGGACCCTGTTGCTGTGCTGGCCTCACCGCACAGCAGGCAGGGTTGGAATCCAACTGCCCCTAGCTCTGTCCCTCTTCAGACTGGCCCCTTCTCCTGCTGCTGCAGGGGCTCTGGCCCTCTCCTGGGGCTTCAGGCGAGATGCTCCAGCTGCTTGTTTATCCTCACTCCCAGCAGTCCAGCTGCCTGACATCAGGGCACACAATAGGACCCTGTATTCTGGAGCCGCCACCCCCAGGCCGGCCGGTGGGACAAAGGGCACAGGCCGCCACTGGCCCTCTCCATTAATTCTGAGGCCAGGATGGGAAGGGAGCCAGGCAAGAACTTCAGCAACACCGGCCTGAGACAAGGGATGAGGGAGGCATTTCCAAAGTGGGTCCTTCCAGTTCCTGCACCCTGAGCCCAGGCCAAAACATCCCACTGTCTTGCTCCCACTCCCTAAGCCCGCTCCCCTCCATGTGAAGGGCTGTCCCACGGAATCAGTCAGACTTACCCTGGGTAGGCCACTGGTAGAGGGGGTATGTGGTTGTGGAAAGCATCCTGGAGGAGTCAGGAGCCCCGGGCCCAGGACCAGCTCCGCAATTAGTGGCGCCCAGGGCAAAGGGGAACATTACCACGAATTTCAAGAAGGCAACCCCAGAGCACTAATCCCTGAGTGACTGCACAGGTCGCATGCCGAGAGAGCGGGCTCTGCCTGGGCTTCGATAAGGTACCACTGCGTGACCTCGGGCAAGCCCTGTTGCCTCTCTGGGCCTCAGTTTCTGTATCTATAATGCACTTCCGACCAGCTCACAGGACCGCTGTGACGATCAGATCAGACTATGAGTCAAGGACATCAGAGGCTGCAGAGTGCCATGGATGTGCCAGGTGCAAAGATGCATAAAGGGGGCCTGAGGGTGAGCCTTCCCCCGGGAAGGGACAGGCAGAGGGGCCACCAGCCAGCTGGGAGGCTGCGGAGACCGTCCGCAGGGGGGCTGAGGTGAGAAAGTAGGGTGGTCCCTGAGACCCTCTGAGAATCTCAGGGATGCTGTGCTTCCTGGGCCCTCCATCCAGTCCCAGCTCCACCACAGACTGCTTTACTGAGTGGTCTCGCTGAGCTCCTTCCCCTCTCTCGGCCTCAGTTTCCCCATCTGGACAATGACAGCACTGGATAACATTAATATTGAATGTCTCTTCCAGCTCTGAAGTCTCTATGATCGTAATGCTTTCAGGCATGTTTGGGGTGGGCATGGGGATTGGGGGGAGGAAGAGAAGAAAACCAGAGTGGAGAAGCAGACGGGGTCAGAGGACTGGGAGAAAAATGCCTCCATTTACTGGAGCTTCACCACGGAACAAGTAAATGGCTTGGGGACCTTGGAGTGGGTGTGGCCCTGGGGAATTACTCAACCTCTCTTCCGAGCCTTTTACTTCCCCTCTTCTATAAAGTCAAGAAATAATGACAAGAACGGAGGCAGATTCGTCAGTCACCACTATCCTGCCCCTCCCCTCCTCTTTGTCCACGTAGAGCGCCCCCTGGGCCTGAGGTGCCCACCTCCTGTCTGACCAGGTGCCTGGGGCCACTCAACCTGGAGCATGAGTTCTGACTGGACCAAGCCAGTTCCGGGGGGCTCTTCCCCCTTGCCAGTGATTGGTTCAGGCAAAGGCATGTTCTACATCTCTGGCCAATAAGCCATGAGAAGACATCTGCAGGGGGCTCTGGGAGAGGCTGTCTCTGGAGGGTGGGGCCCATGAACAGGAAGCTGTCCCCTCCCTGCTTCCCCTGCTGGAGAAGGGATGCCCTCTTGGGTCAACGCTGGGAAGCTCAATGGAAGGGGATTGGGTCCTAGCTGGTGCCTCTGAGCCCCTGAGGAACCAGCCCTGGAGCTGCCCTACCTTGGACCCTTGTGTTATAAGGAAGAATACACTTGCCTCAGCATGTAAGTTATTTTGCATTGCTTCCTGGTTCTCACAGCTGGAGGGCCCCTGCCCAATGAAGGACCCCGCCTCAGGGACCCACTGGGATAAAAGGTGGTGATGGGAGGGGAGGTGGAGAGGGCCTGTGCGGCTTTGGAGTGCCTCTGGCCAGGGTGGCTAGACATCCAGAGGGCTGGCCAGCACCATGGCCCAGTGACATGGTACCCAGGCCACCGCCTCCTGGGAAGCGCTGTCCCAGCCGCCACAGCTGGAGACATCTTCCTTTATGGGACCGCCAACACCTCCATCCATCTGAGTGTCATCAGGTGGCCCCTCATTCACAGCCTGAGTCTGGGCTGACAGAATCCCTCCGGCCACCCACAAGGGCTTTGTTTGGGGTCTGAATAGGAGCGAAAGTGACAGAAGCCTGGGTGGTCTCTGAAGTGGACTGGCCTCTGCAGGCATCCGCCCATCTGTCCGTTCCTTTTGCAAATGTTTCCACAGCTCTTCAGCCAGACTGACTGGCCTGTGGGGAGACAGAGAGGCTCCCAGGAAGCTCCCAGGGAAGGAACAGATGTCCTGGAGTTATTTTTGAGTGAAATAAAAATAGCCTCGGGAATAGCATAAAAGTGTGTAGGTGACTGTTAATACTGCCACACGCCCAGAGGCAGGGTAGCGTGGCTCCCAGCCTCTGGAGGCAGACATTGCTGAGCTGGAATCCCACCTCCTCCATTTCCCAGCTGTGTGACCAGTGGTGGATGACTCAACCTCCCTGAGCAACATCATTGCCTCATCATGTGTTAGGACTGAGAGGGGATGGCATATCAAGACAGCCTGGCAGCTGACACAGAGCAGGCTCGGGATAAATGAGGCTTTCATAGGCAGAGCATGCCTGGACGCTGGTCAGGAAGCTGCGGACACCCGTGAACCTCATGAGCTGGGACAGCCAGTCGTTGCACCTCTTCTTCCAGCAATTTTTAACTGGCTGAATTTAAAATATGAACTGGATCATTTTTAAACTTCGGGGAAAAAAACTCAATGAAACTCTTATGACTCTTTTGAAAAACTGCTGATAGCACTGTAGGGGAAGATAAGACAGAATCCATCACAATGTAACCCCCTCGAAGGTGTTACCCCAAATCCTTGCAGTTTTGGGGCCCAGAGGAGACAGACAGCCCAGAGGGCTTGGGAGATGTGGAAGGGCCTTGGAGGAGGAGGGGGTTATGCTGGACTGCAGGTGGAAGAACTGACACAGCAGGTGTGGGGAATGGGAATTCAAGAAGCGGGGCGTTGGTGTGAGCAAAAGGGAGGGAGGAGGGAGAGGGTAGCCAAGGCCAGGCCGTAGAGGTGCTCGAAGGGTCTGAGGAACCACCAGCTGTTCTCAGTGGCTGGAGGGCAGGGGGAGGCTAAATATGGGGGCGGGGGAAGAGGGAAGACACTCTCTTCTCGGGGGGCCTATGGAAGGACAGCTCCCTCCGTGCCCTCCGTGTGAGGCCCTCTGTTGACATCTCTGGCTCTCAGCATAGTTTGAAAGGCGCTGCTCGCTGTGGGCTTTGGTTGGCTTTAGACCCATTATTTAAGGTTACATGGGAATGTCTGCTCATCAAAGGGGGGTGCTGGCCTGCAGGAGTTGGGCCACTCTGAGCTGTGGTCCCTGGACCCTGCCTCCTCTAACCCATCTATCCCGCCCCATCCGAAACATGCCGAGCTCCCCAGCTCTGACACTTCAACTAGACTCAAACTGAAAAGCTCCCGCCAGTCCTCCCTCCATTCCCCAGAAAATGAGTTAACCAGGACACCTCATGGCCTTTCAGTAAATTGAGGTTTAGCTACAGAAACAAAGCAAAATACAGTGGCTCCAGGCAGAAATTCCACTGTTGCTGTCAGTACAACACAAGATGGCAAGTGAGAAGGGCGACTTGTTCTGGGAATCCCATAATGGAATTTCAAACGTACCATGAGGCCCTGGCAGACCCCGACCTCTCTGAGCCTCAGTTTTTTTGCCTGTGAAATGGGGCAGGTACTGCTCCTCACCTCACTGCCCACTGGTCAATCTCTCCACCACGGAAACCCCACTTGGATCCCAGGGGAGGTGCAGCCTGTAGCCCTGGCAGAGGACCTGAAACCTATCTGCGCCTGGTGTCTGCCTGCTCCCTGGGACTCACTGGTGTTCACGTACATTTCCTGGGCCAGGTCTAGCCAGGGGCTGGGGACAAGAGGAGCTCCCAGGCTCTGTGGGCAGCAGAGATTAAGGTGGCCCCGCCCCTTCCTATCCGTGGTCCCTGTGATGGGACAGGGCAGGATGGGGATTAAGGTTCCAGTTTCACTGATGAAGCAAGTGGGACCCAGAGAGGTTGAGTCCTTCACCCAAGATCACCAGGATGGCATTTCTTAGAGAGTGTCAATGTGTTACATGTAGAAAGGTTTCTGAAATCCGTAAGTTTGAGACAGGTTAGGCTGGAGTCAGCATTTTTACCCGGAGGCTTTCCTGGACTAAAGTGAAGGGGGAGCGGGCTCCATTTCCACATTGCTTGACCAACTGCTGGATCAGAATACCCTTTCCTCCCTCTGTTTGCTGGACACGGGTGGGACCCCTGCTCTGGGGATCTAGAGCTTTTCTCCCTTGCACAGGACATTAAATGGGCCATTTCCATGGCAAAACCGGCATCTGTGTGAGAGGAGGGTGGTGGTGTGCGCAGTCACCCCTAGAGGATGAACTGTCTAGGTTCACTTGCTCCACACCCCTGCCTGCAGCTCGTGGGTTCAGCTGCCAGCACTGATGCACTCACTTGGGGAGGAGAAATTCTGGTGGGTCCTCCCAGGACCAAGCTGCTCCCCAGGTGATTGAACTCAGCATCCCCAAACAGAACAAGTGAACCTCACACGGCCCCTCATGAGATGCTCGGTCCTACCCAGCCTGGCTGCGGCCCTCCCAGAGCCCCGACTGAGGCAAGGACGATGGCCAGAGGGGCTGTCTATGTCTCAGGCTTTCTAGCCCTCGCTTCCTCTCTGCTGCAACTGCACCTTCTCCTCGGAAGGACGCCCTGCAGTCTGAGTAGCTGTCCTCATGGGAGGCACCCCCAGGCAGCTCAGCAAATTCCTCAGGGCCCGTATGGCAGGGCCAAGGGCCACAGGGGAGGTCTTGAGTCTACTCATTTTGTAGACGCTCTTTGCAGAGGCAAAGTTCTTTTCCAGCAAGCACGGCAGGAGGCAAGAGGCCTCATCCATGATTGAGGCCCTTATTTATAATTTAAACCTCTTTCCCAAAAGAAAGTAGCTCAGAGGCCTGGGGTGGAGGACCAGTGTAACAGAGTCCTGGGTATCAGAAAGGACTCAGGCGTGTGGCACCTACACACCCTTCCCCTGGTTTATCCTCATGCGAGCCCTTGGAGGGAAGTTACTGGCCTCACTTAATAAACCAGAAAACCAAAGCTCCAGAGAGTCAGGGACTTAGCTGGGATCTCTGGGCTAGAAGAGAGGAAAGCGAGGTTGTTTTGTTTGTTTGTTTGTTTGTTTGTTTTTGAGATGGAATCGCACTCTGTCGCCCAGGCTGGAGTGAAGTGGTGCGATCTTGGCTCACTGCAACCTCTGCCTCCCAGGTTCACGCTATTCTCCTGCCTCAGCCTCCAGAGTAGCTGGGACTACAGGCGCCCGCCATCACGCCTGGCTAATTTTTTTGTATTTTTAGTAGAGACGGGGTTTCACCATGTTAGCCAGGATGGTCTCGATCTGTTGACCTTGGAATCCACCCGCCTCGGCCTCCCAAAGCGCTGGGATTACAGGCGTGAGCCACCGCGCCCGGCCTGGAAAGTGAGGTTTGAGCCTGGCATTCTGATCCAGGGCCTACGCATCCTCCATTAAACCGTGTGCCATCCAGGGTGGAAAGATGGGAGGGATTCTCATCCTGTCATCTCAACACAGATCTGCAGAGCCTGTTCACCAGGGTGGGACCCTGGAAGCTGCATTTTCCAGGGCCTCCCCTGGAGATTCTGATGATGAGACCCTGAGAGGGGAATCCAGATTGGGCGGCTGGTGGACCTCACCCAGCAGGGAGTGGCAGGAGCTGGTCTTCAACCAGGGCCCTGGTCTTGGAGCTGGCACATGCCCTCTGAGGCTGGCAGAAAGGTGGTTAGGTGGTGGCAGTGGGAATATTCCCAGCAGCAACAGTGGAAACAGAAGGGCTGTGCCATCACCCCTTCCCAGGCAGACTCAGCCCACAGCAGTCCCAGCCCCTCCAAGGGTGTGACACCATGCCCCCGCCCCCTTCAGCCCCCTCGGTGCAGTGCTGGGACTACAGGTGCGCACCACCATGCCTGGCCAATTTCTGTATTTTTAGTAGAGACAGGGTTTCACCATGTTGGCCAGGATGGTCTCCAACTCCTAGCCTCAAGTGATCCGCCCACCTCAGCCTCCCAAAGTGCTGGGATTACAGACGTGAGCCACCACACCCAGCCCAACTTGCACTATTTTCTACTATGCAATACCACCTTTTCAATTTACCCCTGTATCTGCAGCCGCAGGTGCAGGTATGTTTCTCCTTCATCATCATCATCATCCTCATCATCCTGGGACCACGTGGTGGCAGCAGCAAGCGCACAATCCCAGTGACTTATGGACTTGGATACTTATCCCTATCCCCACAAGAGCCCCAAATAATCTATAACCAGCGCAGAACTTCCTCTTCTAAATATCCCCAAAGACACAGAGTGCACCCTAATAACTCCTCTCGGTAAAGGGCTTAGGATGCACAAGGGCTGTGCTAAGTGCTTCACCCTCCTTCTTTCATTAGCATCATGAGAACCCTCTCAGGGGAACAGTATCGCATCCCAATTTCGCAGGTGAGGCACCAGGAAGTACAGAGGCCCATCCCAGGTCATAGAGCCGGCAAGCTGGAAATCTGGGAGTTGACCTCTGACCCGTTCAGACACTGAGTCCTTGATCACAAAGCCCTCCTGCCTCCCAAACCATCTAGCAGCCTCAAGAAGCAGAGAGGAACTTGCTTCCAAATCACAAGATTTTGGGGGCAGGGCTCAGGAGGAGCTGGGGCTCCTGGGTTCCGGGCTGGTCCCCTTGCACTCTATTTGTTTACTCACCCAGTCGGTTAAGTAACACTGTGCCCCTGTTACACACTATAAACCCAGTACTGTGTACCAGTACAACACCCTGTGTTGGAGGCAGAGGGCTGCAGAAACCCAGCATCTGTCCTCATGCCAGGAGAATCACAGAAATAAATGCTCCTCCCTGCTCCTTGAGTGCAGGGTGGGAACCAAGAGAGCTTGGGCTAAAAGGCTAAGTTTTCCTACACATCTGGAGTTTCTTTCTACCCAACGTTGCAATGCCCCTCACCTGGTAAGTGCACCCTGATTTTCCTCTGGGGAGCTGCTCCTCCCCATTCTCTGTGATTTGGGTGGACTGCCGCTGAGGATGGGCACCTGACCAGGCCTGGCCAAGTGGAGACTCATCCATTCCAAGCATAATTCTTTACATCAACTGGGAAAATAGCAAGCATCGTTGAAACATTTAATAGATGCTGGGAAGACATTTGATACAATTTACCATCTGGTCTTGAATAAGACTCTAACAAAAGGAGAACGGAGCGGAGAGGGGGTGGTCTTTATTAATATGCAAAAGAATATTGACCTAAACCTAAGTACTGACAAGGTACTTAATGGTAGGAAGCTACTGTCTCTCCACTGTAAAAAATTATAAGGAAAGGATGATGGGGTCCTGCCTCCACCATCCCTTACCAACCCTTATCCCTACTGGCTCCACCACCATCCAAGACCACACACGGGCCAGGGAACAGCCTCAGCCCAGCTAGCTGCATCTGGCTGCCCGGATCAACTCTGCGGCCGTCTGTGTGCATGTTTCATCTGGTCCATCATCCCTGCTCTGCTGCCTGGGACTTGGTTTTTCTGCCATGAGGCTGGAGTCCTCCCCTGAACCATAGCAGGAGGCCTGATGGCCTCTTGCTGGCCCCCTTCCCTCTCTATTAGGCCACCTCTTGTGCCAACACCAGCCTCGACCTCTTCAGGATTCACCACTTCCTTTGGGACCCTGTCTGTTAAGACCACTGCCCCTGCCCCAGCTGTTCTCCTTGACTCACAGCTGGGCCTGTGGCCAATGTTCCAGCACATGTCAGTTGGGGCGATGTCTCCTGTGCCCACCCCGCTTAGCTCTAGAAATGCTGGCGGCTCCCATCTCAGAAGAAAAAGTAATTGAACTCAAAAGAAGACACAAAACAATGACTTTTGAACTGGATGGCATGGCTTACCTAGGAAATGCAAAGTCATCAACCAGAAAACTACTAGAAATGATAAATGAATTCATACCAGTGGTGAGATTAGAGAAAACATTTACAAAAAATCAATTATATTCCTATATGCTAGTGACATGCAGCTAGGAAAAAAATCAATGGAAAAAAAGTACTTAATTCTCAGCAGTAATAAAACACATTAAATATTAAACATTTATTTAGTCCAATTGTAAAACACCTATTTTTAATGTTAATATTTTGCTCCTATTGGGAGGACTAAATATAGTATGTAAAGATGGCAGCACTCTCTAATCTAATAGACTGAATGCAATACCCGTTACAGACCCTGAAAAATGTGTTACATTCTTCAAAATCCATAAATAATGAAGACTATCAGAAGGATTTTTAAAAGGTAATAATGATTGGCTTGTTTCAATTAAAAATACATTATTCCAAGTCATAATGCTCAAAATGTTATAATGTTGCATTAAAAACAAAACAAAAAACTGTTGAGCATTAAAAAGAATGAAGGTAACAAGGTATGACAGGCTGGGGAGGTAAGGAGCCACAAGTTCATAGTGATACTCAGAAAAGGGGGGTGGAAGGAAAGAATTTTTTTTTTTAACAGAACAATGCTCTATCTGTGGAAAGAATGAGAGAATTAGAAAAAAATCACCATTTGGCAACCACCAGTGTAATTTACTCAGGCAAGGGGCATCAGTGGATGCTAAAACTATTATGTAAACCAAATGTTTACACTGTCCCAAGGTATGGTCCCACAGATTACCTATTAATTATAAGGGGAAAAGTACCATTATGTTGAATAGATGAGGTAGACACCACCTTAATCAAGTGATTGAACTCAGCATCCCCAAAATAGAACAAATGAACATCATGTGGCCCCTCATGAGATGCTCTGAGGACACACCACCACCTGTCCCTGCCAAAAACGCTTACTGTGTATCTAACCTCGAGGAAACAGACACATCCAGGTGATGGGACAGTCTATAGGACAACTGGCCTGGACTCCTCAGAAACATCAATGTTATGACAACTAGGGAAATCTGATTATGAGCTGAATCTTAGATGACATCGCTGAATTAATGTGAAATCCCTGGGTGATCATGGCACTGCATTTGGGCAGGAAACTGTCAAGTATTTATGGGAGAAAGGTCAAGATGTCTTTCATCTACTGAAAATGGTTCAAGCAAAACAAAACAACAGAAATGGAGTTAGATGATAGATGGATAGATAAGACAGACAGATAAGAGGTAGGGTGAAAGCCAGCCACGATGGCTCATGCCTGTAATCCCAGCACTTTGGGAGGCTGAGGCAGGAGGATTGCTTGATCCCAGGAGTTCAAGACAAGCTTGAGTAACATAGTGAGACCCCCATTTCTACAAAAAATAAAAATAAATTAGCAGGACGTGGTGGCACACACCTGTTAGTCCCAGCTATTCAAGAGGCTGAGGATCGCTTGAGCCCAGGAAGTTGAGGCTGCAGTGAGCCAAGATCACACCACTGTACTCCAGTCTGGGTGACTGAGCGAAGCCTTGTCTCAAAAAAAAAAAAAAAAAAAAAAAAAAAAATCAAGTGAAACAAAAAAACAAATGTGTCAAAACACTAAACAGTTGGTGAGTTAACTGGGGGTTATAAACAAAATGGCTTATTTATTCTTGTTAGAGATGGAAAATAAGTGTCTAACTACTAAAGAAGTGATAGATATAATCAGAAACAAAGCAGATGTGATATAATTGAAAGAAAACATATTCACACACAGGAAAACTTTTGAGCAATAAGATATGATTAACAGAGAGAAAGAGGAAAGCAACAGAGCAAGAAAAAATGGCATGACAAACAGTGCTGAAATATATAGAACTGACTTTAAAATAAAGGGCAAAACAAAAATTCCCCTTGATAAATGCTGAAAAAAGATCGATAGGACAGTTTATGCAGAAAGAAATACCAAGAGTAAATAGCAACATGGAAAAAATGCAAAGTCTCATGAGCAATTAAAAATGCAAGTGTAAACAAGATGTGAAATACCATTACACACCTATCAAACTGGCAGAAACAAATACATTAAAATAATAGTGCTGATGGGGTCGTGCAGAAACAGCACCCTCGTGCCTGGAGCAAGGCTTGCTTTGAGGCAGGGGAGACAGAAGGAGGAGACACGACCATTTTTAGAAAAGGTGACCAGAAGCCCAAAGCCAGTGCCTCTGGCCAGACAAATGAGCAGACAGGCCCTGGATTCCACCCACACAGTGTCTAGGACGTGCCTCCTGGGGGTCAGGGGTTGTGAGATGCCCACACCAGAGGCCACTCCTCTGGCTGGCAGCTGAGCGCCTGCGCTGGGAGCAGAGCCCAAGGGACAGTCAGTGGTACTGAGGGAGGTGCAGCTCAGCTCAGGGTACCCAGGACTCCTCCTCCAGGCTTTCTGCAGTGAGCCTGGCTCCAGACAACCCCCCTTCCGCCCTCTGGAGGGCATCATCTGGGGAGCAAAGTATCCCTGGGCCCCACCCTGCTTGCACCAGAGCAGGAGCTGAGCCCAGGGGTTGACCAGCTGGCCCAGGTGCCCTGCCAGGTGGGCTGGGCTCAGTGAGCTGGGCTGGGCAGAGCAGAGTGTCTGCACTATTAGTGCAGACACTAATAGTGACTGGTGTGAGGGCCAGTCGGTGCCTGGGATGAGGCAGGGGTGGGAGAGGGAGGAGACACCACCATCTCTAGAACAGATTCAGGCACAGTAAACACCTCGAGGTGAAAAAGGGTCACGATAGCTCACACCAGGCAATCATAACCAGATGTGGGTTTTAAGGTACAGAAATTCAATTCAGTGCTAGTTAGCTTTCTTTTTCCTACTATAAAAGTAAAACTAAGTATAAAGAAAACTAAGAAAAACTAAGTATAAAGTAATTTAAATTTCTATATCAAGAACAATATTTGATAATTTTTTTGCTTTTAAAATAAAGAGCAGGCTGGGTGCGGTAGCACTTTGGGAGGCCTAGGAGGGCGGATCGCCTGAGGTCAGGAGTTCCAGACCAGCCTTGCCAACACAGTGAAACCCCGTCTCTACTAAAAATACAAAAAATTAGCTGGGTGTGGCAGCGCAAATGCCTGTAGTCCCAGCTACTTGGGAGGCAGAGGCAGGAGAATCGCTTGAACCAGGGAGGTGGAGGCTGCAGTGAGCCGAGATCACGCCACTGCACTCCAGCCTGGGCGACAGAGCGAGACTCCGTCTCAAAAAAAAAAAAAGATCAGCTGCCCTTCAAATGATTCCTGAGAGCAAGGGCAGGCCCTGAGGCTGCGTGAGCTTGGCAGGCCTATGAGTGCCACCTGCGCTGGGCTCAGGGCTCCAGCACCCAGTCATGGAGGTGGGAATCATGGAGGACCCATGTGAACGCCTCCAGACCGCCTGGGAGCCTCCCTCTGACCCTCCCCTTCTCTCCATCCTCAGGGTCCCCTCTCCTTGCCCCTGAACTGGGACAGAAGCCTCCCACCTCAGCCCCTTCTCCCCAACCCACGCTACTTCTAGGTGGGTTTGTCTAAAGGCAATAGAGCTGTGTGGCCCTCTGCTTAAACCTCTTCAACATTTTATCCCGAAACCTTTGGGATAAAATCAAGCCCTGCCACCTCCTGCCTCCAGCCTGCCTGGTCAGCCCCTCCACCCCTGCAGGTGGGCCTCTGCACAGGTAGGTCTCACCTTTGGCATACCTGTCCTTCCCTCCACCCTGGCAGACCCTGTTCCAAACTCAGCCCCGCCATCCATTTCTGAAGTCCCACTCCAGAAAGGCTTTCTCATCTCCCAGGCAGAGTGACTCTCCTATCTTCATGCCTCAGCCACACCTGCACAAGCCCGCACCCTTCCCGCAGGTCTGGTTTCCATGTCAGTCCCCCGCCCCCACCGCAGGGAAGGAATCCTATCTTACTCATCTGTATACCCTCTGGCCCCAAACATGACACAGAATCTGACCTCAAAAAATCTGTAAAAGAGTGGATCAGACAGCTGACTCAGAAAACCTAGAGGTGGTGGTAACGGTCATTTTAACAAACATATGTGACACTATGTCACGTGTCGTTTTGAGGGTTTAACATGCATTGCTAATATTATCCCCACTATACAGATGAGGAGACTGAGGCATAAAGAGGTTAAGTAACTTCTCAGAGTCACGCAGCAAGTAAGTTGCAGAGCTGGGTC
Organism: Homo sapiens; assembly: GCF_000001405.40. Classification (NCBI taxonomy): domain Eukaryota; kingdom Metazoa; phylum Chordata; class Mammalia; order Primates; family Hominidae; genus Homo; species Homo sapiens. The sequence goes on along the minus strand of NC_000017.11, from coordinate 31,404,431 downwards.
TCAAACCAGATGTGTCTGACACTAGGGCCCAGCTCCCAGTCACTTCCCCAGGGCAGGGAGAGAACCTGAGAGATGGCCTGGCCTGATCTGAGGTGCAGTAGAAAAGTGGAAGTGGGGACGGGGCGGAGAGCAGGATGGGGCCAAGGCCGGCTGGGGCTGCAGGGCCTCTGACTGGGGAGGATCTGCAGTGCAGGCCGAGGAGGATGCAGGAACAGGAGTGTGTGGTCCACGGGCTGGCGGGGCGGCCAACTGGAGACAAAGAAGACTCAGCCCCACACAGCCTGGGCCTGCAGAGGATTACCTATGAGTGCCTGGCAGGAAATCGGAGCAGTCAGAGAAATGCGCACCTCCTGGGGCCATGGAATCACCATTTGAACAGGAAGTGGCGCAGATGCATAATTCTGGGCACAGTTCGCTGGCAGCCTCCCTCCCTGCCCAGTGCTGGGATGCAGTGCCCATGAGAGGGCCCCTGGCCGCCCATCCTGCAGAGCCCAGACCTACTTCTGATCTGCGCATTTCCCAACCGAGACCACCCCAGGCTCAAAGTCCCCAGCCAGAGGAAGTCTCAAATTTCAGATTTCTCCAATGTTAGATTTCTGGAACTCAGATCAGGTCACTCTCTCCCTCCTCTGACCTTCTAAGAACATGAGACCCCCACAGCAGGAAGCTAAAAAGGCAGCTTTAGAACCTGACAGACCTGGGTTCTAATCCCAGCTCCACCAGTTACTCAAGACCCTGGACAAGTCACTTCACCTCATGGAGGCTCCTGGTTGCCGTGATGACGAAAGGGATTAAGAAATACAAAGGCAGGGCCGGGCGCGGTGGCTCATGCCTGTAACCCCAGGACTTTGGGAGGCCAAGATGGGTGGATCACAAGGTCAGGAGATCGAGATCATCCTGGCCAACATGGTGAAACCCCGTTTCTACTAAAAATACAAAAAATTAGCTGGGTGTGGTGGTGCACTCCTGTAGTCCCAGCTACTTGGGAGGCTGAGGCAGGAGAATTGCTGGAACCTGGGAGGCAGAGGTTGCAGTGAGCCGAGATTGCGCCACTGCACTCCAGCCTGGGTGACAGAGCGAGACTCCATCTCAAAAAAAAAAAAGAAAGAAAGAAAGAAATACAAAGGCAGCCAGCAAGTTTTGGTGGGTCCTGGAGTCCTTGGGTCTCCATATCCTCTCTGTCCATGGAAAATCACCAGTGGCTGCAGAAGACTTTGGTCATTGCACAAGGGAGCCCCATGCCTGGGGTGTACTGGGCAGAGAAAGGGGTCAGAGGTGCAGTCCTAGGACTGAGGGCAGCGCAGTACCCATGTGGGTCATGGCTGGGCGGGGGGGCGGGGCGGTGAAGAAATGATGCAATAGCCACCATGCTCAGTCATACTCATATATCTCTATATATTCAATCTCCAACCATCACAACAGTGCCACAAATAGGGGTATGACCTCTATTTTACAGATAAGGAAACTGAGGTCCACCTATCATAATAAGCACCTTTAAAAATAATCTGGCCAGGCGCGGTGGCTCACGCCTGTAATCCCAGCACTTTGGGAGGCCAAGGCGGGTGGATCACAAGGTCAGGAGATCGAGACCATCCTGGCTAACACGGTGAAACCCCGTCTCTACTAAAAATACAAAAAAAAAATTAGCCAGGAGTGATGGTGGGCGCCTGTAGTCCCAGCTACTTGGGAGGCTGAGGCAGGAGAATGGCGTGAACCTGGGAGGCAGAGCTTGCAGTGAGTCAAGATTGCGCCACTGCACGCCAGCCTGGGCGACAAAGCAAGACTCTGTCTCAAAAATAAATAAATAAATAAATAAATAAATAAATAAATAAAAATAAATAAAATAATCTGAGCCTTCACATTTTTCAGCAAGGTCCCAGCTCTTGCCAGACCCAATGGCCTGTGTGGGAAGTGAGAAATCATAAAAAAGAGTTGATTCCATAGAGGGCAGGAATCACTGCACTGAGGTGTTGCTGCTCATCCAAAACTCATCTGAGCTACTCAGACCCTCCCAGCTCCTGAGCCCTCCCGAAAGTCACCATCTGGTCCCTGTTCCAGCCTGAGTTCTCAGTCTCCCTGCCCTCCCTGTCCTTTCACCACATGGAGACACTTGTCACTCCCTGAAAATACCAGTCCCCATCCCTGGGTCTGTGCTTAGGACTTTTGCATGACTGATACTCAGGAAGTGGTAGATGGTGGGTGGATGGATGGATGGATGGATGGATGGATGGATGGATGGATGCATGGACAGATGGGGAGGCTACGGAAGTGGGCAGAAGGGTGGATAAACAGATGGGTGGACTAAGGGGTGCGTGGCTAATGAATGGATGGGTGGATGGACTGTTGGATGGGCGGTTCACTGGACGGATGGATCAGGAGGTACATGGTTGGGTATATATGGATGGAAGGGATGATGGATGGGTAGATGGATGGGTAAGTGGATGCTTAGGTGAACCGGCAGGCAGATGGTTGGATGAATGGGTGGAGGAAGTGTGAGCAGATGGAACTCTAGGAGATAGATTTCAGCTCGTTATATGAACAAGAACTCAGCCAGAGCCCTGCCAGGTGAGAATGGGCTTGCCTTGGGAGGCAGCGCGTCCCTGTCTCTTGGCTACTGAGTGATGCAGGCACTGAATGGGAGTCTCATTGAATGACCTCTACTCCCCTTCTGGTTTTTGTTTTGGTTCAAATCAATCCTCTGTCTATCCTGTCCAGGTGCTAGCCTTAGACTGGGATCTTCCTGGGGACAGTGCCCACTGCAGGCCCATGTGTCATCAGCAAACACTTTGGAGGAAGCTGGCAATCTTCTCCGGGTTTTGCGCCTGTAAGCCCTGAGCCACAGCAACTGCAGTGTGTGTTGGACTCAAGGCCTTGGTCTCCAGGGAAGCCAGAGGTCCTTACAGCTGGAATCTGGGCTACAGCTGTATGGAGCCTGCTCCCCGTCTTGGGTCATGGGTTGTTATAGAAACCTATAAGGATTCTGGGCTGCTCTGCTCATCCTGCCCTCAAGGGCACAGAAGCTATGGACAATGGGTCCTCAGCAGTGACCTCAGGGGTGACAGGTTGCAGGGAATTGGTGACCCTAAGCTATGGCCCCTGGGGGAGTCTCCAAGAATCTGAAGATGCTGGGGCAAGCCTGGCATTTTTTTTTTTTTTTAATTAGACAGAGTCTCGCTGTGTCGCCCAGGCTGGAGTGCAGTGGCGTGATCTTGGCTCACTGCAAGCTCCACCTCCCGGGTTCATGCCATTCTCCCACCTCAGCCTCCCGAGTAACTGGGACTACAGTCGCCCACCACCATGCCCAGCTAATTTTGTTTTTGTATCTTTAGTAGAGACGGGGTTTCACCGTGTTAGCCAGGATGGGCTGGGTCTCCTGACCTCGTGATCTGCCTGCCTTGGCCTCCCAGAGTGCTGGGATTACAGGCATGAGCCACCGCTCCCGGCCAAGCCTCACTTTTAAAGGGGGCCAGACCACACCTAGGTCAGCTTCTGTAAACTCCTTTGTTGTGGGCAATGAGATGAGACCCCAGGGCCAGGGTAGAAGGAAAGGGAGAAAGAGCCCAGGATGTGCCAGGCGGTGGGGGCTGAAGCGTGGTCCCCAGACCTGTCCATCGCCACTGGCTCCACAGCTGCACTCAGGTCTCACAGGCCAACGTGGAGCTCCCGAGTCCTCACCCAGCCCTCTTCCTCTCTGCCTCCCCACCCAGCAACGGCAGCTTGTCTCCAAAGTCTCCTCTTGCTCACTCCCACTGCCAATCGGCTCCATTTTCAAGATCCAGCCACTGCTCCACGGCTTCTCCTCTGCTCCTGGCCCCCAGCGCCCATCACCTGGGTGAAGAACTAGCCTTGGTGCTGGTCTCCCTGCCTCTCCCCGGCCCCTTCTGCCTCTCCGAGGAGCCACACAGCAGCCAGGGTGGTCCCCATTAAACCTAAGTCTGATCCTGTATCTCCTCCGCTCAGAACCCTTTGGGGGCTTCCATCTCATTCCAAGAAAGCCAAAGCCCCTGCAGGGAAGGCCACAGGAACTGGCCCCACCCTTGTCTTCGGGCTCACTGTGCCTCTAAGCCCCTGGGCAGGCTCCTGCCTCTGCCTGGACCACGTTTCCAAGACATATGCAAGGTGCAGCCCCCATTTCATTCTGGGCTCCACCTCAATAGCCATCTATGACATTGTTCTAAGTACACTGGCTTTTGTTTCGGCACTAATGTTTCTTTCTGCCACTTACCCGCACCTGACAGTTGTTTCTATTCCTTTGCCTCTTTTCTGCGACCCCTATCAGAATGCGAGCCCAGGTCCCTGTTGTTTCCTATTTCCCAGTGCCCAGGGCAGGGTTGGCACACAGTAGGTACCCAAGATGTTAATGGAATAAAATGGCTTTTTTTTTTTTTTGAGATGGAATCTCACTCTGTCGCCTAGGCTGGAGTGCAGTGGCGCAATCTCGGCTCACTGCAACCTCCTCCTCCTGGGTTTAAGCGATTCTCCTGCCTCAGCCTCCCGAGTAGCTGAGATAACAGGCGTGCATCATCACGCCCGGCTAATTCTTGTATTTTTAATAGAGACAAGTTTCACCATGTTGGCCAGGGTGGTCTTGAACTCCTGACCTCAGGTGATCCGCCTGCCTCAGCCTCCCAAAGTGCTAGGATTACAGGCTTGAGCCACTGCGCTGGGCCTAGGAATAAAAATTTTTTATTTGTATTTATGTATTTATTTTTATTTTTTGAGACTGAGTCTCGCTCTGTCATCCAGGCTGGAGTGCAGTGGTGCAATCTCAGCTCACTGCAACCTCCGCCTCCCGGGTTTAAGCAATTCTCCTATCTCAGCCTCCCAAGTAGCTGGGACTACAGGCGCATGCCACCACGCCCGGCTAATTTTTGTATTTTTAGTAGAGACAGGGTTTCACCATGTTGGCCAGGCTGGTCTCGAACTCCTGACCTCAAGCAATCTGCCCGCCTCGGCCTCCCAAAGTGCTGGGATGACAGGGTTGAGCCACCACACCTGGCCTAGAATAAAAAATTTTTAAATCTGGACCCGTGTTAAGGGTAAATGTAAGGGATACTTCCATAAAATCAACTCTATAAAAATTTCAGCGCATTTACCCAATAACTTGGGGCTAGGAGGACAGCAGTGACTTGGGCAAGCCATATGCCATTTCCAGGCCAGCGGGCATTTCCCCTCCATCCCGCCCAGGTTGGTGTGACTCAGCTCTAAGAGTCTATCTCAGCCAGCTGTCAGGTTCCCCTTCTGCACTGTTCCTGGTGGCACTGCTCAGGGCTGGGGTGGGGATGACTGCTCAGTGGGCCAAAGGGGTGCTGCAACAGGAAGGGAAGGAGCCCTCCGCCCTACACTCCAGGGCTGAGGCAGAACCCCTCCTCCATGTGGACCTGTGAACACCCCTATTCCTGCCGGCCGAAGGTTGCCCAGGCCGGGGCACCATTGTCCAGGAGCCTGCTGCCCACCCTAGCAATGCACTGCCCTCCAAGGCAGTGTTGCCCAGTGCCGAACTTCTCAGGCAGTGGAGGCCCTGCTGAAGGAAAAAGGGGTGGCTTTGTAGCCATCGCCCCCGTTCCCAGGTTCCTGGGCTCCCTACTCCCCGCCCACCAGCCCAGGCAGCACACAGGAATCTCCTGGCCCAGCCTCTCCTCCCTCTGTCCGGTCCTTTCTTCTTCTTTTCCTCTTTGGTTTTCTTCCCGGTGCTAGGGAAGGCTCCTAAGCCTCAGAGCCAGGGCCAGGTCTGAAAGCCACGCTGCCTGTCCAGCCTCGTGACCCACCTGTACAAGGGGGAACGTCACACTTCATGGGCTGGACGCCCATAAGGGAAGCTTGTGGATGGTTCAAGGTTCTCTACCCACTGATATCCCTCGGAGGGCACGTCTTGCTGATGGGAAGGGCTGATTCTTCCCCCTACTCAGGTCTATATGTCCCCCATTCAGGTCTCACCAATGGAGGCAGGGATCACACCCCCCACCCCCCATGGCACGGTCTCTCAACGCTGGCATTTCCTCCTTCTCTAGAACTCCAGTGTCTTGGGAATGACGCTGGAACTCAGCAAGGTTTTGCCAAATGGATTCAGGCTTCGTCAAGAGTGTCTGACAGGCCAGCTGTGGTGGCTCACGCCTGTAATCCCAGCACCTTGGGAGGCTCAGGCAGTGGATCACCAGAGGTCAGGAGTTAAAAGACCAGCCTGGCCAACATGGCAAAACCCTGTCTCTACTAAAAATACAAAAAATTAGCTGGGCGTGGTGGCACATGGCTGTAATCCCAGCTACTCGGGAGGCTGAGGTGAGAGAATCGCTTGAACCCCGGAGTTGGAGGTTGCAACGAGCCACTGCACTCCAGCCTGGGTGACAGAGTGAGACTCCGTCTCAAAAAAAAAAAGTGTCTGACAAAAAATTAGCTGAGCATGGTGGCATATACTTGCAGTGCCAGCTACTTGGGAGGCTGGGGCAGGAGGACGGTTTGAGCCCAAGAGCTCGAGGCTGCAGTGAGCCATGATGCACCCCTGAACTCCAGCCTGAGCTACAAAGCGAGAGCCTGTTTCAATTAAAAAAAAAAAAAAAGGCAGGGGCGTGTCTGATAAGATGGATGAGTCCCAGCAGACTTTCTGCATCTGGCCTCCTCCCAGCACAGCCAAACTGGTGGGCACAAGAGGCCAGAGGGTGCCCCAGCTAGGACTCGTCCTCCCGCCTCAATGCAGAGTGTGGTGCCACATGCCCATCCCCAGGCCCCAAGGGATCCCCAGCCCTGGCCCCACTTCCATGATGACCTCCAACCTCAGGAGCACAGTTTCCCAGAAGCATAGGAAAGAGAACATCTCTCTGGGCTCACTCTTGTCCTGCTTCCACCTCAGGTCCCAGGCACTCCCACCTTTTCTGCCAGGCTCAGGGCACCTGGGCCTTCCTTCTGATGTGCCAGCCTTGTCACTCTGCATGGTAGCCTCATTAGGGTGGGGCACATAGAGGTTGCCTGGTCTCAAAAGAGCACCTTTAACTATCACCTTTTGGGAGTAGCTCGTTGGGACTTTGCCGGCCTTCCAGGCCCCTGTCAATTCTGCACCCCCCGCCACTGCCCAAGTTAGGATGCTCTTCCTCTCTTACCATGTGCCACAGTCCCGAGGAGGCCTCCTGCCTCCAATCCTGCTCCCCATCCCCTGTTCTCTCATACACATCCACTCTTGGCTGCCTAGGTCTCACTGCCTACAGGGAACCACTGATCTGGCCCTACCTTCCCCTTCACCCCTTCCTCCAGCCACAGCTGTGGGGATACAGTTGTTTCTTCCCTGTTATCCAATTGCTACTCCTGAGCAGAGGAGCTTTAGTTCCAGGTGCTCCTGTTCCTGGAAGCCACGTATCTCAAAAGACATCGATCCCAGCCCCAGGGCTGGCTCCTGGCCGGTCTCAGCCCATCCTAGCACCCCAACCCCTTTGCCATTTCAAAGACCCAGGCTTAACCCAAGTGGCACTAGCAATTCCCCCATAGCAGGCATTAGCTCAGAGGGGACCTGAGGACTCAGGGAGCCCAGTGGGGACCATCATTTCATTTCCAAGCAGGCAGGACAGGCCCACTGTCCAGAGGAGATGGTGCTGTGTTAATGCATGGGAGAGGCCTACTTGGTGATTCTTATTTCTATTTTTCTAGCAAGAAGGACGGTCTTCAAACTGGAAAGGGAAGAGGACCATGTCACAGGGAAGTGTGGTCCAGGACATCTCTGGCTGCTTTCAATGTCTACCATTCTGACTGCCGAGGGGACGTAAGAGGGGCAGGAACACCACAGCTGGTTAAGGAGGGTGAGTTGAGCACACAGAGGCCGGTGCCAGATCTTGACCTCAATTCCTAGCAAATCTCCAGCCTAGAACAGCCTCTCAAAAATGCTTGCAAGTGTTTAGAAAATAATAATAATGACAAGGAGAGCACCAGCAATTCTGATATTATGCCTACTCTGTGCAGATACTGGACTAAGCCCTTTGTATGTATTAACTCACTCAAACCCCACAATAACCCTATAGAATGGGGACTCTGATCAGCCCCATTTGATGGATGAGTAAATAGAGGCCTAAAGAGGTTAGGGAGACAATGCAATATATCAGAAGGCAACACAGGGTCAGGATGTTGAGCCATCATGTTACATACTTATCAGAGTCCTGCTCCCTGGCATTGTAGACTTTCAGGATCAGGGCAGTGGTGTGCCCCCATCCCTCAAAAATCTGCATTTCTTTCTTTTCTTTTCTTTTCTTTTCTTTTTTTTTTTTTTGTGGCAGGGTCTCACTCTGTCACCCAGGCTAGAGTGCAGCGATGTAATCTCAGCTCACTGCAACCTCCGCCTCCCAGGTTGAAGCGATTCTCCTGCCTCAGTCTCCCAACTAGCTGGGATTACAGGTGCACGCCACTACACCGGGCTAATTTTTGTATTTTTTGTAGAGATGGGGGGTCTCACCATGTTACCCAGGCTGGTGTGGAACTCCTGAGCTCCAGTGATCCTCCCACCTCAGCCTCCCAAAGTGTTAGGATTACCGGCATGAGCCACCACGCCCGGCCCATTGTCTCCTCTTTTCTGCTGTGATACCTAGGTCAACAAAGTAGGGAACTATCAGGGACTAACCTAATCCATAAATAACATTATTAAGTAACATTCATACTTGATCCTGACTTCCTTAGTTTTTACCTAATGTCCTCTTCTTGATTCTAGGGTCCCATCCAGGACACCACACTGCATTTAGTCAGCTGCCTCCTTAGTCTCCACTTGGCTCTGACAGTGTCTCAAAATTTCCTTGTTTTGGATGACCTTGACAATTTTGAGAGGTCCTAATCAGGCATTTTGTAGAATGCCTCTCGGATGGGATTTGTCTGGCATTTTTCTCAGGACTAGACTGGGATTACTGGTTTGGGAGGAAGACCACAGAGGAAAAGTTCTATTCTCACCACATCACACCAAGGGTGTATGCCATCATCACAATCTGTCACTATCGATGTTGTCCTTGATCACCTTCTGAGACAGTGTTTGTTGGGTTTCTCCACTATACAGTTGCTGTTCCCCCCACTTTCCAAACTCTACCCTTTATAAGGAAGCCACTACGCACATCTCATGCTTACACGGTGGGACGTTATGCTTCACTTCCTCAATGGGGCAATTATCAACATACGTTATTCAGATTTCTTCTATACGAGAGATTTTCCTATTTATTTATTATCATCTGTTCAATAATTTATACATATATATATTTCATTATGGCCTCATGGATATTTATTTCATACTTTATGACCTAGTATATTTTGGTTTTTGCAAAGCATTTGATCCTGGTATCCCTGGTATTCTGGGGGTAGGTGGTAAACTGTGGACAATCAGCTCTAAGTTCACTGAACTACATATCTAATGAATGATCATTATCCATCCCAGAGCACAAGTGGCTGGGAAATCAATGTCACTGCCTGATTTTAAAACAAATAAAATAGAAACAGTCAGAGTACACTGCATTTCGTAAGGGAGCCCCCCCCCCCCGCCCCCCGCCACCCCACCGCTGGAAAACAACACTCCGATTTTTTAATGCATCAGGGGATAAGATGGGTAGTGAGTAGAGATGCAAAATATATTTCCACGGGTCTCGGTCAATACAGCATAAGCCGAAAACCACCCCTACAAGTGCCTCGGGGCCCTGTCCATGGTCCTGCCCTGCAATGTTTAACCAGCCTTGTGGATTCAGACACACCAAGCACTGCTTCTCCAGCCCGCAGGCAGCAGCACAGCTGAGAGTGATAGAGGTAGGATGCTAGATTCTCTTTCTTGACAGATACAATGTGATGAAATGAACAAGACGAAATTAAATGGGAATAAGGGCCAAGAAACAGGCTTAGATTCCAGAAATTACTGACAGACAACAGGCCCGAATGCTTCCACAAGCCAGGATTGTTAAAAGAAAAAAGAAAAGAAAAGAAAAGAAAAAGGAATTGTGTACAGTAAGAGAGACTAAAAGGTGACAACAACCACATACACTGCACAGTCCTGGAGAGGAAACAGCAAAAATGGACATTTTGGGGTCAAATAGGGAAATCTGAAAAAGGTCTGCATATTAAACCAGATGAAAATTTATTGAAGCAGAAAAGTCATGATCATTTACCGGCAAAAAAAATCAGGTTACAAAACAGTATGCACAGTATGATCTCATTTTCTGGAGAAAATTGACATATAAGCATGGAAACAGCTCTGGAAAGGTCTGACAGAAGTGTCATTGAGGCGCTGCCTGAGAGATAGGACACAATACTTTTTATTTTGCTTGTCCCTATTTCCAGTTTTCTGCAATGCATATCCACCGCTTCTGTAGTAATCTCAGAGTATGCTTTTAAAAGAAAAAAATCACTGACCCTCCCCGAAGGGTGGAGAATCCCTGGCTTGGCAGAGGTTTCTAAAACAGATCCCTGGAGGTTTCGGTGGCCAGAAACTTAATATAAGCAGAGTGCAGTGCCCCATTCAGAGGCAGCCCCACCCTAAGCTGTGTGCATATGTGTGAGGTCTTGGGGCTAATATAGTCCTGGTGGGGGCGGCGGGGGGCGGTCTGCTTGTCCAGCCCTTTCATGTTATTGCTAGGAAAACTGAATCACAGAATTAGTCGATGGCAGCTCCAAGGCCAGAAGCCAGAGGTCTGGCTACTGGGTCACATGGAAATGGCCTAGGGCTTCAGGAACTGGGGTATTTGGCCTGGAGAAGGGAAAATGGGAGTATGGAGCTGGGAAGGAGAGAAGGGGCAGGAGTGCTATTTTCAAATATTTAAAGGCTCCCCCAAAGAAGAGAGACCTATGTGAGTCCCCGTGCAGAACGGTGATGACTAAGTGACAAGCAGGTCTGTCTCTAGAGTGTATGAGGGAGAAGGTTCTAATGGCAGGAACTGTCCAGCTGGGGGAGAAGTGGGTGAGGCTTGCTGGGCACGTGGCTGAGGCCGGTGGCCCCTGCCAGAGGTTGTTGGGAGGCCCTTCCCACTACTGAGGCTCTGAGTTCGGGGACTCCAGGTTTCAGCCAGAGCTGGTAGCTTCTTTACCCGACCTGCAGTCTGTGTTCTGAGAGGAAGGAGCGCGACTATCCCCATGCCAGGAGTCTGCTCAGCCTGCCCCAGATGGGAGCCACTGGAAAAACGGAAGGGCTTGGCTGGCCTTTGGGGAAGAAGGGTCATGGTGGCAGCAGGCAGTGTCCCTCAGCAAAGCCCCGCAGAGGGCAGTCTGGGCTCTCACAGGCACTGCAGTGGTCTTTCCTGTGGTGGGTACCTGAGTTCTCAAGCCCTGAAGCTGCCTCACTCTCTTCTGCCCACAGCTCTCAGCGACTCACAAGTCCCGGCCCATGCCCAGGTGCGGGTGGAGAGATGATTCTCAATCGCCTCCCACTCTCTGGTGACGCAGAGGCACGGGCCCAACCTGGCCATCACCCAGCTTCTCCCATGTTCTGAAATGCCTGGTCCGACCTGTTCTGGGAACACAATGCCAGCCAGTGCCCATTTGAGGCCCATGGCCCCAGGCCCCCCATGCAGGGCCTGAGGCCTTAGATGGCCTTGGAAACCCACTTCTCAGGGCTTTTGGCTCCAGGGGAAACCCCTGACCATTTCAGCCAGGTGGGTGTCTTGTCCTCCCCTTGAGACACAGTCCCCAGTCCCCATGCCGGTGGCACCAGAGGACACTGGTGTAGTGTGCGTTTAGTGATATGACTCCGTCCACCCTACTGGCGGCACCGACCCTCCGCTTCCAGCCCTGTTAACAATCTACGTAAGTCCTGCTTTCCCCAAATAGATGCGGCCCCGCCACATGAAAGCCCTCTGCTCAGCCACCACTCCCCGAGCCTGGCTTTGCCTGGCCTGCTGCAACCAACACAGCCAGCTGCCAGCCTGGCTGCCCAGCAGAGCCTGAATGAGAGGTCACCCGACACTGGCCCGGGAGTACACGGTGGCCCCAGCAGACACCTCCTTCCGTGTCTGGGCAGGGTGTGTGCAGCCGAGGAGCCAAGGCTGCAGAGCACCCCTACCGGTCCCTTTCACCCCCTGGCCCGGCCCAGCAGGACGTACACAGACCCTTGCATCTTGGTCTCCGCAGCGCCGGGTGGGGTGGGGAGCCTAGGGCCGGATTCTGGCAGCTCTCTCCCCCAGACAAGGGTGGATGTGCAGACCGCTCAGAAGGACCTGCATGGCCGAGGAAGGAAGGTGGGCGCAGAAGCCACCCTAGGCGTGACGCGTGACGCTCGGGGCACGGGCGCCGGGGGGCGGAAAGCGAGGGCCCGGCTGGGCCAGGGATACCCGGGGGGGGCCGAGGTCCTGGGCTCCGGCGGAGGGAGGGGATTGGGAGGGAGGCCACCGCCTCGGGCCACGCGGGTGACCCGGCGGGGGAGCTGGGGGAGGGGCGGCGGGGCTGGGCTGGGGTCCCCGGGCCGGGACTGGGGTCGGGCCAGCTTACCTCCTCGCCCTGGCCGAAGCGCAGTCCGAGCGCCGCGACGCGCTCCACGCGCAGGAAGCCGTCGGGGTCGCGGCCGCACACCTCGAACACCTCGCGCAGGCGGCGCACGGAGCGCAGCAGAGCCGCGGGGGCGCCCGACCAGCCCGCGCCGCCCGCCATCCGGGCCGGCCCGCAGCTCAGCCCGGACCCCTCGCCCGCCGCGCCCGCCGCCTGCCCGCCGCCGCCATCGCCGCGCGCCCTCCGGGGCCGCCCGTCTGGGTCTGCGCCGCGCAGCCTCCGCCCGGTGGCGGCCGCGGCCGATCCGTGTCAGCAGCGGCGCCGCAGCCCCAGCCGCTCCGGAGGGGAAGGGAGGGGAGGGGAGGGAAGGAGAAGAGTGGGGAGGGGAAGGAGGAGGGGCAATAGGGGGCGGGGAGGGGAGGGGCGGGGGCCGCGGCGAAAATGGGAGGGAGAGGGGGAGGCGGCGGGGGCGGCGGCGGCGGGGACGCTGCAGACAAAAGGAGCCCGCGTCCTCCCGAGTGGGGCGGCCCACGCGGGGCCGGCAGGCGCAGCGAGCTGCCAACGGCCGCGTCCTCCGCGACCTCAGTTTCCCTCCGCGTCCCCAGTTTCCCTCCGCGTCCCCGAGCCCACCCCTTCCTCTGGACACCCGGAGCCACCCAAAGGCCCTGCCCTGCCGGAGGATTCCGCGGGGTCGCGCCCCTTTCCGCTATCCGTGCCCGCTGCCGCGCCTGGCGTCTCCCGAGCGCTCAGGATGTCCTGGGGGCCTCCTGCATTGGCGCGTTCCGTGACTGCATTCATCCCGGAGGAAGCTGAGGCCCAGAGAGGTCGGACTCACTCTAGGCCACACAGCTGGCAAGAGGCAGGGCCGGGATTCGCTGCCATCTCTGGAGGGCTCTGGACTCCGTTCTTCACCTCCGCCCTGCGGTCTCCCGGCGCTCTCCTGCAAGACAGCACTTGTGGGGCCATCGGGCGGGGGAGGGCACAGAGAGGAGGAGCAGGCAACTGAACCCCAGCCTGGACCCGGGACCCTGCGACGGGGAGATGAGGAGAAAACCAGGATGAGGCCGGAGGGAGGAAAAGCGAGGCGCTTCCAGAGGCCTGCCTGTTCAGGGCCCAAGGCTGCTCCACGCCTGGAAGAGGCTTCCTCCCTTTCGCCGGGTTCCCACCATCACACCTCCCTGGCAGCCCGCATGCCCCAAGCTCAGAGAATCCAGGACAGAATCTCTGTCCCGCTGGCCGCAGGCTCTAGGTCAGGACCCTGGCCTCCTCCCATTAGTGCTCAGCGGAGCCTCCACCCCAGCTTGTGCTAACTTCCCAGCCCAGCCTCGGGGCCCTGCAGGACCCGGCCGGGCTCTTCTCTCCACCTTCTTGCTCGGCACATCAGGTCTTTGTGGCAACGACTGGCCCCAACCCAAAAAAAGGCCTTGGCTGAGTCTACTCCCACCTATGCTGTCATGCTCAGCACAGAGGTTTCCTCCTCCGGGAAGGCTTCTCTGATGGCACGCCATCTTATCTTCTATTCTGAGTTCTAAGCCCTTCTTCCAGGTGCCCAGTTAATTCTTAATTCTCTAGTGGGATGCCCATTTCCCCTACCATGCTGGGAAGCCCTCCAGGGCAAGATATGTCTTAATTACCTTCAAGTCCCTGATCTCCAGGCAAGAGTGGGCCCAGAGGAAGCCCCACCCAGAGGGGATGGGCCCGCCCATTATGTGAGGAGCCGGGAGCAACGTAGTGGCGCAGACAGGGAGTACGGGGTGAACTGCATGGCCTCCCCTAGCTGGGCCTCGGTTTGTACCTCTGTGGTCTTCCTGCTCAACCCTGAATATATCCTGCGCAGGGACTGCCATTTGCCTTCTGACAGTGGGCGGGGACCTCTTCTTTCCAGCCCCGGCTCCTGGGATGAACCTGGCTTTTAGCTACTCTCCTTTGACCCTTCAGTTCGTCTGAGAGCCACGAAAGGCAACACCTCTTGGGAAGAGAGACCTGTGGTTCTGAGGATTGAGGAGTCCGAAATGTGAGAAAGCGGGAAAGGGGAGGCCGTGGGAGTGGAGTAGGGGTATTCGGCTGAGTAGGAGCGTCTCTGCTAGCTGGATGCCGCTCAGCAGGATACTAGCATATTTTAGCCGGTTTCCTCGCCTGTACCGTGAGGATAATAGTACCTTCCTTTTAGGGCAACTGAAGATGAGAGCGAATCTAAGCAATGCTGCTTTCCCCCGACCTACCCTGCAAAATGGAGGTGGAAGTGGAGAATAAGGACAAGCAGCTGGCTGGGAGAGACTGGCTGCTGGAGATCCAGCCAGCCCCCTGGCAAGGAGGTAGGGAGTGGAAGCTGGGGGCTGCTGCCTGCCCCTGGGACCCCGATATTAGTTCGTCCAAGGTCAGCTCGTGCCATTTTCTCTCACCCAAGGGGCTCAGCACAGAAAGGAGATGGCCAGGAGCTGGGGCTGCCCCCTGGTGGGGGCTGCAGAAATGGCTCTCCGCGCTCAGCCTGGCATTGAATGCCCCCTAACTGGGGACAGGGGAGCTGGAAGACTCACCCACTTCAGCTGGCAGAGGCGGGGACCTCAGACCTGAGCATGAACAAATCCCAAGTGAACCAAGACAGAATCCCGCAACCAGATTAGCCAGTTCTTGTCAAAGACAGGATCATCACAAATTCAAAAATCCCCCAGGAGAGCTTTCCCTGACCGGACTCTCCTTGCCCAGGTCTCTGCAGTTTTGTCTCTGGTGGGCGATGGTTTGAAGGACACCTGCCTCCCCCACCAGTGGCACTGGGTCTCTTGCTCACCGCTGTGCTGCTGGGGCCAGCAAAGCACGTCACAGGCATTCTTTCTGGGGTTGTCACGTTTTTGTTGAGCACCTACGTTGTGTTGGGTATGCTAGGGAGACAGTGAAAGGGGTGCAGCCACTTGCTGAACTTGATGGGGGCAGTCATGGCCCAGTGTGATCTACACTGAGGTGCCAGGCTCTAGGAGCCCAAGAGGGCCTGCAGAAATGGCTGAGTGCCTACCCAAAGGTCCCTCAGAGATGGTGCAATTTATGGAGTCCTTGGGTCCTTGGAAGTGGACCTGGGACCACTAGGGCTCCCAAAACCCTGATCCAAGAGCTCAGAGTGCAGCCCCGAGCAGAAGCAGCAAGAGAATACCCATGTCAGGGCCGGCTGCAGGGTGAAGGGGGTTGCTCCAGGAAAGCAAGAGGTCCCCATGGATAGGGCGGGAAGGCGCGGAGCCTCCTTTCTGTCCTCCGCTTCCTCCAGGTGACCTCTGATTCTCCAGGGGATTTCCAACAGCTGCAGCAGCCTGGGCAGGCTGGAAATATACTGGGAAATATACATGGAAGGGACAGTTGGGACTCCGGCCCCTTCTCTAGGAAGAAACAAGTTTGATCAGGTCCCTCCCCTGCTGAAAACTCAATGGCCACCATTGCCTGAGCTGGCATTGTGCAGTGTCTTCATACTCTCCTGCCTCTCCTTAACCCTAGTCTGGGAGCATCCAGGCTCCCTCCTGCCTCCCTTTGCTTAGTGGGTGGGAGGTCTCAATCCTACCCCCACCCAATTCCACTTTCTCTAATTCCTGTCCTTGTGTTGTGGAAGTGGCACTTCCTACCGGAAGCCTTTCATGACCACCCCACTCCTTGCCCACCTTGACCACCTCTCCCATGTGCTCCTGCAGAGAAGTGAAAAGTACAGACTGCAGCCCACTTACAGGTATGGATAAGGCTGTGGTGAGAGTCAGTAAGTTAATACATACATTGTAAGTGTCAGAACAGTGCTGCTGGTTAGTGACAGCTATTGTCCTTGTGACTATCCTTACCATCTTACTCCTATTGTCTATCACCGGATTATCTGGGAAACTGTATGAAAGGTCACAGGAGTGACCATGAGGTCCCTGGGAGCAGGGACTGTGTCTATTTCTCTCCTGATTTCTGTAGCTCCTAAATAATGCCCATACACACATAGTTAGGGTCTGTGTAGGAATAAATTAAGGAATGGACAAATATGGCATGGTAGGCTGAAAAATGCCCCCTTAAATGATATCTATATTCCAATCCCTGTACATCAGTGGTCCCCAACCTTTTTTGGCACCAGGGACTGGTTTCATACAAGTCGGGGGAAGAGGGTCTTGGGATGAAACTGTTCCAACTTAGATCATCAGGCTTCAGATTCTCATAAGGGGTGCGCAACCTAGATCCCCCTCCTGCGCCATTCACAATAGGGTTCCCGCTTCTATGAGAATCTAATGCCACTGATCTGACGGAAGGTGGAGCTCAGGCGGTAATGCCCACTCACCCGGCGCTCACCTCCTGCTGTGGTTCCTAACAGGCCATGAACTGGTAATGGTCTGCAGTCTGGGCGTTGGGACCCCTGCTGTAAATGTTACCTCATTAGAAAAAGGGTCTTTGCAGATGTAATTAAGGATCTGGAGGCTGGGCGTGGTGGCTCACGCCTGTAATCCTAGCACTTTGGGAGGCTGAGGCAGGCAGATTGCTTCAGTCCAGTAATTCGAGACCAGCCTAGGCAATGTGATGAAATCCTGTCTCTACTAAAAAATACAAAAATTAGTTGGGCATCGTGGCATGTATCTGTAGTCTCAACTACTCAGGAGGCTGAGGCAGGAGGATGGCTTGAGCCAAGGAGGTGGAGGTTGCCGTGAGCCCAGATCATGCCACTACAGTCCAGCCTGGGTGACAAGAGTGAGACCCTGCCTCCAAAAAAAAAAAAAACAAAAAAAAAACTAACAACAAAAAAAACAACAGGATCTGGAGACAGGGGGGTTATTCTGGGTTAGCTAGGTGGACCCTTAATGCAATCACACATATCTATAGGATGGATCAGAGGCAGATTTGACACATAAAGAGAGGGTAATGTGACCACAGAGGCAGAGATTGGAGTGGTGCAGCCATAAGCCAAGGAGCAACAGCAGCCATCAGAAGAGGCAAGGAGCAGAATCCCTCCCAGAGCCTCTGAAGGGCCCACAGCCCTGCTGATGCCTGGATTTTGGCCTTCTGGCCTCCAGAACTGTTACAGAATAAATTTCTGGTGTTTTAAGCCACCAAGTTTGTGGGAGCTAGCACAGCAGCCATGAGAAATGAATACAGATGGGATGAATATCATGTGGAAGTTATCAAAGATTATGAAGAGCCAGGCTTTGGAATTCAAAACAGCTGAGCTGGGCACCAACATCTGTTGCTCTTTTAGCCCCATGACTCTGGTCAGGTTAATTTCTCTAAGCTTCAGTTTTTCTACCTTGTAGAGGTCCTTCAGGCTTTTAATTTAAAAAAGATTGCGTCATGCCTCGCCCAGCGCTTGGCACAGTACCTGGCACCTGGGTGGTGATTATGTGTGTCAGTATGGAGCAGTTTAGAACCAGTCTAAAAGGGGGAACATTTCTGTATTTTCATCTGTGAGCCTTGACTTCATTGTCCATGTTGTCTGGAAATGGGGCAGGATTCAGTTACTTCCTGTTCACAACCTGCTGGGTTTTTTTAAACCCATGAATAATTATCACTTTGAAGGGGAAGAAGGTGCCGTGAACTTATTTTCCTTCTTCACTGATCCCAGAATATGTTTCTGTGAGCAAAAGCAGAGAGGCCCCTGCTTGGAGACACAGCCAGCCCTGCCTGTGGAGTGCTGAGGACCCTGGCTGGACTAGGGCACACTTGGGGTGCAGGGGGGCACCTTGAGACCTCATCTTTCCTCTGCTGCATGAGCTGTTGATGTGAGGGGTATCCAGAATCTTCTCTGACCCTTAGAAGCAGGACCGGCTGATTGCTAAAATTCCTTCCGGGATTCTAAGAAGAAATGCCAAAACCTAACTTATTCTACCCAACTGGGCTCCAGATCCTTCTGTCAGCTGCAGAAATGGCCCCTGAAACTAACTTCCAGGCAGGGCACCAATATTTCCCTCCTGGCTTAGGAAGCAGTGTCCTTGGTGAGTCAAATCCACTCACATTCCCTGGCTTTGAGCCTTCTCTACTGCCCACTTCTGCCTAAAAGAAAAACTCAATCCTCAGGGTGAGCGGCAAGCAGGAAGGCCCTTTACAGCCTGATGCTCTCCATTCTGTAAAACATGGCTGGGCAGTAACATCATCTACTATACTCAGTTTACATTTATTGAGCACTTACTATATCCCAGGCATTGTGTGGCATAGACTCCAAGACAGTGACTCAACATGGAATTGATCAGTGAAATGCCTGGCTTGCCTTGCATATGCTGTTCCCTCTGCCTGGATTGTCCTCCCTCCACCACCCCCACTGCCATCCTTCAAATGCCACCCCCTCCAAGAAGCCTTCCCTGAGTCAGCTGCCCTTACTGCTCTGCCCTCACAGAACTTTGCAGACTCTACAGTGTGTTCGTGATGCACACACAGGGATGCTCTGCCCATCAGCTGTCTCCCCTGGCCAGGGCGCCCAGATGTCTTCTCAGGGATGATGGGATCATTCCAAGATTAGGAAAACAGACACAGGGTCAAGAGCCGAGAGTTAAGAGGCAGGTGAAGGAAGTGCTGTCAGAGCCATAGGAGGAGCGGGAACAGGTGCCTGGAAGCCAAAAGAGGTGAGGAAAATGACTGAATTATAGTTAAATGTGCACATCCTTCACCATGTATTTCTTTTTTTTTTGAGATGGAGTCTCACTCTCGTTGCCTAGGCTGCAGTGCAATGGCGTGACCTCAGCTCACTGCAACCTCTGCAGTGTTCAAGCGATTCTCCTGCCTCAGCCTCCCGAGTAGCTGGGATTACAAGGTGCCTGTCACCATGCCTGGCTTTTTTTTTTTTTTTTTTTTTTTTTTTTTAGATGGAGTTTCGCTCTTGTTGCCCAGGCGGGAGTGCAATGGTGCGATCTCAGCTCACTGCAACCTCTGTCTCCCAGGTTCAAAGCGATTCTTGTGCCTTAGCCTCCCAAATAGCTGGGATTACAGGCACATGCCACCATCCCTGGCTAATTTTGTACTTTTAGTAGAGACAGGGTTTCTCCGTGTTGGTCAGGCTGGTCCCGAACTCCCGACCTCAGGTGATCCACTCGCCTCGGCCTACCAAAGTGTTGGGATTACAGGCGTGAGCCACCACGCCCGGCTACTAATTTTTTGTATTTGCAGTAGAGATGGGGTTTCACCATGTTGGCCAGGCTGGTCTTGAACTCTTGACCTCAGGTGATCCACCTGCCTCAGCTTCCCAAAATGCTGGGATTACAGGCATAAGCCACAGTGCCTGGCCGCCTACGAGCTTCTTGAGAGCAAGGACCATTCCCCATCAACCTTGTTAACCTTGAAAGGTTGCAAGCTGTTGAGTAGAAGTTATAAAATAACAGTGAAGGTTTAGGGTTGGCCTACGGAGTTGACAGCAGTTCACCTGCACCACTCTAAACTAGTTATGCTGATACTCCCCTAAGGAAGGAAAACAAACCCAGCTCCCTGTAATCCGAATTAGTAAAGAGCTACCTTTTGATAAAAGGAAAAAGATAAAGGTAAAAACATCCAAGAGGTGGTAGTTAATGTAATACCTAAACTCTGCTATCATAAACATCCTTTTTAGTACAACTAAAAGTAAGCATTATCCTCATCTCTTAAAACCCTTTTTGTTTTCAAAGCAATAATCATTGTAAAATGCTTAGAAGATAGACACAAAAAGGAGTAAGTGAGCCATACATATTGTTAACATTCAATACATTTCCTTTTCTTTATCCTATGCAAAAACTATACACATATATTTGTATTTATATAATTGGGAATTAGCCCTCTTATGTGGTTTTAAAACTCTTGATTTTATTGGAAGTTCCCTCCCAAAATTTAAATATTATTAGGCCATTTTTAAAGGCTGCATAAGGAAGTGGTCAGCTTCCAGAAAGTGCTGGATGAATGTAGATAATTTAACCAATATTTTGGTTGTCTTCAGGTTTTCTGATATTATAATACTTTGATGAAAGTCTTCACTCTTTTACCATTTGTTTCTCCAGAATAGATTCCTAGATAATTACTAGGGCGAATGGTATGGACTTTTTTTTTTTTTTTTTTTTTTGAGACGGAGTTTCGCTCTTGTTGCCCAGACTGGAGTGCAATGGCGCAATCTCAGCTCACCACAGCCTCCGCCTCCCGGGTTCAAGTGATTCTTCTGCCTCAGCCTCCTGAGTAGCTGGGATTAACAGGCATGCACCACCACGCCCGGCTAATTTTGTATTTTTAGTAGAGACGGGGGTTTCTCCATGTTGGTCAGGCTGGTCTCAAACTCACGACCTCAGCTGATCCACCTGCCTCAGCCTCCTGAAGTGCTAGGATTACAGGCATAAGCCACCACGCCCAGCCAGTATGGACATTTTTAAGGCTGGTAATACAGAGAGATGAGGCCATCTGCAGGAAGAACTCATCGCACCACATTCTTGACCTGCACCAAGTATTAGTTAAGTGTCTTTGCTAATGTGACAAGTGAAAATATGTATCAGGTATCCCATTGTTTCAGTTTGTATTTCTTTTTGTTTACTAATGAGTGTGATGACCTTTTCCATCATAAACAGGAGTTGGTACAATATTTCTGTGGATTGGCCATTCATGTTCTTTGCCCATTTTTCTTTCTGCTTAGGTTTTTTCTTTAGATGAGTTTTTATGAACTCTTTATAATTCCCTATTGGTTGGCCTTTTAATTTTGTGTGTGATTTTTTTGGACATGGGGACATTTTAATGTTAGGCAGTCAATGCGGGACCCTTAGGATTTCTGCTTTTAAGCTTACACTGCTTTTTTTTTTTTTTTTTGAGACGGAGTCCTGCTCTGTCACCCAGGCTGGAATGCAATGGCACAATCTCAGCTCGCTGCAACCTCCGCCTCCCGGGTTCAAGCAATTCTCCTATCTCAGCCTCCTGAGCAGCTGGGATTACAGGCACATGCCGCCACGCCCGAGAACGTATTGTATTTTGGTAGAGAGGCCCATGTTGCCCAGGCTGGTCTTGAACTCCTGAGCTCAGGCAATCCACCCGCCTCGGCCTCCTGAAGTGCTAGGATTACAGGCGTGAGCCACTGCACTTACACTGCTTTTAAGCTTACAAAGTCCTTCCCTATTGTAGGAGTCATTAATGTTCTTGGCCAATGTTTCCAGCTCTTTCCCTTTTGAACAGAGGAAGATAGTGATTTTTGACCCTTGTGACTTTGTGAAGCTGTGTGTCAAGTTCTGGCAATGACTGTGAAAAGTGACTGTGTATCTGTCCTCAAGCCTTTAATTGCTGATGCAAGAGCTTCCAGATGCTGCTCTGTCCAATCTAGCAGCCAGTAGCCACATGTAACTATTTACATTTATTTAATATAAAAGTTTAGTTTCCCATTCTCACTAACCACATTTCAAGTGTTCAATGGCCACATGTGGCTAGTGGCCACTGTCCTGGACAGTGCAGATATGGAACTGGTAATACAGAAAGATGAGGCCAAGTGCAGGAAGAACTCATTGCACCACATTCTGGACTGGCACCAATATTAGTTAAGTACGTCTTTGCTAATGTGACAAATGAAAATGGGACCCCTCTGTTTCAGCTTCCAGCAGAACATTTCCATCATCACAGCGGCTGGACATTACAGCCTGAGCTCCTTCCCTCTGGCATGATGGCTAGCCATTTGTAGATCAAATGAGTGAGTGATCAGAGATGGCTGATCACTCACTCTGGAGTCCCAAGACATCAGGGTGAGCAGAGCCTCCTGATAACGGGTGATGGACATGTAGCAGAGGTGAGAAATAAGCTTTTGTGGCTTTGAAGCCAATACACTTTGGGAGTTACTCATGCTTGTCTTTTTAAATAAAAAAATCAAAGCATAATCTGGACCTTCTAGCCTGTTCCACTTTATATTTACTCTAATTACCATTAGTATTTAAGCATTTAAAAATTTGTTTTACTACCTAATAAGGAAGTTTTCGACAACCCGTTGTTAGCCATGCTTTCCTGTTTATTCCACAAGGTGAAGAATATTTTCCAAAGATCATTTTGTCTGGATACACTCTCTTCTTGTTGGCATCTTGATCAGAATTGTATTAAGCCAGTTCATTTATTTGGGAAGATCTGGCATTCAACGATATTCAGCTTTCCAACCCAGGACTGTGGTCTGTCTCTCCATTTGCTGGAGTCTCCTTTAAGCCCAGCTTCCTCACATGCCTGCGTGCTGAGCAGTGCTGTGTGGAGAAAAATAAGCAGCAATGAGAGAAAACTGAGGACAACATAGTGACTTTTATAAAGCAAAACTAATTTCTTTTAAAGAACTGTACTTTATCCTGTGATTCCCTCCCCCACTACTCAGAGTTGAAATGGCGTTTTACAAAAAAACTATGTTAGATATATTTTTTTCTTGTTTCTAAATGCATAAGTTGATGAAATGTATTTTGGAAATTTTACTGATCTGTGAAATCTCAAAGTCTGGATTAGAATTTTCAATAGGTCTTTATTACACAGGTCACCTCTATTTTGTTAGGGATTTTGCATTGGGGTTGCTATTGTGTATGGGGATTTTCCCATTCTATTTATATAGTTCTTTATAACATAAAGCCTTCAGTGTTATTCAACAACTATCTATTGAGCACCTTTGAACAAAGCATGTTCCCTACACTGGGAGGCTCATAATCCTAACCAGGGACATAGGAAGATAGTTGATGATTACAAAGTTGTTGTATAGAGAAGCTGTCACAGAAGCAAGAGAAGGGCTCTCAGCCAATGGGAGATCAGAAAGCATTTCCAAGAGGTGCTGGTGCTCAAATTGAGTGACAACAAGGCACCCAGAAAATGTTTTGCTGAATGACTGCTGCACACTCAAAAAGACTTGGTATTTTGATAATGAATTTTTGTCTCCTGTAGAATCCTAGATATGAGTAAGGGTGGTATTTGTGGAGTCTTTTTTAATGAAGGCACAGATCACCTAATTCCTTTCTGCCTTCCATTCACAAATTACCAAATTGCAAAGAAAGTATCTCTTTACCATCAATTTCTTTCTACTTCAACTTTGGGCCAGACTCAAAACATTTATAATTGCCAGGATAGAAAAAGTGTTGCTATTTTTGTGATCTGGGGCTAAGGCATATCTTCACGTATTTTTTGTTTTTATTTTTTCTTGAGACGGAGTTTCGCTCTTGTTGCCCAGGCTGGAGTGCAATGGCGCGATCTCGGCTCACTGCAACCATTGCTTCCTGGTTCAAGCGATTCTCCTGCCTCAGCCTCCCGAGTAGCTGGGATTACAGGCATGTGCCACCATGTCCAGCTAATTTTGTATTTTCAGTAGAGATGGGGTTTCTCCATGTTGGTCAGGCTGGTCTCCAACTCCTGACCTCAGGTAATCTGCCCACCTCGGCCTCCCAAAGTGTTGGGATTACAGGCGTAAGCCACTGCGCCTGGCCCATATACTTTGTAAATGTAGAAAATTAAGCTGCATTCCCCAACGTGGGACAAAAGAATGGAGAAAAATAACACGAGAAGCCAATCTCCTGTGGTGTGCTGCTTTCTGCCTAAACACTTATCTGCTACTTGCCCTCTCTGGGCCAGTCTCCTCTCTCTCTTTTTTTTTTTTTTTTTTGAGATGGAGTCTCGCTCTGTCACCCAGGCTGGAGTGCAGTGGCACGATCTCACTCACTGCAAGCTCCGCCTCCCAGGTTCATGCCATTCTCCTGCCTCAGCCTCCCGTGTAGCTGGGACTACAGGCGCCCACCACAATGCCTGGCTAATTTTTTGTATTTTTAGTAGAGACGGGGTTTCACCGTGTTAGCCAGGATGGTCTCGATCTCCTGACCTCGTGATCCGTCTCTGGGCCAGTCTGTTAACGGACTTGATTACCTTCTGTCCATTAAATACTCCAAAACCCTATTTTCAACTGCTCACTGGACACATTTCAACCTGGACAAACTTCTTGGTCATTCTTTAAGACCCACCTCCTCAGTTGCCAACCATGCCAGTCACTCCATGACCCTCTAAAAACCCCACCCACACCTTGGGACACTGTGGTCATTGTTTGTGTGGCTGTTTTCCCCACTAAGTCATGAGGTCATAGAGGACAAAGGCCAAGCTTTCTTCTTTTGTATTTACAATTATAACCAAAGGAAAAACTTTTTTTGAACAATCAGCTAAGGTTGCATCTGTCAACATTTTCTTCCCTTAAAAATATTAATTTAGGCAATGCTTTCTGAACTTCTGAGCAGGAAAGGGCCCTATTAAGATTCCAATGTGACTGTCTTATTTTATATAGAGGAAGTGGCCAATGGGGCAAGTTCTGAACCTTGTAACCCCAGAAGCATAATGCTCTTGATCACTATTAGCTTGACTGTCAGCATAAAGACATAGTAAAGGACCTAGAATAATTTTGCAATATGACCTTTTTGAGAAAATTTAAAAAGACAAAATAATTTGGCCCAATGTAGGTAAAATGTATCAAGCTGTTTTGGAAACCTGAAATACGCATCCACATATGCATATGTAGTATGTATGTACACACACAGTATAAACCGATTTTTAGAAGACAATTTTTTAAAAAAGCCAAACCAACTGATTAAAATTATAACTCCACATTACTTTATGAAACTTATGATTAGGCAGCACTTCTAAAAGAACAAAATGTGAGAGATTCAAACCAACAGTGACTATGCTGCTGTAGTATGGTTCTATTTTTTTTTTTTTTTTTTTTTTTTTTAAGACAATGTCTGGCTCTACCTCCCAGGCTGTAGTGCAGAAGTGCAATCTCAGCTCACTGAAACCTCCACCTCCCGGGTTCAAGTGATTCTCTTGCTTCAGCCTCCTGGTAGCTGGGACTATAGGCATAAGCCACCATGGCCGGCTAATTTTTGTATTTTTAGTAGAGATGGGGTTTCACCATGTTTCCCAAACTCCCGACTTCAAGTGATCCGCCTGCCTTGGCCTTCCAGTGTTGGGATTACACGCGTGAGCCACCGCGCCCGGCTGGTTCTAATATTTATAGAAACATAATCAACATTGCAAAAGGGCTTCTTTTAAATTGGCAGCTAAAAGGGTCTTAAGTGGAACTCACCTGAATATGAAGACTGATTTCCAAATGAAGACAGGTTTGGCAGATTACTTGGGGCAATGAATTGCCCTTTAAAGAATTTGGATGCAGCTTTGTCAGAGGCTGTTCTGATGGGCAGTGAGCAGGTTAAGAAGTGCTACTGGTAGACAAGGGAGAATTAGTAATGAAGGTAAATTCCCAAGATGCCTGCCACCACTAGGGGCTTCCCTTGGTGATGGGGGGGGATGGGCTACTTTGTGGAAGAGGAATACTGAGATGCTACCACTTGGTTGTAGGTTTTTTACTATTCTTCCAGAACCTCTGGCCCCTCCTCAACATCCCATGGGAATCAACTCTTCAAGCCAGGCAGTTCAGAATTGCTAGACTAGCCTAAGGGTGTCCCAGAAAGCAAAGCAAAGAACAGGCAGAGAGGCCCATACAAGATGTACTAAGTCGCCCACGTCCTCAGGGAGCTTGTTGTCCAGGAAGGGAGAGCTCTGATCTAGAGGGTCACTATCCTAAAAACATCCCCTAGTTTGGACTAAGATGCTTTAGGTTACAGGGAAAAGGCAGCTATTTGCAGTATTTGAGTTTTCAGTTCTCTACTCCAATGGTCTTTAAACCACTGAGTGCTCCGTAAAATCGCTTAAGAAGTTTAAACACACACTCTTTCTCCCAACAGCCCATCCTTGGAGAGTTTGCCTTTACCTTGGGGGATTAGGATGGGGACCAGTGTATTAGCAAGCTCTCCAGGTGAGGTACCCCTGCTTTCCAGGCCTGCCCATAAACAGACAAGTACTTGCCTCAGACCTGCAGGTATCTATCACCTGGTCTTTTTTAGTCCTTTGTTCAATATCAGACACTGTTACCCTTCTGAGGATAGCTCTGTCCTGTCCACTGGGTCTGGGCTGTGTTCTTTCTCCACTGATTGGGGGAGGCAACCCACATAATCAAGTAAGTAAAATAGTAACACGGGGCAGCTGAGCCAGGGGAGGTGGTTTACATTGTATACACGTGTAGTGTCACAGAAGATTCTATAGCGGGAAAGCTGAAAAGTTGGAGAGAACTGCCCTCTGACTGGTCAATCTTGGGATGCCCTGACATTTCTGACTGGCTTCATTTTAAGAGAAGCCAGCTTATCCCAGAGAACAGACTCACCTGAGTTTGGCAGGCCCTAAAAAAGCATTTCACAAAAATATTTCACTTTTAGTGTGGAGAAGTTCTGGAAATGGAAAGATCTTTCTCACGGGGAGTAGGAGAGCCAAAAACATCCTTAAGGAAAATGGCCTTAATGTTTCAAAAGATTGGGAGGACTCGGGGGGAAGAAAACAGAGCTCGATACATCTGAAGAAATTAAATAACTCCTCATATCTTAGAGCAGATTGAATTTACATTTTACTTAAAAAAAGGGGGGTGGGGGAAGTACATACACAAGGAGGAAAATGGGGTGAGGAACAATAAAGATCTGAAATGGATTTCTATGATTTTCCCCTACAATGATCGATTTTGTCTGTTGGGCAGTATTTTTCCTGCTGGCGTACAACTGTTTACAGTATTAACAAGGTTGTAGACAAAGGAACTGCCAAAGTTTAGGCCCGGATGGAAAGGACAGTAAGTTATCATATACAATTTAAGTTTACAATACACAGCATTTTCTTTAAATGATGTAACGCAGTCGCAAAAAGAAGTTAACAATACTAACACGAGAATAATCAAATTTTTGTTGTTATCCATGTGCAGCAACTAACTGCTTTACAAAAAAGCAAAATAATACAATATATCATCACATATATTTACAGTATAGTAAATATACTTTTTTTGTCAAATTTTACACAAACTATTTACAGGTGAATATACTGCATTAAAAAAAATTGTGTGGCTGACACTAAGAATGAATTTTTGCCTAAATCCATTGCATAACATTGAGTAAGACATGCCTCATTATGCCTGGGAGTCGGGGAAGGATGTAGAAACAAAAACAAAAAACAAAAAACCCAAACAAAACTGAAAACCCCTAAAACCTACAAACCTGGGAGGGTTGCTGGCTGGCACTCTGTCTCCCCAACTAGGACACAGGATAGAAGCTGACTGTTTAGGATGTGTCCTGGGCACCTGGCTCAGTCATGAACAGGTGTTGAGTGAATGGAAGACAGAGCTGTAGCCACTTTGCCCCAAATCTACTGAACTGCATCTCCATCTGGGCAACTAAGGGCATGCCCCTCGGATGGGAGTACTGGCATAACAGGTAGATTATCCAGGACAAAAACATGACTGAGTTCCTGGTTTCCTCTTTAACAAGTCAGGGGAAACATCTACAAACCGAAACGAATTACTTATAATATTTTTAACAGAACTTATGTCAATTACGCAGAAATGGGCAACTTGGTCTAAACTTCAGAATTTCTTTTATAGATTACAAGTATGAAGACTAAAAAAGTGTTGCATTTCTCAAGGGACACATAGTGGTGAGAGGTTTATCTCATGTACATTTTAGTTACTTGGAAAGCTAGATTTTCCTCAAAAGTCAGAAGTTCTTTAAACAAGGTAAATTTTAAACCTTAGTTAAGTTTTCAAACTCCTAGGATGTACTTACTAGTCAAAGGTATTTTTGCATTTCAAAGGCGGCTGAATTTTGATTTGTGCCAATGCTGATCATTTCAGGCGGTATGAAATACTACACCCTTGGTAAACCCGTTTATGGAAATATCAGTATTTTTAACAGTAAACCTCTGGAAGTTTCTTTATTTTGATGGGAAGAGCAAAATAGCATAACACCCACTATCATATGCACCAAACCAACAAACAAAAACAAGAAAAACATCGAACTAAAGTTATCAAAGGCTTACACTGCCTGCTATTCCAGGGCCTAGAAACTGTGAAACTTACCCCAGAAACACTGGGTTGTGGGAGAGCCAAGACCATGGTGGCAGCTTGGCATCCTTGGCACTGGGTTACTGATCTATTTCTAAACACAGTTCTAATTTCAGCTTTTTTATATAGTCATAGTTGCTCTGTCATTATAAACATTTTCTTCTAATGCAGCCTCTACAATAGTTTAAAAACAAAAGTTTAGTAAATTGCACCTGTCTTCAGTATTTCCAACAATTCTATGGTAAACTCATTAATAATACTAAGGTTTTCTTTCCTCTTATTTTGGCAAATAATTCTTACTTTTCCCAGGACTGTAAACAAATTTAAAAAATTAAATTCTTGTTATTTCTGAGTATCAAAACCAATTTTATTTACATTAACATATTACATTGTTACTGTGTGGATAAATGTGAAATATATTATTAAAATCAGAACACTTAAATGTACCATTATTTATTGAATTAGCTGTGGAATTTAATTTACTGAAATCCTCTAATGAAACAGCACTACAGGAAACTCCCCTCTCCCCTAGGTTTATTTTTTCCCCCCTCAAAGCCATTATATCTTAACATATAAAGGGAACCTGGGAGTAGAGGGATTAATATCTTTTTGTAATAAATATGGTTTAGTTCTAAATTGGAACATCCAGATACCAATATGCTCACTGAAGTCAAATTATTTTGTAAACTGCAGGTACCACAAAGAAATTGGATCTGCATTACTATGAAAATTCCAATGCCATGATAATCCATACCACCAGTATAGCAGCAATTCTAACAGCCCCCCTACTGTCATACTAATGCAGGCTGACCAGTCTTTTCACAGTGATTAAATGCAATTCTAGCATATATAACCTACATGTTTTCTTAAAGAGGTTTCTGATTTTTTTGGAGAGGAGGAGGAAGATTAAAAGACATTCAAAATACATCTTATCAAAGAAATTTATAATATACACCATACTCTATTCTTGGAAATTATTTAACAAAATAAAAATATCAGCTACCCTAAATGTCACGTACCATTCCATTTTGCTATGGAGCTAATGCAAACATCTATGAAAATTACCTTCTGGGAACAATTTTCAACACTTTGTTCACTGATTACCCTGCTCAGAATTAGTTAGGAAAGAAGAGGGGGAGGGGAAAAAATATATATATATATATAATTACTATACTTAGTATAGTTTTGGTTTACAAAAAACAAAACACAAAAAAACCACCTTTAGCAAAATTAAAAATTAAAAGATAATCAACTGGAGAAAAAAATAAACTAGTTTGGATGACTGAGTTTGGATAAGGACTTAGAAGCCATAGTTTTAATTCAGTAATGTTAAGATATATGTGGTCGCACTTATTTTCCTGTAATTATTGCTAATACTCAAGTGTTAGTATTTCTTAAGAATCCACTATAAAATATGAAATTTCCCTGCCCTCCCCCCCAAGTACCTTGTCTGTGGCTTTATGGTGTCAAGTCACTGAGGCTTGACCTCTATGGTTCTTTCAGTTTTGTACGGTTAAAAAAAAAGTCCACAGCTAAAAGATTAAACATACTGGGGTTATAATACTATTTCTCTCATAAACTTGTATCTTGAAAAATGTATAAATAGGACTAACACTTTACTCTGTAGGATGAAGAAGGGAAAACCACAGAAGGCAGAGCTCTGTGCAAATGGCTTTCATCACTGGCCAGTAGTAGCAGTATTCAAGAATTCATCCTCTCTTACAATTGAGATTTCTCAGTTAAAAGTTTCCTGACCTCCCACTTTCTTTGCAGTTGTTCTGAACACTTACATATACCAGATACACGCCAAAAGTAGAAGAAAAAAAGTTAAAGAAAAGGCAGCATTAAATTTAGGCAAGGCTTCGAAGAGTTGATCATCTGGCAACATGGCAAACCGGATGGGTTCATTATAAAACAGGAAGTGCAGCATTACAACATGGGGGGAAAGGGCAAGGACAGGGAAGGGGTCACTAGTGAAGAGCCCATGTTAAGTTGATTTTAAAAAAGAAAGCAAGCAAGCTTCACACGATCTTCTTAATGCTATTACGTTTGAAACTGCCAGCGCTTCTTTGCTTCTGCACTTGGCTTGCGGATCCGTGGCGAGTTCGTCCACTGTTACAGTGGCCAGTGGTAGGGGAGAGTTCAACGTTCTCCTTGTCGATTCCTGGAGAAAAAGAGAACAGCCAGTTACTTCTTCTTTTCCTTCCAGGACTGAATTTCATTGCAGTCATGTGTCGCTTAACAACGGGGACACATTCTAGGAAACAATCATTAGGCGATTTTGTCTGTGCAAATATTGTGGAGTGTACTTACATGAACTTAGATAGCATAGCCTACTACACACCAAGGCTATATGGTATAGCCTGTTTCTCCCAGGCAACAAACCTGTACAGCAGGTTACCATATTGTGTACTTTATGTAGTTGTAACACAATGCTAACTATTTGTATATCTAACACAGAAAAGGTACAGTAAAAATACAGTATTATAATCTTTCGGGACCACTGTCTATATGTGTTCTGTTGTTGACTGCAATGTTGTTATGCAGCACATGACTATATTTGTGATAAGATACAACCTGGCAAATTGTTTATGCACATTTCATTTTAATAGTCAATTGCTAAAATGTTTACTAAGTTAATGTCACATGGAAAACTTCACATTTTGTTATGCAAAGTTTGCTATCATAGCAGAAAATAGCACAAGAAAAATGAAAAGACAAGTTGCAAGGAAAAGCTAGAGGCTGGCAGGCTTGAACTAAATGAAAGGCTAGCAGCCACCAGGGAAGACTAGTGCTCCTTCCTCCAAATCATACCAGAAACTTCCAGCAGAGGTCATCTTCTAGCCTTATTCACATCCTCATTCATGTTTATAAACAGAATATACTCTCCAGCAGCAGAAAGTACTGATCTTTCCAGCAAATTTGTCACTTCAAAGAAAACTCAAGATGCTTTTATTTTTTTAATCACAGTGCCTATCCCAAAGAAACTATTTACTGAGAAAATAATATATCACAAAGGTCATACTGTAGAATCTTTGCTTCTTTTCAGCTATGCCAAGTCATTTCACATTCTGCAACCTTAAACAGATGCCATTTATTTCTCTTGAGGAGGAGATTAAACCTCCAAAACCTGGGCCTAACAATGATTGATTATTTATTTAGAGACAGGGTCTTGCCCTGTTGCACAGGCTGCAGTGCAGTGGTGTGATCATAGCTCACTATAACCTTGAACTTCCAGGCTCAAGCTATCCTCTCGCCTCAGCCTCCCAAACAGCTAGGACTACAGGTGCATGCCACCATGCCCAGCTAATTTTAAAATTCTGTCTAGAGATAGAGTCTCACTATGTTGCCAAGGCTGGTCTTGAACTCCTGGTCTCAAGCAATCCTTCCATCTTGGCCTCTCAAAGTTCTGGGATTACAAGCATGAGCCACTGCACCCCACCCCAATTAATATTATAAATAATCTAAGCAGTAACTTCAGAAAAGTAACCAGAAACTAAAATAAGATTTTTATTTTTATCTATCACATTAGGAAAGATTACAAATTGGGTAACAGGACTGTGGTCACCCTTGCGGAAGTAGTGACTTAAGGGGGCATGAGGATGGCTTCTTGGGATGCTGGTAATGTTCTGTTTCTTGATGTAGATGATGGATTTTCAAGTGTGTTTACATTTTAAAAGTTCACTAAGCTGAAAACTTGCAATTTGTGAACTTTTCTGTTAAACATCAATAAAATTTACCCCCAAAATTAGACTGATTATACTTACTGCTGGCATAAATTTTGGCGGGAAAGCAAACAGCTGCAGAACGTTTTAGTAATTTGTATCAAAATGTACATTACTGATTGATATTTACTGATACAAAAAGATGACCACAATTTTTGGAGTAGGAAAAAAACACCCACACACTGTGGGGAGAGGGCGTAGGGCTGGGTAAACATCTGCCAAAATATTTTATCTCTGTCAGAAGCCAAAGGACTAAAAAATATATTTTACCTCTGTATGGCAAGATTTCAGCTAATTTGTACTTTATTCTTCTTTATATATTGAAATTTTAAATCTTAGAATAGAAAAATTTCCATTTTTGGACAAAAAGTAATATTTCAAGTCAAGAAGTATTCATTATGTTACAGAAAATGTACATAGATCTACCCAGTTAGTTATTTGTTGGCTCATGAACAGGAAATGAACTTGGGATGACCTCCCTCTAGGAGCCACTCATCTTTCATTTGGATTCAGCTCTGAATTCGACTCAAGAGTATCAGGCATCTGTAAGCACGTGGCCTGGTTTACACGTGCTCAACAGAGATTTGCTGTCTTGAAAATCTGAACTGCTGTCAAAGGAACATGGGCATTTGTCAGTGACTGTTTATGAACATGTGCACTGCATCAGGCATATGAGTGCAAGGAAAAACATCAGCGACATTTCTCCAGGAGGTGAGCATAGCTGAACCACCACTGAAAATCTGTTCTATTCAAATCTTTTTTAAAACCCTTATTAAATTTTTTAAGGCTAGTCATGTTCTAATCTAATCTAATCTAATCATATGCATAGAAAGATGACTAGAAACATTCATGGAACTTTTCTCTGGGTAACAGAATTCTGGTCTATTTAAATTCTCTTCTGTATATTTATTTGCATCCTCTCCAGAGCTATTTACAAAAGAAATAACAAAACTGAAAGAAAGCTGCTCATGATCTCTGGAATGTGCCTTGAGCTTCTTTGGGATGTATGTTTGTGTAGGCTCTTTTAATTGTCTTGCGTATCTCTACAAGATAAAATTCAACCCATATTTTTTTTTCTCATATCCTTTTCCTTCATGATGCATTATTCTGTCTCTTGCCAGAACTACTTTCTCCTTCCTTGCTTTTAAATTAACTTGCCTATGATTCTACAACTTGTACATCCATCTTCCTCTACTGAGTAAAGGCACTGAGAAGGGTAAAGATCATTATTATTCATTTTTGTTTTCCTGTAAAATCTAGTTATTTTTTCAATACATTGAAAAATTATTTTCAATTAATACTGAATGAACTGAACACTTCCATTTTAAAATGTGATAGCTAGATACCTGTAATTCAGAGCCCCAAAGCATGCAATCCCTGATCTCCAGAGAGTGGTATAATATTTTTAGTTGAAAAGATAGAACTTTTTTTTTTCCCTTTGGCATCCTCCACTTAAAATTATGAATTTGTCAGCGTATTTGACCTTCCATTTCCTCAAATTTGCATTTGGCCTACAAGTTTCAAGTCCAGTAATTCTGAGTTGTTTCTTTAATAGAAAATAAGATTCAGGCAAAACTAGGACCTTAAAAAGACAAAGGTTTGAAACAACTTGGAGCTGGCCCGCATGCAGGAGGGGCATGAAGCATGGATGACCACTAGGAAGGCCCTGTGACTCTCTGCCAGCAATCTGCTACCCTGGGGCTCGTTCTTGTGTGTCTTGCTACTACTAGACCATGGCCTACTCTGAGGGGAAAACAGTCATGACATGGGTGGCAATGCTTCTGTTTGGGCACAGTGTTATTCCTGAGAATTACAATTACATAAATTGTAGTAATGTAGATGAAGTCACTAGGGTGAAGGTATCTTCAAAAAAGTGCTAAGAACATTCCACTTTCTGTTTTGTGAAGCAAATAACCGTCAAACCTCAAATAATTTTAAAGGCCTTATTTATCTCCTGTTAAATGTTGAGGGTACAAAACAAGCTATAAAGTTGTTCACATACTATGACCTCAAGTATATAAAAAAAAGAAACTGGAAGGAAATGCACCAAAATGTTAATAAACAGTGGTTATCTATCTTAGAATGATAGGATTGTGGGTAACTTTTTCCTTTTATTTTTCTGAATTTTCCAATTTTTTTCCTAATGAGCACATTAATTAAAAATGTAAAAGTACGAGTGACTTGTCAGCCCCATCCCTCATAACCAAAAGCTTCAACACTATGTCAAAAGTTGATATTCTACTTCTTTTCTCAAATTCATTTTTCATCTAAATTCTTGTTTTTGGAATGTATGTTTTCTTCCTACTTAGTGACCCAACTGTATAAATCACACATAGGTAAATGTGGTGTGACTGTGATTCCTAAGTTCAACTTCACAGCAAAGATGTTTTACTGTAAGGATCAAAGGAGAAACTAACAAAAATCTTGGAAAGTCATTAAAAAAAAACAATTAAAATGCATTACGTTTACACCAAAATATATCTTGAAAAAGCCAAGGTAGTATGAAACAGAATGATCATAGTATCTAGTTCTGGCATTTAAGTTTCTCAGCATAATTCTCACTTCTAAGAATTTTGGCAGCATTCTTTCTTTTTATCCTCTAAAATTAAATCTAGAAATCTCTCTAGGAACTGGTGAAGGATTTCACCTCAATATCCCATAGGAAAAACTCTCAGATTATCTGATAGACCACTCCAATGCAGACAGAACACATCCTGTATTGCTATATGCCATATTTTAAGTTAGTGAGAAGGCCTTGGTGCTGCACTTCTTTTCATCAAAACCCCTTTAAAGTTTTGTATTCTGGTATCTCTTTTGCCCCTAAAGCATTGGCTCTCCTTTCTGGCCTTTGGTGGACAACAAACAGACAAAACTACAAAGTGACTGACAGAAACCCAGAGGCTACCACACAAAGGAAATAAAGCTAAAACTTCTGTGGTCCTGATTTGCCAGCTTAAATGACCCCACAGATATGCTGTGGTCAAACATGCAGCCAATTACAAACATGCAGAGCAGAAACAGCTGGACATTCTGTACAGCAGTATATCAGCAGTACTATGTTTCAATAAATTGTGGTGGTTCCAGATAAAGACAAAATCCTAACTAGAAGGTGTTATTGGCCAAAATTCAGTGAATTTGAGTAGCTGGGGAAAAGGATTAGATTACATTATTGTTATTTAAGTTAGATGTCTATCTTCCCTGCTAGAACATGAGTTCCTTGAAGGCAGGTATCAAGGTTTGTGTATTTTTACAACTAGTGATGTAGCTCCAGCCTGACAATTTTTTAGTCACTCATTTTTAAAAAACACTTTTGGTTTCCCAAACTGAAATAATCAGTTATAATAGTATCATGAAATAATAAAACAACAGAATCGCTTTTAACTCTTGAAAAGCTAAGGAAAAATGGGTTAGGTAATTTGTGAGAAGTTATACTACAAAAATGACAGACTAATAAAAACTGAAATCTCCTGCCACCTGTGCAGGAGCACTAGTAGGTTACCTTACTCTGCATTTAGTTTATTTCATATACAATATGGCAAACTTATTAGAAAACTCTTATTACATACAGGAGAACTTAAACATGTCAGAAGACCTAGGTTTGAGACTTGTTTGGATCAATATTCTTATTTAGTTGTAATTCTTAATCTGGCAATTAAGGATAACAGCAGACTTGTCTATTTCAAAGGGTTGTTAGACAAAATAATCTATGTGAAGAATTTTTGCACACAGATAAAATAATTACTCCACAAATTAAGATGCTCCTAATATCTGAAGTAAAAGACCAGGTGATACAAAGGAGTTTTAGAACAAATACTAGGACTTTAATTTTATGCTAGAATTTGTAAAATGAGTGAAGCTAATATAAATAAGCACAAAATAGAATAAATCTTCTTAGGTAGCTACAGCCTATTTTTAAGCTACAGTAAATACATTCATGGAGGCGTATTAAATATATACTTAGAAATATTTTTATTTTGAGCTAAATATAAAAAATTGTAACTATAAGAATTTTTGGCTTGGTATTGTGGCTCATGCCTGTAATCCTAACATTTTGGGAGGCCAAGGCAGGCAGATCTTTGAGGTCAGGAGTTCGAGACCAGCCTGGCCAAAATGGTGAAACCTCGTCTCTACTGAAAATACAAAAAAAATTAGCCAGGCTTGGTGGAACATGCCTGTAATTCCAGCTACTCAGGAGGCTGAGGCAGGAGAATCGCTTGAACTGGGGAGGCGGAGGTTGCAGTAAGCTGAGATCACACCACTGTACTCCAGCCTGGGCAACAGAGAGAGACTCCGTCTCAAAAAGAAAAAAGAATTTTTAAAAATGACGTTCACCAACTGCTAGCACTTCTTTTTCTGTTTAGGTGTAATCTTTTTGTATATTAATTACAGGTGAATAAAAGAAAAGGCATCTTTTATAAATTAGACATAAATGTGTCAAATTTTTTCATCTTAGTCCTTATAGCTAACTAATGACCATATATTTTTTTTTTTTAATTTTTTTGTGAGACAGAGTATTGCTCTGTCACTCAGGCTGGAGTGCGGTGGTGCGATCTCAGCTCACCAAAGCCTCAACCTCCCCACCTCAGTCCTGTGAATAGCTTTTTGTATTTTTTGTAGAAAGAGGGTTTTGCCACGTTACCCAGGCTGGTTTTCAACTCCTGGACTCAAGTGATCCGCCCACCTTGGCCTCCCAAAGTGCTGTGATTATAGGCGTGAGCCATCGCACCTGGCCATATTCCTTTTTTTAACCACAGGTGATTGAATAGACAGCCAGCTTTAATTTCTGAGGAAACACTGGGGTTGGCTTTCTATTTGGGGAAAACAAGTTATTTTCTAAGCTAAAAAAACTTCATCAAACCACGTATTCTGCTCTTTCTCTATTAACTCTCTCTTGAGTTTCTTATTAACCTGCCTTTGTTAGTCCAGGTATGGGATTGCATCTTCATTGTTCTGGGTGGGTATTAGCAGCTCCTTAAACAAGACAGGCCACACACTGGCCGTGCAATTCCTGTTAAGTACCAAGACCTTATAAAGTGGTGGCTTTACAAGTTCCTAAAGTGCCTAAGGCAGACTGAGCTTACAGGGACCGGTGAGTAAAGTCTCATGCTATGTGCCCAGGATGAGTGTGGGGTAAGCAGTATTTTCGTGCAAAGATGATGAAAATAAAGAGTACCTTGATGAGGGAACAGCTGCATGAAAACTGCTGATTTAGAGCAAGGCAGAGAAGCTTTACAAAGAATGGAAGAAAAAAAAGCAAGTAAGTGATGTTCATAAGATTTAAAAAAGGGTGAAATACAATTAGATACTAGATAATTATAATGTTCCTTGGT
The DNA here is from genome assembly GCF_000001405.40 of Homo sapiens. Lineage (NCBI taxonomy): Eukaryota > Metazoa > Chordata > Mammalia > Primates > Hominidae > Homo > Homo sapiens. The sequence goes on along the minus strand of NC_000017.11, from coordinate 31,367,121 downwards.
TTTCAGAAGGAATCTGGTTTTAATTATTGAATTCTGACCATTAATTTCCTAAATATTACAGTTGGTAAATAAATGAGAGAACTTACAACTTTGTAGATGTATTTTTTTACCACTTATATTAAAATTAAGAATTTTAGTTTAAATTAAGAATTAAGCTAAAAATTAGATTTAAAAATTAGCAAGAATTATACCAAGAAATCGCTCAATTTAAAATTATTTTTCTCCCTTAAACATAGGATAATAACAAAGAAAAAGAAAACAAATCAAGAAAAAAAGGTCAGGTAATACCATAAACAATTCTCTAAAACATTAAAATCATTTCAGAGATCTTAAGTGGCCTCAAAATAGAGACTTCTAGGTTTCTTCTAAAAGGGAGATATTTCTTTTCCTTCTTTTAAAAGACGAGGGTCTCATGATGTTGCCCAGGCCAGACTTGAACTCTTGGGCTCAAGCAATCCTCCCACCTCAGCCTCCCTAGTAGCTGGGACCACAAGCATGTGCCACTGTGCCCAGCTAAGAGGGAGATATTTCAAACCTAGTAAACAGAAGTATTACTGACTCAGAGCCAAGTCTAAGTTTAGAGCAATGGTTTAGATGAAATATCCCTCCGTACACAGAGCTATCAGCACTATTGGTTTAGGAATGTTATGATCACTACCTGATCTAGCCAGCTTCTCAGGAAGAAGGTCTACATTACAGAAGCAAAGTGAGAGAATGACTGGTAGGCTTGGACCAAGGCCAGAAATAAAAATGGAAGAAGGGAGTCTAAAGTAACGATGAACTAAGTATGTCTTTGTTCTAAAAAATTCACGCACCAATACTAACAGTAAAATGAGCTGATCAAACAAAAAAAAGTTAAAGCCTTTTTCCTAGTAAAAAAAAATTTTAGGCCAGGTGCGGTGGCTCATGCCTGTAATTCCCAGCACTTTGGGAGGTGGAGGTGGGAGGATCACAAGGTCAGGAGTTCGAGACCAGCATGGCCAATATGGTGAAACCCTGTCTCCACTAAAAATACAAAAATTAGCCAGGCATGGTAGTGGGTGCCTGTAGTGCCAGCTACTCAGCAGGGTGAAGCAGGAGAATTGCTTGAACCTGGGAGGCGGAGGTTGCAGTGAGCTGAGATCGTGCCACTGCACTCCAGCCTGGGTGACAGAGCAAGACTCCATCTCAAAAAAAAAAAAAAAAAAATTAAATAGATCACGAATTTACTTGTTTTGTTTAAAAACATTTTTGAGGTGAAAAATGTGTTATAAAACTTTTGCCATAATTATTACATGATCCTTCCACACAAATGTCCCTTTGAACTATCAGAATACTATATAGTACAAGGTACAACATGACAGGTATCACAATAGAGGTCAAAATAGTTATCTATGTACATTCTACTGCCCGTTCTGATCTGAAATATATTGAAGGCAGGTATCATGCCCTGGCAGCCCCTCTGCTCCCCTGGGGTCTAAGAGCCCCTTGCATATAGTAAACAATACATATATGTAGGATAAATATCTGGAATTTTGGTATTTTCTACAGTGCACTATAGTATTAATCTTGTATTTAAAATAAAAAAAATAGTGCACACTTAGAATTTGTTAAACAACATGGATCGGAAGGAAATAACTTTCAAGGCAAAAACCGTCAAGTCTCTGGTGATCAAGGATTCTAATACATACTTAACATACACCTACAAAACAGGTATTCAAATGTTTATTGAATTAACTTACAACAATTCTCCTCTGAAGAATATCAGAAGACCCTGATAAAGTATATATTAAATTTTAATGCTTTGGAAATGGATCCTATTAATTCATTTTCTTTCTTTCCTTCTTTTTTTTTTTTTTTTTTTGAGATAGGTTCTCAATCCCTGACTGGAGTGCAGTGGCATGATCACAGCTCACCACAGCCTTGACCTCTCCGGCTCAGGTGATTCTCCCACCCCAGCCTCCCAAGTAGCTGGGACTACAAATGCATGCCACTACGCCTGGCTAATTTTTCTATTTTTGTAGAGATGGGATTTCGTCATGTTGCCCAGGCTGGTCTCAAGCAATCCACCTGCCTCGGCCTCCCAAAAGTGTTAGGATTACAGGCGTGAGCCACCGCACTCAGCCTGGGTTTCATTTTCTAGTTCTAATTCTGGTTCTTCAATTCATGTCCAGCTCAGCTAGACTGGACCTAATAAGGATCATAATATCAAACCTGAAATATCCTTATATATCATAAAGTAAATGGATTCTCTTCAAGATGCTCTTATTGGTGTTTGGGAAAATCCTAAGAGCCAAAGTCTTACATCCATTTGCCTAAAGGGTCACAGTCAATGCAATTCTATATGCACTGAATCCCAGGTACAGTCACTGGCTCCACTGATGCCAAATTCAATTTCTACTAGGGAGGGATTCAGAAGACAACCATTTAGGTACTTTTATATGTAGACTTGTAAAACAGTCCCCCTTAGGATGGAGAATTAGGCTATGCTAATTTGTCAAGAAGAATGCATTTTCAGAGACAATTGCTTTATGTAAGTGACTACCACTTCTCCTCAAAGCTGGTAACTAACGAAATACTGCCCAAATGTTTAATTTAAGTAAGACCTAATGCTGGGGCAGGAGGGGGAGGAGGAGAGGTTCATGAATCTCTTATTTTGTTGATTTGCTAGTAGAAAATGTTGGACAAAAGAAAATACAGCTCAGTAGCTGATCCTGCTAAACATCAAAGATCTAGAATGAAGAGTTTTGCATTGACATGAAACATTTATAGCAAAGGATTGAATGCGTGCAGATCAGCAACATTTGCTTTTTGAAATAGGGCAATGGAACCTTTATCTGTTTAAATCTCAGTTGACTAAGTATAGGTTGATGTTGGGTAATTTGATGGTAAATCAAACTTATGCTCCATATCGGGGAATGACAGAGAACTTCTTTCAATACTACTGCTTGAGACTTGGCTGCTGGGAATGGAGATAAGGAAATGTTTTGGTTTCTATACAGCTAAACAGCAAAGTTGAAACGCCAGACTGAGTTAGGAATCTGGACAACTTTCTTTTGGTTTTTTGATATAAGCAAACTCAACGCCATAAAGAAATGAGATGGCTGAGCGCCGTGGCTCAAGCCTGTAATCCCAGCACTTTGGGAGGCTGAGATGGGTGGATCACCTAAGGTCAGGAGTTCGAGACCAGCCTGGTCAACATGGGGAAACCGGGTTTCTACTAAAAATACAATAATTAGCCAGGCGTGGTGGTGTGCACTTGTAATTCCAGCTACTAGGGAGGCTGAGGCAGGGGAATAGCTTGAACCAAGGAGGCAGAGGTTGCAGTGAGCCAAGACTGCGCCACTGCACTCCAGCCTGGGCTACTGAGCGAGACACTGTCTCCAAAGGGGGAAAAAAAAAAAAAATGCTGGGCGCAGTGGCTCACGCCTGTAATCCCAGCACTTTGGGAGGCTGAAGTGGGTGGATCACGAGGTCAGGAGATCGAGATCATCCTGGCTAACACCATAAAACCCCATCTCTACTAAAAATACAAAAAATTAGCCAGGTGTGGTGGTGGGCGCCTGTAGTCCCAGCTACTCGGGAGGCTGAGGCAGAAGAATGGCATGAACCTGGGAGGCAGAGGTTGCAGTGAGTCGAGATCGCACCACTGACTCCAGCCTCGGCGACAGAGCGAGACTCTGTCTCAAAAAAAAAAAAAAAAAAAGAGAGAGATAAGGATATAAGATTACATGGAGCTAAAGATATGAAGCAATATACCTAATTATAAACAAAAGATCAACTCTTACCATTAAGAGTTATTCTGTAAGAGCAAATGACAAAAACTCAGTGATTGGGCATATAAATTGGGATCCTTTTGTGAACATGAGCCTGTAATTTAGAGATACAAATGGGTTTTGTGGGAGAGTAAGGTTACTTTTGAAAAGATAAACCCTTTCTCTGAAAACATGTAGTAAAATAAACTGTCAAACCAATGACACACAATTGAGTGACAGGAAGAGTTGAACACCACAATACCACTTAACTCTATTACTTTTAAACCTCCTCATCTCTTCTGTGTATAGTCAGAGATTTCCAGCCTGAATAAAGGCACCAACTTTGGAGAGCTAATGGAGGTGACACCATTAGTTTGAAACTGGAACCAAAGCCATAAAACCTATTCTGATTTTAATAAACAATTTTAAGTAAAAGGTTGTAGAGTAAGACTGTTTCACCAAAGCAAATGATTTGGCAAATAGCCAATCAACACTGGACATATGCAACTAATCAAATAGCAGAGAAACCTGTAATGGTTCTTTATTCTCATCCAGATTATTTTATTGTCTCCATTAGTGGGCAAAGATAGGCAGAAATTTCCCTACAATTAGACTGGGTAAAAAAAGTCAATAAAAAAACTAACCATTTTTGACATGTTTAACACCAGTTTAGTAGCCCAAAAGGCAAAAGCTTGGTTAAGATGAAGCAGACTTTTAAAAACTTTTCAACTTCTGTTCAGTAACCCAGAAAATAGTCCAACAGAAAAAAAAGAACTGGTGGGCTTAAGGCAAGGCAGACAGAAGTAATGAATTAGCAATAAACAAACAAAAACAAGGAAATAAAGAAGGAGAAGGGAAAGTAGATAGATAATCAAACAGACAACAGCCATGGAAGGCAATGAATGTAGTACAAAAGGGCCTGGCCTTGGTTCTAGATAAGAACTGTATAAAGCAGTTAACCCAGCTCTTCTAAAACTCAGTCTCCCCAATGTACACAATATTGTGAGCCTAAAACTAAATTACCTGTATGGTTCCCTAGCTCCAAAATGCTAAAAGGTTTATCAGCGGGGAAGCAGGAAGGAATTCAGTGGCTGCAGTATCTGTAAAAAAAGTAAATTTTAAGTTTTGCCCTGGCCTTCACAGCTGAAATGCTGATAATGGGCAAGACCAGAAGCAGACCCCAGGGCAGTGCTTCTCCAATTCTAGTGTGTGTAAGAATCGCCTGGGGTATTTATTAACACACTGACTGCTGGCTGGGCTCTACTTGGGAGTTTTTTGTGCAGATCTGAGGTGAAACTACAGCATCTGCATTTCTAACAAGCTCCCAAATGATGCTGCTGGTCTGGGATCACACGTGGAGAAACACTGTACTAGAGAGTTAGTGGCAGAGGGCAAACAAACCTTGTTACATGGGAAAAAAAGTTAGACTTCTCTTACTTCTGGGGGAAAAAAGGATTACTTGTAAGGCGACTGACAAATGTGGAAATAAAATTTGTTTCCTCTGCTGACCAAAGCTTTGTTGTTAAGCAGAATTTAATAGAATATAGTTAATTACATAATAGTTTATAATATGAATTGGGTATTGCCAAATTCTTCAGAACCTTCAAAATTACATAAGTTGAAATGTTCATGCAAAACTGAGATCATAAACTGGGAATTCTATTTATTGATCTTGAATATCACAGAATAGTTATGTCATTGGATTTTTTTTAAATTTATGCTAACACTTAAAAGAACTATATATAGTAACTTTTCCTTATACAATGATGTGTTTCATAAGTGAACTTTTCAGATAATGGAACGTTAAACAACTAAAGTTTCTTTTATTTTTAACCATTTTAGAAGAATATCTTTCTAAATAGAAAACACAACCATAACAAAAGCTTTCCTTCATTACTCACTGTCATAATAACACACACAATAGTTTAAGTTCTATAATGAATAGCACCTCCAGGGTCAACCAGAGTTGTATGAAACCATTCACTATGACACTGAATAAGTCCAGAGTTCTGTAGGTTTGCCATTTCTCCCACCTTGTTTATCTCAGTCCCACTGGAGCTATTAGCTATTAGTATTTCTCAGTGTATTCAAATCTAAGTTGCATTACGAATTGGTATATATATGCTTATGGGCTTTAAGATGTTATTTTCTTGAGATGAATTTTTTGTTTGATTATTTATTTACTTCCAGATTTTCAGGATGGTCTATGGATGGTTGAGTTATTGCTGGCAGCAGGAAAGTGAGGTACCTAATAGATTTTGTGTTTCTTCTTCTTCTTCTTTTTTTTTTTTTTTTTTTTTTTTTTTGATATAGTATGCTGTATCAGAGACAGAGAAAGAGGCCCTTAGGGCAATGTTAGTATATCTAGTAAATAAATTATAGTTCTGTTCACTTACAGAATAATGTGTTTTAAGTTCCTCTTCCTGCCCAAACTCTACAAACTTGTCAACCTTGGAATATCATGTGGACATTTTAACATTTTACTGTCTTATGTACAACTTGTTTGAAAGTAGAAAGCTTCATAGAATAACAAAAGTCAAGTCAGTTACAAGGTAAAGAAGAAATGTAAGGTGAATCTCATAAGAAAAAGGAGCAAAATTTGCTATAAACTGATCACAAGGGAATTCCTAATGTTGGTGTCTTATATTGTTGCTCAAAGTCATATAAAGATCACATTTACTGACCTGGGGAATGCTGGGAAGTTGCAAGTGAGGTCATGGAATTAGAAAGGTTAAGGTTGGCAGTGATACTAAGCTGGCTCTGCAGTGCAGGAGGGTAAGGAGATGTGGGAGTCAGGAGGGATTCTTCACTGGTTTCTTCATCAATTCCAGGCAGGTACGTGTCAATCAAGGCATCAAGAAACTTAACAATAAGCTCAGCATAGTCTGGAATTTGTGTTTGCTGTAATGGAAAATAGGAAATTATTTTAGTTCCTTTTTTTTAAGTAAATCCCCATCTGAAGCCAAAAATATTAATTTTGTTTGGACTTAATTTACTATTTTTCTTCCTTTGTATTACTTATCATTAAAAAAGGGGAGTGGAGTAATATTTATAGACTACCATAGGACTTACAACAGGGAGTTCTATTCAGCTTAAAGCTTCCAGATGAACCTGCATTTTCTGAAAGCCATGCACAAGACAGACTGAATGTAATACTGAGACAATACAATCACCAGGAATGATGTCTAGCCAATTTTCCAAAACAGAGAAAATGAGCAGAGCATCATCATTCCAGCTGCCATTTAGATTCCACTCACTAGACACTGTAAAGGGCTCAGAGGGTTACTGGCAATCCAAATGCAAAAACTTCTGTATGATATACTTATTTCTGTAACTTCAGGCCCATTTTTTAAGTGACAACCTTTGCATGTTGACAGATATTCAAGTAATAGTGAAAGGAAATAAATAAAATACCCAATTCTTAAAAACTGGAACAAGGTTTATACAATTCATATTGATTTAGCACCCCCTGTATCTAAAACACTGCACCAGGAACTGTTTAAGGAAGAAACAGAAACCCTGTCTTCAAGGAACTTTGATCAATTTGGAGAGAGCCCACATACAGAGAAAATGATCATATACATCTTATGTAGCACTACATAAACTAATGCCAATCAAAAAACAAACTGAGGCCAGGTGCGGTGGCTCATGCCTGTAATCCCAGCACTTTGGGAGGCCGAGGTGGGCAGATCACGAGGTCAAGAGATCAAGACCATCCTGGCCAACATGGTGAAACCCTGTTTCTACTAAAAATACAAAAATTAGCTGGGCGTGGTGCTGCATGCCTGTAGTCTCAGCTACTCGGGAGACTGAGGCAGGAGAATCGCTTGAACCTGGGAGGCAGAGGTTGCAGTGAGCCAAGATTGCGCCACTGCACTCCAGCCTGGAGACAGAGTGAGACTCCGTCTCACAAAACAAACAAACAAACAAAAAAACTGAATAAGAGCAAATGAGGACAAATCCAGAGAGAAATTAATCTAATCTAATAGGCTGGAAATAAAAATGTTTTCATGAAATAGATTTTAACCATGGTAATGCTCCTTGCTAGTCATAAGATATCTAACTGTGTGCATTAAGATTATCAAATACACAAGGGACTGTGGCAGAAAAGTATCACAGAGGTTTATCATACTCTTCTGAAAAATTGATCATAAGTTGACTTTGTTTGTAAAAGTGAATACACACACCCCAACACCATGCTGCCTCCTGGAAAAAAACCTTGTGATGAGAAACTTTTTATAAAAGTAACATATGTGTTTATTGTGAATTATTTTTCTGGTTTTCAGCACATTGTGTGTTCTTAAAGCAGGCATACTAATTTGAACAGAAACCTTCATTTTGCCAAAAGTTAGAGAAAAATATATTTTCTTACCTTTGAAAACGGTCCTGCAAACCGCCACAAGCCATTAAAACCAAAACCTGCAACAAATCAAATTTTACTCTTATAACAAGCAAGGTATCTTTTAATTGTAACAGAAATTAAATAAGTCATATAGCTGATGATATATAAACCCTATGTACATGTTGAAAACATGTTTTTAGAATGAGTGTCAAAGCAACTAAAACCTACTTAAAATATACTCAGCATAAAAAGTTGTCAACCAGTTACATTGGACATACAGTTGAGAGAGTAAAAAAATGGAATATGGAAATAAAAGTATGAACAAGTCTATCCCTTATAAAGAATTCTGTAGTCAGTGCATTCTACAACAGCGCGCATGTTAGCAAGTTCATCAACCATCCTTCTCCAGATACATTTATTTACTTTGCAGGTAAGATGTTTGGTATTGTGGTGGGGATTCTTCATGGTACACCACACTCTGCACAATTCCATGGATTGGATTTAACAAATTTGGATCTTGGCACAATGATAACAGGGTGTTGATCTTAGAGTCCAACAAATTATGCCTAAAAGAAAAAAAAAGTCAACAGAGGAACATTTTAGAGGAAAATTAAATGAAAATATGTAGTGGAAAACATAATATACATTCCCCAGAATAATGTGCCAAAATTAAAGGGAGATGAGTGCTTTTTACTTTCTGGGGCATTTCTTCATTTTCCAAATTTTCTACAATGAACATGTGTGTGTGTCTGTTTTTGTTTGTCTTTTGTTTTTAGTCACCAGGGAAGAAATTGTGAAAACAAACAACTGGTAGTGTCATATAACCATGTGTAACCATATACGGTAAATGTTTGCTTAAGACAAGGTTGGCTCTGTCTGCTACTTAGCATGTTTTAGTACTATTTCCATCTGTTGTATACTGACATGCGCTTAGGAAGTTAAAACTAAATTTAGGATCTGTGCAAAACAAAAAGAAAAAAATTAAATTTAATGTTAATCAGTGCTTTTAAAATGCTGAGTCAGATCAAATAGGGAAAGCAAAATAGTTTAGAGGGAGTGAAATACATGATCCAACTGAAACTTAGGAAAAAAATTATTTCTAACCCGGCTACACTCCATTAATAAAAATAACTGAGTTCTAACTCTCTAAAATTCTAACATGAGATTAAAAAAAGAAAATAATGACATGATATAGAAGGCCTAGATCAGGAAAAGAATTTATTTGAACTATTTAAATTTGAACACTTTGAGGTTAATATTTTTTAGTCCTTAAGAGAGAGTAAACAATTCACCTCCTAAACAGAAGGTCAATTTTGTTTTCACTCAGCTGTGGATAAATACAAAAGCTCTACTAAAAAGTAAACCAAAACAGATATGCTGATTTAGATATAGCAGTCTAATAGTTTGCTTCTAAGTGAGGAAAATGAGCAATGATCATCAAAATAAACCACTTAAATAAATCAACCAGATTTTTTAAAAGTCTTTCCTTATAAACTTTCTAATAGATCTAGTAGGTCAAAACTAATCTTAACCCTCATTAAACCTACTGTCTCAAAGCTAAAATCACTATCACAATATCTCATTTTGCCCTCTTTGCAACCAGTGCACATTACTGGGTAAGCATTTAACTTAAAGACAGGCACGAAGGTGAATTAAAATCAAAAGGAGATACTTACACAACAGGAAAGACTTTGGGAAACACAACACTGGCCTCTGCTAAGTATTCATAAAGAATTCGTTGATCAAACTCATCTGTGGTATATTTTACCAGTGTAGCCTGCCAAGATGCAAAAAAGTAAACACACAACATTTTTACTTTGTGGCTGAATTGTTATCTGTTTGGGTGAGAAGTAGAAGACTGTATCCTATTCATGTTTTTAATATTTAAGGGCCTCCTAAAAGTAGACTGGAATAAAAATTTGAGGGTGGGGGACTCAAAAAGGGGAAATCCTTACTAGAACAGTAAGAAGCAGCGCCTGGATCTTCGGATCAGTAAGTACTTCTTCATCCAAGAGAACATTTGATTCAGACACTGAAACTTTACGTAAATGTGGGTGCTGTTGTGATGAGGAAATCCTCTGAGTTTCTGCAGCAAGATAGGGAATTAACGTGATCAAACACCTGGATAATCACTTCACCTAACTATTTCAATGTTACTTCTAAAATTCAACAGCTTTCTTTAGTAGATACTTAAAATACTAACATAAACATCATAGAGAATTACTATTCGCCTACACAAAAGTTTTGGCTACCTATTTACAATGCTGTATATAATATATATGATTAATTTTTACACAAGCTTCAAGATAACTGTCTTGAATGGTAGAGTTTATCTTTTGAGAAATGGCAAACGTTTCTATATTTCACTCTAAAGATTCTAAGAAATGGCTGGAAAATAAACATGACTTTCATGTACTCTCCCACCTTATTTTCAATGATCTAGATCAATACTTTGTTTCTCACCCATTTCATAATCAGTTTCTGCTACTCTCCTCATTTTGGGGGGTGTTGTGATCCCTGATTCCATTTCTTGCCTTTTAGGAGCCTTTGTGTCTGATATCAAGTGATCAAAACTTTTCCTTGTTCCTATAAACAAAAGTTAAGAATATGCAAGTTCATTAACTACAGTGTCTATAAATGGGAATACACTAAAAAGAAAATGTTTGGACATAAAGTGTTTAAGCTTTCACTGAGGACTCAAAGAAAGCTCTAATACATCCCTGGAGCAGTTTCTTTCCTTTATTTTCCATCTTCTCAAAGGGTTTTGTTCCCATAGCTTTCTGTTTCAGGATAGGTTGCACCTTACTGGTGCAAATTAAACTGAGATTGTATTCTGTACACTGGAGGTAAACCAAACTACACTGGAGGTAAATCAACAAATATGATAACTGATAATAAATGCAATGGTAGGCATTATTCAGTAGCAAAGGTCAACTATGTCTGACCAGTCTTTTCAGTTTAAGAAACGCTGCTGGTGCCAAGAACTACTCATTAATACATGAGTAATTTCCAAGCTTAGGAAGAAAGCAGAGTTTGATTTTAATTTTTTAAGCTTTGAAAAAAAGATATGCATGCCTGAAAATACTAAAAACCAGATACACTGGGAGATGCTTCAAAAATAGCAAGTAGCATTATCTCCCATTTGGCTTTTAGTTTCTCTAATCATGTAATCATGTATTAACACTATTTTTTTCTTTTGATAGGGTCTCGCTCTGTGGCCCAGGCTGGAGTGCAGTGATATGATTTCAGCTCACTGCAACCTCCACATCCTGGGCTCAGGTGATCCTCCCACATCAGCCTCCCCAGTAGCTGGGACTACAGGCACACACTACCACACCCAGCTGATTTTTCTATTTTTAGTAGAGACAGGGTTTCTCCATGTTGCCCAGGCTGGTCTCGAACTCCTGGGCTCAAGCAATCCACCTGCCTTGGTCTCCCCAGAGTGCTGGGATTACAGGCATGAGCCACCATGCCCGGCCAACAGTATTATTTTATTAAAGCCAGAATTAAAGCCAATATAATAAAATCTGACAATTTAACACTTGAGAAATACAAAGTCTATTACCTCAAGAATATGAATAACTATTCATAATAGTCATAAATACCAAGGCCAAATAATTTAACAGTCCAAAGGGATCTAGTCCGGCTTCTTCGTTTCATGCACATGTACACTGATGAAGCCATGAGCAGTTAAGTAATTAGTCTGAGGTAGCATGGCTAGGGATCTAGACAATGACCAGATGGAAAACTCAGGTTTTCTAAAACCAGTCAGTGCTTTCCAAAGTACATGAGATTGGGACACTACTTTCTACATTTAGTTTTCCTTCCTTTCTCACTTGTCCTTTTTATTTTATTCTCTGCATTCTTCCTGGAAGATCTCATTCTGCTTCCATAGCTTCAACTATCTGTGAGCTAATCAATTCTAAATGTTTACTTGTTTACTTTCTTCCCGAATTCCAGGTACATCTTGTGGTTTATCTCTTAGATATATACTCATAGATGTCTTGAAAATATATCAAATGTAATCAACCTAAATTTATCATGTACTGTGAACGTATTAGTCCTGATCTCTATGAATGGTATCACTATCTAGACAGTTTTTAAAACTAAAAGCTTCTGACATCCTTCACAGTCTTCTCCCCTTCCCCACCTGCAACAATTGGTCACTAAGTCATGTCCATTGTACTTCAGAAACCTATTCCAAACCTGATTTTTGTTTTTTTTGAGACAGGGTCTGACTATGCTGCCCAGGTCAGCCTCAAACAATCCTCCTGCCTTGGCCTCCTGAGTTCCTGGGACTAGAGGTGTGTACCATTATGCCCAGCTCCAAACCTGCTGGTTCTTCTCCATTCTCCCATTGCTCCTGCATTAGTGCGGGGCCCACACCATTTTTTTTGCTTGGACTGCTATATCAATTTTATTAAATGGTTCCCTTGCTAAAAATCTCTTCCTGTCTCTCCACATTGCTGCTAGAAAAACTTGGCAAAAATTAAAATTTGGTCATGTTCTTCTCCTACTTAAATACCTCAGCTGAATGTGTGATAAGGGTAAATATCTTACCATGGCATACAGTCGTTTCCAATCGAGTTCTAGTCCTTCTTCTCATCTCATTTCCTACCCCATTCCCCATGATGCCATGATGTATCATCAGTTGCTTTCCTGCCTTTTCTTTATTCTTGCTATTCCCCACTGCTCTTAAACATATGCCCCTACTTATCCTGCTATTTTGCAAGCATATATTAAATCTTTATGACACAGCCCAAATGTTATCTCCTCTCTGCAGTTTTTTTTCTTCTAATTTCCCCAGATCTCCAGCTTTCTCCATCAAGACATATCATTTTAATGGCACCTGGAGTTGCTGTTGTGATTGGCTGATTATAAGTCTTGGACACAAATTACAAAGTCTTCCAGGGCAGTTACCTTATCTTTTTCACTTAGTACATGGGTTGAATGAATTCAATATATTTTTTTCTGAGGTTAGTTTTTCATTTACAACTTCATTGGCATGAAAATCCAGAATTACAAAACACAAAGTAACCAGGAAACTCCTAAATGATTATTTATGGCAAGGTACTAACAGAAGGGAACTCAAACAACAGTAACACACCTATGTGGCTAGTAACTGTGATTGACACATTCATGGTTTCTATTTCTTTCACGGTTTACTGGCACGTTATTTATGTTACAATTTGTTGTTTGTTCACTAATTTCCTTATGAACACAAACATTTTTCCAATACCTAAAGATACTTAAATATGTTTGCATGGATAACTGAAATCTGTTGAACCATTCAGTGCTGGCTACTGAAATACAGATCCTAATGTATTCCAGTAACAATTACAATTTTACCCAATGGAATGCAAGAACATCTCTGCATTTCCTCTGAGGAGCGATGTAAGATCAGTGTTTTTGTTTGTTTGTTTGTTTGGAGTCGGGGTCCCACTCTGTCACCCAGGCTGGAGTGCAGTGGTGCAATCTTGGCTTACTGCTACCCCCACCTCCTGGGCTCAAGTGATCTTCCCAAGTAGCTGGGACTAGAGGTGCTCGTCACCATGCCCAGCTAAGTTTTGTATTTTTTGTAGAGATGGGTTTTGTCATGTTGCCCAGGCTGGTCTTGAACTCCTGGACTCGAGCAATCCTCCCACCTGAGTCCCTCAAAGTGCTGGGATTATGGGCGTGAGCCACTGCACCTGGCCTAGTGGGTTTTTTCATTCATTTACTTTCAGTTACTAAAATGGAAATGAGTCTCGCAGCATTTCAGGTGTACTTCTCAGAGACAAAAATTCTATAAATGTTGATGTAACTGAGCAATCTTAATTTCAAGAATCCTATCTTCCGGCCGGGCATGGTGGCTCATGCCTGTAATCTCAGCACTTTGGGAGGCCGAGGAGGGTGTATCACCTGAGGTCAGGAGTTCAAGACTAGCCTGGCCAACATGGTGAAACTCTGTCTCTACTAAAAATACAAAAGTTAGCCAGATGTGGTGACGTGTGCCTGTAAACCCAGCTACTAGGGAGGATGAGGCAGGAGAATTGCTTGAGCCCGGGAGGCAGAGGTTGCAGTGAGCTGAGATTGCGCCACTGCACTCCAGCCTGGGTGAACAGAACAAGACTTCATATCAAGAAAAGAAAAAAGAAAAAAAAGAATCCTATTTTCTTTCGGTAATTGAGAAGCATGTCTTTTTGTCTTTTCAAAGAAAGCACGGCAAATAGTACTATTACAGCTTCATACCATATTCATATATTCTCTCAGATGATAATTTTGGGAAGTATTACAGTATATCATTAAATCCCCTGAGTGCAGCAAGACTCTTCCTTTCTTATAGGTATTTATCTAATATGTCTCAGAGTCCCATTCCCTGCTGGCCAGCAAAGGCAAAACAAAATAAGGAGAGTCACAATATTTAGTATAAGATTCAGAAAAAACTGTTTCAAGGTCCCATTCTCATTTCTCTATCTCAACTTATAATGCTTAACTGATCTATCAAACTCTCTTTTAAATGGCATCAAAAACTTTGCTACACTGACATGGAAAATTTTGATAATCCTGAAATTTCAAATAATTTTCCAAGAGTAAAAATATCTATTTTTTTAAATAATAAAAAAAATCTACATAATTTAGATAAACTAACCAAGCAACTTCTTAGTGTTGGCCTGAGAAGGTTGCCCCATGTCCAGGCTCATGGATTTCCTGGCTCGGGGACTGGTCTGGCCGACAGTTGGATAGGTGGCTGCAAGGTATCCTTCAGAACCTTTGGGAGAGGACCATGGCTGAGTCTCCTTTAGTGTCCTGAAAGATGAAAACAATAGAGAAAAATCAATTAATATGGTGACAAATACAACCATCGTTTGCTCCTTCCAAGTGGCTGTCCTATTTCCTAACAACAGCAATCAATTAATTTTAAAATTGCACTTTAAAGGGCTTTAGGATACAAACTCTTGGTGTATCCCTAGGAATTATCAACTTTCTTGCCATAGTATCTTGCACATAGTAGGTACTCACCAAATGCTGAACAAAAAGATCTGTACTGCAATTTTTAAAAGCTGACAAATAAAAAGGTATAGCAACAGGGGTGTCCAATCTCTTAGCTTTCCTGGGCCACACTGGAATTAGAAGAATATACTGGGCCACATATAAAATACACTAACACTAACTACAGTTGATGAGCTTAAAAAAAAAAAAAAACCCCAAAAAATCACTTAATGTTTTAAGAAAGTTTACAAATTTGTGTTGGGCTGCATTCAAAGCCATCCTGGGCTGCGTGCGGCCTGCAGGCCATGGGTTGAGCAAGCTTGGTGTACAACATGATGTTTTAAAATATGTTTACATTGGCTGGGCGCTGTGGCTCACGCCTGTAATCCCAACACTTTGGGAGGCCGAGGCAGGCGGATCACCTGAGGTCAGGAGTTCAAGACCAGCTTGCCCAACATGGTGAAACCCCATCTCTACAAAAATACAAAAATTAGCTGGGCATGGTGGCACGCGCCTGTAATCCCAGCTACTCGGGAGGATGAGGCAGGAGAATCGCTTGAACCCAGGAGGCGGAGGTTGTAGTGAGCCGAGATTGTGTTACTGCACTCCAGCCTGGGCGACAGAGCAAGACTCTGTCTCAAAAAAAATTAATAAAGAAAAATAAAAATAAATAAAATGTTTACATTGTAGAATGGCTAAATCAAGCAAATTAACATATGTGTTACCTCATATATTTATCTTTTGTGGTGAGAATACTTAAAATCTACTCGTAGCTATTTTCAAGTATAAAATACATTAACTGTAGTTATGTTGATAAAAGACCTTGAACTTATTGCACTGATTTTTTTTAAATCAGAAAAAATTAAGTCTAAATAGGCAATTGTTTAAAAACCAAGAAAATCAGATATTAATTTATACTTTGACAGGGGAACACAGGCAAACTATTTTACCCTTTCTATAACAAAAAGGGCATATCTCAAAGTAATATAATAATGGGACTGACGAAAGTAAGACTATTGAATACCATGTTTGAAAAATTTTTGCGTACATTGTTAGAATCTTAAGGAAATTGTTGAAGTCTTTTTATCAAAAAGCAGGATGTTGATAAATGGAATGATACGAGTTTTGCGAACAGAAGATAACTTTTCTGTGTTCAACACTGTCCCTAAACCTTAAAGATATTTTTATTTAATTGAAAATACAGAAAAATCCCCCAATGATGCCATTTTCATGAAATTTCTCTAAATTATACTGAAAAATATACTACCCAAACCCATGTATAGCAGATATAATTTTTACCATCTATGTCTACATTATAGAAAACTTTTAAATAACTTGTGTGATATGAGTAAATACAACAAATGTGTTAGCATGCCTGTATTTTTACAAATCTGTATAGATTCGTTCTCTATCCAAGCACGTAATGTGTTGTTTATATTTCGCGTTAGTTTTTTTCCCCAGGCCCTTCCCCTGCAACCTAATATTTTCAAGAGCATCTCTTTTCATTGTTCATTTGGTCTGTGCTTCAGAGGCAAACTAATGTTAACATTAGCACAATCAGACTGGAAGAATAACTTTCCTACTAACCCACATAAAATACCACACATTTATAAAATGAGTTTCACTTACTCTTCCTAGGCCATCTCTAGATTTCTCCCATGTTACCTTCTAGATTACTCTGCTGCTTGCCTCCATTAGTTGGAAAATTGAAACTTGATTATGATTATGTAATTATAGGAGAGTAAATCCACTTACCTATAGGAAGGGTCACCATGATGAATGGGATATGTATCCATAGGAACATTTTCCATTGAAATATCAGTAAGAAGAAGTGACTTTCTATGTTTTAGGCTGCAGCGACTTCGAACTTCTTCAGACACTGTAAGTAAAGCTAAAAGGAAAACGGTGGCAGGTTAAAAAATTTAACAAATCACAAGTGTGACTTAAAACAGGATGAACTTCTTACAGTCTCCTAAAGAGCATAGTACCTGTTAAATGTGCACATATTTTGGAAGACTACATAAATGTGAAATATACAGAGAGATTTAATAAGCATCTTTTATTTTCCAAGTTCTTTAATATACATTTGATCTTTAACAAACACAAAGTAGGCAGGGCAGGTATTATTAAGCTGAATGAGAAAAAATACTGAGATGTTAAATGATTTGCTCAAGATGATACGGTTCAAACAAAAAAGTTGAACAAATACAAGTCTGTGAAACTGAGAATCAGCACTTTCTATCAAACAACTATGTTCAAGAATTGTATTGTACATAAGTGCTAAGTGTTGCTGAGTAGAGAAACAAAAATCAGATAAGAGCAAATAGGAAGCTTTAATGGAATGGTGGGGATAGGGCAGATACTCCAGATAAAATGACATAAGGAATGAATATTGAAGAGGCAGTTGCTTGTAGGAGATGGCAAGTAGATTAGCTTAAAATAGCTCATCCATTTGGAGTGGTAATAAAAAATGAGGCTCATGAAATTTAGAGAAAGATAACAGAACTGAGAGGGCTATTTAAGGACCCAGGGTGCTAGACTGAAGCATTCAGATTTTATGACAGATAACAGAGAGCCACTGTAGTGTCTTGAACCAAAGATGACCAAGGGAACACATTTCAGATTTTAATGGGAATTAAATTTTTTCCTACAGAAAAATGTTCTGGCAAAACTCTCAAAATTGTAACCACCACTAAAGGACTAGACTGTGAACTTTCTGCTCTGCCACGCAACCGCCAAAAAACCTATAGGTATTTGTACTTTTTGGGTGATCCTTATATATAGATGTAGCAAGATTAATTTTGTTTATTTTGTGTTTTTACCTGCTAAGTAGGCCACGCTCTGTGTATTCACTTCAAATTTGTCACAATTTCTGTGTTTGTTAACCAGAGTTAGTAGTGTATGTAAAATTCTGACTGTTCTTGCAACAATAGCAGGTGAAGGATGCCTGTACCCTACAAAAAACAAACAAACAAACAAACAAACAAGTAAGAATTAATTTTTTGAACAAGCATCTGCTGAGGTCTTCTTCCCTGACTAACAACTCTGCAAGGAAAGGAAATATAACTCCTACTTTCCAAGAATAGCCATTTGGGAAGGTAAAACATGCATATGTGAATGAGAATAATTAATTATGTATAAGATTAAGTACCAAAAATGTGTAGAATATAATATTCCCTAGAACTCTACAGTACTCCAGGAAGAGGAAAATTAAAAAACATGATAGTCTTTCAGATCTTCTATTCCCTAAAGCAGCACAGAGATTAAAAAAAAAAATCTATGTATTATAATTCTCCTTAAGATTTCATTTGAAAATAGGGTTCTTTTACAAAAACATTTTTTTTTTTAAGAAAAGATGTCCCTTTAATTTTACTTTTGTCAAAACATTTTCAAGATTACTTTAATTTTTACAATATCAGTTAAGGGAAAACTAGTGAGTTTGTTGAAGAAAACAAGAAACAGATTTTTTTAAAGCCATTGACCACGAAATAAGCATTATGTTTCAAAGACCATGAAAAAGTTATTTGTCTCTTTTTGGTCTCAACTAGCGAGGGAGGTGAGACCAAACTGCTCAACTGCTGGACAATCTCAGCAAACACACCCACTGTTGAGACTTATTGAGTGACTCAATGTTGGCTAGAATTGTCCATTTAGCTGGAGGGGAAGAGGGAGGGAAGGATGGATGGAGGAGTGAAGTATGGAAGCAGGGATCAGGCCACTTCCCGTACCTCTCCCAAACTCCAAAGGCAATGATCACATTGGAGGGTCAGCTAAACACAAAGGGAAGTGAAGAAAGAAGTTTGAAGATTTTCCTGTTTCCAAAAATCACATACTTTCCTCTTTTGAGTATTCTATAGAATAACTCTCTACATTTCCTAGTTTGTGGAAATTTTCTCTATGGCATAACTACTCTAAATTGTGCAATTTTCCTTCCTCATATCAGACTTATTTTTCTCTATACCTGGTTCCCTAGCAAACCTGAGCTTTATTTATATATCTGATATGCACCCCATCTCCACAGCTGGCATTCAATTGCAACTCTAAATTCTAAAGTGCTCAGAGTCAATATAATGCACTGACGATTCAGACCTGACTGGGCATTTTCACTGCATAAATCTAAAAAGTAAACAATCTCATTATGTTTGAGAGGATGGATGGGGAGAAGACTGATCTATATTTCCACTAAGGTAGCCAAGAAATATTCACATGAAGGGACAATGGGAGAGGAGCTGGCAAGAGTTTGGGCAGTACTTAGAAGGAAGATGCATTCCTTATCATATAGATTACATATGGCAGTGAATTGACAGAGGATTCACTGGGACATCTTCAGAAAGTAAGTAATGTGTTTCAACACCACTAAAGTGTTAAAATAGGCTTCTTTTCTTCTCGCCAGTATGAAAAGTTAGACAGGAGTCACTCCCAAGAATAGTAAAGGACACTCACTGGGGACAGTCATGATGGGTGAAGAAGGGATACATATTTTTAAGGCAGCAGGAATAAATTTCATCATCCTTCCCAGAAGACAGCAAGAATTATTCAAGGTGGCCACCAAGTCTGGAAACCAGGCAAATCTTTTAACAAATGGTTTATCGATATGTTATAATGAATGACAAAATATTAGTATCTAATTCTAGACTTTATGGCCACCCCATAGGATGAATCTTTGGAACAGAAAAAAAAATAAAGAATTTGTTTTCTCATAATCATAAAGCTGTTATACTCAGTCCAGGCACAGCTAGTACAACATTCTGCTCAACCCCACAGGCTCCATTCCCTTTACCACATATTTATAATATGTTTGGGTCACTCATAGGAGTGAAACACTGTCAGCATCAATAGTTAGCAGCACTTTCAAAATACATTTTATTGTCCCGAATAGAAACCTTAACTATTCAATTAGTCCAGTAATTCCAAATGGTCTTATTACTTCTATACATAAGATATGATCTTACAACATTTATGTAGCTAAATACTTAACTTCCCATGCTTTTTGAGGATTCCCAAAAGACTTTAGGGGGTTCCCAAGACTTTCAGGGGTTTTTTTTTTCACAATAAAAGAAAGGAACAGTGTCAATCCATAGAGTCAGACCAGCAGTTTAATAAGATCCTCTTCATAGCTCAGTTATCAGTGCATACAGAGATTCAATATAGCCCCATCGCTCTCAGTTATTAGAATCTGAGAGGGATAAGAGCAATAACTATTGTTTAAAAGCCTAAGAGTGAAAACAGATGTAAAAAAAAAAAAAAAAAAAAAAGCCAAATTCTTTCATCCCAGGATGTCTGAAAAGGAGAGACTCTATGGAGTGTGGATGTAGAAAAGGAGTTATTCCTACCGGAAAAAAATGAACTGTGGACACAGTCACTCAAGACTAGAGAAACAACCACTATGAGTAAGTAGCTTCAATTTCACTGTTACCAGGAGGGCACACACCAGAAAGCCTGGGACAAAGCCTGGGCTAGAGCCCTCAGGATTCATTCTCAGGCTTCCTGGTGCTGTGGTTCAACAGCCTTTGTGGGGATGGGGAGAACCAGAGACTATCACCATCACATGTAAAAAATATTACCACAGCAACAGCTGTCAAAAACCAGCTGGAGCTGAAGTTACACACCATTTGAAATCCACACTGTACTTGCTTTCTTGTGATGGGCTTGAGACATGTGCAGAGACACCTTAAACATGTGTAGGTGACCACCCTTTTGAAAGGCAGAGGAGGGCCTCTTCATGAACTCTTTCTACTCATTTGTTTTCCTATCAGTTCACCATTTCAACTAGAAAAGATGCTGCAAGCTACCTCAGCTAGCTTCTAATTTGGACACAGCACCAATACTACACACACTACTGAATGAATGACCACATCTTCCTGGTTCTTCCATTGGGCAGGGTCAATATGCTTCTTTGGACTGAATAGGTGTGATCTTGTTTGAGAAAAGTGTGTAAACGTAGGGCCAGATTTTGTTCGTCTCCGTTCCGGAAAATTGGTGGAGCACTCCTCGGCTCTTGTATAATTCAATGACTGGCTTTGCCACGTCTTTGTACTGTCTTAGCCTGGCAGCAACTGCTTCGGGTTTATCATCCTCCTGCTGGACTAATGGTTCACCAGTGACGTCATCAATACCATGTACATGAGGTGGATTGAAGTCCAGGTTATATACCCTTCCGCTAGGAGGGTGAATCCAACGGCGGCTGAGACGATCTTTAAGTGTTTCAAATGGAATATTCAAACTGATCACTAGATCCACTTCACAGATTTTGTCCAGGGCTTCGGCTTGTCCTAATGTCCTAGGAAAACCATCAAGGAGCCAGTGCTGGCCACGCCTATTCTCCAACTCGGACATCATTAGGCGTGTGATCACATGGTCTGGAACCAAAAGACTTTTCTCTATATACTGCTTTGCCATCTCACCAACTTCGGTGCTGGCCTTGATGTTCTCCCGCAAGAAGTGGCCGCTGGAGAGATGCTGGAGACCAAAGTTCTGGGCGATCCTCTGGCACACGGTGCCCTTGCCCGAGCCGGGCGGCCCGAGGATGACCGCGCGCAGGAGTTTGGAAGCCATTGCCTTCGCGAGGAGGGGGGCGGTCAAACGCGCAGCCCCGACCGCGGCCCCGGAGGGAGCCCCGGGAACTTTGTTTCTCGGCCCCCTACCTCTGGCACCCTCCGCTCTCACTGGGACTCGCCGGCCGCCCCTACAGGGGGAAGGAGAGACTTTTAAGACAACCCCTCCCCTCAGCCCAGCGCCGGGACCGAGTCGCAGGCGGAATACAAAAACATTTTTAATTAAAAGAAAAGCTGATGACATAGGAAGTATATGCTCTAAGAGCCCAATAAATAGGGTTGATTAGAGGATAAATTTGATCTTTGGCCAGCTTTTAATCATTAATCCTTCCCCCATTTAAAAATAGGTGATTTGAACATGGAAAGTATCTGGTCTTCTTTTCTTTTCTTGTCTTTTAAGACAGAGTGTCACTCTGTCACAAAGGCTGGAGTGCAGTGGTAGGATCTTGGCTCACTGCAACCTCTGCCTCCCAGGTTCAAGCGATTCTTGTGCCTCAGCCTCCTGAGTGGCTGAAACTACAGGTTTGCACCACCTCACCTGCCTAATTTTTGTATTTTTAGTAGAGATGGGGTTTCACCGTGTTGGCCAGGCTGGTCTTGAACTCCTGCCTTCAAGCAGGGGTTTCACCATGTTGGCCAGGCTGGTCTTGAACTCTTGGCCTCAAGCAATCCACCTGCCTCAGCCTCCCAAAGTGTTGGGATTACAGGCATGAGCCGCTGCACCCAGCCTGGTATTCTTTTAGATATAAAGAATAATTAAGCACTTTATTAGCCCAGTTACAATTACTTATCTTGGTATCCTTTAGTAAGGTAGTATTTTTTGAGAAATCCCCATTGACCTTAGAGATTAACACTGTCAATATTTTTTGTAGAAATTTCATAAGAAAGTGAAATCAAATGCATACATTCACAATAGTGGGTGTATGCATATCTCTCTCTCTCTCATAAAAACTGGGAGAATCTCCATGGTCCCTCAAGCCTATGATTTAAATTAATACAAAATTGTTGACTCAAGCTATAGCTTGAATCTCTATTGTGGCCAAATCCACTTCTGAGACCACTGGGGTTCATGCCAGCTCCTTATCCCAGGTCTTACTTTATCCTGCTTTGCTTCTGACCCACCACTACATGCTGTTCTTATTAACTGCAGTCTCTGGCCATGACTGCCCCATGTTAATGAACCAAAGTTAACAAGCTGTGAAGTCAGCAACGGGGAGTAAAACCAGGTTAGGAAGTGAATGAGCGGGCTCTGAGGAATAGCTGGAGATCACTGGCTATAAGCAATATAGAAAGGGGTGAGAATAGGGTGCCAGAAAGGTGATGTACAATGGTATAAAATAATAGTATTAATCAACAATAAACTATAAACAAGTTGAAGAAAATCTGTGATCAAATCTCTTAACATTTTCTAATATAAATTATTCAAATAACACTTAGTGATTTGCAGTCTGTTTCATTTTGAAAATCAGTAAGATACTTAGGTATTGTTACTATTAATATAGCTATTATCAGACTCAGTATGTAGGTTTTTGTAAGAATCAACACTTTTTTTTTTTTTTTTTTAAAGGCAGGGTCTCACTCTGTCACCCAGGCTGGAGTGCAGTGGCACGATCATGGCCCACTGCAGCCTTGACCTCCTGGGCTCAAGTGATTCTCCTTCCTCAGCATCCCAAGTAGCTGGCACTATAGGCATGTGCCACCGCACCTGGCTAATGTTTTTATTTTTTGTAGAAAGGGGGTTTCACCATATTGCCCAGGCTGGTCTCGAACTCCTAAGCTCAAGAGATCCTTCTGCTTTGGCCTCCCAGAGTGCTGGGACTACAGGTGTGAGCCACCATACCCAGCCAGAATAAACTCTTTTGTTTTTCAGGCAAATTTGATATTTGAATTGGAAATGAAGCTCTCTTAAAACACATATTGAATAAAACACAACTCATTAAGACAGATATAGTTTGCATTTATTTATTTATTTTTTGAGACAAAGTCTCACTCTGTTACCTAGGGCTGAGTGCAGTGGTGTGATCACGGCTCACTGTAGCCTCGACTTCCCAGGCTCAAGCAATCCTTCCATCTATGCCTCCTAAGTAGCTGGGACTACAAGCACGTGCCACCATGCCTGGCTAATTTTTAAATTTTCTGTAGAGATGAAGTCTCACTATGTTGCCCAGGCTGGCCTCAAACTCCTAGCCTCAAGTGATCCTCCTGCCTCAGCCTCCCAAAATGTTGGTATTACAGACGTGAGCCACCACGCCTGGCCTAGTTTGCATTTAAAGTAAGACATAAGGGCTAACTTACTTCAATTTATTTCAAGTAATCACTTATTCAAATTACTTCTGGTTTCTTAATAGTACTTCATAAAAATATTCTAAATAAGGCTTTTTTACCTTTTAAAAGGTGTCCAACCAATGCAAAGTTAAAGTTAGAGTTGAAATTGAGTCCAACAAAATGATCCATTTGCTTGCAGTGCCACTCCAGAGGATTCCGGATTGCCATAAATACTTCCTCTGGACTCTATTAAAGATAATCATGAGATGGTTGATGAGGTTCACACAGTAGCTTTCTTTAAAGGCTCACTTAATTTTGTGTTCAATAGTATGACAAGATAAGTAATCCTTTCAATTTGAGAGAAATTATTTTCAGTTGACTGCAGAAAACCACAGAACATTTTAGCTACTACAAATTAACTGGTGCAAGACAGTCAAGCATATAAATAAGAAGATGGTGGAAGATGAAATCACTTTTATTTACAATACAAAATAAATGACTGTCAATTTACATCCCGGTGACTTTTAACATGCTTATTAACTCTGATGCCTAGCATCCAAAGGGCACTAGAATCAATATTAGCTCCCGCTACTGGGCTGTTTTGAAGATGAAAATACCGAGGCAGATGCCCCATTTGCAATGCTCCATTTGCAAATATTCTTTTTTTGAGATGGAGTCTTACTCTGTCGCCCAGGCTGGAGTGCAGTGGCACCACCTTGGCTCACTGCAACCTCCTGGGTTCAAGAGATCTTCCCACCTCAGCCTCCCAGGTCGCTGGAGTTACAAACATGTGCCACCCTGGCTAATTTTTGTATTTTTAGTAGAGACAGGGTGTCACCATGTTGGCCAGGCTGGTCTCGAACTCCTAACCTCAAGTGATCCTCCCAACTCGGCCTCCCAGAGTGCTGGAATTACAAACATGCGCCATTGCACCCGGCCAATTTGCAAATATTCTTAACATATAAATAGCCAACAACTAGATATCGCTGACCACCACTGTCCCAAAACAGTTTTAGAAAAACGGCAATGAGAATTAGGACAGAGGGGTTCTAGTCCCAAAACAGATGTACAAGCATGGGCAAGTTACTTAACTTCTTAGTTCCTTTCTAATTTGCAAAATGGAGGTCTGATTAATAAACTCCATAAGACCTCTTACCTCTAAAATTTTGCTTCTATATTTTTCAGACCCATATCTGTTCCAGGTTCACACTACATCTGGTAGACTGAACTAATAATGTTTAGACCAAGTATCTTTTTACACTTAAAACCATAATCCTGTTCTTTGTACCCACAGTTCAGTTAATTTCACTTCAAGCAAATCTCACTGTATATACACATTCTTTTAAAAACATTCCCCTCTTTTCTCCTAGACCCTTCCCATTTTTATCCAAAGACAAAAGGGACGTAATTTCATACTATTTTATTCTCTCCTCTATTCTCTATGAACTAAAATCCAACCCCAATTAGATCTCCATTTTACAAATTAGAAAGGAACTAAGAAGTAATTTGCCCATGTTCATATATATATACACACACACATGCACACGTGCACACACACACACACACCCCATTAGCACCCCTCCTAACATTTATTAACCTTAATTGGAGTTGGATTTTACATATTTTATGTGTGTACACACACACACACACACACACACACTTTATATATATATATACACATACATTACATATATATGTGTGTATGTAATATATGTATACACACTTTTTTTTGGAGACAGGGTCTTGCTCTGTTGCCCAAGCTGGAGTGCAGTGGCGTGATCTCAGCTCACTGCAACCTCTGCCTCCCAGGCTCAAGCAATCCTCCTACCTCACCTCCCGAGTAGCTGGGATTGTAGGTGCATGCCACCATGCCTAGCTAATTTTTGCCTTTTTTGTAGAGATGGGGTTTTGCAAGTTGCCCAGGCTGTTCTCTAACTCCTGAGCTCAACTGATCCACCTGTCTTGGCCTCCCAAAGTGCTGGGACTACAGGTATGAGCCACCACTCCTGGCCACTAATGGTATATTTTAAAGTAAGATTAGACAGAATAAAAAAACTAGTAAAATTAAGTACCCAAAAGTTTCCTTTAGACTCTCCAACTTCCTTATCTACTATGAATTATACGTATTTTTCATTAAGTGGCATTATTAAGTAAAACTAAGATTACTTTTAGATTATTTCTTCACGTGTGAAATGGGGGGCAGAGAATGCTAACCTTTACCTTAAGGTTATGAAAATTAAAAATAAATGTATAGTGTTTAGCATACGGCCTGGCATGGTAGCTATTAATATTATTACCATGTATTGTTTATGCTCATTCTGTAAGGATGATCATGTATTATTTATCCTTATTCTGTAATTCTACTAGTATTAGGCCAGTACTGTTTTTTTTTTGTTTTTTTTTTTTTGCTATTTTTATGTAAAAAATATGCATTCAAGTTTACATAGTTCTTTATGAGCTGGTAAGGAAATATACTCACAATAAGTTACATTATACAAATTCCTACTTAAGTTATGGACTTCTTGTGATTTTAAAAGAATAGCAACAAGAAAAGATGGAAGAGTACTAAATTTGAGTAATCTAGGAACCTCAAGGCAAAGTTTGCTTACCTTGTCATTGAATATACGGAGACTATCTAAAGTATGCAGGTTTTGTTCAAGAAGTGCGGTACCTGCTGAATACAAGTTGACCTCATCAAGCTGCAGCACAGCCACAGCTACCCAAAAGAGGGCTTTGTGCAGAGGCGAGTCCTGGCAAAGAAGATATGTTTGAGGCTAGTAAGATGAATCATGACATAGTCTCTTTCAAAACACACTGCAGTTAAAAATAAAGCAGCTTATCTTCCTAAATTACCCATGTTTTCTCTTTTGGGGAAGATAAAGATATGAGTAAGCTCTTCACTTTTCCATATGTATAACTAAAGACACTGTTAGCTGGACTGAGAACGTTACTTAGCACCTCCTTTGACTTCTCCCTGTTCTTTGATTTCTAAATCCAGTCACCAAGGTTTGTTGATTCTTCTAGAGTAGTCTCTTTTGTATCTTTTGTCATTTCTTTCTTATTGCTAATGACATTACCACATGCCAACCTTCTTTATTATAAAGGTGGATTCTTTTTACTTCAGTTTCTCCCTACTCCAATCCACTGTGCACACTACCACCAGGAGCTAAGTCCTGCTTTCATCGTATGACTTGTCTGCTTAAAAACTGTACATTTCCAAACTCTTTTGAACAATGCTGAATGTGAGATGAGGTCTATCCAGTCCTCACAACTTTCCCTCTCTCGATTCCTTTGAAAAGCTTCTCCATTACAACTAGAATGTTCTACCCACCTTCCCTCCATTGTCCTGGCATTCTTGTGCAGCTCTCTCCCTTTCTCTCTACCTACATTAACTCCTATGTTTCCCTTTAACTTTATTTTAAACTGTCTTTTCAACTTCTTGTCACTCTTAACCAGTATGGTAATCTCTTGCTGCTCTGAATTAAAAGTATTTATTACTGGCAATCTTTACTTAGCACTGTGATATTAGGGAAAATACATGGACTTTAGAGTCAAATAGTATCACATTAGAATCATGGTTCTTTTATTAGGTATGTGACTTTGGGCAAGTTATTTAGCCCTTCTGAGCTCATTTTCACTTAGAAGATGGGGACCAGAGAACCATTTTGTATAATACAAAATTAGAATGCTTGTAGACAAACCAGGAATATAACAGGTATTATTTCTCTGTTATTTCTCCCAAGTCTGGCATACCTTTGTACTCAAATCACAGAATTAAACCACTTTAGAACTGGATGGTAATACCATGCCATTATCGAATCTTTTTCATTTTATTAATACAAAAACATGATTTCCAGATATCTTAAATATAAAAATGGGATAAGGTCAGACCATCCTAAAACAGTGGCCACTTCATTTTACTCCTTTTAAATATAATCTTCATTTGGCACCCAAACTCTTATGACGATCAAGTATACTTCTCCCAGCTTTAATTTCTCCATAGTAATAATCACTAACATACTACGTATTTTGTTTACTTCATTATCCATTCACTCCCCAACCTCCACACCCACCCCAGAAAGTAAGCTCCATGAAGGCAGTGAGTTTTATGGGCTTTGTTAGTACTCTATCTCTAGCGCCTAAAACAGTACTTGGCAATAGCAGATAATTAATAGTTATAAGATAAAATAATTAAGAATATATACCTATCTTTCCTTTAGCACTGATGAGACCAAAAACTTACAAGCGCTTGAGAACATACTATCCATACTTACTCTTCTTCTAATATGACTACTTCAAACAACTAAACTTTAAGAGGTTCTACTTTAACTATAGTTTTTTCTTTATAACTTATTCTCAATTCATCTTATTTTCTAAACTCTTTGAAAGAAAGTAACATTCAACACTGATACCCAAAATGAATGCACTCATTTTCTATACAGTAATTACCTTATTAAGAAGTGGCTGTAATTTGGTTAGTGCTATTACTGTAGCTTCTATCAGAACTTGACTGTTGTAAGTGTCAGGTCCTT
Source organism: Homo sapiens (assembly GCF_000001405.40). Taxonomy (NCBI): domain Eukaryota; kingdom Metazoa; phylum Chordata; class Mammalia; order Primates; family Hominidae; genus Homo; species Homo sapiens. The sequence goes on along the minus strand of NC_000017.11, from coordinate 31,338,722 downwards.
TTAAGCAACTCTCAAGTGCCTTTTAGGAAAACAGAATTTTTTATTTTACTTTCATTGAAATAAAACATTAACTCCTAAACTGAATCTCGGAATGAATTCAGGAACATTTACTTATTTAATAAATGCTAGAATGATTTCTCATGCTATGGTGATCTTGGTAGCTAGCTTAATGTACATTTGTTTTCTTATTTTTTGACATTTCTACATTATAAGAGTCAGACATTATTATAGTAATTACAAATTAAATAATTTTATGCAAGGCTATAGTCTTACCATATAATTAAATGCTTTGAAAACTGGTAAAATACTAAGTGTACCTGCTTAGCAAAAGAGGCAACATATTTTATTTTAAAGACATCTTCCTTAATGAAGTAATCAGAGTTTACATATAAAGACAGCTTCTTTAGAGAAGACTTCTTCAAAGAATTACAATAAATAATCAAAATACATTTTAAAGGCTTAATAAGTAACATATAAGATATTTCATTGACCTCAAATTTAAACGTCTTTTAGAAAAATGAAAGATATGCTTTACAACTTGAGAACCATAAATATTTGGGAGAAGTGAGGGCGGAACAGGTACCTTGCTAAGAATACGGATTATCTGCTTTATCTGCCCATGAGACACTCGTTTGCTAATACACCCAAAGACAACAAGAGCTCTTGGTTGCAGGGATGGATTATATTGGAATGCAAATCTGCAATTAAAAGATCCACAGAACTTATAAAAACCTTTGTGTTTATATATACTAAATAATAAATTATAACATTGATCATACAGTAATAGCTGTATTTTCAACAATATGCATATTTTTACAACTTATATTTAATTTAGGACATACCTTTGAGCTAGTTCTGTCCACTGGTCCAGCCACTTGCACGTTGGAATATCTCTCATGCATGCCTAAAAAAGGGGATACTCTGAATACATATTGTACATAAATGTTTTTAGAACTGTTTAAATAATGTTTATTATGATGTCATTAAGTGACCTGTTACCAATAACACAGTCCATGCAAGTGTTTTTATTTAAGCATTAAGTACAAAATAGCACAATAAACCAATATTTCTTCTATATAGTATTAACATATTTTTAAAAAAAGATTTTAACTTAGTTTCTTATCATTTTGGCTTCTATACCTCCATGATCTCCAACAAAGCTTCTGTGACTGTTTCCAAGGATGTCAAAGCAAAAGTCTCTCTCTCATAGGAGCCAGGAGAGAATGACCTGTCCCGGTAACTGGAACGGAAGGCAATGACAGCAGCTGACTTGACTTTGCTAATGCCAAACAGCAAGTAAAATTTGGGTAATGAGAACTCTGTCAGACTGAGTCTCAAAACTTGCTTGGTCTCTTCTGTAAGAGAATAAAGGAACAAGTAAAGACAGAAAATATTACTTTTTAATTTCTAAAGTTCCATGTTTCATTTTGAATTTAGAAAATTTGAATACCATATAAAAATTACATAATCATGTTCCCTAAATCAAACCTCTAGATACATTGTATTAATGCTCCTTGCTTCATTTATCTACAAATTAGTGCTGGTAACTGAACATGGTCAACTGGCACTGAGTATTCCGCTTATGGGATAACTCTACATGACAAGTATGCATAGAAAATCTTTACTATAGCTTGATATGGAATGGAAGTAATTTATTTTCTTTTTGGTAATATTTCATGTCATTACTGGAGGCTTAAATTAGCAACTTGGTGTTAGAGCACAAACATAAATAAGATAATCTATATTGATCAGGTGAAGTAAAATGGAGAAAGGAACTGGTAAACACAAATTCCTTTCCTAGAACTTACCACTAAAATGAAGCTGTGAACAAGTACACAGAGAGTGAATGATATTAATGACCAGTCCATGTGTGGAAGCTCTAAGGGAGAGCGGACCTGTGGCTACTAAGAAAGTAACAACGTGGAAGAGGTAGGGAAGATGAGCTGCCACATCAAGGGAATTGTTGAAGGACAGCATCAGCATGTAGCGTGCTAAAATAGCAATATCATCCCACATAAGATGTTGTTCTAAAGTAGGAGTTGGAGATAAGCATGTCTTGTCAATTATTTTGCACATCCTTCCAATAACCTGTAAAGAAGCAGGATTTTTTTTTTTAAAAAAAAAAACATGGGACTCAAAGTTTTAGCACAAAAAAGTTCAGTTTAATTTAAAAGTAATTACAAAACAAAAAACCTCCTGATGATAAAACAGATATGCTATAGTACAGAAGGCAAAAGAAAAGTGATTACCTTGCTTGAAACCAATTTCACATTTCCAGAAGCCAAAGCTACAGCAGTATCTGCCATCACCTCAGCTTTTATTGATCCCAAGCCACCTGTTGCACTGGTTTTGATGAAACTGTCTAGTACAACATCAAGCAGATCTGTAATCTAGTTGAAGAAGGAAAATAACATGTTTTTAATCACTCTACCAATTTAATTTTTAATTAAAAAATATTCATTGGAACAGCCTAATCAATATGAAAATTCTATTTTACCTGAGGCCTCAAAAATACTAGATTTTATTTACAGGCCTGTCAGTAAATACAATTTATTATAAAATATCCAGTAAAGGATGAGTATATTCATTTGACTCCTTCAGAGATTAAGAGATTGGTATTCAAAAATTTTAAATCTCTATCAATACTATCTTCAGTCACTTGCAAAGTATCTCTATGCTTTTCTAAGACAGTAATGTAGCATCAATATAAAATAGTAATTTGAAAATACAGAGCTGGGTGCAGTGGCTCACGCTTGTAATCCCAGCACTTGGGGAGGCTGAGGCGGGCGGATTGCTTGAGGCCAGGAGTTCAAGACCAGCCTGGGCAACATGGCAAAACCCTATCTCTAAAAAAAAAAAAAAAAAAAAATACAAAAATTAGCCAGGTGTGTTGGTGTGCACCTGTAGGCCCAGCTACTTGGGAGGCTGAGGTGGAAGGGTCACTTGAGCCTGGGAGGCAGAGGTTGCAATGAGCCGAGACTGTACCACTGCACTCCAGCCTGGGTGACAGAGCGAGACTCAGTCTCAAAAAAAAATAAAATATAGGAAATGACATTAAGTACCAGGATGTTTTCTAGGGCTGCAACACTGGCTCCAAGGTTATTTCTAATTATTTGGAGGAGGAGCAGCAGTGTTTGAGTGAGGGCATTATTTCCTTAAATGATTACTTTGAAGAAATGATATGCCTAATTCTTGTCAGATAAAAATAAAATTTACATTATATCCTATTTTAATATTGGCATTCTTATGTAGAACTATAAATGAAAGCAGATGTCCCAAATAGCATCAATAAGAAGAAACATCTACTGACACCTTTGGAATGTAGAGAACTAGAATAAAGCACTAGAAATGTCACCAGATTTCTACAGTTCTATATAATATATATATAAAATCTAGTTATTTGCACAGTCTCCTTCAAGGCATAATTATATATATATATATATATATAATTATGCCTTGAAGGAGACTGTGCAAATAACTAGCTTTTCTCTGGCTCTGAGACATGCACTAGACATTTACAATTTTGAACCAGATGAAGAGCTGGGTGAGTGTCTACATGCTTTCTGAAGGAGGAAACTGTGTTTTTTACAACTCTATCCCTAGTGTCTAGCGCAGTGCTTTGCCCAATGTGGCACCAGATAAATATGTGCACAAAGGAGATACTAGATAAATATTTGAGCAAACTCAATACCTGCCCAAGGCTTCCCCATATTTTTGCTTGAATAGATGGGTACATCTGTTTTTCATTGATGGTCATTGTTATCAGCTTGTCAAGAATAGCAGTAACTCTTTGTCGTTTGGCATCATCATTATGCTTGCAAAAACGAACTAGATTTGACAGCCATGGAGTCATGTATTCCAAACAAAGGTGTTTCAATTCAATACCTGGAAAAAAATACACTATTAGCATGTGATGGTCAATGAAAATCACATCAACAATTATTTAACATAAAGAATTCGGGGAAAAAATGGTAAAAGGTAAAGACTATTACCTAGAATCAGGCCTGGAGAAAAGACACTTGGCAAATATATTTTTGTAGAGGCGAAGAAAGAACAGTCCTTGAAGAAAGTAATTTTAAAAGCCAGTAAGCCAATTTTTGAAAAGTTTTGTCTTATTTTCCTCCATTTTAGTCCTTTCTTGTTAAAAAGTTGTTTTATTCTCATTATAAAAGGAAATGTGGTAATCATAGAAAGTTTGGTAAAAGGAAAGCATCACCACAAAATGAAAACTGTATTAACATTGGTGTATCATCTCATCTCTCCTCAGGCTTTCAAATTTATGTAGAGTTAATGTACATTTATGTGTGTGTACACAGGTATAACCCACTCCCACTCCCCCGCAAAAACGGGGATTATGCTATACATGCAGTAGGCTCTGAATATTTTTTTCAGTGATTATACTGAGATTATTCATTTTTTTTTTTTTTGAGATGGAGTCTCCTCTGTCGCCCAGGCTGGAGTGCAGAGGAGCGATCTCGGCTCACTGCAAGTTCCGCCTCCCGGGTTCACAGGTTCACACCATTCTCCTGCCTCAGCCTCCCGAGTAGCTGGGACTACAGGCGCCCACCACCACGCCCGGCAAATTTTTTTTCATATTTTGAGTAGAGACGGGGTTTCACTGTGTTAGCCAGGATGGTCTCAATCTCCTGACCTCGTGATCTGCCCGCCTCGGCCTCCCAAAGTGCTGGGATTACAGGCGTGAGCCACCACCCCTGGCCTATACTGAGATTATTTATTCAACATTACAAATTCTGCAAACTTCTTTTAAACTTACTTGAAAAAGCTTCACATTTATAAGACAAAAATTGTACAAAAATTTATCTATACACTTTACCTAAAGTCTCAAAGAGTTTTTAAAATTGTGGTAAAATATACACAACACAAAATTTACCATTTTAACTATTTTTAAATGTACAGTTCCGTGGCTTTACCCATTTTGAAGGGCACAGTTCAGTGGCACTGAGTACATTCAAATCATTGTGCAGCCATCACCACCATCCATCTCTAGAACCTTTTCATCTTCCAAACTGAAATTCTGTAACAAAGCCATTTTTCAATGGCTTCATATTATTCCATCAGATGGAGAACCAATAATTTAATCAGTTCCTTATTCTTTGACTTTTGGCCTGTTCATTTTTTTGCTATTATAAATAATGTCATATGAAGTTCTAAAGTAGGCAAAATAAATCTGTGCAATAGAGGTCATAATAGTGTTTACTCTTGGTGAAGGGAGGGTACTGAGAATATCCCTCTGGATGCTAGAAATGTTCTATGTCTAGATCTGGAGATACTTTCATGATGTATTTGCATGTAGAAGTTCATCAAGCTGTTGACTTAAGATCTTGCACTTTACTGATGACAAGATATACCTCAATTTAAAAATCTACATAAAAATAATGCTATAATAAACATTTTAACATTAATTCTTTAGGATAAATGCTAAAAAGCAGAATTATGAGGCCAAAAGGTATGAATAGTCTTAAGGTCTTGTTATCCACTTCCAAATGCCTTTCTAGAAAAATTGCCTCTACTCACAATTCCACAGACCACCAGGAATGGATCTTAAAAAAAAAATCTTTGCCAAGCTGATAACTGATTATCTCACTATTCTTTCAATTGGCTTTTATTAGTGAATTTCTTAAAATATAAATATTCTTTTTGAGATGGGGGCCTCACTATGTTGTCCAGGCTGGTCTCAAACTCCTGGGCTTAGCGATCCTCCTGAGCAGGTGGGATTACAGGCATGTGCCATGGTGCCTGGCTTTTTTCTTTTTTTGTACAAATATTCTTTTTTAAAAAACATAAAAAATGATGAGTTCATATCCTTTGTAGGGACATGGATGAAATTGGAAACCATCATTCTCAGTAAACTATCGCAAGAACAAAAAACCAAACACCGCATATTCTCACTCATAGGTGGGAATTGAACAATGAGATCACATGGACACAGGAAGGGGAATATCACACTCTGGGGACTGTGGTGGGGTCGGGGGAGGGGGGAGGGATAGCATTGGGAGATATACCTAATGCTAGATGACACAGTAGTGGGTGCAGCGCACCAGCATGGCACATGTATACATATGTAACTAACCTGCACAATGTGCACATGTACCCTAAAACTTAGAGTATAATAAAAAAAAAAAAAAAACCATGATCTGTATGTTACTGTTAATCCACTTTTTATTAATCGGTCAGCACCCTTCATGATTAAGGATTTTATTCATTCATTCATTCATTTATTCATTCATTTATTTATTTTGAGACAGAGTCTCCCTCTGTTGCCCAGGCTGGAGTGCAGTGGAGTGATCTCGGCTCACTGCAACCTCTGCCTCCTGGGTTCAAGCAATTCTCCTGCCTCAGCCTCCTGAGTAGCTGGGACTACAGGCATGTACCACCGAGCCCGGCTAATTTTTGTATTTTTAGTAGAGAGGGGATTTCACCATATTGGCCAGGCTGGTCTCGAACTCCTTACCTTGTGATCCACCCACCTCAGCCTCCCAAAGTGCTGGGATTACAGGCGTGAGCCACCGCGTCTGGCCGATTAAGGATATTAATCATTTCTCATATTTGCTCCAAGTGTATTTCCTAGTTTTTAATTATCTTCACTTGTGTTTATTTTTGAGTAGCTATGTTTTGAAGTTTTATGTAGTCAAATCTGTTCGCTATTTCCTTTGTTTCATCCTATCACTTTTTTACTTCATATGTCCTTACTCATCTAGAAAGCAATTAAATATTCACTTGTTCCTCTTCTTTTTAAAATGGTTCCAAGCTTTTATATACAACTTTTTTTTTTTTTTTTTTTTTTTTTTTTTTTTTTTAATAGAGAAGGGTCTCACTCTATCATCCAGGCTGGAGTGCAGTGGTACGATGATAGCTCACTATAGCCCTGACCTCTGGGGCTCAAGCAATCCTCCTGCCACAATCCTCTTGCCTCAACCTCCCAAAGTGCTGGGATTACAGGCGAGAGCCACCACACACAGCCCTACTCAACTCTTAAATACAGGCAGAACATACTTGGTATCTTATGGTGTACGGTGAAGACGAAGACCTAATTTAAGTCATTTCCCAGCCTCATTTATTAAATGATTTAATCTCTCCCTCATCAGTTTGTGATGCTTCTTTATCAATCTGTTTCTCTTAAACTGATCTGATGGCTGATTCTTGCACATGTATGTTTTAATTATTGTACTGCTATAAAGTGTTCAGACATCTGTACTATTAAGTCTCAAGTCTCTTTCCTTTCAATATTTTCTTAGCTATTATTGCACTTTTATGTAGAATTTAGAATCATTTAAGTTCTATCTCCATTCTCAATCCTCAAATCCCATGGTTATTTTGATGAAATTACATTAAATTTGTAATAATCTGGGAAGAACTGTTCATGCAGGAACACAATATGCCTTTACATTCACTCAAATCTTCTCTCATATTAATATTTATGAATAAAGTTTATACTTTTCTTGTTTTGTCAGTCCTACACATTTTTTTGTTAGGGTTATAGTCCTACATCTCTTACCTGACAAAGAGTCTTAGTGAATTGCTGAAGCTTTTAATTATCTAATATATAAAAGTCAAGAAATGTGTTTGAATGCAGAAAAAAAAGTTTTATATATTACAGGGAAAGGAAAGGGAAGAAAAGGTCAGGAAATATGCTGGGAGAAGATCAACATTTATAAAACTATAGGATATAAAGATGGACAAATATAAAGAGTGGATATTAAATTTATAAGACTTAGTTAAAACAAAGTCAGAACTGACTCTGGGCCCTGTATTATGTGCCACTGTGCTCTCCGTGAACTGTACATTTACAATAAATTCATTGTTCAAAGTCAACCTAAAGAAAAGAGAAAATGACTAGTTCTCTAAAATTAAGGAGGCAACATGGATACTTATGTGGACTTTTCTGCTATGAAGAGAAATGCTGAAGCTAATTAAACTGCAACAGTGAAGAAAATACTTTGTAAGTGGTCCAGAGGTGTGTAAAGTACCAAACTCTTGCCGCTTTGCTTTTATTATCAGAATTTTGGTGGATTTCTCAATGTGGCCTACCAAAAAGTTCCTTCAGAGTTCCTTCAGTTACAGGATACCACAGATATAAAATCAGAAGAGGAAAAAAAGTAAAAATGTAAGTGAAAGTCTTCACTGGAAAATTCTGAAATGAAAGGGTTTTCTTTGAATTCTCTTAGAATAATTGTTAGTATTAAAGAAAATTATCATTACTTACTAGATTTGCTAAATCCAGAAATACACTCTTCCAAAAATTCTAACGTGAGGTGTGGCTCATTGGCTGCCAGTGTCTTACTAATAGAGACAATAAAGAGGGTGTTGTTGGCAGGGATACATAAACCTGATGTCTCTAGTAACTGGCCCTCGATTTTTAAATTAAAGGTACAAGTTAAGGCACACAGAAGATTATAGGCAGCTGACCTAGGAGAAAACACAAATGAAGTTGTTTTAAAACGTATTTTTCCTTATAGTTCCAAAATTTTTTCATAACATACAATTTGTGATTCTGTTACAAAGTATGATCAACTATTTTTAAATTTTATGATCAGTTAGAAATAAGATGTTATAATTCTACAGTAAAACCAAAATACCCCTTAATCATTTAGGGATTTTATAAAAAGGGACACACTTGATATAACCATAAGAGCACTGTGAGGCTCCTATGACAGAGGGGCGGGGTATAGGCTTTCCTAAAATACATCTCACTGAGACATAAAATATGAGAGGACTTATGGTCCTAATGTGGATCAATAGAAATTAAGTCAGAATAAGGCACACCATACATTTTTAGCAAAGCCAAAACTCAAATTCTGGTTCTCTTTCCCACTAGATCCAGTTATAATGGGGATCATAGGGACAGATATCAGATGGCCCTTCCCTTCATCAAATTAGAATGTGAAAATCTTTAATCAGGATCTGCTGAACTTCTTTCTGGGTGTCCTAAAAGTTACCCTACAAACTGAAGGTTAAAAACAAAATTAACTTATAATTAAGTCCTCCCATTTTTCCCTCTATGACCTCATTACATCATATATAACCACCAATATGGAAAAAAACTATAATATCCAGGTTTCATTGAGACCAAACATCACTTACAAATGTCTGAAAATATATTTAAGCAATTTAGGAGACAGCCTAAAAGACTCAGACTCAATTTAAAAATTTTAATTTTCTCCCCTGTCCAGTAAAGGAAATAGTTTGTTCAGTAACTGTCAGGTTTTCCTTACCTCTGAATGTTTATCATGCTACTATATTGATGCAACAACCATATAGGGAAAAAAAGCCACTGGAATTTAAGTCTGCCTAAAGGCTTTTTCTCTGGGATGACATGCTTCAGCAAAAAGCAGAAGCTGTCAGAGATTGCTTTAGGTCACTAGAGAAGAATACAGGTTTACCCAGGCTAATAATTGTTAAAAGGTTGTATTTTTCAATGAAGATCTTTGAATTAGAAATTAAAGGCAGGCTTATAGCTCCATTTTCCTAAAATGTGAAAATTAGTGTTATTATTTCTGTTTACATATCTTTTTTCTTTTTTAAAAAACTTTTAGTCAGAGTCTCACTATGTTCCCCAGGCTGGTGTGCATTGGCTATTCACAGACATGATTATAGCACACTGCAGCCTTGAACTCCTGAGCTCAAGCTGTCCTCCCGCCTCAGCCTCCCGAGTAGCTGGGACTACAGTGCCAGTGCTCAGCTTGTATCTTTTACTAATTCCCAGGAATTCTAAGTTATACAATTTTGACAAAACTTTTATCCTGTGTATTTCAACACTTATAAAGAATTGGACTTCCTCAACCCAGGACAGGTGTCACAGACACCTATGAGATAAAGGAAGCAAAGCATACACAAAATCTTATGTACAATTTCTGAAGCCCATCCAAGTAAACATATCTTGATTTTCTTCTTTTTCCCTTTAAGTAAAGGAGAATTTGGAATCCTAAAAGGCCCACTATAAAACCTGGGCTATGTTATCCTCAGGGAAAATTTTCAGAAGTTAAGAATTTACATCTGAAAAATCTTCAAAGTCTCAGGGTACTTGAGACAAAGAATTATCCTAACTTGGTAAGGAGAGGGGAGAAAAGGGAGAAAGGGTGCAAGGAGATGCTGGCAGGGAGGGAAAAGATAAGAAAATACTACTTACTAAGTATAAACTATTTGCTAGTTTGCTATACTATACTACTACACATACTATTTTTTAAGCTTTTGTGGGTATATAAGAAAGGCAATTACCTTTATTTCACAAATAAGGAAACTAGATATCTGAAAACTTCAGTATCTTGCTCAAAGTACATAGCTAGAAAGTGGCATATCTGTTCAAACCACATCTACTCACTCCACAGCCATGCTCTTTCCACATGCATATTCAAGTTATTAAGCCTAAATGGAACCAATTACACTCTGCTCAGATGACTTATTTGTCTTAAGATTTATTTTGAGAATTTTGTTAAGAGTGATGTAGGTGGAAAGTATGCAATAATGTTACCAAGTTATTGAACATTAGGCCTTCTTTTGTAAAGCAATAATCTGACTTGACTTTTAAACTAAATAGTGATATACTTCTGAAAATGGAAAAAAATTAGAGGACTTAGAGGAAGAAAAACTTAATTTAGGATACTTTGGAAAAAAAAATCTGCTATGTCGTGTTGTTTTACATGATGGAGAAAGGACATATATTGGTTTAGTGTGAATCACCCTGTTTGGAATTCCACAGTTCATGTGAATACCCCACAACTTGATGAGGTCACAGTGGTTAACCAACACTGCATACCTTCCAATTTACAATATTAAGGTAGAGGCTGTTTTAAAATTCATTAAATGGTCTCATTTTAAAAGCAACAAACCCCAAATCAAACTGAAGAGAATTTTAAAAAACCTACCGTAAACTCGGGTCAGAACTGCCTAAATTAAGTAATGCGATATTGAGCAGTGTCCCAGGGACATCTTTTGGCCGAATCTTGGTGTGTTGGGGGATAGAGTCGGGCTGTGACAGTTCCCAGCGGGTCCGGATATGAATGATAGACTGGACAATGGCTTCACACTCCTGGTGCATGAAGGTGAGCGGCGTGCCCTGGTTTGCAATGGTTAAGGTGAACTGGTTCTCATCTACTAGGCAGATTTCTTCAATTTCCGAAGCATAATAAATGTCATTTAGAAAGACTGATTGCCCTAGGACTTTTGTTCGCTCTGCTGAAGTTACTTGGACAGCAGTAGAACCAACCTGGAAAGTGGTGGTGACGGGGTGAAGTGGAGAAGAATTAAACTCTTTTACATAAAATTCTAAAAGGCTCCAGAAACCAACCAACCAAACAAAACACTATGCCATTTAAGGAAGAGTTCCCACCATTGTATATTCAAATGGTTCAGTAATTATTATGATAAATGTTCTCAAAAGAAACAAAAAACATTTAAAAATTTTTTAATTTTCCTTTTTAAAAAGGTCAAGAATCTTATAGAAGGCCGGGTGCAGTGGCTCATCCCTGTAATCCCAGCACTTTGGGAGGCCGAGGTGGGCAGATCACTTGAGGTCAGGAGTTCGTGATCAGCCTGGCCAACAACCTTGTCTCTACTAAACCTACAAAAACTAGCCTGCCGTGGCGGTGGGCGCCTATAATCCCAGCTACTGGGGAGGCTGAGGCAGCAGAATCGCTTGAACCTGGGAGGCAGAGGTTGCAGTGAGCCAAGATCATGCCACTGCACTCTGAGATCACGCCACTGCACTCTGAGATCACGCCACTGCACTCCAGCCTAGGCAACAGAGTGAGACTCCATATCAAAAAACAAAACAAAACAAAACAAACAATCTTATAGAAAAGTACTGATTTTATCCTGAAGGTTCATGTTCCTCACTCTGAAAAAAGCATGTAATAATCAGAACTCTCATTAGGTAATTTCTACTCTCCACACATTCCTACAATTTGAATGACATAACAAATTGCCCTCTCCAAAACACTCTTCTACTTCCAGCCTAAGCTAGAATAAAATGTATACGTCTCATATCCTCCACAGGACCTCCATGATGACACAAATGTTGGTCTTCCTACATCTAGATTTACATAACCTTTTATTTTTTGAGACAGAGCGTCCCTCTGTTGCCCAGGCTGGAGTGCAGTGGCGCAATCTCGGCTCACTGCAACCTCCACCTCCCGGGTTCAAGCGATTCTCCTGCCTCAGCCTCCAAGTAGCTGAGATTACAGGTGCCCACCACCATACCCGGCTAATGTTTGTATTTTTAGTAGAGACGGGGTTTCACCGTGTTGGCCAGGCTGGTCTTGAACTCCTGACCTCACGTGATCTGCCCACCTTGACATCCCAAAGTGCTTGGATTACAGGCGTGAGCCACCGCGACAGCCTTACGTGACATTTTATACACCACTATAGGGGTAGGACACCTAGGGAGGCCAGGATATAGTCTAGTTAGTCAAGAAAAGCAATGAATCGTTTACAAAACACAGACTGGAACTTACTTTAATAGAAACTTTGGTGTCTTTGTGAGCTAGCTTGAGAGCATTGTGGAATACCTTCAGGTCCTCTTCTAAAGCCAAGGTGGCAGCAGGTAGTTTCTGTTGTTCATGCTCTATGTGCTCAGCCAGTTTCCCAGGACAGTCTATGAAAACAAGCCTTTTGCTACCTTTGAGGCCAGTCAGCAGCCGCTCATGATACTTGGTGTACTCCCTGACCCAGGAGTTACAGTTATAGATATAGACTGCGGAGACGTTGTCGTAAGCAAAGCCAGGAAAAACAACAAACCACTTAGAGAGAAAGTCTGTTTTAAAGCGATTGCTAGGCCCGGTATGGGTAAGGTCCACTACAATTTCATATGGCTTTGCATAATATGGCTTTAAAGTCAGTAAGACATGGTATATCAGCAAATCACCATTGATTTGACCAGTTTTGAACCTAAGGAAAATGACAAAAAAGACAAAGATTATTAGCAGTGTTTAAAATAAATATACAGATGCCACTAATCAATTTTATTTTATGATTCATTTTCTAGAGAGAATAATATAAAACAATTCTTCAAAGTCTGGATTCATTTTTTAAATCAGTTGTTTTTTGGACACTGAGAAATAAGGCTAAGAGAAGAGACAAATCTCCAATTCAAAAATTTTGAGCCACGACAACAATAAAAAATTTGCCCATGAGTCAAGAAAGGAAGAAAACAGTGGGAATTAGTTGGTTGCCTGCAGGGCCCACCAAACTCCTTAGGCGAATAGTCTGGTAGGAATGACCCATCTGGAGCTCTGGAGTGAGATGGTTTTAGCCAATCCATTTATCCCACCTTGATCACAGACTGATTCAGCAATGAACACATTATTCAAACCAGGACAACCAGGGCCAAAGAGGCCCAGTTCAGGTAGTTTAGCTTAAATTGTTGGGATTTGAGATATTTCTTTCCTGGTGTTTATAAACAAGGGAATACGTAGCCCTAGGAGTTGCTAGCTCATATTTTGGGATATAAAAGAAGAGCCTCCCAAAAGACTGAAGAGAAGGAGCTGAGAAATAGACAAACTGGAACCCTGGCCATATCATTTGTGTATGAGATAAAGCCTCTCCTGGGGTCAAATTTATCCCAGGACTGCTCAGTTACATAAGCCAATAAATACCATTTTTTGATTAAGCCATATTAGGTCATATGTTGCTTAAAACCAAAAGAATACTAATAAATGGGAGCAGCCACAGTGAGGACCATGAAAAAGCCCTGAAGTAATGGTACCAAAGTTTCAAATCAAAACAATCTATGTTAACTTAGGCCCAAAGTTTTCCATATGTGATGATTCTGGTGATAATACTACTAAGTAAGTTAAAATAAATCTTTACCTCAGAGGTTGGTTAATGGATATAAAAATATAATCAGGGCTGGGCACAGTGGCTCACGCCTGTATTCCCAGCACTCTGGGAGGCTGAGGCAGGTGGGTTACATAAGGCCAGGAGTTCGAGACCAGCCTGGCCAACATGGCAAAACGCTGTCTCTACTAAAAATACAAAAATCAGCCAGGCATGGTGGTACATGTCTGTAATCCCAGCTACTTGGGAGGCTGAGGCACGAGAATCACTTGGACCTGGGAGGCAGAGGCTGCAGCGAGCTGAGATTGTACCACTGCACTTCAGCCTGGGCAACAGTGAGACTGTCTTAAAAAAATAATAATAAAATAAATAATATATGTATTGTTAGAATTAGATAGAAGGAACAAGTTCTACTATTCATAGTAAGGTGACTAGTTAATAATAACATTGTATATTTCAAAACAGCTAGACGAAACAATTTCTTTTCTTTGAGGCAATGGATATCCTAATCACCCTGATTTAATCATTACACATTATATGCATGTATCAAAATATCACACATACAGGCAGGGCATGGTGGCTCACGCCTGCAATCCCAGCACTTTGGGAGGCCAAGACGGGCAGATCACCTGAGGTCAGGAGGTCAAGACTAGCCTGGCCAACAGGGTGAAACCCTGTCTCTACTAAAAATACAAAAATTAGCTGGGCGTGGTGGCACGTGCCTGTAGCCCCAGCTACTTGGGAGGCTGAGGCAGGAGAATTGCTTGAACCTGGGAGGGGAGTTTGCAGTGAGCTGAGATTGTGCCACTGCACTCCAGCCTGGGCGATAGAGCGAGATTCCAACAAAAACAAAAACAAAAAAAACCAAAAAAATCACACATACTCCATTAATATGTACAAATTATCATGTATCAATAAAAAACTTCACCTCAGAATTTTTAATCTTGTTGGGAGAAAATAAGATAAAAATATGACAAGTCAAATGATTTTAAAACAACACAAATATTTCAAGATAGAAGATATGAGGTAGAAAGTAATCACTTATCAAAGGAAATGCAGAGAAAATACTGTTATTAAGACAAAGGAGAGAGAGAGAGAGATTAACACAAACTGGGCAGTCAGTGAAAGCTACATAGAAGATACAGTGGCTGAATCAGGTAAGGAGGAATGCAGACTCAGCAAGAGGACTGGGCAGGCCTTATGGAGAAAGGCAAAAAGGAAAAGAAACAGGTAACTAGATGTGTTGAAGAGACAGCTAGTCTAGCCAGAATGGAGGATTCAGGTAGAGAAGTTTTGAGAGATAAAGCTGGGAAAATACAGAATAGTCAAATTGTGGAGAGACCATAACTGCCCAACCAAAGGGCTTAGGTTTTCTACTAGGGGCTCACCATTTCTCAGCATATGTTCTGTGGACTACTGGCGTCAGAATCAACTGTGGTGCTTGATAAAAATGCAGTTTCCTGGTCCCAACCTGGACCTACTAAATATGGATCTATGTAGTGGGGCCTGGAAATTTTTATCTTTTTTTTTTTTCCCTTAACTCAGGCTGGACTGCAGTGGCACGGTCACAGCTCACTGTAGCCTTGACCTCCCCAGGCTCAGGTGATCCTCCCACCTCAGCCTCCTGAGTAGCTGGGACTACAGATAAGCGCCACCATGCCCGGCTAGTTTTTTGTTTTTGTTTTTTTGTATTTTTTGTAGAGACAGGATTTTGCCATGCTGCCCAGGCTGGTCTCGAATTTCTGTGGCTCAAGTAATCCTCCCGCCTCAGCCTCCCAAAGTGCTGAGATTACAGGTGTGAGCCACCATGTCCTGCTTTTATAATTTTTAAACAATCTTCTCATCTGATGTTTATGTACACAAACATTTCTGAATCATTGTTGTATGTATTAGGGAACTGTTCAACCGGTTTTATTTTCCCTTAAAGAAAGGGTGGTATGACCAAAGACAGTGATGTATACAAGATATAAGAAGGATTCAGGGCTACCGAAAAGGCACTGTAGAGTCTAGGTATGACCTGATAAGGATCTAAAATAGTACTGTTGACAGTAAAAACAGGGAAAAAGAAACTGATCCAACAATATGAAGGAAGGACCAACATGATTCAAAGTCTGATCAGGACTGAGAGGACTTAAATTAAAATGATGTGTTGTATACTAAGCCTCTGATATTAGAATGTTGCTATCATGAACAGAAACAAGAAGACTGTCACAGGCAGCCTCCTTTAAAGAAAAAATAAAGTTCTTTTTATTTCATTAATTTAATTAATTTTTAAGAGATGGAGTCTTGCTATGTTACCCAGGCTGGATTTGAACTCCTGGGCTCCACCAGTGATCCTCCTACCTCAACCTACCTAGTAGCTGGGATTACAGATATGTGCTGCCATATCCAGTTCTTTTTTTTTTTTTTTTTTTTTTTTTTTTTTTTTTTGAGACAGAGTCTTACTCTGTCTTCCTGGCTGGAGTGCAGTGGCATGATCTTAGCTCATGCAGCCAAGATCTCATGATCTCTGCAGCCTCCACGTCCCGGGTTCAAGCTATTCTCCTGTCTCAGCCTCCCAAGTAGGTGGGACTACAGGTGCATGCTACCCTGCCTGGTTAATTTTTATATTTTTAGTAGAGACAGGTTTTCTCTATGTTGGCCAGGCTGGTCTTGAACTCCTGGCCTCAAGTGATCTGCCTGCGTCAACCCTCCCAACGTGCTGGGATTACAGGTGTGAGCCACCGTGTTCAGCCCATACCTAGTTCTTAAAGTCTGTTTCAGTCATGTTAAACTTGAGGTGATGACAGGATGTTTGACAGTTGTGTGTGTGTGTGTGTGTGTGTGTGTGTGTGTGTATACACACACTACACCACACGAAAGCATTTTCTGTCCCATATAATCTAAGTTTACTAGATATTTTCTCAAATAATTGCTGCAGTTCCACAATTGTTACATTATCTGATCAGTATCCCATGGACTCCAAACTCACATTTTCAAATCAGTCTGTAGATTTCAAATAAGTCTTTTAGAGAAGATTTGAAATGGAAGATACCATTTCAAAACCTCTTTTGAATGACACTAAAGCATGTAGCAGGCCTATAGAATGAGCATACTGTCAAAAGGCATTAAGTGGAAAACCCTCCCTGCTCTGGAGGCGGGGATTGGTTCTACAAAGCCTCCTGTCATGCCAGTGGCCAACTAGAGAAGTTGGAGCTTTTTCGTTGTTTTTTTTTTTTTCCCTCCTGTGACATGTGCTTTAGTTGCAGTGGAAAGGAAATGTGTCATCTGTGGTTTGGTTTTAAAAGTGGAAAACTAGCTGCACATATCCTTTTTTACTGCAGATTTACTTTAAGGCTCATATTCTCCAAGTCTATTCTGCTTTAAAAAGAAGACAAGAAAAGAAGTGGTTTATCAAAATCACGTTATAATCAGATTTTGACCAAGCATTTTGTAAGGTAGGTCATATATATACGGCTTTTCTTATGCCTTTTCACTTCTAACGTCTGACAGATTAGTGTTCGAGGAAATGCTATCAAAGTGTGTAAGAATCTCACTAACAAACTAGAATTGTGACTGAAAATGTATACTTTTTTTTTCTGTCCTGTTACATAAATTTTAAGTTAGAAATGAAAAAATTTGCCATCGCCATGGAGTTTTAAATTAGGATTACGAAGGATCTAAGTTTGGTTTCCTCAAGTAAACTGGAAATGTTTTGTTATTTTTCAAAAGTTAAAAAATAAATTTCTCATTACTAATGCTTGGACATTACAAATTCTACTGAAAATAAATTCTACTGAAAATGATCAGATATAAGAAAACTTCTGATAACACAACCTGGCCTCCAAGGCATAAACTGGAGTAAAAACAGTCCTCAATTCTCAGGCATTTGTAAGGGCAAGAGAAAGTCTCATTTTGTCATACAGTTTGTTTATTTGGGCACTGCAGTACATCTGGCTGAAGACAATCAACAGCAGGCCTATTATCTGTTCCGTGGTAAGCACTGTTAAAATGTGTACCAATACTATGATGTATACTACACTGTTAATGAACTAATGTGAAAAGAATAATCTACTTTAAATCATTCTAGCATCTAATACAGAAGTCCAGTCTAGTATAAAAAGATGGAAATTACTTGCTAATCCAATTTCAAGTATTTCTTTTTGTGGAAGAATCATGAAATATCCAAAGATTTATGTCACTAAACTTAAAAATTAAAGCTGAACACTATTATACAAAAGCCAGTGACTTGGGCCTTTAATTGTCTACTAAAGGTCATAATCTAAAAAGTAATCTTAATCCTGGAATATTTAATAGTTTTTCCTCCCTACTATTAATATGAAATATAGTCTCCAGTTAGCATTGTTTATTACATGCTACTTTTGTTTGCATAACTCAACGTATCACATTTCTTATTTTCAATTTCTGTATTTTAATAGTATACAAATGTCAGCCAATGACATATAACAACCATTTCTTATAAAACCTTGATGTTCAAAAGCCTGACTAGCAGTGGCATCCATGTTGCTTAGGAGTTGGTTTGGAAACAAAGACTTTCAGGCCCTACCTATACTAGCTAGGTAAGAATCTGCCTTTTTTTTTTTTTTTTAAATAAAAGGACTCCTAAGTACATTTGAGAAGAATTTCTATAGCATACGTAGGGTTCTTAACCAGGCAATTTCATTTAGTAAATCTCAGGAGAACAATATAGTTTTGCTTTTAGTTCATTCAAATAAATGCTAACAATAAAATACTCCTTTCAAAAGTAGCTCAAGACAAACTGGTATATTATTATAAGATACCTTAATAATGATTATAAATCTTTCCTGCTGGGTTAGCAGTACATGGAACTGTTAAATTCTAAGATATGCCATTTCTATTTAAATCAATCATTTGGTAGATTTAAAAAATGTATAATATAACTTGTCTCCTTTTTGTACTAGTTTCCAGCAAGCTCAGGGCCAAAGCGGAAATTCAACATTTTCAATTATCTGTTGAGATGCTTATAACCTGCCACTTCATCCCAAATCATCAAGATCCTGATGCTCTATTTCTATTTTATTACACATTTTTTTTTACAATTATGTCAAAATCAGAAAAAATGCTAGGTATAAATGATGCTTTAAAAGAAAACCCAGCAACTTTTGTTGAACTTTTAAGTCTACTCAGAGGAAATTTGCTGTTTTTTTTTTTTTTTCTTCAGATTTTTAGGTTGAGAAAACTGGTATGCCTTTGCCTTCAGAAAGACACAGTCAGTCCAGGGAAATATAAATGAAAAGAGACAACCACCACAGTAAAATTGCGTTCACAAATACACTTACAAATGTATTTCTAAGTACCAGCTTTATTCTAAGCTTCAAGATGAACACCCAAGAAAAAAAAAGAACACCTTGAATTTCTATTTGAAGTTCAGTTTCTTTTGGTTGCTACCAAACTTCCCCTCTTTCCACCAAAAAAATTTGCATTTATTTCATACATGAAGCAAGAAGCTCAAGGCCACATTTCTTCTGTAAAGATTGGTGACAGGTTAGAGGGTGGGTAGTTTCTGTAAGAATGATCCTTAATTTTTTTTTTTTTTTAAAGAAGGAATCAGAAAAGTAAAAGCAGAACTAACTGACTCAAAGCAGAAGTCTAGCACGCTTCAAAGGAAGAAAACTATATAAAGCCATGATAGTCCACTTAAAATGATTAATATTTATTTGTAATGCTAACTTCTAGCATCTAAAAGTGTTAATAGAAATTAAAATGCTTCTTCATACATAGCTGAATAGAAAAGAAATTTAGTTGAGAAGGAATTCAGGGTAGCGAATATTAGGCATAAGCTTGTAGTTTACTTGTAACATCTCAACACTATCTTTTAACTACAATTACCAAAACTAGGATCCATTATTCTTTCACAAACTAACAAATTATATTGCTATCCCAACAGATTGCCAAGCATGCCCACGGACATGGAACACACAGGACATTACCTACATCTTGCCTTTCTGATGACAACAGTTTTTTCTTTGTCTCCTGGAACAAAAGCAAACTATACCCGTCTGTGGGCTAACAGTACTTCTTCCTGGGATTCAGTTATTCAAAACAAGACAGGCAGAAACCAAAATGAAAACATTAACACAAACCCTATAACTCCTGAAGTAGATTATAAAGGTAATTCTACAAACATGCCTGAAACATCTCACATCGTAGCTTTAACTTCTAAATCTGAACAGGAGCTTTATATACCTTCTGTCGTCAGCAACAGTCCTTCAACAGTACAGAGCATTGAAAACACAAGCAAAAGTCATGGTGAAATTTTCAAAAAGGATGTCTGTGCGGAAAACAACAACAACATGGCTATGCTAATTTGCTTAATTATAATTGCAGTGCTTTTTCTTATCTGTACCTTTCTATTTCTATCAACTGTGGTTTTGGCAAACAAAGTCTCTTCTCTCAGACGATCAAAACAAGTAGGCAAGCGTCAGCCTAGAAGCAATGGCGATTTTCTGGCAAGCGGTCTATGGCCCGCTGAATCAGACACTTGGAAAAGAACAAAACAGCTCACAGGACCCAACCTAGTGATGCAATCTACTGGAGTGCTCACAGCTACAAGGGAAAGAAAAGATGAAGAAGGAACTGAAAAACTTACTAACAAACAGATAGGTTAGTGAAGAAAAATGCAAAGTAGCAATGAGAAGGCTTATGGAGTAAAAATGAAGTCAGTTGGTATTTAATCCCAAAGTGTTGTTCTGATTATCTAAAATTTGACATGGTAGACCTTGCAATTTAGAATCAAGCAGGTGAGACAGGGAGAAGTATGCCTGCTTAATTATTTAAACTGTGTACTTTTGTTTTGACACTGAATATTTTAAAAAGCAAATAATAAAATAACTAAGCATTTGAGGAAAATTTTAAGGATAAATTGAGGAAACTGATTAATAGAGATAGCAAGGGATAATTAAATAAATATTCCCTATGTAGCAACAGTGGTTAGATGATCTTTGTCTGAATGTAATTAAACTTTGAATAGTTTTAGTGTGTCCTTAAAGCCAAGTATATGCTTTAACATCAAATGGAAGTCAAATTCCTAATGCATAGATAGAGAGAGCTAAACTGTGTAATTTAATGGTATCTTCCTTGCTGGATGTGGCAGAATCCACACCAGCTTATCAACCAACACAGCTAATTTTAGAATAGATCCTTTATCTTTCCATATGGCACACGTAAGAAAGTGTTTTTCTACTATTAATATTAAATTAAAACCTTTACTTTTGTATAATAAATTAAAACTCAGAATAAACCTGTGACCACGTATATTTGCATTCACTTTATTACTTTAGAGAACACATTGTAAAGATCAATAAGAAATAGAGCACAACTAAAATAAATAAGATTTATAGCCACACCAATAGGCTAAGTGTAAACGCAAAGTATGTTTCACTGTTTATGATTAATAATATTCATCTTTTCTATAAATACTACTTACTGGAACATTAACAACAAGTACCAAAGGTTGATTAATTTTTGGACTTCAAGGATGCCAAGTAGCCTAATGATTTATTAGGGGTGTGTGTGTGTGTGTGTGTGTGTGTGTGTGTGTGTTCAAATCTGGAAAACTGCATACTTCAGGTTATAATTTAACCTTTAAAGAAACTGGCTTCAAGTAAAATAATGACTTACATTTAAGTTGAGAACCCCCCCATCTTCAATTAAATATATTACAAAAATTGGTTTGAGAGACTTTCCAAATATCTACTGAAATTAACACAGGGCTAAGATCAGGCCACATTTCAAAAATCTCATCCCTTACTGGGCATTTATTTCGGGCAATATAGTAACCATTTTAAAAATATTTTTTATATGTTTTTTCCCAAGTATGACTACAATCTTACTCTCCCTTCTAAGCTAGTGATTCTTACCCTGGCTGCATGTCAGAATCACCTGAAGAGTTTTTAAAAAACACCAATGCCTAATTCCCATGTCTTCCTTCTGATGCAACTGGAATGGGGTGAACTCTAAGCATTGGTAATTTTTACGTAACTCTCAAGGTGATAACTGCTCTTGGTCATCAAATTCAAACGTCTAGCTATTATTAAAATGAGAGGAAAAAAATAAAGCATCATTTTTATTATCAATTTATTAGCAATTTGTAAAAAACAAATCTATTCTCTAAACGAGAAATCATAACAATATTATTCCAGATAAAGTTAAGTGTTAACAAAGTAAAAAGGAAAGCATGAGAATATTCATGCCAGTCATGGTGACTGAAATCAGGTTATCTTTTGAGGGGAAAAATAACCCAGATTAGAAATGAAACTGGGCAGACTTCCCATTCTGTGCAAAAATTGAAAATTTGAGATTGTGCACCAGTACATCCAGGAGTAACACAAAGCACTCCTTGAATCAAGGGTCATAAATAAACACGTGTCAGAGAAAATTAAAAGAAATTAATATCATCATAAAAATAGGAAATTACTTTCATATTCAACATACTGGTCAAACATTTTCTCACCAGAGAGCTTCTACCACAAGGATATTTAAAAGAATATTTAAAATTCACCACTCACTATCTTGGCTATTAAACATATACTCTCAGAATGGTACTATCCAATGATAGTTACTGAACAAACAGAAGTGTTTCCTTTCCAAATGACAGGTATTTTAAAATGGTAGGTAAGATATCTTTGAGTTCAAAATTTAAAAGTCATTTAGTTTTGAACAAAAACACATTCCCTACCCCTGGGTATTACAGTTCACCAGCTTAATTCAGGGATTTAAAAATAGTGAATCAGGTTAGGCACAGTGGCTTACACCTATAATCCTGGGAGGATCACCTGAGGCCAGGAGTTTGAGGCCAGCCTGCACAACAAAGTAAGAGCCTCATCTTTACAATAAATAAATAAGCCAGCCAGCGAGCATAGTAGCATGTGCCTGTAGTCCTAGCTACTCGAGAGGCTGAGGCAGGAGGATTGCTTGAGGTCAGGAGTTCAAGACCAGCCTGCGCAACACAGCAATACCCTGTCCGTAAAAACAACAATACTTCCAAAAACCAGTGAATCAAAAGCTTTATAGCATTTGATTATATTATGCTTTATAGTAGGAGCCCATAAAAAAAAACTATTCTTTTTGCACCAAGCTATAAGTACCCTGAAGTTAAGAACAAGGTCATAATAACCTGTGTTTCCCGCAGTGACCAGGAAAAAGCAGTGCATGGGTTAACACATTCCGTACCTACTATAATATGCATCATCCAAGGCACTTTACATTTATTTAATTCCACAATAAGCTTATAAATTAGGAATTATGATCTCCATTTTTCAAGAGAGGAAAGGTGACTTACTCAAAGAAATTTTTATTCAGATGGACTCACTCCTTTCAATACACTTTGTTTAGTTAACTTAAAAATTTTTTGTATTTTAAATTTTTGTGGGTACATAGTAGGTGTATATATTTAAAGGGTAATGAGATGTTTTGATACAGTCACGCAACGTGAAATAATCACATCATGGAGAATGGGGTATCCATCCCTTCAAGCACTTATCCTTTGTGTTACAAAGGATCCAATTACACTTTTAGTTATTTTAAAATGTATAATTATGGTATTAATGACAGTCACTCTGTTGTGCTATCAAATAGGTCTTATTCATTCTTTCTATTGTTTTTTGTACCTATTAACTGGTAACACCATCTCCCCAACCCCTCATTACCCTTTAGTAACAAGTTAACTTTAGTTAACTTCTTATTTAAAAAATGATCCCCAATTTATTTTATTTTCCACTGAGAAGTAACTACTTTGTGGGTAATCAAATAAATAGTTGAGAACTTGAACTCAAAAGTCACTAGTAAAATATTTGGTCAAAATAATTTAATTACAAATATACAAATGGCAAACAGGCATACGAAAGGGTACTCAGCACCACTGATGAGAGAAATGCAAATCAAAACTACAATGATACCTCATCTCACCCCAGTTAAAATGGCTTATACTCAAAAGACAGGCAATAACAAGTGCTGGGAAGGGTGTGGAGAAAATGGAACTCTCGTACGCTGTTAGTGGGAATGTAAATCAGTAAAACCACTATGGAGAACAGTTTGGTGGTTCCTCAAAAAACTAAAAATAGAGCTATCATATGATCCAGCAATCCCACTGCTAGGTATATACCCAACAGAAAGGAAAACTGTACAAAGAGACATCTGCACTCCCACTTTTGTTGTAACACTATTCACAACAGCCAAGATTTGGAAGCAACCTAAGTGTCTATAAACAGATGAATGGATAAAGAAAATATGGTACATATACACAATGGAGTATTATTCAGCCATAAAAAAGAATGAGATCCTGTCATTTGCAAAATAATGTAATTATACTTTTACCCTGGACTTTTTATATTATGAGGAAATAACATTACATTTATTGGTTACCTGCAGTTGGTGAGGCATTTATACATGTTATATTATGCTATCTTATTTAATCCTCACAATAACCCAATAAAATATTCCTTTAGAGGAGGAAACGGTGACTCAGAAGTGCAGAGTCTTGCCTAAGGTCATACAAGTAAACAGAACACATCACTCACTTCTTATGAGAAGAAATCTCACTGTAAGTGATAACCCAACTGGCAGCTTTTCTTCTTAGAACATGTAATTTTCTCTTCGGGACTCCATCCTAAATATTTAATTTACATAATCATATTACTAGAGTATCTCAAATATTTATTTACATAATTAAAAGCACTCAAATCATAGGGCTCCAAAATGTATTTCAAAATAAGTTCTGTTAAAGTAATATATTTCTTAGTCACTTTGTGGTTTATTGCACTTCCGGAACCAGCTATTGATAAACTTCCTCTTTTTCTACAGAAACTATTTCAGTTTGCTAGAGGAACATTTTAAATCTGAATTGAACCACCCATTTTCCTTTCTTAGCCAAATCACCAAAATGTCCAGTTAGAACAAGAATTTAGCATTCTGCAAAAGAAGTTAACAGCTGAGGTAAGAAAATTTTCACACAATTTGGTTTGATCTTGCTTTATATAAAATTTATTTTAAAAACTGTCATTAGTGTTTTAAACTTAAACTCTGATAGTCTAAAGATGTCTATAACAGGTTTTTGTGGTTTTGTTGCATAGAATTAAAAAATACTCAGTTCAGCTTGCCTTAGAAAAATATTTTCACCTAGGTTTGTATAAGACCTTTTAAGTTTATTTAATCTCACACACACACACACACACACACACACACACACACATATTTTTTTTTTTTTTTGAGATAGAGTCTTGCTCTGTCTCCCAGGCTGGAGTGCAGTGGCACGATCTCAGCTCACTGCAACCTCCACCTCCTGGGTTCAAGCAATTCTCCTGCTTCAGCCTCTCAAGTAGCTCGGATTACAGGCGCCCACCACCACGCCTGGCTAATTTTTTTGTATTTTTAGTAGAGATGGGGTTTCACTATGTTGCCCAGGCTGGTCTCCTACTCCTGACCTTGGGTGATCCGCTTACCTCCGCCTCCCAAAGTGCTGGGATTACAGGAGTGAGCCACCGCTCCCAGCCACAATCATATTTGTTAACCTTAGTTTTAGAATTAAAAAGAAACTATAGCCATGGCAGATAAAGCTAAGGGTTAGAAATAGAACTAGATTCCACAGGCTATGACTGAATTTATAACCTCCAAAATATTAATTGTTAAAAGTTCTAATGTACTTTTTATAGAATTTTCCTGTACATAATATAATGCATAAATTAAAATTTTTGTATCCCCTTTAGTTTGCATAGTAAGAATGGTCACTTTCACTTAATTTAGAAAGAAAAAGAAATCAGATGTGGTATTTGACTATTATTATTATACATGCTTTATTTTTTACATATAGATTTTATATTTAATAATGATGACATGAAAACATTATGGCTCATTTTAAAAGCTTACTAAGCCAAAAATGTTAGTCAATAATCAAACATGCATGCGTATATTAATATCATCTACGTGTTTATGTCACATTATCTGAGACTTTAGAACATAGTATAAGATAGAAGAAACCTATAGAATAAACAATAGAAAATTGTTAATATGCATAAAAGATGCTTGCTGTGGGTAAAATGGGCAAATAAAAACTGCAAAGAGTATTTTACATAGACTTGTAATTTCAGGGAATAATATGTTCATAGTGGGTGATATCCCATTTCAACACTTAATAAATATTCATGACTTTCTCTTAGAAGGATTTCTTCTAAGTAATTACTGTGGAAGTCAGAAAATAAAGATATTTATCTCTTTTTCAGATTAGGCTTGTCTATATATTTTTCTACTTCTAATATTTAGTTTATTTCATTATGCATAAAGTCATAAAATTATATTAAATTTTTTTCACTGTCATATTTCATAAAATTAAAAAATTTCCCATCGATCCTTATGGTGTGTTTTTGTCATAGAATCCCATACTTTTTTTTTTTTTTTTTGAGATGGAGTCTCCCTCTGTCACCCAGGCTGGTGTGCAGCGGCACCATCTTGGCTCACAGGCTCACTGCAACCTCCGCCTCCCAGGGTCAAGAGATTCTTCTGCCTCAGCCTCCTGAGTAGCTGGGATTACAGGCACCCACCACCACGCCTGGCTAATTTTTTGTATTTTTAGTAGAAACGGGGTTTCACCATGTTGGTCAGGCTGGTCTTCAACTCCTGACCTCAAGTGATTGGCCCACCTCGGCCTCCCAAAGTGCTGGGATTACAGGCAGGAACCACTGCGCCTGGTCCCATACATGTTTTTAAAGGGTTAGTCCCAAATCTAAAGTTTACTAGTAGTGCCTGTGTTTTCCAGCTAATTCCCACATAATTCTACTTAGAAGGAAACTTTAATTCTGATTAAGTTTGAATTGAGAAACATAAATCTGATGCCTTTCAATGTCCAAGCTTTAAAAAAAAAATCACCACAAAATTTTCAGTAAACTTACTAAATATGACACTTTATAGAAACCATTCCAAATTCTTATAATAGTTTTCGTAGAATCAGGACTAAAATGGGTTTTCAGGTATTTCTTTCCTACCCTTTATCTAAGACTACCTACAAGTGTTATTTACGTGTAATTCCCACCAACTCACATCTCCTTCCTTCATAAAGCATTTCTATTTCATAACTTTTCTATGAAAGGCAGTATAGCACATACAGTGAAATGTGATAGAAAGAAACGGTTCTGGCACAAGATTAGCATGATTTTTGTATTAGTGCCACTACTTAGAGCTGTGATACTGCCAAGTTACCCAACATCGTGGTGTCTCAGTTTCCTTATCTGTAGGATGAAAAAACCACCACCTAGCTAATTAAAATAGGATACTGCTTAGCCTTTGGTGGGTGCTCAGTAAATGGTCACTATCATGATACAAGATGGTCATCAAATACTTCCTATTGTAGTTGAAGGTCAATTTCTCTTTCCACTTTTCCTCAAGATGCAGAATGGCTGGTTTTTTCTTTTACGGTTTCAAAACTTCACTAGTTAGAGATAATACTACTGCTAAATTTTAATCTATTATATTTGCATCACAACTTTTATTATATCAAAGTAATTGATACAGCTATCTATACTTGTCTTTTGTCTAGGATATGCTCTCCAAATCTTGATTCTCTTTAAAAGATAATGGCATACTTCCTAACATATCCAACTTAACAGCATCAATTTTAAATGCTGGACCCTTTAAGTACTTATGCATTATATTTATAAGAACATGTCTATGGCCGGGCTCGGTGGCTCATGCCTATAATTCCAGCACTTTGGGAGGCCAAGGTGGGTGGGTCACTTGAGTCCAGGAGTTCAAGGCAAGTCTGGGTGACATGGTGAAACCCCATGTCTACAAAAAATACAAAAATTAGTTGGGCGTGGTGTAGTGCACCTGCAGTTTCTAACTTCTTTAGGGAAGCTGAGGTGTGAGGAGGATCGCTTGAGCCCAGGAGGCAGAGGCTGCAGTGAGCTGAGATTGCACCACTGCACTGCAACCCGGGTGACAGAGTGAGACCCTGTCTCCAAACGGAAAAAAAAAAAAAAAAAGAACATGTCTTATACACGGGGACTCCTGCTTCACTGTAACTGTCTTTAAAATGTTTAAATTTATGTTTTTCTTTTTAAAATATTCTAAATATTCAGCAAAGAAAAAGAACCAAAATCACAGATTTAAACCTCAAAGTGCCAGCCTATAATAATGAGTAAAAACCGGCATATGAGGGCTGACAAATTTGCTTGAGCAGCAGACTAAGGGATTTCTGGAAAACTCTATATAAAACGTACACGGGTACATGGGTTCTTTGGAATAATTGCTAGGTATGCTTCTGGATAGTGTCAGGGAAAAAAAAAGGGAGAGGATGGTAAGGATACTCACAGCAGACAGGAGAGCCTGAAATGAAAGGTAAATGAATTT
Source organism: Homo sapiens (assembly GCF_000001405.40). Lineage (NCBI taxonomy): Eukaryota > Metazoa > Chordata > Mammalia > Primates > Hominidae > Homo > Homo sapiens. Next base: position 31,310,573 of record NC_000017.11, on the reverse strand, counting down.
GAAAGGATGGTTCCTTCTGGTCCTCCATTTTAGAAAGCAAGCTCCTCTTTACTGTCTCCCTGCACTCACAAACACAGGCCAGCCACAACAGAGCAGCATTTTGCCGTTGCTTCTTTCATCTACTTCAATCATCTCCCCCCACCCCCAACTTCATTTTGCCTACTTCAATCATCTACACTGCCTTCTTGCTAATTATATAACCACTGCTTTTTTTTTCACCTGTTTATTAACTTTTCTTCTTTTCTGTATCTTCTCTAGTCAATTGACCTTCCTCTTTTCTGTTCGCTGCTTCCTAGAGTTTTTGTTTTTTCTCTTTTGTGTTATTTTGTATTTCTTTGCATTGCCTTTTATATTATTCTAAATCTCCTTTTTATTCCCCTGCCCAATATTGTTCTTTACCTACAGAAACAATGTTGGTACTTCAGGTACACACCACTTACATATTTTAAAATGTGTATGCTAAATAACCTTCCACACTGGTAGTAACGCTGGCCTCATTACCGCTGGGAAAAAAGTCAGTTTTTTCCACTACCATATTCCCTATTTATTCCTCTTTTAAATCTTTCTTCTCCTTCTCTGGACTACACTGAATTGCCATCATAGAATTCTAATACAGTTTCTAGTACTCTGATGTGGCAGATCCTAGGAGGATAAAAAGCTAACTGAAGAGTGGTAGAAAGTGTTAGGATAGGCAAAAAATGGAATTTGGTTTTAATATTGCCATAACCGTTAACTGACAAGTGAAAATCTCATACATGGAGGGTTCCACCAGCTTACTACTGACAGTAGAGGATAGGAGCCTATCAAAATTGATCTTACAAACTAACCTGGGTTTAAAATTATGTTCCTGTTTGGGCCCTGTCCTTCTCTAATGCCTTTTTCAGCTAACTGAAAAGAGGAACCGTATGGTTTCCTTATTTTAAGCAAAGTCACAAAAGAGGAAACATTTTTGGCTAAAGACAATTCATGGCTTATATTTTCTGATGCTTTGCATAGCATTAAAACAGATTTTTAAAATGAAGTTCTGAAGAGAATAACATTTTCTAAAGAAGTCCCCCCGCCTTTTTTTGTAATCTATAAGAATAATGGGTAGGAACTGCATGGATGATGACCATCCAGAGATTATTCAAATCCCTATATCTATGCCAAAAGTGTTCAAATTTTCCCTTTTAAATCTTTTGCAAAATGGATAAAAAGCAGAATTTATTAACTCAGATTTCACTGCCTCTGCTTATTTTCTGGTAGAAGTACTAGTAAAAAGCAAAAACTAAAATGGAAAGGAATCAAGAAGCCCAATACAGGTTAAATGTTTACTGTGCTCCTAATATATAAGGCATTAACTACAAAGAAATCAAAATATAAAAACATGAGGCAATAAAGGGTAGCAGAAAGAATGTATGCTTTGGAATCAGGTGGCCCTGGGTACAAACTCCCAATCTGTCACTTCGAGTGGTATAACATCAGGCAAACTGCTTAACTCATTTGACACTGTCTCTTTATCTGTAAATAAGGGATCCCTTTACCTTCCTTATAAAGTCATTTGAAGGTTCTGTGAAATAAAGTATGCAAAACTGGGATAGTACAACACATAATATGCTCTAGATAAGTATTTTTCTTTCTCCTTTCTGCCTTCTTCAAGGTTCTTTATAATCTTGTTCAAGGAAGTAGGTATAGGAAAATGTGAAAAGTAAACACAATTACTTAAGAGAATAGAAGTGTGAGTGAGATACATACATGAATTATGTAAGGAACCATAAAAACAATAAATGAGAGCTAGGGGGAATTCAGTAAATGACTGATCTGTTTGGGCTGTAGTCAGTCACAGAGAACTTGGGTTAAGAAGGGGAATTTAAACTGAGGTCTGAAAGATGAGGACAGATTCAGATATGCAGCCAGAAAGGGGAAGAGGCTAGGTCTGGAAGAAAAATAAAAAAAAAAGAACACCCTTGAGAAGGGTAAAAAACAGCATAGAAGTGTCTGTTTAGCAGGGAAAAATCGTGTGTTTAGAAAGTATGCAAGGTGGGAAAGGGATGCATTTGGCTGGATAAGAAGTTTCAGTCATGATACGTGAATCTGGACTGGTTAACTCAAGCCAGAAGGAAGAAAACTCAATTTAGAAGTTTTATCTTAACAGGCCAGGCGTGGTGGCTCATGCCTGTAATCCCAGCATTTTGGGAGGCTGAGGCGGACAGATCACTTGAGGTCAGGAGTTCGAGACCGGTCTGGACAACATGGTGAAACCCTGTCTCTACTAAAAATACAAAAATTAGCCAGGTGTGGTAGTGTATGCCTACTGTAGTCCCAGCTACTCGGGAGGATGAGGCACAAGAATCGCTTGAACCCAGGATGTAGAGGTTGCAGCGAGACAAGATCATGCCACTGCACTCCAGCCTGGGTGACAGAACGACTCTGTCTCCAAAAAAAAAAAGAAAAAGGAAGTTTTATCTTAACAGAAATTAAACCCTCAAGCAAGGCAGTAGTAACCTGATCATGCACACTTTTAAGATTAATTCAGCAGTGTGCAGGAGAGTTCAAAGGAGAACTGTTTTAAAATTCAGGCTTGAATTATTCGTATAGGGAAAAAAATCACATATCTTTTCTTCTACTAAAACAGGGCCATTTATCATCACTGTGTACCAAGTGGTAGAGGAGTAAGCAATGATATGCTGTTTAGATATGCTGAAAAGGTAATTTGTAAAACCTTTATTGCACCTTCCAACAGAACATCAAATCTCTCTAAATATAGGCTTATGAGTCAGAAGAACTATAGTTTCTAATCATGTATACCAATATCTAACACCCTAAGATTTTCTATTCCCTAATGTTAAGAGATAACCAAATAGTTGCCATTGTGTTTGATGATGTGCAAAACAAGTATATTATACCAAAAGTTGCAAATTGTCTCAGTAGAACTCTTCACTTTAGAGGAAAGGCAATTGAGAACAGGAAAGGTTAAGCAACTAGTTCTCATGGTTAGACAGGTAGTTAGATGGGAGAAGTAGAACTGAAACTTAACTCTCCAAGTTTTAGCATCTACCACATCCCAGAAAAAGCCCTATCTGCCAAACTTTCATATGTGCCTTATTTTCCTGTGCCCACATTGTTGCTCTCCCTGGCTGGAAACTTAATTAGTTTTTATAGACTTTTAAAATTCAGTTCAAGCTTTACTTCACTGAAGCCTTTCCAGGCTAGGTTAACTTCTCTGTACATCTCCTGCATACTTTTATGAGAAAGCTTATCAAATTATTGTAATTGGGCCAGGCGTGGTGGCTCACACCTGTAATCCCAGCACTTTGGGAGGCCAAGGCAGGCAGATCACCTGAGGTCAGTTCTCGAGCAGCCTGGCCAACACGGTGAAACCCCGTCTGTGCTAAAAATACAAAAATAGGCCAGGCGTGGTGATGTGTACCTGTAATCCCAGCTACTTGGAGGCTGAGAGAGGAGAATCAGTTGAACCTGGGAAGCGGAATTTGCAGTGAGCCCAGATTGTGCCACTACACTCCAGCCTGGGTGACAGAGTAAGACTGTCTTGAAAAAAAAAAAATTATTGTAATTATTTTTTAGCTTTTTTTCTTTCTTCTTTTTATTTAGAGATGGGATCTTACTATGTGGTCCATGCTGTTCTTGAACTCCTGGCCTCAAACGATCCTCCCATCTTGGCTTCCCAAAGTGCTGGGATTACAGGAATGAGCCACTACGCCTGGCCTTTACTGTTTGCTTCTATCACTAGAATCTGAAACACTTAAAGGCAGTGACTATCTTTTTTTTTTTTTTTTAATCTCCTAAACCTAGAACAGAGCTCCACACAAATGTGGCATTTACCAATAGATGAATGAAAGCAGCAGCAGGACTACTTGACCAACTGGATTGAATTTACTCCACCAGATTCAGAGATCACTCTAGGATTTTAAGCCTAAGACTCTGAGTTGAATGAAATTCTTTAAAAATATGCAATATTAACATAAGGCTACCACGCTACAGAGACACTAAGGATGCTTCAAAGATTACTAATAGACTCTGTGCCTAAGAAACTTAGTGGTACCATTAACAGATACAGAGAAGTTGGGAGAAGAGTCAGTTGTCAGTTGTGAGGGTAAAGATGAACTCCATTTTAAATATGTTGAATTTGCTGATAGTGGGAGATATTTATATCTATATCTATGTCTATCTATCTATATATATAAAATATGGAAAAATCCACCAAGAAGTCACACAAATAGAATTAGGACAAAGAAGATGTAGGCTGGAGGTACAGGTTTAGGAATTGTGGCATAAAGCTGAGAACTAAAATCTTACAGAATCAGGAACAAAGAAAAGTAGGTAAGGGTGAGGACAGAATATCAATTAACCATATTTAGGAGGCAGAAGAAAAAGAGCTAGTGAGAGTAACATGAAAGGAAGACTGATTACAAAAAGCTACTTGAATATTAGTGAAGGAACAGTAGTGTCTAATGTGGTCAAGGAGGGGAGGGGAGAGAAGAAATAAAGAACAATTAGATTAGGTAACAGATGATCACTGGTGTTCTTCAAGGCAGGAGAATCAATATATTTCTAGTAGAAAATGGTGAAAAAAGGTAGAGAACACATGGATCCAGCATATAGAGCCTATGCGTTTTGAGAAGTATGACTAAGTGAAGTACTGAAATATAATGAAGCTAGAGGGGCAGCAGAGCCAAGTACAGAACTTGTATTAATAAAAGAAGAGAGATCACTGCTTATGAGGTCCAAATGCTGTATGATGGGTTAGAGTATATCCAAGAGTTGTTACACCAAACCTACAGTGTATCAAGTCTAAATTAGGAATAATAACTACTAATCAACTACTACTAATTAGGAATAATGTCTACCTACTTTATGCCAGGAATCATAATGAAAAGTCAAATTTTTAACTAGACACCAATGACGCCTAACTGTCTTTCTCTTTCATTATAAACCCGCTATAGATAACGAGGAAATATTCTGAAATGGATCCCAAATATTTCATCTTAATTTTGTTTTGTGGACACCTGAACAATACATTTTTTTCAAAGACAGAGACAATTACAACAGAGAAGCAGTCACAGCCTACCTTATTCACATCATCAATGTCACAGGTATTGGCTAATTCTCAAAACACAACAGGGAATCCTTTGGGTCAACCAACACAATTCAGCGACACTTTTTCTGGACAATCAATATCACCTGCCAAAGTCACTGCTGGACAACCAACACCAGCTGTCTATACCTCTTCTGAAAAACCAGAAGCACATACTTCTGCTGGACAACCACTTGCCTACAACACCAAACAACCAACACCAATAGCCAACACCTCCTCCCAGCAAGCCGTGTTCACCTCTGCCAGACAACTACCATCTGCCCGTACTTCTACCACACAACCACCAAAGTCATTTGTCTATACTTTTACTCAACAATCATCATCTGTCCAGATCCCTTCTAGAAAACAAATAACTGTTCATAATCCATCCACACAACCAACATCAACTGTCAAAAATTCACCTAGGAGTACACCAGGATTTATCTTAGATACTACCAGTAACAAACAAACCCCACAAAAAAACAATTATAATTCAATAGCTGCCATACTAATTGGTGTACTTCTGACTTCTATGTTGGTAGCTATAATCATCATTGTACTTTGGAAATGCTTAAGGAAACCAGTTTTAAATGATCAAAATTGGGCAGGTAGATCTCCATTTGCTGATGGAGAAACCCCTGACATTTGTATGGATAACATCAGAGAAAATGAAATATCCACAAAACGTACATCAATCATTTCACTTACACCCTGGAAACCAAGCAAAAGCACACTTTTAGCAGATGACTTAGAAATTAAGTTGTTTGAATCAAGTGAAAACATTGAAGACTCCAACAACCCCAAAACAGAGAAAATAAAAGATCAAGTAAATGGTACATCAGAAGATAGTGCTGATGGTTCAACAGTTGGAACTGCTGTTTCTTCTTCAGATGATGCAGATCTGCCTCCACCACCTCCCCTTCTGGATTTGGAAGGACAGGAAAGTAACCAATCTGACAAACCCACAATGACAATTGTATCTCCTCTTCCAAATGATTCTACTAGTCTCCCTCCATCTCTGGACTGTCTCAATCAAGACTGTGGAGATCATAAATCTGAGATAATACAATCATTTCCACCGCTTGACTCACTTAACTTGCCCCTGCCACCAGTAGATTTTATGAAAAACCAAGAAGATTCCAACCTTGAGATCCAGTGTCAGGAGTTCTCTATTCCTCCCAACTCTGATCAAGATCTTAATGAATCCCTGCCACCTCCACCTGCAGAACTGTTATAAATATTACAACTTGCTTTTTAGCTGATCTTCCATCCTCAAATGACTCTTTTTTCTTTATATGTTAACATATATAAAATGGCAACTGATAGTCAATTTTGATTTTTATTCAGGAACTATCTGAAATCTGCTCAGAGCCTATGTGCATAGATGAAACTTTTTTTTAAAAAAAGTTATTTAACAGTAATCTATTTACTAATTATAGTACCTATCTTTAAAGTATAGTACATTTTACATATGTAAATGGTATGTTTCAATAATTTAAGAACTCTGAAACAATCTACATATACTTATTACCCAGTACAGTTTTTTTTCCCCTGAAAAGCTGTGTATAAAATTATGGTGAATAAACTTTTATGTTTCCATTTCAAAGACCAGGGTGGAGAGGAATAAGAGACTAAGTATATGCTTCAAGTTTTAAATTAATACCTCAAGTATTAAATAAATATTCCAAGTTTGTGGGAATGGGAGATTAAAATGCATGTTTGAGAATAGAGAAATTTTCTTCTTGGTTTCATTGCAAAGAGTAAAACAAACATGTTAAAACATCAACTGAAGGGTTGGGTTAGGAACATTTACCCTGAAAAAAATATGAGGATGCATCATAAAATGTAAATATTTTCCTACCATGTTGGGGGGGCACAAATTTTAAAACTGGCATCTTTACAAGTTTCTTCTTTATAAACACCCAAACAAAATCAAGTTTTATAAAGCAAAAAAAAGGAAAAGAAGACTATGGCTTCATTCTAAATACGGGTGACTTTGGGTGATTTTTTTTTCAGGAAAAGAGACTATCAAAACACAGATGATTCTCAACTTTTTACTAAACTTATACTTTCTGATGCTATCCACTCTTAAGTCACCTTTCTTACACAGAATTTCATCTTTATCCATTATCTGACAATTGGTAAGTCTGAGTTATTAGAGTAGGAATGGGCCCAATCTTTGTCAAAGTCAAGAGTGGTCATCAGCCTATACTTTTGGGGATGCCAGCCTTTGTCTGCAGAAGTGCTCCTTTGCCCAACAAGCACATATTCTTCCTCATTAGTCCCATCTAACTCCAGGGGGAAACAAGCACTTAGAATAAAATGGTAGCCCAGTCTTGGAGAACCACTCATAGTTCTGGGATTTTCAGAGTAGAACATAGCATTTATTCATAGCACTGGCATTCATGACATTAACAAAGCTCCATATTTAATAAGAACCAGTAGGGTTTTGGACACAGGAATTTTACATACAATGTTTTTCCTAAAATCTTTCAAGCCATCTTTACTGACCATTAATTTTTTAATCTATAGAAACACTTCCTTGAGCTTCTTACTTTTCCTGAATAAGCATGATACTTATTGTCATATTACATCTTTTGTCTTCCTCATTAAAAATTTTCTTTCATGTATTCTTCAAAGTTAGTACTTTTGTTCGAGACAGAGTCTCACTCTGTCGCCCACGCTGGAGTGCAGTGGCATGATCTTGGCTCACTGCAACCTCCGCCTCCCACGTTAAAGGGGTTCTCCTGCCTCAGCCTACTGAGTAGCTGGGACTACAGGCGTGCACCACCACGCCTGGCTAATTTTGGTATTTTTTTTTTAGTAGAGATGGGGTTTCACCATATTGGCCAGGCTGGTCTTGAACTCCTGACCTCATGATCCACCTGCCTCGGCCTCTCAAAGTGCTGGGATTACAGCCGTGAGCCACCGTGCCCGGCCCAAACTTAGTACTTTTAAAGCTAATTTCCCCAGCAGCAATCTGGAGTTGAGAATTTCCTATTATTCTTTTTAATTTTACGAATTTTTGTTATGGTAAATAAGATATGTTTTTATACTTGGCCAAGTCTTTGACATGCCTTAAATCATCATAACTGTTCTCATTTTACATTTGTGACAGTTACTTAATGGGCTCGTTCCACATTTTTGCCCCTTTTTACCACCTTCTTTCCTGAAAGAAATACAGGGAAAAATAGGGAAATACCAATTTTCTTAGATTAAACGGGAGCTGATTAGCTGACCACAGTGTTGTCTGATATCTTTAAGTACTTTTAAAGGGAGGTTTTCTCTTTCTGTTCTTTGTATAACAGGACAGACTACTGGCAGCAGCCGGGTTTTTATGTTGTCTTTTTTCCTTTTATTTTTTTTAAAGAAATTCTTTGCTGGGGGAAGAATAATTCACATTTAACTGCATGTAATTTTCCCCAGTGAGGTCAGTGGAAGCTGAGCAGCCAAACAGTGGCAATCCTTGCTTAATCAGCAGGAAGAGATACAAACTAATAAATGCAGGACAGAAGAAAATGCTGGAACAAAGAAAAATCTTTTAGAGAAAAGATTAAAGAACTAAGATCCAGAAGAGAAAGTTTATTTCATGAATACTGCAAAAGAATAAGGCACAGGGGAATAAAAGGTAGATTAAAGTTCACACCACATACTAGTGGTGCTCTTAACCAAAATAGCATTAACCAGAGTCAGACACAACCCTGAAGACCATTTGGTTCAACTCCTTTTGTTTGTTAACTACTGAGAAAACAGGACCAGAGAAAGTAAGTGATGTGCTTAGAAGTGGTATTAAAAGCTGAGTTTGCTCCCTGACTATTGGTTCAACACTCTTTTCACTAATATAGGACCAAAGAGCACCTACATCATGCACTGAAACATACATATATCACATAAGTCTTCTATTTGGTGTCAGTGGTGAGGGACACAAATGAATTAGATGAGGGTGATCTTTAACTGTTGTTCTTACTGAATTCTGATCAAAAAGTAAAGTAGCACCTTTGGGAACCTATAACTAAAACACTGTGGTACCGGTATATGACTAAACAAACAGATCAATGGAACAGAAGAAAAAGTCCAGAAATAAATATCAAATCAGTGGAAACAAGCATTGGAACAATTGGATAGACATCTGGAAAAAAGAAAAAATTTGATCCATACTTCACACTATATTGGAACACCAAGGACCAGAGTTCTAAATATAAACCATGAAATTATACAAGTAATAGAAGAAAATATGAGTAAATTCCTTTATAATCTGGAAGCGGGAAAAAACCTTCCTAGCTGAGACTCAAAATCCAGAGGCAATAAAAAGGGAAATCAAATTATATGAAACTTTTAAATATCACACACATGCAAGTGCGCATTACACACAGACACACACACCTCACCATAATAAAGCCAAAAGACAAATGGCAAACTGGAAAAAAAAATTAAAACTTAAATCAAGACAAAGTGCTAATACCTCTAAAATTTAAAATGCTCCTAATATGGGGCAGGAAGGGGAAGACCCAAAACACAACTTTTAATAGTGCAAAACATTAAAAAGACAGTTACAGGAGAAAACATTTAAATGGTCTTTAAACATATGTAAAGACATATACTCCCCCTCATAATTACAGAGATGCATTTAAAATTAGATGGAGATACTTGCCTATCAGATGGACAATAAATCCCAAAGTTCAACAACAAAGTATACAGTGAGGCTGTATAGAACTCGACACCATGATACACTGTTGGTGGGACTGCAAAATGGTATAATCAATGGAGAGGAATTTAGTAATGTCTGGAAAAATTCCAAATGCATTTACCCTTTTACCCAGCAATCCTACTTCTAGGAATCTTTTTCAAAGATTTACTGGCAAACATATAAAATTATTTAGGTACAAGGGTATTCACTGTGGCATTATTCGTAACAGCAAAAGTCTGAAAAACCCAGATGTCCACCAATAGGGGACTGGTTGAATAAGCCATGGTACATTCCCAAATGGAGTACTATGGATCAAACAGTGAATCATACAGATACCTATATACTGATATGGAGTGATACTCAAGATACAGTAAGAAAAGAAGAACAAGTTATCTAACAGTATGTATATATGTCACCTTTTATATTAGAAGGGGGGATAAGAACATACCATACATATGCTTACATTTTTTTTAGGTTTTCAAAAAGAAATGTTAATGATACAACGAAAAACTAATAAAAACAGTTACTAATAGCAGAAGGAAGGAAATAGGATGGAAAAGACAGAGAAGCAAGATTTATCTGAATATACATTGTTATATATATAATTTTGACTTGTGATCCTGAAAAGCTGAAAACTGAAACAAAGTTTATATCAAGTTGGTGATATAAAAATACACAGAAAAGAATTATTTCACATTGCATTAGAACACAGAATTTACTATACACTTTTAGTAAAATAAAGCAAGCAGAGCTACAAACAAATTTTAAACTTTATTCGGTAGTCTATAATCTAATTGTAGCAATCAATACTGGTATTATTTTGAAATTATTGTGAGATGATGCAAATGAGCAATTATGTCAATGATATGAGGAATCACTTATAGAAAATATGGGGGACAGAAGAACAAATTAAATCTTCCCAAAGAGTCAAAGAGAAAACTCCAAGATGAGAGACATTTTAGGAAATAATTGACTGAGTTTTGGCAACAAGCCAGTGGCATAAAGAAAAAAAGGAGTAGGGAGGTGGGCAAAGAAACTGATTCATTTGGATTTTGACTTGGTAATTTCTATGTTGTTATTTCTTTCATGCTTTTAAAGTACTTTATTGAGTACTCTCAGTTGTATTCAGCAGGAAAATCAGTCTAAATAGCCAACCATATTACCAAAAATAAACAATATCTGACTCTCAAGCATAGCAAATGTTACCTATAATAATGGAAAACTGAAACCACTGATTAGCGTGGGATAGCTATTCCTTGGCAGATGCTTTGTGATACCTTTCACAATGTTGGGGTAATATATCCTAGGACACAAAAGAATACGTAAATTAATTTACTGCTTAATCTAGAATGTAAAAGTTGCCTAACTATCATTACTGACCTAGACAGCCTAATAGAAAATGTAATGAGTCTGAATAATATTTAAAATAAGTTGTAACACATACTTATGCCTCTAAAAAATATTTTTTTTGAGTAACAGTAATACAGTATTATTTTATTTCATGAGAATTTCTTTTATTTATTTATTTATTTTTATTATACTTTAAGTTTTAGGGTACATGTGCACAACGTGCAGGTTAGTTACATATGTATACATGTGCCATGCTGGTGTGCTGCACCCAGTGTAAGAGATTGTTAGAATTCAAATATATTGAAATGATCTCCCTTTTTCTTTTTGAGAATTTTACAATAATCTTTGAATAATATGAAGCAATTTGGTATGTCCCAAACTTGAAATGAGAAACATTGCCACTACTATTGCACTGGAATTTTCTATTATATACAACAGAAACTAAACTTGATACAGCCTAAACCCAAATTCATTTGAATCCATTAATGAAGTAACATGTCTTTTCTTTCAAACAAAAGTACTGTTAAGTGTAATGAAAATGCATAACTCTACTTCTACACTGACTTAATGAGGTTTCCTAAAATTAAGAGATTTAAGTGGTCGGTAAATTGACCCTCAGTCACATCTTTAGAAGTGCAGCAGTGTATATATGAGCTTAAATAGAACTCTAAATGTCAATGCATTCCCTATTTCCACAATATTGCTGAATGTAGTATTTTTAACACATTATTTTAAGCACTATGATTGATGGCTGGTTTCCTAAATCCACAGTAAGAATCCAATTGAGAGTTCAACTGAACCCTCAAAGTAAAGTGGCAATAAAGCACCCAATCAACAATAAACTTCTATGTTGCGGACTCTTAAAATGCAGATACTTTTCGAGGAACATTAGTTTTATACAAAAGGTGGCTCCTAGAGTATAGTTTCTCTTGTAAGAAAATAAACTTCAAATTTTAATACAACAAATTCTATTTGTGGTATAATCTAAATAATGCTAATATAATTTAGAGAAAAACAAACGATTTAGTAACAAGGCATAAAGAGACTTTCCTTACACATAACATGCTAAATATTACTCGTTTTTAAATGGTGCCACTTGGTAACGAAAATACCGTAACTTTATTTGCTTTCTTTAAACTTGCCATTCTGGAAATCAGATTTGTGTTTTAACAGATTTACACAAGCAGTCCACTGAAGAGTGGAGCAAAATTTATCATAAATCTGATCTCACTTTATAAAACTCATGATGAAAAATTTTCCTTTTATATCATTTCATGTAATTTTAAAACTATAAACTACTTTCCCAGAAAGATGAAATGTGCAACACTCTGAAATCACCTAAATTGATACTGCTATTCTTAAAACATAAAATCAAATAAATGGTCATTCATACAGCACCAAAAATGTCTTTGGAAAAAACAATACTCATATCCACTTACCACCCAAGGTTGCATAAAGAAAAAAAACTTTAACTCCAAATATATAAAATAAAACATGTTTATTTTACATAGGAACTGATAATCTGAAGTATAAGATGCTAATTTCCAAATGTATCCTGGCTTGTGTGTAGCCTTGGTCAAATGATCATTGTATCAGAAAGATAAAGAAAAAATAATCGTATTTCAGTACTTCTATACATCCTAAAAGGGAAGACGGAACACTTAAGTGGTTGATAAATTTGAAAAGCTGATTAAACATAATAATCACCATGTTGGGGGAAGACATAAAAGTCATAAAACAGATTTTTTATAATATTAAAAAAGTGACATGAAAATTATACAATTTTAGAAAGGAATATAAAAAGGCAGGAGTTAAAAAATAGTGGGACTAATATCATAGAAAACTATCCATGAGGAAGGTCAAATTTATTTTCAACATGTAAAAAGGATAAAGAGTAGAGGTATTTTAAAAATTCACAGATTCTTAATGAGGCAAATGTTAAAATATGGAACCCAATCTCAGACAAATACATAGAAAGGAGTAAGGGCCAACTCTCATGCATAAGGTATCCCATCCTATAGCAAATCAGATATATAGGTACGCTTGATGCCACAAATTTTTTAAAAAATTGTCCATTTTGTTGCGTGTGCACCTCTTGCCATAAATTTGAGTCAGCACCAGCGACAGCTCTGCAGTCCTCCTATGTGGTACTGATCAGGTGGTTGCAGAGCTTCAGCTCACAGCAACACAATGCAGCTGAGCAGGCAAGCACAGCCCACAGCCAGAAACAGTTCCGACTCTACAGAACAAGACGACCTTTAAGTTTCCCAGAGAAAATGAGATGCTGATGTTGAAGACGACACCACGGTAAGATGTTATTTAAATCAGTAAAAGGCTGACTTTGGAATCTTTTTCCTTTTTCTTTTAAGAAAAAGTCAACGTTAGGATTAAATATATATTCAATAGCAAGTGCATGCACCAGAAATTTGCTGCAGTGTCAGTTGAGGGATATTTTTTATACATTCAGTCACTCTGTAAATATACATATTGTTTTCCTTTAAAATGGGCACTGAAATATACAGAAAAAAATCACTTTATAAAATGTGAGGTTTATAGGTACTGTGTTGGTCTGGATTTTTCAAGTGCTTTTTACAAAGATATATTTATCCTAAAAACATACAGATAAAATTTCGAAGAACTGCTTTAATATCTAAATAAAATCTACCCTATATACACACATTGAATTACATTACTGCAGAGATTAAAAAAAAAAGACACGACAGCCATTTTTTCTCATCTGAGTAAGAAAGCATATCATCAAAAATAGTAATAGCCTACAACTGCAACTATTTATTTGCAAAGAATGCTATTTTATCATATTAAGGCTCTAGAAAGATAAATAAGAAAGAATATGGTTAGAAAAGGGGGGAGGGAGAGAGAAAATAAAGGAGAAAATGCAGGAGAGAGTAGGGAGAGAGTCTCTCTCTACCACATAGCCCAATTGAAGGATTAAGCATTTGGACTATAAATGAAGGGGAGCTTTGTTAGTTTAATCACTGGAACAATTATAAAAGGACTCGACAACAACGAGGTTTATTGAAAATTTTGCCTAATGCTAACTGACCCATGCAGATGCCTAAACTGTATTTGCATATTAAAAGAAGGGTGTATCTGTTTGTTTCTAGGCTTTGATGGAATATCAGATATTGAAAATGTCTCTCTGCCTGTTCATCCTTCTGTTTCTCACACCTGGTATTTTATGCATTTGTCCTCTCCAATGTATATGCACAGAGAGGCACAGGCATGTGGACTGTTCAGGCAGAAACTTGTCTACATTACCATCTGGACTGCAAGAGAATATTATACATTTAAACCTGTCTTATAACCACTTTACTGATCTGCATAACCAGTTAACCCAATATACCAATCTGAGGACCCTGGACATTTCAAACAACAGGCTTGAAAGCCTGCCTGCTCACTTACCTCGGTCTCTGTGGAACATGTCTGCTGCTAACAACAACATTAAACTTCTTGACAAATCTGATACTGCTTATCAGTGGAATCTTAAATATCTGGATGTTTCTAAGAACATGCTGGAAAAGGTTGTCCTCATTAAAAATACACTAAGAAGTCTCGAGGTTCTCAACCTCAGTAGTAACAAACTTTGGACAGTTCCAACCAACATGCCCTCCAAACTACATATCGTGGACCTGTCTAATAATTCTTTGACACAAATTCTTCCAGGTACATTAATAAACCTGACAAATCTCACACATCTTTACCTGCACAACAATAAGTTCACATTCATTCCAGACCAATCTTTTGACCAACTCTTTCAGTTGCAAGAGATAACCCTTTACAATAACAGGTGGTCATGTGACCACAAACAAAACATTACTTACTTACTGAAGTGGATGATGGAAACAAAAGCCCATGTGATAGGGACTCCATGTTCTACCCAAATATCATCTTTAAAGGAACATAACATGTATCCCACACCTTCTGGATTTACCTCAAGCTTATTCACTGTAAGTGGGATGCAGACAGTGGACACCATTAACTCTCTGAGTGTGGTAACTCAACCCAAAGTGACCAAAATACCCAAACAATATCGAACAAAGGAAACAACGTTTGGTGCCACTCTAAGCAAAGACACCACCTTTACTAGCACTGATAAGGCTTTTGTGCCCTATCCAGAAGATACATCCACAGAGACTATCAATTCACATGAAGCAGCAGCTGCAACTCTAACTATTCATCTCCAAGATGGAATGGTCACAAACACAAGCCTCACTAGCTCAACAAAATCATCCCCAACACCCATGACCCTAAGTATCACTAGTGGCATGCCAAATAATTTCTCTGAAATGCCTCAACAAAGCACAACCCTTAACTTATGGAGGGAAGAGACAACCACAAATGTAAAGACTCCATTACCTTCTGTGGCAAATGCTTGGAAAGTAAATGCTTCATTTCTCTTATTGCTCAATGTTGTGGTCATGCTGGCTGTCTGAGGGTCTGCATTTTCTGAAACTAATGAAAGCACTCCTCCCTGATGTACAGTTGGGAAAATATGTCCATATCTAACCAGTGATTCGAGCTATATTTAAGTATTCAAGAAAGCCAGTCTTAACATTTCTAACTCTGATGTAAATGAAGTAACTTGTCTTAAATAAAAGAAATGCACAATGTCTTGGTACTTGCTGCTATTTTACTGTCTTAATTAAGTAAACTAATGAGTTTCTTTTATAAAAAAAATGAAATGTTTTAAGGCTTCAATTTATTGCACAAAATATAAAGCATCTAAACTTTAATATGTATTTTATGTATGTTTACACTGTCAAACATCTGGAAAATAAAAGGTCTATGCTCATAACTGTGTCATTTGGCTTTCCAGTCATACCAACTTTAGCAGAATCAAAATGACCTCACCATTTTTGTTCTAGGGTACCTTGGTAAAATCTTTAAGGTAAATAAAATGGCGGTAGTATCCAAGGATATTTTACTGAAGTAAAATCGTAGCTGCCATCCCATGAATGGTTATGCTACAACATTATTTTACAGACAAGCCATAATTGTTTTAAATCTAAATGATGTCCTGCTTCTGAGGAACTCTTGGCTACTTGACAGATTATATAATGGACAAAAGCTCTTCAAAAAGCTAGAAGACACTAGGCTTTGCATTTTAATAAGAAAAGTTTAACGGTTGTGTTTTTTGCATGTAAGAAAAGTGTTAAAAACATAATGAAAAAATTTAAAAACATGTAAAGAAGCAGTTTTAGTGCAGATTTAACACACCATTAATGGAGAATTTAAATATTTACAAAATTAAAATCCTACTACATGAAGGAGAAGAAAATTTATCTTTTACAAATCAGAAATCAGAATTACCTAAATTAAAAATAAGATTAGCTTAAGAATAAAATCATTGGGTCTGACGAACTTGGGCAGTACTGAGGAAGTGAGGAAGGAGAGAGGGAAAGGGAAAAGGGCATTTGGTACTACAACCAGGTGGTGAACCCAGTAAAACAGACTGAGGACTAAGGCTAGGCATGGGACAGAGATCTTGACACTCCAAATCAAACCACACTGGAACTCCAACTAGAAGAAAATCACTGAGAAATTCTCTACAAATATAAAAGTTAGCCAACTTATGAATTAGTGACAAACATAAGAAACAGCCACAAGGCAGCAAAAGAAGTCCTGAAACAGGATTGATTAAAATGCAAGACAGCATAACTGAGATGGGTGAGACACAAATGTGGTATTTAATTTGTGAGACGTAAGGCAGAATCTCATTTCAAGCATTTCTAGAGGTGGGAAAAGATAGAGAAAGGAATTTTTATGTTCCTTCGTAAAAACTTTTAAAAATTCAGATAGCCTCCTTTGCTGGTTTAGGAACATTTCTATTGAGAGAGAGAAAAGTAACAACACTCTAATGTGTTCTTTTTTTTGCTTTTTAAGGACCAGGATTATGGAAAAATTACCATTAAGCTTCAACAAAACAGTCATCTTTCATGCTGTCTAGTACAGTGGCTCTCGAACATTTTCTGCCTTAGCAAACCTGATTGGCTCACTGTGTCAGGGAATCTCACCATGAAGAAACAGGATTATTTGAAAAAGTCCCCTAAATGATTTTAAAATGCATTACCTCTCTATATACGGAAGCTATCTCCACTCCCTCCCAAACACTGATTAGTACCTTCACCATCCATGATAGGGACTAATTGCTTAGATAATCCCTACTCTACCACATACTTGTGTCTTATTTAAAAAAACATATACACCGACTTTCACAGAAAGTAGGTTTCTTTTTTTTTTTTTTTTTTTTTTTTTTTTTTTTTGAGACGAAGTCTCGCTCTTATCCCCCAGGCTGGAGTGCAATGGCGTGATCTCGGCTGACTGCAATCTCCCCCTCCCAGGTTCAAGCAATTCTCTCACCTCAGCCTCCCAAGTAGCTGGGATTACAGGCGCCTGCCACCACGCTCGACTAATTTTTGTATTTTCAGTAGAGACGGGGCTTCATCATGTTGGCCAGGCTGGTCTCAAACTCCTGACCTCAGGTGATTCGCCTGCTTTGGCCTCCCAAAGTGCTAGGATTACAGGCATGAGCCACCACGCCTGCCCTGAAAGTAGGTATCTTAGAGGTAACTGTCTTTTCCTCTGAGGATACCAAAAACTCAATGCTGTCTTAGAATTTTTAAGGGGAAAAGTAATAAGAAAGTCAAATTATAGACTACTGCATTAGGAGCACCTATGGATTATGTCAATCCTACAGACATGTCTGCAAAATGCAGAGTCAAACTTGGTAAACTTACAAGTACAATATACGTCAACTACTCAGACTCTAAGTTCTTAGACAGAAGAATTATCTAGCCTTAAAGTAAAGTTGACCCTTGAACAACATGGGTTTGAATGGCATGGGCACACTTATACATAGATTGAAAGCACAGTATTTGTGGGATGTGAAACCCACATACTGTATAAATAGGTTCCACAAGGAAGCACGTTCCACAGGGCCGATTTTGGGATTTGAATATGCGCAAATTTTGGTATACACAGGGGTCTGCTAACCAATCCCCCAGATATACTGAGGGAAACTATAATTAGATAGTATTTCCTTCCAAAGAAATTATATTCTTATTATTAATGGAAAAAGGCTCATTATTTGCCACTAAGTATTACTATATTCCTGGCTCCAGAAAAATTTCAAAATGCATTAGTCCTTAGCATCTATCTCTCAAGCACATCAAATATGTATGCATATGTGTACAGATATACACATACCTATATACACATACATCTATATCTATCTTCACCCATCCATCTCTAAGGCTTGGCTCTACTTTACAAGCAACTTGCCTCTGCCACTTCTCAGCTGTATGACCATAGACAAGTTATTTCACTGCTCTAAGTCACAGTTTCCTCATCTATAAAATGGGCTGGCAGAACTTACAGTGGTTTTTTTCTGAAGATTAAATGACATAATTCACATAAACCCTTCACAGTGTCTTGGCCCACCCACATTCCTAGATGCAGTAATGTTGTTGTTGTGAGGATTATTATCACATCTGTATGTCCAAACCCAATGCTATGAGAAATTCCCATATATGGAAACATTTCAGCTCTACACACTGAGAGCAAGGGAATGAAAGGATGTGCTTGCTTTAGTCTCTTCCCTGCTAGAAATCAGGTTTAGATATCAGTGAAATAGGGACCCAGAAGAAAGTCAGAAAGACATTCACTTACCACAGCAGAATGAGAAGATGGCTTCTATAGCTAACTTAAAAGATCACAAATATGTGCTATTCAATATCTTCCATAATGATGCTATCAAACAACAGCAAATTCCTTTAATACCAAAAATGTCAGTCAAGAGTTAACCTAAAATCTTTCATAAAATTTTTCCTTATAAAATATATTTTAAGAACTAGATAAAAGAATGTATTACACACTACCACCCAACATCTTGCTGGTGAAGAATAACATATTTCTATTAAAATCACAATCGAAACAAGGATGCCCACTATTGCCAATCTTTTTTAACAATATTTGGGAAATTCCAAAACAAAAAAACAGAAATAACAGATATTGGCAACAAATAATTAGAAAATTATGGGAAAAATATACAATGTCAAGAAGTAACATTAACATGAAATATGCAGCATCAAATGGGGAAAATCTGAAAAATATTAATGAGAAGTATAAATTAAGACTTGATGCAGATGACAAACTAAGGTCTCTCCATTCATTCATTCATTCTTTCACTCAACAAATATTTAGTCAGCACCTGGAACATATCAAACACTAAGGTACAGAGGACTTTGGTGGGATACTATTACGTTGCAATTATTTCCAGTATAGTTTACAGATTAAGGCAATTCTGAAAAATATTCCAATGAGAAATGTTTTGGAACCTTAAGTTCACTTAGAAACAAGCAAGAATAGAAAAAGAAGTAAATACTACAGTTACATTAACTTATTTATTTATTTATTTATTTATTTATTTATTTATTTCATACAGAGTCTTGCTCTGTCACTCAGGCTAGAATGCAGTGGTGCGATCTTGGCTCACTGCATCCTCCACCTCCTGGGTTCAAGCGATTCTTCTGCTTCAGCCTCCTGAGTAGTTAAGACTACAGGTATGTGCCACCATGCCCAGCTAATTTTTGTATTTTTAGTAGAGATCAGGTTTCACCATGTTGGCCAGGCTGGTCTTGAACTCCTGACCTCAGGTGATCTGCTTGCCTCGGCCTCCCAAAGTGCTGGGATTACAGGCGTGAGCCACCGTGCCCGGCCGATATTAGCTTTTCTTGAGAGAGAAACATGTATCAGCCATAATAATTACAGAATGATAGTGGCATAAAAACAGAAAGATAACCACAATATAGAAACAACAGCACAATGAGAGCACAGGTACACAGAAGAACTGAATATGTGACAAAGCTTTACTTACTAGCTGTGTCACTTCAGCAAATTAGGTTTCTGTGCCTCTATTTCCTTACAGGGTTGTTGTGAGAAGAAAATGAGATAATACAGATAAAGTGTTTAGAACAGTGCCTAGCACACAGTAAATTCTCAAACATTGTTAGCTGTGGAAAGAAAAATCAGAAACCAAAGGGGAAAGGAAAAGACTCAATAAATGAGATGAGGAAATTGGAAAAAAGTTCAGTTTAACACTCACTTCATGTGATACACTGACAAAGTGAAAGAAAACATGAACAAGGAAGTCATAAAACCAGCAGAAGAATTTAAAAATATTTGTAAGTCTTCAGGTGGAAGGCTATTTAATTAGAAAAAAAAACAATCACAAAGAAATTATCAATAGATTGGTCTATACAAAATCCCCATTATGCTGAAACAACCAGCCTGATAAAAATATTCAAATAAGATGCTATAAAGGAGGTTGTTAATCAGGAGCTCATAAAACGGATGAGAAAAAAATCTTAAAATTCTCAATGAATAAATGGGCAAAGGACATAAAAAGAATGTTTACAAGATACAAAATACTATGATTAATATATGGGAATATGGCCAACCACGTAATTGAGAAATGCAATAAAAATGTGACATCATTTTTCACTATTAAAATAGCAAGCAATTAAAAAAAAAACCAACGATGGGGAAGGTAGAATGAAATGGCCATGTTCACATATTGGCACAATTCTTTGGGAAAGCAATTTGGCAATGAAATTTTTAAAAAAGTAAGATATTTTAACTTTTGTCTACAGTTAAGGCATTTAAACTTTTGCCTATAGGTAAATCACAGCATTCTTTCTAACAAGAAAAACTGAAACAACAATAAATATCCACCATTAGGAAATTAAGTAAACAATGACCCACTGACCAGAATATCTGGCCAATAAAAATATTTATGAAGAGTTTTTTAAAGTGTGAAATGTGGAAAACGCAAATATTAGAAAAATAAGAAAAAATTATAGGACATAGAACCATGTATTAAAAAGTAACAAAAAGAAAAATGCCAAAATGCTAACTAACACTGTAGACCAAGCATATTTTATTACCTGCCTTGTCCTTGAAATAGCCAAGAGATCTAAGAAAAGAACTACTGAAATGTTTGTCTAGGGCATCTAGACTGAGTAAGAAAACAAGAGAAATAAGAAGACACAAGATGAACTGTGTACCAACCCTTCCCTTTCAATAATTTCTCATATCTCATAATAAAATCTAAACTCTTAATATGGTTTACTGCATGATCAGGGCCTTGCTTCCCTTTAGAGTATCATCTTAAAATTTTCCAGCTCTCTAACATTTTATAGTTCAAACAAACAAAATATCCTCTGTCCCTTAGTCACCATGCTTCGTGCCACCAGGCTTTCAGAGATGCTGCATGTCCTCTCTCCCTCTTCTTGCCCTCTCAAACCCTACTCATCCTTTTGATTTCAGCTGAGACATTCACTTGCCCCTAGAAGTTTGTTTTTTTGACCACCTTTATCTGAATTTATAAATAAAAGAATGAATTAACATAGATCAAAGATGTGACTAGTTGGCTAACAATGACCTACTTAGGACAGACCAAGTCAAACCTGCGAGTCTTATTCTAGAGTCTAAGTTTCTTTCATTTATTTCAAAGTTACAGCTTCAAAGTCCTGAGAAAAGAAAGATCAAAGAAAAGTTAAGAATGAGGGAGGATTTGGCTAGGCTACTACTAGTCATATAAGAAACTAGTTCTGGGCCAGGCACCATGGCTCACACCTGTAACCTCAATAATTTGGGAGGCCAAGGTGGGTGGATCACTTGAGGTCAGGAGTTCAAGACCAGCCTGGCCAAAATGGTGAAACCCTATCGCTACTAAAAATATAAAAATTAGCTGGGCAGGCACCTATTATCCTAGCTACTCAGGAGACTGAGGCAGGAGGATCGCTTGAACCCGGGAGGCGGAGGTTGCAGTAAGCCGAGATCATGCCACTGCACTCCAGCCTGGGTGACAAGAGCAAGACTCTGTCTCCCACTCCAAAAAAAAAAAAAAAAAAAAAAAACAAAGCAAAAAAAACTAGTTCTGGGCAATGTGGAGTTACCTTTGGAACAATTCTAGAGAAAGGTTAATTCTGATACCCATGAACAATTCAATATAGAAAATTGCTCAAGGGAAGTTAGAAGAGAAGTAGAAACAAATGTCATGTTAAGGTGTTAATAATGTGTTAAGCAGATTAGTATGTTTCACATTTAGAAAACTGTGGTGCAAAGTGAGGTCTTTAAGAAGATCAACTGTTAAGAAATGTCAGTTTGGTTCAACAGCCCCAACTTTGTTAAACATATTTAAGAGCCAGGTGAGACACATGCTCAACATACCCACTTATCCTTATCTAGAAAGCCTGACCTGAGATTCTGAATCTAAATTTCTGGAAAGTTATTTTATTTTTTATTTTTTTTGTATTTTTAAAACTATGTTTTATTTTTATTATTTTTTAATTATTATTATTATACTTTAAGTTTTAGGGTACATGTGCACAATGTGTAGGTTAGTTACATATGTATACATGTGCCATGCTGGTGTGCTGCACCCACTAACTCGTCATCTAGCATTAGGTATATCTCCCAATGCTATCCCTCCCCCCTCCCCCCACCCCACAACAGTCCCCAGAGTGTGATGTTCCCCTTCCTGTGTCCATGTGTTCTCATTGTTCAATTCCCACCTATGAGTGAGAATATGTTATTAATGAGCCCAGGAGCAGTGGCTCATGCCTGTAATCCCAGCACACTGGGAAGCCGAGGTGGGCAGACTGCTTGAGCTCTGAGCCCGGCAAACCCTGTCTCTACAAAAAAATACAAAAATTAGCCAAGTGTGGTGGCGTGTGCCTGTAGTCCCAGCTACTTGGGAGGCTGAGGTGGGAGGATGGCTTGAGCCCAGGAGGCGGATGTTGCAGTGAGCTGAGATCATGCCACTGCACTCTAGCCTGGGTGACAAAGCCACACCCTGTGTCACACACACACACACACACACACACACACACACACAGTTATGAATGAGATCAAAGCACAGAAATTAAACATACATACGCACTCACTAAAAACAGGAAAACTGCTTCGCTCTTGTCTGATCAAAATAATTCTAACTATATTGGTGGTTTAACAGCAGAGCATGACATAAAGTTTATCACCTACGGTGTGTGTTTTTACCTTGGGCAAGTGATTAAATGTGTCCTCTGATAAAAAATATGGTTAAGAACATATACTCCAGAAGGTGTTTTAAGGAATAGATTAAAACATGTATATTAAAGCACTTTGTGGGTGCTATATAACCATTTTAATGATTACTATCCTTTGTACAAGAGATTCTTGGGTAGTTAACAAGATTAGAAGTGAAAATGACTGAAACAGTAATAGTAAATAATTTCTCATATATCTGACATCTTCAGTTATGCTTCAAATAATTTACAAGGTTTGTTATTTATCCCCTAAAAAAATTATTTAGCAGTAAAAAATTAGATGTCTGAACATTTCACATGGATACCATAAGGCCAAGGATCAATAAATCTAATGAAATACTCACACCAGGAAACGCAGTTTTTCACTTTGTATTATTTTGTTGCTCATAGTCACAGTTGAAACATACTGAATGCTTCTGGAAGGCTGAGGGAATTCGAATGAATGTCAAATGCTTGCCTCAACAGAAAATTAACTAAGACTTAATGGCTTTCCATTGAGAAAGAAGAAAAACAAAACATAAGTAAGGGAAGACAAGGATGCCATACACCACAATAACCACTGGGAAAGCCCTAATTTGCCATCCAAAGCCTCAGCAACCATTATCACATTTGAGATATTATGTAGTGTAAGAGTAACTGGCATACAACCACATCCATTTATGAGTTATATTATTTAGACATTAAATACTCATCTGTATTCCTTATACCAATGACAAATAATCTAAGAAAGCAAACAATTGTTTAAAAATAGTTTCACCTATTTATAGGAGCTAAAATTTCCTCATGGTATGGCTTTTCCACAAGATCACATGACATTTTTTTTGCTTTAACAAAATATACTTGGATAAAGTATTATGAGTCTCTTGCCTTGACTTTAAATTC
Source organism: Homo sapiens (assembly GCF_000001405.40). NCBI lineage: Eukaryota > Metazoa > Chordata > Mammalia > Primates > Hominidae > Homo > Homo sapiens. Next base: position 31,286,470 of record NC_000017.11, on the reverse strand, counting down.
TACAAAAAAAGCTGCAGGTCATTAAGTATGAGCTTAGAGACACCTTGTAAAAGCTAAAGTCTCTTTAAAACATATTAAAATAGGCTGGGTGTGGTGGCTCACGCCTGTAAGCACTTTGGGAGCCAAGACAGGCAGATTACCTGAGGTCAGGACTTGGAGACCAGCCTGGCCAACAGAGCAAAACCCTGTCTCTACTAAAAATACAAAAATTAGCCGGGTGTGTTGGTGCACACCTGTAATCCCAGCTACTCGGGAGGCTGAGGCAGGAGAATCACTTGAACCCAGTAGGTGGAGGTTGCAGGGAGCCAAGATTGCCCCAATGCACTCCAGCCTGGGCAACAGAGCAAGACTCCATCTCAAAACAAAAAACAACAAAAAAGCATATTAAAATTATTTAAAGGATCAAGGAATCACTTGAAGTTAGTAAAAAATATTCGTATATTAACTATGAGTTGACTATAAACTGATTTTAAATTTAAACATAAATGTCACACATGATACACCTCATTTTCTGTATTATTTCTTCAAAGTAGTCAGGTTGGATCGCTATACTTTTACTCCAATGATACCATCGTTACTGAAAACAACTCTGGGGCTGTTCCTTTCAAATACCACTAAGAGCTAGTTTGTAAGTTACATAAGAAAACTTTTTTTAAGACAGGGTCTCACTGTCACCCAGGCTGGAGTGCAGCCTTGACCTCCTAGGCTAAAGTGATTCTCCGATCTCAGCCTCACAAGCAGCTGAAACTACAGGCTCTCATCACCACACTCTACTAATTTTTTGTACAGGTGATGGGGTTTCATCATGTTGCCTAGGTTTGTCTCGAGCTCCTGGGCTCAAGCAATCTACCTGCCTTGGCCTCCCAAAGTGCTGGGACTACAAGTGTGAGCCCCCATGTCCAGCAGAAAAACCTCATCTTAAACAAAAAACAGTATTACTAAACGTGACATTTTGTCTTGCTTATCAAAAAATTTCAAGTATGAGATTTTCCACATTCTACAAGAATGTATTTCAGACTTTGACAACACTTCCAAAAAATTATTTCCCTAAAATGTTGTGCTCAAAGGCAGCAAAGTTGGAACTAAGTGCATCACCTCCAAAGGTGACTCTTCTGAGATGAACAACGTTCATTTGGATGCATTTATTCTTACATGGTTGTTTCAGAATTTTTCCTTTTTTTTTTTTTTTTTTTAAACAGAATCTCACTCTGTCTTGCCCAGGTTGGAGTGCAGTGGTGCGATTTCGGTTTACTGCAACCTCTGCCTGCCGGGTTCAAGCAATTCTCCTGTCTCACCCTCCCAAGTAGCTGGGACTATAGCCATGTGCCACCACACTTGGCTATTTATTTATTAAGATGGAGTCTCATGCTGTCACCCAGGCTGGAGTGCAGTGGCATTATCTTGGCTCACTGCAACCTCTGCCTCCCGGGCTCAAGCGATTCTCCTGCCTCAGCCTCCTGAGTAGCTGGAATTACAGGCGCGCAAAGCATGCCCGGCTAATTTTTGTATTTTTAGAAGAGATGGGGTTTTGCCATGTTGGCAGGCTGGTCACGAACTCCTGACCTCAAGTGATCTGCCCACCTCGGCCTCCTAATGTGATGGGATTACAGGCGTGAGCCACCACGCCCGGCCTCCACATTGTTTTACAGACTTAAACTTCATAAATACATCCCAATGGATTATTTCCTTTGAGGATTATACACTTAAACTGAAATAAATGAACCATAGGTGATTCAAAAAAACTTTTGGCCGGGCACAGTGGCTTATGCCCGTAATCCTAGCACTTTGGGATGCCGAGGTGGGTGGATCACCTGAGGTCAGGAGTTCTATGAGACCAGCCTGGCCAACATAGCGAAACCCCGTCTCTATAAAATATACAAAAATTAGGCCAGGCACGGTGGCTCATGCCTGTAATCCCAGCATTTTGGGAGGCCGAGGCAGGCGGATCACTTCAGGTCAGGAGCTCAAGACCAGCCTGGCCAAAATGGTGAAACCCCATCTCTACTAAAAATACAAAACTTAGCTGGGCATGGTAGCACATGACTGTTTAATCTCAGCTACTCGGGAGACTGAGGCAAGAGAAGCTCTTGAACCTGGGGGGCGGAGGTTGCAGTGAGCTGAGATCTCACCATTGCACTCCAGGCTGGGTGACATAGTGAGACTTTATCTCAAAAAAAAAGAAAAAACAAAACAAAACAAAAATTAGCCAGGTATGATGGTGCATGCCTGTAATCCCAGCTACTCAGGAGGCTGAGGCAGGAGAATTGCTTGAATCCAGGAGGCAGAGTTTGCAGTGAGCAGAGATCATGCCACTGCATTCCAGCCTAGGCAATAAGAGTGAGACTTGGTCTCAAAACAAACAAACAATAACAAAAATCTTTTTACAGAGCAACAGATGGACTGCAACCACTAACATTTTTTGTATGTGTCAAGTCATAACCACCAGATTATTCAGAATGTATCAATCACTAAATTATCTTTGTTGTACAAGGCAAAGACTTGCTTTACCACTAACACCCAAGTAATGTGGATTACTTATATAAACCAAGTTATCACAGAAAACAAAACCACTCAAGAAATCTTCTGGCTCAAATGAGAATTCCAATTCCAATCACTAGGATTAAATAAAGTCTTTTTCCTTCAAACCGTAGTCATGTAGGTCTATAATTAAAACTGGTAATTAGGCCTAATAAGGTGGCTCATGCCTGTAATCCTAACACTTTGGGACGCCAAGGTGGATCATTTGAGTCCAGGAGCTTGAGATCAGCCTGGGCAACATGACAAACCCTGTCTCTACAAAAAATACAAAAATCAGCTAGACATGGTGTTTCTACAAAAAAATACAAAAATTAGTCTGGCATGGTGGTGCACACCTGTAGTTCCAGCTACTCAGGAGGCTGAGCTGGAAGGATCACTTGAGCCCAGGGAGGCTGAGGCTGTAGTGAGCTGTGACTGCGTCACTGCACTTCAGCCTGGGCGACAGAGTGAGACCCTGTCCCAAAAAAACAAAAACAAAAAAACTGGTAATTAGTGTTTTTTTTTGTTTGTTTTTTTGAGATGGAGTCTCACTCTGTCGCCCAGGCTGGAGTGCAGTGGCGCCATCTCAGCTCACTGCAAGCTCCGCCTCCCAGGTTCACGCCATTCTCCTGCCTCAGCCTCCCGAGTAGCTGGGACTACAGGTGCCCGCCACCACGACCAGCTAAGTTTTTGTATTTTTAGTAGAGACGGGATTTCACTGTGTTAGCCAGGATGGTCTCGATCTCCTGACCTCGTGATCCGCCCGCCTCGGCCTCCCAAAGTGCTGGGATTACAGGCGTGATCCACTGCGTCCGGACTTAGTTTTAATACTATCATTGAATAATTACATACAAAACCTAGATTCTCTGTATATCCAGATAAAGACATCTAAGACCCGGAAGTTAAAGTTCAAAGTGTGAACAGAAAATTTATACTCCAAGATGGTCATTGTTAAACAGTAATAGACTTGGCTATGGTTTAGAAAAGGAGGGATTTATCAAAATTTGTCTAGAAAGACAGACAATATCAAGTGTTGGGTGAAGATGTACAGAAATTCAAACTCTCATTCACTGCTGGTAGCAATGTAAAATAATGCAGCTACTTTGGAAAATCATTTGGCAGTTCCTCTAAAGTTAAACACTGAGGTACCATATGACTCAATTCCACTCCTAGATATGTATCTAAAAAAACTGAATGCATACGTCCACACAAACGCTTATATATTGTATGAATACAATAGAATATTATTCAGCTATAAAAAGGGATAAAGTTCTGATACATGCTACAACATGGATGAATCTTGAAAATATTAAAGTAAAAGAAGGCAGTCACAAAAGAGCACATATTGTATGATTCCACTTATATGAAACATCTAAACTGTGCAAATCCATAGAGACAGAAAGTAGATCAGTGGTTGCCAGGGGCTGAGGGGGGGCAGGAGGAAAGGGGAGAGTGACTGTTGATGGCTATGAGGTTTCTTTTTGGAGTGATGAAAATGTTTAAAATTAGACAGTGGTAATGAGTACACAACTCTGAATATGCAAAATTGTATACTTTTTTTTTTTTTTTTTTGAGATGGAATCTCGCTCTGTCACCCGGGCTTGAGTGCTGTGGCGCTATCTCAGCTCACTGCAAGCTCCGCCTCCCAGGTTCAAGCCATTCTCCTGCCTCAGCCTCCCAAGTAGCTGGGACTACAGGTGCCTGCCACCGCGCCCAGCTGATTTTTTGTATTTTTAGTAGAGACGGGGTTTCACCGTGTTAGCCAGGATGGTCTTGATCTCCTGACCTCGGGATTCACCTGCCTCGGCCTCCCAAAGTGCTGGGATTACAGGCGTGAACCACCACGCCCGGCCCAAAATTGTATACTTAAAAAAAAGATTTTTTTTTTTTTTTCCAGACAGGGTCTCTCTCCATTGTCCAGGCTGGAGTGCAGTGGCTTGATCTCAGCTTGCTGCAGCATCAACCTCCCGGGCTCAAGTGATTCTCCCACCTCAGCCTCCTGAGTAGTTGGGACTACAGGCATCAACCACCACATCCAGCTAATTTTTGCAATTTTTTTTGTAGAGGCAGGGTATCACTATGTTGCCCAGGCTGGTCTCGAACTCCTGGACTCAAGTGACTCTCCCAACCTCAGTCTCCCAAAGTGCAGGGATTATAGGTGTGAGCCACTGTGCCCAGGCAATTGTACACTTCAAAAAGGGTGAATTTCATTTCAATGAATTTTTTTTTTTTAAACTTGCCTAGGGGGTCAGAGTCAGGTTATCAAGATGGGTATTAAATGGAAAGGATAATGTCCCATGATAAAGGAAGGGCATTCAAACCAGGTGGAAAAGAGTATGCAAAAGCAGAGAGACATGTGAGGATGTCAGGGCATGGCAAAGGGGGCAATGGTGAGATGGTCAGCATAGCTGAAGCACCAAGTAGAGTTTAAAGCATCCTTCTACAGACATTACCCAACACTATGATGATTTAAGATGATTAACCAGTATTATTCCATATAAATGATCAATTGAGACAAATGCTTTTAAGACTTTTTTCTAGCATTATAGTGGAGATAATGTACAAAACATTCATTTGTCATTCTGAGCTTTTTGGGCAGACTTTGTGGCTTAGCCAGCTCCTAGAGTCTTCTTGGATCAACTGCCCTGATGATACCTTCAACAATGTGTCATAAACACTTCCCTGAGAATAGCCCAGAAGTTCACACAGGCTTACTTGGAATCACATCAACAACAGTAGAATCATCAGATTTTCAGAATACAAGGTCAGCATCTAGCCTCTTACCAAAATGACTTTCGATCTGCTTTGGCTCAGCAATCGTGCAAGTAAGGTGAGCTGTATAACAGATTATGAAGAGACTTGTATGAGATGCTAAAAAATATTTTTATAAGCCAGTGACTTTTTGAAATGTAGTACATATATGATTGGGTGCTACATGAAACAGGCATTTCATAGTTCTATATTTCCTTTTACTGTTGCCTTTTGTTGGTTTTCTAGTTATGGCAATCAATATTGATTTTCCATTCACAGTATAAACTTTCCTTTAAGAAAAAAAAGTCTATAAAAATACTGAATAAATAATATAGATGGTTATGAAGAAATGGCAAAAAAAAAAAAAATCCCCGAAGTAATACATGAATACCTTAAGCAAGAAAACTTAGCTAAAAGGAGCACATAAAGATTTTACCTGGAAGTGAAATGGTCACATTTCAGAGAGATGATTCTGGCAGTAATGTGTAAGATGGAGGCAATCTTACACCGGGGTAAAATACCGGTGACAAATACTCCAATTAGGAAATTGTTGTAATAGCCTAGACCAGAGGTCAGCAAAGTATGGCCCACTTACAATATCCTTCCCACAGCCTGCTTGTGACCTATTTTTGTATGGCCTCCAGGCTAAGTATGATTCTTACTTTTTTTTTTTTTTTTTTTTTTTTGAGACAGAGTCTCACTCTGTCGCTCAGGCTGGAGTGCAGTGGCGCGATCCCGGTTCACTGCAACCTCTGCCTCCCGGGTTCAAGCGATTCTCCTGCCCCAGCCTCCTGAGTAGCTGGGATTACAGGCACATACCCACACACCACCACGCCCAGCTAATTTATCTTTAGTAGAGACGGGTTTTCACCATGTTGGCCAGGCTGATCTTGAACTCCTGACCTCGTGATCCACCCTGCCTCGGCTTCCCAAAGTGCTGCAATTACAGGTGTGGGTTCTTACATTTCTTTCTTTTTTAAAAAAAAAAAAAATTAAAAAAAAACTTTATATGGGCTATAAAGCCTAAAATGTTTACTATTTGGTCCTTTACAGAAAAAATTTGCCAACCCCAGCTTAGACAACTGCTGAAGCTACCAAATAAGTTGGTAGCATGAGAGTGAAGCATAAAACAAAATTTCTGAAGCAGAATCAGTAAGACTTAATGACTAATCAGATGTATGTGGTAAGAGCAGGTAAAAATTAAGATTCTATAAACTCAGACAGATAGGGATACTATCATCCAAGAGAAGAAAACAGAAAGGAGAGCATCTTTTTAAAATTAAATCATTTTTCTTTGATTATGAAAAATAAGTGACAACAAGCCAAAATTAGATAACAGACTTACAGTATTATACCATTAGGAAGACAAACTTGCTCAAAGATGGGCATTCACCCTGAGAACCTATGTTTTACAACTATGGAGAAATGTGTTCTTTTTCCTATATTAGATTTCTAAAATGAAGAGGCTGAGATTTTACTATTGAAGAGAATCATGCTTATATACAATTCTAGAAGGTACTCACAATTAGGCCTCTCATAACAATGGCCTGTCTTTTTGCATATCCATTGTTCACAAAACTCCCAAATAGTTTCTTCCTTTTTTTTTTTTTTTTAAAGAGGCTGGAATTCTCCTTTGTTGCCCAGACTGGATTCTGAGCTCAAGCGATCCTCCCACCTCAGGCTCCCAAGTAGCTAGGATTACAAAATAGTTTCTTGAAAAACAACTGTCTACGCTAAAAAGCCACTTTTCAGTGCTATATACTACTAAAATGTTTTAAATGTTCTACTTTTAAATATAGGTTACAAACCTAGTAGCATAAAAATTTTAATCCTGAAAACCTGAATTGCTTTCAGACAACATCAGGTGCATTCAGGGTGGTATGGCTGTAGGCCTGAACTGCTTTCAGAAATAACCAAACATACATAAATTCATTTCAAAACAAAATTTTTTTGAGACAGGGTCTCGCTCTGTCCCCTTAACTGGCTGAAGTGCGGTGGTGGGAACATAGCTCACTGCAACCTTGAACTCCTGGGGTCAGGCGATCTACTTGCCTCAGCTTCCCAAGTGGCTAAGACTATACAGGTGTGTGCCACCACACCTGGCTAATTTTTTTTTAAATGTACTTTGTAGAGACAGGGTCTCATGATGTTGCCCAGGCTGGTCTCAAACCCCTGGCTTCAAGTGATCCTCTTGCCTTGGCCTTCCAAAGCACTGGGATTATAGGCATGAGCCACTGAAGCTGACCTCATTTCAAAATTTTAGAAGTCCTATTTAAAAGAGACATGAAGGCCAGGCGCGGCGGCTCACGCCTGTAATTCCAGCACTTTGGGAGGCTGAGGTGGGCAGATCACCTGAGGTCAGGAGTTCCAGACCAGCCTGGCCAATGTGGTGAAACCCCATCTCTACTAAAAATACGAAAATTAGCCAGGCGTGGTGGCAGGCACCTGTAATCCCAGCTACTCAGGAGGCTGAGGCAGGAGAATCACTTGAATCTGGGAGGTGTAGGTTGCAGTGAGCTGAGATCGTGCCACTGCACTCCAGCCTAGGCAACAAGAGCGAAACTCTGTCTCAAAAAAAAAAAATAATAAAAAAATAAACGAATGAATGAATGAGACATGAGGCACAGGTGCAATGAGCATAGACATGGCATAAAACTTAATAGGATTTTCTAAAAAAAAAAAAAAAAAAAAAAAAAAAAAAAAAAAAAAGCTTCAATTACCAAGGCAATGTCTGTGCAAATATCACTCAAGAAAAGATCTCTGTGTTCTTTTCAAAAAAAAAAAAAAAAAAAAAACCCAAAAAATCCAAAAAGACCAAAGAAAAAAATTACAGAAGGGAAAACTGGACCTGTTTCTAAAGTAAAATATTAAAACTGCAATTTGAAATTCTCAAGAAAGTGCTATATGAAATTTATGATCATTCTCATCATTTTCAGAAATTACTTTTTTCCATTTTCTTAAGAATTTTGGAAGAATCAATACGTGAGGGAAGACAGTTCTGGAAACATTTCAAAAACAGATCAACGGAAAGTAATGTAAGTATATAAAGAAAGACACAATTTTTTAACTTAATTTTTGTTTTTTAGAGACAAGGTCTTGCTCTGTTGCTCAGGTTAGGGTATCCATAGCTCACTGTAGCCTTGAATTTCTGGGCTCAAGCAATCCTCCTACATCAGCCTCCTGAGTTGCTGGGACTATAGCTCACATCCCACCATGCCTGGTGATTTTAGGAAGATGATACAGTGTACATACAGCTTGTAGCAATTAAGGTTCTAGCAGGAAACAGGTGGCAAATTCAAACTGAGATATTAGAGATTATGTATAAAGGAGAAGGCAGGTTTTAAGGAAACTCTTAAGAGACAGTGTGATACTACACCTGAAGTAGTGAGTGCAGGAAGCAGTTAGCAGAAAGCAGACACAGAGTAGGTTGTGTGGAGAGGGTCACCCAACAAAAACCATACTGCATGGATGGATGTAGCCAGCCCACTGGGACCCTGCAGAAACGGAGCCAAAAATATATACCTCCTAACCTTACTCTCTTTCTTCTCCCTAATCTTCCGCTTGTATTCCCTATGGGCCAGCTGAAAGCCAGAAAGGAGGGGAGCCCAATGATACCCTCTACACAGGTCAGCCTCTTAGGGTACACAGCAGGGTAAAGAACAGAGTGGATTTGAAGAGGCAAAGGCAAGATGTCCAGCATGTAGTTATGTTAGTCAGCACGAACTAATTTCTGTCACAAATAATCCCAAAATATCACTGGCTAAGACAACAAAAGTTAATTTCTCTTAAATCATGCTTTCTAATGGTTTTACCATCTTCTGGCGTCTTGGAGACCCCCTCCACTGAACCGTCTGTTTCTAGTAGGCGTTGATAGAAGAAAGCAAGAATGGAAGATTGGTGAGAAGTTAGACATCAGGCTTAAAAATCATATACAGTTGACCCTTAAACAACATGGCTTTGAACCATGCTGATCCACTTATACAGAGGTTTACTTCCACCTCTGCCAGCCCGGGGACAGTAAGACCAATCCCTCTTCTTTCTCCTCCACCTACTCAACATGAAGATAAAGAGGATGAAGACCTTCGTGATAATCCACTTCCACTCAGAGAACAGTAAATATATTTTCTCTTCCTCATGATTTTCTGGGTAACAATTTCTTTTCTGGAGCTTATTTCACTCTAAGAATATAGCATATACAACATTTAACTTACAAAACATGTTAATCTGTTTATGTTATCAAAAGGCTTCCGATCAACAGTCTTATTAGTAGTTTAGTTTTTGGGGAGGCAAAAGTTATACGTAGATTTTCCATTGCGTGGAGATTCAGTGCCCCTAACCCCAGTGTTGTTCAAGGGTCGATTGTACATCATTGGAACTGACATTTTACTGGCCAGAACTCAGTCAGATGGTACCACCTAACTATCAGAATGCTAAGAGTGGTATGGTGCTGTGCCCAGAAGGAAGAAGAGAAACATGAATATGCTAAGTACTATTCTTATCATGTATTATGTAACACTCCAGTAGAAAATGGAACAGCACCCCAAAATCAATCTCATCAATATTTCTGCAGCGCAACATTAATATCCACACTAAGTGAAACAAAGATAGCTAAAAACCTCCCATCTATGCAGATAAGGCATTTGCACCAAATAAATTTTGGTGTCAAACTTTTTTATTTTTTGATAAAACTTAAGGTTTTTGGAGGATTTGGGGTTTCAGATTACAGACAAGGGATTATGAATGTGCATTATGATCCACATTGTACAAATGAAGAAATCTTCTCAAAACAGCAGCCAGGAAAGTAGAGATGAAAGTTAAACTCAAGCCTGTGCCTTCCAAATTTATGCTAATGTGAAGGGAAAACTGCAAATAACCAAATAACTCTTACTTTAGACATCATTAATGATACCAGCCCTCCGACATGGAGAAACAGGAGGTATTTCAATGAATTCCAATACTTATTGTGCCCCTTTTTTTTTTTTTTTTTTTTTTTTGAGATGGAGTCTTGCTCTGTCCCCCAGGCTGGAGTGCAGTGGTGCGATCTCAGCTCACTGCAACCTCCACCTCCTGGATTCAAGCGATGCTCCTGCCTCAGCCTCCCAAGTAGCTGGGACTACAGGCGCATACCACCAAGCCTGGCTAATTTTTTGTATTTTTAGTAGAGATGGGGTTTCACCGTGTTAGCCAGGATGGTCTCCATCTCCTGACCTCGTGATCTGCCCACCTCGGCCTCCCAAAGTGCTGGGATTACAGGCATGAGCCTGTGTCCTATTCTTTATAACTGGCCCTGTGTCCTATTCTTTATAAACACTCACTATATTAGAAGCTAGAGGGAATAGAAGGAATAAGAGGTGGTATCTTACCACAAAAAAAGCCAGAATATGGTGGAAGATTTAGTTTCTTTAGTGAAAATGAGACTCTGATCAAAGTATAAAGTACTAAAATGACTGATTCTGACGTGAAGAATTAGGGAAGGATCGTATAAAAGGTGCTGACATGAGTGGAGCTTGAAGAAACAACACAATTTTGAATGAGGAAAGTACAGTAGTACCCCCTTAACTGTGGGGGATATGTTCCAAGACCCCTCAGGGATACCTGAAACCACAGAATTACAGTATTGAACCCAATATATGCTGTGTTTTTCTCCTATACAGAAATACCTGTGATAAAGTTTAATTATAAATTAGGCACAGTAAGAGATTAAAAACAATAATAAAATAGAAGTTATAGCAATATACTACAATAAAAGCACATGCACATGGCATCTCTCTCAAAATATCTTATTGTACTATACTCGCCCTTCTTGTGATGATGTGATATGACACAATGCCTATGTGATAAGATGAAGTGGGTTGACTAATGCAGCACTGTGACACAGTGCTAGGCTACTATTAACCTCATGATACATCCAACTTATGTTTATTTCTGGAATTTTCCATTGAGTATTTTCAGACCATGGTGGACCATGGGTAACTGAAACTATGGAAAGTGAAACTTAGGATAAGAGGGGGCTATTATTACACTTTGGGCAAGTTGGGGAGGCTGCACAAAGATACAAAGTTGGTGGGTATTTGAAGACCTGAATAATGGCAAATTGACTATTGTTTGTTTGGGAACATTTGAGTACTAAATAGAATTTAAATTTTACTTAATCATCATGAAGAGGCCTGGAGAGCTTAAGATAAATAAGAAAGAGAAGATAATGAGAAATCCAGTGTTGGAGAAACATTTGGCTAGGTGATGATACAATTAACCAAGAGATTATGAGAAGAATATATCTAGATACAAAAATAGGAAGGAGAAAACACTAACTTCTGAATTTTAAACAAGTTGAGACTGAGGTGTTTGAAGCATCAATAAAGAGTTGTGTAAGTGTAGTACTCAAAAGGTCAAGATTAGAAAAATAGAATAAGTCACAGTTTGCTCAAGTTCGAAACATTACTATTACTATTACTATTACTATTACTATTACCAACTATATACCCCCCAAAGAAATCCACAGAATGAGCAAGTGAGCAGAGAGAGGACAATGACAAACTCCTGTAAATTACTGCAGTACTCCGATTCATAATATCTACTCTGGTTGCCAAGTAGTTTTTTTTTGTTTGTTTACTTCTTAGATCTGACCACATTAACCTCCAGTTAAGTGAAGTTATTATATGTACCATATAAATAAGATTTACCAAGCATGGTTCTATTCATGGTTTATTCATTCAGGGGAAAAATGATCTTCACAGCACAGTAAAACAAGTGAGGAACATGTACTGGCTTGTACTTCTGCCATTTATGTTGCAATTTCCTTGTATGTCAACACCATTGTTCACAGTCCTGCAATTTTTAAAGTGTGCTGGCCAATATGATGAAAACATTAGCAGAATACAACCCAATTTCCCTATATGCTAGTTATCATGGAAAACGGCTGACCAAAAGACAAAATTCCTTCAAAAAATTTACTTTATGCACTTCAAGGTGACTGGTTTAATACATTAAAAAACCATACACAAACACACAAAAGTTTGTAAACTCAGTATGAAAAAGTATCACTTTCATATGTAATCCTTTTCTTAAGTTTCATATTAATGAAGTTTAACTTCTTTTCTAAGGTTACTTTATTTACCAAAAATTAAATACCTGAAATGTTGTATTACTGAATTATTTTTTAAACTTCAAAATAACCATGGGTAGAAACTGCCCTATAAACATATGTACAGATGTTCTAAGGAAAACGCAGACACCTTTAATACACTTACTTGGTTTAAAATCATAATAATCACAGCAGGCAAAATAGTAAATTCATCTAGTTAGAGTCAATCCAGTGAAGCAATTCATTAATGTATACATGGTAAGAGGAATAACAAATGCTATTCACTGGATTCTTTAAATTAGCAAGCAGATTTTAGAACTTTATTTGAATTCTTTAATCTCTGCCAAAGTCTATCTGTTTATATGTAGTTGTCTGGAAACACTCAGTTGGATACTTCCAAAGAGCAAATGGCAGGTCAAGTTTAGAACACATGACTTCCTCACTAATTATATTTAAATAGCATGCAGTGAGTGAGAAATCAGATTCCCCATAGACGCTGGAGAAAGACTGAATTCTTACTCTTCAAAGAAAAATATCAAAAGGTAACATTAATTTGAAATGTTCTCAATTACATATTAGAGCCAAATGTAACTTTTAATATATATGTTAGAGTTCTACAGTTAAAATTTGGGCTTTAAGTCACAGACTTAAGTTCTAGCTTGGGTCATTTTTAGATATGCACCCTCAGGTAAGTTATGCCCCTTGTCTGAGCCCATTTGCAAAATGAAGGAGTTGGTTTTGTTCATTTCTAAATCTTAAAACTATGAACTTCTCTAGTTTGTTATTGTTGTTGTTGTTGTTGTTAATGAAGAAAACCTCATCCCAGCACTGGGGAAATGCTTTGGTTTAACCTCTTTAGTCTTTGGGTAAATATTTAGAAGTAATATCCTAATTTGTGACCTAAACTAAAACCTTAAATTGTTGGAATAAAGGTCATGAGAAATCAAGAAAATACCAATATTTATTTCATTATTTCTTTTGTTGCTCTACTGTCCCAAATTGCCTCTCAGTCTTTGCCCCTACCCTACTCTATACTGATCTCAAGCCCCCATATTTATTGCATTGAATGTCTAGAGTTTTATTTTTTTCCTTTTTTAAATAGAAAAATGCCAATTAAGCTCTTTTTCAGTCTTGGGATTGTTTTTGCCTTCAGTTGGTAGCCCTCAATAGAAAATAGGTCTTGTGTCAGCAGATGTTGACAACAAAGAAAGGGAAGCTTTTAATTTGTTCACTAATAGTGAAAAAGCAAACATTTACATAACACAAATGTACTGATAAACACAATTAAGGATATATGCTTGCCTATTTGTGATCCAAGTGTTCAATTAAAATTATATAATTATTGTGAAACAGAGGAGGATGATGTTCAAGCTATCACCGATTGGCCTGCTCTTCATGTTTGTTAACATTCCGGGGACAAACTTCAACATCAACAACCTCAAATTCTATGGCAGTATCCAATCCTGCGTCAAGCCTGAATCCCGGGACCAGACCTAATCCCAGGAAGAGCACCAATCCCAGAATGAACCCCAATCCTGGGATAAGCCCAGATCTCAAAATGACCTCGAGTCCCAAGATGACTCCAAATTCCAAGACAAGTCTGAATAGAGCAGTGACCCCAAAGAGCCACAACTATGAATATGAATACTGTGACAAATGGTAGCACCAATCCTGGGACAAGCCCAAATCTCAAAATGACCTCAAATCCCTAGATGACTCCAAATTCCAAGACAAGTCTGAATACAGCAGTGACCCCAAAGATAGCCACAACTATGAATATGAACACTGTGACAAATGGTAGCACCATACTCAATCCAATGGACAACATTTATTTTCTATGTAATATTTTTGCTGTTTTGTGTATACTTGCACTCAGGCTGAAGTGAACTTCAACTGCCTGCATTCTTATCTCAGTTTCTTATTATTGCTGAATGACAAGCATGCTAGGAAAATATCATTTATTTCAATTTACTATTTAAGAAATTATCATCTTGATTTTTTTTTGCAAATTATAATTGTGTACGTTTAAATATTAACTTAATATGATGTTTTCCTTCCATATGAAAGAAGTATGCACTACCTTATTAAATGCTGAAACAAGCAAAATACCATGTTTGCCTTTTAAATGTTTGCAAAACTGAACCAAAACTCAGATATTTATATTAAAGGTGTAAGAGAAGAAATTATGTAGGTGGGGTGTGTGTGTGTGTGTGGTGTATGTGAGAGAGAGCACACACATGAGAGTGAGAGAGCGAGTGAGCAACAGTGACAGAGAGATGAAGGATAGGGGATAGGGGATAGAGGATGGGGGTGTGGGATAAGGAGTGGTATGGGGGAAGTTGTTTTTGTATTTTATTTTTATTTTTTTGAGACAGAGTTTCACTCCTGTTGCCCAGGCTGGAGTGCAATGGCATGACCTCAGCTCACTGCAACCTCCACCTCCTGGGTTCAAGCAATTCTCCTGCCTCAGCCCCCAGAGTAGCTGGGATTACAGATGCCCACCACCACGCTCGATTAATTTTTTGTATTTTTAGTAGAGGGGTTTCACCATGTTGGCCACGCTGGTCTCAAACTCCTGACTTCAGGGGATCTACCCGCCTTGGCTTCCCAAAGTGCTGAGATTACAGGTGTGAGCCACCATGCCCGGTCTATATTTTATTTTTTATTAAACAGACAAAAAATGCTAATCTGATAAACTAAAGCGCTCTACAAAATAACACATTCATCTGTATTAACATATTTCATGAATGTGTTAATAGTAATATGTCATTTCGCTAAGAAAAGGTGCCAATTCTGCTAACCTTTGTAATGTATAATGATATTGCGCCAATGACAAGATTATCTTATATTGAGTACACTCTTGTCTTATGTTTCAAAAAACCATTTGTAAATCAGATGCCTGGAATCGAGAACTTATTTTCCCCAGAGTAATATATCTCATAACTGTTGGTTAGGTTTTCATGCTCATCTACAAAGATTTACCCAAGCATACAATTATAATAGTAATAAGCATGTAATTAATAGTGCATTTGTTAAGAGCTTTGGCTTAGGTTTGAAACCGAATTCTGATTCTTACTAGTTGTGCTACCATGAATTAAGTACATGACCCAGTGAGATTCCCAAACTTTAGTAATAAATGAAACACTTGGAGTGCCTGTTAAATATATAAATAAGGCCCTGCCCCTGAGATTTTGGTTTGGAAATGGGGGCTGGGGATATGTTTGTTTTAATGTTCCAGATCATTCTGATAGCCATGTTTGGGTTTCAGTTTATACGTACGTCAATTAATTGTTAATAATATCTCAGAAGGTTATTATGTAGATTAAATGAGAAATTATGTAATATGCACAGTTTCCTGATGCAGAGAAAGCACTTAGGAAATGTTAGCTATTATCATTATTTACTACTACCACCCAAAAAGCAATTGCCAGGTATCACAATATTCCTAAGAGGAAAACTCTTCTTTGTAACTTGGGGTTTTTGTTTTGTTTTGTTTTAATGTATTCTTTCAGAGAAGGCCTCACTCTGTTGCCCAGGCTGGAGTACAGTGGTGTGATCTCGGCTCAATGCAGTCTTGACCTCCCAGGATCAAGTGATCCTCCCACCTCAGCCTCCTGAGTAGCTGGGGCTACAGGTGTATGCCACAATGTACGGCTGATTTTTGTATTCTTCCGTGGTGACAGGGTTTCACCATGCTGCCCAAGCTGATCTCAAACTCCTGAGCCCAAGTGATTTCCCCGCCTTGGCCTCCCAAAGTGCTGGGATTACAGGTGTGAGCCACCTTGCCCGGCCACTTTGGGGTTTTATATTTTTAATTATTCTTACAAAAACAATATATGCTCCTGGCAAGCCAAACAACATAGAGATAGATAACAGAAATATTAAATTGGTCCTCTATCTCCTCCAATCACACTTCTGAGATAAGCAATGTGAACAGTTAATATGTATACTTTCATACATTTCTCAGTCTACACATACACATGTGCAGGTGCACACACACACTGTCGTGTACCTTGTAAGGTAAGTGTCAGAGTCATCTTTCTGGGCCTTTTTAAAGCTGGATGTAGAGGACTTCTGCTACTTCTGCCTGCCCAGTATCCATTTTGCCTCATTCTAGTAACAGCAATTCAATTTTCCTTTGTGAAAACCCTGCCCCCATGCCCTCCTTTTAGTTCATGCAATTTGGATAGGGCTGGCTTTACCACTGCATTCCAGGAAGGGGCACATGATCCAGGCCTAGATAACCAAGAAATTCCATCCCCCTTGCCATAGTGACTGCCTTAGGAATGGCATGTGACTCACACCAGGCCAGTAAGACCAACCACTTTTGCTGAAACCACAAAACTGGGAAAGAGGTGTTTTTCCTCTGGGATTGTTAAGCTGGGAGAACACAAACCATTACCAGCCACAGCTAGGGAGCAGCTGCTTGGGAATAAAACCGACACAAAGAAAGTAGAGTTAAGAGCCAGAGAAGACAGATGTTCTGCAGATGATACTGTTTAAAGCTCTGCAGCTAGTCATGCAAGAAACTAATACATCTCTTGATTTTCTTAGGTACATGAGTCAATAAATTCCTTTTTGGCACACATAAATTTGAATTGCATTTCTGTCACTTGTAACAAGCAAAATTAACACATTGCCTTATTCCCTAATGTAAATGTATCATCATTTATTCAACAATTCCCCTTTTGAAACACAACTCTATTGTTTTCCTTTTTGTTGCCACTATATAAACAATGTTGCAACAATGTCCTTGTATTATGCTACCTTACCACAGGGCAAGAGCATAAGTATATTGGATGGAATAGAAGGAAAAGATTAGAAAAGTACATTAGGCCAAAATTACCTTGCATGTTTGACTACAGAACTTGGACTTTATACAGGGAGTCAATGGGACAGACAAGCTTTCTACTGGAAACTGGCTCCAGAAGAAATGTTAAGATTACCTAGAAGTAGTCAACTGGTGATGAAGGAGGAGGAGAATAATGCTACATTAGTATAGGTAAGACACAGAGTTCCAGCAAAGCAGTGGGGGAAAATGGTTTCGAAAGACATTGCCAAGGTACGTAATAGTAATATTAGACCATTAAGGTCCAACTAAAAAAAAAAATTAGGCCAGGTGTGGTGGCTCACATCTGTAATTCCAGCACTTTAGGAGGCCAAGGCAGGAGGATTGCTTGAGCCCAGGAGTTCAAGCCCAGCCTGCGCAACATAGCAAAACCTCATCTCTACAAAAAAAATAATAATAATAAATTAGCCAGCTGTGGTGGCACACACCTGTTGTCCCAGCTACTTGGGAGTATGAGGCAGGAAGATTGTTTGAGCCTGGGAGCTAGAGGCTGCAGTGAGCCATGGTAGTGCCACTGCACTCCAGCCTAGACAACAGAGTGAGACCCTGTCTCAAAAACAAAACAAAAAAAATTAAAACACATACCTAAGAACAGCCCCTGATGAAGAAACAGCACCAAGTGGTCACTTTTTTTTTTTTTTTTTTAGACAGAGTCTTGCTCTGTCACCAGGCTGGAGTGCAGTGGTGCAATCTTGGTTCACTGCAACCTCCACCTCCCGGGTTCAAGCAATTCCCCTGCCTCAGCCTCCCGAGTAGCTGGGACTACAGCCACGTGCCACCACGCCTGCCTAATTTTTTGTGTTTTAGTAGAGATGGGGTTTCATCATGTTGGCCAGGACGGTCTTGATCTCCTGACCTCATGATCTGCCCGCCTCAGCCTCCCAAAGTGCTGGGATTACAGGCATGAGCCACCGCGCCCAGCCAAGTGGTCACATTTTGAATCACATGACTGCTGGGCCAGGAGCACATACTGGACATAGGGGCAGCCAGTAATCAACTGGCTGGCCAGAACCTAACATTAAAGTTTCTGCCAAGCAGAGATGCTTTTTAGCTGAATCATATTTTCTTTCTGGAATTTCAGATGTGCAGTACTGAGATAATGAACGGGTTACTATCTGGGGCAAAAGCTGAAAGGATACAGAAAGATGAAAATCATGAGGAAGAGTTGAACACAAAACCGAGAGACAGTCAAAGAGCATAGCCAGTTCCAGCACCACAGCCATCTAGTTCTCTATATCTGGGTAGGCTCTGCGCTAATTCATGCTTTTCCTAAAAACTATCCTTGAGAAAATACAAATGACTGCTTTGCAATAAAAGCCTAACTAAAACAACTTAACTGATTGCCCAGGATCTCACAGGTAAAACCAAGATTTGGTGACTAACAATGAGAAAGACAATAAGAGGAAAGAATTTAAAATGATTAGGGTCTCTAGATGGGGAACTAGAAGGGATGATGATGGTACTGAGAAACAGAAATACGGTGTGAAGAGGAGGTTGATTTGAAGATATACTGAATTAAGTTTTGGACATTTCAAGTCTGAAACGTCTGTGGACCATCGATAAGGAAATTAGAAAATCCACAATTCAAAAAGCATTACTTAATACATAGTAGTCTAAGCCACAGAAACACAGGAATATCAAAAGAGAAGTCAAACCCAAGTGCTCTTTGACAAAACTGACGGCATACAGACAGACAAGACCTTCATAATGGAGTAAATGGATGCTCTGCTCTGATATACTGTGTACTCATCTGTCTTGGAGCTAGGCTTCACACCAGGTGAAAATGAAGGTCAGGAGGAGCTCCAGTAGGTCTAAGTAAGAAACTAAAAGGATTGAAAATCTGAAACTGACAGTGCCATATCCCCCAAAAAAAGAATGAAAGAAAAAAAGAAAATCTCAAATTTACTCCTTACACAACTTTATAGGTCACAAAACACTTTATAGGAGAGGTAGACAGTTTTTATAAGCACATACCCCAGCTTTAACATATGAAGCAACAGATTTGGAAAAATAAACTTATCTAAGATTATGCAGCTAAGGCCAGGTGCAGTGGCTCACACCTGTAATTCCCAGCACTTTGGGAGGCCGAGGCAGGCAGATCACCTGAGGTCAGGAGTTCAAGACCAGCCTGGCCAATATGGTGAAACCCCATCTCTACTAAAAATACAAAATCAGCCACGCATGGTTCTACATGTCTGCAATCCCAGCTACTCGGGAGGCTAAGACAGGAGAATCACTTGAAGCCAGGAGGTGGAGGTTGCAGTGAGCCGAGATCGCTCCATTGCACTCCAGCCTGGGTGACAAGAGTGAAACTCCATTTCAAAAAAAAAAAAAAGATTATGCAGCTAATAAGCAGCAGAGCTGAGAATTCTTAGCATTCTCAGGCCACAAGACTCAATAGGTTTCATGGAAACCAAACTGATTGAATCTCACTAAGGGATCTGCAGCAGGTCCAATCTTTCCTTTAGCTTTTTCTAGATCACCACAGAGAGGGAATACAAATATAACAGTTTCTGATTCCGAAAAAAAAAAACGCAGCTTTGTTTTCCAGAAATCTTTGCTATTTGTAAACTAATAAGATTTTAAAGAAGAGGGGGAAACACATCTTCTACCTCCCTTACCAATGTTTGCTTTTTACTTAGACAACAACGGAAAAGTAAAAATATCCTGGTTGTATTAAAGGTTGGGGTTAGAATACAAATATGGTTCATCTCAAACGCAAACGAAAATTAAAATGATCTTAGGCAATTTAGAAATGGCAACTGAGATGAGAGCTGGAGAGAGGCCTTTCATGGGAAGGTGAGCAGGGGTTACTTAGAGTTGTTAAAGGGCAGGGGGGTGGCGGGAGGTTCAATGCAATTTTCTTACTTTCTTGATTCCCTAATACTCCAGTCCTTTGGACTTCTTGGTCTTAAGGCTATCTGAATGACCCTATTAGACAAGTTTCCCATCTTCCACTGATCTTCCTTCACCGTCTCTCTACTATTTCTCAACCTTGATTTGTTTCCTACACACTGCCACCTGTGGCCAGCAAGCTGACTAACAATGTAAGTCTACTAACTTAATGGTCATGGATGTTAAATACTGTTAAATTCAGGAAACTGGTAAAGATTAAGTCTATAACTAATGAGTAGCAGAACTAGGTCTAAACATGGTCCTTGAGATTCCAAAGTCAGTGGTTTCTCTATGTATCATGTTGTCTCTAAGGCTCAATTACCATGAATGTATGTCATGGTAAATGGGAAAAAGTAAAACTGACCAAATAACGTCACAGATTGAGTTTTCAAAAGGAAGGTAAAATGAAGCAAAAAAGAAAAGACAATGGTAGGGAAAGCAAGGCAAGCATCATACCTATTATTAAGGAAGAGCTCACAACATTTCCAGAAAGGCTTTCTAGGAACTAGCCTCAACTGAGGGCAGCATGAACAAGCACCGTTTTCCAGGCCACCCCTTGCACCATCTTCATAGAGATTTTTCACCACTCCTTTGAATTATTTTTTAAATCATCCTGATGCTGTCTTACACAGCATATTTTTAAAAGTTCTCAGAAATAGGCTCTTATAGTTTTATTTCTTCCTTTAAAAAAAGTTCCCAGTTATCATGTTGTGAGTACTATTTAATCAGAATATACTTGAAAACAAAAGATTCTTTGTGGGTTTTTAACTCTTGGTAATTAATCCATTGCAGGCAGTATTTTAAAAAATGATGTAGGACAGAGTAAGCAATATGAAATGGGTAGTATGAAAAGCAGCTACTAGATACCGACCATCATTTTAGGAAACGCAGGCTATTTACCCTGCTATATGCTCCCAAGTAAACTTGTCTTCAATTCCTGTTAAGTCAACTGGGAAAAACCAAACTTGCCATCTCTCTATATTTGCTATAATTTAAAAAATTCTGTTAAGAGACCCAAAACATAGTATTTCTTACCTCCGTGCAACATAATAAAAAATAGGATTCCCAGCTTTGGAAGTCCCAGCTTGGTAGAAAATACTTAACGTTTTCAAAGCCTTGAATTCTTCTTTTTCATGTACCTGATGCCTAAAAGAAAAATAACAGAGTAATTATGAGGCTTTATGTTGTCTACTGAGTATGTAAAAAAGTCTATAATTGGATAAACAATAAAATACTAAAATGAAAAAATATTTTAAAAGCAACAGGCATTCTAAAGGGTAATTTGGCAACATGCACCAAAAATTTCAAGGTATTACTCTTTGAACCACAAAAGCACTTTTAGGACTATTCTAAGAGAACTACTGGGCAAGAATATTAACCATAGGATTGGTTTTACTCATGACATTTTTGTCCCAGACAGAAGTTTATGATTTTTTAAATAATTCATTTTATCAATCTTTTCTAGTTTATGGATTTTGAATGGATGAAAAAGGCCTTGCTTTGCTCATTTTTTTTGATTTATGGAAGTTTATCATAAATGGTATGAAAATATTTTTCCAAATCATTACTCAGTTTTATCAAAACCATTTATTGAAAGTCCATCCTAATCTCGATTCTGAATACCAGCTTTAGCATATATTATGTTCCCATATGTATTAAAGCCTGGTTTAATTTTTATATAGTTTGCTCAAGACTCAGTGTGCTTCTTCAACCTCAAGATTCATGTCATTCATCAACTCTAGAAAACATACATCCATTAGCCTTTCAAATATTACTTCTTCCCATTCTCACTGAGCTCAGTTTCTAGGGAACACCTACTAGACATATTTTGAACCTCCTCATTTTATCTTCTGCATCTCCTAACCTCTTTCATATTTTCCATTTATCTGTCTATACTGACTGTATGCTAGGTAATTTGCTTAGAAACTAGCTTCAGCTATAAATTTAATTTTTTTTTTTTTTTGAGATGGAGTTTTGCTCTTGTTGACCAGGCTGGAGTGCAGTGGCACGATCTCGGCTCACTGCAACCTCTGCCTCCCGGGTTCAAATGATTCTCCTGCCTTGGCCTCCCAAGTAGCTGGGATTACAAGTGCCCACCACCACACCTGGCTAATTCATATATATATATTTATTTATTTAGTAGAGATGGGGTTTCGCCATGCTGGCCAGGCTTGCCTCGAACTCCTGACCTCAGGTGATCTACCCACCTCGGCCTCCCAAAATGCTGGGATTACAGGCGTGAGTCACCGCACTCGGCCTAAATTTTTTTAAGTACACATATTTTCTTTTACACCTAGTATTTCTATGAGCCTTATGTCTTGGGAAGAGATTGCATTAGCTCAGCCCATCATGCTGCTGGTACCAGGTCAGAATTTTAAAAATATTAATGGAAACAACCTAGATATCATTTGATAGGAGAAACAAATGTACATGTGCATAGATAAATGACTGGGAGACTATTCACCAAACGTTAAGTGAAGTATTCTGAGAGGGAGGATAAACAATTTTTAATTTTTTTAACTTTCTTTAGATTTCTATATCAAGTAATTTAATAATTTTTTAAATAACTGAGAATATTATAAAGCTACCTTCATTTTTTTTAAAAAAAAGAAAATGGGTCTCCAAGAGCATCAGTGGGAATTTAGAACAAAAATAAGATCCAACATTTATTAATTACTTTACAAGTACCAGATACTATGCTAAGTATATTATATATATTGGATTACTTAATCTTCAAAAGCACAAAAGATTGCTTTGTAAGGGAAGGTAGGATCTCAGAAAAAAGGAATAATAAAAATATTTTTCTAGAAAAATGGCTAGGATGTCCTCAGTGATGTCAAATTTAAAAACTGTTTTGATTCATTCATTTTTATATTTATATTTATTTATATTTATATTTACTTATATTTCTTTTTACTTATTTATATTTTTACTTATTTCTTTATTTATAGACAAGGTCTCATTCTGTCACCTAGGCTGGAAATGCACTGGTGCAATCACAGTTCACTGCATCCTCAAGCAATCCTCCCACCTCAGCCTCCCAGGTAGCTGGGACCACAGGTGCGTACCATCACACCTGGTTAATATTTTATTATTTGTAGAGATGGAGTCCTGCTATGTTGCCCAGGGTGGTCTCAAACTCCTGGGCTCAAGCAATCCTCCTGCCTTGGCCTCCCAAAATGCTGGGATTACAGGCATGAGCCACTGTGCCCAATCTATCTATCTTATCTATCTTATCTTATCTTATCTTATCTATCTATCTATCTACCTACCTACCTACCTACCTACCTACCTACCTATCTATCTACCTACCTACCTACCTACCTACCTACCTACCTATCTATCTATCTATCTAATAAAGACAAGGTCTCACTATGTTGCCCAGGCTGGTCTTGAACTCCTGGCCTCCAGCAATTCTCTCACCTTGGCCTCTCAAAATGTTGGGGTTATAGGTATTAGCCACCATGTCTGGCCTAAAAATAGTATTATATTTTTGTAGTATATAATTTTCAATTAGGTAATGTGAATAGTCTGTATGGAAAATATGCCCTTAATTACATAGGAATAAACATTTGTTACACTAAAAAAAATCTAGTAGAGCTAAAAATAAAAATTAATTTGGAAAGGACACTATATACCCATACATTCTTATGTTTATACATTCTTTCATATATTCATATATTCTTTTAACAGTATCAATGGTTTGGAGTTATATGTACAAAACCATGACCTGTAAGTAATACAACTAACAACAGGCACTTACAATTCAAGGCATATTATATACAAATCTTTAACTTCTCATCATCAGATTCTGTTTTATTCTGTTTTGGAACATACTATGAACATAGCACTCAAATCACAGACACGAAGGAGCACTTACTAAGCATAAAGTCCTGTGAAAGGTACTTTAAAAGATTCAGCAAACTACTCTCACTGTATCATCACAGAGTAAGTGTCTAACAATGAGGATCTTTTCATTCACAAACTAAATCCCACTAAATGGGATTCAAACAAATGTCCACAGAAATTTTATAGCAATACTGAAGTATACTATATTTTCTGAACCTTAATCTGAAATAATTTAAAACCATTAACCTTTATGAGGGTTCTGAAAAATGTTATAGTGTAGTAGAGAAGTCCTGCACTTAAAACCAAAAGACCTATGAATCAGGTGTGGAATCTTAGGCAAGTCAATTATTCACATTGAGTTGCATTTTCCTTAACTATAATTTGAAAATAATGTTGTCTTCACTCCCTGGTAAGTATTAAATGTGAAAACTTATGAAAGCAAGATGATAAAATATGATTTGTTACTATTGTTATGACAATCAATATATAAAATAAAACACACCCTATATATATAAATAATATATAGTTGGATTCCCCAAACATGGCAATGTGATTATTAAATACATCTTTCCTCATAGTCTTCTATCATATCTAACAAGTGGCCTGGTGGCAAACTCTCCTTCTCAACCAAAAAGAAAGCAATCAACTATTTCAAGGTTGTACTTTACCTAGTCATAAATTCCTCAAACTTTGAACTGGTAAGGTTAAGGCTGGACCAGTGTGTATCTGCCACAGGTTTGTGCTCTGGAGGACCCAGGTATGCAAGAAGTGTTGCCATCTTATCAAAAGGTCGTCTTCCAACAGCTTTATGATCCCTAGATACAGCAAACTACTTAGAAAAAAAATTAGCAGTTCACATTTAGCACTACACATTTCTTTAACTTGTAACTGGTTGCTTTTCCTTTTACTGTCAGCTGATTTGTAAACAGCACCAAAAAGACCTCAGGACCATGTCTACTTCAATCCATTAATAATTCATAAAAGATTAAAATGCCCTGTCATTTAAACTCCCATCTCCCAATTGCTTACCCTTAGCTTCACAGTCCACTACTTTTCCCGTGAATGTGCTAATCATTTTTATTGGCATTTAAAAATAATTTGGACTCATTCTTCCTTTGTAAGGAACTCTTCATACATAGGAATTTGGTCCCTTTACAAGTTTATATAACTAGATGGGACAGCAAGTAATTTATGTTACACAAGAGACTAATAAGAGCTAATGAAACAATGCCCAAATTAATAATTTTGATTTTTAAGTATTTTTTTTTTTTTTTTAATTTCTGAGATGGAGTTTAGCTCTTGTGGCCCAGGCTGGAGTACAATTGTGCGATCTTGGATCACTGCAACCTCTGCCTCCTGGGTTCAAGCGATTTTCCTGGCTCAGCCTCCCGAGTAGCTGGGATTACAGGCCCCTGCCACCATGCCCAGCTAATTTTTGTATTTTTCGTAGAGACAGGGTTTCACCATGTTGGCCAGCCTGATCTCGAACTCCTGACCTCAGGTGATCTGCCTGCCTCAGCCACCCAAAGTGCTGAGATTATAGGTGTAATCCACTGTGCCAGGCCGGTATTTTCTATATAAAGCTTTATTTGCATATACTTAAGAGTATCACGAATGAGTTTATCATAGAATTAAAACACTGACAATATTTTAATTACTGAATTCCTACGAATTGGCTGTTCTTCAGAGTCAAATGCCAACGCTAATCTGAACTTCTTTGGATCTATAACAATCTGCAAGCCATAAAAACCCAAAGAGCAAATCTGTGATTTCTTAACCTGACAAAAAAATAATAATAATGACCACTGGAACCTAGGTAGGTTTGTTGATTATTTAATATGACTTAACCTTTTGTTTGTATTTTTTTGAAAAAAAGAATCTTTCTCTTTCTAAACCATAATTCTTAGTCCAAGAAGATGCAAAGTAAAAAGCACTATTCATGACCAATAATTGTATTAATCTAAATTTAAACGGAGAGTGTTCACTATCCCCATGACTGGGAAATCTTACCTGTTGCTGGAAAGATACTGCCCAATTTTCTCCTGATTGTTCCAGAGTAGACGATGTAAAGCAAGCACATTGCCGTCACTTATGAAGGAAAGACTATGATTTACTGCATCACTTGTAGGACAATCAGATGCTATATCAAGGAAAAACCTTCAAAAATGCAAAGTCATTAGAATTTTCAACACCAGATACACCCAGACTTATGTTTGAATTAAATTTATAAGAAGTAACTTTGTGAAGTAACTAAGATTACAAATATGGAGGGCTTGTTCACACAATGTGACTTGACATTAGACAAAGCAAAAAGGACAAGGAGAAAGTTGGCTTTCCATTTCTGATACCCGGCTTCAGCTTCAAAGTAGGCTCTGAAGTTAAACAACAACAAAATTAAGATGGATGAAACTTTGGAAAGAGGCTAGTATTTTACAGATAAGGAAATGAAGGTCCAGACGAAAGACCTCCCCAAAGATATATAGCCTGCTAGGTCAGAGCCAGGATTAAAACTTTGATCCTTTTAACTTTGTATGGGTACACAGAGTGCCAGAATATGAATCCTATGCTGACATTCACTCTCTTTCCAACATGGCTTGTCATTCAGCAATATACCTTTTCAACTCCAATTTCTCTAACAGAAAAAAAGTCAGTAACAACTACAATGATGATAAACTGGAAGAGAGAGTTGTACAAGGCTAGCTTAGATGATGAGGATCAATTAGATTCACACTGCATGAAAAGCAGAATTCCAGACATAAATTTACAAAGCGCTTTCTTATGAATTATCTCATTTTTTTCTCTAAAAACAACTCAGGCAAAGAGTTTATCCCTACTTTACAGATAGACCAATAACTCAGAGAAATAAAGTGAAATAACTAGTTATAGAAATCTAGCAGAAAAGTTTTCTAAAATCATAAAGTTCAGTTCCTCATAAACAAAATCTTATGTGTTTGTTTGACTTGGTTTAAAGAATAACATTTTAGTTTAGATACACTTCCAAATTTAAGTATCACAAATACTCTAACATCAAAAAAACCTTATTAAACATTGTTATGTATTATTGATACCAATTTGGTTTTAGTTTTAAATAAAAAGAATCCTACTTCTTCCTTGTCCACATATTGTACCATCCTCAAATCCTTTATTTAATTAGACATGTCAAAAATCCCTCTTGGTTTTCAAATATGAAAATCACTACCAAATTATAAAAAATATTAATTTATTTCATGACTGTCTTTTATAGTAAAATAAAATAAGACAAGCTATGTCTTGACCTAGAGCAGGAAAAGAAAAAAACTTACACAGGAACTTCATGTAAAACAGGTACATGGATTTATGTGAAACCGAAAATATTTGATTCAAACAGAGCAACTGAGTAAGTGGCAAGAAAATTACCTGCGTGCTGCATCAAAGTTGCTTTTCACAAAATCATTGAAAGGCCGCATATGTTCTTCTTTTGTGAAGAGAACATGATTGGCAATACTCTGAAGTATCTACACAATAAAACAGGGTTATAAATAATCAGATTATTTATTGTATGAAGTCTATACATTAAGACATTCTTTAAAAACATGAATTTTCTCATTGATATAATTTCTGCTAGTACTTAAAAATCAAACATTCCTCATTCTATAAATTATTTTAGGTAGTGTTTCTAACCTTCCCAAATATAATTATTATATTTACATGTAAAAATACATATTAAAAATGTTTAATGACTTTTAAAATAAAAAATCCTATAGTCTACATTCTAGTCTGTTTCAGAATGTCTAGAATGATTACGCAAAAAATGATCTTCATAACACAAGACATCTGCTATAATAAAATGTTTTATCATGAAAATAAGGTCCATCAGGTACCTAACTAATGAATTCCTTTGTAATATAAACAAATAAAACAAAAGCACATAACTGAAAACCATAGGGTATTTCAAATATAAATGTAAGAGGAAGTACTGTAAGAAAAGCTGAAAATTTAGTTGGAAGGGGAATTTAAGATAGCTAGATTATCAAAATAATTCACCTTTGACATTAACTTCAAGCCCCTTTCGATTCTAGGTGGTGGCTTTTTATCTAAAATCCCTGCTTCATACGGTGAGACAATGGCAGGATTGATAAATCTGAGGAACATGGCACTTCCTACTGCACCGATGCTGTTCTGAGGGAAACGCTGGCTAACCACCTAAAAACAAGGAGTTGAGAATTGAGTATAAGGTTTGAATTAATATAAAGACATGAAAACAAAGAGTTCAAAGGTCAAACTTTGCATAAAAACTCTGAATCAATCAGTCCTCATGAATGACATATTTCTATTTTTTTCTTCTCCCAAAACATGAGAAAATAAAGTTTCCTCTCAATTCTAGTCTTATATCATATTAAAGTACAATTAAGGTATCTCAGAGGAAAGAAAAACCTCATGGATGAGATGGGTAGAAGAAACCTGAAAAAAGATCTTCACTGTATCATCACTTATACTGCATGTTTGATGAGTAATGAAAGCAGACCAAATTTTTCACACAAAGATGATCATAATTTACTAAGATTAACAGACATGAAAGTGTGGTCAACTTTATAACGTGAAACTAAATTTTCAACAGCACACCCCCAAAACATCCTATACCTGATAGTACATATTTACATTTTGTTGTGTACCAGTTACAATTGAATTTAAGAAAAAAATGCTTGCCATATACAAAATAAAATATTAGATTCTTACTGAGAAAAAAAAAAACTTACTTACAAGTAATGTTACTGCCAGTGCCTTTTCTTCACAGCTTCCTTTATAATACAAGAACCTACCTATTATTTAAACCATGGAGGGATGGGAATTCTTGGGGACCTAAAAGAAAAAAGGATCTCACCAGAAGAGAGAACCCCTATGTCTACCTCAATTTATAATTCTGTCAAATAAAAATAATTTAAGAACTCAAGAAATGGTTGTCCAGCCTGAAAAGCAATGTGAACCCAATATTTAAAATGGATGATTTTCCCTTTATAAAACATTCTACATTAAGATAAAAAGGTACCTTAGCTCGGGAAGAGTGCTATAAAACTGGTTCAGCTCCCATCCCTTTCCAGAGTCCCCTGCTTTAAATCATGTCATAGATGAAAATTATATTTTGCAGTTTACATTTTTATATATACTATATATGTTCATTTTTAAAGAACACTTAATGTAACATTTTAATCTCTACAGCTATTCTTGCTTAGTGCGGCTAAACTGCTGTTTAAAGTAGCAGTGACTACAAAACTGTAGCATTCCACTCAATATTCTGTGATGTCAAGGATAAACCTTCATTTCAAAGGATATTGGTGGGAGGGGACCCAGATTTACATGCGGAATATCACGTAGCTATTTTTTTCACAATGCTTCAATAAATATTTCCTGTCATAATTTATGACAGGAAATTATGACACAAATTATGACAGGCTGACTCCAGATTAACTCTGGAAAAAATGGGGATTATTTCACTTCATCTTGTTCAATGTAGTGCTTCATGCAGTCCACATTTTAAATGTGTTATCACTGCTTATAACCTCAAAATAGCTTTCTATAATCTCTAACAGGAAGTTAGTAAAAACTAGATTTTAGAGAAAATATTTGTAAGAGGTGATAAAAAGAGGTCAGTTGTAACTAATATAGTTCCATCTTCAGTTACACTACACATAGTTCAGGAAGCTTTCTTTATGTTACAGTGTTTATTGCATGAAGAACAACCTTAACCCTTAAATAAGGGGAAACTGGTGAAGGTGACTAAATATAGCTGCTTTATTAGAATGGCTTTAAAACCTAAATACCATTTATTTTTAGCTCAAATATATACATTTAGAATTAGATACAGAAGTTTTAGCTAAAACTATAGAAAGATGTAAAATTAAGAAAAAATTCCAGTGCTTTGACTATTCCAGTACGGTGTTGAACCTTCTGGGGACGAGGAACCTCTTTGAAATCTGATAAAGGTTAGAAAAATGAATGTATGCATTCACACACACAAAATTCTTCACATAATTTTAGAATATTCATAGACCATCATTGCTACTGAGTGGTTTTCTAAAACTCCCAAATTTTAATCTTAGACAATTCTCTGGCTGGGCGTGGTGGCTCATGCCTGTAATCCCAGCACTCTGGGAGGCCGAGGCGGGCAGATCACTTGAGGCTAGGAGTTCGAAACCAGCCTGGCCAACATGGCAAAACCCCATCTCTACTAAAAATACAAAAATTAGCTGGACATGGTGGAGCCACACCTGTAATCCCAGCTACTTGGAAGGCTAAGGCAGGAGAATCGCTTAAACCCAGGAGGTGGAGGTTGCAGTGAGCCATCGTGCCACTGCACTCCAATCTGGGTGACAGAGAGACTGTCTCAAAATAAATAAATAAATAAATAAATAAAGGCAGACAAAAGAAACCTATAACATTTTAAAGCCTTTAAGGAGTGAGTTAGCAGGAGGGAAAAGGATTAAAAACTGCTTTATAATTATTTTAAAATAGATTATTTTAAAAGAATTAGCATCTCATACGTTTAACTCATTAAAATTCTAAAAGTTTTTACAAAACTAAAACCCATAGTTTAATTTTCAAAGAACCAGTTAGTTTATAAAATGTTAACCTGCTGTGAAACACATGGAGAGCTTTCAAAATACTGTTTTATTTTTTATGCTAGTAAAATGAAGCACTGGGAGTGGAGAAGGAACAAGGAAATTTGTAATGGTTATCATCAATTAGACAAAATACTTCTTTGAAAGTAGCTATTTACCGGTTTTCTCTAGGACAAAGAAGTTTTAAAATGTGACTCATATTTACACCTGATTTAATGGTACTCAGCCTCAGAATTTAATGAAAAACTGAGTGATTTCCCAAAAGCATATTGTAAACTTTATGAAAAGTACTACACTTTTACCATCTTCCACATCTTTAAAAATAATTCATGTCAAAACCCAAAATATCGACACCTCAGGAACACATACTGTCTCATGTATCATATAAATATATGTATCACTGATGGCAGAATCAATATAATTTTGGAACTAAAAACTGATTTTAAAAACCAATAAAAATGCTACATAACAAGTTTCGTAAGTCAACTTATAAAAGGACTGTTTTTTTTTCATTCACCACTAATTGACATCAATGTAATTTTACCTCATAATACATACATGCTCTAGTGTTTTTTTTAATCCATAAAAATCTAATTTGGATCCAAAAGACATTCTGCATAAAAGGTCAAACTTGGGCCAGTCTGTGTGTTGAGACCAGTTATCAGCCAAATGTACCCTTTCTTCCCTTGGTAAAAGCTGACTACATAACGCGAATGCATGTAGTCATAAACTACACTTCAGCAAGAGCATTACTACCCATATATGCTTAGTTACTGCATTCTCCCTGAGTTAGGCAGACAGTTAACTTTCAAAGTAAACCTCATTATACACTATATATTTGAGAATAATAAACAGTTATTTGTAATGTGACTACACAGCTATATACTAGAAGCCAGATCTTCTCTCTATATTTTACATATTCCAATCCATGACATATACACCCAAAAAGAAAGTCAGCTTGCTCTTAAATATCATTAGGTTTTGTTAAAGCACACAACTCCATAAAACAACATTTTAAATTTATGAGTATACTGTCTTCATACTTTGGAATGTACTCTAAAATATCTCGAATTACCAATTAGATTCCCCTTGTTTCCATGAGGAGCTCGTATTACCTGTGCTGAGAAATACATTCCAAAACTTGGTGTTACCCAGAAATTAAAAAAAAATTTTTTGAAAATAACTCTAGTAGAAAAAAAAACATTTCAAGAAACAATTTTAGACATAATCTTAATAAATAAAGCAGTGTTAGAAAGGCTAGAAAACATGCTCTAGAGAAACACAGAAAGCCTGAATTTTAATTATGTGATACACTACAAAATGGCATTAGTATAACACTGAACAAGAGTGTTAGAAGCAGCAAATTAATTTCAACAATGATGGTGTACATTATGTTAAACTCACATATGCTGAGAATTAGAAGGCTGAAGCATTAGAAACGTCTTTATAATCCAATCAATTTGATCATAGCTAGGCAAATTTACTTAATATAATCAAAAATAAAATCTTCAATGGACACAACAAAAGTATATGTCTATAAATTTAAATTTTGATTTGAATTTTAAAAATCTATATTTAAAGCTTAGATAATTTATATGTACAGCTTAGAAACTTATATGTAAAGCTTTTTCGTTTTCTTTTTTTTTTTTTTTTTTTGTGAGACAGGGTCTTACTCTGTCACTCATGGTGGAGTACAGTGATACAATCACAGCTCACTGCAGCCTCAACCACCTGGGCTCAAGCAATCCTCCTGCCTCAGCCTCCCGAGTAGCTGGGACTACAGGAGTACACCACCACGCCTGGCTAATTAAAAAAAAAAAAAAATTATTTGTAGAGACGACTCGCTATGTTGCCCAAGCTGGTCTTTAACTCTTGGGCTCAAGAGATACTCCCACCTTGGTCTCCCAAAGTGCCCGGATTACAGGTATGAGCCACTGTGCCCAGCCATAAAGCTTTTATTATATGTAAAGTTTAGATAAGGCATGAAAGATGAAACCAGATGAACACTGTATTCTAAATTACACCCTTTTAAGAAAACTACCTACTTAGTTTTCTTTACATCTTACTCTACAATCATTTGGATTATATGAACAAAGACAGGGCTCAGCCTGATAAGTCACTGTGACAGATAATGGCAAATGTAAAATGAATGCATATTATATTTTGGACAAATTCCATTCACTGGAAGAAAATAATTACGACTCTCATAATTTTCTTCCTTTTAAATAAATCAAGGCAAGTTCATAGAAGCAGATAGTATATTCACATTATGTTTGCAGAATGATGTGTTTTTCTACAAATATGAACTCAGTTTTCTTTTATCTCAAAAGTACTATCTTATCATTTACCTCTTATTTTTTTGAGGTAAAAGTAGTTTTACCATTAAAATTTCTATAATCTATGCACAAATATCTAAATTATGCCTGAGACTGCCTAGATAAAAATATGAAGAGTAAAAAAATAAAATTTAGCAACTTTTAGGTAAGATTTAGAAAGTGACTCTTTCCCACCATATACTTCTAACAATTAAGAAACACTGTCATCTCTGGGAAAAGAAACCACTCACATTACCTTCAAACAAGAAGCAAGAATGAAGACAGTCAGCGTTTCCTAAGGCCTTGAAATTAAGTTTCTTTGCATTCATTTATAATTTAAAAAGTAACAATAATAAAATTAGACCAAGGATATCCAATGCAACAAATGCCCACAAATTGCCTTTGGGATAAATCAAACCAAAGGAACACAGAGAATGTTTCAATGTAACTTAATTCCAGGGTTAATTGAAATGAAAGCTATTTTGTGCCAGAATTAGTAGAATGATTTTACAGTGAAGGTCAAATAGGCTGAAGTGAAGATATTCTTAACAAACAGCAAAAGATTTTTGTTTTGCTTTGAAAGAAACAGCTAATAAAAAGTTCTCCAAACTTACTGATTTTTTGTTTTCCTTTTTTTCTTTTACTGTAGCTTTATTCAGTAGGGAGTGGCAAGTTGCCTACAGAACAGAGATGAGCACAAACAAGTCACAGCACCGACTACATACAGCAACAAAAACAATGTTGGCTTGTACATAAAATTACACCATAAAATGTAACACAAATGGAATCAACAAAAAATTAGAAATCAACTGAATTTTGAGGAATGAATTTTAATTCTGGGTTTTAATTTTTATTACATTTTTAAGCCAAGCACTAAAACAGCAAGAAATGTTGAGACCCAATCATGTCTACTATTTCTGGCTATGAATCACAGAAAAACTCTCTCCAAGTGAATTTGAGGATATTAAATATTTACATTTTGGTTAATTCCTAGCTTTTGAGAAATGTAATATAAAATATTCATTACAAGTAGATCACACACTAAAAACATTTGTGTCTACATAATTTTTTCTTGGTATGTAAAATTCTTCTCTGTGTATCCTTCAATTGACTTTAAGTTCTTTTTCCAACACCTGGCATTTAATTATGATCCTACTGAATAAAGAAATAAAAATTATATGGATAAATATAAAAATTCACTTTAGAAATTCTGAATTAAAGACCTCTCTCTCTAAAAAAGATTACTCTTAACATTTCACATATTTTTCAATGTTTGCAGGCTACTTCCTGAAATGGTTCTAATCAGAGGAGGTTAAAAGCTCTGCAACATTTGGGAGAAGAAGGTTATCAGCTCAACTAGTAAGAAGCATTAATATTATTAAAGTGAAGAAACTGCAGAGAAAATTACAGAACAAAACTGTAGGCCTGCTTAAAACTTTTCACATATTACAGTTGACCATTTATCAAAATATCTTAAAAAAAAAAAAAAAAAAAGCCACCTAAAAAACCCCCAAAACTCCAGGCACATATTGGTTTCATCTCTCAGAGCTCTTTCTAGACCAAAGATTTCTTTCAAAATTAAAAGACTCTTGATTGGACTAGCCTAGGCAGAATAATTATTTTAAAAATATTTTTAAAACCATGTTAGAATTATTTAATCCACAAATAGATGGCATCTTATTCTGGGAATTCTGGACATCCAACACCATAACCCATAACTTGGGCTTTAAGTTAGTTAGACATCCATTCATCCACCCACCCATTCATCCATCCAAAGAGTTACTGTGTACCTACAGGTCAAATACCATTCTAGGCATTGGGAAATAGCAGTAAAACAACAAGACACAGCCCCTTAGCTCACAGAGCTTTGTTTCAAACTTTAGACTATATACAAATGTATTAGTAACAGTGGTATATAACTATCATTTATAGCCTTAAAACTGTGTGTAAACTACTTCAGTTTGGAGAAGCAGATTTACTGAAAAAGGGTGAGATTTATTTAGAATCATAAATTAGTTCTTAGAATTCTCTCACCATACGAGAATATCCACTTTGGGAATCATTTTATCTTTATCCTAAAACCATCAGGAGAAGTGAAAACAACACATGAGAAAATGATTTAATTATAAATCTGACACATGTTCACAGTTGGCTATTCTTAAATAACCTTAATCCAGTCAACTAAGGAAGGAAGGTATATAAAGTAATAGAGCTGGTTAACACATGATTTGAAAAGGCTTAAAGGCCAAGATATGAACTCAAAAAAGGAGCTAAAGTCCAGGGAAGTTTATTAGCTAGCAATATACTCACTTCCCTTTCAACATTTCCCCAGTAGGTCCCAAAGGGACTACTATCCCTCCAGGCAGAACACAGAAGAGCAGGAAGGTACCTTTCTGTTACTGCCAAAGGCAAAGGGGCAAGAAAAAGCCAGAAGAGGGAAGATGAATAAAAACAAAAGAGCAAACCAAAAGAAATAAACTAGGTTTGGGAAGCAGACTCAATAAAATACTATCTTGAGACCAAAGCTTTTTTCCTATCTTTCTTTCTAATCAGTAAATGTAACATTCCCTGTTACCAGTTACTAATTAAAAAATAAAGCCTTATTTAATAACAACACAGCATGCTGTCTCTGCTCTTCAACAATGCTTTTACCCAATACTTAAACAATGCACTGATACCACCTTTAATTCATGTTTTTAAAGATAATAATTTTATGTGAAATTTTAACATAATAAACCAGGTTTGTTATTAAAATAATATAGGATATTTTACTGTGAAGTGCTCTAAAAAGCATAACATACTGTTTAATAATCACCACATATAGTGTTTAAAAATCTATTTTCACTATTTTCCTCCTTTCTTAGCTGTGAAAGCTGGCAAGAATCTTGTTTACTTAGGTGGGAGGGATGGGAAATTTATTTCTTCATTAAATATTTCCTAAGTACTAAATAAGTGCTAAGACCTGTTCCTTTTACATTATTAGAATCATGGTCTCAAAACGGTCTCCAACTTTGCTCATGATACAAAAAGATTTTTCTTTTAGGATGACAACCACATGAAGAAATTCTACTACAATCTCCTAGACCATGTAATCATGTAGTCAGTCCCCATTCACTTTTAACCAGCTAAAGTCAAAGCCTCTGTCATTTTAGAAACCCACTTGCTCTCTGAAACCAGTTACTACTAGGCCAACCAAGAAGCTGACCCAGACTATTTTTAATATGTGCTATTTCCTGTCTGCCTAGTTTCATCAATAGAACAATTACTAAATAAAATTTAAAGAGAAACCTGAATACAGCCCAAACTTGAGAAGATATTCACTGTATTAAGTTTCATATTATAACTAAACTACCCTTTAGACTCAGACTTAACTAGTTGAAAAAACTATACAGGATTTTCCTAAGTTTCCTTGAGCCTTTTTGTAAAGGCAGAAAAGTCATGATAAATTAAGAGAGACAAGGTTAAGTATGTTTTATCATCTATGTATACCGTGAAAAGCTTTTTTACAGATAGAACAGATACATCTTTAAAAATAGCAATGGTGAAAAAATTCACATAGAGCAGCCTCAAACAGCTTTTAAAATGGTGATTTCAATGATGCTGTTAACGTCTCTAAGCAACTGAAGCCGTGTGCTAAAAAAGCAAATGGCTGCGATGACTCTGCAAAGAGAGAGACACAAAGACATGGGTTTTGATAACTGTGTATTTCCCTTATATCCACCCCTATCCCAAATTCCAGACCCACTAATGTTTCTTCCAGAATCACAGTTTCCAAAAGGCTAATATGCATTTGCAGGACCTCCCTTGGAATAAATAATTCCTAAAACTGCAATGTGCAATTCAAAAACACAGTAGAAGACATAAAAGAACATAGACCGAATTCCCTAAAAAAGAAGGCCATGACTATGGCTATTTTCTGAGTTCAGACGCATTACTTGCAGTGCTAGTGTTAGAAGGTCTAATAATTTGGTCTGAATGATGATGCAGTATCTCTTTTAAGAAATATGCTACATAAAGTAAACAGAACAATCAGTCTATCCTGGGAAAACCTGACACAAACTAATTATACATTAATGAAGAAACCAAAATCACAGATGATCAAGCAATTCACAATGCAAAAAGCAAGGAGGAGACCCGCCTCAACTGTGAAACACCCTGTAAATAATTTAGGTTAATAGATGACAACAACAAAAATCCATAATATGTTCATTTCAGCCACATCCATCATACCCAATGGATTCACTGCATTTTAAACTTGCTCCCAATGCAAGTAAAATTTAGTATTTTAAAGTATTCTCTTACTTCAAACTGTTGCCTAAGTAATATTTAAGTTTTTTTCAAAGACAATTCCAACAATTCTCAATGTATTATTCATCCAAACTGACTCAGTATTATAGTTAACCACACACCATCAGCAGCTAGATCCTTCTTTGATAAAGCATTCTTCATAATTTAACTTTAGATTAATAATGGTAATCTCTAACTGTAAGCATACCTGGTATAAACAGTGGCACACACTTCGAAGTTGAGGGGGGAATTCTGAGGAGGAACTGATGATGGCATGGAAGAACTTTTCAGTCATCTGAAGGAGGTTCCGCTGGTTTTCCTCAAGGCTCTCTGATGGTTCTAACCTACAAAAAAATAAAAATAAAATCCTAACACTTTTGTTTAAAACAAATAACAAAAATCACTCCTTAAAAGAGACTCTTATACAGACATTAAGCCAAGTGCAACGTGTAGACTTCATTGGAATCTTTAAACAACCAACTATAAAAAAAAAAAAGACAACTTTGACAGGGCTGGATGGCTTACGCCTGCAATCCCAGTACTTTGGGAGGCCAAGGCTGACAGATCATTTGAGGTCAGGAGTTCAAGACCAGCCTGGCCAACATGGTGAAACCCCATCTCTACTAAAAATACAAAAATTAGTCAGGTGCCTGTAATCCCAGCTACTCAGGAGGCTGAGGCAGGAGAATCACTTGAACCTGGGAGGTGGAGGCTGCAGTGAGCCAAGACTGCACCACTGCACTCCAGCTTGGATGAAAGGGCAAGACTGAATCTCAAAAATAAAAATAAAAAAAAAGACAACTTTGAGATAACTGAAAAAAATTTAACAGAAAACTAGTCTTAGATATATTATTCAGGATTATTAACTTTAATTTGTGTGGAAATACTCAGGCTGCACATGCACGTGTATGTGTGTTTAAGTCTGTATATGTTAGAAACATGATCTCTGAGATATGCTTTAAAATACCCAAGCAACAAAAGGGGGAGAGAGGGGACAGATAAAACAAGAATATCATGTATTTTTCCAATTCACAATCCTCTATGTGTATATGCCCATATGAAAAAATTAACACACACATATGAATGATGCAGGTGTTTTTTTTTTTTGGTGGGGGGTGGGGGCGGGGGATGGAGTTTCACTCTCGTTGCCCAGGCTGGAGTGTGATGGCGCAATCTCAGTTCACTGCAACCTCCGCCTCCCGGGTTCAAGTGATTCTCCTGCCTCAGCCTCCCAAGTAGTTAGGATTACAGGCATGGGCCACCACGCCCGGCTAATTTTATATTTTTAGTAGAGACAGGGTTTCACCATGTTGGTCAGGCTGGTCTCAAACTCCCGACTTCAAGTGACCCACCTGCCTCGGCCTCCTAAAGTGCTGGGATTACAGGCATAAGCCACCACGCCCGGCTGAATGATGTAGGTCTTTACTTTTTTCATCAATAGTAACAAAAGGCAACTTTCATCTTTCACTCTACATTATGTTTCTGAGATTTATCCATGTTGATAGATGAAGATATAGTTCACTTTACTGCATAATAGTCTATTGTATACCATGATTTATCTATTCTCTAATTATAATGAACATTAAACATTTTTCACCTTTACAAACACCATTGCAATGAACATTCTTGCACATAAGAGATTCTCTAAGGCAGCTACCTAAAAATGAAATTTCTGAGTTATTGAGTATATGCAGATATAACTTTACTAGATATTGCCAAATAGCTCTAAAACTAGTACTGTATAAGAATTCTTATTCCCCTCCAATCTAGCAGTTGAGTAAAACATGAGGTAGCTCATGTTTTTAACTTCTATTTCCACAGTTCCTACTAAGGTTAGACATGCTTTTAGATATTTTGTGGCCATTCAGGTTTCCCCTATCTTGAACTGCATTTCACATCCAGTCTGACATTTCTAACTGCTAGATGTCCCCTCCCCACTGGTATCTAAAAATCAGTATGCCCCAAATTAACTGATTTTTCCTCGTACTCTTATGTCTTATCATGTGCTCTATGTTATCAATAGCACTATCACTTTCTTAATCACATCATTCAGGCCATCTCTGATGTCACTTTTTCCTGCTCTACTTCATTATTCCCCATATCCAATCAGTATTGCTTTTTTTTTTTTTTTTTTGAGATGGAGTCTTGCTCTGTTGCCGGGCTGGAGTGCAGTGGCACAATCTCGGCTCACTGCAACCTCCGCCTCCAGGTTCAAGCAATTCTCCTGCCTCAGCCTCCCAAGTAGATGGGACTACAGGCGCACCACCACCACGCCCAGGTAATTTTTGTATTTTTAGTAGAGACAAGGTTTCACCATGTTGGCCGGCATGGTCTAGATCTCTTGACCTTATGATCTGCCCACCTCAGCCTCCCAAAGTGCTGGGATTACGGTCATGAGCCACCGTGCCCGGCCCAGTGTTGCTAACTCTTATCAGTACCACCTCTAAACTCTGATGTTGTGATTAAAGGAAGAGATTCCGCAGGCAGACTTACTAGGTTTAAATTTCAGCTCTATCAGTTATCAATCATTATGAGTTGGTCACAATCCTTAAATTCTCTGGGTGTCATTTTTTCTCATCAATAATACAGGACTAATAATGCCTACTTTATGTAGTTTAAATTTTACCCAATAGTAATCAAATCCACAAACCTTTACTCTCTAACTAGCCTAATCTGAACTCTCAAAATACACCCCTTATGAAACTCACCACTTATCTGTTGTGTGTTTTATCCCTCTTACTAAACTGTAAGCTCCTTGAAGGAAGTATTTACCTATGTCCCCTTAAAGACTAGCACAGTGCCTTACCACAGCAAGTACTGAGTAAATATTTGTTTTTAACAGGTTAATTAGTAATTTTGTTTCTATATTAATTAACGTATTACAGAAATGCTTTGGACACTTACGTCATTGCTGTAGATTCCTTAGAGTTTGCTGTGTGGCACAGCATATGAATACAGTAAGAGTTCAGAAATTAGCATGGACTGCAAAGCAAGAAATACTTCATTGAACAGGTGAGTTCTAAAGGAGGCACAGAATTTGCATAGACAAAAGAAGTAAGGGTATTTCAGAAAGAGAAAGTAGGTGCGGCAGGTAATCAATCCAATAAATATTTAGTGCACATCTACTATCTGCCATCTTAGTATCAGGTGCTGAGGATTCAACAATTGCCTTTTGACCTTTTCAAAAAGGAGAAAGACATATAGACCAGGTATTCCACACTAAGTACTCAATACAATAATTCAAGGGTATTGTGATAAATATATATTTGGTCTCTGCTCCTGATTCCTGATACATTGCTCTTAAAACCCTTGGAATCTCTGGAAGTGCTGAGTGTCTTTTATATGATAATGAGATGACTGGTGGCTGGGAGGTCCTAGGGAGCTTCAAGACGGGGCTAGTCACCAGAAAGACCAAGTTTCGATTAGAGGGTTGAGACTTTCAGCCCCACTCCCCAACCTCCAAGGAGAGGAGAGAGGCTGAAGGTGAGTTTATCACCAATGACCCATGATTTAATCAATCATGCCTATATAATGAGGTCACCATAAAAACCCAACGAACAGAGTTTGAAGAGCTTCCAGGTTGCCGAACACATAGAGGTGCCTGGAGGGTAGTGCACCTGGAGACAGCATGGAAGCTGCAAGCCCCTTCCCACATGCCTTGCCCTATGTGCATCTTTTCCATCTGGCTGTTCATCTGTATCCTTTCTGATATCCTTTATAGTAAGTAGGCAAACAAAAGTAAAGTATGCCCCTGAGTTCTGTGAGTCCTTCTAGCAAATTAATCCAACTCAAGGTGAAGTTGTGAGAAGCACAGGTAACAACCTGGGGCTTGTAATTGGCATCTGAAGTGGTAGCAATCTTACTCAGCCCTTATCCTATGGGAAATCTGATGCTCTCTCCAGGTAAACAGTGTCACGGTTGAACTGAATCACAAGGACACCTGGTTGGTATCTATTGGAGAATGGCTGATGGTTGTTAGGAAGCCAGAGGAGGAAAATGAACTTGCAATATGTGGCTAATTGAAGAGACAGCCTAAATATGGGGATTATATGCAGGGAGAACAGTTAAGCTACAACAGTAATCCAAATCTTAAGATATGGAGGTCTAGGAGTTGGTAGGTATGAATGAGATTAACAATTTCTTTAACAAGGCTCAAAGAGACTGCTAGAAACCCTGACAATTGCCTACTTTGTGAAATTTTTTTTTTGAGTCAGCATAGCAGCAGGTACACTGCAGTCCATTTCAGGTTTCCCTCTAAAACAATACCTTCTAGCCACAGTGCTCTCTTGCTTCCCACATGCCAATGGTAACCTGTTGAATATTCTACTAATTCTGAACTACAATGAACATTTGTGTTCAATTATTCAAGTGTTCCTGTGTATAAAACTTTTCCCAAGTTGATTTTCAAAGAACTAGCTTGAGAACTGGAGGTGGAGCAAGATGGCTGAATGGAGGCCTCCAGGGATCGTCCCCCTTATTGGAACACCAACTTGAACAACCATCCATACAAAAAAGCACCTTCATAAGAACTGAAAATCAGGTAAGTGATCACAATACCTGGTCTTAACATCATATTAAGGAAGAGGCACTGAAGCGGGTAGGAAAAACTGTCTTGACTTACCTATACCACCCTTCCTTCACCTCCTGGCAGTGGCCCCGTGGTGTGCAAAGAAAATCTGCATTTGGGGGACGGACAGCACAGTGATTATGGGACTTTGCATTAGGACTAAATGCTGCCCTGTCATAGCAGAAAGCAACACAGGGCAGAGCTCAGCTGGTGCTCAAGGATGGAGAACTTAGAACAGACCTAGCCAGAGGTAAATCACCCATCCCAGCTGTTGAAACCTGAGTTCCAGCAAGCCCCACCACCAAGAGCTAAAGTGCCCTGAGGTCCTAAATAAACTTGAAAGGCAGTCTAGGCCCACAAGGACTGCAGTTTCTGGGTAAGTCCTGGTGCTGTGCTGGGCTCAGAGCCAGTGGACTTGGGGTGGACCTAGTGAGACAGCCAGGGCAACCAAGGGAATGCTTACATCACCCCTCTCCCAAACCCAGGCAGCTCAGCTCAGCTTGTAGCTCCAACAGAGATGCCTTCCCTCTGTTCAAATACAAGAGTGGAGAGAGTAAAGAGGACCTTGTCTTGTAACTACCAGCTTAGCCACAGTAGGAGAGGGCACCAGGCAGAGTCCTGAGGCCCCCATTTCAGGCCCTACCTCACAGACAACACTCCTAAACAAACCCTGGGCCAGAAGGAAATCTGCTGTCTTAAAAGGAAGGACCCAGTCTTGGCAGAACTCATCACCTGCTGACTAAAGAGCCCTTGGCCCCTGAACAACCAGGAGGGATAGCCAGGCAGTACTTGCTGTGGGCCTTGGGTGAGACTTGGAGACATGCTGGCTTCAGGGGTGACCCAGCACATTACCAACTGTGGTGGCTATGGAGAGAGACCCCTTCTGCTTGAGGAAAGAAGAGGTAAGAATAAAGGGGACTCTGTGTTGCAACTTGGGTACCAGCTTGACACAGTGGGGTAGGGCACTAAGTAGGCTCCTGGGGTCCCAGATTCCAGGCCTTGGCTCCTGGAAAACTTTCCTGGACCTGCCCTGGGTTAGAGGGGAGCCCCAAGGCCTTAAGGGAGAGACTCAGAACTGGCAGCATTCACCATGAGCTGAATGAAGAGCCCTTGGGCCTTGAGTGAACATCAGTGGTAGCCAGGCAGCACTCACCATGGGCCTGGGGCGATGGCGGCCATGGGAAAAGACTCCTCTGCTTGAGAAAAGAGGACGGAAGAGCGGGAAGGACTTTGTCTTACAGCTTGGGTGCCAGCTTAATGCTTAGCCGCAGCAGAATAGAGCACTAGGTAGATCTCTGATGTACCCAACTCTAGGCTCTGGCTCCTGAATGGCATCTCTGGACCCACGGAGAACTCACTGCCTGAACGAAAGGACGCAAGCCTGGCTGGGTTTGCTACCTGCTGACTGTAGAGCCTTTGGGCCTTGAGTGAACATAGGTGGTAGTCAGGCAGCAGTACTGCAGGCCTTGGGCAAGACCCAGTGCACTCCCAGTGCTGGTGTCCACAGGGCTGCTTGTGTCGCCCCTCCCCCAGCTCCAGGCAGCTCAACACACACACACACACACACACACACACAGACAGAGAGAGAGACTGACTCTGTTTGTTTAGAGGAAAGTAAGGGAAGAGAAGAAGAGAACAAGAGTCTGTTTGATAACCCAGGGAATTCTCCAGGATCTTATGCAAGACCACCAAGGTGGTACCGCTATGAGTGTACAAGAGCCACAGCGTTATTGGGCTTGGAGTGTCCCCTAAAGCAGATATAGCTGCAGTGACCAAAGACTTAAGATAACAACACCCAAGTGCCTTCAAATACTTGGAAAGCCTTCCCCAGAAGGGTGGGTACAAACAAGCCCAGACTACAAAGACTACAAAAATACCTAACTCTTCAATGCCCAGGCACTAATGAACATCCATAAGCATCAAGACCATCCAGAAAAACATGACCCACCGAAGGAATTAAAGAAGGCACCAGTGATCAATCCTGGAGAGACAGCGATATGTGACCTCTCAGACCGAGGAGTCAAAATAGCTGTTTTGAGGAAGCTCAAGGAAATCCATGATAATGTGGAGAAGGAATTCGGAATCCTATCAGATAAATTTAACGAAGAGATTGAAACAATTACAAAGAACCAGAGAGAAATTCTGGAGACGAAAAATGCAGCTGACATACTGAAATATGCATCAAGAGTCTCTTAAAAGCAAAATTGATGAAGCAGAAGAATTAGCAAGCTTGAAGGCAGCCTATATGAAAATACACAGAGGAGACAAGAATAAAGAATGAAGCATGCTTACAAGATCTAGAAAACAGCCTCAAAAGAGCAAATTTAAGAGTTACTGGCCTTAAAGAGGAGGTAGAGGCGGAGGGTGCAGTGAGCAGAGGTTGCACCATTGCACTGCAGCCTGGGCGACAAGAGTGAACCTCCATCTCAAAAAAAAAAAAAAAAAAAAAAAAAAAGAGAACTTATGAAACCTAGGGAAAGATATTTATCAATATTCAAGTCCAGGAAGGTTACAGAACACCAAACAGATTTAAACCAAAGAAGATTAACTCAAGGTATTTAATAATCAGACTCCCAAAGGTCAAGGATAAAGAAAGGATCCTAAAAGCAGCAAGAGGAAAGAAACAAATAACATACAATGGAGCTCCAATATGTCTGGCCCCAGACTTCTCAGTGGAAACCTTAGAGGCCAGGAGAGAGTGGCATGACATATTTCAAGTGATAAAGAAAAAAAAAAAACTTTTACCTTAGAACAGTATCCAGTGAAAATATCCTTCATATATGGAGAAATAAAGACTTTCCTAGACAAACAAAAGCTGAGGGATTTTATCAATGCCAGACCTGTCCTAGAAGAAATGCTAAAGGGAGTTCTTCAATCAAAAGGAAAAGGACATTAACAAGCAATAAGAAATCTGAAGGTACAAAATTCACTGGTAACAGTAAATACACAAAATATTATAACACTGTAATTGTGGTATGAACTACTATCTTGAGAAGACTAAAAGATGAACCTTTTACAAATAACTACAGCTTTTCAAGATACAGACAGTATAATAAGGTATACATAAAAACAACAAAAAGTTAAAAAGTAGGG
The DNA here is from genome assembly GCF_000001405.40 of Homo sapiens. Classification (NCBI taxonomy): domain Eukaryota; kingdom Metazoa; phylum Chordata; class Mammalia; order Primates; family Hominidae; genus Homo; species Homo sapiens. The sequence continues at coordinate 31,241,667 of NC_000017.11, read as the reverse complement.
GGATAAAGTTAAAGTGTAGAGTTTTTATTAGTTTTCTTTTTGCTTCTTTGTTTGCTGCTTTATGCCATCAGTGTTAACTTGTCATCAGCTTAAAAGAATGGCTCATAAAATATTATTGGCAAGCCTCATGGTAACCTCAAATCAAAAACATACAACAGATGCACAAAAAATAAAAAGCAAGAAATTAACACATATCATCTGTGAAAATCACTTTTACTAAAGGGAAGGCAGGAAGGAAGAAAAGGAGGAAGAGAAGACCACAAAACCACCAGAAAACAAATAACAAAATAGCAGGAGTAAGTCCTCGTCAATAATAACACTGAATGTAAATGGACTAAATTCTCCAATCAAAAGACGTAAGAGTGATTGAATGGATTAAAAACAAACAAAAATAACCCATGACCCAACAATCTGTTGCCTACAAGAAACAGACATCATCTATAAGGAAAAACACAGACTGAAAATAAAGCAAAGAAAAAAGATATTCCATGGCTGGGCATGGTAGCTCATGCCTGTAATCTCAGCACTTTGGGAGACCGAGGCGGGTGGATTGCTTGAGGTCAGGAGTTTGGGACCAGCCTGACCAACGTGGTGAAACCCTGTCTCTACTAAAAATACAAAAATCAGCTGGGCATCGTGGCAGGCACCTGTAATCCCAGCTACTCAGGAGGCTGTGGCAGGAGAATCACTTGAACCCAGGAGGCAGAGGTTGCAGTGAGCCAAGATCACGCCACTACACTCCAACCTGTGTGACAGAGCAAGACTGTGTCTCAAAACAAACAAACACACAAACAAAATACACATGGCAAACAGGTACATGAAAAGGTGCTCAACATCACTGATTATCAGAGAAATGCAAATCAAAACTACAATGAGATATCACATCACCCTAAAGTTGCTTTTATCCAAAAGACGGGCAATAACAAATGGTGACAAGGAGAAAAGTGAGAAAAGGGAACCCTCATACACTATTGGCAGGAATGTAAATTAGTATAATACTATGGAGGACCATTTGGAGGTTCCTCAAAAAACTAAAAATAAAACTACTATATGATCCAGAAATCTCACTACTAGGTATATACTGAAACAAAAGGAAATCAGTATATTGAAGACATATCGGCACTCCCATGTTTGTTGCAGCACTATTCACAATAGCCTACATTTGGAAGCAACCTAAGTGTCTGTCCACAGAAGAATGGATAAAGAAACTGTGGTACATATACACAACGGAGTACTATTCAGACACAAAACATGAGATTCCTGTCATTTGCAACAACACGGATGGAACTGAAGGTTATGATGTTAAGTGAAATAAGCCAGGCAAAGAAATACAACATCGTGCGCTCTCTTATTTGTGGAAGCTAAAAAAATTAAAACAATTGAACTCATGGAGATAGAGAGTAGAATGATAGTTACCCAGAGGCTGGGAAGTGTAGTGGGGGGTGGGGAAGGGGAGACCGGGGATGGTTAATGTGTACAAAAGAATATAAATGAGATCTGGTTATCTGATAGCACAAGGTGACTACAGTCAACAAGAACTTATTGTACATTTAAAAATCACTAAAAGAGTATAATTGGATTGTATGTAACATAAAGAAACGATAGGCCGGGCACGGTGGCTGACGCCTGTAATCACAGCACTTTGGGAGGCCAAGACAGGCGGCTCGCCTGAAGTCAGGAGGTCAAGACTAGCCTGGCCAATATTGTGAAACCCTGTCTCTACTAAAAATACAAAAATTAGCCAGGCATGGTGGTGGGCACCTGTAATCCCAGCTACTCGGGAGGCTGAGGCAAGGAGAATTGCTTGAACATGGGAGGCGGAGGTTGCAGTGAGCCAAGATAGCACCACTGCATTCCAGCCTGGGCGACAAGAGTGAAACTCTGTCTCAAAAAAGAAAAAAGAAAGGATCAATGCTTGAGGTGATGGACACCCCATTTACCCTGAAGTGATTACTACACATTCCATGTCTGTATCAAAATATTTCATGTACCCCATAAATATAAACACCTACTATGTACCCACAAAAAAATAAAAATTAAAAAATAAAAAGATCTAGCTTTGCGTTTCATTATTTTTTTCCTATTTTTAATTTCATTGATTTCTGATTCCTCCCCCCATCTTGCTTTAGGTATTGCTCTTTGTCTAGTTTTCTAAGGTGAGAGCTCAGATAATTCATTTTAGATTTTCTTTTCTAACATACATTTAACACTGCTAAGCAACTGCTTTTATTAAACCCCACAAATTTTGATGTATTTTCATTTTCATTTATTCTTCTGTTTGTCTTTGCATTTCAGTTTGGGAAGTTTCTCTTGATATAACTACAAATTCACCAATTCTTTCTTCAGTGGTGCCCAGACTACTGATAAGCCCACTAAAGGAATTCTCCCTGTTACAGCTTTTTTCTCTAGCCTTCTCTTTTGATTCTTTCTTAATTTCCATGTCTCTGCTTACATTACCCATCTGTTCTTACACACTGTCCATTTTCCATGAAAGCCCTTAGCATATTAGTTATTTTAAACTCTCAGTTTGACAATTTCAAAGTTCCAATACATCTTGCCACATCTGAGTCTGATTCTGATGCTTGCTTTGTCTCCTCAGACTAATTTTTCATTTTTTGTTAGCATGCATTGTAATGTTTTGTTGAAAGCCAGACAAGATGTATTGGGTCATAGGAACTGAGGTAAATTGGACTTTAGTGTGAGGCATTCTGTTAATCTGCCTAGAAGTTAGGTTATGTTTAATGTTCGCTGTAACTGTAGGCGCCCATTTCCTCTAGTGCTCTTATTTCTGTCTCTTTTGTTGTCCCTGGGTTTCCCCGTTAACTGGGATACTGGGGAAGGGAAGTACTCTACAATCTGATTATATCTCCATTGTTTTATTGGGCCAAATTCCTTAAAGTGTGACCTTCAAAGAGTTTCTTTTTTTTTTTTTTTTAGACAGAGTCTCGCTCTGTCGCCCAGGCTGGAGTGCAGTGGTGCAAATCTCAGCTCACTGCAACCTCCACCTCCTGGGTTCAAGCGATTCTCCTGCCTCAGCCTCCTGGTAGCTGGGACTACAGGCACGTGCCACCACACCCAGCTAATTTTTTGTATTTTTAGTAAAGACAGGGTTTCACCATGTTAGACAGTATGGTCTCGATCTCCTGACTTCGTGATCTGCCCACCTCAGCCTCCCAAAGTGCTGGGATTACAGATGTGAGCCACCAGGCCAGACTCAAAGAGTTTCTTAGCCTTTTCTCTCTTCTTACAGAAACGCTAGAGGGGGCTGGAGGTGGCTAACTTCTAAGTCAAATAAAGCTCTGGTAAAGTAATTTCTCCTGAGGGCAAACCTTTGCTAGGGATAACAGAACACTGTGGTCATATTTAAAAATGGCTACTTTTCCCCTTCCCCTGCCCAAAGCATAAAGGGATTTTTCTCCTATCTTCACCATGAGAGCCTGATGAGGCTTCTGGAGGTAAAACTTACAAAGGTGCAGGGGTCCCTGCAAGACTAGGCCCCTAGGAGTTTTAACTCTCTAGGCACTCCATGCTCAGCCTCCAGCAACTCGTCAATTATGATCTAAGCTTTCCTACCAGTTACTGGCTCCAGCAGCTTCTTCTCCTGGTAAACTGTGATTCTCTGTATACATTTACCTGTCTCTCCAGTTTTTGGAGTGGACTTAAATTCTCTGATGGATCTAAGAGCTGCTGATTTTCAGTTTTTTAGCTTTTTTCATGTTGTGAACACAGGAGTGTTGACTTTCAAGCTCTTGACATGTCAGAGTGGGCCTCAGTTTGATTTTAAGCAACCTGAGTATATTGTTTGCCATCTAGTTCTCTTATCTGGACCACAGCACTTTGTATAGTAAACTTATTTGAAGCAGCTGGTTCACTCTCTAAGTAATTCTTTAACCTTTAGAAAGTAAAATTGCTTAATAATAAGATTCAGTAAAATTGTAGGGCACAAAATTAACATAAAATCCGTAATAATGTATTATGTACACTTGAAAATTGCAAAAAAAAAAAAAAAAAGTAGACATGAGAAGTTGTCAAGAAAAAAACTGAAAGTGCTTAATGGCAAGAAAATACAAGGCTTTACAAAACATTGCTTTGGCCAGGCGTGGTGGCTCACATCTGTAATCCCAGCACTTTGGGAGGCCACAGCATGTGGATCTCTTTAGTCTAGGAGTTTGAGACCAGCCTGGGCAACAAGGCAAAACCTCGTCTCTACCAAAATACAAAAATTTTGTATTTTGCATGGTGGTGCATGCCTGTAATCCCAGCTACTTGGGAGGCTGAGATGGGAGAATCGCTTGAGTCCTGCACAGGAAGGTTGCAGTGAGCCGAGATGGTGCCACCGCACTCCAGCCTGGGTGACAGAGTGAGACCCCATTTCAAAAAATAAGAAGTAAATAAAAATATAAAAATTGCTTTTAAGTTTTTAACTATTTTAACAAAAATTGGCTTAGTGCTGGAGTTCTGAATAGATATTACAGTTGATACTTCAGCAAATGCAGAGCCAAAAATATCAACTGATACACAGTTGCTAAATAATGATTATTTAGGAAGAACAATCATCAAGAAGCTCTGAACTTAAAAGTAAAAAATAAAGTCCTAACTGAAAGACAGACAAGAACATCTTAACATGTGGCTTAGAAAAAGCAAGCATAAGATATTCCGTTAAAATTCATTCACTTAACAAATATTTATAAAATGTTCACTATAAGGCAGACACCATGCTAAATATTCATGGAAGGATATAAAGATGTAAAAATGTAAAAGAGCAAACAGTCTAGAGGAGAGAGAAACTCATAAATCGTCACAATTGTTACAATGGTGGTGCACAGCACAGAACAAAGCATATTTCTTTGTTCGTGGGTAGTACCTGGTAACAAGCAGAGAAAGCTTCACAGAAATGGTGGTTTAAACTGCACTCTGGGCTGGGCATGGTGGCTCACACCTGTAATCCCAGTATTTTTGGAGGCCAGGGCAGGCGGATCACCTGAGGTCAGGAGTTTGAGACCAGCCTGGCCAAGATGGTGAAACACCATCTCTATTAAAAATACAAAAAAAAAAAAAAAATTACCTGGGCGTGGTGGCGCACACCTGTAATCCCAGCTACTCAGGAGGCTGAGGCAGGAGAATCACACGAACCTGGGAGGCAGAGGTTGCAGTGAGCCGAGACTGCGCCAGTGCACCCCAGCCTGAATGGCAGAGTGAGACTCTGTCTCAAATTTTTAAAAAAATGACAAATAAATAAACTGCAGCCTGCATTACCTATTAGCCTCTTTCCCTTCTCCTAAGTCACTCCTCATCATAGAAGAAGTGAGTTAGAAAAAGAGTATGCATGCAAGTGACTGCATATGAATATGTAAATGCATGGAAAAAGGACAGGGGAACAGACTTAACTAGTAACAGTCTCTGGAGGTGGAAGTCAAAGACACCTTTCTCTAGTTTGTCCCTGGATCTAAGGCAAATAAAAGGATACCTTAAAAAAAAATTACAGATATCATTAAAGAAACGTGTATTTGTATATAACTTTTATAATTAAAAACTAATTTTAATGATCAAGGGGAGAAGGTGCCTTGCTTCATGCAGTGTTAGTAAAACAAACAAACAAAAAAAAAAAAACAAAAAACAGCGGTTCTATGTGAAAAGATGACAAACCTGGTAGGATCCACTTCAAAGCTAACATGTTGCCAATCAGAGGATGTGATCACAATTCGTAATAAAGGATCCAGGAGTTTTTGTAGATAGGTAGCACCATATACCTACAGAAATGCACGAATAGGAGTTTATTATACCTGCTCCATATATTTTACCTTAAAAGAAGACAATCAGCCCTGCACATTCTGTACATAATCATTACTTGACATACCTCAGCACACACATACACACAAAATGAATGATACAAACCTTGAAACAGAATGTCATTATTTTACTGGCCAAGCTGTTGCCTCGGAAGAGAGTCTGCATGGAGTCTGCCAATTCTACTTCTTTAGAAAACATGTTCCAGAGCAGTTGGTAGAGTAAATGCCGAGAATCAAACAGAGTAACCAGAACTCGAGCTAGTTCATCCTGAGAACAAAACAAAATCAGGTTAGTGCAAACAATCCCATTTTTATTCTTAGGTAGGAAGCTAAAGAGTAGCAAAAATGTAAACCCAAAGTTGACAACCACTTGCTAAATTAAGGCAAATGATGACTGATTAATATTTATCCTGAGATTTAACAGTGTACATTGTTTATGATAGATGACTATATACAATGTCTATGATAGCTGTTAATTCCAAGGATTAACCGGTAAAAGCTATTAAGAGAGGCCTACGCTTTACTAGGAGACAAAATCTCCAAGATTCAGCTCAAATTACATCACAAAATGAAAGAGAGCAGAAACAGAAGATGACAGCAAAGAATTTAGTTTGATTTGTACAAGCATTTGCACAGAGCAGAAATAAGATTGATGATCAGAAGAGTTCTACTCTCTTCTCATACAGTCGGGGAACTCAGCGAATACTGAATATATACTAGGCAGAGACACAACAAAAACAGAAAGACTATAGGATTTTTGAGAAACCAGGAAGAAAAGGAATTGGGCATTCAGAACCCAGAGATGAGCCAGATTTACATACAAAGCTAGGGTCACAAGGATGAGGGCTGAAATTTCTATCTATTACCTAAATGACATCCTTTATAACTCTCTGTAGTAAAACAGTTTGGGGTACACTCAAGAAAAAATGATCTAATGGTAAATCACTGTTTAATCACATGATAAGAAGAAATTTATAGATAATAGGGGTAGCCATAAAAAGATGCCTCAATCCTCAAGCAGTAACAACAAAGGCCAGGATCATGGCTCATAGCTCTCTAATTCTTGCCTGATCCAAGGATTACAATAATGTGGTAGGTGAGATCTGGCCTAACAGAAAATTCCTTCTCAAAGTCATTTAATATAAAACTCAACGAATTAAAGCTACTTGAACTAAATGATTCTTTTTTTTTTTTTTTTTTTTTTTTTTGAGACAGAGTCTCGCTCTGTCGCCCAGGCTGGAGTGCAGTGGCGAGATCTTGGCTCACTGCAACCCTCCTGGGTTCACACCATTCTCCTGCCTCAGCCTCCCAAGTAGCTGGGACTATTGGCACCTGCCACCACGCCCAGCTGATTTTTTTGTATTTTTTTAGTAGAGACAGGGTTTCACGGTGTTAGCCAGGATGGTCTCGATCTCCCGACCTTGTGATCCTCCCGCCTCAGCCTCCCAAAGTGCTGGGATTACAGGCGTGAGCGACCACACCCGGCCCTTAACTGATTCTTTATTTAAAAAATTACTATTTTCAGTGCTAATTATAGGTAGATGCTAATAAGATAATTCAGAATATCCATTTTCAAAACATTTGAACATTTCTGAAATTTAGGCTTCAAGGAGGTTTCAATAATTTGGGGCTGTTGCTAATCAATGAGTATAAAATTTCAGTTATACAAGGTAAGTTCTAGAGATCTGCTGTGCAGCATTGTGCCTACAGACAGCAATACTGTATTATACACTTAAAAATCTGTTAGAGGGTAGATCTCATGCCAGGTGTTCTCACCAAAATAAAATACCAGAAGAGAAGCATTTCAGGTGGTGGCAGCAGCAAGGGTGCTCTAAAGCAGAAATAAGTCTAACAAGGAGGGACAGAAAGGTAGCTGGTGTGGCTCTGGTGAACAAGAAAGAAAATAGCATAAGATGATGTTAGAGATGAGGTAGGGCCCAGATCAGGTAGAGCCTTGTAGGACAGGGTAAGGAGTTTGAATTTTACTTTAAGTACAGGTATAACAAATACAGGCTTGTTAACAAGGACAGATTACCTTATTAGTCATAATTTACTATAACTGAAATCAGTTTTGGTACACTAAAAAGCAAATAGCCTTTTAACACTGGAAAGGAACAACAACCCGTCTCAACGTTTTAGCATGTATTAAGAATGATGTGATTTTAGGAAAATTTTTCATTAAATTAAGAGAGAGACATAGCCATATGACGCTTTCAGTTTTTAAAATAAACAATATCATAATATCAAATGCAAATATAGTGCTTAAATTTTTAAAAAACTGTATGAGACATTATGGGGAAAAGAATAGCAAACTGGAGGTAGTAAACAGGCACAAATCGTGGATTCCAATTCCAGCATTGCAACAACTAACTAAAATTAGGTTTAACCTAATTACCTTATCAAATATATGAAGACACCAGAGTAGATCAGTGATTTTTAATGCGTTTAAATGGAATTTTTTAGTAGGATGAAATGATACAGAACACTAGTCAGGTCTAGTGGTGCCAACCACTTCCCTACAGCTGAAAAATCACCTAACTAAACATCTTTCTTCTGGCTCTGAAATTTTATCAATTCATTCAACAAACATTTATTGAACAAATATATTCTGAAGGATTTGCTATGTGCCAGGCACTTTTCTTCCCCGCTTACTCTAATCACTTACCCACTGAGAACAAGGAACCACATTGGCCAGAGCCATCGCTATAGGGAGTTCTCCTTGATCACCCATCATTGTGACCAGTTCCACCAATCTCTCAAACCGATCAGCCAATACTGTTTCTGCAAGTGTGTCAAATTCTGTGCCTTGTTGAAGGATTTTTGTCAGAACTTCCATAAATGTAGCTCTTGTCTGGAGATCCTTGTGGTAACCTAAGCCTAATGTGGACAAACAGATGCAAATTTACTAACATGGCCTTGCTGAAGTAATTTTTGCTTCTCTTACATGCCAGTTCTCTAGGTTTTGTATTTCTATATGAAACTTTCATTTGATCTCACCTATGGAGTGCATGAGACCACTGTCTACGTTGGCATTGAGTAAGTTTGACATTGCAAGGACCGTACAGTGCCTCAGTGATGCCAGCCTCCGAGACATGCCACGTTTCCTGCCACCTGTTTGCGCACTTTCATCTTCAACTTCACTGCAGTCATTCAAAAGGTTCATAAATAATGTGAAGTATCTGAGAAATAAAAAGACTGACCTTTACATAGTGAAGGCCGTATCAACTAGAAAGCTAACCAGACATTCCAAAACAATCATATGTGCATGGTGTGAATGGCCCTGGGTTAACTGTTTCTCTCCTCTCTCGCGATAATCAGCCAGGGTGGCTTATTATGAAGTGTGCTATGTTGGACATGATTTTACCTGATATAGCCTAGTATACCTTTCATAACATTAGCATCAAATAGATGCAATATTACCTGGTAAATGTGTCACTTTTAATGTTAGTATATAAAATTAGTGGTCCAAACAGCTTAGACAATGTCACTTTTGTAAATGACTTAATGAAGCAATCTGGGTTTTATTATAAGCAAAATTTCACTGATCATATTACTTTCTTTAAAAAAATCACAAAACACAGTTATTTTCCTATCCTAGTCCTGTCATGGGTATTATTTCTTTGCTTTTTTTGTGTGGTGGGGGGCTTTATTTGCTTTTTGCTTTATGTTTTTTGGTGACTGAAATTTACTTAAGAAATAACTGTGATTTGGCTTCCATCAATTCCACACCATCTCCTTCTTCAGGCTGCAGAGGGAGACCAGCTAGAAGTGAAACTACTGCTTCCATGCTTGCCTGGTCCAAATCTCTGAAAAAAAAAAAAAAAAAAAAAAAAAATTTAGAGACCATGAATCTTTCAAGTTCTTTCACTTCCCCTCAAATAAACCTCTTACTAACAGATATAAACCTTAGGAACTACCTATTTCATTAAACAAATTATTAGCACAACCCAAATAATTTGAGTTAATATGCAGATCCCAGAATACAAAATCATCTCAAATGGGGAGAAGGTAATACTTACTTTCTACAAAGTAATCTTGGCAAAATGGCTACCTTAAATCAGAAGCATGTACAATGGGCCCTCTGTATCAGTGAGTTCTATATCCATGGATTCAACCACCCATGGATTGAAAATATTTGGGGGAAAAAAAAGGAGGGTTTCATCTGTACTCAACATGTACAGATTTTTTGTTGTTGTTATTCCCTAAACAATATGGTATAACAAATATTTATACAACATTTATATTGTATTAGATATTATAAGTAATCTGAAGATAATTAAAAATATATGGGAGGATGTGTATAGTTTATATGCAAATACTATGACATCTTAAGTCAGGGACTTGAGCATCTGTGGATTTTAGTGTTCATGGGAGTAAGATGTGGGCAGGGGTTTGGGGAGTGGTTCTTGGAACCAATCCCTGACAGAGAAGACTGTATTATAAAGCTAGGCTTGGTCAAAGAAACATATGTGAATGCTTATTATACAGTCCATAGTGTTTAATCATTTTCTGATATGTGTCAATAAGTATCATTAAAGCAGACTTGATTACTTCCTTTTTTTTCTGTCTCTGGTGCTTGAATCAGGAAATCAATTATTTCTTAAAAAGATTCAACACAATGAGTTCCTCAAATAATACCTTTATCTATCTAATCATAACACAAATGCAATCTGAGGCTTTATGTATCTTATTTCCCAATAACTGTAGACTATTCTTCATAAACTGACAACACTAACTTCCCAAACATATCACTCTTTCACATTTAATTTTACTGAAAGTCTATCAGTCAAAAAAAAGCAGTAATAAAGATTAGCATCTTTACATATTTCAAACACAAAAGTTTGACATCTCAAAAGTTTAAATACACACAAAATACAAGTATAAAGCTGTAATTAAGTAGTTATAACTCTCACAGTAAAACCCACTAATACTTGAAGGTCATTCTTTTTTTACCTTGTAAGACATTTTACATCATCATCTGCTGCTTGGTTTGATGTTCCCATAACCCAGTCTGTCAGGTATTCTACCATCTTATTCCTATAGAATGGTGGAGAAAAGAGAAACAGCAAACAATGTTTTTGAAGCCACACACACACCTTTAGTCACGTAAGATTTCTTATAGTGCAAATAATTTGCCAGATAACCTAAGTGACATGACGACTTTATAAAAGAGATACTGCTATCACAGACATAAAAGCCAGAAGGGAACAAGCAACATGGATATTTATCCTCCATCATGGCCCTTAGTTATGGTATCAGATTGGAAATAGAATCAAATTCTTAGCTCAAGTATAGCACAGTTTTAGAAAAAGGGAGCATTGTCACAGGCACAAAGCTTAGGGAAATTTGAGAAGAGATGTAGAGAAAAACAAACATGTAAATTGCTCTCTTTTCATGTCCTCCTTTCTACCAATAACCGCATATCTACTCTTTTTCTGTACTTCATTGGACATATTAAGATTTACAAGACCCTACATTGCTCTTTTGAGAACTCACCTAAATTTCATCTCTTGGCAAAATGAGAGGTCATCTCTCCTTGCCATCATTACTTCAACTAATTGACACAGTTTCGTTTTTATTTGAATTGCATGGACCATATTCCCAAGCACACGAACATACCTATATAGACATAGAAACAATAAAAAAATTATCAGATATAGACAAAAGAGAAGGCATTCTAAATACTTTAGTCATCAAGTAAAACGAATTAAATGTAAGTTTGAAAACAATAAGATATTTATTTAGAAAAGAACGTACACAACTTCTGGCTACCTTACTGTCACACCCTAGTTTGTGTGCAGTAAAGAATGGCCAGTTATTTTATCAATTACTACCAGTATCAGTGTGTAAGAGGTTTTTCTTATCTCTTAAAATGTTTCTGCTACATTTCAGTAGAATGCTTACCTGACCAGATTTAACATCATTGTTTCAATGCTAGCTTGCCCTAGATGTTCAGAGCTGCCTTCAGTATGATTATCTAGCAAGTTCTTCATTATAGCTATGGTTTGTTCTACAAATTGAGTATTGGTATCAGTCAATAAAACCTAAAGAAAGAACAAATACATTAATGATTTGCCATCAATGCCCAGAAGACAGACCCCCTAGAGAGATGAAACTGACTGATCTAAACACACAGAGTAAGTGCACCCACAGGCATAGAGCCAAATAAGCATACAGATATACGCAGACACTCGTACCCATACACAGGGCACGTATACCCTTAGGCACACATACACACCAGAGTTCCTAAGAGGCAAGCTGACCCCTACATTGAGATGACTCTTCTTTCTGCAATTTTTTGGAAATTTTTAAAAACTGTGAGTACCTAATTTAAATAATCTGAAAGAAAAAGGCTTATTTCAAACAAGTCACTCTATTCATAGAGAAAGGTGAAAAATAAGAGAACACTTTACCTGTCCTTGGGAGTCAAAAAACTTGCTGATGGTATTCTTCAATTTGTTAAATAGCATTGGATACAGAGCAGGACTCAATTCTAGACCCACCAGATCCTTAACATTGGTCCGTATTTGAAGTCCCACTTTCTCATGGTTACACACCATTAAGGACAACAGCCGATCCATAAATTTGCTGACAGGTGTATCTGCGTTTCCCTCTGAAGACATCACTGAAATCATAGAACCCTTACGTTCACTGACTGGACCCATGGGTGGGCTATAGGTTGCCAGGCCAGAATTGCTTCTCTGCTGGAGGCACACTCCCCCAAGGGCACAAAGGAAGCCAGTCATGTTGATCCATTCCTGTAGGGAGTCTGTGTCAGACAAATCTATGGATCCTCCTCCACTCACATGGGACATTCGCCTCTTAACAATGGTCTTGTGAAGGCTTTCAGCAGCCTAAACACAAAATTTTTGTGCAAAGCATGAATTAAACCTTAATTAGTTGAGACTTGACAAATTATGCTTTATCCAACATTTCTTCCATGACAAAAGTACAAAAAATGTAAAATATACATTAAAATCAACCCATAAAATTACCATATACATTTTTAAAGAGCCACTGATCTATTTTTATCATACACTAATATAATCAGCCGAGTGTCAAATTTCTTTTAAAAAGTTTTGATTTCACATGGATGAACCTTGGAAACATCATGCTAAGTGAAAGAAGCTAATCACAAAAGCCCACATATTCTATAATTCCATTTACAGAATATATCCGGAATAGGCAAATCTACAAAGACAGAAAGTAGATTCATGGTTGCCTAGGGCTAGAGACGTTGGGGGAAGAGAGGCAAGAAAGTGGGTGGGGGGTGGTTAGAGGCAGAGATAGCTAAAGGGTACGGGGTTTTTTTCTCAATTGATGAAATTGTTCTAAAACTTGATTGTGGTGATGGTTGCACAACTCTGTGAATACATTAAAAACAGTCACTGAATTGGACACTTTAAATGGGTGAACTGTATGGTATGTAATTATATAAAACAGTTATCCCCCCAAAAGCTTTCATTCTAAAGCTACATGTCCCCTCCAAATAAAGGTATTAGGTACACACATTTGCTTCGTAAAAATATAACTTTTTCCTATTGTAATTAAGCATGACAAAAACACCATGGAGGAACAACCAGTTTTTATAAATCACCTAATAATGAGAGCAATATGAACATTACAAATCAAATACACACAAACACTAACTGATCATTAATTTCCAAAGTAACAGATAATATAGTCAATAGTAATAGTTGAATGAACTGTCCACATTTTAAAATTTCATTTACTCTATGGGATCAATCTACTGCCTAAGACATTCCTTAATTAGAATACCTAACAAAATAGCAAAATGAATTGTTTCCATGTTAATTTATCTCTACCTCTGTTGCTCCTTTTCTGAAAATTCTGTGAAACACCCTGATGAAGGGAGAAAGAGCAAGAAAAGGTAAAGAAATGGTCTCTGCAACAAACAGTCTCTAGCAGTGCTGCCCAGTATTTCTGTGATGACAGGAACATTTTCTCTCTCTGCTGTCCAATAGAGTAAGTAATTGTCATATGTGGCTACTGGTACTTGCGATGTGGTTACTATATGATTGAGGAACTAAATTTTATTTAATTTTAATTATGTTAAAATTTAAGTTAAATAGTCACACATAGCTAGTAGCTACCACATTACAAAGTACAGGTCTAGATAAACCACAACTAAATATCAGTCTTCACACAGCTATATGTTTACTTTACTGAGCGACTCTTGAAAGATTATCAAAGTGAAGTACATATATTTAGCAGATCAGTTAACAGACAAAAGTCAACTTTACAGACTTACCTGGCCATCTTCCATTTTGGCTTTTGGATAGTTAAGGATTAGCTTTGTTGCTTGTTCCCATTTTGCATGTGTATCTTCCCAAGCCTAAAATGAAGGCAATTATCACTTGAAAGCAACTTAGTCTAGAGCTAAACATCAATCAGCTACAGCCAAGTTTCAAACTTGATGTATATTAAATACTCAGATATTATACTTGTAATATGCACGTATCTTGGATTTACTTCAAAAGCTATTCCTGATCACACATATGTAACAAGAGGCTTCCAAATTGAGGGTGGGCGCCTGGGAGGGGTGTTTCTGTTGCTAAGGGCATACCTCAGTGTTTCCTGCAGTGGGATGCTCAATGCGCCTCAGCAGTGCCATCACTCTTTTCTGAAGTGCTGCTCTTCCTAAGCAAATACAACAGCAAATCAAGTTACTGCACTTAGAGCCCTGCCTGCCAATGGAGAACCTGATAAGCTCCACCCAAAAGGAGTAGGAAGAGCAGAGCAAATGCTTCAAATGATAAAGCCAAAAACTTCCTTTCACTAACCTCACAGGAAAGGTACTTATCTTGGACTCTACAATGTCCACAGAATAAAATAGCTATTCCCACCTACAATTTACTCAAAACATACGCCAATGTTTGTAAAACTTCACTATCTACAACTTAGGCAGAGTAAATTACATAATCATAACTGATAGTAACATCTACTGCCAGTTATTTTTAAAATGTATAGCATATTAACAACTCAGTGGAAGACTAACAATTTATTTCAAATGCTTTTTATTTTCATCTTACTTTGTTCAGAAAAGGATTTCAAGTAAGCTACTTGAATTTCCCCTGTAAACTTACAAAGTAGTGACCTTAAATACATTCTCAAAATCAGATGCCATGTGCTTTGAGGCAGACTGAGTAAAAAAAACCACTATTCACATTTACCTGTTGACATCATATTGCTGACAGAGGCAAACTCCATGAATGTGTTATAGTTGGGCAAGAGGTTATGCACTGACACTTCATCCACCCCACACCGGATATCTGCTTCCTCACAGAGGTGGCGGAAACAGGACATGGCAACCAGAACAGCTTCAGTGTCAGGGTTCCACAGAAACATGTACAGGGCCACTTCTAGTTTGGTCTGGGCTTGTCGGCAAATCGGGGGGGTTCCGCTGCATCCTGCTGCACTATCCTGAGAGTCAAGGGTGGAAGACATATATTTGCAACTTGGGTAATTTTATGTATAAAATCTAACAATGCAATAAACTGTGTGTGTGTGTGTGTGTGTGTGTGTGTGTGTGTGTGTGTCTCCGCATACAATAACTCACAAGAGCTTTTTCCTTTAATCATTATAGGAATTTTTCAAACCCCAAAATATCTTGTCCAAATGAGAAATGAGATTATCTGGACCAACATAATGCTACCATCTGTTCAATTTCAAATCAAATAGATATTATCCTATTCCAGATTCCAGAAATGTAAACTGATTCTAACATGGACAGGTAAACACCATAACGTAAATCTACTGCAGTAACAATATAATGTACCTCCCAGTCAATTAGAAATGACAAAAAAAGAGGAAGTAACAGGAAATTCTATCTACTTGCTATAGGGAAGTAATAAAATAAGTACACTGCAGCACTCATTGAAACAAGGGCATAAACAAGAACTAAATATTGCTGTAGAAGATACATTTGATTCTGAATTACTTATTCTCCAAACACGAAATGGAGAAAATAATTGATAAAATAAATGCAAATTCTACAAGTAAAACAGACATTAGTAAATATCATACTGCTTAGGTGTTTCTTCCTTAACAAGGTTGCATTAAAAATTAGGAATGAAAAAAGTTTTGGTTTGGAAAATAAACTCTTCTGTAATGATGTGATATTTTCACTTGAAATATGATTTATATTTAAAAGAAATTATACACACAAACACAAATCACAGAAACACTTATCTTTAACATGAAGCAAAATACTTTGTTTTTATCCCTGTAAATCTGTACCTTTGTTAGCCGGTACGAATTCTATACTTCTGTGGTATGAATGGGTTTTTTATGGAGTGGAGGTTTATAATAATTATAATTATCAGATATAGCTTGTAAGTGTCAAGTGCTATTTACACATCCTTTTATTTAACCCTCTTTAACAACTCTGGGGCAGGAACTATTACTGTCCCCATTTTAAAGTTGAGGAACTGAGGAACAAGGATGTTAAGAACTTGCCCAAAGTTCCACAAAGAGCAGTAATAGAACTAGATTCTAAGCAGTTTTTCACTATTACACTATATTACCTAGATGAAATTTACCAAATTTCATTCAGAAAACAAACAGAGCACATAAAATGATACAGAAAAAGTACAGAAGAAGCTGACCATAGAGGAGTTCCCTTTTCCCTTCCGGAGAGAGGCTCCAGGAGTACGTAGTAATTCTTCATGATCCATGGACATTTGACTGGTATTTCCACTAGAAGGAATATCACATCCTACCCCGTAAAAAAGGAGAAAGTGACAGGAACTTCTATCTGCCTGCTAGAAAAAAATAAATAAATAAGCTTTACTGAAGCACTGACAACCAAGAGGAATAAACACTTATTTGAGTTGTCTTCCTGTTTGAGACTCTCCTAAAAAACCTCTCCTCTCAATCTCTATGCCCCAACTTGAAGGAGATTCACTAGAAACCCATTAGAACAAACAAGGTTTACTTAATTCTTTAAAATTTCTTTCAGTTTCCCATTCTCTAAATCATCAGAAACAGTAGATTCTACAAATATAAATTAAGTCTGACATAAACATGAGTAAAACATCAACAATATAAATCTACTGTATGAAAACTATAATTTGATCTCAATGACAAAGATTTTTTTTCCATAAGATTTTATACTGTGCCATGTTGGGATAACCAGAAATTGGCTCTTGAGATTAAGTTCTTCTGGACCAGTAATTAACTCTGGTATGTATATACACCAAGTATGTCACAAGAGTGACTATGCCTACCAGGGCACTATGAATTCATTACTGGATTCCTCATACTCACATTCTGGAGATTATACCATAGGCGAGGCCATGAAAGTCTGAAGTCTAATCTCTTTCTGTATCTTTGGAATAATGCCAAATTCCACTACATTAACATATCAAATAAGTCACATGTGAATAAACCCACTTCACCATTAGTCTATTTCTAAAGAGACAATTTATTAATAACAAGCTGTAAATACTGAAAAGGATATGAGTTTCATACATTTAAGGTCTTTCACAGCTATGCTTCTAGTACCAGATAAAAACTCATTAAATCAAGTACTCCGAAAACTAGGCCATAACAGAATTCCTAAATTGATTAATTACAGAAACTATATGTTAAAAGAAATTTAAGGCTCTTCTCTATCTTCCACAACCTCACCATGTTTCAATAGTTCAGAATCAAAACATTTCACTCCACCCCAATGAAAAAGTCTCCTGATATTTTCAAGAGGTGAAACCCTTATTGGAGGAATCGAAATAAATCTAGATTGAGGACCCTCAACTGTTTCCCTTTTGCTTCTTGATAGATAATTCTCTGGACTAGTCTAGCCATGAGATCTAGGTCTTTACGATTTCTCAGAGCTATGATTCTAGAACTGGACAAAAACCCATTAAATCAAGTACTCCCAAATCTACGCCATAATAGAATTCTTAAATTACAGAAGCTATATGTTAAAATAAATTTTATGTATGAATTATGTCTTATGTATGAACTTAAGAGTAAAGATACAATATGCTCCTCAAGCTACTCTGGTTATAGCAGCCCCCACTTTTCCTAGGCCTGCCCCATAGAGACCTATTTAACTCAACTAGAACTAGAATTCATCAACAGTGTGGTTCTAAGGCCAAAGCCTCAGAATAATTTTTAAAATGCTGATTTGCCAGTCATTGTCCTCTGCATACATATTTCCTTTTGAGAACATTGGGAGGAAGGAGAAGCTGAAATAGAACCTAATTTGGCTATAAAACACTTTAGTAATCTCTCACCATTACCATTCCAAATATTCTTCCATTTTTTAAATATGTCATTTTGCTTACCTTATTTTTAAGAAGAAATTTATTCCTGCAGATCAATATTTCCCGCAACCACTTGAGAATTTCTGTGCTACTAAGCATTTGATGACTAGTTAATTTCTTGCAGATGTAAAAAAGCATTTGTGAGCTGCAGTAACATAAAGTTCATTGTTACTAGCATCATCAATAACCTAATGCAGATATAACCAGACATAAGAATGGCATTCTCCCATAATGAATACAAGTTTAGAGAAGCTTAGTTTTTCTTGTAAGGTTTTAGAGAAACAGTTATCAAAGTGTCAATAGCATTATAATCAAAGGAAATAAGTCTACAGGTTATAGAAAAAAAGCAAGTATTTATCTATAAGCCCCCTATGTTTCATTAAACTCCCAGTGTTTCTATCCATGTATCTCATCCTTGTAGTAGACATAAGAAGAAACAATAAACCACATGCACAGCAGAGACTGCCTATAAACCCAGTGCTCCACAGTGGGGGTCTGCAAGCTACCATCCACAGGCCAAACCTAGCCTATCACTTGCTATTGTAAATATACAGTTTTAGTTAAACACAGCCATGCCCGTTCATTCACATGTCTGTGGCCACTTTCATGCTCCAAAGGCAGAACTGAATGGTTATGACAGAAACTATATGACCCACAAGCCCTAAAATATTTACTATCTGGCCTTTTAGAGAAAAGTTTCCTGATCCCTACTCCAGAGCTGCACTGTCTAACATGGTAGCCACTAGCCAGCCACACGTGGCTATTGAGCACTTTAAGTGTGGCTTGTTCAAATTGAGATGTGCTGTAAGTATAAAAGACACACCAAAGTTTGAAGACTTTATTAAAAAAAAGAGAATGAAATGTCATTAATAACTTTTATATTGATTACATGTTGAAATTATAGATAATATACACCGGGTTAAACAAAACATAATTACAATTAATTTTACCTGCTTCTTTTTACTCTTTAATGTAGTAAGTAAAAAAGTTTTTAACATATGGGGTTCTCATTATATTACTAGTGGACAGCACTACTCTAGAGTAAGGTTTAATTCAGCTGCCAAGTAACTTAGCACACCCATTCTTATAAGATAATGGCAAACTTGAGGTTTACACATTTACATTTTCCTCCGTGTGGTGACTTCATGCTCATTAAAATGTAATGATTTGTATAATCTAGGAAGCAGACCACAAAATTCTGCATACATTTTTTTCTTCTAAGCAGGTGTCCATTATTAATTCATTCATCGAAAGCATTGGTATTACAGAAAGTTTATGAAAGATCATAGTTCAAAAAACTGAAAAAACAGTATTGTTACAAAATTTTATCATTCTAGGCTTATAACTATGAAAATCTATTAAAAATACAGTAGTAACCACATTGAAATCTGAAAAAAGTAATATACCAAACAACAGTACTTATGTTAGGGTGACAAAATTTAGCACTATTCTTAAAATTTATTTTCTAAATTGCTGTGATACTTTTCTTACAGTTAAAACAAGAAATTCTAATAATTTGAAGTCAAATAAAATACAAAACCATAAAACCTTTGGAAGTGTAAGTTTTACAATGTACTAAGTACTACAGAGTTAATATTTCAAGACAAAAATACAAAATAAAATTTAAAAGTTGAATTTAAAAAATAAAAGTACATATACCTAATCTCCCAAAATGTTTCTACAGGAGCATCAGGATTCCACAAATCAATGCTATCTAACTGATGAAGAACCAGCAGAGCCTGAATTTTTTAAAAAAGAGAAAGACAAAGAGAAGACTCACTCAAACATTTTTGGTAAACATAACACTGGAGTACTTATTTTATAAATGCTAAGAAATTGAGCTCTTTCATTTGTAGTTTCAATATATAGTAAAAGGTAAAAAGAGAGAAACTCTGGTGAACACAAACCTCTAGGGAATAATACAGACAGAATGAAATCATTTTATTCCCATCATTCTGACTCTAACTGGCATGTACATATAAAGCTAAATGATGAATTCGGAACAATATATAACTGTAAAAACTGCTTTAAGAAACAAACAAAATAATTTCAATAGATATTAAAGAACTCTATGAAACAAAAAGCTAATCCCCAAGTAAGAAGGCTTGCCAAAATTAATACACACAGCAAAAGATTTACTTATCTTTTAAGTTTTTACTTAAACTGTCTCACTTGCCACAAAGTCTCTTGTAACAGAAAAGAGCAATTATTTTTCAAAATCAAGAGAGAGGAAGCAAAATGGATTCAGTATTTCATAGCAGATTATCCATTCTAAAGTATTTCAATTGACCACAGAACTGAAGTTGGAATCTGGCTCAGAGAACACTAACGGGAATTAAATAATTCATTTACAATATATAACATATAAATAGATTATTATATAAATTAAAACCATCAAAGATATAAAAAAAACACAAACTCTTCCTTCGAACTGATCTTATCTCAACTCCAATTCTACAATCCCAATTCACATTCCTCCCACCATCCCTCCACCCCCAACCCAGCAGAAACTGTGAAGCTCTGGACATTTCTTTCAGTCCTTGGTCAACATATCAACATTTAAAGGCCAGACCCATATTATCTTATTTCAAACATTTTTATTGTAATTACTTTGAGATATTTAATGAAAATTGCAATTAATTGTTGAGAATCTTAAAAAGCTATATAATTTATAGCTCTCATATCAAGGAAAAACAACACAAATTAAAATTCAATTTTGCTACTATTGTACAAAAACGTGGTACAATTTACTGGCACTAGTTTTTTTAAGTGACAAATTCTCTATATTTTTGTTTGATAAAACTTTAAAAATACATATTGAAAGAAAATGTGTTAGCCTTTTCCAGGCTTTAATTTTCTTTTCATATTGCCTTCTTTTTTTTGTATTTTCCATGTTTTAACAAAGCCATAAATGCAGTATACTCACTTGACATTTCATATTTTTCCATATTGCTGTGTGATCTATATAAGTTTTAATAAATGTTTAACAGCTCACCAAGTTAAAATAGCATTCTCACTATTGAATATTAACCCATTCTCCTCCCAGTAAATAAAGCTCTCTTAATATTCTATTATAATTAAGAGCAATAAGTACCTATGTGTGCAGCTTTTTCCTTTTGAGTTATATTCATAAGATTTTTAAAGTGATAGAAATTGAATTATTTGCATAAAAAAATGAAATGTTTGTATAGCTCCTGCCAAATAGCCTTCCAAAAAGACTACAAGAAATGTATCAATTTACGGGACCAATAGCAATGTACACAAATGGAAGCAATGATTACGTAGTAAGTGCTAAAATATTTTTATAAACATTTTTACTGGGTATGTATAAACATTTGTACAGTATGTACATTAGGATGGCTACAATCAAAAAGACACATTATAAGAAGTGTTAGCAAGCATACAGAACTATTAAAACCTTCATATGTTGTTACTGGGAATATAAAATGATACAGCTGCTTCAGAAAAAGAGTTTGACAGTTCCTCAAAAGTTCGACAGAGTTACCACACGACTTAGCAGTTCCACTCCTATATACTTAAGAGATATGTCCACATATAGACTTTTACACAAATGTTCATAGCAGCATTATTTGTAATAGCTAAAAAGTAGAAACAACACCAAACGTCCACCAACTGATAACTAGATGAACAAAACAGATCCATACAATGAAATATTTGGCAATAAAAAGGAAGAAAATAGTGATTCATACCACAACATAAATGAACCTTGAAAGCATTAAGTCAAGGTAGCCAGACATAAAAGGCCACATATTCTATGATTCTATTTATATGAAATATCTAAAACAAGCAAATCCATAGAGACAGAAAATAGATTAGTAGTTGGTAGGGATGAGGGAATGGGGAGTCAAGTTTCTTTCTGGGGTGATAAAAATGTTATGGATTAGAGAGTAGCTATAGTTGCACAACTGTGTGAATAAGAACTACTTAGGGGGGAGGGGGGAGGGATACCATTAGGAGATATACCTAATGCTAAATGACAAGTTAATGGGTGCAGCACACCAACATGGCACATGTATACATATGTAACAAACCTGCACATTGTGCGCATGTAACCTAAAACTTAAAAGTACAATAATAATAAAATTTAAAAAAAAGAACTACTTAAAATGGCCAAATTGAGGGTATGTGAATTATGTCTCAATTTAAAAATTAGTATTTTTAATATTTAATAATAATATTTTTAAAAATTTTAAAGTCAACTGCAATTAGAAAATCTCGAACTATTTTATTAAGCATCAGAATTTGTACAATGTTATTGCTATGTGATACAAAGCAAGTAAACCCCTTCTTTCTCCATGGAGTTTTATAAAACAATGTATAGACATAAACATACCATTTCCAGAAATGACATCTACCTGTTACTCACAGAAACCACACACCAAAGGAACATCATGAATGTACATAGTTACAATCTTTCCTTCAAGAACATGGAATTCATTTTCCCCTTACCTCCATTGCTTCCTGAGCAATCTCTGGCATGTGTGACTGAGGGACCAGTTGGACGAGCCCTGTAATTAATTCTGCTGTACTGCCTTGGGTTTCGGGCCCCTGTTTTCTTGGATTCTGCAAGGAAAAAAAGGAAACTTCAATTAAAAAAATAAATAAATCGAGAGAGATTAGAAGGAGGAAGAAATAGACAGTGACTGCTAAAGGGTACCAAGTTTCTTTTAGGGGTGATAACAATGTTCTAGAACTAGGCTGGACGCGGTGGTTCACGCCTGTAAGCCCAGGACTTTGGGAGGTAGTGGCGGGTGGATCACCTGAAGTCAGGAGTTTGAGACCAGCCTGACCAATATGGTGAAATTCTATCTCTACTAAAAATATAAAAATTAGCCAGGCGTGGTGGCATGCGCCTGTGGTCCCAGCCACTTGGGAGGCTGAGGCAGGAGAATCGCTTGAAGCTGGGAGGCGGTGGTTGCAGTGAGCCAAGATTGCACCGCTGCACTCCAGCCTGGGTGGCAGAGCGAGACTCCATCTGGAAAAAAGAAAAAAAGAAAAAAGAAAAAAAAGAAAGAAAGAAAAAAAAGTTCTAGAATTACATAGTGGTAATGGTTGCAGAACCTTGTAAATATACTGAAAACAACTGAATTGTAAACTTTAAGATGGTGAATTTTATGGTATGTGGGTATAGTATTTTTATCTCAATAAAATAAAAATTTTATTAAATCAAAACTTCTTTTGTTAGGGATTCTTTTAATCCACATCTATACTTGTTCATTAATGTGAATAATGTCCAGGGAAAATCCTAATGAAAACAAAAACCACGAATTCCCATTAAAAATTACATCAACAATATGAGGAATAATTTTTTTTCCAACAATAGTAAACTGGCTAAAGAACGTATCTCTGGTTTGGAACTTACTGGTTTTGAGCTTATACATGATTGTGATCAAAGGTAAAGGACATACATGTTGGATAAGGATTGCATGATTATCCTGTACAGCCCTCTTGACCCATACAAAGGTCCTGCCCAAATCCACACAGCTGGTAACAAAGCAAAGGCTAGAATTTGCATCGGCAGATACCCATACTTCGGTCCTTTTCATCGTGGAAAAATATAGTGTACTAAGCAAAGAAAATTAACGTTATGTAAAAATGTGAATGCCTACCTTTTTTTTTTTTTTTTTTGAAACGGAGTGCAATGGCGTGATCTCGGCTCACTGCAACCTCTGCCTCCTGGGTTCAACCGATTCTCCTGCCTCAGCCTCCCGAGTAGCTGGGATTACAGGCATGCGCCACCACGTCTAGCTAATTTTTGCATTATTATTAGAGATGGGGTTTCACCATGTTGGCCAGGCTGGTCTCGAACTCCTGACCTCAGGTGATCCACCTGCCTCGGCTTCCCAACATGCTGGGATTACAGATGTGAGCGACCACGCCCTGCCGAATGCCTACCTATTTAGAGACTAAAATGTTTCTCTTAACTTGGAAGCATATATTTGCACTTCAAGAATATATGGTTTGGCCAGGCATGGTGGCTCATGCCTGTAATCCCAGCACTTTGGGAGGCCAAGGCAGGCGGAGTGCTTGAGGTCAGGAGTTCGAGACTAGCCTGGCCAACATGAAGAAACCCCATCTCTCCTAAAAGTACAAGCCGGTTTGGTGGCGGGTGCTTGTAATCTCAGCTACCTGGGAGGCTGAGGCAGGAGAATCACTTCAACCCAGGAGGCGGAGGTTGCAGAGAGCTGAGATCACACCACTGCACTCTAGCCTGGGCAATATAGTGAGACTCTGTCTCAGAAAAAAAAAAAAGAAGAATATATGAAGCCAATGCAACTTGTGTCCCATATTTTATTTTGCTAACTATAGATTTTTCCCCATTATAATGACTAAGGTAAGCCCTCACTGCAATATATCTGTAATTCAAAACCGTTAGCTTATTTTCTGACATTCATATAAATTCATCCAAAACCAAATCATTTTTATTGAATGCCAAAGACACAACAATGAAAAAGAGAAGATGTGTTTCCCATCCTCCATGAGCATGTAGTCTCATGGGGGAAGATATCATCAATGAAATAATCAGATCAACAAGTATAAAAATGCAAATCACATAAGAGCTATTATTAAGGTACATGCTGCTATGACAGCCTATAACATGGAAAAGTGTCCGACTCAGGGAGGCTTCCTTAGTGCAGTGACAATAGCTTAGAATGAGTAGGAATTACTATGTTAAGAGTAAGCAGATTCTAGGCAGAGGGAAAAGCAACTGCAAGGGAGGTATGAAGGCATGTGGTTAGAAAGACTGAAAGGAAGACCATCATGAATAGAGTAAAGGAAGACAAAAAATGTAATGCTACATGTGGAAGAAATGGTAGATGGGAGAAAGATTTTGCACGACCCTGTAGATCTATTTGGAGTTTGGTCTTCATAAGCAAGAGCAATTTCAACTAAAAGGGTTCAAGCTGAGAGGGGGCATAATAAGATTTGCTTTTTAAAGAGACTGCCATAACTTCAGTGTGGAGAAATGATCAGGGGGATCTAAGAAACGATGCAAGCTGAGTAATTAGGAGGCTTGAGAAATTGAGAGTACTAAAATGGAAGACAAAATCATATTACTTTAAAAATACCATGATTGAGACCATTTAATAATTATTCCTACATTCCTCCTAAATTACTAAGACTCAGATTTTTTATGTAAAAGACAAAATGGTCAAATATTTACAACGAATCTTCTATTTTAATGTACTTATGGTTACCTTGAGAAAACTTATTAACCACTAGATGGCAGCAAAGCAAATAATTTCCATTTTAAATGATCCTTGGAAAATGGCAAGTTTTGCTTAAATTCTTCTTGAAGCAACATTTAGTAGAAACGGCATTGGTGAGTTTGGTGCCTGCTTTGAATGTGAATTATCACCACGTAAACAGAGTACTGCTAGTATTATGTGACCTTCATGATGAAATAATGCCACAAATAGCTTGTAACACATAACAAAGGAATGAAGAGAAAGGGAACTTCATTTTTTTATAGAGTTTCACTGACAGGTTTTATGGAATTTTTTCATGCCAAAGATCTGTTTATTCTAATTAGACTTTCAAACTTGAATGGGTTTTTCAGGCTTAAAGTATCACAGGCCTTCTTTTGGGGTCACTGATCCTTTGGGAATGTTCCTTCTTCTCTCCTCTCCACTCTCCAAGAAAAATTACTCATAAATACACATTTTTAAAAAATTCACGAAGTTTCATAGAACTCTTGGAATCATAGGCATGTAGTTACAAACTCCCTGTATTACAGTAATTTAAAAAATATGCCACCAAAATCGAAAGCACCTTAACACTTTTTAAAAAGCCAGTTACTGAGCAAAACGATAAGAAACCTTGCTTGATGCTGCTCTCCAGGGACTGAAGAAGCTCAACAAAGGTTAAACATGTCATCCTATGAAAGACACAATATAGAACTATTACATTTGGTGCATTAATTAGTGTTAAATTGTATCTTATTAATAGCAATAATAGCTAACATTTATTTAGTGCTTATTATGCACCAGGCATTGTTCCTAAAGCATTGTATGTACTATTTCAATTTTCCTAACAGTATCTCTGAGATAGGAACTATTATGATCCCAATATATCAGATGAGAAAACTAAGGCATAGAAAGATTAAATAGTCATCCAAATCACATAGCTAGTAGGTAGTCTCCAGCGTCCATGCTGTTAATCACTTCATTATGACTCATTTTTATTATTTGCGTTGTTCCTAATTACTCTGTGTACCAGAGTGATGTTCTCAGAAATTTAATATCATCTGAGGCAGTAAGAGTAGTTATGACAATAACTGACTACTAGCCAGGCATGGGGGCTCATGCCTGTAATCACAGCACTTGGGGAGGCCGAGGCTGGAGGATGGCTTGAGGTCAGGAGTTCGAAGGCAGTGAGCCATCACTGCTCCACTGCTCTCTAGCTTGGGAAGCAGAGCAAGACCCTGTCTCAAAATAATAATAATAATGATAATCACACTAACTCAAGTACTAACCACACCCATTTTCACCTCATTCTTTTTCCAATACAGTATTTGTAGGCAGAGCCAATGATAACAGAAAGCTGATAACACAAAGAAAGGGGGATAGAAAAGCTAAACTGGCAAAAGCAATCTGGAGATTTTTTAAACCAACAGTATAGATGTAGACACTGTGATCGATGGTCACTTCTATCCCCCATACCAGGATTATACCTGAATAATATATAACTTAGTAATAGGATGAGAACAGAGATCTCATCAAAGTATGTTAGTTTAATGATAGGGAAATTAAGAAGAAAGAGAAATGTTAGGAAATGATAAGGGCAATTAAGAATCTGATCTAATTATATTAGTATTCATTATACATTAGTTTTCTTAGAGACGTCTTAGTTTTCAGGTATGATCAGAAAGGATCAGTAAGTGCTCTTGAGCTAAAAATTATCCTCAAGGTCTTGGCGTTTCAGCTAAACCCAATTAACTTAGTGTGATAATTTTGAGACATTTCATAAAAAAATACTTACACAAAGCAAGAGCTTTGGATCTGCATGAATTAGTTTCACCATGGACAAGAGAAGATACTTATAGCTTCTTGTCTCCAGGTCTGTAGGTTTTTCTTTAAATTTAAGGCTTGTTACTTTTTCTTTAAATGTAAGACTCTAAAAACAAAACAAAAACATGGTATCAGACATAAGACTCAGGATAATAGCTATCCAACCTTTTAAAAGAAATTTATTATTAAAAACCTTTGAAAAAAGCTATTTTTTATACTACCAAATGTGTGGTATTAGTAGAAACACTCAATAGTAAGCATAAGGTCAGTATTATTAAGCTTAACAAAACAATGAAAATCGTTTTTGCACCATTTATATTTTTTTTTATCAATCTAATAAAACAATGAAAATCTATTACAATACTAAAAGCTTAGTATCAGGTTGTAAAACATCTATGTAAAAAACTATTTTCTAAAATGTAAAAACATAAGGGAAAAAAGATTTGGCCTATAGTTCTCACAAATATACACACTGGGTAATTTATTTAACAAACATTCCCCAGACATACATACAAGTATTTCATAGACTCTACAACATTATCAATTGTAAGATGCATCATTATTTGATGTCCCAAAAGGAATGAAAAACTGCTGTCAATTGTAAGACACCATTTAAAATAAGATACATTCCCAATTTTAGAGAAGAGTAAAAATAAGTGCTTCTTAGAATTAATGAAACATGTAGGCAATCTTTGTATTTACTAGTTTAATTGTAAAATTTGCTTTTTCCTTCGACGGCACTCCACCTCTTTTAAGTTACAGAATGCATGCATTTTGCCTGAAGAACATTTGTAAAACAGAAAGAACTCAGAAAGGTAAACTTACAGAAAATATGTTTCAATTATAGAGACATATGATGAATTAAAATAATTATAAATGTTTTTCAACCAAAAATCCAACAATTATATTCCAGAGCTAACATCACCTATTATTATAAAACATCTCCTTCCTTTTTTCCTTGAAAAGAACACAAAACTATCTGATTCTGAATGAATGTCTTTATGTAAACATATATATAATACAGAAATAACAAGACTGTGTACCAACTGTGGACCCATAATACAAATGTCCAGGTAAACAGGCTGTCTTTCAAAGTTAAGAAGCAGACATGCATATCTACAACACAAATGAACTATCCTCAATGTTTAAGTGAAATATGCATTTGTTATTATACCCAAGAACACCGAAGGGTTTTAGTCCTTGCGGGGAAGAATAGCTATTTAATGCACACATTTATACTCAAGAATGTCACTACAGAAGAGAAATAGCAAAACTTCCAAATAGTTTGCTTTTTATAACTGCCCCCTGACCCCAAAGCAAATGTTTTACTAAATGATTTAATAAATTCTGGTTTTACTGTTTGCTCTCTTTCAACTGTATTTTTTTCCTCACTCTAAGTTGAGGTGTTTCACCTCAGATCAAGCTGAAACTTTGATTAAACGAATTTATTTACTTTGATGTAACTAAGTGTAACTATCAAATGGCTCTTCCCTGATGCAGCCATTGCACAGGAACACAAGATCAGAGAACAATGAGCAGGTATCAGAATTTTTCCTTAAGAATCATTTCCAAAAAACGTAAATAGAGTCATATGCCACAAAACAACATTTCAGTCAATGATAGACAATATGTAACATAGCTGAAAAATTCCTATCACTTAGTATCATAGCCATCGTGATGTCCAAGCACAATGCGTTATTGTTTGTAGTGATGCTGGTGTAAACAAATCTTCACTTCTAGTCATATAAAAAAAAAGTATAGCACATACAATTATGTACAGTATACAATACTTGATGAGAATAAATAACTGTTACTGGTTTATGTATTTATTATAATATATATATTTTGAGACCAAGTCTCACTTTGTTGCCCAGGCTGGAGTGCAGTGGCGCGATCTCGGCTAACTGCAACCTCTGCCTCCCGGGTTCAGGCAATTCTCCTGCCTCAGCCTCCCAAGTAGCTGGGACTACAGGCATGCACCACCACGCCCAGCTAATTTTTTTCTATTTTTAGTAGAGAAGAGGTTTTGCCATGTTGGCCAGGCTGGTCTCGACTCCTGATCTCAGGTGATCCACTTGCCTTGGCCTCCCAAAGTGCTGGGACTACAGGCGTGAGCCACCAGGCCCAGCCTACTATAGTATACTTTGTATTGTTATACTCCTACTTAAAGATAAAAAGTTAACTATGAAACACAGCCTCAGAAGGTCCTTCAGTAGGTATTCCAGAAGAAGGCATTGTTACCACAAGAGATGACAGCTCCACACGTTATTTCCCCTAAAAACCTTCCAATGGGAGCAGATGTGGAGGTGGAAGACAGTAACACTGATTGATGATCTTGACCCCATGTAGGCCTAGGCTAACGTGTATGTTTGTGTCCCAGATCTTAAAACAGTTTTCAAAATAAAAATTAAAATAGAACATTTTCAAATAGAAAAAACTTACAGGATATAAAGAAAAATATTTTATACAGCTAGCTATACAAAGTGTTTTAAGCTAAGTGTTATTACAAGTCAAAAAATTAAAAAATTTAAAAGTTTATATTTTAAAAGCTACTGTAAAGTTATCATATAAAAATATTTTTTATAAATTTGATATAGCTTAAGTGTAGTGTTTATAAAGTCTACAGTATAGATCCTGAGTATGAGAAAAATGCAAAAGTATTAAAAGTAAAATAAATTTAAAAAAATTTTAAGTCTACAGTAGTGTAATGTCCTAGGCTTCACATGCACTCAACACTCACTCAATGACTCACCCACAGCAACTTCCAGTCCTGCAAACTCCATTTGTGTTAAGTGTCCTATACATTTTTTTCTTTTATACTGTATTGTTACTGCACCTTTTCTGTTTGAATAAACAAATACTTACCATTGTGCTACAACTGCCTAAGGTATTCAGTACAGTAACATGCTGTTTAGTCTAGGTTTGCAGCCTAGGAGCAGTAGGCTAGACCATATATCCTAGGTATGTAGCAGGCTATATAACCATCTAGGTTCATGTAAGCAGACTCTATGATGTTTGCACAATGACTGAATCACTAAGGATGCACTCATTTCTCAAGACATGTCCCTGTCATTAAGTGATGTATGACTATATTAGTTTAATTATGTCACCTCTTAATCCCAAATATCAACATGTAAATTCTGTTCCAACATGGTTGCCTAATATGAAATGTATGACTTCAGAAATTCCAATAAATTTAATTCATCT
Organism: Homo sapiens; assembly: GCF_000001405.40. Classification (NCBI taxonomy): domain Eukaryota; kingdom Metazoa; phylum Chordata; class Mammalia; order Primates; family Hominidae; genus Homo; species Homo sapiens. The sequence goes on along the minus strand of NC_000017.11, from coordinate 31,211,349 downwards.
CAAATACCTTTTAATTTTAGTGGGTTACAGAAAGTGAGGAAAAACATGCTAAAGAAGCAATGTGTTTCTTAATTAGAAATGTAAGAAAAAAATTCATTCATTCATTAGTTGATCTTCTATATTGCAGGTATTAGTAGGAATAGAAGCTGGTACATGTGATCTGGCCAAAGATGAGAGGCAATCATGTCTGGGAAGAAATTCATGAACCAGAGTCTTCAGATATCTATTAAAGGCCCAAACCACTTGTTAATTTAGACCATGTGACTGAATAACAGGCATGTAAGAAAGATCTGGTGAGCCAGCATGCCACTTAAGATAAAAAATGTTGAGAAATAACAAATACTTGTGAAAATTCATATATCTGTTATTGGCAGTTTTGAATTTTATGAAAGCAGGAGATGTTAGTTTGCAAATAGTAAAATCAGTGCTAAGACAAACATTTCAAATATTAAAAAAATACTACAAAGGTACAAAGGAGAAGTTATGGCTCAACATTCATATAAAAAGGGCCAAAGAGTTTAAATAACTAAAAAGTCAACATAAAATAATAATACTATCTTAGATTGTATTAATAGAAACAGGGTATACAAACACAGCAGTTTAATAGCTTTTATCAATTATTACATCATAGTATTATATCTGTATCACTAACATCAGATCTTAATATGGCATTTTAATTTTAAAAATTTTTGTCAGGTTGGTCTTTCCAGAAGAGAAGCAAATCAGAAACAGGAGGGTTTTTTGTTTTTTGTTTTTGTTTCTTTGAGACAGAGTCTCGCTCCGTTGCCCAGGCTGACAGTGCAGTGACACAATCTTGGCTCACTGCAACCTCCGCCTCCCGGGTTCAAGCAATTCTCCTGCCTCAGCCTCCTGAGTAGCTATAACTACAAGTGCCTGCCACCACGCCTGCCTAATTTTTTTGCATTTTTAGTAGAGACAAGGTTTCACCATGTTGGCCCAGTTGGTCTCAAACTCCTGGTCTCAAGTGACCTGCCCGCCCCGGCCTCCCTAAGTGCTGGTATTATAGGCATGAGCCACTGTGCCCGGCCTGTACGAGGATTTTGAAACCACATCAAGTAAGAAATTCATTCCTTCATTCATTCTGCAAACATGTACTAAATGCCCAATATGTATCAGATGTTGTTCAAACGTTAGGGATTCAGTGTTGATTAAGCCAGACAAAGCTACTGCTTTCATCAAGCTAACTTGCTAGTGAAGAAGGACAACTAAAGAACCTGATAAAGACACTGAACTGAATGTCAAGAAACCTCAGAACTAACTCTGGTTGACTGTTCATTAACCATGCATTTGTTATTAATATAACTTTATTTAAGCTTCAGTTTCTTTAGCTATAAAAACAGACCCAACAAACACACATACAGTTTTAAAGAGAGCTAAAAGAGGCCAGGCACAGTGGCTCATGCCTATAAGCCCTGCATTTTGGGAGACTGAGGCAGGTGGATCACCTGAGGTCACAGTTCAAGAGTAGCCTGCCCAAAATGGTGCTAAATGGTCTACTAAAAACACAAAATTAGCTGGCATGATGGTGGGCACCTGTAACCCCAGCTAGTCGGGAGGCTAAAGCAGGAGATCACTTGAACCTGGAAGGTAGAGGTTGGAGTGAGCCAAGATTGCATCACTGCACTCACTCCAGCCTGGGTGACAGAGTGGGACTCGGAGTGGGACTCTGTCTCAAGAAGAAAAAAAAAGAGAGAGAGCTAAAAGAATAAAATCCCTTCCAATGCCAAAACGATATAAAAATAAAACGAATTCTAGGAGTACAGAATAACCTTATTCAAATATCTGCAGGGCCACCTTGTGGAAGAATCAGAAGTATTCTATAGAGCTCCAACAGAAAGAGGATCAGTGATGGCTGTAAGTGACAGAGACATGATTCTATCTTGGTCGAAGAGAAAATTTTCAAATAATTAGCTCCTTCCAACAAGTAACTTGTCTCTCCAAAATACAAAGTGTTAGTAAAGCCTTGAAGCAGATATTATTTTACTTTTACTGTTTTGCAACAGAACTCCTAGATTGCTACTTCTGAAGCAAGCTAATGGCTCAGGTTTATCAGTCCCAAATCATTTGAGGCAATACAAATGAGGGACAACCCACTGAACATACTCTGTAATACAGTAGTTCTCAACTGGGGGTGATTTTGTCCCCCAAGGGGCATCTGGAAATGTTTGGAGACATGTTTGGTTTTCATGACTTGGAGGGCTGGGGGGTAAAGGGAATATTGGCATCTAGTGGGTAGAGGCCAGAGATGCTGCTGAATATCCCACAATGCGCAGTACAGCCCCCTATAACAGAGTTATCCAGTCCAAAATGTTAATAGTGCCAACAGTAGGAAACTCTGATGTTAGGTATTATCTGTAAACCATTTATTATATATATTTGCCTGTGTTGCCAGACTCCATGCCACCTGTAGTGAGTTTTTTTGTTTGATTTTTTTTTTGAGACCGATTCTCGCTCTTGTTGTCCACACTGGGGTGCAATGGCGCCATCTCAGTTCACTGCAACCTCTGCCTCCCAGGTTCAAGCGATTCTTCTGCCTCAGCCTCCTGAGTAGCTGGAATTACAGGGATGCACCACCACGCCTGGCTAATTTTTGTATTTTTAGTAGATATAGGGTATCACCATGTTGGCCAGGCTGGTCTCGACCTCCTGACCTCAGGTGATCCGCACACCTTGGCCTCCCAAAGTGCTGGGATTACAGACGTTAGCCACCGTGTCCGGTGTTGAGTTCTTCATTAGACATTTTCAAGCAAAAGCTATAAACCTTTTGCTTGGAATCTCGGTGAGGGGAAGTGCTGTGTATGTTTAGTTCACCATGCTTCCCTGGCATTAGCACCTTTGCCTGGCAAAGAGTAGAAGGTCAATACTTCCATACTGGTTATCTGACTGTTAACTCACCAAGTTTATGAAGGGTGAGATTTTACCCTAACAGCCATTCAAAACCTAAAATTTTCTTATTCTAAAAATTGTTTCATATTACATTTGCTATTTATTTTCTCTCCTGGTAATATCAGCCCAAAAGCTGTCCTTTAGTCATTATGTACAAATATACATACATATAACATTTCAAAAACATAAACAGCTTAGGAATGATTTTGAAAATTAAATGTATATTGATATTTTCAGAAAATAATTAGAAATAAAAACTAAATTCTTATTACAGGTGTCCTTGAGCCAAAAGAGGAAATCCTCTCTAGTTATGGCTTTTCGGTAAAATAATATGTAGCTCTGAGAATCAGCTTATAACTAGGGCTAAGAAGTAAAATAACTTCTAAGTGTAGAGAACATATTTAGACTACCAATCAAATTTTACCTCTGTTCAAAATAATCATTTAGTTTCATTTTTAGTCCTTATTCACAGAAAATTATGGGCAGCTGGTAAAGTGGATATTGAAGTTAAATAGGAAGTGAATATTAACCCCCCAACAAGTCCTATTATTGGAGGTCATTAACTTTCTACCAGAAAAGGTAGTAAACTTAAAGCAAAAAAGTCAAATAAACTTCTGATTTCCCAGATCTCTGGAATAAACAGGTCAATAAATAACTTTTAAACAACTTATTTCAAGTAGTTTTAAAAGATTTTTTAAAAATATCTTATTAAATGACATTTAAACAGCTATTATTTATGCTTACCTCCAATTAACTTATACCTGTACTGAAAATTTCTTCAACTTAAAAAAAAGTGAAGTACTTGGCATTACAAAAAGTCAACTAAAAGGTAACCTTGCATTTTAAAGTTTACTTAAGGAAACATCATTGCCATGATCTTTTGGCTATATTTTTTAGGCTCAATAATCCCAAAATATATGACATAAAAAACTTCTCTATTTGAACATCTAAGATAAACAATCCTCAGAAATAATTACTGACAACTGGATAAGAGTGAACCACAACTGTATAAAACCAAAATATTTCACTGACTAAGGGGACTTGGAAAAAGAGAAGCATGCCAGGGAGAAAGCTGTTTAAATTATCTCCTAACTGTGAAATGACTAACTTACTAGATAAAACCAACAGGTGAAGACATGCTATATTTTCAGTTGAAATGACAAGATGTGACTATAATGGTAACTATACACAGAAAAGTCAAAGAAACCAAGGACTTTTCTGATGTAGTTACAATGGGTCATACTTACAGCCACAGAAGCCCACTGCCATGCAAAACAGTGACTGGTTGGCATCTGATCATGTGAGCGACAGCAGCCAATAATAGAAAATAAGAAGCAGAAGACAAAGCACCACCAATCAATGTCAAGAGTTGCTCTTGTATAATACTCTTGCTATACATAAACACCAAAAAAATGACTTCCACAATCTTATAATTATCTTTTTAAATTGATTCCATAGGAGTTTTAAAATTCCATATTAAGAGTAATAATCTGTGAGAATACCCAATTTTAAGTCTGCTTTTTATTAAGTTTAGAGTCAAATGTCAGTATCAAAGTTCCTATCAGTTGTAAAACCTCAAGGCATATTTGTTGAAATACAAAATATTTTTATTTTAAATACAAAAACTCTAAATTTTATTCATTTCCTATGTTTAATAGTCACCATTCAATTAGCTAAAATGTGCATTGGCAGCAACATTCACTCTAACCCAGGAGTCAGCTTCCCTTACTCATCCCCAAAACGTGAGAGGCTAATCAAAATATTTTTGTTCAAAAGTTTTAAGGAGAAAAAAAACTTTAAAAACAGAAAAAAAAGGTGACATTCATTAAGACTTTCAGTGTTTTGTGAGAAAATTTATCTAAGAAAAGTTAAGTTCAACTCATGGAAACAGTGGAAAACAAACATAATCTAGTATTCAACAATATTCTAGATACAACATACCACAACATTTAGAGGAAATGAAGGACCCATTCAATTCTCTAAAATAACCAAAGCAGCAGGAATAGGATAAAGACACTAAAAAAAATGCAATAGAAAGGAGGTGAGATTCAAAATTCGTGATTTATCTTACCGGTGCCATTCGTATTGCTGGGTGTGCTCCACAACCTTGCACTGCTTTATGAAGTGTTTCACCAAACATATTTCGAAGTTCAACCGAGTGACAATACACAGCATCAATCTTAGGCCACCAATCCAATGCGGACTAGAGAAAAACAAAGACCAATAGGAAGAAAAAGTACAAAATTACGTGAGTTGTATGCTCTGTTTATCACTGTAGTTTTAAGTTTTATCCTTTTGTCGGGAACTTTCTAAGACCATGCAAACACACACCATGATTTCCAAAGTCTTCAAACAACGTCTTTAATTCAAACACTAACTCATACATATTATATTATAAAACATAATAGTGAGCATGAGACAAATTGCCCACTTTATGAGCATGTGCATGTGAGACATCTTTTCTCGATGATTAGCCAGTGAATTTGAAAAATAAAGTCTTCAGAGAGCTAATCTGTAGCCAATCTTCTTTTTTTTTTTTTAAGTTTAATGTTTTACAATTTCTGGCACACGTGCATACATGGCATATATTTTCCCAGGTAAGAATGCTATTATCAAAGCTTTAAAAGTGATTAGTGGTTCAACACAGTATTAAAAGTGTATGTGGAAAACCATTACTTATATGTTTACAGACAACAATGATAATTACAACATGAAATTAGTAAATGAAATAAAACTATTAAGTAAACCTATAAATTGATATGCAATGATGACATGATATATGGGAGACTAACAATTACCATAAACAAAGACAAACTGATCCTAGTGAAATATTTTTTAAACAATTATTTTATGTATTTTCTATTTCAATTTACCCTGTTTAACTCTGATGTCTAGTTTTTAGTGCCTATTTTATTTGGAAGTGTATCTTTAACTTTAAAATGAATTACTTGATATATTATTAAAAAATGACAATTGTGAAAATCACTATATCTTTAAAGTCTATCATTTAATAAAAAACTGACTGGATGAATTTTCACTACATATGTAGACTATGCATTAAATGACCTAAAATGTAGGCTTCTAATTTATAATACTCCAGATGTTTATTTAAAAAATCTGGAAGAATAATACATTCAAATTGTAGATAAGAGGGATTGAATAGCCTCACATCTCTCACATTTCAGTCCCAGATTTTTTCTTATTCAAAACTAAGCTAATTGAAGTCTCGACATTTTAATTTCTTCACTTGGAATTCTCAGAATATTTTGAATAGCATCGAGTTATATTACCTTAACCCAAACTGTGGATTACAAATCCTGTTCGCCGGATAGTAAAATATAAAACCAACTTATGATACACATTTTGAATACTGAACTCCATTCAGGGAGGAATCCCAAAACTGGGAGGGAAGAAATGCTTTTTTGGGACAGTATGGTTGTTTACATTTTTCCCTCAACTCCTACTTTATTTAATCTAGTTTCTACAAATGATCAATTTTTAGTCTGATAGTATAATGGATTCCTCCAACTCTCAGCAATTTTGACTTGCCCAAAGCAACCAATGCAACTTGATTTCCTTATACTTACTAAATTATACAGCTTGTGTTAATCAGCCTAAAGTAACAAAAAGCTGAATAATAACAAAGTACATTGAGTGAAGGGTCTTCCTTACCCAACACATCTCGTAAGATCTTGTCAGAAACTGATAAACTAAGAAAGGCATCCCATATAACATCCTATTCAAATTACTGTGTCTTTTTTTAATAGCTTTTGAAACCGTATTGTGGTACCAGGTGCACCACATAAAATAACTTTAGGCTTAAGATTTAGTAATTTTCATAGTTTTCATTTTTCATAATATATTCATTTTAAAGTAAAATACACATTTTCAAATAAAATAAGTATGAAAAACTAGACATCATGTGGTTGGCAAAAAAGTTTAGTATTTTGAGCAGTTACTAAATGTGCCCTTCCTGAACACCAGTCAATTAAAGTAGACTTACTCTTTTTTTCCTTGAAAATACCATGTTTATAGCCAAATGGCAACACTTACATAATATGAACAAATTATGTGGCAATTCCTTAAGAGATTTAAATAATTTTCAAATGCCTTGGAAACAATTCCTTTCAACTACAACCTCTCAGTAGAAAGCAATCATCTCATTTTCAGTATGTGAACTATCCATATGTAAATTACGATAAATTGTCGTAAGGAAAAAACAGAAATAAGTAATATACCAGCTATAGCATGTACCAGTGATGGCTAAGATAATTGGTTCATAAGTGTGTATATTACTTTTTAAATTTCCCAATTACATATCTAATTTAACCTAAAGGAAGTCTATGAAGATTATGCATATAACATAGATCTTACAACTATTAATTCATCTCTTATGGCACATCATAATAAAAAAGATGACAGTACAACTACTATTTTAGTAACTGCTAGGAACCTGCATTATAATAAGAATCAAATAGTGGATATATTTTAGATTTTCTAAGAAGAAACACTAGAATATTTTAGATCTAAACTCAGTACTTATGAACTGAGTATGAGTATGTTTCACAAAAGTAGAACTCCAAACACCTTACTACTTCTACACAAACCCTCAATACACATCACTAAAACTTTTATCTTATTTGAGAATGTGATGCTTTAAAAAAAATGTGTGGACTGGCTAAAGAACCATGGGAGAAGAGAACTTATGAGGTACATTGAACCAAGAATCATTAGAAAAAAAATTTACACTACGAATGAATTTAAGATCAGAAGTCCAAATATCTAAGAATAATTTCATGTGATTTTTCAAGACAAAAATATTGCCATAATAAATGTCTTCAAATGAAACTCTAAAATAGTCAATCTCATAAATTTCTATATTCACTTTATAAATAGTCCTTTTCAACCAAAAGAGTACTTCAGATTCAATAGCGATTAGCCTCAAACCAAGGGGGAAAATATCCTAACGAGAAACAATTTCCCACACTATCTATAATAATAAAGTATCACTACCCAAAGCATAATTTAAAAAGATACTTTGAACTAATATTTATGTTCCTTTTCAAGCTATTTCATTGAAAAGTTACTGATACTTAATGTTTAAAAATTATTCAATGTAGTTTTTTTCTTTATAAAAACAGATTTTCATATAACTTGATCTCTGATACAGACACACTCCACCCTCCACACATGCAGTGCTCATTAGAGTAGAAGAGGATGCACAGCCACTTTCACCAAGTACACTGAGGCATGCATGAAGCACCACTCCAGGCATGCTTGGAACCCAGAAAGGAGCAGCTCAGCCACTTACAGCAGTGCCAAGTCCATGCTTGAAAGTGCTCTATGTAGTCAGTTGTAGACAAAAATATTTCACAATTAAAGTAACTAGCCACAAAGTATCAAAAAAGTATATATTTGGGTTTATTGTATACAAATTTTAAGCATTTATGCAAAGCTATCCACTCTTTGAATATTTTTAGTGTTCTGAGCCACAGCGGAAAAAAGCAATAATGACTTATTTCTGAGTTACACATAAACTTGAGGGGAGAAATCATCTTTTTGTTTTAATGGCCTTGAAAGTAAACCTTGAAGGTACAATGCCCTGGCTCATTACGCTGACAAAAGTACAGTGATTTTTTTTAAGTTTTTAATACAAACATACCTTATTTACAATCTTCATTAAACTTTCCCTTTTGGAACAAAGCATATTCAATGTTACTTTTACCTACAATTTAACTCAGTGATACTCAACTAAGGGAGGAGGTATCATTCCCTCAGGCATGTTTATTTGTTCATAATGACTAGGGATGGGGAGATGCAGCACAACTGGCATTTAATGAAATGAGGCCAGACGATCTTAAAGGTCCTGCAATGCCCAAGGCATCCTGCACAACAAAGGACTGTCCTCCCAAAATGCTCACTAAACACCTGCTGAGAAAAATTAAATGTATCACCAAATAGCTTTATCAATAGTTAATTTTCCACTGCAGGAATGGATAGAATATGGGCAGTATTTATTTTAAATAAATACAACATCCAGGGCAAATGAGGTGAAGGGTTATTTTCAACTCACCAGAGGCACAGTCTTAAAATGGAATTTGATTATAAACAGGTCAAATATACTAAGTTATCAATGATTACAGCCTCCTTTAAGGAAGGAAAGCATCAACCAATTTACCCATAAATGTGAGTATCATTTGATAAAAGTGGAACAATGGAAAATAACACTTGAAAACTTTCAAAATAGGGTTGTTCATTATTACAAGAACAGAATTTTAAAAATCCACAGTCCAAATCTGATAGTTTTGCTGTCTATTTAATGTCTCCACATCAGACAGAGTTGAAGGTTTCGCAAGTACCTTTTAATGATTTCACTTACTTTGTCTGATATGCTTTTGTATCTTGTTAATACCTACTTTAAAGTATGTTAATATTTCATTTTGTTTAAGAAAAATGAAATTTTACACTATGAATGAATTTAGGATCAAAAGATTTAAAAGTACCATCAAATATAGTCCCATCATTTTGTCAATGTGCTATACTAGACTACAACATAAATACTATTACTTTTAACTTAAATGGTAAGGTGGCAAGTCAATGTATCAAATGCTGAAATAATATGTTTGAAAAGCTTCGGGATGAAAATTTTAAACTGTATTTTCAGTGACATTTTTCTCAAGGGCTTCTGATCTGAATAAAACGTTTTAGATTTAATCTTTCCAAAGCATCTTATTAACTCCATCTTCCTTAATATGGTCCCTTCGGTCAAGACTTAATATGAAAAATACAAATATTTATCAATTATCAAATAGAATCACCATGGAGAAATTTTCCTATTTCATACATCTAAATTCAGAACCTTTTTGAAAACCAAGAGTGCATTTCTTAAAAAGAAATACGCAAAGAAAAGAAAGAAAAAAATTTTTTTAGTAATTTAGCAATACCTTTTGGACTTACATTGGTGATGATTCGATGGAGTGAATTTACCAGCACATAGTGAAATGTAGAAGGTGAATTCTGAGCCAGGCAGATCTATAGAAAAAGAAAAAAAAAAGCAGATTATTTCTATGAGAAAAATACTCAGTAATACAAATGAAGCCAAAAAGAACAGCAAATAGAAAGTTTAAAAAAAAAACACTAAGTTTTTAAGGTCTTGAAACGAACATCAATACATAATAGTGAGAAATACCGATAAAAGTGAACCTATTAATCTCTATAGTCTTTTTGTTTATAAAGGATAACAGCATCAGTAAATATAGTTAGATAAAAACCAATGCTCTCACCTTAAAGTGTTGGTTGTTGTGAGGGCTTATACGAAAGCAAGAAACAAGGCAGTCAATCATTAGATCCACATCTGCAGGCTGACTGCCTCTTGAGAATGGCTTACTTGGATTAAAAAGCAGGTTCTATAAAAACCCCAACAGAAAACAAAAGCCTTTAAATACCCATGCAGTATTTCTTTACTAACATGTAATAACATCAACACATTACCCACACAAATGGCAGTAAAATCCAGCTGCCAGAAGAAGCACAAAGCACCCATACTGTGGTTCATCAGTCTGATACAATTCTTCCTATACCATATATAGGTTCATTTCAGGCCCTAATTGCCACATTATTTTAAACCCAAGTCTGTATATTTATGCTTATTTAAGAAAATGGTGTTTTCTTCATATTCTCAGTCCATTTAGGCTGATGAACACAGTAACAACAAAAGCAAGTCCTATGAACTTATCAACGAAGAGTCAGAACTTTAATGTTAGCAATTATCTTTGACATAATACTTATGCTAGAAAATTCATTTAATTTTCTTAAAGTTTGTAGTAGAGAAAGAATAAGCATGTTACCTTAAGATCAACCACCATGGACTGAACAAGTAGGAAAATGACAGAGTTATCTTCCCAATTGATGTAAGTACTTGCTTTACACAGTTTGACACAGGCAATTGCAGCACTTTCTGTCAGCTGCCTACTTCCTCCATGGCCAGCAAGAGCTTTTCGTAGACTGTCCAGAAATAACTTCTACAGAATTCAAATATAGCGATAAGATAATATATGAAGTTTCTTCTATTCCAGATGTAGCTAATATTATAGCAAATTAACAGCCTCTAAAACTCATACTATAAAGAATGCATAATTTATATTTGTGGTTTTCAATTTCATAATTTAAGTAGTGGTCATCATTTAAATGTTTCTCAAATTTAAAAAAAATCCTTTTTCTATTTTCTTTATTGAATTATTAAAGGAATACAAAAAACAGTCCTTCCCAAACAAGCTGTTTTCTGAACTTCTTTTTTTTTTTTTTCCCAAGATGGTGTCTTCCTCTGTTGCCCAGGCTGGAGTACAAAGGCACGATCTTGGCTCATTGCAACCTCTGCCTCCCAGGGTCAAGCGATTCTCCCGCCTCAGCCTCCAGAGTAGCTGGGTTTACAGGCGCCTGCCACCATGCCTGGCTAATTTTTGTATTTTTAGTAGAGACAGGATTTCACCATGTTGGCCAAGCTGGTCTTGAACCCCTGGGCTCAAGTGATCCTTCTGCCTCAGCCTCCCAAAGTGCTAGAATTACAGGCATGAGCCACCACACCTAGCCTTCAACTTTGAATTCAGCTGACCATATCTTCTTTTTGATATTTAAAGTCTAAATATTATACTTTCTTGGCTCTGGTCTATGATAAACTGTTCCACCCTTTTCTAACACTCCAGGTTATATTCAACCTTCAGCCTTCTAAATAAGAATATATTCAAGGCTGTTCTGTTGCTCTAAATTTGTTTCTCAAAAAAAATTACCTATTCTTGTGATGTCAACCCCTCTTTACAGTTCATTAACAAATGTCTTCCTTTGGCTTTTCTCCTAAATGAATGCTCAAATGTAACATGTCAAAAACTAAACTCACCCAACACCAGCACAATATATTCTTCTCAAGTGTACATGGAACATTCTCCAAAACAGACCTATGTTAGGCTACAAAATAAGTCTTAATACATTTAAAGAAACTGAAATCATACAAAGTATGTTTTGTGATCATAATGGAAATGAAAAACCAACAGCAGATAAAAAAACTAAAAAATTCACAAATATGTGAAAATTTGTGAATGTTAACTAATAGATCAAAGGAAAAAATCACAAAGGAAATTAGAAACCAACGTGAGATAAATGAAAACGAAAACACAACATACTAAAACTTATAGGATGCAGTGAATGCAGAGCTAAAAGAAAAATGTAAACCTGTAAACACTGACATCAAAAAATAAGAAAGTTCTCATTCAATAACCTAACCATATACCTCAAGGAACTAGAAAAAGAGTAAACTACACCAAAGCTAGCAGAAGAAAGAAAATAATAAAAATTAGAGTGAAAAGAGAGAACAGAAAAACAATGGAGAAAAATTACAAAACCAGAAGCTGATTCTTTGAAAAAGTCAACAAAACTCTAGCTAGATAGGTTAACAAAAAAATAAATAAATAAAAGAGAGACAGAGAGAAAGAACACCAAATTACTAAAGTCAGATATGAAAGTGGTGACACGGCCAGATGCAGTGGCTCATGCCTGTAATCCCAGCACTTTGGGAAGCCAAAGCAGGCGAATCACTTGAGGTCAGGAGTTTAAGACCAGCCTGATCAACATGGTAAAACCCCCATCTCTACTGTAAAGAAGACAAAAATTACACAGGCATGGTGGTGCATGCCTGTAGTCCCAGCTACTAGGGAAGCTGAAGCAGGAGAATCACTTGAACCCAGGAGGCAGAGGTTGCAGTGAGCCAAGATCTTGTCACTGCACTCCAGCCTGTGCGAAAGAGCAAGACTCTATCCCCCCCACCCCCTCAACAACAACAAAAAAAGTGGTGACACTACTGATTTTGCAAAAATAAAAAGAATTATGAGACGATACTATGTAAAACTGTATGCCAACAATTTGGATAACCTGGACAAAATGGACAAATTTCTACAAACACACAGTCTACCGAAACTAACTCATGAGGAAATAGAAAATCTAAATAGAACTATAACTAGTAAAGGGATTAATCAGTAATCACAAAGCTCCCAAAGAAAAGGCTAGGACCAGATAGCTTTCACTGGTTGATTCCACCCAACATTTAAAGAATGCTTCTCAAACACTTCCAGAATATTAAAGAGAAGGGAACACTTCTCTTCATTAGTTCTATGGTCCAACATTACCGATACCAAAGCCAGACAAAAATACTACAGGAAAACTACAGACTAATACACCCTAGGAATACTGATGAAAAACTCAACAAAATCAGCAGCCTATTAAAAGGATGACACACCATGACCAAGTGAAACTTACTCCAGGAGCACAAGATGATTCAACAATGAAAAAATCAATGTAATATACCACATTAATAGAATGAAGAAGAAACTCCACATGATCATCTGAATCAATACAGAGAAACCACTTGACAAAGTTCAACACCTGTTATGATAAAAAAACACTCAAGCTAGGAATAGAAGGAAATTTCCTCAACATCGTAAAAGCCATGTATTAAAAACCAATAGCTAACAACATACTCAATAGTGAAAGATTGAACGTTTTTCCCCTAAGATCAGGAACAGGATGAGGATGCCCACTTTTTCTTCTTCTATTTGGCATAATACTAGAAATTCCGGACAGAGCAAGTAGGCAAGAAAAAGATGGAAAATTCATTGAATTTGGACAGAAAGAAGCAAAACTATGTCTATTCACAGATGATATATATGTAGAAATCCCTAAAGATGACACATACACACCAAAAACAAGCTGTTAGAGCTAATAAATTCAAAGTCACAGAATACAAAATCAGCACACAAAAATCAGCTGGATTTCTATACATTAGCAATGAAAAATACAAAAAGGAAATTAAGAAAACAATTCCACTTACGATAGCATCCAAAATAAAATACATAGGAATTAATCAGGGAGGTGAAAAACTTAATAAAAAACTACAAAACATTGCTGAAAGAAATTAAACATAAATAAATGGAAAGATATCTCACGTTCCTAGATTGTTAAGGTAACAATATTACCCAAAGCAATATACAGATTCAATGCAATCCCTATCAAAATCCCAATGGTATTTTTTGCAAAAAAAAAAAAAAAAAAAGCCAGGCGCGGTGGCTCACGCCTGTAATCCCAGCACTTTGGGAGGTCGAGGCGGGCAGATCACGAGGTCAGGAGATGGAGACCATCCTGGCTAACATGGTGAAACCCCGTTTCTACTAAAAATACAAAAAAAATTAGCTGGGCATGGTGGCGGGTCCCTGTAGTCCCAGATACTTGGGAGGCTGAGGCAGTAGAATGGCGTGACCCTGGGAGGCGGAGCTTGTAGTGAGCCGAGATCGCGCCACTGTACTCCAGCCTGGGCAACAGAGCGAGACTCCATCTCAAAAAAAAAAAGGAAAAACCCATCCTAAAATTCATATGGAATCTCAAAGAGCCGCATAATAGTCAAAACTATCTTGAAAAAGAATAAAGTTGGAGAACTCACACTTTCTTATTTGAAAACTTACTACAAAGCTACAGTAATCAAAACAATGTGGTACTAGCATAAGCACAGTCATACAGACCAATGGAATAGAGAGCCTAGAAAGAAACCCTCACACATATGACCAATTTTTGACAAAGATGCTAAGACCATTCAATAGAGAAAGGATGGTCTTTTCAACAAATGATGCTAGGAAAACTGATTATCCACATGCAAAAGAATGAAGATGGACCCTTTTCTTACATCATATACAAAAATTAACTCAAAATAGATCAAAGACCAAAACTTAACAGTAAAGCTATAAAACTCCTATAAGAAAATATAGGAAAAAAAAATATTTTCAACATTGGATTTGGCAAAGATTTCTTGTATATGATACCAAAAAAGCACAGGCAACAAAAGAAAAAACAGATAAACTGGATTTCATCAAAATAAAAACTTTTGTGTATCAAACGACACTATCAAGAAGATGAAACAACAATCCACAGAGTGGGAGAAAATACTTGCAAATAATGTATCTCATAAGGGGTGAATAACCAGAATATATTAAAAATTCCTATAACTAAAAAATAAAATAAAATTTAGAGCCTTACAAATACTTTACAGTTTTTTTAAAAACTGAAAATAGATGAACCAAGCCATTGCCTCAAGAAATAACAGTATAAATAAAATGAAAGCTAAAATTAATGAAACAGAAAAATTTAAATGCTAGGAAACAAAATCAAAGCCTAGGTTTTAAAGACCAATAAAATAGTAAACGTGAATGAGGAAAGAGAAATGAGTAAACAGTTACAAACATGGATACTAAAGATAATTATATGAGAATATGGAAATATAATATAACCTTTATATAATTGTACAAAATATGTAAGTATTATATACAACTCTGCACTGATAAAACTGAAATATATATTTTCTAGCAAAGAACAAACCATCAAAAGTGACTTTAAAAACAACAGAAATTCTTCAAAAAATCAAAAATAAAATAACCATATGATCCAGAAATTACACTTCTGGATATATATTCAGAAGAATTAAAAGCAGGGTCTTGAAGTTATTTGTACACCCATGTTCACAGTAGCATTATTTATAATAGCCAAAAGGTGGAAACAACTGAAAAATCCATTGGCAGATGAATTTAGATAAATAAAATGTTGGTATATATATACAATGGAATATATCACTCAGCCTTAAAGAGGAAGGAAATCCTGACATGCTACAACATGGATGAATACTATTTCAGCCATAAAAAAAAAAGAATGAAATCCTGTCTTTCAAGGCAACATGAATGGAACTGGAGGACATTATGCTAAGTAAAATAAGCCCATGTCAAAAAGACAAATACTGTATGAGTCCACTTATATGAGGTAGTCAAATTCAGAGAGACAGAAAGTAAAAGGACGGTTGCCAGGAGTTGAGGGTAGGGAAGAACGGAGAGCTGTTTAATAGATACAGAATTTGTTTTGGAAGATGAACAGGTTTTGGAGATTGATTGCACAACGATGTGAAAGATAGTGCTACTAAACTGTATGCTTAAAAATGGCTAAGATGGTAAATTTGATGTTACGTGCATTTTACCGCATACAAAATTTTAAAGAGACAGAAAAACTACACAGATCCATAAGGGAGCTCAAATAAAAGGTGATTAATGAGTTATTTTAAATAGACAATAAACAGGCTAGTTCTAGAAAGAGCATAAGAAACCAGTAGCAGTACTTGACTTAGGAAAAAAAGTATAAACTGAAGGTCAAGAGTGAATAGGAAGCTTACTTTTCCACTGAATTCCCTTCCTGATGTACAGTGAAAATTTCCATTATGTCAATTTATTTTTTTTCTTTAAAACTAATGATAAGCAAAAGTCAAAGGAAATCCTAACCTTGATGATTTTACAATGATTTCTATCTAATCAGATAATTTCTATTATTTAAATTATTCCGGGCCATAGAAAAGACTGATAGTTCCCAAATTCACATTACTAATTTGGCACAAATAACTGTTCGAATAATTAGTTACTTTCAAAAGTGATAATGCATATTATGTTAATTATACATATTTTCTAAGCATCAGAAAGCTGAAGCACTGGAAGGAAATGTTTTATTAAGCAGCTACCCAATACATTTGCCAATAGCCAACCAAGTTTACCTCACACACACAAATGAACATACTAAAAGTAAAGATTTCCAAATATATTTCAGCTCCAAATTTAAAGTGAACATTTAAATAACATAGAAACTATCTGACTGGATACAATTCAGCTCTAAAACTAGAGTTCAGGGCCCTTTATCTTTTGTTAATTATTAATTTTAAATTTTTTGATGTATTAATATTTATGAAGAACATAGTAACATTTTCATAGCTATACAGAGATCAAATCAAGGTAATTAGCATACCCATCATCTCTTATCATTTCTTTGTGCTGGGAACATTCAACATCCTCCTCCTAGCTCTTTGAAACTTTGTAACATATTGTTAATTACAGCCATCTTACAGTGGTATACAACACTAGAACTTACTCTTCCTATCTAGTTGTAATTTTGAATCCTTTAACAAATCGTTCCCTACCCTCCCCGCACCCTATCCTTCCCAGCCTGTAGTATTCTGTTCTACTTTTTACTTCTGAGATCAACTTTTTTTTAGCTTCCACATATGAATGAGAACACTCAGTGTTTAATGTTCTGTCCCTGGCTTATTTCACTTAATATAATGTCCTCCAATTCAATCCACGTGCCTCAAAATACAGAATTTCATTCTTTTTTATGGCTGAATACTATTCCATTGTGTATATATACCATATTTTCTTTACGCATTCATCTGTTGTTAGATACTTAGGATGATTCCATATCTTGGCTATTGTGAATAGTGCTGCAATAAACATGGGAGTACAGATGTCTCTTCAATATACTGATTTCCCTTCCTTTGGATAAACGTCCAGTAATGAATTGTTGGATCACATGGTAGTTCTATTTGCAGTTTTTTGAGGAACCTTCACACTGTTCTCCATAGTGGCTGTACTAGTTTACATTCCCACTAGCCACATTTAAGAGTTCACTTATCTCCACACCTTTGCCAGCATTTGCTATTTTTTGTCTTTTTGATAGTAGCCATTCTAACCGGGGTGAGATGATATCTCACTGTGGTTTTGATTTGCATTTCCCTGATGACTAGTGATGTTGAGCTTTTTTAAAAAATATATCTGTTGGTCATGTGTCTGTCTTCTTTTAAGAAATGTCTATTCAGGTCCTTTGCCCATTTTTAAATTTTTTGTTGTTGTTTTGTTTTGTTTTGTTTTGTTTTTTGCTGTTGAGATATCAGAGTTCCTTGTATATTCTGGATATTAATCCTCTGCTGGATACATACTTTGCAAATATTTTCTCCCATCCTGTAGGTTGTCTTTTCACTCTGCCAATTGTTTCCTTTGCAATAACGTTAATTTTTTAAAGAAAAGTAACTTAAATGCTTGACAATATGGAATTTAAAATATGGTACATTCAAGCTGGGTGCGGTGGTGCATGCTTATAGTTGCAGCTATCTGAAGGCTGAGGTGGAAGAAGATCGCATAAGCCCAGAAGTTTGAGACCAGCCTGGGCAACATAATAGCAAGACTTAGTCTCTTTTTTAAAAAATGGTATATTCAATTTAGGGAACACCATACAGCAGTTAAAGACAATGACCTAGATGAACAATGGTTCTCAAACTTCAATGTGCATCACAATCACCTGAAGGACTTAATAAAAATGGCTGTTTTTAGTGAGAAACTAAGTATTTAGTTAGAAACTAAGAACTGGCATTTCTCACAAATTTCCAGGTGACGCTGATGCTGCTGGTCTAAAGACCACACTTTGAGAAACACTGAACTATATACCTATCTGTCTATCTCCCCATCCTCATAAAAATATAAAAGCTAGACTGGAAGAATATACATTTAACCCTTTGCAGTGGCTGTCCCTGGGAAAGAAAAAAAAGAAATTAGTGGGATTCGTAATTAAATCAGAATTTATGGAAGTATTACTTATTCACAATTTTTAAAAGCCATGTGAGGACTTAGCTCTGATTTTTTAACTTGCCCAAACTCCTACCTAAGGGGTCTAGGAAGTCATGCCCTACAAACCATAA
This sequence comes from Homo sapiens, assembly GCF_000001405.40. Classification (NCBI taxonomy): domain Eukaryota; kingdom Metazoa; phylum Chordata; class Mammalia; order Primates; family Hominidae; genus Homo; species Homo sapiens. The sequence continues at coordinate 31,192,850 of NC_000017.11, read as the reverse complement.
ATTCTCATCAGATGGGTTTTATTTGACGCTATATATCGTGACTTACTTTTCAATCTGACTCTGGCATAACATTATGAGACAAGGAAAAAATATTTAGCCCCAAAATATATTTCCTTGCCATACCTTGAAATTTGCCGTGCAAAGTCTCCTGTGGGGAAAAAACATCCACATTCTATAGAGAATCCCCTTTTCCCTTTGTTTTCCTTCTTTCCTTTCCAGATCCAGGAGATTAATCGACTAAGAGCCAGGCACTCTTTTAGGTCTAATAAGAAACATTTTACAACCTTCTCTCTCTCTGAAGTCTGCTGAGAGATTCCTCTGCACAACAAAATCTGGTCTCCACAATCCTTTATCTTAACCTGGACATTCCTTTCCATTAATCCCAAGTCTTCAGACAAACTCAACCGTCAACCAGACAACGTCTAAATTTACTTATGGCCTGGAAGCCCCCACTTTGAGTTGTCGCGCCTTTCTAAACCAAACCAATGTATTTCTTAAATGTATCTGATTGATGTTTCATGCCTTCCTAAAATATATCAAACCAAGCTGTACCCCAACCACTTTGGGCACATGTTCTCAGGAACTCCTGATGGCTGTGTCACGGGCCATGGTCACTCGTATTTGGTTCAGAATAAATCTCTTAAAATATTTTATAGAGTTTGACTCTTTTCGTGGACACATATATAAATTTCTCAAAAGATGAGCAAAATATAAAAATGTTAATAGCAGTATGGGAAACTGTTACATTCTTTGTACATTTCAAATATTTCTTTTTAAAAAAAGATACTATAGTCAAAAGAAACAGGTGACTGGAAAAACATTTACAGACTAAAAATGTAGGATTACTGCTCTGAATATACAAAAAGTTCCGCGAATTCATAAGGAACTGGAAGCAACATAACAGAATAATAGGTAAAGGAAGTCAACAGGCACCTGCAAAAGAAAACATGCAAATGGCAAAGAAACATATGAACTGTTTTCAAACCTCACTAACCTTAAAAAGAATAAAAATTACAATGAGATACTATCTTTGTTCTCAACACTTGAGAATTTTAATTAGTGCTCTCATTTGGAAAATTAATGTTTAAGCCATTAATACTTTTTTCTTTTATATCACTTATTAAATATGAACTTTCAGAATAGTCATGTAACTACAACCACGATCATGACATAGAACATTTCAAACATCACCACAATCAATCCCCTACTGCTCCTTTGCAATAAATTTCCTCCCCTAACTCTCACTCCTGGCATCCACTGATCTGCTTTCTGTCCTGAATTTTGTCTTCTCTGGAAGTTTTAAGAAATCATATAGTATGTCATCTCTTGACCCTGGCTTCTTTCACTTAGCATAATATTTTTGAGATTTACACATGTTGCCGAGTCAGTAGTTCCTTTTTATTGCTGAATAGTATTCCACAGTTCCAAGGCATCACCACTGGTTTATTCATTCACCAGCTGAGGGACATTTGGGCTGTTTTCAAATTTGCGCTATTATAAATAATATGTATACTCGAGTATACATCCTTGAGTGAAGGTATATGCCTTTGTGTGATTTTTTATTTTCATATTATAGGTACACAACATAATTTTCATTTTCTTCAAGATTGTAACTTGCCTTCAACATTTGTATCTATGGATTAATATTCACAGAGATAAATATTTAAATCTATACACATATTCTTGTTCCTAACCTTATGTTATCATTCTATGCTTGAAAATTTACAACATATTTTTAATGCTAGTATCTACTGTTTGCTTCCTTTCTGAATGACATTTTTTCAGCTTTATTGAGGTACGATTGAAAAATAAAAATTGTATATATTTAAGGTGTACAACATGATGTTCTGATAAACTTATACATTCTAAAATGAGTACCACAATCAAGGTAATAACATATCCATCACATCACACAGTTTACCTCTGAAAGAGAAGGTAAGAATACCTGAGATGAGATACTATCTCACCTTATTAGTGTGGCAAAATTTTAAAGATTTAACAACAGCTAATCCTGACAAAAATGCAGGAAAATAGGCAATTCAGTGGGGATGAAACTCTGACCTGCTGCAACTATTGGGGAATGTAAATCTAGTAATAACTATTACAAATTTTAAATGCAAATGTTCTTGACACAGGAACCCCTAGTTTTTAGATTCTAGTCTATAGAATTAAGAGCATCAGTTAACAAGGATATATGAACAAGATATTTACTTAAGGCTTAGCTAAGTGTCAAAAAACTGAAAACATCTGAATATCCACCCATTCAGTGAAATGGCTGAGTAAATGAGGCTCATTAGTGTAACAGAATGTTACCTAATACTGAAAGGAATGTGTCAGATCTCTATCAACTATTTTGAGGAACAGCTAAAATATTTTCTTAGATAAACAACGATGCAGAGTAATGTGCATAAAATAATTTCATTTTAAAATACAACCACCACCACCCTACGTATGTATATTTTGCATTTGAATATATGGGTAAATAGATGTGACTGGAAGGATACATACCAGCCAATAACACTAACCAGCTCAGAAGGAATGTGAGTAGAAAAGGGTGAGAATACTATTTTATTTTTTTTGTTTTTTTGTTTTTTGAGATGGAATCTCGCTCTGTCGCCCAGGCTGGAGTGCAGTGGCATGATCTCAGCTCATGGCAACCTCCACCTCCCAGGTTCAAGCAATTCTCCCCGGCTCAGCCTCCAGAGTAGCTGGGATCACAGGAGCCTGCCACCATGGCCAGCTTTTTTTTTTTTTTTTTTTTGTAATACATTTTTAAAAATACATTTTTTAGCCAGGCGCAATGGCTCATGCCTGTAATCCCAGCACTTTGGGAGGCCCGAGGCAGGCAGATCACCTGAGGTCAGGAGTTCGAGACCAGCCTGACCAGCATGGAGAAACTCCATCTCTACTAAAACTACAAAATTAGCCGGGCGTGGTGGCGCATGCCTGTAATTCCAGCTACTCAGGAGGCTGAGGCAGGAGAATCGCTTGAACCCGAGAGGCGGGGGTTGCACTAAGCGGAGATTGTGCCATTGCACTCCAGCCTGGGCAACAAGAGTGAAACACCGTCTCAAAAAAAAAAAAAAAAAAAATACTTTTCTTTTTAATCCAGAAAGATTTAAAAATCTAAACTTTTAAATCTAGAAAATACCAGAAAAAAATTAAAAAGCATACTTCAAAAATCTTGGCACCTGCCAGACAAAAACATAACATGCTGAATGATTCCATTTGTATGAAATGTCTAGTTTAGAATTAAGTAAATCTATAGACAAAAAACTAGATTACTGGTTGCCAAGGGCTGCGAGTGAGGCGAGAGGAACAGGGAGTGATTACTAACGGGTTTCTTTTTGGGAAGATGAAAATGTTCTGCACAGAAACAATGGTGATGATTGTACAACTTTGTTAATGTACTAAAATCGCTGAATTTTACACTTCAAAAACGTAAATTTTATGATATGTGAATTATATCTCAATAAAATGAATAATATCTTCTGGGAAGAGAGATCTGACCAAAAAAGCTAGGAGACAAAAAGGAACAAGGCTGAGGTGACTACATGCAAATTTTAAATATCTATATAGTAAAAAGAACTCATAAAGTTTAAAAATGAAACCAAGTAAAAATGTACACATATACCCTTACAAATCAACAAAAGACAAACAATTCAATGGAAAAATCAGCAATTCCCTGAAGATACACAAATAACCAGTAAACACTTAGAAAGCTACAGTTGTGATTATTAAAACGTAAATTCACTCGAGTACTACTGAATCTATAGCTTATTTATTTATTTCTATTTTTCCAATAAACAACAACAACAAAAAACACCCTACTGTATTAGTCAGGGTTCTCTAGAGGGACAGAATTAAGGGAATAGATACTTATACAAAGGGGAGTTTATTAAGCATTAACTTACACGATCACGAGGTCCCACAATAGGCTGTCTGCAGGGTGAGGAGCAAGGAGAGCCAGTCCAAGTTCCAAAACTGAAGAACTTGAAGACCGACGCTGGAGGGCAGGAAGCAACCAGCACAGGAGGAAGATGGAGGCTGGGAGGCTAGGCCCATCTCTCTTTTTCACATTTTTCTGCCTGCTTATATTCTAGCCACACTGGCAGCTGATTAGATGGTAGCCAGCCAGATTAAGGGTGGGTCTGCCTTTCCCAGCCCACTGACTCAAATGTCAATCTCCTTTGGCAACACCCTCACAGGCACACCCAGGATCAATACTTTGTATCCTTCAATCCAATCAAGTTGACACTTAGTATTAACCATCACAAGTCCACCCCTTGTCAACTTGAACCCATACATATCTCCTGAGATCATACATAATCTTTAAATAAAGACAATAAAGTCATAATTATGCCTAACATAATACAATTATCCTTCGTACAACCAGAAACACACCTATCCCAACCCAAATACTAAAAGTTAACAATACTTAAAATGCTGATGTGAAGTCAATAAATCTTAAGTCATATGATAAAAGAAAAAGGAAATAAAATGAAGATATTTTCTTAGTACAGGTGTATACATGCACAAACATGTTTTTAACAAAAGGAGGAGGAAATACTCATGACAATTACAGTTGTTTCTGCAGCTGGTCATGCAGTCGTAGCTGGTATTGATGACTACCTTCTTCTACTAGCCATTCTGTATTCCCTTTGCCTTCAGCAAGCACCTCAGCAGGTGGTGGTTTTTTTCCTGGTAGAGTGACCCAAACCTTCATTCCTGAAGGGTCTGGGTCATTTGTAGTCCTGCCTGGATGGGGCTGTTGTAGTTTCCCATTTACCTTAATCACAGGGCATGGCAATACATGGTAATACTAAAAGACGCCCTAATGGATCTCCATGCATACTCTTCTTTACCTCCGCTATGGAGTAGTAGACTGATTTCATCTTGATAGTCAGGGTCAATCACCCCAGCCAACACTGTAACTCCCTTCTTAGCCTGTTGACTTAAAGGTAGGAGGAGCCCAAAGTGTGTCCAGGTGGCAATCTTAACTTCCAGTTTAATGGAATCGTTGTTGTGTCTCCTGGTGGCAGCGTTCCTCCCTCTGGAACTAAGACCTCTAGGCCAGCAGAACATAATGTCTCAAGAACGGGAAGAAAAATTTTCTAGTGGATCACTAGGGGTGATGGTGAGTGATTCCTGGACCCGGGAATCCTGGCTATGGGAGAAACAGTACCATATATTGGACACTGATTCAGAGCATACACAGCCTTCTGGAAAACTTTGCTCCAGCCCTGCAAAGTACTGTCTTCTAGTTGGCATTGTAATTGTGACTTCAAAAGGCCATTCCACTGTTCTACCAATCCAGCTGCTTCAGGATGGTTGGGAACATGGTTAAGACCAGTGTGGCCAGGCACATTGGCTCATGCCTGTAATCCTAGACTTTGGGAGGCCGAGGGGGGCAGATACAAGGTCAAGAGATTGAGACCATCCTGGCCAACATGGTGAAACCCCATCACTACTAAAAATACAAAAATTAGCTGGGCGTGGTGGCGCACACCTATAGTCCCAGGTACTCGGAAGGCTGAGGCAGGAGAATCGCTTGAACCTGGGAGGCAGAGGTTGCAGTGAGCCGAGATCGCGCCACTGCACTCCAGCCTGGCAACAGAGCAACACTCCATCTCAAAAAACAAACAAACAAAAACAGTGAATTCCATGAGCATGAGCCCACTGGCACACTTCTTTAGCTGTAAAGTGAGTGCCTTGGTCAGAGGCAATGCTGTGTGGAATACCATGATGGTGGGTAAGGCCTTTGGTGAGCCCATGCATGGTAATCTTGGCAGAAGCATTGCATACAGGATAGGCAAACCCATATCAGGAGTAAGTGTCTATTCCAGTGAGGACAAATCTCTGCCCTTTCCGTGATGGAAGAGGTCCAATATAATCAACAAGGTAGCTGGCTGATCACCCTGAGGAATGATGTCATATCAAGGGCTCAGTGTTGGTCTCTGCTGCTGGCAAATTGGACACTCAGCAGTGGCCATAGCCAAGTCAGCCTTGGTGAGTGAAGTCCACGTTGCTAAGCCCATGCATAACTTCCATCCCTGCCACCATGGCCACTTTGTTCATGGGCCCATTGGGCGAGGAGAGGGGTAGCTGGGGAAAGAGGCTAAGTGGCATCCACAGAACAGGTCACGCTATCCACTTGATTATTAAAATCCTTCTCTGCTGAGGTCACCTGTTGGTGAGCACTCACATGAGATACAAACATCACAGTTTTTAACCACTCAGAGAGGTCTATCCACATACCTCTTCCTCAAATCTCTTTGTCACCAATTTTCCAATCATGCTTCTTCCAAGTCCCTGACCATCCAGCCAAACCACTGGCTCCAGCCCATGAATCAGTATATAATCGCACATCTGGCCATTTCTCCTTCCACGCAAAGTACACAACCACGTGCACTGCTCAAAGTTCTGCCCACTGGGAAGATTCCCCTTCACCACTATGCTTCAGGGATGTCCTAGAAAGGGGCTGTAGTGCTGCAGCTGTCCACTTTCAGGTGGTGCCTGCATATTGTGCAGAACCATCTGCGAACCAGGCCCTAGTCTTCTCTTCCTCTGCCAACTGATCATAGGGAACTCCCTATGAGGCTATCAGTATAGGTGGGGAGAGAGAAGGTACGGTGGCATGAGTGGAGACCATGGGCATTTGAGCCACTTCCTCATGTAACTTACTTGTGCCTTCAGGACCTGCTTGAGCCCGATCGTGTATGTACCACTTCCACTTGATGATGGAATGCTGCTGTGCACGACCCACTTTACGGCTAGATGGGTCAGAACACACCCAGTTCATAGATAGGCAGTTCAGGTCACAAGGTGACTTGAAGACCCACAGTTAAACATTCCGTTTCCACCAAAGCCCAGTAACAGGTCAAGAGCTGTATCTCAAAAGGAGAGTAGTTATCTGCAGAAGATGGCAGGGCCTTGCTCCAAAATCCTAGAGGCCTCCGCTGTGATTTACCTATGGGGGCCTGCCAAAGGCTCGAAACAGCATCCTTATCTGCCACTGACACTTCAAGCACCATTGGATCTGTTGGGTCATATGGCCCAAGTGGCAGAGCAGCTTGCACAGCAGCCTGGACCTGTTGCAGAGCCTTCTCCTGTTCTGGACCCCACTCAAAACTGGCAGTTCTTTGGGTCACTGGATAAATGGGCCAGAGTAACACACCTAAATGAGGAATGGTGCCTCCAAAATCCAAGTAGGCCCACTAGGCATTGTGCCTCTTTCTTTTTTGTAGGAGGGGCCAAATGCAGCAATATTCTTCACCTTAGAAAGAATATCTTGACAGGCCCCACACCCCTGAAGCCCTAGAAATTTTACTGAGGTAGAAGGTCCCTAAGTTTTACTCGGATTTATTTCCCATCCTCTGGCACCCAAACGTCTCACCAATAAGTCCAGTGCGTTTGCTACTTCTTGCTCACAGAATCCAATCAGCATAATATCATTAATGTAATAGACCAGTGTCATATGTTGTGGAAGTGAAACATGACCAAGGTCTCTCCAAGTAAGATTTGTTTATATAAATTAGAAAACTCAAGCAGTTCTTTACGAGTGTAGCGCACCTCCTCATGGGTCACACTCTCAGCCTCACCTCTAGGGACCTGCTAGGACTTTAGTCTGGTTATAGGTCTAGAAGCAAACAGGGGTGTTGGGGGTGGCTTCTGAGGAGAATCAACATTATCTTGCCTGGCAACTGCCTCAGGGGAGGCCATTCCTGTTGCCTCAGGCAGCGCAGGGTTTATCTCTTCAGACAAAAGTGGAAAGGCTGATGGCAGCATGGCTCAGGGAGGGGATGTTGCCACTACTGGGGATGGGGAAGCTGTTTCTTCTGGCAAAAAAGGTTCATCAGAGTTTACAAACTCAGAGTCCCCAGCTTCATCAGGGTCCTCCCACACATGCCCTTTCCAAGTTGCAGGGTCCCATTCTTTTCCAATCAATGCCCACACTTTAACAGTAGACACCTGGTTAGGCTGTACATGCACCTTTTGTTGCAGGTCAGCCACTTGCATGATAAGAGTTTGTGTTTGTTTTTTCACAATTTCAGCTCTTTTTCTACAGGAGATAAGGGTCTCACTCAGGTCAATCTTAGCAGATTTGAGGCTCAGTATCTGCTTCTGAAGACAGGAGACAGAATCCCTGAGCTCATCATTTTCTATTTTATTTTTTTATTTTTTTTTTTTATTTTTTTTTTTTGAGACGGAGTCTCGCTGTCGCCCAGGCTGGAGTGCAGTGGCGCAATCTCGGCTCACTGCAGGCTCCGCCCCCTGGGGTTCACGCCATTCTCCTGCCTCAGCCTCCGGAGTAGCTGGGACTACAGGCGCCCGCCACCTCGCCCGGCTAATTTTTTGTATTTTTAGTAGAGACAGGGTTTCACCGTGTTAGCCAGGATGGTCTCGATCTCCTGACCTCGTGATCCGCCCGCCTCGGCCTCCCAAAGTGCTGGGATTACAGGCGTGAGCCACCGCGCCCGGCCCATCATTTTCTTTCACCACTTTGTCCACTGAATTTAGGAGCAACCAACCAGCTTCATTATGTTCCTTGGTTCTCCATATATGGTCAAAGGTATTATTATGTATAGGGTCACTAAACTCCTTGCCTCTCATTAGCGGTGAATCAGGAGTGTCAAATGCATTTATTTTGCAAACTCTCTAAACAGTTCACAGCAACGACTATCAGTGTTCTCCACAATATTAGAAGTAGAGTCCTTAATATTTTAGGGTCTAATCATATTAAGCAGCAAACTCCAGAAACCCCCAAACAAACTAAGAAACTCCATCCTTAATACTCCGTTCCTCTAGAACCACACTCCTTGTACCAAAATCTCTATTAGGGTTCTCTAGAGGGACAGAAGTAATAGAATATTTATATAAAGGGGATATTAACTATTAACTAGCACGATCACAAGGTCCCACAATAGGCCGTCTGCAGGCTAAGAGGCAAGAAGAGCCAGTCCAAGTTCCAAAACTAAAGAACTTGGAGTCTGATGTTCGAGGGCAGGAAGCATCCAACACAGGAGAAAGATGTAGGCTGGGAGGCTAGGCCCGTCTCTCTTTTCACATTTTTCTGCCTGCTTATACTCCAGCCATGCTGGCAGCTGATTAGATGGTGCACCACCCAGATTAAGGGTGGGTCTGCCTTTCCCAGCCCACTGACTCAAATGTTAATCTCCTTTGGCAACAACTTCACAGATACACCCAGGATCAATACTTTGTATCCTTCAATCCAATCAAGTTGACACTCAGTATTTATCATCAAACCTACTATTTTGAAGGGCTCCAAAACAATCTACCATGAAAAATGGTGTCCTCATAATGGAAAAGTTGAGATATACACCTAAGTGGAGTAACACGCAATCACAGACTCTCAAGGATTACCTGGTTCATTTATTTACCCTTTAATGTATAAATTCCCGGTCCAATACTTCTACAAAGTAATAAATCATTCAGCTGATTCTGAACATCTCCATCTACAGGCAAACCATGAAGGAAACCATCTCATGTTCAGCCAGCTAAGAGTATTTCTCCAAAAGCAGCAAAAAATGAAAAAAAAAATATTTGCAAAACAAACTGCATATTGAAATTTCAGTAAAACCCTAGGATTAATACTCAGTTCTTTTTTTTTTCAATCACCTAGGTGATATTTAAAAAAATTTTAAGAGCCTCCTAGAATTACCAGTTGTCATGGTGCCAATTTCACTATAGATGGTATATGCGAGAGCCTTACCTTCCTGGCAAAATTCTTTGAAAACTGTTCTAAAATACTTAAAATGAGTTACTAGATAATTTCAGTAGCACTATATGGACACATACCCTAAGTACATGCAAATAACACACTATAAAAGTGATGAACTCAAGTAGGGCAATCCTTGTAGTGAATATTAGAGAAACTACGTTTAATAATAACAGAGGTATCGTTTAGTCTTCTCAGACAAAAGAATGAAACTAAGGGATTATTTTAAATCTTTGTTCATTGCCTGGTATTATTTTCCCTCTGCCAAATAAAATTATGTATGAGTATGTCTCTTCTAAGTCCATCAAACAAAGAAACCTAAAATGATCATTTAAATGGTTCCCTGAAATACTTTGCTTAAATAATAAGCCTAAAGTAATACACACCTTGAGTAAAATAAACTGCTTCACATCTAGATATAATGGAAATAATTTTGCCCTCCTTACCTTATTCATGTTGTTTTCATCAACCACGTCTTTGGATATATCCTGGATTATTTCTGGACACAAGATAAGGAGAATGATTTGTAGTGGCCAAACTGCTGCTTTACGTTTGGTGCTTTCAGCAAAACCATCCACCAAGTCAAATAGCTTTTCTGCACATTCTGCATGAAAAATATATTAAATGACATTATTAGATAGGAACAAAATCCCTGGCATTAAAGTAAAAGCTGACACTATGTAAAAACCCAAGGGCAACATTTTTAAAAGATAAACATGGAACTTCATTTAAGCAACTACACAAATGCATTCTGGTAAGTAGACAAGCAATGTAATACTGTCTATGTGTTAGAAGAGCTATCTTGATCTATCCTGGAAAAGCTCACATTTTAGAATGGATGATCATGTATTCAGTCTCACTGTGAAGGGCCTTATGCAAAGTGTGATGTACCCAAGCAACAAAGACTGAACAGCTTCCCAAAAAGAATTACCAAAGTTCTCCAGGAGTCTGTATTCTCTGCCTTGCAGTTGTGTCTTACATTATAGGTGAGAATATTACTACTTTATACACATCTCCCTAAATACAAAATAAAGCTTCAGAGCACATGCTTCTCTACAACAAAGAGCCAAACACCCCATCCTATCACAGCTCTAAAGATCTGACCTTCATTTCAAACTACTTTGTTTGCTCCAAGGAAAGGAAGAGGGTTGGGCCTAATTTAGAAATGTAAGAGAAAAACAGTATTTCCTATTTGACACCAGTTGACAATAGAAGATGTAAAAGCACCTTTATAACAAAAATAACTTGGAAAACGATGATAGGTTTTTATGTCACAAGTAGGCATTTAAAAGACAAAAAAAAAAAAAAAATCAATCGTATCCTTACCAGCCATATCAGTCTGTGGGATCTGGTACAGTTTTGTAAATTCATCTGGATAATTTTCTACCCAGTTCCAAAATGCCTATAAATAAAGAACCACATGTCTTTACAGTGATTTTTTGTAATACAGTAAATAAAATGTCACAAACTTCTAACTTCCTTCATAATAATATTACAATGTATTCTTCCTGAAAATGAATGTGAAACTATCACTCAAGTCATAACTTTTTGATTCAGGATGCTAACAACAGCAAATTTTACATCAAAAACAAAATTTTAATACCAGAGAGGTTGTAACTTACCTTTTCCAGGCTATTTATAACTGCTAACTGCGCAACCTTCTTTAGGGCTTTAAATTTAAATGCTGTTTCTGGAAAAAACACAATTTTTAAAAATTAACTCTAGAATAAGTTAACACAAATACAACTCAGAGCAAAATAACTTTCCATTTACGTATTACTTTTGCTCCAATATTATCTGTAAGCAATGAAAGGTAAAGACACCTAACATAAACCCAAAACTCGATAGTTGTCTGCTAGGAAAGAAAAATTCCATAAACAGCAAATATGCCTTGGACATCAATGATTGTGAGCTTTTTCTTTTAATAACTTGCTTTTTCAAAAAAAAGTATAAAACACATACAGGATATTGGTTCCTCCTATCCATGAGCATGGAATTGTTTTCCATTTGTGTCCTCTCTTATTTCCTAGAGCAGTGGTTTGTAGTTCTCCTTGAAGAGGTCCTTCACATCCCTTGTAAGTTGGATTCCTAGGTATTTTATTCTCTTTGTAGCAGTTGTGAATGGGAGTTCACTCATGATTTGGCTCTCTGTTTGTCTGTTATTGGTGTATAGGAATGCTTGTGATTTTTGCACATTGATTTTGTATCCTGAGACTTTGCTGAAGTTGCTTATCAGCTTAAGGAGATTTTGGGCTGAGACGATGGGGTTTTCTAAACATACAACCATGTCATCTGCAAACAGAGGCAATTTGACTTTCTCTTTTCCTAACCGAATACCCTTTATTTCTTTCTCTTGCCTGATTGCCCTGGCCAGAACTTCCAATATTAGTTTGAATAGGAGTGGTGAGAGAGGGCATCCTTGTCTTGTGCCAGTTTTCAAAGGGAATCCTTCCAGTTTTTGCCCATTCAGTATGATATTGGCTGTGGGTTTGTCATAAATAGCTCTTATTATTTTGAGATATGTTTGATCAATCCCTAGTTTATTCAGAGTCTTTGGCATGAAGGGCTGTTGAATTTCATCAAAGGCCTTTTCTGTATCTATTGAGATAATCATGTGGTTTTTGTCATTGGTTCTGTTTACGTGATGGATTACTTTCATTGATTTGCATATGTTGAAACCAGCCTTGCATCCCAGGGATGAAGCCAACTTGATCATGGTGGACAAGCTTTTTGATGTGCTTGTTGGATTCAGTTTGCCATTATTTTATTGAGGATTTTTGCATCGATGTTCATCAGGGATATCAGCCTAAAATTTTCTCTTGTTGTTGTGTCTCTGCCAGGTTTTGGTATGACCATGATGCTGGCCTCATAAAATGAGTTAGGGAGGATTCACTCTTTTTCTATTGTTTGAAATAGTTTCAGAAGGAATGGTACCAGCTCCTCCTCTAGCTGAATCTGGCTGTGAATCCATCTGGTCCTGGACTTTTTTTGGTTGGTAGGCTATTAATTATTGCCTCAATTTCAGAACTTGTTATTGGTCTATTCAGGGATTCGACTTCTTCCTGGTTTAGTCTTGGGAGGGTGTATGTGTCCAGGAATTTATCCATTACTGCTAGATTTTCTAGTTTATTTGCACAGAGGTGTTTATAGTATTCTCTGATGGTAGTTTGTATTTCTGTGGGATCGGTGGTGATATCCCTTTTATCATTTTTTATTGCGTCTATTTGATTCTCCTCTCTTTCTTCTTTATGAGTCTGGCTAGTGGTCTATTTATTTTGTTGATCTTTTCAAAAAACCAGCTCCTGGATTCATTGATTTTTTTTTTTTTTTAAACAGAGTCTTGCTCTGTCGCCCAGGTTGGAGTGCAGTTGCACGATCCTGGCTCACTGCAAGCTCTGCCTCCCGGGTGCACGCCATTCTCCTGCCTCAGGCTCCCGAGTAGCTGGGACTACAGGTGCCTGCCACCATGCCCGGCTAATTTTTTTGTATTTTTAGTAGAGATGGGGTTTCACTGAGGCCAAGGCGGCGGATCACGAGGTCAGGAGACTCATTGATTTTTTGAAAGGTTTTTCGTGTCTCTATCTCCTTCAGTTCTGCTCTGATCTTAGTTATTTCTTGTCCTCTGCTAGCTTTTGAATTTGTTTGCTCTTGCTTCTCTAGTTCTTTTAATTGTGATGTTAGGGTGTCAATTTTAGATCTTTCCTGCTTTATCTTGTGGGCATTTAGTGCTATAAATTTCCCTCTACACACTGCTATAAATGTATCCCAGAGGTTTTGGTACGTTGTGTATTTTTCTCATTGGTTTCAAAGAACATCTTTATTTCTGCCTTCATTTTGTTATCTTCCCAGTAGTCATTCAGGAGCAGGTTGTTCAGTTTCCATGTAGTTGTGTGGTTTAGAGTGAGTTCCTTAATCCTGAGTTCTAGTTTGATTGCACTGTGGTCTGAGAGTCTTTGTTATGATTTCCATTCTTTGGCATTTGCTGAGGAGTGTTGTATTCCAATTATGTGGTCAATTTTGGAATAAGTGCAATGTGGTGCTGAGAAGAATATACATTCTGTTGATTTGGGGTGGAGAGTTCTGCAGATGTCTATTAGGTCCACTTGGTGCAGGGCTGAGTTCAACTCCTGGATATCCTTGTTAACTTTCTGTCTCGTTGATCTGTCTAATGTTGACAGTGGGGTGTTAAAGTCTCCCATTATTATTGTGTGGGAGTCTAAGTCTCTTTGTAGGTCTCTAAGGACTTGCTTTATGAATCTGGGTGTTCCTGTATTGGGTGCATATATATTTAGGGTAGTTAGCTCTTGTTGTTGCACTGATCTCTTTACCATTATGTAATACCCTTCTTTGACTCTTTTGATCTTTTTTGTTGGTTTAAAGTCTGTTTTATCAGAGACTAGGATTGCAACCCTACTTTTTTTTGCTTTCCATTTGCTTGGTAAATCTTCCTCCAACCCTTTATTTTGAGCCTATGTGTAACTTTGCATGTGAGATGGGTCTCCTGAATACAGCACAGTGATGGGTCTTGACTCTTTATCCAATTTGCCAGTCTGTGTCTTTTAATTGGGGCATTTAGCCCGTTTACATTTAAGGTTAATAGTGTTATGTGTGAATTTGTTATTATGATGCTAGCTGGTTATTTAGCCCATTAGTTGATGCAGTTTCTTCACAGCATAGATGGTCTTTACAATTTGTTATGTTTTTGCAGTGGTTGGTACCAGTTGTTCCTTTCCATGCTTAGTGCTTCCTTCAGGAGCTCTTGTAAGGCAGGCCTGGTGGTGACAAAATCTCTCAGCATTTGCTTGTCTGTAAAGTATTTTATTTCTCCTTCGCTTATGAAGCTTAGTTTGCCTGGATATGAAATTCTGTGATGAAAATTCTTTTCTTTAAGAATGTTGAATATTGGCCCCCACTCTATTCTGGCTTGTAGGGTTTCTGCCTAGAGATCTGCTGTCAGTCTGATGGGCTTCCCTTTGTGGGTAACCCGACCTTTCTCTCTGGCTGCCCTTAATATTTTTTCCTTCATTTCAACCTTGGTGAATCTGACGATTATATGTCTTGGGGTTGCTCTTCTCGAGGATTATCTTTGTAGTGTTCTCTGTATTTCCTGAATTTGAATGTTGGCCTGCCTTGCTAGGTTGGGGAAGTTCTCCTGCTAATATCCTGAAGAGTGTTTTCCAACTTTTTCCATCCTCCCCATCACTTTCAGGTACACTAACCAAATGTAGATTTGGTCTTTTCACATAGTCCCATATTTCTTGGAGGCTTTGTTCATTTCTTTTCACTCTTTTTTCTCTAATCTTGTCTTCTCGCTTTATTTCATTGAGTTGATCTTCAATCTCTGATATCCTTTCTTCTGCTTGATTGATTTGGCTATTGATACTTGTGTATGCTTCACGAAGTTCTCATGCTGTATTTTTCAGCTCCATCAGGTCATTTATGTTCTTCTCTAAGATGGTTATTCTAGTCAGCAATTCGTCTAACCTTTTTTCCAGGTTCTTAGCTTCCTTGCATTGGGTTAGAACATGCTCTTTTAGCTTGGAGGAGTTTGTTATTACCCATCTTCTGAAGCCTACTTCTGTCAATTTGTCAAACTCATTCTTTGTCCAGTTTCGTTCCTTTGCTGGTAAGGAGTTGTGATCCTTTGGAGGAGAAGAGGCGTGCTCGTTTTTTTTTCAGCCTTTTTGCACTGGTTTCTTCCCATTTTTGTGGATTTATCTACCTTTGGTCTTTGATGTTGATGATGATACTATTCCTTTCTTAGTTTTCCTTCTAACAGGCAGAACCCTCTGCTGCAGGTCTGCTGGAGTTTGCTGGAGGTCCACTCCAGACCCTGTTTGCCAGAGTATCACCAGCAGAGGCTGCGGAACAACAAAGATTGCTGCGTGTTCCTACCTCTGGAAGCTTTGTCCCAGAGGGGCACCTGCCAGATGCCAGCCAGAGAGGACACAAACAAACGGAAAAACATTCCATGCTCATCGATAGGAAGAATCAATATCGTGAAAATGGCCGTACTGCCCAAAGCAATTTATAGATTCAATGCTATCCCCATCAAACTACCACTGACTTTCTTCACAGAATTAGAAAAAACTACTTTAAATTTCATATGAAACCAGAAAAGAGCCCGCATAACCACGACAATCCTAAGCAAAAAGAACAAAGCTGGAGGAATCACACTACCTGACTTCAAACTATACAAGGCTACAGTAACCAAAACAGCATGGTACTGGTACCAAAACAGATACATAGACCAATGGAACAGAACAGAGGCCTCAGAAATAACACCACACATCTACAACCATCTGATCTTTGACAAACCTGACAAAAACAAGCAATGGGGAAAGGATTCCCTATTTAATAAATGGTACTGGCAAAACTGGCTAGCCATATGCAGAAAACTGAAACTGGACCCTTTCCTTACACCTTATACAATAATTAACTCAAGATAGATTAAAGACTTAAACATAAGACCTAAAACCATAAAAACCCTAGAAAGAAACCTAGGCAATACCATTCAGGACATAGGCATGGGGAAAGACTTCATGACTGAAACACCAAAAGCAATGACAACAAATGCCAAAATTGACAAATGGGATCTAATTAAACTAAAGAGCTTCTGCATAGCAAAAGAAACTACCATCGGAGTGAACAGGCAACCTACAGAATGGGAGAAAATTTTTGCAATCTACCCATCTGACAAAGGGCTAATAACCAGAACCTACAAAGAACTTAAATTTACAAGAAAAACACAAACAACCCCATTAAAAAGTAGATGAAGGATATGAACAGACACTTCTCAAAAGAAGACAACAAACATATAAAGAAAAGCTCATTATCACTGGTCATTACAGAAATGCAAATCAAAACCACAATGAGATACCATCTCACGCCAGTAAGAATGGCGATCATTAAAAAGTCAGGAAAGAAAAGATGCTGGAGAGAATGTGGAGAAATAGGAACACTTTTACACTGTTGGTGGGAGTGTAAATTAGTTCAACCATTGTGGAAGACAGTGTGGCGATTCCTCAAGGATCTAGAACTAGAAATACCATTTGACCCAGCCATCCCATTACTGGGTATATACCCAAAGGATTACAAATCATTCTGCTATAAAGACACATGCACACGTATGTTTACTGCAGCACTGTTCACAACAGCAAAGACTTGGAACCAATCCAAATGCCCATCAATGATAGACTGGATAAAGAAAATGTGGCACATATACACCACAGAATACTATGCTGACATAGAAAAGGATAAGTTCCCGTCCTTTGCAGGGACATGGATGAAGCTGGAAACCATCATTTTCAGCAAACACAAGAACAGAAAACCAAACACCACATGTTCTCACTCATAAGTGGGAGATGAACCATAAGAACACATGTACACAGGGAGAGGACCATCACGCATCGGTGCCTGTCGGGGGGTGGGGGCTGAGGTAAGGGATAGCATTAGGAAAAATACCTAAGGTAGATGATGCGTTGATGGGTGCAGCAAACCACCATGGCACATGGACACCTATGTAACAAACCTGCATGTTCTACACATGTACCCCAGAACTTAAAGTATAATTAAAAAATTTGGAAAACATATACAGGGCCAGGCCCGATGGCTCACGCCTATAATCTCAGCACTTTCGAAAGCAGGAGTGGGAAGATAGCTTGAGCCCAGGATTTCAAGGCTACAGTGTACTATAATCATGTCACTGCATGCCAGCCTGAGCGACAGAGCAAGACTCTGTCCAAAAAAAAAAAAAAAAAAAAAAAGCAAAAGCACAGGTGTTTATGGGAAATTTTTAAAACCATCAATGATTCTATCATTCAGAGACAATCACAGTTAACATCTGGTGGTTTTACTTCTACCACTTTTCCTATGCATGTAGAAAACAAATATATTTAACATAACTGAGATCATATAAGCTGTATCAAACCTGTTCTTTTCCATAGTATCCCTAATTATTTCTGTATCAGTAAAAACTCTTTTTTTTTTTTTTTTTTTTTTTTTGAGATGGAGTCTTGCTCTGTCGCTCAGGCTGGAGTGCAATGGCACAATTTTGGCTCACGCAACCTCCGTCTCCCAGGTTCAAGCGATTCTCCTGCTTCAGCCTCCCCAGTAGCTGGGATTACAGGCGTGCGCCACTACACCCAGCTAATTTTTGTATTTTTAGTAGAGATGGGGTTTCACCATGTTCGTCAGGCTGGTCTCGAACTCCTGACCTCATGATCCGCCCACGTAGGCCTCCCAAAGTGCTGGGATTACAGGTGTGAGCCACTGTGCCTGGCCTATTTTTGATGGCTCTATATGCAATAGTAACTATTACACAAACTATTAAAACATATCATGTATTTTTAGTATGATACACTTAATTCTTTTTGAATCTTAATGTTTTCAGAGTATTACAGATGAACAAACTGTGTGTCTAAGGTTACAGATCTAATAAATGATTGAATTGGGCTTTAAAACCAAGGTCTTTTCAGTATGCTTTGATGCCCCTCATAATATTTAAGTCACTGTATTAAGTGACTGGTTATTTAATGTTTTCCAGTTTTAACACTGAGGTTATTTCTGTTATTTCACTATTATAAATAACATTAACAAATATTTTCATATCAACATCTTTTCCCACATCACTGCTTATTTAAGATAAGGAATCTCTAGAAGTGTCCAGTCAAAGAGATGAATATTTTTAGGGCCCTTGATAAAGATTACCAAGCTGCCTTTCACTAGGGTTGGGCCAAATGCTGCTATCACCAAGCAGCATACGAAAGTGCCTTCATCCTATCTTTGTCATCATAAAAGTATGTTCATTTTCTTTATTTTGCTAATTGGAGTGTTCAAAATAGTAGACTGCATTTTAACGCAAGTAACAGTAAACATTTCTCCATATAAATATATTGGGTATTTTAATTTCTTCTTCTTTAAGTTTATTGTCCACATCTAGAAAAAGATTTATGTTTGGAAAAAATGACCTGTCTATAAGCGATTTTACTGGCAATGGTCCCTCGGCAAAGAACTTCTCCTGTTGACTTTTAATGAAGGGATAAAGGTTTTTATTACATCTATGTAAGTGTCTAAGAGAGAGATGAGTCTTTTTTCTGGACTTGCAAATAAGTAACTCTCCAAATCAGTTTTTAAAAGTACCCCTTTGAATTCTCTTTGCTCTCACCCTCCACTGATTTCCAAATAATGACATTACTCTTCACAGTGCTCTTTAGCAACAACTTTACCTTTATGACATCTTAAATGTGTTATATACCATAATCTACTCTCAAAGCCAAAGTATCTTTCAGTTCTACAAGTTTCTTGTTGGACATCCTACTGATACCTCAAACTCAGAAGATCTAAAACTGAATTTATCATTTTCCTGGTCAAACCCTCTCTTCTGCCATCAACCTTTCCTTCCCTTTTCTGCTCTAACCAGCTTATTCTGTAATATTTGGTGATATCTCTCTAACCTCATATATCTAAATTGACTATCAAATGCTATGTATTCCATTTCTTTTTTTTTTTTTTTAGATGGAGTTTCGGTCTTGTTGTCCAAGCTGGAGTGCAATGGCGTGATCTCGGCTCACTACAACCTCCATCTCCCAGGCTCAAGCGATTCTGCTGTGCCTCGGCCACCCGAGTAGCTGGGATTATGGGCACGTGCCACCACACCCGGCTAATTTTTTGTATTTTTATTTTATTTTATTTATTTATTTAGAGACGGAGTATCACTCTGTTGCCCAGGCTGGAGTGCAGTGGCACAATCTCGGCTCACTGCAAGCTCTGCCTCCCGGGTTCATGCCATTCTCCTGCCTCAGCCTCCCAAGAAGCTGGGACTACAGGCGCCCACCACTACGACTGGCTAATTTTTTGTATTTCTAGTAGAGACAGTGTTTCACCGTGTTAGCCAGGATGGTCTCCTGACCTCGTGATCCACCTGCCTCAGCCTCCCAAAGTGCTGGGATTACAGGCGTGAGCCACCGCGCCCAGCCCATTTTTTGTATTTTTAATGGAGACGGAGTTTCCCCATGTTGGCCAGGCTGGTCTCGAACTCCTAACCTCAGTGATCCGCCCACCTTAGCCTAACAAAGTGCTGGGATTACAGGTGTGAGCCACTGCGCCCAGCCTCCACTTCTTTAAATACCTATCAAACTGGTCCCCATCCTTACCCTACCCCAATCCATCATCTGGATCTCCACAACTCTCATTATTTTTCACTTATATTACTGCATAACCAAGTCCCAGAAGTTCAGGTAACCCTCTACCAAGCCATCCTGCAAATTTCAAGCAAAGGGGTATATCTAAAATAAAATACTGATTAAGGTATTCTCTACCTCAAAGCCTTTCTATCACTTCCCAGGGCCACTAAAATAAAGCTTCGTAACTCATAAGCACAACAGTGCAGCAGTCAAGTATCTAGGTTCTAGAGACGAGCAGATGTGAACTCAATCTTTACTGAACAATTACTAGCTCTGTGACTTTGAAAATTTACTGAGGCCTCAGTTTCCTCATCTACACAAGAGATGATAATATTAATACTAGTATTGCGTCACAGGGTTATTGTAAGAATTGATGAGAAAAGGCATGCAAACTGCATAGCGCAAGGCCCGGTGCAGACTGAAAATATAACAAATGTTTCTCTCTCTCTCTCGATATATCTATCAAGATACAGATATATCTATAGACAGATCTGGATATACACATATCGATTGATATATCTATATACAGATAGGTATATCGAGAGAAAGAGAGAAAGAGAGAGAGAGAGAGAGAGACAGAGAGACAGAGAGACAGACAGAGACAGGATCTCACTCTGTTACCCAGGCTGGAATGCAGTGGCACAATCACAGCTTACTGCAACCTCAACCTCTTCCTGGGCTCAAGTGATCCTCCCACCTCAGCCTCCCAAGTAGCTGGGACTACAGGTGCGTGTCAGCACACCCAGCTAATTTTTTTTTGTATATATGGGGGTCTCTCTATGTTGCCCTGGCTCAAGCAATCCTCCTGCCTCGGCTTCCCCAAAGTGTGGGGATTACATGTGTGAGCCACCAGGCCTGGCCATATTTTTATTAAAATGATCTGACCTATTCTTGTACCTTCACATCTTGCTCATCTCTCATCCCCTCAAACAAATATATACTTCCTCTCTCACTTTACACTCACCCTATTTGAGTTTATCATAGTTTTTTTCTGCAAATAACTTGATAATGACATCACTTGTCTCATAAACCATGCCATGAGCTCCTTAGGGACAGATTCCATATTTTATTAATTTTTGTAATCCCAGCACTTAGCATGGCTTCTTATACATAGTTTCTCAACAAAGGCTTGTTGAGTTGTATTTAAAACACATTACTACCTTTACTACTCATTACTGAAAGGGTGCATTCCTTTTACCACTGTCACCAAGAGCCATATTTTGCTGGCCTATTTAATATCGGTTTTATACTTTATATATTTATCAGCATATACTCTAAATTTATGTTCATGAGGGAGCCGCATTCGATGGGAAAGTTACTTCAGTATAAAAGAAAGTCATTTATCCACACATTCAATTAGTTTCTCTTATTTGGACAGAAGAGACATTTCAGTTAATTATTACGGATTGAACATTTCTATTGTTTTAAACAGCTATTCACAGGCAACCTGGACTAGACTTGTTTCCAAAACATCACTGAATAGTTATGAAAAATCATAAAATCCCACTAATACTTCTTAACTTTAATTCATAGAGATCTCTAAATTTTACCATTCAGTTTCTCAACTGCTCAACGCTTAATAATAGATATCAAAATCTTGCAAATCTCAACTATTAATTCAATGGTGGTTTATTATAATCTAAAATAATTGCTGTCCACATGTTTGTATCTTGGCATAACAGCTAAAATCACCCCTATATTTTCCTTTATTAAAGTTACTGAATTAATTGTTGCTTGGTTTCACAATGGTAATGACCTAAAATCATAAATTATGAACAAGGGTAATATGAATAGAACACAGCTTTATATTATTCCTTTATATAGGTATTGCCTTTTTACATCTCTGGTGAGATAGTTATTGAGTTTAAAGGAAATATTAAGAAAACAAAAACACGTATTTTGAAAACTACATTGCAGAACTGATGTTTCTGAAGCTAATATAATTCAATCTGTTTTAGGTCAGATATTAAAAATATTATTGTTTGACAATTCCTTAAGTTACAAATAAAAATATGTGTGAACTGTATACGGTTTCATATCTAAATTAGCCAGGGTCTAATAATGCCAAAAACTAAAAAACATTTTTTTGTAAAATGAAATTTAGATATTCATACTCAGTTTATGAATATTCATTGATATCTGATTTACATGAATACATCACTGCTTACCACAGAATTTATCTCAATTCCTTCAGATCATACTCAGTTTATGAATACTCATTGGTATCTGATTTACATTAACACATCACTGCTTACTACAGAACATATCTCAATTCCTTCTGATCGTTTATTTCAATCCACATAATCATGTAAAGTACTTCCCAAGCTTTAAAGTCACATATTAGGTGTTATAATATCCCCATGTGGAACTACTACTGACATGTTCTACAAGGAGACAAAACCGGCAATGGAAGGTTAAGGGACTTTGTAATGCTATAAAGTCAGTCAGTAGAGAGCTGAAAACAGAAATGTCAGAAATGAAATCTCTGGCTCAATTCATCCTCTCACCATAACATCACAATCTCCTCGTTCCATTCTGCAATAAAACTTTGATATCCTACTACAGACAATCTTTGTAAAGTGCTACAATAGCTAAACAGATAGCTTCTATAACCTATAGCCACCCTTGAGAGATCAAATTCCAGAAAAATGAAATAATAGCACCCTTGCATTCTCTGTATTGAAAACAAAAATTGTAGTTAAGCAAAACTTTCCATTGCCAAGATTTAAAATGCTCATTTTCTCTACTGCATTATTTTCAAAGATTGAAAAATAATTACCCATTTGTATTACTGGTTATTTCACAAGGAAATGTCATTATAAAATCCAGTTTGGTGTTCTAGTTCAGCACAATTAATATAATTAGTACATTCATGATACTAGTTTTTGACCCAGTGATTTTTTTCAGATATATTATACATTTAAACTTACCCTTCAGGAGTCGTTTTAATTTTGCACAATCCACATTGATATACTGTAACAATTCTATATCATGAACATCAACATTGTCTTCTGAACAAACAGTTAATTCCTGTAACCTAAAAAGTAAAAACCAAAATTAACTTATCAAATTAAGTATTAGGGGACAGGTGTGGTATCTCACACCTGTAATCCCAGCACTTCAGGAGGCCAAGGCAGGAGGACCACTTGAGGCCAGGAGTTCAAGACCAGCCTGGGCAACATAGCAAGACATCATCTCTAAAAAAAATACAAAAATTAGCTGGGCATGATGGCACACACCTATAGGCCCAGCTACTCAGGAGGCTAAGGGAGGAGGATCTCTTGAGCCTAGAAGTTTGAAGCTGCAATGAGCTGTGATCACACCACTGTACTTCAGCCTGAGTAACAGAGTGGGCCCTATCTCTTAAAAAAAACAAAAACAAAAAAAGTCTTCGGGTATCCCTAAATTCTGAATTCAACAGATTCTTCCCCCAAAGATGAGTTCATAAGAGTAAAGACATATATAAAAATAAGGCAATAAATATTTCTTATAAAAACCTAAAGGAACATAACAAACAAGGGATATGATAAAAGAAACCATGATAATTCAGTAAACGTAGCATCGTAGCATCCTTATCCTTAAGATTGAGGTGTCTAAATATTGCCGACTTTCGGCCAGGGTTCTTTGGGAAAATTAGTTAATTCCAGGATGGGGGCAAGAGATATACAAGGTGAGGGCAGGTCACCTTGGGCTTGAAAACAGGAAACTATCAACAACTATCAGAACCATGTCAAATATCACACAGGTATGCACTTTAGGCATCTCAACTGTCAAAAATGGGATAATCTGAGGATCAAAAGAATTATGTCTACAATGGAAACACATACAATAAATTAAAACACACAAGCCTGTTATAATATTGAAAGAAAAAACTTCATGGGTAACCTTTCGCAACTGTTAGGGTACCAACTCATTCTGATAACGAATAATGGAAGTCAAGTCTGTATCCTGCATTCCCTACATGGACTGTATTGCAAGATAACTAAACACACAATGAAGCAAAAATCTTTCATAGAAGTCACAATTTTAAAATAAAGAATGAATGACAGAATAGAAAACGTTTCATTTTGCAGCCCCCAATGAAGTGGAATCCAGGCAGTGATCATCAGTGATTACTAAAAACATTAGGAAAAATTTATGGGAAACTGTATAATGAATACATAATGCTGATAACATCGAAATCCAATCACTGATCATAACATTAAAAGTCAATAATAGGACATGTTTCCTGATGTGATTCATTAGGAACCACATAGCATCATCAGTAAAGTATTCTTGTCCCCCCCCAGCCAAATGAACGTGAATCCAATGAAACCCAAATACAGAATGTAGAAAGGCAAATAACGCAGTCCAACAAATAAACAGCATGGGAAAAAATGGAGAGCAAGGTGAAGAAATGAAGAAATGATACTGATTAACAGAGGCTCAGGAGAAATATCAACCAATTCCAAAGTACGCATCCTATTTGTATCTTAATTTGAACAAAACAAAAAAGCCATTTCTGAGATAATGAAAAAACCCACAAATTTGGCAATGCATGATATTAAGGAATTATGATTCTTGATAGGTATGACAATATTATAGTTAAATGCTTAAAAATCTATTTATTAGAGATATATACTGAAATATTTACAGGTGAAATGATGTCTGGGGTTTGCTTTAAATTACTGAAAAGGGAAGAAGAGAAACCATAGCATGCCAGAAACAGTTAAAGCAGAGTAAGAGATGCATGGGGATTTGAAGTACTATTCTATGTGTATTTTTCCATTTTTCCACAATGAATAGTTTTAAAAATTCATATTTCCAATTACAAGTAAAAGTATAATTTGAATTAAGACTAAAACTATAATAAGTAAACTTGATTTTACTAACTTCTACTTTTATCAACTAGATTTTTGAAACACGAATGAAACTTTATATTCACAGGGTACATTTACTTTGTATTTGAAAACCGAGTAAGCCTTTTTTCATTGCACTTTTCACAGTTTGTACATGTATTTATGTAATTATTTGCTTAATATCCCTACTTCACAGAACATAAGCTTATAAGGACAGGAATATCTGTTTAAACCCCAGCTTCTCCTATGTTGAATATGAAGTTATCACAAACGTAGAAACATTTAACACTTAACAAATATGTAGATATTTTTAAACTGATAAAAGAAATTCACTTAGCCTAAATGTTAATAAAAGGCATTAAACTTTTCTTCCATTTTACACCAACAACCACAGCACTCAGATTTTCAAAAGTTGGTATTGCTAATCTATTAAATCATGCTACCTAATGAGGCATACTCATTATTCATATTAATAGACATAAAAAATATAAGCAGCACAATTAAATTGTAAACTTTTATAAATGCAGCAATAGAGATATGGTGAAAAGGCACAAATACTATATGGTCTTATAATTTATATGTATTAACTTGAATTTCAATCATTTAGTGCAATTTGCAAAGGAGTTATTAATCATCACACTAAACCTTCAGTTGATAAGAATGTAATCAATCCTATTCTTCCTTCTCAAATTCTCGTTTCACTCACTTTAGCTTTAATTAGACTACAGCTAACAGTACAACTATTCTAAGCACTTACATGAACTCTCTTCCTATCATCAGGGTAAGAAAAGCTCAGCATTTCAAGCTGGGAATGAGGTTGTCCTCAATGCTAAAAATTCCACAGCTGCTGCAAAGAGCGTAGAAATATGGAGTACGGCTCCTCAGAAAACACAACATCATAGATCAGCAATACCAACTTCTGAAAAGTTGACTCTTGTGGTTGTTTGTGAAAAATGGGAGAAAAATTTTGTCCCTTTTATAGTCTGGTACCCTTATAGAGAGCAGGTATTTTGTGAAGGTTAAACATCATTTCCGAAGCAGAGAAATCAAATAAAGCGTAGTCTGAGCAAAAGAAATGAACAGTAGAAAACCTATCACTAAAACAGCTAGAAAGTCTAGGCATACTGAAAGATATTTTAAATGTATAGGTCCAGAAAAGAAGAAGAAAACTGAAAACCAGAGAGTTAAGTGCACAAGTACATGACCCAGCCCTGCAACAAAGGAAAGATGAGTGAGGTTTTTGATCTCCTTAACCTAGGAGCTTGGGGCTTAACATCCACATGGAGACTGGATATAAACGCCTTGTACCCTAATAATTCAGGATTCTAACTTGGGCCCTGCATAAAACATGAACTAGAAAGAACAATGCACTCCCCCTGCCGCCCCCACTCCCCACAAAAAGAAAAAAAGAAAAAAACCTACCAGCACAAAGAAGCTTAACTGCTCTGCCTAAACTTTGGATAAAGTGAAAAAAGTCACCTAGAGCTGTTTACCTTCTAAGAGTTTAGGGTTCAAATTTATACTGCCCATACAGGCTGGGACTGAGAAATTAAGAAAAAAATAGCTCCAGAACTGGGCACCTGGCAAATGCAAATGCAAAACCATCACTAGAACACTCCCTCAGCCCAAGGCTACAAGGATTCTCAAAGAAAATACAGGCCACACTAAAGATAACTTTGCAATCAAGGATTCCAAAACTGAGATGAAACAATTCACTATGAATGAATCAGCACAAACAAATCAATATTAAACAATACTAAAGAGAACGTAAAATACGTTTTAAATGATCAGAGACATATAAAAAAACTGAAAACTATTTTTAAAAAAAGAGTAAGAAACCATAACGAACAGATTTGTATGGAACCAAATAGTAAACTGTAAAGAACCAAATGACTTTTAAAGTCATTGAGTTTTCTGCTTCTGGTGGTATATCAAATGAGATATTCTGAAGCACCTTCTCACTACAAAACAACTAGATCAACTGCATTTGTGGAGTAATTCTGTGGAGAAAGCAGTTACTCCGCTACATAAATACTATAAGCCACAGAAAATGGTATACTCCCAGAGAAAAATAAAGCTATCTTAAGATTTATAGCCAGCCAGGCATGGTAGCTCACATCCTGTAATCCCAACACTTTGGGAGGCCAAGGCAGGAGGATCCCTTGAGCCCAGGGGTTCAAGACAAGCCTGGGCAACATGGCAAGACCCCGTCTCTACAAAAAAATTAAAGAAACTAGCCGGGCATGGTGGCACGTGCCTGTAGTCCCAGCTACTCAAGAGGCTGAGGTGGGAGGATCTCTTGAGCCCAGGAGGTCGAGGCTGCAGTGAGACATGTTCACATCACTGCACTCCAGACTAGGTGACAGAGAGAGACTGTGTCTCAAAAACATAAAATAAATAAATCTATAGCCTATCTTCCCCTAAAGAAAAGTAAAGGTCAGAAATATAAAAACCAAATCTTAATCTTAAAGGAGAAACATTGACGGGGAGAATGGACAAACACGAAACATCTTCATGATACTGATTCATCTATTATATATAAAACATAAGATCAATCTTTAGAAAGAACTACCATTCAAGCCACACACATATTTTAAGTCACCTAATACTATGACGATGACAGCATAAGATGTTCCAACCTAAACTAAACCATCATAATGGTCTTTTAGGTGAGTGATCCTTCAGTAAGATCAGCTCCTATTTCTGACACAAGCTAAATGGAACTGAAAATGCAGTTGTCTGAAACAATGTTATTTCACAGATGCCATTTCTGAGTGGTCTGTCCTCTGAAAGCTAATAAAATTTTAGACACTTGGTTTCTATTCTGGCAACAGTGAACTAGATTCAGGAAATAAACAAAAGTTGCTTATTTTTACATGTGCTAATGCTGCAAAATCCCATAAAGTAAAACCTTTGGTGACTAGAAATTTTCTAGAATTTTCCAAGGTGGCACATTTGTTGTGTTCTATAAGGCAGTTCATGCATTGATAGACTACAAGACATTTGGGTTTTTTTGTACCACTTTCTACCTTTAATTTAACAGGTGTTTCAAATAGTAAGGCCGGCCTAGCAGTCACCTAAATGAAAAGGGTTTGCGTTTTTTATTAAATACAATTTTCCACCCTCCTACTCTCTAGGTGTTTGTTACCTTGCTGACTCAACCACTGTATTATTATTCATAATATAAAACGTTACTGCTCAAAAGATTTCATGAAAACATTTTTCTATCATGTAAATATTACCCAAGATTATCAATAATATACCATTAAATAAAACTTTAATTTTCTTTGGATCAAGAATTGCATTGAGGTTGAAAAATATTGCTGCCTAGGATCTTAATTATAGAAATGTCATTGTTGATTAAAAAGATTGCAGGACTCTGAAGTTAATCAATTCCCCCAAAAAACCGTAACACAAATTCTCAAATGGTGATGTATGTTGTCTTTCACACCTGCTGGAAAACAACAAAGGAATCAGTAAATCTGAATAATCAAAGTCCACTGTTCGTACAACACTGACGAGCCAAAGATGCAGGCACCAACAAAGAGGATTGTTTTTCTCTATTCGGTATTAGTCTTCGATTCACGAATCACTAAATAATTTGTGCTATAGTTTCTAATTAAGTTAATAACCCATCTGACTTTACTTGCCTTAGAAAGGCAAATCATGTGCATAACAACAATTTGCAGCTACTTGCTACTGTCACTTATAATTCTATCCCATAGAGCACTACCTATACTAATTTCTCCACCTGTAGGTAGCATATCACAACTAATGCTCAGGATGATTTTGAGTCATCAATAAAAGCTTAAATTATATTTTTGATACATCTTTAAAAACAGAAGTATATTTTATAAAACAGATTTCATCAAAATGTGGCTAAAATAGATAGGGAAGCAATCTGGTATAGTGAAACTAATATAAATTCTGAAGCCAGCCTGACTTAGAAATTTTGGGTCCTCCATTATTTGGCACATCACCTGAACTTTTTTGAGTATTAGTTTGCTCACCTGTAAAATGAGGGAAGTATCATCAAGGTTACTGTGAGGATGAGACAGCAAAGGAAATGCTATAAATACTCAATAAATGGCAGTATTTTACATACATTTAAAATGTAGTCCACTTTCTGGAGAATTCTACTTTGCAATTATTCACCTCCTTGTGTTTTCACATCACTTAGGTTTTTTTGTTTTTGTTTTTGTTTTGTTTTTTGGTAACCTAAAATCTTGTGATAAAGGGTAGAGTTGTGAAAGTATTTGAATTCTGACTACTCTCATTAATTATTCCATCTAATTGGGTAGTTTCATTTAAAGGGATAATATGTTTAAAAAGCCAAACCAAAAGTTCATACCTAGTATTGTTTTTTAAAGCCTGCTCACGGCAGATATTTTTATCTGAAATTTAGACTTTCACATTCATAACAGTGCTCTTATTTAATTGCACATATCAATATCACAATATTACGCAATTAAAATGTCAAAGATATTAATGCATAAAATTTCTACGCAAGCCCAGACAAACTCATTTCTCTGGAGGCTGAGGTAGGAGGATCACCTAAGCCTGGGAGGTCAAAGCTGCTGTGAGGGGCAAAAGAACTTGTCTCAAAAACAAAAAAACCTCATTTCCATTAACTTTTTATTTTTATGTAGACAAAAAACAAAACTTCTAATATTCATATTACTTCAGTAGTCCCATGTGGATTTACACACTAACCTGGTAGAAATGCGACTAAAGACTGCATTGAAGTTGTTGCAGCTGAGAGAAAATAAAACCCCAGAGGCAGAATTCCGAAGTTCAGCTGCATGCTGGTTTCCTTCACGACAGGTGTGAAGAAAATGGCAGATTTCTGGCAGCAACTGTTTGACCAGCATCGTTTCATCTAATCTCATTGTGTCCTTTGGTTGCTAAAATAGAAATAATCACATTATTCTAAACTTTAATTTTACCTGTAAACATTTTCTATTATGAAAATTTTCAAACACACACACAGAACAAAAATAATGAACACCTTACATACACACCACCTAGATTTAACAACTGTTAACGTTTCATCATATTTGCTACATCTGTCTATAGATAGTTTAATAAAGAGGATGGTTCCATCTCTGACCCCATAATCACAATTAAAGTTCAATCCCCCTGCCATCCTTACCAGTCCTCCCATTCCTGCTTGCTCTCTTGTTCACCAAACGAGCCCTTCCCTGGGAATCCCCAGTTTGCTGTGAGTTCTACAATTACAGAATCGACTTAATTCATATTGATTGATGAGTGCATTGTGTCATCTGTCTTGACATTTAAGTAAATTCCTGGGTGAGCCATCACACTTGCTTTTGTGCAGACTGACCAAAACAGACACTACCTACTCAAAGTAATTTTATTTTGGTTGAAATCTTTTCAAAGTAAATTATAAATAGAATACTTCACCCCATGTGCCTTGGCATCTCTTAAAAGAATTTTCTCTAATGTAACTTCAATACAATTAACACACCAAGGAAAAATAAACAATTCCCTTGTATCATCTAATACCAAGTCTGAATTCAAATTTCACCACTGCCCCCAAAATGTCTTTCATAGGCATTTTTATTCAATAAGGATCCAAAAAAGTTCACCGATTACAACATGATGTTTCCTTAGTTTCACTATTCTATGCAAGGGCGCAATCTCAGCTCACTGCAACTTCCACCTCCAGGGTTAAAGCAATTCTCCTGCCTCAGCCTCCCTAATAGCTGGGATTACAGGCGCCCGCCACCATGCCCAGCTAATTTTTGTATTTTTAGTAGAGACGGGGTTTTGCCATGTTGGCTAGGCTGGTCTCGAACTCCTGACCTCAAGTGATCCGCCCTCCTCGGCCTCCCAAAGTGCTGGGATTACAGGCGTGAGCCACTACGCCTGGCCCATATTCACCACTCTTATTTCCCATGACTTTAAGTGGGCCAGCTGCCTTACAGAATGTTCCATATCCTTGATTTAATTATTTTCCAGTGACATAGGTTGATTTGCTCTTCTAGTTACTGTATTGTATATTTTCGTTCTTTTTTTTTTTTTTTTTTTTTTGAGATGGAGTCTCGCTCTGTGGCCCAGGCTGGAGTGCAGTGGCGCAATCTTGGCTCACTCCAACCTCTGCCTCCTGGTTTCAAGTGGTTCTCCTGCCTCAGCCTCCCAAGTAGCTGGGACTACAGACATGTGCCACCACATCTGGCTAATTTTTGTATTTTTAGCAGATATGGGGTTTTGCCATGTTGGCCAGGCTGGTCTTGGATTCCTGACCTCAAGCTCTCCGCCTGTCTCGATCTCCCAAAGTGCTGGGATTCCAGGCGTGAGCCATGGTGCCCGGCCTGTATATTTTCTGTAAGCTAAAATTTAAACCTAATGGTCTGATTAGATTGAGGTTAAACAGTTTAGGGGATTCACTATAGGTTATATTACATCACACCATGAGAACATAAGGCCAGGTGGTCCTGTTATTGACACCAAGTTTGATAACTTCGGTGTTAACAGTGAAATCTCTACTTTGTAAATATATACTTTACAATTAACACACAATCAATGGATAAGCTATCCTGTAGGTATGCTGTTCCACATTACTATTTCACCTAACAGTCTTGATAACTACATGCGGATAAGAATTTTAATAACACTGAGCAAGATGGCAAAGAACAAAAATGTGTACAATTGTATGCTACGCTCAATTCTGTAACTGCAATCCAAGCACTCTCAGATGCAAATACACTGAAACATAGGGACAGTACATAAACAGACTTCACAAAAACCTGTGAATTCACATTACAATGCCTATTTCTTGTTTATAGGCTAACCAAACAATACAGATGTTAACTCTAACAAATAAAAATCTAAGAAGTATTAAATCTTTTAAATAATAGTCATATTCACAGGAACAAAAATACTTAAGATTCCTCAAATTCTACAAAATTGCACTCATAACATATTGGTAAGTATTTTTCTTTCACTTAAATATTCCAACTATGTATAACAAACGTATACTTGTGAGCTCCGTTCTTCTTAAACTGCCTCAATTTACTTTGATTTAAAAGTAAGAATCAAGAAACATCTGTAAAATCACTGAAGGAAATAAAACAATTGTTCAATAATATAAATAGCATTACTTTTTAAATAGTAAATTTAATGAAAAAGCATACACATTTTTCAACAGTAGAGCACGGCAAGATAATATACATTTTATGCATTACATAAGTTATACTAGGCCCACTTATTAGCATTTCAATTAGGCTATCTTCAAAGAGTATTAAATCAAACAGAGGCCAATAATATCGGTAATCATTCTCCAAAATACATTCATTATTACCTCTCAATTACAAATGTTAATGGAGAAAAGCTGTGAAACTGAACAAGGCAATATATGACCCCACGCCCCACCATTCAGTCATGGGTGTGGCTGATATACTGGTAATTTGCAGTCAAAGTAATAAGACCACTGGAAAAAACTGATTCAAGAAAAGTTTAAAATTTGCCCATCTTCCCAGTTCCATCATCCTATGTAACAGCTCTTTTGCTCTTTCACTCCATTTTACACATGAACAATAGCATATCACAAGTTAACGGAAAATACCATGCTAAAACAACTAGCTCACCTTCGATTTTAAGTAGAAAACTTATAAACACTGTCTCCACAATTTTGGAATATGGTCAACGGTCAATAAGAAAATTTAAAATATTATGCTTAGGGCAGGCACAGTGGTTCACATCTGTAATCCCAGGAGTTTGGGAGGCTAAAATGGGCGGATCACTTGAGGATAGGAGTTCAAAACTAGCCTGACCAACATAGTGAACCCCCATGGCTTATGAAAATACAAAAAAAATAGCTGAGCATGGTGGTACATGCCTGTAATCCCAGCTACTTGGGAGGCTGAGGCATGAGAATAGCTTGAACCCGGGAAGTGGAGGTTGCAATGAGCCGAGAGGGTGCCACTGCACTTCAGCCTGTGCCGCAGAGTGAGACTCTGTCTCAAAAGAAAAATATATATACATATTATGCTTACATTTTTTCGCTTACAGCCTTCCCTAGGGATACACAGTTGTGTCAATATAATTTTTTTTTCAATGCCCTACCCCAATGCTTCCACCAACACTTCTCAACCACACTATCAGTCCTCATATATTAAGGTCTCTTTCAACTAGTTTCACTATAGAGAACTGCAACATATGTGAAGAGGGAAGCAATTCTGAATCAAAACAAAATTCTGAATTCTGAGCCAAAGGAAGAGAGAACATAAGAAATGAGTTAATTTCAATACACATGGATTAGGCAGATCATTAAAACAGAGGTATTTAATTTATATATTTATATAAACTCTTACCATGTTCCAGGAAGAATTAAGGATAATGATGTATAGAAATACTTTCTTTACACAATAGAAATACTCTTGAAAAAGTTCAAATTAAGTCATGGTTGAAATACACTGTGGTAACAACTTACAGGAAACCAGAGAAATAATTGTTTGGTACTCTCCTCCTCCACATACCTATCGCATATTTGTGTGTCTACATAAAACAAGTGTTCTCAAGGTAACATCTATCCTTAATAGGTTTAATTTTTAAGTTCTCATTTACATAAATTTCAAAAGTAGAATATTAAAATCATATTCATATAGGAGGAAATACAAGATTACTCTTGGACTTCTGAATCGCACTCTCCCACAACTCTCTGAGAGATCCGTTAAATCAAATAGTGATCTCTTCATAAAATATTTTCCTAAAAACCTGAGAGACAGATACGTGGCTGAAACATAACATTTTATAAGTAAACTTAATATCTGTTTAATTTACAAAAGATGAGAAAATTTTCTCATGAAAAATTGTCTGTCACCAGGTCAGCTATATTAACAAAACTCATATTTATATGTCTCAGACAAAAGTCCATAGGACTGTCCTCTTGGTCCACATCTGTACTTTGGGACATAAGATCATTCTCAAGATCAAATTCACAAAGCCTGCCTACTTAAGATCAATTTACTTACCCCAGCAAGACATTTTTCCAGTGTATCCAATATAATCAACTGAGAGAGATATAAATTTTTTTCAGCAGCTTCTCCAAATATTCTCTAACAGAAAAGATATTCAGAACATAAAAGTTAGTTTCACTTTCTGCTACCAATCAACACACATCTGAAAAGTGAAAGACTAAAAGATCAACAATAGTCTTCCATTTTACCTCCCAGATTATACTATACTTAAATATATTATTTCTGATTTTATCCTAATCCTCATAAAAACTAAAGTCTAAGGCAAACAGAAATGGCATTTATTAGAGTCTGCCATTAACCTTGTAACAGTAAAAGATGCTGTTTTGCTTCATGCTTTAAAAATATGTAGGATTTAGACACACATATAGACCTGTACCAGAATCTTGAATTGGGGATTTAACTATACTTTTATGCCACGAAATGATCAAAGTCTTAATTTTTATAGCAAAAACATGCTATAGCACCACAGTGAATTTTAAGTACTCACTATCCTCAAAATGAATACTACATATGTATTTATTAACAAGAGACTATGGTTTTGAAAACTTATTTAATAAGCACTAAATGAACGCCAATATAACAATGCTGTTTTGTTTTGAAAAGAGGGTCCCAAATATTAAAATATTTCAATATAACTGGGAACACAGCCACATATTCATATGTGCAAATACTAAACTGTGCCCCACACACTGCAACAGAGGAGCTACAAAAAATGTTAAATGTCTTTCCGTAAATCTCTTTACCTATTTATAAATGGTCCTGCTTTTGGGGGGAAAATACTAATTTTTTCCATAAAGAAGGTAAATGATTTTCTACACCTCCAGTTTATTAGTTTTGTAAGTTTAGGGTATTGTGTAAGCAACTTTCTTAAAAGGAAACACACCAAGGATGATGCGAACAAAAAGTTAAACACCACATGCTCTCACTCATATGTGGAAGCTAAAAAGAGTAAAAAGTAGAAGAGAGGACACTAGAGGTAAGAAGGGTCGGGTAGGGAGAATCGGGGTGGGTAGAGATTTGTTAAAGGATACAGAAATATAGCTTTATAGGAAGAATAAGACTTAGTGTTCTGTACTACTGTAGAATGACTATGTTAACATTATATAGTTAACTTTTTTTTTTTGAGACGGAGTCTCACTCTGTCACCCAGGCTGGAGTGCAGTGGCGCATCCTGGCTCACTACAAGCTCCGCCTCCCGGGTTCACGCCATTCTCCTGTCTCAGCCTCCTGAGTAGCTGGGACTACAGGCACATGCCGCCACACCCCGCTAAGTTTTTTTTTTTTTTTTTTTTAGTAGAGACGGGGTTTCACCATGTTAGACAGGATGGTCTTGATCTCCTGACCTCGTGATCCGCCCGTCTTGGCCTCCCAAAGTGCTGGGATTACAGGCGTGAGCCACCATGCCTGGCCTACAGTTAACATTATATAGTTTCAAATAACAAGAGAATATTCAATATTCCCAACACAAAGAAATGATAAATATTGAGATGATGGATATGCTAATTACCCTAGTGGGATCACTATGTATTATATGTATTGAAACATCAATATGTACCCATAAACATGTACAATTATTGTATGCCAGTTAAAAATAAAATAGAACAAGAGAAAAATTATCTAAAATATGGGAATAAGGCAAAAAGGTAACTTCATGTCTTTTCAATGTCATACTAGAATATTATCTAATAAACCTAAGGACCATCTCAAAAAAAAGGAAGGGGGAACAATCTTCACAATCTATAACCAGAAGTTGTTTCACAACTCAATACAAACAAATACAAACTGGGATTATAAATGCAGGCTGGGCGCGGTGGCTCACACCTGTAATCTCAGCACTTTGGGAGGCCGAGGCAGGCGGATCACCTAATGTCAGGAGTTTGAGACCAGCCTGGCCAAAATAGTGAAACCTCGTCTCTACTAAAAATACAAAAAAATTAGCCGAGCATGGTGGCACATGCCTGTAATTCCAGCTACTGGGGAGCCTGAGGCAGCAAAATCACTTGAACTGGGAAGGGGGAGGTTACAGTAAGCCGAGATTGCGCCACTGCACTCCAGCCTGGGTGACAGAATGAGACCCTGTCATTCATTCATTCATTCATTTATTCATTCATAAATAAATAAATAAATGCTAAACACCAGCAGAGAGTTCAGAGTTAATCAAGAAAAATCCAGATCAGTTGCCATGAACTGAGTATGTTAGTTTGAAACAGCTTAGAATGGAGATGTTAAATAGGAATTTAGAGAGAGGAAGGGATCACTTGAGAAAGACAAAAGATGTTATATGTTCAAAGGTACAGAGGGAGGACAGCTGGAGTACTCTGAAGTCTAGGAAACGTCAATCGATTTTAGAAAATGGGAAGAAGAAAGAAATTATGAGCTTTTAACAGTGGAATTATTTGATGAAACTGGTATTTGAGAAAAACTGTTTCAACAACAGGGTAACTACTACAGAATCTGTCACAGGTTACAGAAGGAAGAAAAAACACATATCTTCATAAAAAAATCAATCCACATTTTAGGACTATGAGATCATATTTTATCATCTACTTAGGGCTGGGACAACCGTAAGTAAATTCAAACAAGATGCTAAAGAAAAATATGTGTAATGGATTACTGTGGTCAATTCGTGTAGGCCACAAAAGCTCTATGAAATCCTAATTCAAGAAACATACTGGAAAAGGAGACATGGTCACAAAAGATAGGAGATGTTTCTAAGGGAAATAATAAATTAAAATGAAAGTTACAGTTACTTGTGCTCACTGAATCTAAAACCCAGCTGATTAAAAATTTGACAAAATAAAATTAAAAGGTTATCTGTGCTCGTAAACAAAATAAGATTAATGGTTATATCCAAAGTCCACAGAAAATCACTTTCCATACTTCAAAATATGCTGTTCTAAACTTTTTAATCAAAAAGAAAAGAAAGCAAATTCCCCAAAACACAGTAACCCAAATACTCACCATATTGTTAACATTCTTTAAAATAGTAGTGAGGCCGCTTATAACCAAAGAAAACTTGTATTTGGAAATATTGATTAGACATTCCTTGTTGTGCTCAGTACTGACTTTGGTATGTGTGTTCTGCTGTCCTGTTTTTATTGGAAGCTGAAAAAAAAAGAAAAAAAAAACACGTTAACAGCTTATCCTTAAAAACGACCATAAATAACTTACTTGCCATTGAAAATCATGACGTTTTAGGAAAACTGCATCAACCACAGATACCTATACTTGCATCTCAAACTCCGATTTTCAATCAACCTCCAATATATGATACACAGATATGTACATTTGCATCTCAAACACCAATATATGATAGCATTTATTATAGCAAATCTTAAATTCTTTGGAAACTTCCATTTTTGCAGCTTTCTTTCTGGAAGTCATAAATCTCTATCTACAAAATAGAATTCTTTATCCAGCACTATATAAGAAGAAATGATGACTCACAGAAACAGAGCTATTTGCTTGTGGCTAAAAATTATTTCAGAGAATGTCTGCAATAAAATGCATACAACCGTTTCCCTTATCCATTGAACTCAAACATTAAAAGAAAAACAGATCAAGAAAATCTATGCCCTAGACTTCTTGTCAATAATGGCAAACAACTGCTGATTGTTCAGAAGCAAGAACAAACTATAAAACCTGGGGAAAAAACAGTAAGACTCACTCAGTAAGATAAGCACCCTCAGCTACACAATTGAAGGGATAACAGAACACAAGCAGACAAATCCCATGAGAAAAAATATTCTATGAGAAGACCACATTTACATTTCTCTGTGAATGAGTTAAGTTCCACTGTCTAGAAGTTCATCTCTACTCTGCTCAAAAATAGCATTCTGTATTTAAAGCATCATGGACATACTTACTGTTAATATTAAACCCTGCTAATGCTAACAGAGAAACCTAGCAATGTTCCTCTGTGAAAAAAACAAACCTGAATATAACTTTCTCATTTTTAACATAGTACAACTAAAGGTGGAAAGAGACCGAGGGGCATGCCCAAGTTTGCTAAATCAGTTAATAATGGACGATTATTTTGATAGTAAAGAAATACTAAATAGGCTGGGCACGGTGGCTCATCCCAGCACTTTCGGAGGCCAAGTCAGGCAGACCACGAGGTCAGGAGATTGAGACCAACCTGGCCAACATGGTGAACCCAGACTCTACTAAAAATACAAAAATTAGCTGGGTGTAGTGCCACGTGCCTGTAATCCAAGCTACTCGGGAGGCTGAGGCAGGAGAATGGCATGAACCCAGGAGGCAGAGATTGCAGTGAGCCGAGATTACGCCACTGCACTCCAGCCTGGCGATCGGGCGAGACTCCATCTCAAATAAAAAAAAAAAAAAAAAAAAAAGGAAATACTAAATGAAATTGGCGGGGTGGGGCAGCATTTTTAGAGTGTAAAGGAGGGGGCAGAACAGAAACTACAGAACTTC
Organism: Homo sapiens; assembly: GCF_000001405.40. Taxonomy (NCBI): domain Eukaryota; kingdom Metazoa; phylum Chordata; class Mammalia; order Primates; family Hominidae; genus Homo; species Homo sapiens. The sequence continues at coordinate 31,154,650 of NC_000017.11, read as the reverse complement.
GTAATGTTAATTATAAAGATTATGGAGGAAAAAAACCTGAAAGGCCAAAAATGGGACTTTTGTTTACGAGCACAGATAACCTTTTTAATTTTATTTTGCCAAATTTTTAATCAGCTGGGTTTTAGATTCAGTGAGCACAAGTCACTGTAACTTTCATTTTAATTTATTATTTCCCTTAGAAACATCTCCTATTCTTTGTGACCATATCTCCTTTTCCAGTATGTTTCTTGAACTAGGGTTTCATAAAATGCAGCTGGTGAATCTCCCTAAGTATCCCATAAAAATCAGAGAAATGGCCAGGTGCGGTGGCTCACATTTGTAATCCCAGAACTTTGGGAGACCAAGGCAGGTGGATCACTTGAGGTCAAAAGTTCAAGACCAGCCTGGCCAACATGGTGAAACCCTGTCTCTACTAAAAATACAAAAAGTTAGCCGAGCGTGGTGGCACATGCCTGTAATCCCAGCTACTAGGGAGGCTGAGGCACGAGAATGGCTTGAACAGCAGGTGGAGGCTGCAGTGAGCTGAGATCGCACCACTGCACTCCAGCCTAGGCAACAGAGACTCTGTCTCAAAAAAAAAAAAAAAAAAAAAAAAAATCAAAGAAACTAGAACTTCTCTAGTAAAAACACAAACTGATGAATATCTACATGAAAATGAAGGGACAAGGTCCCTCATTCCCAAACCCAGAGAAGTGAACAAATAGAAACAAACCATTTATAGTTACAAAACTGGTTGGGGACATGCGCAATGGCTCATGCCTGTAATCCCAGCACTTTGAGAGGCTGAGGCAGGAGGACTGCTTGAGTCCAGGAGTTCAAGACCAGCCTGGGCAACAGAGTGAGACCTCATCTTTACTTTAAAAAAAAAAAAAAAAAATCTAGGCTTGGTAGTGTGTGCCTGTAATCCAGCTACTCAAGAGGCTGAGGCAGGAGGACTGCTTGAGCCCAGAAAGTTGCTGTGATCTAGCCACTGCACTCCAGCCTGGGCAACAGAGCGAGATCCTGTGTCTGGAAAACAAAAAACAAAAATACTAATGTGGTATAAGCATCTATGCAAGAGAAAGCAGGTGGAAGGAGAATGTCTAATGGATCTGACAAGAGGAGATTCCCAATGTACTGCATCCTTAATAAAAAGCACAGCAGCCCAATTTAGGAATATTAGCCAAAACAGAGGGTAGTTATGCTCATTGCAATTTGCAGATGAATGAAAAAGGCCTATGATAAAAGTCTCAAGAGAATGGAGCACACTCAAAAGCATCACTGTCTAATAGGATTTGCTGTGGTAATGATAGTGCTCTACATGGGCAATGCCCAATACAACAGCCACTAGTCGTCACATGTAGCTATTAACCACTTGTAACATAGCTGGTATAGACAAGAAATCAAAAGTTTAAAGTTTATTTAAGTTATTATTAAATAAAGTTTATTTAAATTTAGCTTTAAGTAGCCACACATGTAATTATTAGATCTGACTGGACAGCACAGTTCTAGCCCACACTGAGAAGAAACTGCTGAGAATGAACTCCAAACTGAAAACAGGGGTAAAGGGAGAAAAGGAAAAAGGTCCAAATAAAAATGAAAAAGAGAGAGATGAACAAGAGATCTCTGAAAGAATGAGACCATTTTTTTTTTATTTCATGAAAGTAAAAAAAGAATAAGCTCTAGAGACATAAAGCTACAAAGCTATCCTGGCCTACAAATCCCTCCTACCAATTCAGAAAAATTAATTTCACATAAAAATAAGCCAACAGAAAAGTTCTATGGTCAAATAATATGTAAAGTTATTATTAAGAAAAAGGAGTAAGAAACAGAAAAACATAAAAATAAGGGTCTAAACAACAGAAAATCAAAGTTTCCAAAAAGACATATCCACCAACAGATGAAAACTGTAAATTATTATTTCAAAGTGAGCCAAGAGAAATTAAGAAAATGACAAAAGATGTGGAATAACACAAATAAGAATTACAGATAGAAATAAGTTGACAGAACTCAAGAAAGAATTAGAAGATAAATCATTTCAGAAATGAAAACTAACCAGAAGATACATAAGAGTAAATTAACACAGAAGATAATGCTTTAAGAGTAAACAAATGTTGAAAAAAAAGGGGGGACTAAGGAGGAAAGTTGTAATATAAAAAAGAAATTACATACGAGATAATAAAAATTTACAATAAAGTGACAAAAAAAGATAGAAAAAGAAGATTCAACATACATATAACAGGAGTCACCAAAGAAAGAAACCAAACCAATGGAATAAAGTGGATATTAGAAACTAGAATTCAAGAAAACTTTGCTGAAATTATTATTGAAATTTTTAAAAACTTGAAACTGTATCTTTAATGTGCATACCACACACCTGGAAAAGTGACCCAGAATGACCAATACCTTAACATATTTTGAACTTCCGTGAACAAGAAAAAAAAAATCTTTTGAACTTACAGGCAGAAAGAGGACATTATTTATACAAAAAAAACCCAAAAATTAGACTCTCATCAGACTTTGACAAAATTTTATGTCAGAAAACAATAAAGTAAAATAAATTTAAGATATTTAAAGAAAACATAAACCACACAGGAAGGGGAACATCACACACCGGGGCCTGTCGTGGGGTAGGGGGAGGGGGGAGGAATAGCATTAGGAGATATACCTAATGTAAATGACGAGTTAATGGGTGCAGCACACCAACATGGCACATGTATACATATGTAACAAACCTGCACATTGTGCACATGTACCCTAGAACTTAAAGTATAATTAAAAAAAGAAGAAAACATAAACCAAGGATTTTATATCTAGCCAAACTGAATTCAAATACAGTCAGCCCTCTGAATCCATGAGTTCTCCATCTATGCATTCAACAAACTGCAGATCAAAAAATAAATTTTAGTATGTCTGTACTGAACAGGTACAGACTTTTCGTCATTATTCCCTAAATAATAGTGTATAACAACTATTTATATAGTATTACATTGTATTAAGTATTATCAGTAATCAAGGGATGATTTAAAGTACACAGGAGGATGTGTGTAGGCTATATGCAAATACCACACCATTTCATATCAGGGACTTGAGCATCTACAGATTTCACCGTCCATGGAGGTTCCTGGAACCAATGTCCCAGATACTGAGAGACAATTTTATAGCAATGACAAACTGTGCTAAACGGCAAGAACCCTGGAAATTTTGTTCCCTTTTCCTTTTCCTGGAGGATATACTAGAGAATATGCTTCAGATGACCAGAATAATTGGAAAGACATCCACATTAATAGGAATCATTAAATATATTTAGTGATGGGGTATGTTCTGAGAAATGTGTCCTTACATGATTCCACTGTCATGTGAACATCACAGAGTGTACTTATACAATCCTAGATAGTATAGCCTGCCACACCTCTAGGCTATATGGTATACAGGGTACAAAACTGTACAGCATGTTATTGTACTGAATACTCTTGGCAACTTGAACACATGGTGTTTGTGTATCTAAACATAGAAAAGGTAATGATACCATATTATAATACTGAGGGACTCCCATTACATATGCAGTCCATCACTGACCAAAATGTCATTATGTGGAGCATCACTGTATTTTTATTTATTTATTTATTTTTTTTTTGAGACAGAGCCTTGCTCTGTCACCCAGGCTGGAGTGCAGTGGCGTAATCTCAGCTCACCATAACCTCTGCTTCCAAGGTTGAAGCGATTCCCCTGCCTCAGCCTCCCTAGTAGCTGGGATTAAAGGCATGCACCACCATTGCCTGGCTAATTTTTTTGTATTTTTAGTAGAGACGGGGTTTCACCATGTTGGTCAGGCTGGTCTTGAACTCCTGACCTCAGGTAATCCACCCACCTCGGCCTCCCAAAGTGCTGGGATTACAGGCGTGAGCCACCGTGCCCAGCCGGAGCATCACTGTGTTTTCTAAAAGAACTGAGAATGGTGGCAATAAGGGAGAAAGTATATTAGGTGACTGCTTTATGTACTTGATAATATAGATACAATACAATTATCAAAATGAGGAGAGGGAGGGTGGTGAGAGCATATAAATAGTAGAATATGTTTCTTGATTGTCTTGTTATTAACTGAGAGTAAAATGCTAGGGAAAAAGGAGATGAGGAAAGGAGGTTTCTAGTTCATTTCAATATTGCTCAGAGTAAAAAACCAACACATAATACCCCTCCACCCCAAAAGAGAAGGAAATTAGAATACCATATAAAGGTATTAATATAATGGTAACCACCAGAACAAAAACACAAATTGTACTGGTGGTGCGTGGTGTGTTAACTGTTAAGCTGGGAACTACTTTCCCAGATCCCACTCACTATATGGTTCTGGTTAGAGTTGGTCTAAAGGGTAATTTGTACAGGCTGTCTATCCCTAATTGAAAAATCTGAAACCTACAACACTCTAAAATCCAAACTTGTTGATCAACAACATGACTCTCAAAGGAAATGCTCATTTCAGATTAGGGATGATCACGGTGAGTAAAAGGCAAATATTCTAGAACCCAAAAATATGTGAAATCCAAAACACTTCTGGTCCCAAGCATTTCAGATACGGGATACTCGACCTGTATAAAATTTGTTTGAAATGTGGAAGCGAAGCAGCAGCTATTATTCTGAAGGTTTCACAGTAACATACAATGAGAGACAGATACAGAGGCACCCAGAAAGTTCCAGCTTTTACTCTCTCTCTCTTTCACTCCATGTCCAGCTCTTTCTTTGGACCAGTGGTCACTTTGCTGACCAATACTAGCCCAAACCTACCACCAGATGCTTGGGTGCAAACCTACAGGGCTTTGTAAGACAAACCTTACATGGCAAGAGCTTCCCACAGTGCCCTCCTCAAGCTCCTCCTTCATAATCTCACTTCAGTGGCTGGATATATTTGACTTCTCAGATTTCCCCAACAGCTCCAACTTATCTACCCATTGTCATTGATTTGGACGATCTGGTTAGTGGACTCCTCTGATCCTCCAATTCCCCATTCCAGATACTCACCTCACTTAGTCCCCTCAAAACTGTATACAATCTAATTTCTACAATAAATTCCTTATCATTACACAGTATGAACGCTGGTCTGAATAAATCTTTCTAAATACAAAAATATATGCTGAGGCCAAGGCAGGCAATCGAGACCAGCCTGGCCAACATGCTGAAACTCCATCTCTACTAAAATACAAAAAAATTAGTTGACCATGGTGGCGCGTGCCTATAATCCCAGCTACTTGGGAGGCTGAGGCATGATAATTGCTTCAACCCAGGGGGCAGAGGCTGCAGTGAGCTAAGCCCCACTGCACTCCAGCCTGGGCAACAGAGCAAGACTCTGTCTCAAAAAATGTGTGTGTGTGTGTGTGTGTGTATGTGTGTGTGTGTACATGTATATAAGTGTATATATTTATATATGCTGAAAGAGCAAATAACATGAACACAGTGACACTTAAATAAAAGACATGTATAAAATGTAACGTAAAACCAAAAAATGAATCCAAATTCATTAAATGATAGAATAATCTCCAGGACACATCTTAAGTTAAAAAAAAAACAAGATGGAGAAAATATACACAGTATGTTCCATTCATCTAAGAAGAGGGAGGAGATAGAAATATATGTTTCTTATATTAAGAAACAAAACAAAACAGTAGAAGAATGAAATGCTCAAAAAAATTAGTGGTTGCCTTTAGGAAATGAAAAGAAAGTAGAAGTGAAAAGGATAGAATCCATATTCTATATGGAATACATATTGTTTTTGTAGATTTCATTTTAGAACTACGTAACTTACATAAACATAAAATTAAAATTTTAAGAAGTCTAGAAATCAAAAATAAACAAATCAACTGAAAACTGTATCTAATTCTTTAATGGTATAAATGTATCTAATTATTTAATGGTATAAAGAGAGGAACTAAATAATTCTGTGGTATTTTAATTCTATGACTCCTAGTGCCTCTAAAAACCCAAGACTTTCAGCATGGGAAATAAAAGTAATGGTAAAGTAAAGAAATGTAGTCTTGAATTTGAAATAGAAGTATCTATATGAAGTCAAGATATTTTATTTTGTACTTTAAAAAACATATTTCTATTTCTGTCCAATGAAAATGCCTAGAAACAATGACCAATCCCATAGTAATGACTAATGACCAATCCCATAGTAATCCTCACTCAGTTGTAATCTTGAACGACCATTTCCCAGTAAAAGGAATCTGGACTCCTTTAGGAAATGGCTGCTTCTATGTCTGGAGGAAAAAAAAAAAAAAAAGACATAATGACCCCGGAACATCTTGTCATACCAGATAGCAGCACTGACTAATAACGGTCAAGCCAAAAATGGTTAGGAATGAATTTTAAAGAGGCCCCCACTGGCCAAAAGTGTAATAATTTGAACACTTAAGGATGGCAATTTATTGAAACATATTAAATATATTTAAATCCATACTACTGTTTCCATGTAGGATAGAATAATTTACTGCAAAACAATAGCTCCCACCACAAACTTAATTTCTAACAAAAGATGAAATATAAAAATCACCTGTTTGAAGAATTCAGAGAGCTACTGAAGGAATAGGGATTAGCAACACTAAGATTCCAAAAAGAGTGAGCTATAATGAGGTAAGGGGATCTTCTGCAGCTGCTTTTCCCCTGGGGCATTTGCAGATTCTGGTCAGGAAAACAGATTGAGAAATAAGGCTTTTTTCCCAGGCAATGTACCTCTAATGGAAGAAGAAACCATCAGAGATTCTGGTGTTCACTGAGGGCTAGATTGGCAAAACTGAAGACGTGAGGGAATCTCAAATGCCTCAGTGAGTGGAAGAGGGTAAAAAGGCTAAACTAAAAACTTCTGAAAAGCAAAGCAGAATTTGAAAGCCTTGCAGCTTCGAGAGGACAAAAGAGTTCAGAATCTGCTAGTGGAGACCTTAGTAAATACAGTTCTCAGTGATAAGCCCTCGAAGGCTGTGTCTTCTACAAACAGGAGCAAATTACAGCAACTGGAAATCTTAGGAGCTACTAGTAGGCATGTAACTCAGTACTTACCTTGGAAACTGGCATTATCTGCTAAAACTGAACACACACACACACATTCAGCAATTTCACTAGATATATACCCAACAGAAATGTATATATGTTCACCAAAAGACATGCACAACAATGTTTTACAGCAGCATGTTTTATAATTCCCAACAACTGGAACAATCCAAATGTTAATAGCAGAAATGGTTTTTAAAAACTGGTATAGTCATACCATGAAAAAATATACAGCAAGAGAATGACTTACAATTGTGAGCTTAATTTCACAAATACAATACTGACAGACAGAAGTCAGAACAAGACATATTGTATGATGTTACATAAATTTCAAAACCATGCTAAATTCAACCCATGATTTTAGAAGTCAGGATAGATCCCTGGAAAACAGTGACTGAAAGGAAACACGAGGAGGACTCCTAGATTCACAGTATTGTTTTATTTCTTGATCTGGATACTGGTTACACTGGTGTGTTTACTTTGTGAACATTTAACTGAGCTGTATATTTACAATTTGTGCCCTTTTCTATACACATAATTTAACAGAAAGTTTGCTAAATATATGTTTAAATCCATGAATGAATAATGATAATAAAAAACAAAAACAAATTGGCCATTTGGTGGATACAGAGAAATCGTGGTAGACACTGAGGTGCTACCCAGTTCCTCCTTCAAAAAAGGACTTACCTTAAATGCTGGGAGTGCTGTCAGTCAGCCCCTTCAGGGATTGCCTCACCTACAAGGAACAACCCTGTTCAAGGTCATATCCTTCCCAAGATAACCCACATCAAATGACTAATTGATATGGCAATATGAAGGCCTGGACACATCAGCCACCGCAATTCTGGGCAACTCAGAAGAGCCATTCTTGTCCCAGGCTCCCATTCTCGCTCCAGGCTCCCCGTGGGGGTTGGCCAAAGCTGGTGCTGGGCCTGCACTGCATTTGCCCAGTGCTCCTCACTCCCAGATGTTGATTTCAAAGAAAAAAGATAAAAACAAAAAAGCTGATTAACTTCCAATTGAAAACTAAGTTTGAAAGCCAGAGAACCTCTCTGAAAACACAGAGATTCTCCTCTCCTGCAGCAGGAGGGCAGAGAAACCTAAGGACCAAAACCAGCACTTGATTATCGCCCATTTATTACACTTATATATCTCAGAGATATACAGATTGGATGGATGGATGGATGGATGGATGGATGGATGGATGGATGGATGGATGGACAGACAGATTAGATATCTAAATCTGTATGTGTTGGGCTTCAAAGGTTGAACTCCCAAAGGCAGCAGGTCTCCTACGTCCAGATCAGGGGCCTGGCTAGGAAAGAACAAGACTCTGACACATGGAATGGAAACATCTGGGTTGGCGCTCCCAAAAATCTTGTCTCCCCAGATTCCTGAACCGTCTGCCAACAACCAATGAGCCTGGAAGAGAACCCCAAGCCTCAGATAAGACTGAGGCCCCAACCAAAACCTTGATTTCAGGCTGATGAGAACCTGAGCAGAGAACACAGCTAAGCAATGCCTTGACTCCGACCCACAGAAATTGTAAGATAGTAATTTTGTGTGTTTTAGGCTACTGTTTGTGGTAGTTTGTTACACAGCAATAGAAAACTAGAACAACTACCAAACCTGAATCTGTAATGGAAACTTCTCTCCTGAGCTTCAGATGTGTTATCCAAATGTCCATTTGGTTTCTCCACATGGATAACTTGTAGGCACTTCAAACTCAACATTTCCAAAGCTTAATTCATAATCTTCCTACCATGTTTCCTGTCTTGGTAAATAGTACCACAATCTACCCAGTTTCCCATGTCGGACATCTGAGAATCTTCATGATACTTCTTTTGTTCCCTTTACTTCATCTCCCTTTAGTCAGAAGAATTTTTAAAATATATTTTGGCCTCCACCTTTACTCATTTCTCAACTTGCTCAGAAGCCAGGCAGGGAAGGAAGAAAAGTGGTACTTAGGCCCCCCAGGCTCCTACTAACAGCACCAAATTCTATGAAAAGGAAAAAAAAATCAAGATTAAGGAGTTCTAAGTAACCAAGAATTTATCAGATAAGGTGTTCAGGGGAAGCTCTCTGAAGATGTGACATTTGAGCAGAGACCTAAATGAAGTAAAAAAATGGGAAGACCAGCCATGGGATTAGTGGTTCACACCTCTAATCCCAGCACTTTGGGAGGCTGAGGCGGGCGGATCACATGAGGTCAGGAATTTGAGACCAGCCTGGCCAAATGGGGAAACCTCGTGAAACCCAAAAATACAAAAATTAGCCAGGCATGGTGGTACATGCGTGCAGTCCCAGCTACTCAGGAGGCTGAGGTGGGAGAATTGCTTGAACCCGGGAGGCGGAGGTTGCATTGAGCCCAGATCGTGCCACTGCACTCCAGTCTGGGCAACAGAGTGAGACCCTGTCTCAAAATGAATGAATGAATGAGAACGGGAAGACCCATGCAAAGATCTAAAGAAGAGCATTCACGGCAGTAGTTGCAAGTAAAATGGATCTGATGTTGGGTGTGGCATGTTCAAAGCCTAGCAAGAGGGCCAATGTGGTTAACCCAAAGGGAACGAAGAGGAAAATCTAGGGGATGCGGTCAGAGATTCAAGAAGCAGGAGTCAGATCATGAAAAGCCTTATAGGCCATTTTAAGAACTCTGAATTTATTTTGAATTTGACGATGTCACGGATTATATTTTCCAACTGTCAAGTATCTCTCATCCCACATGCTTTCCCGCAATAAGATTTTGCCACTCCCTCATTAGGAAAAGAAATTTATTTTTCTACCTCCTTTCATCTAGCAGGTCCAGTGACTATTCTGACCAATAAAATACGGCTTAAAGGCACACTGTGTAGTTCCAGGCCATAGTCCTTAATTGGTCTGACAGTTTTTATTTCCCTCTTCCTAGAAGCCAGTTGTCATGTAAAAAATGGGACTACTCTGAGATCAGCATGCTGTGAGAAGCCGAGGCCACATGCAGAGATTCTGAAGAATGGGACGCCATTGTGGAGAGAGAGGCCAAGAAACACTGAGGAGCCAGACATGTGACTGAAGAAGCCATAATGGAAGGGATTCTCCAGTGTCAGCAACACAATATGGAACAGAAGAACTGCCCAGCTGAACCTGTCATGAATTCCTGACCCCCAAAAATTGTGAGCACAATAAAATGGTTGTTTTTAGGCTACAAGGCTTTGGAGTAGCTTATTATACAGCAATAGATAACCAAAAGACAGGGGAAAAAGGCACTGAACGAATTTAAGCAAAGGAATGACATAATCTGATTTATGTTTTAAAAAGAACCCTCTTGTTGCTGTATGTTAGAAAACAGTCTTACTCAAGAGAGGATGGTAGCTTAAGTTAAGCTAATATGAATAGAAGAGAAAGTAGTGAGATGTTATAATAGATTTAGAAGGGGGGTGCTTATTTAAAATGGTAAGCTGATTCTGAAGTTAATTTGGAAGAATAAACTTGTGAGAATACCAAAGAAATTTTTGAAAAACAAGAACAAGGCCAGGCGCAGTGGCTCAAGCCTGTAATCCCAGCACTTTGGGAGGCCGAGGCGGGCGGATCACGAGGTCAGGAGATCAAGATCATCCTGACTAATACGGTGAAACCCTGTCTCTACTAAAAATACAACAAAAATTAGCTGGGCGTCGTGGCAGGCGCCTGTAGTCCCAGCTACTTGGGAGGCTGAGGCGGGAGAATGGCATGAACCCAGGAGGCAGAGCTTGCAGTGAGCCGAGACTGCGCCACTGCACTCCAGCCTGGGCAACAGAGCGAGTCTCTGTCTCAAAAAACAAAACAAAAAAAAGAAAAGAAAAGAAAAACAAGAACAAGAGACATGACCAAGTACTGAAATATACTGTTAAGCTCTTACAGCACAATCTGTACAAGTACAAATTAATTGCAATCACAGAAAAGATATTCATATTCACACACAAATTTAATATAATAAAGGTGGTATTTCAAATCAATGGTAAAGAATGGATTAGTCAATACAATTATGCCACATCAAAAAGAAAAGACTAATTCATACTAAATTTTAAAATATATGGGTGCTGCCAGGTGTGGTGGCTCATGCCTGTAAAACCAGCACTTTGGGGAGGCTGAGGAAGGATGACCACTTGAGCCCAGGAGTTTCAGACCAGCCTGGGCAACAAAGTGAGACCCTGTTTCTACAAAAAAAACATTTAAAAATTAGCTGGGGGTGGTGGTATGCACCTGTAGTCCCAGCTACTTGGGAGGCTGAGGTGGGAGGATATCTTGAGCCCAGGAGGTTGAGGCTGCAGTGAGCCATAATTGCGCCACAGCACTCCAGCTTGGGTGATAGAACAAGACCCGTCTCAAAGAGTGTGTGTGTCCGTGTGTGTGTGTGAGTGTGTGTGTGTGATTTAAAAAAAACAAAGCCATAAAGCTATTAGGACAAATACTAAAGAATAATTTAATAATATTGGAGTAATAAAGATTTTCCTAAGCAAGACAAACATACAGCACCTATAATAAAAACACTGATATTTGCTTACAAGAAAATGTATAAATTCTATAACAAAAAGACACTGCTAATAAAGAAACAAACGGGAGGTAAAAGAATGCACATACAATTAGCTACCAAAAAGTTTACATAACTAACAGATCAGGTTGTCTTGCCTATTAATAAGAATATTTATTGGAAAAACTTCAAGAAACAAGGGGCAATTCAAAGGTAAGTGATCAGTAAATAACATAAAAATATGACCATCTCATTAATAATTTTTTTTTTTTTTTGAGACAGAGTCTCGCTCTATCGCCCAGGCTGGAGTACAGTGGCGCGATCTCGGTTCACTGCAAGCTCCGCCTCCCGGGTTCATGCCATTCTCCTGCCTCAGCCTCCCGAGTAGCTGGGACTACAGGCGCCTGCCACCACACCCGGTTAATTTTTTGTATTTTTAGTAGAGACAGGGTTTCACTGTGTTACCCAGGATGGTCTCGAACTCCTGACCTCGTGATCTGCCCACCTTGGCCTCCCAAAGTGCTGGGATTACAGGCATGAGCCACAGTGCCCGGCCTCATTTCCGGCCTCATTAATAATTTTTAAAGTGCAAAATGAAATTAGACCACATTTGTAACCATATTTTTCACAAAAAAAGTAATACTGAAACACATATAAGAAAATAATTATGCCTAGAATGAGGAGGAAAAAACCTTGAGCAAAATTTAAAATATGAGGTCATTGTATTTGAGAGGTAAGAATAAGGTGATTTTTTAAAATTTTTACTTTTATGAGTTTCTCTTCTTTTCAGTTAGATACATTACTTTCACACAATTGAGGAAAAACACTTTTTAAAAACATTTCTTGCTATATTATAGAAATCTTTGGGTATAATGGAAGAAATGTAAAGCTAAACTGCATGAAGAAATATAATCACCTTTTAATTATGATCTCTATTAACAAACTATCAGCAACTTAAGATGTAAGATTTCAACAAACAAGAGGATTTAGCAAAAGAAGGCATAACATTAAGCAAAGCACTCTGTGAACAATGGTTAATTTGTTTCTAGTTTCACTTAGAAAATTCTTCAAAAGGTCACAGGCTAAAATTTTTGCCTCTGTGTACATTCTACTCATTTTCTAAAAGGCCCCTTAGACCATAATGGGGGTAGGGTTTACATTAAAATTCACCTAAGTTTTCACCTAAATGAGAGAAAAAACAAAGAAAATAACCATGCTAGAGGGGAAGTACCCAATACATCAGCTCTAGACACCAGGTAACAAACATAAACCAGGAAGAAGCCCACAAGAAACGGAATTAAGTCCTCCTCCCAACAATCATGGGAGTGAACTTGGAAGTACATCATCCCCTGCCCCAGTAAAGCTTTCAGATGATATAGCCCCAGCCAACAGCTTGACTGCAACCTCAAGAGACCGTGCTCCAGAGGCATCCAGCTAAGGTACCCCTATCTTCCTGACCCATAGAAACTGTGGGATAATAAATGTCTGTTGTTTTAAACTGCTAAGTTTTGAAGTAATGTGTTTTGCAGCAATAGATAACTAATACATTGTGAGTCTAAGTGCTGAAAAGTTAGAAAGCACCAATTACTCCCAAGAAAAGAAAAATAAGACTTTATCCCAACAGATCCCTGCTGGCTACAGAAAGGATAACATTTAAATTCTAACTAAAAGGCCATCAATGATGTCCCTGAAGAAAGAGCACCACTACCAACACCGTAGTAAGAAAAAAGGAAGAATATTTCTTTTATTAATACCTAAAATCACATAGATGTCTCTCATCTGAAAGAATAGAATTTCTGGTAAGTATTTCAGATACCTAAAAAAAAAAAAAACAAGATTAACACCTTCTATGTGTCAGGCACTGTGCTGGGTACTACAGATACAACCACAAAGTTAAGCCTGATCCCTGCCCCAACAATACCTTTAAAAAAAAAAATCTGTGTATATGAGATTTATAAGCTGATATCTTGGGATGTGTATAGACAGCAAAATGGTTACTACAGTGAAAACATCTATCATAGTTACTATGTGTGTGTGTGTAAGTGTTACAAGCAGCTAAATTACTTAATAAAAATCCTTAATACAGTTTTGTTTTATTAACTATAGTCTTCATGTTATACATAAGCTCTCCAGACTTCTTCATTCTATATATCTGCTATTTTATTATCTATATAACCCCATTTCCTTCCTCCTCCTGCCCAAGGTAACCACTGTTTTATTCTCTGTCTCCGTATACTTGACTTTTTAAAAACATTCCACATATAAGTGAGATTATATAGTATTTTTCTTTTTGTGCGTGGTCTATTTCACTTAGCATAAGGTCCAACCAAGTTGTGGCAAATGACAGAATATCCTTCTTTTTAAAGGCTGAATAACGTTCCATTGTATAAACACACACATACACACACATTTTCTTTATCAATTTGCCATCAACAGACATTTAGGTTGTTTCCATATCTTGGCTACCTTGTAAATAACACTGCAATGAACATGGGAGTGCAGACACCTTTATGAAGTGATTTCATCTCCTTTAAGTATCCACCCTGAAGGGGGACTTGCCCTAGCTATACTTTTGAAACACAAAAATTTCTATAAAATAAGGATTTTAAGTGATAACTGATTCTAAGGATATATTGTTTTATTACAGAGTTGACACGAAATTTTTGTCTTTATAAAATTACTTGCTAGGGATCTTCTATTTGATCATCCAAGATAACAGTATTGCTATAAACAACTACTAATTAGCACTTACTGAGCACAAGTACCAGGCACTAAACACATTATACACCTCATTGAATCCCACAATTGTCATTATCTCAATTAATCTCTCAGTCTGAGTCTCTGCCACTCTCCTTTTATTCTCCCACCACTTTCCTTATTCATACTTTCGGAGATGCCATCCTGAACCCCACAGCAGTAAGCTTCCTTGACCTCTCCTACATGATTCTTATTACTGTAATTACATAACCAGATGATACGTTGTTTAATATCCACTGTTGTGCTAGAATGTAAATTCCATGGGAGCAGGGAAGGTATCTTTCTTGTAATCGTTTTATCCCCTATGGTCAGGAGTTTTAAAAGGCAATTAGTACATGCTTGCTAAGAAAAGAAAAATGAACTGGTATGTTACACCGCCTCTTGCTGCCCTCAACAATCACCTTTTTACTGCTTAGGGCAGTATGCTTCTAACTGTTGTCCAAGAACAAGTGGTCTCTCCAAGTCTACCAACCAGTCTACAGATAATTTGGTGATCTCAGAGGAAGAGACCCACCAACGATTACCTTCACCTGTGTTTTACAAACTTGAACTGTAAAATAATATTTCTACAATAATCCTACTTCCTTACTTTGTTACTTTCTTAACGAGTGAAAATCTCTATACCATAAACCAGCAGCCTCTTTCCTTTATCTTGCTTCCAAGTCCGAAAATCAGACATACATCTTCCCAGGCAACCAACCACGCAATATTTTCTGGAACAAACTAATGTTCAAAGAAAAGACATACATTTAGAAAGCCTCCAACAATAAAGTTAGTTCTCCACCAACTTACCCTAGCCCATGCACATGAGCTTCCAATTATCTCACATTTAAGAGTAGATCTGCATTTTTTTCCAGCTTGAGGTATAATTGACAAAAATAATAATTTAAGGTCTACATGATAATTTAATAGATGTATACATTCTGAAATGATTACCACGATCAACTGACACATCCATCATCACAGTTACCGTGTGTGTGTGTGTGTGTGTGTGTGTGTGTGTGTGTGTCTGTGTAAAACATTTAAGATCTAAGAGTAGGCCAGGCGCAATGACTCATGCTGTAATCCCAGCACTTTGAGAGGCCGAGGCAGGCCGATCACTTGAGGACAGGAGTTTCAGACCAGCCTGGCCAATATGGTGAAACCTCATCTCTACTAAAAATACAAAATTTAGCCACGCATGGTGGCACATGCCTGTAATCCCAGCTACTTGAGAGGCTGAGGCACAAGAATTTCTTGAACCTGGGAAGTGGAGGTTGCAGTGAGCTGAGATCATGCCACCGCACTCTAGCTTGGGCGAGAGAATGAGACTGTCTCAAAAAACAAACAAACAAAACTTAGATATTTAAAGTGAAAACAGCTCAGAATCACCAGGTATAAGGAAACCTTATTAACATGAAAGAAAAAGAACCAAGTACACACAATTAATTTTGAGAAAAAAGATAATGAAGAATGAGAAGAAAACTTCAAAATACGGTAAATTATTAGTATCTTAAAAAATACTTAAAAATTTAAAGAATGCTGCCTCTGATCCCAGCACTTTGGGAGGCCAAGGTGGGCATATCACGACATCAGGAGATTGAGACCATCCTGGCTAACACGGTGAAACCCCGTCTCTACTAAAAATACAAAAAAAAAAAAAATTAGCCTGTAGTCCCAGCTACTCAGGAGGCTGAGGCAGAAGAATTGCGTGAACCTGGGAGGCGGAGCTTGCAGTGAGCCGAGATTGCACCACTGCACTCCAGCCTGGGCAACAGAGCGAGACGCTGACTCAAAAAAAAAAAAAAACTAAAGAATGCTATTTTTAAAATAGAGAGAGCAGGCCAGGTGCAGTGGCTCACACCTATAATCTCAGCACTTTGAGAAGCCCAGGCGGGTGGATCACCTGAGGTCAGGAGTTCGAGACCAGCCTGGCCAACATAGTGAAACTTTGTCTCCACTAAAAATACAAAAATTAGCCAGGTGTGGTAGTAGGCACCTGTAATCCTAGCTACTCAGGAGGCTGAGGCAGGAGAATCACTTGAACCCGGGAGGTGGAGGTTGCAGAGTGCTGAGATCGTGCCATTGCACTCCAGCCTGGGCGACAGAGCCAGACCCTGTCTCAAGAAAAAAGAAAGAAAGAAAGAAAACATTAAAGAGTTGGAAGATAAAGTCAAGATATTTTCTACAAAAAAAGAACAAAAGAAAGACCATGAAAGAAAAAAATGTAAAACATTACATGAGTAATCAATTCCAACATGTGAAAAAAAGAAAAAAATTAATAAATAAGATAGGAAGACGTTGCCAGAGAATAACACAAGAAGTTTTCCAGACTTGAAGAGTCTCTAAACTAAGTAAGACCCATTTGGTATCCCAACATGTTATTATTGAACTGCAGAATAGCAAGGACAAATAAAAAAAAATTCCAAGGATTCTAGAAAAGAAAAAATAAACAGATTGATGACAACGTAACAGAAACCAGAATGGCATTGGGGTTAGCAATAATCTCAGTGATAAACTAAAAGGCAATGGAGAAATTCTTTCCAAATTCTGAGAAAAAAAATTATTTCATATTAGAACTTAAGACCTAGACAAATTATCAATTTTTTTTTCAAAAAAGGTAGAATAAAGACATTCTCAAACATTCAAGGTCTCAAAATTTATCTCCTTTGTACTTTTTTTTTTTTCCAGCAAGCTAGTGGAAGGTGTGTTGTAAATGAATGAGATCCACAAAACAAGGGAATCAACACAGGAGACAAGCAATAGGAATTTCCAAAATGATGCTGAAGGGAGAACACAGGATGATAGCTGCACACCTGGTATAGCAAGCAGCCAATTCTAAACACTAGCATGGGAGGAAATCCTCAAGGAAAATGGTCACACTGAACAGATTAACAGGTTTGACCCTATGTGAAAAACTGTACTGAGAACGTGTTAATGATGGAAAGAAATAACAATAGCTACATAAAAACTGAAGCAAATGAAAAAAATGAGGCTAAATGAGACATTACATTTAGGAGACACAAAAAGTTGTACCAGAAAGTAAACTTAATCACAGTACACTACTTGGCTCAGCCTCAAACAATATTACATACATCTAATTGTAGTTCCAGAAGAAAACTAATAGAAATACAGAAAAGAAACAATATTTGAGAAGGTAATGGCTTTTTAGAACTGTTAGACAACAACAAATGTCACTCCCAAGAAGTCCAAAAACTCAAAGCAGAATAGAGATCCATATACCTACAAACATTTTGGTGAAACTACAGAACAAACAACAAAAAGGAGACCTAAAAAAACAACTGGAGAGAAAATGTCACCTATAAAATAAAGGCAATTATGTCAACTGAATTCTCAATGGCTATGATAGCAGACAGATAGTGAAATAGTATCTTTAACATACTGAGGGAAACATAACTGTCCAGAATTCTATATATCCAGCAAAACTATCATTCAAGAATAAGGGAGAAATAAAGATACAGTAGTCTCCCCTTATCCATGGGGCATAAGTTCCAAGAGCCCCAGTGGATGCCTGAATCCAGGGATAGTACTGAACCCTATATATATACTATGTTTTTTTCCTACACATACATGCCTATAAAAAAGTTTAATTTATAAGACACAGTAAGAGATCGACAATAATAACTAATTTTAAAAAAAGAACAATTATAACAATATTCCAGCGTCACTGCTCCTCCTCCTTGGGGCCATTACTATATAAAATAAGGGTTAACTGAACACAGCACTACAATATCATGACAGTCAATCTGATAAATGAGATGGCTACTAAGTGACTAACAGGCAGGTACCATACACAGTGTGGATACACTGGACAAAGGGATGATTTGCATCCCAAGTAAGACGAAGCAGGACTGTGTGAGATTTCATCACACTACTCAAAACAGCATGCAATTTTAAACTTATGAATTGTTTATTTCTGGAATTTTCCATTTAACATTTTCAGACTGCAGTTGACTGTGGGCAACAAACCATAGAAAGCAAAACTGCTGATAAGTGGTTGTGGGGGGAGCGGGGAGACTACTGTATTTTCTTTCCTTTTTTTTTTTTTTTTTTTTTGAGACAGAGTCTTGCTCTTTCACCCAGGCTGGAGTGCAGTGGCACAATCTCAGCTCACTGCAACCTCCGCCTCCCAGGTTCACGTCATTCTCCTGCCTCAACCTACTGAGTAGCTGGGACTACAGACGCCCACCACCACACCTGGCTATTTTTTGTATTTTTAGTAGAGATGGGGGTTTCACCGCGTTAGCCAGGATGGTCTTGATCTCCTGACCTTGTGATCCGCCCGCCTCGGCCTCCCAAAGTGTTCGGATTACAGGCGTGAGCCACCGCGCTGGCCCTGTATTTTCAAAGAAAGGAAAGTAAGAGCAATTACTGCAACAGACCCTCATCAAAAGAAATTCTAAAGAATATGCTTCAAGCAGAAGTAAAATGAACCCAGAGGTAAATTCTGAGACTCAAGGGGTAAAAAAATGAAACAGTTGAATAAAAGGCACATAAGAAAATGGCAGAGCTGGGGGTGGTGGTTCACACCTGTAATCACAACACTTTGGGAAGCTGAGGCAGGTGGATCGCTTGAGCTCAGGAGTTCAAGACTAGCCCCTGGGAAACACAGTAAGATGCTGTCCCTACAAAAAAAAAAAATGTTTTTTAATTATCTAGACAAGATGGCACATGCCTATAGTTCCAGCTACTTAGGAGGCTGAGCTGGGAGGATCACTTGAGCCCAGGAGACAGAGGTTGCAGTGAGCCATGATCACACCACTGGACTCAAGTTAGGGCAACAGAGAAAGACCCCTGTTTCAAAAAAGTAATAATAATTAGATTAAATTTTAAAAAGAAAATGGCAGAAAGGAATCCAAAGATGTCAGTCATCACAATGAATGTAAATGAACTAAACTCTCCAGGCAGAAGAAAAAAAAACCATCAGACTGGTTTCCCATGAACTGTTTATAAGAGACAAACATAAAGCATACAGGCACAGAAATATTGATAGTTAAGAAATGGAAAAAGATCTATCAGGCAAATAGAAACAAGAGAAAACTGGAGTGGACTAAGATAAAAAGGACTAGAGATCAAGAGGGGCACTACATGATGATACAGGACTCAAATCAACTGTAAGATATTGTAAGCCTCTATGCACCTAATAACACACACACAAAACTGACACATCTGCAAGAAAAAAGCATAAACATACTAATTCAGTGAAAGATTTCCTAACTTACCTTTCTCAGTAGTAAGATCTAGCAGACAAAAAAGAATCAGAATTTAGAAGAGTTGAACTGCTTAATAAACTTGATCAAACTCCTATGTAAAAATCACACTCAAGAACTTGGGACTACATATCATTTTCAAGAAGACATGAAAACTTTATAAAAATGGACTGTATGCTTATGGTAGCCAGACTCCAAGATGGTCTGCAAGTATTCCTACATTCTGATATCCACACCCGTGTGTCATCCTCTCTCATCTGGTATTCGGGTTGTTCTGCATAACCAATATTATACGGCAAGCAGGAAGGTATGTAACTTCTAAGGATCATGAAAGAATGTGGCTTTTGATTCTCTCAGATCACTCACTCTGGGAGACGTCAGCTGCCACATTACAAGCAGCCAGATGGAGAAGCCCAAGTAGAAAGGAACTGAGACCTCTTACAAATGGCCAGCAAAGAACTGAGGCCTCCTGCCAAAAGCTATGTAAGTGAATTTACTTGGAAGCAAATGCTCTACCCCCAGTCAAGCCTTCAGATTACTACAGACCCAGCCAAGACTGTCACTGCAGCTTCATGAAAGACTCTGAGCCAGAAACACTCAGTTCAGCCACTAATGGATTTCAGATGGACAGAAACTTTATGTGATAATAAATGTTTGTTGTACAAAACGGCTACATTTGGGAATAATTTATAACATAACAATAAATAACTAATAAATATGTTCAAGGTCATAAAGCTAAGTTCAAATTTGAAATTACTGGTAACATATAAACCATAACATGTTTCATATTCATATGAAACACTCTAGGTGAAAGGAGAAATCATAATTGAAAACATTATATGGAAATATGAAATTGAAAAATAAAAAGCCAATTATTGAAACTTGTAGGATACAATTAAAGCAGCATTTAATAAATTTATAACTTTGAATACTTACAATCAAATGAAATATTCAAAACTGATGAGCTTAAATATAACTCTAAAAGTCAGAAAACGTGCTAGGTACAGTGGCTTCCACTTATAATCCCAGCACTTTGGGGAGGCTAAGGCAGGAAGATTGCTTGAGTCCAAGAGTTCGAAGATGCAGTGAGCTATGCTCATGATACTGTACTCTAGTCTGCATGACAGAGCAAAAACCTCTATTAAAAAAAAACCAAAAAGTCATAAAACCACCTAACACTCATTAGGATGGCTACTATCAAAAAGAGACATGAAATAAGGCCAGACGCAGTGGCTCATGCCTGTAATCCCAACATTTTGGGAGGCCGAGGCAGGCAGATCACTTGAGGTCAGGAGTTCAAGACCAGCCTGGCCAACATGGCGAAACCCCATCTCTACTAAAAATACAAAAATTAGCCAGACATGGTGGCAGGTGCCAGTAGTCCCAGCTACTAGGGAGGCCAAGGCAGCAGAATCGCTTGAACCCGGGAGGCGGAGGTTGCGGTGAGCCCAGATCACACTACTGCATTCAAGCCTGGGCAACAGAGTGAGACTCTGTCTCAAAAAAATAAAAAAAAAGACACAAAATAACAAACGTAAATGAGGATATGGAGAAATTGGAACCCTTGTGCACTACTGATGGGAAAGTAAAATAGTGCATATACCTATGGAAAACAGTAAAACAGTTCCTCAACATATTACAAATAGAATTACCATATGATCCAGCAACCCTACTTCTAGGTACATATGCAAAAGAACTGAAAGCAGGGTCTTGAAGTGGTATCTGCACACCCATGTTCATGGCAGCATTATTTACAATAACCAAAAGGTGAAAGTAACCCAAATGTCCTGAATGGATAAAGAAAATGTGGTTTACACAAATAACAGAATATTATTCAGCCTTTAAAAGGTAGGAAATTCTGACATATGCTGCAATGTGGATTAACCTTGAAGACATTACACTAACGGAAACAAGCCAGTTATAAAAAGACAAATACTGTATGACGCCACTTATTTGAGGTATCCAGGGTAGTCAAATTCATAGAAACAGAAAGTAGAATGGTGGTTTCCAGTGGCTGGGAACATGGAGGAATGGGAAGTTCTAGTTTAATGAGTAAAGGGTTTCAGTTTTTTGAGATGAAGGGAGTTCTGTAGATTGGTTACACAACAAGGTGAATGTACTTAATACTACTGAACTATACACTTAGGAACAGTTAAGATGGTAACGTTTATGTTATGTGCATTTTTCCACATTTAAACATAAGATTAAGGCCAGGCACGGTGGTTCATGCCTGTAATCCCAGCACTTTGGGAGGCCGAAGCAGGTGGATCACCTGAGGTCAGGAGTTCGAGACCAGCCTGGCCAAAATGGTGAAATCCCATCTCTACTAAAAATACAAAAATTAGCCGGGCATGGTGGCGAGCGCCTGTAATCCCAGCTACTTGGGTGGCTGAGGCAGGAGACTCACTTGAACTCGGGAGGCAAATGTTGCAGTGAGCTGAGATCACGCCACTGTACTCCAGCCTGGGCAACAACAGTGAAACTCCGTCTCAAAAAATAAATAAATAAGTAACATTAAAAAGTTAGGGGAAAAATGCATAGCAGAATAAACCCAAGGAAAGAAAATGTAACAACAAAATTAACAAAACAGAAAACAAAGTTTAAAAAGCTAAGAAATGAGTCTTTTTATTTTTTTGAGATGAAGTCTTGCTCTGTGGCCCAGGCTGGAATGCAGCGGCATGATCTCCACTCACTGCAACCTCCTCCTCCTGGGTTCAAGCGATTCTCCTGCCTCGGCCTCCTGAGTAGCTGGGATTACAGGCGTCTGCCACCACACCCAGCTAGTTTTTGTATTTTTAGTAGAAACGGTGTCACTATGTTGGTCAGGATGGTCTCAAACTCTCGACTTCAAGTGATCCATCTACCTCAGCCTCGCAAAGTGCTGGGATTACAGGCATGACCCACCAAGTCTGGCCTAGAAATGAGTCTTTAAAAATACACTGAGGCCAGCCACAGTGGCTCACGCCTGTAATCCTAGCACTTTTGGAAGCCAAGAAAGAAGATCATTTGAGCCCATGAGTTCAAGACCAGCCTGGGCAACAAGGTGAGACCCCGTCTCTACAAAAAAAATTTAAAAATTAGCTAGGGATGGTGACATGTGCCTGTAGTCCCAGCTACTTGAGAGGCTAAGGTGGGAGGACTGCTTGAGCCCAGGAGGTTAAGGCTGCAGTGAACAGTGATCACACCACTGCACTCCAGTCTGGATGACAGAGTAAGACCCTGTCTCAAAAAAATAAAAACGAAATACACAAACAGAAAAAAAAACATGAAAAAATAAAGAAATAAACATTAGGGGTGAAATATTAGACACAACTTCAGTTAACACAGAGATTAAATAGATTATATAAACTCCCCAATTGATTTTATAAGGCTAGAATCACCTTGATATGAAATCCAGACAACAGCTATATAAGAAAATTACAAACCAATCTTACTCATAGATACAAACATCCTAAACAAAATATCAGCAAGTTTACACCAACAACTGATTTGTTAAATTTATACATTTCAATAAGAACAGCCCACAGAATGTAACATCAATGTAATTATTAGAAATCATGAAAAGCCACAGGGAGGGGGCTCCAAGATGGCCAACTAGCTGCAGCCAGTAGGAACATCTCCCAGAGGATCAGGATGACTGGCACACTCTTAGCAGATCTTCAGAGGGAAAGCACTGAGTGCTGACAGAGGGAAGACACAGATGCTGAACTGACGAGGGAAGAAGTAAGGAACCCTGCACAGGGCTACCACGCACCGGGACTTTTTCCTGGCCCCCAGTGACTCCTGAAGAGGCAGTTGAGTTGAACAGGGAAGCAGCAACCCACTCTCACCAGGGGACTCTGGAATCCCTGCAGAAGGAGACTCCTCCACCACAAGGAGACCCCTCAACCACCAAGGACACTTGAGCTGGCAGGGAAAGCTGCTTAGAGAAGTGGTAGGGGCAGAACTCCAGCCAGGGCAGAGCTCAGAGGTTTTGGTGCTGGAGCATCTGTAGTGCAACAGGGCCAGGAGTGCCCATCCCCCAAGGCTCGACTTGCTCCCATAGGAGACTTTAGCCCTAGAGGAACTGCCAGACCTGAACTCTGCAGGGCAGTCTTGCCCATAAGGTGGGGGTGGTGTGACCTGAGTACCCTCAGTCTGCTGGTCTCTCATGGGGCTCCAGCCTGGCCAGGATGCTTGCAGTACTGCCGGGGGGGGCCACATACCAGCTCCTGCACTGACAAGGTGCTGACAGGCAGAGTGCTCCAACCACAGTGATCCCTGTGGAAAAGCACGAGCCTGCCAATACCCTCCTCCCACCGAAGGCTGCTCCATGCTGCTTTGCCTGCAGGCACTCGCCCATGGCCACCCTCCAAATGCTTTGCCCACACGTGTGCACAGGTGTACCTTGTTTTCCCTTCCCCGCCAGCACACATGCGTGCAAGCACCCTCCCATGCCACTGCAGCCAGCGTGAGTACACCCTGCCTATCCCTCCATGGCCATTGTCAAGGGAGCACTGGCAGGTACAGAGCCCACCAGTGCCATCCCCACCAGCACTGAGCCCCTGCACCAACATGAAACTAGGCAGAGAAAACAGAGGACCCACCCCCACCCCTTACCGGCCACTGAAGCCAGCATGAACGTGCACAGAGGGCACACCCAGTCCTGCACCCACCAGCACCCTGCCCCTGTGCTAACACCACCACCAGTGCATGTGTACCAGCAGCCCCCCGCCCTGGCCTTACTGCCACTGTTGCTGCCAATGCCCACATGGAGGCCAGCACCCTGTGGCCTTGCTGCCACTGCTACTGGCACATGCGAACAAGAATTGATTCCACTGCCACCCCCTACACTTTGGCTGGCACAACCCACGGGAGTATTGTGACCAGAGGTCCAGGAGCACCTCGGCCCCTCCAGTGCAGCAGGTTCCTAACCTTAAAGAACCAGAGAACAAAGCTGGGGCCCAATGCCAGTCCCCCAGAGTTGGAGGACCCATGTACTCCGGGAGTCCTGAGATGAGCCCTGGCCCCTCCAGTAATGAAGCCAGTTAACTGAACCTACCTTGTACCACAAACATCCAAGGTCATCATATAGGATAAAAAAAAAAAAACAAAAAAAAACAGCGACTTCAAAGACTGAAGGAACATCAGCCCACAAAGATGACAAAGCACCAACACAAGAACTCTGATGACTCAAAAAGCCAGAGCATCTTCTTTCCTCTAAAACAAACGACTGCACTAGCTCTCCGGCAAGGGTTCTGAACTGGACTGAGATGGTTGAAATGACAGAAACAGAATTCAGAATATGGATAGGAATGAAAATCATTGAGATTCAGGAGAATGTTGAAACCCAATGTAAGGAAGCTACCCACAATAAAACGATACAGAGCTGACAGACAAAATAGCCAGTATAGAAAAGAATATAAACGACCTCATACAGCTAAAAAACACTCTATAAGAATTTCATGGCCGGGCGCAGTGGCTCACACCTGTAATCTCAACATTTTGGGAGGCCAAGACAGGCGAATCATGAGGTCAGGGGTTCAAGACCAGCCTGGTCAACATGGTGAAACCCCGTCTCTACGAAAAATACAAAAAATCAGATGGGTGTAGTGGCAGGCACCTGCAATCCCAGCAACTCAGGAGGCTGAGGCAGGAGAATCGCTTGAACCCAGGAAGCAGAGGTTGCAGTGAGCTGAGATCGTGTCACTACTCTGTCTCAAAAAAAAAAAAAAAAAAAATTTCATAATGCAATCGCAAGTATTAACAGTAGAACAGACCAAGCTGAGAAAAGAATCTCAGCGCTTGAAGATTGGCTTTCTGAAATAAGAAGACAGACAAGAATAAAGACAAAAGAATGAAAAGGAACAAACAAAACCCCCAAGAAATATGAAATTATATAAAGAGACTAAATATATGATTCACTGGTATCCCTGAAAGATATGGGGAGAAAGGCAGCAACTTGGAAAACATATTTCAGGATATCATTCATGAGAACTTCCCCAACCTAGCTAGAGAAGTCAACATTCAAATTCAGGAAATAAAGAGAACTCCCACAAAATATTTCACAAAAAGATAATCTCCAAAAAACAGAATCATCAGATTCTTCAAGGCAGAAATGAAAGAAAAAAATGTTAAAGGTGGCTAGAGAGAAAGGACATGTCACCTATAAAGGAAAGCCCATCAGACTAACAATGGACCTCTCAGTAGAAACTATACAAGTCAGAAGAGATTGGAGGTCTATATTCAACATTCCTTTTTTTTTTTTTGAGACGGAGTCTCACTCTTGTCACCCAGGCTGGAGTGCAGTGGCGCGATCTAGGCTCACTGCAAGCTCCGCCTCCCGGGTTTACTTACGCCATTCTCCTGCCTCAGGCTCCCGAGTAGCTGGGACTACAGGCGCCTGCTACCATGCTTGGCTAATTTTTTGTATATTTAGTAGAGACAGGGTTTCACGGTGTTAGCCAGGATGGTCTCGATCTCCTGACCTCATGATCTGCCCGCCTCGGCCTCCCAAAGTGCTGGGATTACAGGTGTGAGCCACAGCACCCAGCCACAACATTCTTAAAGATAAGAAATTCCAACCCAGAATTTCATATTGGGCCAAACTAAGCTACATAAGCAAAGGAAAAATAAGATCCTTTTCAGGCAAGCAAATGCTGAGGGAATTCGTTAGTACCAGACCTACCTTACGAGAGCTCCTGAAAGCAGCACTAAATATGGAAAGGAAAGAACATTATCAGACACTAAAAAAAACACACTTAAGTACATAACCAGTGACACTACAAAGCAACCATGCCAACAAGTCAGCATAATAACCAGCTAACAACATGATGACACAATTAGATCCACACATATCAATACTAACCTTGAATGTAAACGGGCTAAATGCCCCAGTTAAAAGGCACTGAGTGACAAGCTCAATAAAGAAGCAACAACCCTGGGGCTGGGTGCAGTGGCTCACACCTATAATCCTAACACTTTGGGAGGTCGAGGCAGGTGGATCACTTGAGCTCAGGAATTTGAGACCAGCCTGGCCAACAGGATGAAACCCCATCTCTAAAAAAAAAAAAAAAAAATACAAAAATCAGCCAGGCATGGTGGCACACGCCTGTGGTCCCAGCTACTCGGGAGGCTGAGGTGGGATGATGGCTTGAGCCCAGGTGATCAAGGCTGCAGTGAACTGTGATTGCGCCACTGCATTCCAAAAACAAAACCAAACAAAACAAAACAGAAGTGCAAGGTACAGAAGAGGTCAATGTACAAAAAAAATATTAATTAAAAACAACACATAGCTTCCCAATGTCATCTCCCCTATTCAACATTAAAAGCCCTCAACAGATGCACAGAGAAAAAAAAAGATTGAAGATAAAGAAACAAAGCTACAACTATTTGTAGATCATCCACTGTCTACATAGATAACCCCAAAGAATCTAGATATAAGTCAGTAATAGCACAAAAACAGGCCAGATGTGGTGGCTCACACCTGTAATCCTAGCACTTTGGGAGGCTGAGACTAGAGGATCACCTGAGGCCAAGAGTTTAAGACCAGCCTGGGCAACATAGCAAAACCCCGTTTCTTTAAATAAAAAAAAAAAAAAAGTATAAAGACAAAATATAAGTTAATTTCATTTCTATATACAATCAGAAAATATAACTTTTTAAATATCATGTATAAATAATAAAAATATTCTAGGAAAAACTGACATTTTATGTAGAAGTTCTTTATATAAGGAGAAAATTATAAAACTTAACTGGAATGATTTTTTAAAACATAAAATAAATAGAAAGTCATATTATGTTCTTAAATAGGAAGCCTCAATATCATAACAATGTCAATCAATTCTTCCCAACTTGATCCAAAGACTCAATGCAATACCATTCAAAATCCCAGTATCATTTTTTGCGGAAATCAATAAACTGACTGTAAAACCAATATGGAAAGGCATTATTATAAGTCTTTTGGGGACCTGCCATACTTTATACTAAGAATTATTATAAAGCAACCACAATCAGGACAAATAATCAAGTGGATTACTGGCACTAGAGGAGAGAGCCGAACTGAGAGTCTAGAAACTGAGCCTGTGCATATACTGACACTTAATATTCACCCAAGCAAGCACTGAGATCACAGGAGAAAAAATGCACTACTCAATAAATAGGCTGGAACAATCAGTTATCTGTTATCATATGGCAAAAAAATAAAAGTGGATCCTTACAAAAAAAGTCTTTCCATGTGGATTAGAGACTTCAATGTAAAAGTGAAAAGCAAACAACTTTTAGAAAATAGAGAATTATCTTAATGATAGGACACAAAAAAATTTTAAAACATAAATCATAGAAGACTGATAAATTCAGCTGCAGTAAGATCAAGAATTTCAATCACCGAAGTTTTTTTTAATCCAATCATAAATTGGAAAAGATATTTGCAACACAAATCTAGAATTAGATCTAGGCTAGGCACTGTGGCTCAAATCTACAATCTCAACACTTTGGGAGGCTGAGGTGGGTAGATCACTGGAGCTCACGAATTCAAGACCAGCCTGGGGAACATGGCAAAACCCCATCTCCACAAAAAATACAAAAATTAGCCAGGCACAGTGGCGCGTACCTGTAGTCCCAGCTACTCAAGAGGCTGAGGTGGGAGGATAGCTTGAGCCTAGCAAAGGTTGCAATGAGCCAAGATTGCACCATTGCACTTTAGCCTGGGTGACAGAGCCAGACCCTGTCTCAAAAAACAAGAGAATTAGATCTAAAACCATAAAAAATTGCTATGAATCAATCAGGAAAAATTAAACAATCCAAACAGAAAAATGGGCAAAAAGTATATACAGACACTTCACAGAATAAGAAACACAAATACATTTCACAGAATAAATAACACAAATGCTCTATGAATATCCGAAAAGAAACTAAACCTCATTGGTAGTCAAGGAAATACAGATTCAAATTACAATGAAACAACATTTCTTACCCACCAGATACATAATTTTTTTTTCTTTTTTTTTAGACGAAGTGTCGCTCTTGTTGCCCAGGCTGGAGTGCAATGGCAAGATGTCAGCTCACTGCAACCTCCGCCTCCCAGGTTCAAGCAATTCCCCTGCCTTAGCCTCCCGAGTAGCTAGCACTACAGGTGCATGCCACAACGTCCAGCTAATTTTTTTGTATTTTTTAGTAGAGACCGGGTTTTACCACGTTGGCCAGGCTGGCCTTGAACAGGTGTAAGCCACTGCACCCGGCCCCATAAAATTTTTTAAAGAAACAATTCTAAGCTTTGGCAAGGACACAGAGCAATAGGAATACTTCTATATTGCAGTTGGGAGTGTCAACTGATTCAATCACTTTAAAAAATAATTTGGTGGCCAGGCGCAGTGGCTCACGCCTGTAATCCTAGCACTTCAGGAGACGGAGGTGGACAGATCACTTGAGGTCAGGAGTTCGAGACCAGCCTGGCTAACATGGCGAAACCCCGTCTCTAATAAAAATACAAAAATTAGCTGGGCATGGTGCTCGCTCCTGTAATCCCAGCTACTCAGGAGGCTGAGGCAGGAGAATCGCTTGAACCCAGGAGGCAGAGGTTGCAGTGAGTCCAGATCGTGCCATTACACTCCAGCCTGGGGGAGAAGAGAGAAACTCCATCTCAAAAAAAAAATTAATTAAAAATTTTTAAAAATTAGAAAAATTTGGCATTACTTAGTAAAGCTAAACAAACCCATACCCCATAAAATGAAAAATTCTGCTCCCAGACATATACTTCAAATTCCTGCATGTGCACAAAAGACATGAATAACAATGTTCGTAAGCAGCATTCTTAGTAATAGCAAAAAACTAGAAACAATCCAAATGTGCATCAATAGCCCAGATATATATATATATACAATATATACAAATAATGAACTAATGTATAGCAGTAAAACTGAATGAACTGCATACAATACCATAGATTAACGCTCAAAAGAAAAATGATGCTTACAAAAGAAATCAGAATACTTACAGTATTATTCCATTACATGAAAATCAAAATAAGTAAACAAAGCAATACATTGTTCATGGAGACATAAAGAAAAGAAAGGAAATTTTAAAATACAATTCAAGATAGTGGTAGGGGGAATGGTAAGAAAAGAACTGTGATTTGGGCCATAGAGGTGTTTCCACAGCATTGGGAATGTTGTTTTTTACTCTGTGAATTGATAAGAGTTCACCATGTTTTTTTTTTTTTAAGTATAAACTGTACAAACATGATTCACATAATCTTACAAGTTTCACAGTATGTTTTAAGTCAAATAAAAATTCAAGGCCAGGCACGGTGGCTCACGCATATAATCCCAGCACTTTGGGAGGCCAAGGCGGACAGATCATGAGGCCAGGAGATCGAGACCATCCTGGCTAACACAGTGAAACACCGCCTGTACTAAAAATACAAAAAAAAATTAGCCCGCATGGTGGCAGGCACCTGTAGTCCCAGCTACTCAGGAGGCTAAGGCAGGAGAATGGCATAAACCTGGGAGGCGGAGCTTGCAGTGAGCCGAGTTCGCACCACTGCACTCCAGCCTGGGCGACAAGAGTGAGACCCTGTCTCAAAAAAAAAAAAAAAAAAAAAAAATTCAAGAATACAAATATATGCTTCCTGAAGCATTGTTTATAATAAAACAAAAACACAAGCAAAAAAAAAAAAAACCCTGAAAACAAATTAAGTGTTCCTCTATACCAGAAATGGATAAACTGACATACTGATAATAGAATATTATACGTGCAGTTAAAATGAGTTAACTTAATACTCATGTATAAATAGGGAGCAAGTCTTAGAATAGGTTTAAAAAGCAAGCTGCAAGGCCAGGAGTGGTGGTTCACACTTATAATCCCAGCACTTTGGGAGGCCAAGGTAAGAGGATTCCTTGGGGCCAGGAGTTTGAGATCAGCCTAGGCAACAAGGCAAGGCCCTGGCTCTGCAAAAAAAAATTAAAAATAAAAAATAAAATTTAAAAAAGCAAATTGCAGAATATTTACAAGAACATTTTTTATGTAAAAATGTTAAACTGTAATTTTTTTATGAACACAAACATATGTAATAAAAGGATAAAAATGGACAGAGTACAAATTAACTTCAGAATAGTAGTTAACAGAAAGGATAGAATGGGATCAGAGAGGGGTTTAAAGACAGCTTCAACTATTTCTGGGATCCTTTGCAAATTAGAAGTATTTATAATTTAAAAATAAAAATATCCCCCCAAAAGAAAAATATAAAAATATTCTCTCTCCTTCTCCCCCTAACACATAAACATATAAAGAGACAAAAATAATAGAAAAGAGAAAAAATGCTTTCTAGAACAAAATGGAATAGGAGGCTACTTGCCACTATCGCCCAAGCTGGTACATTCAACCTTGCTTAAAGGAATGTTATTCTTGGATTTCCCAGACTTTAGAATTGTGAGAAGTAAGTTTCTGTTGTTTATAAACTACCAAATCTATGGTATTTTGTTATAGCAGCCTAAACTGACTAAGATATTTACCAAAACAAGCTGCCTCTAGGTCATCATTTTAGCTAACATTTCAACTATCTTCACTTGCAAAAATTAATTATTTTCCTAACATTATTCTTTAAAATGCCATCTGGCCAGTGCGGTGGCTCATGCCTGTAATCCCAACACTAGGAAGGCTGAGGTGGAAAGACCACTTGAGACTAGAAGTTAGAGACTAGGCTGGGTAACAGAGACAGACCCTGTCTCTACAAAATAAAAAGCCATCAACCAAATTTCTGAATAATCCCTTTTCCT
This sequence comes from Homo sapiens, assembly GCF_000001405.40. NCBI lineage: Eukaryota > Metazoa > Chordata > Mammalia > Primates > Hominidae > Homo > Homo sapiens. Next base: position 31,123,421 of record NC_000017.11, on the reverse strand, counting down.
AGTTGTATAAAGAAATAATGCAGCTAATGCTAAAAATGAAAATGGAAAATAAGGATTCTGAAAGATTGAGAATGAAGATTATACACATTTAACCATATATATAAATATGGTTGTTAACTCTCCCATAAAGTCAAATAGGCACAATTAAATTATTTGATGTTTACCCCTGGGATTTGAATTTTTAAGAACATATTAACAAAATATCCTAGCACAATTGACAAACTATACATGTTATAAACTAAAAATTGTAGAAGAAAAGTCAGCACAATCAGTGAAGATTCCCATGTAGGCTTCATCTCCTTCATGGGATTGAGAAAACAGTTTTTGAATGGCAAAGATTCTATGCGCTAGTTTTAACATGGCAGTTCAAGCACCTGCCACTGTGCTAAGTTTATAACTTAATTCAAGCCAGAAGCTTCAGCTATTTAGTCACGTACTAATGGCCAGGTTACTTACCAGGCTGAATGAAGGAGAATTTCATTCATTAAAAAAAAGAAAGATGCAGATCAAAATAAACTTGGACTCATCATGAAGAGGGTAGAGCCAACAGAAATTTAGCTACCAGGCTTAAGCCTAGAAGTCCTCTTGACTTTCACACTGAGATGACCCACTGGTCTATTTTTAACCATTTCTTCTCCATACCAAAATGATTCCATTATATTCAACCAGGAAAATAAAAAATTCACCTTCAATTGAGATTACAAACCATATACTTCATATAATTAATCTTCAATTTATCTGAAAACCAATATGCAAATGAAATTACAGAGGTAGAAATGCTCTTTTGGCCCATAAGTAGACACAACTAAAGAAGACAAAGCAGATGCAATTAGATGTTTAAGCCAACAGCACCCATTCAAGCAAAATAAAACAATGTGATACCTATTTCAATGCAAGACTGCATCTAAAGCAGTTGAGGGCATTTGCTTTGATGTGGGGGTGGGAAGAAGGGTCTCCAAAGATAAAGCAGGAAATAACTTCAAAACAACTTTTGGGATCAAAGCCCATTTTTAAGTCCTTTATGAATAACTGAAAACAATTTTCCCCTTTATTCAAAACAATAAACAAGAAACTTGTCATTTACAACTCCTCCCTCTCCTCAACTCTTATTCACTTAAATCTCCTCCTTTCCTCCTTACCCCTATCATCCATCTGAAGCCTTCCAATTTCATCTCCTAAACAAATCTCATGACAAGGTTGCCCCTAATTTCCTATAATGAGTACCCTGGCTCAGATCATCCCTATTATAACAATTTCTTAATTATTATTCTTGCCTTTACTGTCCCTTCAAATCCATCTTCTATATCACTACCAGGAAACACTCTTCAGAACATGTGAGCATGCCACTCACTTGCTTAATACTCTTCAACAGCTCCCTGAACCCACAGAATAAAGTTAAAATTCTTTCATTCATTCAACACTTAATTGCCTATTATAACCAAGCAAGAACTGTGCTAAGCCTGGGGATATTAATGGGACACCATTGAAACACCTGCATCCTTCAGAACCAGAATAATTTTTGTAGGATGAAAAAGTCAAAGTAAATTCTTCCCAGAAAAAAATTCAGCATCTGTGAAAATCCTCAATAAAATTGTGGCAAACCGAATCCAGCAGTACACCAAAAAGCTTATCCCCCATGATCAAGTCAGCTTCATCACTGGGATGCAAGGCTGGCTCAACATATGTAAATCAATAAATGTAATCCATCACATAAACAGAACCAATGACAAAAACCACACGATTATCTCAATAGATGAAGAAAAGGCCTTTGATAAAATTCAACACCCCTTCATGATAAAAACTCTCAATAAACTAGGTACTGATGGAGAGCATCTCAAAATAATAAGAGCTATTTATAACAAACCCACAGCTGGGTGCCTATAGTCCCAGCTACTCGGGAGGCTGAGACAGGAGAATGGCGTGAACACGGGAGGCGGAGCTTGCAGTGAGCCAAGATTGTGCCTCTGCACTCCAGCCTGGGTGACAGAGCGAAACTCCATCTCAAAAAAAAAAAAAAAAAAAAAAAGAATAGTGATTTGCACATAGAAGGGACTCAATAAATATTTGTTGAATGAATGAATATATGAAATAAAATCTTCCATGATCTTGAAGAGAAGTATTTGTCACGTAACTGGTCTTATATGGCAGAATGTCCCTTGTTTACCATTCCTATTCCCTTCTAACCAAATCATGGTATGTATTTTTAGGTATTCTTTGGCATTTCTTTTTGAACACCTGGAAAAATGCTAAAATATGGTTTAAAACTCAATGTTTGTGAATTAGGCTGTTAGGTGCAGCCTGACTTAAGGGATAAGGGCTGAATTATAGAGAAATTGAATTACGCTTTCAAATATGGTATGCATATGAAACTAATACATGGTTGTTGTGTTTTTTTTTAACTAGGTTAAATGTGGTAAATGCACTCTTTTAATTTAGTGTTTTATTAAATTTTGGTATATGTTGTGTTATAAGCATAAAAGTTTCTGAAAGAATTTTTGGGCCTAGAAGTTGTGGGAATTGTTGCTTTCTTTAACTTTTGATTTGAAACAATCACAAATTACACTGGATTCTTAAAAATGTTGTAGGATCTTTAGGGAGCTCAACTGCAGTCCAGATGCTGATTTTTTTTTTTTTTAAATACTTTAAGTTCTGGGATACATGTGCAGAATGTGCAGGTTTGTTACATAGGTATACTCATACTGAATGGGCAAAAACTGGAAGCATTCCCTTTGAAAACCGGCACAAGACAAGGATGCCTTCTCTCACCACTCCTATACAACATAGTATTGGAAGTTCTGGCCAGGGCAATCAGGCAAGAGAAAAAAATAAAGGGTATTTGAATAGGAAAAGATGAAGTCAAACTGTCTCTGTCTGCAGATGACATGACTGTATATTTAGAAAACCCTATCGTCTCAGCCCAAAATCTCCTTTAGCTGAGAAGCAACTTCAGCAAAGTTTCAGGATACAAAATCAATGTGCAAAAATCACAAGCATTCCTATACACCAATAACAGACAAACAGCCAAATCATGAGTGAATTCCCATTCACAATTGCTACAAAGAGAATAAAATACTTAGGAATACACCTTACAAGGGATGTGAAGGACCTCTTCAAGGAGAACTACAAATCACTGCTCAAGGAAATAAAAGAGGATACAAACAAATGAAAAAACATTCCATGCTCATGAATAGGAAGAATCGATATCATGAAAATGGCTGTACTACACAAAGTAATTTATAGATTCAATACTATCCCCATCAAGCTACCATTGACTTTCTTGCAGAATTAGAAAAAACTACTTTAAATTTCATAGGGAACCAAAAAAGAGCCCGTAGAGCCAAGACAATCCTAAGCAACAAGAACAAAGCTGGAGGCATCACACTACCTGACTTCAAACCATACTACAAGGCTACAGTAAACAAAATAGCATGGTACTGAAACCAAAACAGATACATAGACCAATGGAACAGAACAGATACCTCAGAAATAACACCACACATCTATAACCATCTGATCTTTGACAAACCTGACAAAAACAAGCAATGGGGAAAGGATTCCCTATTTAATAAATGATGTTGGCAAAACTGGCTAGCCATATGCAGAAAACTGAAACTGGGCCCTTTTGTTATACCTTATACAAAAATTAACTCAAGATTGATTAAAGACTTAAACATAAGACCTAAAACCATAAAAACCCTAGAAGAAAACCTAGGCAATACCATTCAGGACACAGGCATGGGGAAAGACTTCATGACTAAAACACCAAAAGCAATGACAACAAAAGCCAAAATTGACAAATGGGATCTAATTAAATTAAAGAGCTTCTGCACAGCAAAAGAAACTATCATGAGTGAATAGGCAACCTACAGAATGGGAGAAAATTTTTGCAATCTCTCCATCTGACCAAGGGCTAATATCCAGAATCTACAAAGAACTTAAATTTACAAGAAAAAAAAAAAACCCATCAAAAAGTGGACGAAGGATATAAACAGACACTTCTCAAAAGAAGATATTTATGCAGCCAAAAAACACAGGAAAAAAAGCTCATCATCACTGGTCATTAGAGAAATGCAAATCAAAACCACAATGAGATACCATCTCACACCAGTCAGAATGGCGATCATTAAAAAGTCAGGAAACAACAGATGCTGGAGAGGAGGTGGAGAAACAGGAACTCTTAAGGCCAGGCGCGGTGGCTCACACCTGTAATCCCAGCACTTTGGGAGGCCGAGGCGGGCAGATTACAAGGTCAAGAGATCAAGACCATCCTGCCCAACATGGTGAAACGCTGTCTCTACTAAAGATACAAAAAATTAGCTGGGTGTGGTGGCACACACCTGTAATCCCAGCTAGTGGAGAGGCTGAGGCAGGAGAATTACTTGAACCTGGCAGGCGGAGGTTGCAGTGAGCCAAGATCATGCCACCACACTCCACACTCCAGCCTGGCAACACAGTGAGACTCCATCTCAAGAAAAAAAAAAAAGAGAGAGAGACATAGAAATGCCTTTACACTGTTGGTGGGAGTGTAAATTAGTTCAACCATTGTGGAAGACAGTGTGGCGATTCCTCAAGGATCTACAACTAGAAATACCATTTGACTCAGCCATCCAATTACTGGGTATATACCCAAAGGATTATAAATCATTCTACTATAAATACACATGTACACCTATGTTTATTGCGGCACTGTTCACAATAGCAAAGACTTGCAACCAACCCAAATGCCCATCAATTATAGACTGGATAAAGAAAATGTGGTATATACACACCATGGAATACCATGCAACTATAAAAAAGGATGAGTTCATGTCCTTTGCAGGGACATGGATGAAGCTGGAAACCATCATTCTCAGCAAACTAACACAGGAACAGAAAATCAAACACTGCATGTTCTCATTCATAAGTACGAGTTGAGCAATGAAAACACATGGACACACAGAGGGGAACATCACACACTGGGCCTGTTGCGGGGTGGGGGTTTAGGGGAGGGATAGCATTAGGAGAAATACCTAAGGTAGACGACAGGTTGATGGGTGCAGCAAACCACCATGGCACGAGTATAGCTATGTAACAAACCTGCACATTCTGCACGTGTATCCCAGAACTTAAAGTATTAAAAAAAAAAAAAATCAGCATCTGGACTGCAGTTGAGCTCCCTAAAGATCCTACAACATTTTTAAGAATCCAGTGTAATTTGTGATTGTTTCAAATCAAAAGTTAAAGAAAGCAACAATTCCCACAATTTCTAGGCACAAAAATTCTTTCAGAAACTTTTATGCTTATAACACAACATATACCAAAATTTAATAAAACACTAAATTAAAAGAGTGCATTTACCACATTTAACCTAGTTTAAAAAACAACCATGTATTACTTTCATATGCGTACCATATTTGAAAGCATAATTCAATTTCTCTATAATTCAGCCCTTATCCCTTAAGTCAGGCTGCACCTAACAGCCTAATTCACAAACATTGAGTTTTAAACCATATTTTAGCATTTTTCCAGGTGTTCAAAAAGAAATGCCAAAGAATACCTAAAAATACATATCATGATTTGGTTAGAAGGGAATAGGAATGGTAAACAAGGGACATTCTGCCATATAAGACCAGTCACATGACAAATACTTCTCTTCAAGAGCATGGAAGATTTTATTTCATATATTCATTCATTCAACAAATATTTATTGAGTCCCTTCTATGTGCAAATCACTATTCCTTTTTTTTTTTTTTTTTTTTTTTTTTTTTTTGAGATGGAGTTTTGCTCTGTCACCCAGGCTGGAGTGCAGAGGCGCAGTCTTGGCTCACTGCAAGCTCCGCCTCCCGTGTTCACGTCATTCTCCTGTCTCAGCCTCCCGAGTAGCTAGGACTACAGGAGCCCGCCACCACGCCCAGCTAATTTTTTTTGTATTTTTAGTAGAGACAGGGTTTCACCTGTTAGCCAGGATGGTCTTGATCTCCTGACCTCATGATCCACCTGCCTCAGCCTCCCAAAGTGCTGGGATTACAGGCATGAGCCACCGCGCCTGGCCGCAAATCACTATTCTAAACAGAAAGAATGTAACAGTGAAAAAAGGAAAAATGCTTGTCTTTATCAAACATATACTTAATAAAGAATATAATTAATAAAAACGGTTTTGGAGGTCAGGCACGGTAGCTCACACCTATAATCCCAGCACTCTGGGAGGCTGAGGCAGGAGGATCAACTGAGGTCAGGAGTTCAAGACCAGCCTGGCCAATATGGTGAAACCCCATCCCTACTAAAAATACAAAAATTTAGCCAGGCGTGGCGGCACGCCTGTAGTACCAGCTACTCCAAAGGCTGAGGCAGGAGAATTGCTTGAACTCAGGAGGCAGAGGTTGCAGTGAGCCAAAATAGCACCACTGCACTCCAGCCTGGGCAATAGTGAGACTCCATCTCAAAAAATAATAATAAAAATAAAATGAGCCAGGCACAGTGGCTCATGCCTGTAACCCTAGCACTTTGGGAGGCCGAGGAAGGTGAATCACGAGGTCAGGAGATCGAGACCATCCTGGCTAACACAGCGAAACCCTGTCTCTACTAAAAAAAAAAAAAATACAAAAAAATTAGCTGGGCATGGGGGCGGGCACCTGTAGTCCCAGCTACTCGGGAGGCTGAGGCAGGAGAATGGTGTGAAACCAAGATGCGGAGCTTGCAGTGAGCGGAGATGGCGCCACTGCACTCCAGCCTGGGCGACAGGGCAAGACTCCGTCTCGAAAAAAATAAATAAATAAAATAAAATAAAATGATTTTGGAGTTCTAAAAATAAAATTTTCTAACTATATTGAGTGATAAAAGTAACTATTTCAAAGATGTGGTCATGATGTTTTGATAGGGCCTTGAAAGGGAAGACTTAAAATTTTAAGTTCTTCAATTTCAAGTCTCTCAAGATTTCCTCTATCCTTAAGCAGGTAGGTTAGACAGGTCCTAGTTAGATTACGCAGATACTCTTATCTGAACATTTATATTATTTCTCTGAAACATATACACCACTCCACACACCACCACGCACAATTTTTATGCAGGGTTAGCATAAAAATTGCTAACCCTGGCAATTTTTCAAAGGGTAAGTTCTTTAATTTAATTCATCCTATCTCTATTAATATTCAGGCATTTTCCCTAAAACGTTCAATGAAATTAAATAGTTTTACCTAAATTTGGCCAACTATGAGAAATGTTAAAGTATACCGAGTCAATCTGTATCTTGAAACAAATGACAGCCTAAAAAGTTTTCAACCATACAACCCATAACAATGGATTTCTATCTGGTAGATTTCAACAAAATTAGTGAGATATCTGCATGAGTAAAGTCTACAGTTCAAAAGTCACTATTTTACAGTTACTCCAAGGTTTTTAGATAGATGATATAGCTGTCATAAGTCTACAATTTATTTAAAACATTTCTTGGTCAGATAATTATTACCTATTTTGATCTTTTTTAATGTGGAAGTAAAATGCTCCAAAATATTAATGACAGTGGATAATACCATACCTTAAAAAAAGAAAACAAAACAAAAACTCTACATACATGGAGGGGACAAGAATTTGTCCTCACTGGCACCAACATATTCTGAATATGAATATGCATTCCCTGCCTACAGTGCTTCTGCCAGCATCACCATCAAGGACATGGGCGACACCTTGTTCATCATCAAGGTATACTACTCAACAAGACTTTGATCAAGGTACTCATTTCACAGAAAAAGGGTTATGCAGGAATGGGTTATGGAACTTGGAAATCACTGGTCTTACCACATACTCCATCACCCAGAAGCAGCTGGTCTAACAGAATGGACTACTGAAGACTCACTCAGTTACAGTGGATCAATGAGCAATATACAATATTGTTTTCCCCATAGCTAGAATACAAAGGCCTGAGAATCAAGGGGCACAAGTAGAAGTAGTTCCTCTATTATTCCTAAAAATTCCATTAGCAGAAGTTTTGTTTCAAGTACCTACGACTTTGATATCTGCTGGATTGGAGGCCTTGGTTCCCAAGCAGGGAATGATTCCACACAGTTCCACTGAACTGGAAGTAACAACTACCTCATGACCACTGCCTCCATACCACTAAATCAGAATTTCTCAATCTTAGCACTACTGACAGTTTGGACTGGATCAGTCTCTACTCTTGGGGGCTGTCCTGTGCATTTCAGGATGCCTGACAGCATCCCTGAACTCTACCCACTAGATGCCAGTAGCATTCCCCCACCCCCACGAAAGTCATAACAATTAAAAATGTCTCCAGGCATTGCCAAATGTCCCCTGGGAGGTAAAACTGTCCTAAGAACCACCGCACTACATCAACAGTCAAAGAAGGGGGTTATTCTATTAGCTGATGTAATTCAGTCCTATTACTAGGTGATACTGTACTGTTGCTACATAATGGGGACAAAGAGGACTATGTCTGGAACCCTGAGGATTCCCTGAAATGTTTTTCTAAACCTATATATATAAGAGCAAAACTTAATGGAAAACCACAGCCACAGGCATGCACACACATGAAGCAGGACCACCAAAGATTTGTATTCTTTTTTTTCTTTTTTTGAGACAGAGTCTTGCTCTGTCGCCCAGGCTGGAGTGCAGTGGTGTGATCTTGGCTCACTGCAACTTCCACCTCCCGGGTTCAAGTGATTCTTGTGCCTCAGCCTCCCAAGTAGCTGGGATTACAGGCGCCTGCCACCACGCCCAGCTAATATTTGTATTCTTAGTAGAGACAGGGTTTTACTATGTTGGCCAGGCTGGTCTCAAACTCCTGACCTTGTGACCTGCCCACCTCAGCTTCCAGAGTGCTGGGATTACAGGCGTGAGCCACCATGTCCGGCCCATGGTCTTTTTTTCTTTTTTTTTTTTATTCTTTTTTGTGAGACAGTCTCACTCTGTCACCCAGGCTGGAGTGCAGTGGTGTGATCTCAGCTCACTGCCACGTCTGCCTCCTGGGTTGAAGCGATTCTCCTGCCTCAGCCTCCTGAGTAGCTGGGACTACAGGTACCCGCCACCACGCCCAGCTAATTTTTTATATTTTTAGTAGAAACGGGGTTTCACTGTGCTAGCCAGGATGGTCTCGATCTCCTGACCTCGTGATCCACCCGCCTCAGCCTCCCAAAGCCATATTCTTTATTAATGAAGATTTAGGTTACCCCACCAGCTGAGATCTTGAATGAGAACAAAGGAAACATGGAATGTACAGCAGAAGTAGTTATAAATATGAACTACAATCTCTCAACCAGTTACAGAAGCAAGGTCTACAGCAGCTATACATATTTTCTTCCTTATTACAGGGAAACGGGCAAGTTTATAAATCAATTCCTTCCCTCTTCTTCTCTATGTTATTCAAACTTTATTAAAGGTTAACTTTACAATTTAGTCCCTAGGTAACAGGATATTCAGAAGGAACTATGAATTTGAGGCATAATTAACACAGCCTAGAAATAGATAGTGTGAATGTCCCCCAGAAATCAATACAATTATGAGACTCTGCTCCTCATTTTGGGAAGAGGGTAAGGACATCCTCATTTTTACAAAGAACATTTTCATCTTTTTAGGCAAGAGCTTAGAGTGTTTTTCTTCTTGTAAAGAAGATGAAATATCTGTATAAAGGCTGAGTGGTCAAACACTTTGGGAGGCCGAGGCAGATGGATCACCTAAGGTCAGGAGTTTGAGACCAGCCTGGCCAACATGGTGAAACCCTGTCTCTACAAAAATTAGCCAGGCATCGTGGTGAGTGTTTACAGTCCCAGCTACTGAGGAAGCTGAGGTGGAAGGATCACTTGAGCCCAGGAGGTCAAGGCTGCAGTAAGCCATGATTGCACCACTGCACTCTAGCCTGTGCAACAGAGCAAGACCCTGTCTCAAAACAATTTACGGCCTGGCCAAGTTCAGTGACTCATGCACTTTGGGAAGCCGAGGCGAGAGGACAGCTTGAGGCCAGGTGCTCGAGACCAGCCTGGGAAACACAGCAAGATCCTGTCTCTATAAAATAAGAAAATGAGCCGAGCGTGGTGGCATGTACCTGTAGTCCTAGCTTCTTGGGAGAATCACTTCAGCTCAGGAGTTCAAGGCTGAAGTGAGCTATGAAGCCTAGGGGACAGAGCAAGACCCTGTCTTTAAAAAGAAAAAGAAAAAAATCTATGGCCTAAATAAAAACAAACAAGATCAATAAACATCCATGTATTTCTATATATTAGCAACAATCAAAAATTGAAACTAAAAAACAATACCTGTTAAGATGGCAATCTTCCCAAAGTTGATCCATGGACTCAGCAGAATCTCTATCAAAACTGGCTTTTTAATAGAAATTGACAAGCCAATCCGAAACCATACAAGGATAACAAAAGACCTAGACTAGTCAAAACAATTCTGAGAAACAAGAAAGCTGGAGGACTTATACTACCTGACTTGATATTTTATTATAGTTTATATAGTTAAGCTCTTTTATAGTTAAGACTATGTGGTATTGGCATAACAGGCACATAGCACAAATACAAAAATTAACTAAAAATGAGCCACAAACGTTAGTATAAATCCTAAATTTCTACAGAAAACAGAGGAGAAAAATTTGTGACCTTATATTAGAAAAAGATACCTTAGATATACCAATAACATGATCTATTTTTTAATTGATAAGGTGGACTTCAGAAAAATTAAGAACATCTGCTTTTGAAAGACTTTGAGAACAAAAAAACAAGGAAAAACTAGAAGACTTGCAAATCATTTATCTGATGAACTTGTATTCAGCATATATTATGAATTCTGAAAACTCCAGTAAAACCCAATTTTTTAAAAATGGGCAAAAGAGATAAACAGCTCACCAAAGAAAATATTCAGATGGTAAATAAGCACATGAAAAGATGCTCAATATCATGAGTCATTAGGGAAATGCAAATCAAAACCACAATGAGACACCACTTCATACCCACTAGGATGGCTGTAATTTAAAAGAAAAGGTTAAATAAGTGTTGGCAAAGATGTGGAACAACTGAAACTCTCATATACTGCTGTAAGATGATACAATCACTTTAGGAACAGCTTGGTGGCCTCTTAAAATATTACAGAATATAATATCCTGTAACATTATTATATACATCCACCATATGATCCACCCATTTCTACTCCTTTGTATTTACTCAAGAGAAATGACAGTCATGTATATGAATCTTCAAGACAACTTTATTTGTAATGGTGAAAATTTGAGTTGTCTTCAGTTATCCATCAACAAGTGAATGGATAAACAACTTATGATATATCCACTGAGACAAAAACAGCTCAAGGGTTCCCTAGGGATGGGATGGAGGTAGGAATGGATTATAAGGAGGCTGGAGAAAACTTTTGCCGGTAATATATGTTCTTCATCTTGATTGTGGTGATGGTATCAAAGGCTTATATGTATATCAAAACTCATCAAATTATACATTTTAAATATGTGCAGTTTATTGATTGGATGGCAATTTTACCTTAACCTAAAAGCTGTGGAAATTCTATTATTCTAGAATAGCAAAAAGCAATAAAGTTCCTAAAAACAGCAATAAAAACAAGAGGCAATAGGTCTTGTCTATTTACTCACACACTTACCCGAGTGTGTGCTCTTCATTATTTCCTACAGTTTTGTACTTCCATTTGAGATATTTTCATTCTGCCTAAAAAACTTCCTTCAGTAATCTTACAGTGCAGGTCTGCTGGTCATAAATTGTCAGCTTTTGATTGTCTAAAAATGTCTTTATTTCGCCTTCTTGTCTGAAGGATATTTCTGCTGAAGGTAGAATTCTAGCTTGGCAGGTTTTTTTGCCAACATTTAAAAAATGTCTGTTATTTCCCAGTTTCCACAGTTGTATTAAAAAGTCAGCCATCAGTTGTATTATATCGTTCCTTTGAACACAGTGCCTTTTTTCCCCTCTTCTGGCTGCTTTTAAGCGTTTCTCTTTGTTTCTGGTTTTCAACAGTTCCATTAAGATATGCTAAGTGTAGTTTTCTTTGTGTTCATCCTGCTTGGGGTTTGCTAAACTACTTGAATTTATAGGTTGATGCCTTTCATCAGTTTGGGAAAATATTTTATCATTACCTCTTCAAGTATTTGCTTCCATGCTAATCTCTCTACTTTTGGGTCTCCAATTACACATTAGACTTTTTACTAATGTTCCACATGTCTCAGAGGCTCTGTTCTACTCTTTCCATTCTTTTTTTTTTTTCTGTGCTTTTATCTAGATATTTTCTATTGATCTGTCCACAAGCTCTCTAGTCTTGCCTTCTGCTGTGTATAGTCTGCTACTGAACCGGTACAATGAATAATTAATTTCAGATTAATGTCAATTAATTATTAATGGGGGGGTTTGTGATGGTGGTGTTAAGGAAGATTTTGTTCTGTCTTGTTTTGTTTTTTAATGTGGCATGCACTATACTAAGCCCTGGGAGTACAACAACGAACAAAACAGACATAGGCCCTGCTCTCGTGGAACTTAAATAGTATACATTAAATTTACCTGGGTTTTTTTTGTTTTTGTTTTTGTTTTTTAAGAACAGTAAAGAATGAGGGGGAGGTGGAGTGTCCTAGAGTCCTGCGCCAAAGTTTCTAATTAAACTACAAATAAAGACCTTAAGCAACCAACGTTGTGTTTTTGATTCCTAGAATGTTCATTTGGTTTCTTTCTGTGGATTCCAATTCTCTATGAAAATTTTCATCCATTTTCTCCGTATTTTCCTTTATTTTCTTAAGTATATTATAGTTATTTTAAAATAAGTCTTTGTCTGATGAACTTCAATTTTCTGAGTCTGCTTCTATAAGTTTTATTTTTCTCTTGAATTTTTCCACCCTTTCACATCTCTAGAATAGTTAATAGTATGATAGTATTATAAACGAAAGAACCATAGAAACCCCAGAATATATCTCCTCAGTAAGAGCTGTCTATTTCCTCTATTAGGCAAAAGGGATAAGATAGGCTGATCACCTCAGTCCAATCAGGAATTGAACTGGGCCAGGGATATGTTGCAGTTTTAGTAAAATGCACTTCCTCTCTAGTTTCCTTTTCCTTCAGTGTGTGTCCAGAATCAGCAAATGTCAGCAATCCTCTGCTCACCTATAAAGATCTCTTCTATTTCTGGAATTCTAATTCATCTAGTCCTCATTACATCCATAGCTCTCCAATATTTTTTTTAGTATTGATTTTTAAAGTTCATCCAATTGTGGTTTTCTAACTTGTTGCAGTGATATATATGACTGTACTGTGACCTATTAAATACCACCCAGAAATTAAATTCTCCCTGTATATCACACAGCAGTGGTTTACAAACCCAGCTTTATGTCAAAAATGACCTGGGACCTCTAGAAATCACACGATGTTTAGTAGAGCCAGGAAATCTGTACTTTTAACAAGTCTTAAGTGATCTGGCAGAGCTGACATTTCTAAAGAAACTAGCGTGCCTGCACCAGTTGCTCCTCCTCTCCCCTCCCCCACAGCTCAGTATTTATAAGGACATTTAAGAAAAAATACACACTACACACAATGGATAAATTAACAGAAGAGTTAAAACAAAAGTTCAGAATAACTAGAAATGTTAAAGACAAAAATATGTAAAGGCTTTTAAAATACATTAGGATCAAAAAGATGAGGAAAGAAGAACAAGAATCACTAGAGTCCATGATTCCAGCACCAATAGGTCATTAAAAGCAGAACTATTCAACTCAATTTTTATTTCTAATTGTTCTAGTTGAAAATAAAATGAGGCCAAGGCATGGTGGCTCACGCCTGTAATCCTAGCACTTTGGGAGGCCGAGGCAAGAGGATCACCTGAGGTTACGAGCTCGAGACCAGCCTGGACAACACAGTGAAACACCTTCTCTATTAAAAATACAAAAATTAGCCGGGCATCGTGACAGGTGCCTGTAATCCCAGCTACTCGAAAGACTGAGACACAAGAATCGTTTGAACCTGGGAGGCGGAGGTTGCAGTGAGCCGAGATCGCGCCATTGCACTCCAGCCTGGGTGACAGTGACTCAAAAAAGAAAAAAAAAAGAAAAAGAAAAAAAAGAAAATGATCTTCAAATCTGAAAAAAAGCATTGCTGAGAGTCATCAGAACTTAGATACATAAAGCATGAAGAGCCCACCTCCCTGTTTTACCTGAGCTCAAGTGTACATGAATCCAAGATACAGATGAAAATTTAGAAATATGGTAAGAGAAATGTGGTCAGTGAACTTGCAGAAGTCATGAAAAGTAACAGGAGCCAGATTGGGAATGAGAAAATGTTGTTGCAATTGTCAAAATCCAAGAGTGGGTAAAGGTGAAAGGGTGATTTTAATACTATGGACTTAATTTAATGTCAGCATCCAGATAATTCTAAGACTGATTAGGCATGAGTTGTTAGCACTTATACAGGGAAGCAGCATTTACTAATAAAATCTTACCTTTGTAAAGCACTTTTGCTTTTGAGTTTAGAGTAGACAAAATACTTTCATGCATATTACCTCCTATCTTTGATTCTCATAGATCCCTGTGAAAAAGTGCAGGTAACATTATGTCCCCTCCACCACGTGTTACTCTCTTCAACATATTAGGAATTCAGGGCTCATACAGCTTGGCTTGCCCCCCTGTTAACTCATTCCAGTAGAAAGTTAAGACTTAAAGTCAAGTCTTCTGATTCCTAATTGAGTTGTTTTTATATTACACAGCTCTTAAAGTCAGTATAAGAATAAATCACGCTGAAATGATATATAGGATTGCTTTAAAATAATAAAGAGGTAGTGAGCAGGAAATGGGTAGGAATACGGATGAAATAAGACTAGGGAGAAATTGAGTAATGGATACAAAAGGATTAATTTATAACATCTCTCTAGGCCATGTGCAGTGGCTCACGCCTGTAATCCCAGCACTTTGGGAGACTGAGGCGGGTGGATCACTTGAGGTCAGGAGTTCGAGACCAACCTGCACAATATGACAAAACCCTGTCTCTACAAAAAATACAAAAAATTTAGCCAGGCGTGGTGGTGTGCACCTGTGATCTCAGCTACTCGGGAGGCTGAGAGAGAGGATGGCTTGAGCCTGGGAGGCAGAGGTTGCAGTGAGCCAAGATCGTGCCATTACACTCCAGCCTGGGTAATAGAGTGAGACTCTGTCTCAGAAAAAAAAAAAAAAAAAAAAAAAAAAAACTCTCTACTTTTATGTTGGAAACTTTTTATTTTAAAACATGTGAATTAACATTTTTGATAGGTATACTGTACTGGTAATCAAATGCATACCAAAAATATACTGTACCTGAAGCTCAGCATTTTTTTTTTTTTAACAGAGTTTCACTCTGTCACCCATGCTGGAGTGTAGTAGCACAAACACCACTCACTGCAGGCTCAACCTCCTGGGCTCAAGCCATCCTCCCACCTCAGCCTCCCAAGTACCTGGGACTACAGGCATGCACCACCACGCCTAGCTACTTTTTTTATTTTTTTGTGCATACTAGCTGTGTTGTCCAGGTTGATCTCAAACTCCTGGGCTCAAGCAATCCTCCCTCCCCCACCTCCCAAAGTGCTGGGATTACAGGTGTGAGCCACCATGTCCAGCAAGCTCAGCATTTTTAAATCCATTTAAGTTTCATATAATGCCCTCATACAACATTGGGAGGAAAGATAAAAAATGGTATGCCTGAGTACTGACCACCATTGCACCAAAAGGAAAACAATTAGGATAGTGAGGTGTCTTGAAAACATGTTCTTTGAGAAATGGTTGAAGAATGAATGAAATTTTTTGGTGGGGGTGGGAATCTAGGGTGTACTTAAGATGTCTTCAAATGTTTTTATTTTATTTTTATGTATTTATTTTATTTATTTATTTATTTTTTCAGAGACAGAATCTCGGTTGGGCACGGTGGCTCATGCCTGTAATCCCAGCACTCTGGGAGGCCGAAGTGGGAAGATCGCTTGAGTCCAGGAATTCAAGACCAGCCTGGGCAAGATGGCGAAACCTCGTCTCTACAAAAAATTTAAAAACTAGCCCGGCATGGTGGCATGCACCTGTGGGTAGTTTGTGTCATGAGAGGAACAAGAGCTTCAGGTCTTCGTTGATCTTTGTCGCCAATATATGACTAAAACAAAACCTACTATCACTGTCATTCCCTACTCCAGATTCACTTATCAGAGGCCAAAAACTGAAACATAACAGGGAAAGAAATACTGTGCTTTTTTTCCCTCCGCACTCATTACCCAAAAGGAAGAAGACTCACATGGAGCATAAAGGCACATTTTCCCAGACCCAAGGTGGGACAGGAATAGAAGGCACCGATAAAGACAGGAGGATAGAAAAAAATACTCCAAAAGACAAGATGAAGGATTTGAGGGTTGTTATAGGGAAAAAGAAAAACTGAAAAAGTAGATGTAACAATTAAAAAAACCACATCCAGGAATCTTCATTCAAATACTACCAAAGTTGAAAAGTTTGCCTCAAATGTAATCAAACTCTAAGTAAAATGTTCTTAGAATATAAAAACCAACTTTACAAAAATAGACTGTGCAATGCCAACATGAAAGAATCATAATCTCATATTTATAGCTGTATGTGTATTTCTGTTGGTATTCTCACAAATTCTATTCTCCCACTTAAGAATGTACAATAAGTGTATTATATAACTAAATAAAAGGGAAACAATGTTACAACTTCTAACAGCTGAAGAAGTTTTGATAAAGTGACCAGGAGAATAATACATAATGAAATCAAGGATATATAATGCTTAAAATTTACATCTATTTCTAACATCTAACCAACTTGAAAAGATTCAGATACTCTAACATGAACTTAAAAGGAAAAACATAATATACCATCTTCGAGTGAAGAAGCAATCATACATCCCTCATTTTGCATATTTGTACTACCTGTTAGTAAAATTTAGACTTTTAAAACTATTTATTGGAAAGATAGTGATCTAAGGGTCAAGACATCCATACTCTAGTTTAACTCAGTTAATTATATAATCATATGATTGTGAACATGTTTTGCCTCTGTAACTTTTTTCTCATGTAGAGTAGAAATAATAACCACCAAATTATAAAGAATGGATAGAAAAAAAATACTGCACAGATGCTAATACATTTTTATGACTGTTTACAGCTTCCTTTCATATAAGATTCATACCTAAGTCATTAAACAAGCCCATGATGTGAGAAGGGTAAGTATCATGCCCATTTTACACATGAAAATATAGAAAACTGATGTTCAGAGAGGTTAAGAGACTTCCCCAAGACCACACTGCAAGTTGCACAATCAAAAGCTTTTTCTTTTACTACATAGTAGGCTGCCCTCACAAGTCTAAAGTGGTAAAAGTTGTTTTCTCATGCCCAAACTACTATGAGAACTACCCAAGAGAAACCGTGTCAACAGAAAAGTGTCACCACTTGAGATCATTAAGAGACATAACTTCCCAAAAGGTCATTATCTGAGTATAAAATTTTGATTAAAAATAAGTTAAATAATCCTTAAAAGTTTCTAGTAGTCCTGCTATTTACTAAATTAATTTCATGCCTCTTGTGCTAGATATACCACTCTGCTGGTGGGGGTGGGACACGGGAGTTAGGTGGAGCAGGAAAGAATTTCATCAGAAAAAGTTAAGTTCTCAGCCGGGCACGGTGGCTCATGCCTGTAATCCCAGCACTTTGGGAGGCCAAGGCAGGAGGATCACCTGAGGTTGGGAGTTCAAGACTAGCCTGACCAACATGGTGAAACCCTGTCTCTACTAAAAAAACAAAATCAGCTGGGCATGGTGGCGCATGCCTGTCATCCCAGCTACTTGGGAGGCTGAGGCAGGAAAATCGCTTGAGCCTGGGAGGCAGAGGTTGCAGTGAGCCCAGATCACAACATTGCACTCCAGCCTGGGCAACAAGAGCAAAACTCCATCTCAAAAAAAAAAAGTTATCTGAAGTTCAATGGAATAAGACATTCAAAGCTATAAAATATGAATAAGGGCAGGCGACAGCTTGTGGACTGCAGTGGCAACCCTAAGCCAAACCGTGAGTGCCAGACTATGGTTTAAAGAAAATATGCAATCTGGAAGTTTGCACCTCAAGTTACTGCTACTGCAAAGTAATTAGTACCATTTATGGTAAGAATATGTAAAGTTTTAGAACATAATGCCAATTCTTCATTTTAGTAGGATGAACTCCACACTAGCTTGAGGCTTTGTCTCAACAGAAGCTTTTTGATGATATAGTCAGTGGCTCAAAAGCCACTCAGGACCCAGCACAGTAGTTCACGCCTGTAATTCCAGTGCTTTGGGAAGCCAGGTGGGAAGACTGCTTGAGGCCAAGAGTTTGAGACCAGCCTGGGCAACATAACAAGACACTGTCTCTACGAAAAAAATTAAAATAATAGCCAGGTATGGTGGCGCACGCCCATAGTCCTAGATATTCGGGAGGTGGGAGATCACTTGAGCCCAGGAGTTCGAGGCTATGGTGAGCTATGATCACACCACTGCACTCCAGCCTGAGGAACAAAGAGAGACCTCACTTCTAAAATAAATGAATAATAAACAATTTTTAAAAACCAGTTATATGCAGAGAATATAACTATATATCACAGGCATATAACATTTGAAGTGGTCAAATGGATTGCCTTTAAGAGAATTTAGCGAGGGTACTATAAACAGCAGTTATAGTTTATATCCTATAGCATTAAACACCTGAGAGTACTCTGTTTACTGAAGGCTCTACCACATAGTATGATACAGAAATTTACAACTTGCTGAGACCTTAAACTTAATTCACAGTCACTACAACGTAAAACCACTTTTCTGTCCTTCAAGATCAAAACAAATGGTCTCATCTCTCCCTTCCCGCCCCCAAGAAAATGGGGTACTTTAAAAGATGTCAGATGAAACAAGCCAATGCTTTTATAAATACAAGTCAATCCTTTGCAAAGAAACAGATTAAGATGCTCATATTCTGCTTCGGTATTGATCCCAAGCCTTTTAACAGTTTAAGCTGACCACAAATCTCCCCTTCCACTTCTATAGAATATTCTCCTCCTTAAACTTCCTTTAGAGCCTTCCGATACCTCCTGTCCCTTGACTTATATACACACACACCTCCAAAATATACGCAGACCTAAGGAACACAAGTGGAAAACACATTTTTAATTAATACGCTGCTTATCCTTAAAAGTATGTCGTTAGAATGCAACAATATAGAGTCTACATAGAACCCCAGAATACCAAATTTGAAAGCTACAACAAAAATGCCCCATAGCAATCTGAGTAATTTAAAGAACAAAGATGTAAAAAATAAGGCATTCTTACTACTGTATTATATGACTTAAACTTTTGTTTAAGGACAAAATGTTTGGTTGGGTGCAGTGGCCGGTACCCAAATAAAAAACGAAAAACAAAAATACTTTCTCCATATTAAAAAAAAAAATTTTTTTTGAGACAGGGTCTCACCCAGGCCAGAGTGCAGTGGTGCAATCATGCCTCACTGCAGCCTTAATTTCCTGGGCTCAAGCAATCCTGACTCAGCCTCCCAAGTAGCATATACTACCACACTTGGCTAATTTGTCTGTTTTTTTTCTTTTCTTTACTTTCAACCAATGCACACTGGCTGATTTTTTTTTTATTTGTTTTTTTTACTTTTTGTAGAGATGGGGTCTCACTCTGTTGCCCAGGCTGGTCTCAAACTCTGAGGCCCAAGTGATCCTCCCACCTCAGCCCCCCAAAAAGCTTGAATTATAGGCATGAGCCACCGCACCCAGCCAAAACATTTTTTAAAAGCAGACTTAAGGCCAGGTGCAGTGGCTTGCATCTGTAATCCCAGCACTTTGGGAGGCTGAGGCAGGTGTTTGAGGCCAGCCTGGCCAACATGGCAAAACCCCGTCTATAGTAAAAATACAAAAATAGGGCCAGGCACGGTGGTTCAAGCCTGTGATCCCAGCACTTTGGGAGGCTGAAGCGGGCGGATCACCTCAGGTCAGGAGTTCAAGACCAGCCTAGCCAACATGGTAAAACCCTGCCTCTACTAAAAATACAAAAAAATTAGCTGGGTGTGGTGGCACACGCCTGTAATCCCAGCTACTTGGGAGGCTGAGGCAGGAGAATCACTTGAACCCGGGAGGCAGAGGTTGCAGTGAGCCAAAATTGTACCACTACACTCCAGCCTAGGCGAGAAAGCGAGAACTTGTCTCAAAATAATAATAATAATAAAGCAGATTTGAGAAAAGAATCTAATTTCCTAATGGTTAAAAAGTCAAATAAAAAGAGTAGGGCAAAAAACAGGAACATTTAAAATAAAATGTAACAATATTAGACCAGCACCACAGCTTATGCCTATAATCCCAGCACTTTGGGAGGCTGAGGCAGGTGGATTGTTTGAGGTCAGTAGTTTGAGACCAGCTAACATGGCGAACCCTTGTCTCTTTTAAAAATACAAAAATTAGCCAGGTGTGGTAGTACGTGCCTGTAATGCCAGCTACTTGGGAGGCTGAGGCAGGAGAATCGCTTGAACCCAGAAGGTGGAGCTTGCAGTGAGCTGAGATCGTGCCACTGCACTCCAACCTGGGCAATAGAGCGAGACTCTATCTCAAAAAAAAAAAAATGAAGAAGAAGAAAAAAGAGAACTTGTCAATGGATACTAAAGTAAGGTATATATTGGCCAAGGTACATACAAAGGAATATCCAGAGACTAGTCACGCTCTCTTTTTTTTTTTTTGGAAGACAGGGTCTCACTCTGTCACCGAAGCTGGAGTACAGTGGCACAATCATGGCTCACTGTATGCTTGAACTCCTGGGTTCAAGTGATCTTCCTGCCTCAGCCTCCTGAGTAGCTGCGACTACAGGCACATGCCACCACACCCAACTAATTTTTTTTAGAGACAGCATCTCACTATGTTGCACAGCCTGGTCTTGAATTCAAGGCCTCAAGCAGTCCTCCCACATGGGCCTCCCAAAGTGCTGGGATTACAAGCATCAGCTACCGCACCTGGCCTACTCTCCCTTATTTAATGAAAACACAATAATCAGTAATAAGCTACACTGCACTCTAGCCTGAGTGACAGAGCAAGACTCTGTCACACACACAAAAAATAATAATAATAATAAGCTATAAAGAAAACATATAAATCTTATATTAGAAAAATTTTAGACTTTTCAAAGTGCTTCACATTCATATTCTATCACACCATTGCAAAATATCCTAACAGTAAGTGACAAATCCAAAATTACAAAAGTAGTTGATCAGATCTGAAACCTGATTCAAAAAACATGTTTGCTCTATGGGAGGAAATATAAATATGTATAAATTCCTTCTTTATGCTAATTTTCTTACTCATTCCTAGTTAAAATATCACTTATCAGACCTAGGCTATTGCAAACATGGAAGTAAAATTCAGTAAAACAAAGCCAAAAGTACCACTTTTTTTATTTAGCCAGTCTACCCTTCAACCAGGAATCATATGAAAAACATTCCATCAATGTTCTGTGTGTTTAAGACTGTGCTGGGCACTGGGGTGACTAGAAGAGAATTCAAATAGCGTTCTTTGCTTTTCAGAAAGTATGCACTCCATTTGATAAAAAGACAAGAAAAAAAGAAAACAAAGCCAAGCTGTGTTCAAACAATCCTCCTAAAGGAAGAAAACTTACTGTGTGGTTCTGTAAAACTCCAGGTAACAAGGATACCAAGAAGTGAGATAGCAGAGTTTAGTCTGAAACAACCTCATGGGGAAAAAAAAAAAATGAAATCTGAGCTGAACATTGAAGGATGGACAGGAATTAGAAAAGCACAAAGGAGGAATTAAAGCATTCAGGCAGAGACTGGCAGAAATAAAGGCCAAGAAGTGGGAAGAAGCATGATACACACAGAAGAGACTGAGGTGACCTGCCTGGAACATAGGTGCATGCAGAGGCATAATGGGAAAGAGTTTGGTAAATCAAGTGGGGTCAGCTCCCAATAGACTGCTGGGTCACAGAGACATGCTGTTAGAATATTAAAATCATCGAATATTTAAACTTGAAAGAATCTAAAAGATTTTCTAGCCATTTCTTTTTCAACAGATGAGGAAATCAAGGATCTATAGGAAAGCTAATGGCTAGGATAGGGACAAAGGCACTGAATAGCAGAACAAAACTAAGACCCCCGCTAAGGAACTCCAATTCAGTAGAAAAGTATTGTGTCTTGGGAACTGGAAGAGATTGGTTTCCGGGGGGAGTGGAACATCACAGTGGCATTACAACTAAGCAATGACCACTATGTTTTGCCAGAAGTAATCACTTTCAAGAAAACAGCAATCAAGCAGAGGCAGGAGCTACTTTTCAGAGTTATAAAGGAAATGGGTGGATAAACAGTAGAGGCGGTGAGTATCTGGCAACAACAACAACAAAAAAGACTGGTCCACAGAGAGAGAGCTGCAGGACCAAGTAAACGTCTGATTTCCAAGAGAAAGGAAATCTTAGCCTGAAAAGTGAAAAGAAAGCAGCCAACATAAAGACTAAATTAGTTCCCAGACAGATAAGGTGGAAAGTGTAAGGGAGTGCAGAGAACTGAGGAACAGCTGGAAGAAATCTTTCTAAAGGATGAATTCCGGGCCGGGCACGGTGGCTCATGCCTGTAATCCCAGCACTTTGGGAAGTCAAGGCAGGTGGATCACGACATCAAGAAATTCAGACCCATCCTGGCTAGCACGGTGAAACCCTGTCTCTACTAAAAATACAAAATTAGCTGGGCGTGGTGGCATGCGCCTGTAGTCCCAGCTACTTGGGAGGCTG
This sequence comes from Homo sapiens, assembly GCF_000001405.40. Lineage (NCBI taxonomy): Eukaryota > Metazoa > Chordata > Mammalia > Primates > Hominidae > Homo > Homo sapiens. Next base: position 31,100,685 of record NC_000017.11, on the reverse strand, counting down.
AGGCAGGAGAATCGCTTGAACCCAGGAGGCAGACGTTGCAGTGAGCTGAGATCGCGCCACTGCACTCCAGCCTGGGCGACAGAGTGAGACTCCATCTCAAAATAAATAAATAAATAAAAATTTAAAATAACAATAATAATAAATTAAAAAATTCCGAAGCAAAGAATAAGCATTATTGTGCTCGATTCAGCACCACATATACTAAAATTGGAAGAATAAGCATTATTTCTCACTCACCATAAAGAATTCGTCACCATAAAAGAGTACTCATTTTCAACTACTATAAGGCCTTATAAAAATTACACACCAGGCTTGAAGAATGAGGCTAGGAGATATTTTTTAAATCCAAAAAGCTTCAGTTTTGCAAATCTATTTGTCTAATCAGTATGTGGTTTGTAATTTCGAAGATACTTGCCAATCATTTTATACTGTGAATCACTCACCGCATATTCAACGTACATTCAGATGAACACTCAATGTATGAGAACAACAAATATGCTACTACAACCTCTAAAATCAGAGTTTATTCCATAACATATTCTTTAAATTGGGTTTTTTGGCTTTTATGTACTACTTTTGCTTGATCAGATATGGAAAATATAATTGCTTTAAATGAACATATTTACAACAAATCATTTTGGGATGGAGTTCTTTTTAATTCTTTTTTTTTTTTTTTTAGTTCAAATATCCATAGTTTTCCCATACTTCCCTTCAGAAATAAAGCTCTACAGGAACCAGTGGGGCATACAGAACTAGGGGAGATACACAGAAGGTTCTAATTTGCTTAGAAACTGGGTTAATGAACCACAATTAAAAGCTACACATGGCCGGGCGTGGTGGCTCACGCCTGTAATCCCAGCACTTTGGGAGGCCAAGGCAGGTGGATCACCTGAAGCCAGGAGTTGGAGACCAGCCTGGCCAACACGGTGAAACCCCCGTCTCTACTAAAAATACAAAAATTAGGCAGGCGTGGTGGTGGGCGCCTGTAATCCCAGCTACTTGGGAGGCTGAGGCAGGAGAATGGCTTGAACCCAGGAGGCAGAGGTTGCAGTATGCTGAGATCTCCCCATTGCACTCCAGCCTAGGAGACAAGAGCGAAACTCTGTCTCAAAAAAAAAAAAAAAAAAGCTACACACCTACAATTTGTCAGTTTCAATTAGAAACTTGCTATTTGGCACCACGAAGGCAGGTTAAGGAGAGATGTAAGATTTAACTGATAACATTCAGCTTTCTGGCTGTCCACCTGTGCAACTGTCATTTCCCTAACCAAGGAGGTGATTACTTCTAAAATTGGTAATACTCATTCAACTTAGACCCTAAATACTAGGTTTAGCTGCAATATTATCAGGTTAAGGAATTTTATATTACCCACAAGAATGTGAGCTCAAAATGTCAATATGGCACACATCCACTTCTTTTAACTGAGTCTACTGCACTAAGTTGCTAAGCGATACCCATCAGAGTGCAATATGTCTGTAATCAGCAGTGGCTAGAAATGCATTTCTGCTTTAATCACACCGAATATTAGAAATCCAACCAAAACAGCAATCATAAACAGAGTTGCCATCTTTAGACATGCACATGCTCCCTGGGGGCGTTAAGTGGTCCAACAGGCAAACTCTTAGCTGTAATAAGAAGGAAAGCTTAACTCCCCCTGGGCCCAGTAAAGCAAAGTACAGATAATATAATCCAAAATTCAAAAGTTTTATAAACAGTTGAAACTATTAAGATTCTTTTTTTTTTTTTTTTTTTCTGAGATGGAGTCTCGCTCTGTCACCCAGGCTGGAGTGCAGTGGCGCAATCTCGGCTCACCGCAAGCTCCACCTCCCAGGTTCAGGCCATTCTCCTGCCTCAGCCTCCCAAGTAGCTGGGACTACAGGCACCCACCACCACACCCAGCTAATTTTTGTATTTTTAGTAGAGATGGGGTTTCACTGTGTTAGCCAGGATGGTCTCGATCTCCTGACCTCATGATCGGCCCGCCTCGGCCTCCCAAAGTGCTGGGATCACAGGCGTGAGCCGCCGCGCCCGGCCAACTCTTAAGATTCTTATACAACTATCTCTCAGTACATGCAGGGCTTTTTCTCCCCTCAATAAAAATGTAAGCGATGGCTCACGCCTGTAATCTCAGCACTCTACTAAAAATAACAAATGTTATCCAGGAGTGGTGGCAGGCGCCTGTAATCCCAGCCACTTGGGAGGCTGAGGCAGGAGAATCACTTGAACCCAGGAGGCAGAGGTTGCAGTAAGCCAAGGTCGCATCATTGCACTCCAGCCTAGGCAAGAATCATGAAACTCCGTCTCAAAAATAAAAAAAATAAAATAAAGTCTTCTAAATATATTTAATGGATTAGAACAAATTTTATGGGATACTTAGGAAAAGTATCTCCCTGATGGTCAAGCATTCACTACTTTTCATACTGAAGCTCTTATTAGATCTATGTCACTTAACCTTCCCATGCCTCAGTTTTCTGACTAAAAGACATTTTCAACCGTAAGGTGAACTCTAATTTGAATTAAACATTTATCACTTATATAATAAATTAATATATTAATTTATTTTATATATATACTATATATAATATATATAAGTACCTTATGTTAAACACTGAAAACCCTTACATTTTTGTATCTCAAGGTCAGAGACTTTAACTTTCTAAGAGAAAAATGTGAGGAATAGGCCAGGCACAGTGGCTCATGCCTGTAATCCCAGCACTTCGGGAGGCCGAGCAGGGGGTGGGGGGCAGATCACCTGAGGTCAGGAGTTCAAGACCAGCCTGACCAACATGGTGAAACCCCCGTCTCTACTAAAAATACAAAAATTAGCCAGGCACGATGGTGCACACCTGTAATCCCAGCTACTTGGGAGACTGAAGCAGGAGAATCACGTGAATGTGGGAAGCAGGGGTTGCAATGAACCGACATCAAGCTACTGCACTCCAGCGTGGGCGACAGAGCAAGACCTTGTCTCAAAAAAAAAAAGTGAGGAATAATCTCTCCTATATATCTTTCTCTTAATTACAACATAAGGAATGCAGAAAAATGCTGTTTTAAAAACTAATGTCCTTAATTTTTAACAGATGGTGGTGAGTTTGATTCCACAATATGCATAACAAACAACGAAGCCTTAAGGTCTTTTAAAGCTAGGGACAGAAGGAGAAACACTTTCTTGCTTTACTGGGTATATAATCAAAATCATTCCTCCTTTTTTTTTTTTTTTTTTTTTGGAGACAAGAGTCTCGCTCTGTCGCCCAGGCTAGAGTGCAGTGGTGTGATCTCAGCTCACTGCAACCTCCACCTCCCGGATTCAAGCAATTCTCCTGCCTCAGCCTCCCGAGTAGCTGGGATTACAGGCGCCCGCCACCATGCCCAGCTAATTTTTGTATTTTTAGTAGAGACGAGGTTTCTCCATGTTGGTCAGGCTGGTCTCAAACTCCTGACCTCAGGTGATCCACCTGCCTTGGCATCCCAAAGTGCTGGGATTACAGGCGTGAGCCACCGCGCCCAGCCCAAAATCATTCCTCTCTTAAGTATCTTTTTCCAATATGGCAAATAAGCCTAGAGATGAACAGGTAAGAAGTAAAAAAATAAAATTAAGAAAAAACTGAAAAAAATTTTTAATTTTTAAAATTTAAGGAGAATTGCGGCGTGGATCCTTCAATTTCCTACATCCAGATTCTGCTGTCCACAAGGTTCAGCTTTGGAAGTCTTCTATGTGCCTTTTAAATCCTTTCTTAAAATTACAGAGTCTTTTCTACCAAGTTTTAAATCTAACGCTCTATCAATAATGTAATCTTTTATATGCAGTAACATTATACTTCAGATGGATTAGTAGTTTAGTTTAGATGCCTTTGGGTCTGGAAGCATACGAATGGATAAAACAATTCCTTCAAGTCTCTGACAGCTTCATAACTCTATTTTATCTACATAGCTTCTTCTCAACTTCCTCTGTCTATTCCAAGATATTTTCCAGGTAGGTCTGAAACGCTGAGTCCCGTAAAGAAATGTTTATGCATCAAATAACAGAAGAGCTCTTCCCCCACCCCTTCAGCTCCCATAATGTTTTACCATTATATCCAGTAAACAAAATAGGTTGACTCAATCTTAAACAATTCCCCCATCACAGGAAGCCCACTGCACCCACAGCTGCAGAAAGCATCCCTTAAACCATCCCCAACTACCTACAGCAACACAAAGTTAAACCAATTTCCACTGACAAAAGGCTATGTGTGCATTTATTCTAATCAGCCCCAGGATTTATTGTGTGAAACTCAGGCGATAAAAAGTCACCTCCTCAAGCTACAAAACTTTTTTTTCATCCCAAATATTCTCAATGAAAGTTCTCTTGTCAACCAGGAGAGAGTCAAAAACAACCACAAACACTAGCAGAATGATCCGCTCCAGGACCACATCCCAGCTGGCTTTGCTCTGTTGTCGGTGGCTCTGAAGCAGTTTCTCACTTTCCTTTCACCCTTCTCCCCTTTACTCCCCAACATTCTCACTCGAGAATGCATCACATCCTCAGACCGCTGGCAAAAAAAAAAGGGGGGGGGGAAGAGACTGCAATTATCAAGGAAGGGGAAGATATTTCAGAACCACGGTTTCCACTGCAAACGGCAATAAAAAAAAAAGGCAGTCTGTGTCATCAGGATATGGGGGACGACGTTGTAGGGCATCACAAAGATGTGCAGTGAGTGTGCACTTGAAGCTCTCGGGGCAGGATGAGACGATGGAGCAGAAAGTAAGAAAACCTGTGCCTTCCTTGCTTTCTTCTGCTCTTCCCCCTCCAGGAGAGGAAGCTGAAGAAACTGGGGGAGGGGCGGAATGTTATCGTTCTCCTATTGAGGGTATATAAGACAGGCCTTAGGGTTCGCTCGTCCCCAGTTAGGAGGGTCACGGAGGGAAGAGGAAGAGAGAACCCCTAAACGTTACCCACCTCTGCTCAAAAACAAAAGTAAGGGGGTAATTATTAAATCCAGATGGCGCGCCCCTAAAGGCGCCCCCAGGTCACTCATCCCCATTTCCAAGCGGAAGGGCTGGGATAAAGGGGATGGAGGGTCGGAGGCTGGTCAGGGACAAGGCCCCACCCCCCGACTTAGGAGGGAAAGGGTGCCCAAGCTCCCAGCTGTCCCCTCCTACCCCTCACCTCCCGCCTTGGCCACCCCCACTTATCCCCCCTTCCCTTCTCTTCCCTTCCCTTCCTTTCCTCCAGAGCCTGAGGCAGCCGCGGGGGAGGCGGCCGCTCCTACCTCCCCTCACCTACTCTGTCCCCACCCCCACTCCGCTCCCACCTCCCGCCCGCCACGGGCCGGTTACCTGCTCGTCGAAGCGGCTGACCACGGCCTGGACCCATTCCACCGGCCTGTGCGCGGCCATGTCCTCCCCGCGGCCGGGGGGCGGCGGAGGGAAGGGTGGGCCGGCGCCCTGGGCCGGGAAGAGGGCGGGGAGCGGAGGCTGAGGTGAGGGAAGAGGCAAGGAGAGGGTCTGTGGAGTGCAGGCTCCCAGTGTTCCCACGGGGGTGGGGATGGGGGGTCAGCGCCGAGCGGGAGGGGGAGAGGGAAAGGGGGCGTTGGCAAGGAGGCTGGGGGGAGGGGGATAGGGGAAGGGGACCCGGGGAGGGGAGGGGGCCTCTTGGTCGCTCTCCCCACTAGCGCCGTCTCCCCACAGCCATCACAGTCCGAGACGCCGCCATGACACCCCACCGGAAGTGGGATCCTTTCCACGGCCCGGGGAGAGGGAGCGCGAGCGAGCTAGAGATTGAGAGCGCGGCTGGGAAAGGGGAGGGGGAAGCGAGAGGGAAGGCGGCCTGCCGCGCATGCGCCCGCGCCGGCCGGTTTCATTAATGAAAAAGCGAGTCCTCCTGGAGGTGACGTCATCTAACTCCTCTGGGCCGTCTGGCGAGCGTCCCTCACCGCCGTGGGGCTCACCTAGACTGGCGCTGGGCTCAGCTGGCGAGTGCCAGAGCTGACCCGGGAGCATCCACTCCCATCCCCACCGCCCCCTACAGCTGTCCCCTCCCCCGCCGGCCTCCGGGTTTGGATTGCTCCCGGAGTTGGAAGTTAGGGCGCCCTGGGGCTAGCCTTTCTCCCAGCGCGCGGATCTCTGCCGCTAATCTCCTGGGGAGGCTGTGCTCTCAGCTTAAGCTCTCAGAAAAAATAAGGTACACGACCTCCGATTTTCAGGTTCTTCGTAGCTTGGTAGACTGCTGAGAAACAAAAAAGGAAGGCCAAAGAGAGATTCCGTGATTTTTTTTTTTTAGAGGTCGCTTAAATCCCAATGCTAGACCCGGTGGCAATCAAGGTCTAGCCACCAGGTCTAGCATTGGGATTTAAGCCCAGCTTTCCTCTGCAAAACTCATAGCCATCCAAGTTAATATAACTATTGCACAGTTGATGAGAGATTCAAGTTTCACCACCCTCAAAACACCTTTAAGGCCTTGCATTCATTATTAATTCAATATATTCATCGTCTTATTTAAATCCTTGAACAAACCTTTTCAATACATATCATTAACTTCATGAACTGATGAATACGTCACGTCCCCACCCCCGTGGGAACGCTGGGAGCCTGCACTCCTCCCTCAGACCTTTGATTTGCCCAAGGTCTGAGTTGACAGGTGGCAAAGTCAGGATGTAAACCAACGTGGTTTAACTCCTAGAACAATAGAGGTAGACTATGGGTCTCCTAAAACAAAGTCCTTCCCTATACCTCCAATACCAGAGTTGAAAGGATTTCATGTGTAATTGGGTTGTGCCAGTTTTCCAGGAAGAGGATTACATCCAAAACAACGGATAATCTATGTCTGACATTGGACTTTGGAATGACTAATTTTTTTTTTTTTTTTTTAAGACAGAGTCTCACCCTGTCACCCAGGCTGGAGTGCAGAGGCGCGATCTCGGCTCACTGCAACCTCCGCCTCCCGGTTGAAGTGATTCTTCTGCCTCAGCCTCCCGAGTAGCTGGGACTACAGGCATGCGCCACCACAGCCGGCTAATTTTTGTATTTTTAGTAGAGACGGTGTTTCACCATATTGGCCAGGCTGGTCTTGAACTCCTGACCTCATGATCCGCCCACCTCAGCCTCCCAAAGTACTGGGATTACAGGTGTGAGCCACCGCACCTGGCCTGGAATGAGTAATTTTAAAATTTGTCTTCCTCGATACATTTTACCTAGGCAAATGTTTTTGTTTTTCAGAGACAAGGTCTGACTCTGTGCAGTGGAGTGCAGTGGCTCAATCATAGCTCACTCCAGCCTCAGACTCCTGGGCCGAAGTGATCCTCCCACCTCAAGCTCCTGAATAGCTGGGACTACAGGTGAGTGTCACCCTGCTTTGGCTAATTTTTTTTTTTTTTTTTTTTTTGGTAGAGACACAGTCTTGCTATGTTGCCCAGGCTGGTCTGGAACTCCTGGCCTCAAGTGATCCCCCTGCCTTGGCCTCCCAAAGTGCTGGGATGACAGGGGTGAGCTACCACACAGGCCCCTAGGCCAATGTTAAAATGAATTTACACATTCCAAGCACGCGCTAATCAGCCAGTTAAGCCACACAGACACTGGGTGATAAGGGAGAACAAAACTAGAATTTTAATTTTCCTACAGAAAAGCCACAAAGCCAGTAGCCCACATACAGAGAGATATATCCTTGAGAAAAGTTTCCAATCTCTAGGTTGGTGGTTGTCCAAAATACATATTAAATTAATGTTTTATTCCACTAGAACAGACAGACAGTTTGGACATGTCTTTTGTCCCTTCTTCTTTAAGGATGCAATGCAGATACTAATTTCTTTTAGATGATGTCAGAATGATGACTATGCTGGAAAGAAATGGATGAATATTAAATGAATGTCTATCTATGTTTCTCCCAAGTAGGACCCCTGAAAAAGCACTCACTCATACCCCCAAGATAGTATTCCAGTGCCCCCTACTGCACTGCTAAACTTCAGACCTATGACCTTCCTCTCCTTTTCTCATACTTCCTCTGAAAGTCCCTAACTACTTCCTTGTTGCCATGGCTTTTTGCCTGTCTATCTCCCTGATCTTCTTCCCTACACTGGATGCAACTGCCCAAACCCTCAGCTCCCTTGCCTTCCCTGGCATTCCGTTGCTGAAGTTCCTCTGTGCCTTTCTCTCCTCTTCTTCTCTAGTTTAGTCTACCATTGCCCACTCTTCTTTAGCTCTGTGGTAAGACACCCAAACTTCAGGCCCTGGCCCTCTGCTCTTCTTCCTTTACTCAAGCTCCTGCCAGCATGTCATTAATTCATCCTAATTTGTACTCCCTGTTCTGTTGCCTCCCCTCAGTGCCAAACCTCTCATTATAGTCAGAGGCCTAGACTTCACCCCAACTTCCTCTCCAATTAAATTCATTCAGTTCTGCTGAACCAGTATTAAGTGTCCAAATGGGCCGGTCGTGGTGGCTCACACCTATAATGCCAGCACTTTTAGAGGCCGAGGTGGGAGGATTGCTTGAGCCTAGAAGTTCAGACCAGCCTGGGCAACATAGTGAGATCCCAGCTTCTACCAAAAAAAATTATTTAAATTAGTTAGGCATAGTGGTGTGCATCTGTGGTCCCAGCAACTTGGGAGGCTGAGGTGGGAGGATCACTTGAGCTAGAGAGGTCAAGGCTGCAGTGAGCTGTGATCTCGCCACTGCACTCCAGCCTAGGCAACAGAGCAAGACCCTGTCTCTAAAAAATAAATAAAAATAAAAGTACCCAAATGCCTGTTATGTATTATGTACTTTGTTAGACCATACATAGTACATATGGCAGGAATGCTAAACAAAAGTGCCAAAGAAGACTGGACGCTGTGGCTCATGCCTGTAATCCCAGCACTTTGGGAGGCCGAGGCAGGCAGATCACCTGAGGTCAGGAGTTTGAGACCAGCCTGGCCAATGTGGTGAAACTCCATCTCTACTAAAAAAAAAAAAAAAAAAAAAAAAAAGCCGGGCATGGTGGCACATGGCTGTAATCCCAACTACTTACTAGGGTGACTGAGGCAGGAGAATTGCTTGAACCCAGGAGGCTGAGGTTTCAGTGAGCCTAGATTGTGCTGCTGCAATCCAGCCTGGGCGACAGAGTGACTCCATCTCAAAAAAAAAATGCCAAAGAAGGTAATGCATAGAGACTGTGGTGAATTAAGAAGCATATACCCACCTCCATTTATCCAGATAAGAGATACTCTCTCCATTTAAAGAGTATCTGTCACTCAACTCCAGTTACTGCCATGCAGGAATGTTGACCCAGTGTTGCTAGATCTTCTAGTTACTCAAGAGAAGCTAGAGATCTGAACTTACATATAAACTCTTCCAATTTTTACATAGTGGCAGCCAATTTACATTTTTTAAATGCTGTGTAGCCAAACAAAATACGTCTGCTGTCTGAATGTAGCCCATGGAACACCAGTTTGACCAGCACTAGTCTAGTGAAAAGGCATGAGCCTTACAGTAGAACAGAATTAGATTTGTATCCTAACTTCCCCCATTTTGCACTGTCCAACAGTATTCAGGGAACCCTTAGTGTTTCGTATTGTTTTAAATGCATCTCTCTCATTCAGCCTCTGTTTTTTGGTCAGGCAACAAGCTCTGCCAATTTTTTCTTCGAAGAGTTTTGTTCCAAGCTGGGAGCCGTGGCTCATGCCTGTCATCCCAGCACTTTGGGAGGCCAAGGTGGGTGGATCACTTGAGCCCAGGAGTTCCAGACCACCCTGGGCAACATGGCGAAACCTCATCTCTACAAAATTTTTTTTTTTAATTAGCTGGGCATGGTGGCATGTGCCTGTGGTTCCAGTTACTTGGGAAGCTGAAGTGGGAGGATCGCTTGAGCCCAGGAGGTCAAGGCTACAGTGAGCTGTGATGGTGTCATTGCATTCCAGCACTCCAGCCCGGGCATCAGAGTTAGACCTTGTCTTAAAAAATAAATAAATGAATAAATATAAATAAAAAATAAAAAGCTTTTACAGTAGTATTCCCTTCATTCTGCCCACCACCCCCATCTCCACTGGCACAACCAACCATCCCAGCATACCAAAGAGCACACCACTCTTCAGGACTAAGGTGCTCATTTCCTCAGCTGCTGGGCGCATTACTTGTCAACACCTATCAGCTAAATCCCTTTCCAGGAGTTGCCTTCAGCTGAAGAAAGCTGCCTCTCACCAGGTCCGTCTGCACTGACTGGCAGATGCAGGGCTCAGGGTGGGGCTGCTCTGAAGGGCTCTCCTGGCACCAGAGCTCCCTTAGGATCCGGAAGCTGAGGCATTTGCTGTAACTACATTTAGTTCAACTTTTTCTGCTCAATCCTACTCCTTTCCTGCACGGTGTTGATTCCAAGGGCAATTAAATCCATGAGTGTGGCCGGACACCATGGCTCAGACCTGTAATCCCAGCACTTTAGGAGCTGAGGCAGGTGGATCGCGTGAGCCCAAGAGTTCAAGACCAGCCTGACCAACATGGTAAAATCGTATCTTTACAAAAAATAAAAAAATTTGCTGGACATGGCGGTGAGCAGCTGTCATCTCAGCTACTCAGGAGGCTGAAGCTGGAGGATTGCTTGATCCCAGGAGGTAGAGGCTGCAGTGAGCCATGTTTGTACCACTGCACTCCAGGCTGGGTGACAGAGCAAGACCCTGTCTCAAAACAAACGGACAAAAACGTCCCATGAATGTGGTTTGATCCAGTGGAGCTGAATCATTCCCCTGGCCAGTTAGCAGTAAGGTCCACAGGGGAAGCCCTGACAGGCCCCGGCGTGCCATAGCAGTACGATGTTAAAACTTTCAGCAATGGTGAAGAGCTGGAATGGGTGGGATGTAACCTCAGTGGAACAATGCACTCGTAGGTGCAATCTATCAGGCATTTTAACAATATAGGGCAAATAGTAGTTTAAGAACAATGAAATTGGATGGCTACTGATGGAGTAAACCTGTGCTTTGGAGAAAGACAATGAAAGGTTGAGGATGATGAATCACCAATTAAAGGCTAAGGAAGAAAGCCAGTGTGCCTCCTTAGCAGCATATAAAGGAAGTAGGAGCTGCATAAGGCAGAAAAAGCGGAAGATGAAGCTCAGGATTTAATTATAAGAGCAGAAGAACGCCAAAAAGGTTTTCAGCCCTAGTGAGTGTACTATACCAAGGTCAGGGGCATAGTTGAGAAGTGGGACCCTGACACTTTAGATGGGGCATCTGGGTCAATGCACTTGAGAACCTTAAAACCCCACATCACCTTGAGTGCTCTGGGTTTGTAGAAGTGTCCCACTCCTCCCTCAAGAAACTAGCACCCCACCCCCTTGCTTGAAGATCAAGAAGTATTATCTGCCTTGCAAGGCAACACACGCTCTCCTCAGATCTACCTGCACTTTTCCACCTGTCTAACAGACCAATAACTAAGGTCAAGTCACACATAACCCCATTAAGAAAATGCTAGACCTGCTAAGGGAGGAGAGGCACTGTATCCTGAAGGAGCTAAAAAACCTACCCAACTTAGGCCGGGTGCGGTGGCTCATGCCTATAATCCCAACACTTTGGGAGACCGAGGTGGGTGGATCACAAGGTCAGGAGATCGAGACCATCCTGGCTAACATGGTGAAACCCTGTCTCTACTAAAAATAAAAAAATAAAAAATTAGCCGGGTGTGATGGCGGGCGCCTGTAGTCCCAGCTACTCTGGAGGCTGAGGCAGGAGAATGGTGTGAACCCAGGAGGCGGGCCTTGCAGTGAGCCGAGATCGGGCCACTGCACTCCAGCCTGGGTGACAGAGAGAGACTCCTCTGAAAAAAAACCTACCCAACTTATATACACATCTGCAGAAGGTGGGAGAACTGGGTAAAGGGTCCCCAGTGTGCTGAATTGGGGAGGGAGGAGAAAATAATGCTAAATAAAGCAGAGCATATTGATATAAGCACATTCCTGTACTACAGTATTTACATTCTGGCAAGGACTCCAGGAGATAAAGCTAACAGATTGCTAGGATGGCTCTAGAAAGCTTGGAGAAAGCAGTGGTCCACACTAAGCAAAATAGAAAGGCCAGAGCTGTCCTGGCAAACAATGGAAGAAGGGAGCAAAAGACTCAGAAGTGGGAATGACATATTATTTACATCCTATCCTGTCAGCTGTGTTCTGCTGTTTATCACAAGCAATAAGGAATGTGCTATTGAGAGGGACACAAGCATCACTGAGAAGTCCAATAGTCACTTTTCTCTGTAGACCAGGGCTTATAGTGGAAGATGTTTCAGGAGCTAGGGTCCCTGATAGCAATGGGCCTGCTAGAGACCAGGTAGCAGTGCATAACTAGCAGAAGATTAAGTGGCATTGTTAGAAGTGGCAAGATAGAATGGCATCCAAGGAAGCCTGACCCACAGGAAGCTATGAAGGTAGTTAGTAGGATACTGTGTGCCTCAAGATGTAGTTTTTAAAACACAAGGACAGATAAGGAGGCAGCTGAGAGGAGCTGCCCCAATAGTCATAATCCCTTGCCCTGTTTCTCAACCTGAGCCAATTTCCAGAACCTAATGACTGAGGAAGACCGGATTCCCAGCAAGGGTATATAGTGATGAGTCCTTGTCCTCTCTGAATGGGTACTTAGCATGGGCATACTTGGTGGTTGGCAGAACCTCTATGATAGTTCCTTGGCCTGTGGAGCAAGAGCTGTCATAGTGGGGAAGGCCAAGGCCATACCTGGGGAAGCTTCTAAAACTGCACCCCTCTCACCCAGCCAACAGTCGACATTTTTAAAAAGTGGCATACCCTGGGGGAACATCAGAGAAAAGGATGCAAATACAGAGTAGCAGGGCTCCCACTCAACAAGGCTGATCCAGCTGCTGATGCCACCAAATGCCCAACCTGCCAGCAACAGCACAGATCTTTTGTCATTTACTCTTTATTCTTTTTCCTGCTGAGAACGTAGATCAAAGCCTAGAAGTGAAGCAGCTATTTTGCAAAAGATGGAAGCTAAAGGAAGCTTGGGTCCCTGATACTTCTTCAAGCAGCTGTACCTGCCCTGAACTGCCTACCTCCAGAGTTCTGGTTACAGAAAGAAAAATAAAACCTCTGTTTTGTGAAGTATGTGCATCCAGGTTTCAGTTCCATGCAGCTGAATGTAACCCTAACTGACCCCCACAGATACTGAGAAAAGTAAAGAAAGAGGGGCTTTAAGCAGCTGCTGAATGGAGACCTAAAGGCATAGAAAGAGAGGTGATTTTCAGAAGTGTTACTGTGGGTTGTAATTAGGAAAATATACATAGGAATTAACTTCATTTTTGGTTGCTAGGTTCTTCCTCTGAATGTTATACTACTCCAAAACTGGGCCAAGTGATGTCTAGGACTTATTTGGATTATTTATTAAGTAACTAATTATGTAATTGTCATAAGTGGTAGTAGTATCATTAGTACTACTATAACAAAACTTTGTAAGAGGAACATTCCAGAGGAAGGGGCACAAAAGGAAATCAGAGCCAGAAATGGACACTATCATGCCTTTGTTCTTTTTACCTGGGTCTGAAATAACTTTTCTTTTGTTTCTCTTTTTTTTTTTCAAGGCAGAGTCTTGCTCTGTTGCCCAAGCTGGAGTGGCATGATCTCAGCTTACTGCAGCCTCTGCCTCCTGGGTTCAGGTGATTCCCATGCCTCAGCCTCCCAAGTAGCTGGGATTACAGGCATGTACCACCATGCCCACCTAATCCGTGTATTTTTAGTAGAGTTGCAGTTTTGTCATATTGGCCAGGCTGGTCTCAAACTCCTGGCCTCAAGTGATCCATCTACCTCAGCCTCCCAAAGTGCTGGGATTATAGGCCTGAGTCACTGTCTCTCCTTTAAAGCCCACCTAATCCTCTGATGCTGAACTTGCTTTGGCCACTCCAGTCCTTATTCCCCTGACTTTTTTTTTTTTTTTTTTTTGAGACAGAGTTTTGCTGTGTTGCCCAGGCTGCGGTACAGTGGCATGATCTTGGCTCACTGCAACCTCCACCTTCCAGGTTCAAGCAGTCCTCCTGCCTCAACCTCTCGAGTAGCTGAGATTACATGCAGCCACCACCATGCCTGGCTAATTTTTGTATTTGTAGTAGAGACAGGGTTTCACCATGTTGGCCAGGCTGGTCTAGAACTCCTGACCTCAGGTGATCTGCCCGCCTCAGCCTCCCAAAGTGCTGGGATTACAGGCGTAAGCCATCGTGCCTAGCCTACTCCCCGGACTTTTAAGCACACGTAGTCATCTTGTCTTCATCACAGGCATGCTAGGCTCCTAGCAGTATCAAACCACAGGAGAACCATTATAAATTTGTTTTGATTGATTAATCAAAGGGGAGCAGCTGGAAACAATTAGTAACAGACTAATTGTTATCAACTGCCTAGGTAAGGAAAATTACTATGAGGATTCATCCTATGTGAATGTTCTGGTGTAGCCATTAAAATGGTAAGTTATAAACAGCTGAGAAAGAAACATTTCTGTCTTTGGTGGTATAGTTAGTCTCTCAGTCTTTCAGAGAACTCTGCTTCTATTAATATCATTTATTTCTTCATTCTCACATACCTATTGCAGCTAAGTGTTCCATGGGACTCATAAGAGAAGATTCAATTTCTGCTCTGAAGAAGTGTAGTTATGAAAGATACATCAGGTCTCTAAATAACTATCAGAGATGATAGAATGATAGAAACTTCCTTTTAAGGGGTGCTTACAAGACATCAGGCATTATACTATGCACTTATATACAATATTGTTTTTAAAGTCCATACAACCATATGAGGTAGATATCACTATCCCCATTTCACAGATAAGGAAAAAAGTTCAAAAAGATTTAGTAAAATGCTCAGGTCGCCTAGCTAGTATAAGATGAGTCTGGTAGTTAGCTGAAGTCAGCTTTGTCTGACTCCAGGTTCATGCTCTTATCCACCATACAGCATGGTCCAAAGAGGGTTTCTTGGAACTTTCATGCCTCCAAATGACTCATGGCCAGACGAGTTTGAGAAATGCCATGCACTGTAGTTCCCTATTGGCAGTTCACAGTGTTGTTCTGTATTACAACACTGTAGTAGTTTAAGCCAGTGGCCTCCAAACTTTTTTGATGGTATATTCCTTTTTTAAAATTAAAAAAAATTTTTTGAAGGCATATTCATATCAGTAAAAGAATGTAAGCACCTCTGCCCAGTATAGGACTTACAGAATCTATATATTTTTAACTATTTTTAATTTTATTCTGTTTAATATATTACTTTTTGTTCTCACTAAAACTTCCAGCATTAGTAATATTTGCAACATGATTAATAGTATTTAATATATTATAAACATAAAATGTTAATATTGTTTATAATAATATTTTTAGTAAGAGCATTGTGGTTGGACTTGTTTTACATTTTTCAGCATTTTTTTTTTTTTGAGACAGAATCTTGCTCTGTCGCCCAGGCTGGAGTGCAGTGGCGCGATCTCAGCTCACTGCAACCTCCACCTCTTGGGTTCAAGTGATTCTCGTGCCTCAGCCTCCCTCATAGCTGGGTTACAGGCACCCACCACAATGCCAAACTAATTTTTTTTTTTCTTTTGAGATGGAGTCTCGCTCTGTCACCCAGGCTGAAGTGCAGTGGCGTGATCTCAGCTCACTGCAACCTCTGCCTCCCAGGTTCAAGTGATTCTCCTGCCTCAGCCTCCTGAGTAGCTGGGATTATAGGCACCTACCATCTTGCCTGGCTAAATTTTTGTATTTTTAGTAGAGACAGCGTTTCACTATGTTGGTTAGGCTGGTCTCAAACTCCTGACCTCAAGTGATCCACCCGCCTCGGCCTCCCAAACTGCTGGGATTACAAGCATGAGCCACTGCGCCCGGCCCTTCGATTTCAGCATATTGATTTATTGTTCTTTTCAAAGTTCTGCTTCTAAAGTTCAGTTTTTTTGTTTCTTTGTTTGTTTGTTTTTGAGATGGAGTCTCACTCTGTCGCCCAGGCTGGAGTGCAGTGGTGCAATCTCAACTCACTGCAACCTCTGCACCTGGGGTTCAAGTGATCCACCCACCTTGGCCTCCCAAAGTGCTGGGATTACAGATGTGAGCCACCACACCCGGCTTATTTTGTTCCTTTTTAAATGGATATCATAACTTATACATTTGCTCTAAAAGAGTACATACACACAAATGGATGAAGCTGTCATTAGTTCTGCTTACTATGTAATGTTTTTCTTTTTTTTTTTTTTTGAGACAGAGTCTCTCTCTGTCACCCAGGCTGGAGTACAGTGGCACGATCTCAGCTCACTGCAACCTCTGCCCCTGGGGTTCAAGCAATTCTCCTGCCTCAGCCTCCCAAGTAGCTGGGATTATATAGATGCCCACCAACACGCCCCGCTAATTTTTTTGTATTTTTAGTAGACATGGGGTTTCATGATGTTGGCCAGGCTTGTCTTGAACTCCTGACCTCAGGTGATCCACTTGCCTCGGCCTCCCAAAGTGCTGGGATTACAGGCGTGAGCCCCCCGTGCCTGGCCTATGATATTAATGTTCCATCCTGTTCACTAATTATGCAAAGGTGCTGCTGCTCTTGTAATGCTGTTAGCGTCTTTCCATTTTCCCTGATGGGAACCAGTTGTTCTTCTAAACTAACAAATGAGTACAAAATCCACTGAAACATTTCCTTTTAATCCTAAATGGGTTAGAAATTTTGATTTCCAAGTTTTAAAAGTATGCAGCTATGAGGTTTTTTGTTTTTGTTTTCGTTTTTTTTGTTTGTTTGTTTGTTTTGTTTTGTTTTGAGACGGAGTCTCACTGTGTCGCCCAGGCCAGAATGCAATGGCACGATCTTGGCCACTGCAAGCTCCACCTGCCGGGTTCAGGCCATTCTCCTGCCTCAGCCTCCAGAGTAGCTGGGACTACAGGCACCCGCCACCACGCCCAGCTAAATTTTTTTGTGTTTTTAGTGGAGACAGGGTTTCACATGTTAGTCAGGATGGTCTCGATCTCCTGACCTCGTGATCCACCTGCCTTGGCCTCCCAAAGTGCTGGGATTGCAGGCATAAGCCACCGCGCCTGGCCACAGCTATGAGTTTTTATAAATACATACTTGTCTTTACAACAAAACCACATAACTATGAAATATTTTTAAAGATCTGTTTTCCTAATGCCCTCTGCTTAACGTGTCTTTTTAGGAAAGGAGTTTGTCTTTCTCTCAATCATTGTTAAATAACACCTTTATTTTAAAGGTCACATTGTGTGTGTATGCACATGAATGCAGGCATGTTTTGATACTACTGACAGCCTCTGGCCTTCACAGAAAAGGTCAGCAAATTTAGTTTATTGGAATCCAGTTAGTGTAATCTATAGAACCACTTAATTAGGCACAGACAAGCTGCAGTGTATCACCATGCACTGAAAATGAATAAATGAATGAGGGTGTCACTAACATGTCCTCTATGGTATGGAGTCCCACTCTTGGAGAAATAAGAACAGCCTGAGAAAATACAGACATAAAGAACTGCCTACCTCCCCTCCTTTCTCTCTGACCTTATCCTCCTTCCAAGACTAAATTATGAACAAAGAAACTGTCAACCAGGAGCTCCTCCTGGGGAAGGAAAGAAAGCAGCCTTGATTAAAATGTAACTTCTAGGCAGGGCGGGCGTGGTGGCTCATGCCTGTAATCCTAGCACTTTGGGAGGCCGAGGCGGGTGGATCACAAGGTCAGGAGATCGAGACCATCCTGGGTAACACGGTAAAACCCTGTCTCTACTAAAAATACAAAAAATTAGCCAGGCATGGTGGTAGGTGCCTGTAGTCCCAGCTACTGGGGAGGCTGAGGCAGGAGAATGGCTTGAATCTGGGAGGCAGAGCTTGCAGTGAGCAGAGATCGTGCCACTGTACTCCAGCCTGGGTGACAGAGTGAGACTCCATCTCAAAAAAAAAAAAAAAAAAAAAAAAAGTAACCTCTGGTACTGGTATAAGGACAGCATATAAAACAATAGAATAGGCTAGGCACGGTGGCTCACACCTGTAATCCCAGCACTTTGGGAGGCTGAGGCGGGCAGATCACTTGAGGCCAGGAGTTGGAGACTAGCCTGTCAAACATAGCGAAACTCCATCTGTACTAAAAATACAAAATATTAGCTGGGTGTGGTGGTGGGTGCCTGTAATCCTAGCTATTCATGAGGCTGAGGCAGGAGAATTGCTTGAACCCAGGAGGCAGAGGTTACTGTGAGCCGAGATCACGTCACTGCACTCCAGCCTGGGTGAGACAGTGAGACCCCATCTCAAAAAATAAATACATAAATAAATAAAAAGAATAAAATTGAGAGTCTGTAAATAAACCTTCACAGTTACAGTTAATTGATTGTCAACAAGGATACCAAGACAATTCAACGGGGAAAGAATAGTCCTTCCAACAAATACTGCTGGGATAACTAGATAGCCACATGCAAAGTAATAAAGTTGGACCCCTATCTCACACCATATACAAAAATTAAAATGGATCAAAGACCTGAATATAAGAGCTAAAATTCTAGAACTCATCAAATAAAACAAAGAAGTAAATCTTTGTGACTTTGTGTTAGGCAGTGGTTTCTTAGATATGATACTAAAGCAAAGCAGTTAAAGGAAAAAAAGGTAAATTGGACTTCACATTTTTTTTTAACTTCATGCTTCAAAGAATACCATAAAGAAAGTGAAAAGACAACTCAAAGAATGGGAGAAAATATTTGCAAATCATATATCTGATAAGGGACTTGTATTTAGACTATATAAATAACTCTTACAACTCAAAAACAACAATAAAAATAAATAACCCAATTAAAAAACAGGCAAATGGCCTGGTGCAGTGGTTCATGCCTATAAACCCAGCACTTTGGGAGGCCGAGACGGGCAGATCACCTGAGGTCAGGAGTTTGAGATCAGCCTGGCCAACATGGCGAAACCCTTCTTTACTAAAAATACAGAAATTAGCTGGATGCGGTGGCGTGTGCCTGTGGTCCCAGCTACTCAGGAGGCTGATCAGGAGAATCACTTGAAAGTTGTGAGGCAGAGGCGGCAGTGAGCCAAGATTGCACCACTGCACTCCAGCCTGGGTGACAGAATGAAACTCCATCTCTAAATGAATAAATAGGCTGGGCGTGGTGGCTCATGCCTGCAATCCCAGCACTTTGGGAGGCCGAGGCTGGTGGATCATCTGAGGTCAGGAGTTCAAGACCAGCTTGGCCAACTTGGTGAAACCCTGTCTTTACTAAAAATACAAAAATTAGCCAAGCATGGTGGCACCCGCCTGTAATCCCAGCTACTAGGGAGGCTGAGACAGGAGAATCACTTGAACCCGGGAGGTGGAGGTTGCAGTGAGCCGAGATCGCACCACTGCACTCCAGCCTGGGCAACAGAAAGAGACTCTGTCTCAAATAAATAAATAAATAAATACAGGCAAAGGATGTAGATATACGTTTCTCCAAAGAAGATACACTAATGACCAATAAGCACAAGAAAAGATGCTCGACATTACGAGCCATCAGAAAATGCAAATCAAAACCACAGTGAGGTACCACTTCATGCCTAGTAGGATGGCTATAATAAAAAACACAGATGATAATGTTGTAGCAAGGATGTGGAGAAATTGAAATCCTGATACAGCGCTGGTAGGAATGTAATATAGTGCAGCTATTTTGGAAAACATTTTGGCAGCTCCTCCAAAGGTTAAACAGAGCTGTGATCAATCAGTTCTACTCCTAGGTATATACCCAAGAAAAATGAAGAAACATATGTGCACACATAGACTTGTACACAAATGTTCTTAGTAGCTTTATTTATGATCGCCAAAAAGTCAAAACAACCCAAAGATCTATAAACTGATAAATGGATAAACAAAAGTGGTATATTCATACAATGAACACTACTTATCTATAAAAAAGAATAAAGTACTGATACATGCTACACCATGGATGAACCTTGAAAGCATTATGCTAAGTGAAGGAGGCCAGTCACAGAATAGCACATACAGTATTGTATAATTTCATTTATATGAATTGTTCATAAAAGGCAAATCTATAGAGGCATAAAGTTGATTAGTGGTTGCCAAGACTGCTAATGGGTATGAGGCTTAATTTTGGGTTGATGAAAGTATTCTAAAATTGACTGTGGTGATGGCCTGTAACTGTGAATATACTGTAGTAAAAACCCTCAAATTGTGTGCTTCAAGTGGGTGAATTGCATCATACTTGAATTATATCTGAATAAAGCTTTTTTTTTTTAAAGTAACTCCTGCATTATTATTTTTCTTTGTTTTTAAGCAGGGTCTCGCTCTGTTGCCCAGGTTAGAGTGCAGTGCCATGATCACTGCCCACTGCAGCCTCAATCTCCCAGGCTTAAACAATCCTCCCACTTAAATGATCCTCCCTCTAGTCCTCCCAAACAACTGGGACTACAGGTGCACACCACCACACCTAAGTAATTTTTAAATTTTTTTTTGTGTTGCCCTGCCCAGGCTGGTCTCGAACTCCTGGGCTCAATGAGCCTCCTACCTCGGCCTCCCAAAGTGCTGAGATTACAGGCATGAGCCACACGCCTCCTCCATTGCTCTGATAGGCAAAATGAGAAAGGGATTAACCCCTCCTGTACATTATAACGGGATTTAGGGACTTCAAGGGAAAGGGGAAGCACCTTGTTAATGAAGAAAAGCTTCTTAATTAACCACTACTTGTTAAATCTAACAAGTTCAAAAGCTACTGACACAGCCATGTTTGCTGAAGGGAATAGCAAGCACAAAGATAATCTGACCCAGACGACCCATACCCATCCTCAGCCACAGACCCTGGTGAGCCTGAGCCTCTCCCCAGCTCCTGCTACCTCTGATGGGTCTTCAGGTCTTCCTTGTCCTAGCAGGGCTGATAGTCCTGCTGAGTTGCCCATTTGAATGAGGAAATGTCTGGAGAGAGGAGGGGGATGGGACAGAGCCTTCCCAGTGGTTTCCAGTGACTCAAAGAGGTTTTCCCAAAAGTCTTGTAGTAGAAGATGCTTGATCAAGAAAGTAGGACGTTCAGGGCCAGACCTTAGCAGAATCCTCTACCCCAACAAAGTGAAGGCCTAATTTTGTGCTACTTTCCCTTGCAACTCTGGGAGAATCAGATGCATCAAGAACTTTCACCTTCCTTCTATTGAATTTCGGTTCGCTTTCCAATGGTTCCAACATGCCCAGTGAAGTGAGTTGTTCCATCTGTACAACCTGGGGTGGTGTGGTGAAGGGGAAGGAGACCCGCTCCCTTTCCCACTTCCCAGTGAGGCCTATGAAGAGACAACTAGACTCTTCTCCTACCAAGTGGACTACCTCAGGCCTAGAGTTGGAGTTAGCAGACCACTGTAGGGGAGCCGCGGCCCTCAGCAGAGCTAGAAACAGTGGGAAACCTATGACTATAGGACCTTCTTCTTTTTTTTTTTTTTTTTTTTTTGAGGCGGAGTCTTGCTCTTTTGCCCAAGCTGGAGTGCAATGGTGCGATCTCAGCTCACTGCAACCTCTGCCTCCTGTGATCAAGCGATTCTCATGCCTTAGCCTCCCAAGTAGCCGAGATTACATGCACATGCCACCATGCCTGGCTAATTTTTGTATTTTTAGTAGAGATGGGGTTTCACCATGTTGGCCAGGCTGGTTTCAAATTCCTAGCCTTAAGTGATCCATCTGGCCAAACTTCCCAAAGTGCTGGGATTACATATAGGACGTGCTTCTAAGCGGACGACTCAAGGTATATGTAAGACCAAGCTTTCCATGTATACCTGTGTTAGAAGAAGCTGATCTCAGAAGGGCAGGTGAATATTTGGGTGAGAAAAGGCAAAACATGGCTAAGGAGCAGCCAGAAGGCCAGGTTGGCTGGAATACGGGCCTAGTTAGAAGACAGAGTCATGAATGGAGCTATTCTGGGCAAAGCCTTGAAGGTCACGCTGAGAAACTGGAATTCTCTGCCTATAGCCCCAGTGTACAAAAGGTGGTTGTTACCCAAGGACAAAGCCACAGCTATGTCCTCTGCTTGGATTTCAGAAAAGAATACATTTTTAAATCATCTGCAGGAGCCTAAGACAAAGGTTTATCTTTGGCTCCAATTATATAATTCCAAAAGTACGAAGACTTTTGTACATGTCTGGTTCTTGGTTGCACACATCAGAAGCCACCTGCAGTTTACCTAAACAGAAAGGGAGTGAGTATATTGGAAAAACGTTGGTGGGTCACAGAACAGGTGGGGAGGCTTGGCTACCAGCCCCAGGAAACAGGCAGGAACTCATGAAGGTGAGTCAGCAGAAAACCCAGCCAAAGATGTGACACAGGAACATCACCCACAGCCACAGCCACTGCTATGGATGCTCTCTAAGGGCTCCCGTGTCTTGGCATCATCACGCCCCCCAAAACCATCATTCCCTGCTGGAGCAGCCCACTGGTGAGCCAGGAGGCAGGGACAGGGAATGTCTGGCCTTTGCCAGCTCCCACAGGCAGAGGCCCTCCCATCAAGACCTTCCAAAAGTGGAATTCCCATGAAACAGGAAGGCGATCTGGGTGTTACATAGCCCCCAAAACCAGCAAATGTTCATAATTTGGAAATACCTAAAAAAGACTGATTTTTCCATTTTTTTTCTAGTTTTAACTCAAAGAGTTAAGTATGGGTTAAGTATATGGCCTGAACTCAGACCAGACCTGGTTTTGAAGCCCAGCTCTACCGTTTCCTAGTGGTGTGGCCCTGGGCAAGCAAAGTAACCTCTCTGAACCTATGCTTTTCTGTAAAATGGGGTCATTATAGTACCTACCTCACAGCTTTGAACCTAAAGGTTTAAGTGAGATCACGCGTGTGAAGATCCTACCAGTGGTTGGCACTGGGGAAGCACTCCATAAATATCAGCTATTATCATTGAGTGACCTGACCTAAGGCCTGAGAAATTAGCATGGTCACTTTGGGCCCCATACCTTGGGGTATGTGGGCTCTGACCTGACTTTAAATCCAGGCAGCTAGAGCCACACAAGGGAAGGGGGATGTACAGATGTCCACTTGGACATGTCTCCCCCTCATTCTTTGCTTTTTTTACCTTTTATTTTTATTTTTTTATTTTTTTGAGACGGAGTTTTGCTCTTGTTGCCCAGGCTGGAGTGCAATGGCGAGATCTCAGCTCACCGCAACCATCACTTCCTGGGTTCAAGCGATTCTCCTGCCTCAACCTCCCGAGTAGCTGGGACTACCAGCATGCGCCACCATGCCCAGCTACTTCTGTATTTTTTAGTAGAGACAGGATTTCTCCTTGTTGGTCAGGCTGGTCTCAAACTCCTGACCTCAGGTGATCCACTTGCCCCAGCCTGCCAAAGTGCTGGGATTACAGGGGTGAGCCACCATGCCAGCCTTTTACCTTTTATTGCTTAAGGCCATGGGCTTTGGTGTTACAGGTTTGGATTTGAATCCAGACCTACCAGATGATGTTGGGCACCTCAAGTGAGTTATTTAACTTCTCTAACCCTCAGGCTTTTTTATTACAAAGTAAGAAAAATGCCATCTACCACGTGGCAGTGCTGTAATAAGTAAATCAGATAGTCTGTGGAGGGTGCTTAGCACCCTGGCTTATAGATGAGAAGGGTCCTCATTAGTATTTATTGGTCCTCATGGGCTAGGGGAGAAGTAGCACCTCCCAAGAAGATTCTTTTCCTTCTATAACATCACATGTGCATTTATCTCTTTGATGCTTAAATTATCTGGCAAGGATTCTTTTGGTTTCTACAAAAAATTTTGTTTTAAATCACCTTGACAGTGGGAGGTCACATCTGTGGAAAATGCTGGTGTTCATGTAACAAAAAGCTAGACCAGATCACTGCAAGCGTGCAGGTCCAAGGGTAAAGCGGGTCAGCACTGCTGAGAGTATTGTCCACTGGACTCTCTTTCCAGAGATGCTCCTCAGGAAGGGTGCTGTAGTCCAATAGGTTTGGCAAGCATGACTCCATCCTCCTTTTGGAAAATTACAATGCAGGCCAGGCATGGTGGCTCACTCCTATAATCCCAGCACTTTGGGAGGCTGAGGCAGGCGACTCACTTGAGTCCAGGAGTTCGAAACCAGCCTGGGCAACATAGTGAAATCCCATTTCTACTAAAAATACAAAAATTAGCCAGGTGTGGTGGCACATGCCTGTAATCCCAGCTACTTGGGAGGCTGAGGCACAAGAATCACTAGAACTCAGGAAGTAGAGGTTGCAGTGAGCCAAGATCATGCCACTGCACCCCAGCCTGGGTAACAGAATGAGACTCGGTCTCAAATAATAATAATAATAATAATAATAATAATAATAAAAGTGTATATACAACATAGTATAAACATAGTTCTATTCAGAGTCTACCACATTATAAATCTGACCTAACATTAATACGGAAGCTATAATAAACATTTAATCTAAGGTAATTTTGTATGCCCCCTTAGACTTTAGCAAAACTTTAAAAATGTGTGCTTAGAAGCTACCCAAAGAAATTTTACTACTCGCCTTCTTTTTCTCTCAGTGCCTTCTATTTTTCTTATTATATTCAACAGTATGTCATTTGGTTCAGTCCTACACTTGACACTCTGTTGACAACCATCAGAGTCCTTCATACTCTTTCAGGAAACCACACAAGTAAAAAGAAGCATCAGGAAATTCCACAGTGAACAGTTTAGGCAGGCAGATAGGCAGGTGCCTGAATCCTAACTATGGTGTGCATATGTGTGTGCATGTGTGCATGTACGTGATTTCTGTGTGCACACGTGTGTGAGTGCATGTTTTTATTCATGCCTGCATGTGGGAACATGATTTGTGTGCATTGGTGTGTGCACAAGTGTGTATTTGTGGGTGCATGTGTGTGTATGCATCTGTGTGTTGGAAGACAAAACACAACCAAGACACTACTTCCTGAAAGGGGATATTGGGGTTGGGGGCAACACAACTCCTTAAACTGTGTTTAAGGCAGTCCTCACCAGTTAACTTCCAGAGAAGGGAAGAAACTCAGAAACCTTTCAAAGGAAGGAAAGAGCAACAAAAGTTTGGGCGTGATTAATTCATAAAAAGATGAATGAAAATGTAAATAAAATGTTAAATTGAGCATTAAGTTCTTCAAGAGGCTGAGAAGGAACAGGCCTGGCTTTATTATACTGCATTAAAACCAGTGATAACTATTTTCAGTTTTAAGTTGTAATTCTTTTTTTTTCTTTTAAGTCTTTTTCTAGGTTGGGTTTCCCAGAACAAAACCCTGAGATGAGGACCTGTGTGTAAGTAATAAATTTAAAAAATGGCTCCCAGGAGAAATCAGTGAAGGCGTGGAGGAGGCAGGCAAGGGAAGGAGCCCAGCCAGTCTGTGATTCAGCCTGATCCTGCAGGGAGGGGGTGGGTGGGAAACACTCTGGGATGTAAGTCACACCTGAGTCTGTCTCAGCCTAAGGCAAGAGAGGGTCTCACCCTTGGTCATCCACTAAGGGCCACACCAGGAGCATGAAAACCTACTAGACACTTCCAGAATTCTGTCCTTGAGTGAAAAGCAGCTCCAGTAGCCCAGGGCAAATTCCCCTAAGAAGAGTTACAGGTGCAGGCCATTGTAAACAAAAGCACACTTGAAGGCAGAGAGAAATGACCAAAATCATAAAAAAATCTAGAGGGGCACTCTCTCTGAATCTGCTGTGATTCTGAGGGCTGCCTGATTAAAAAAAAAAAAAAAAAAAAGATCTGGAGGGATTTGGACAGAACGCTTAGATCAAACATTATCCTTTTACACCGTGGGGGTTCCTGTCTGGGCCTCCTGCCGTGTGGGATATGCAGAAGGCACTGCAATGAAGAGAGAGTCACCAGTGCAGGAATGCAAACCATGAGGAGAGAGTGAAGAGGCATTTGGAAGTCCTGAAGTACTGTAAAGAATGAAGACTTCTGGCCAGGCACAGTGGCTCATGTCTGTAATCCCAGCACTTTGGGAGGCTGAGGCAGGTGGATCACTTGAGGTCAGGAGTTCAAGACCAGCCTGGCCAACATGGTGAAACCCCGTCTCTATTAAAAATACAAAAATTAGCCAGGCGTGGTGGCGCATGCCTATAATTCCAGCTACTCTGGAGGCTGAGGCAGGAGAATTGCTTCAACCCAGGAGACGGAGGTTGCAGTTTGCCCAGATTGTGCCACTGCACTCCAGCCTGTTGACAGAGCGAGAATCAGTATCAAAAAAAAAAAAAAAAGAAAGAAAGAAAGTAGGTAGACCCAGCCCTGTGATCCAGGAGAAAAAAGAATATGACTCAGGGACCTGCCTGAGAACCCAGAATTGGTTCAGAATATGAGAAACTCCATTGTAAGAGGCCTGTGAGCCCCCACCCAGATGAACCCTCACAGCAAAGACTGTACCATGAAACAGAAATCATCCCTGGCCTGGCCAAAGAAGCATGCCCGGACCACCACTGCCTAACAACTAGATGAATGGAAAATCTTTGAAAATTGGGTCATGGATGCTGGGTAGCCTGAAATGTGCACTAAATGGGGTATTTATCTGTATTGCTAGAGATCGCCGATTCCCAGGTACCAGGCACCTCTCTCTGCCCTCCTGCGAGGCGACACAGTGATACAGTTAAGGGGAGTCAGACTGCCTGTGTTTGTACCCTGACTGTGCACAAAGTGGGTGAGCTAAGCCAAGCCACTTCACTTCTCTGAGCCTCAGTATCCTCATCTGTAAAGTGGAGTTATTTATAAAACGTACCTCCTAGTGGTGGTTTTATTTTGTTTATTGGTTTTGTTTTTCCAAGATTCATTAGTATATATAGCTCAGTGCCTGGGATAGCCTGTGATCAAACACATTATCTGTTATTATTTGGCTATACTTTCCTCTTGAACAGACTTCCTGAAACAAGCCGCACGCCAGCTGAACTTATTTTGATATCATTAGCTTTTTGGTTAGTTATCGTTTACAAAAGCGTAGTATATAAATATTCTATTTTGGGGCTGAGAAGAACATTTTCAGACTTTTTAACCAATGAAACCTTATTTTCAAACCAACTTCTGTAAGAAGCTGCATTTGTAAAGCTAGTGAAAGCTGCCTCTAGTTGAAGCTGTTGGGAGTGGAAGCCTCACCTTTCTTCCTGCCCAGTGCCTGAGACACCATGGGAAGCCCTGGTCTCCTGGAACAAGGAAGAACACACCCCACGTTCAACATTGCCCCAGTACATCCTCTTAGTTTACAGTCTGAAGTTCATCAGGGGGAGACGACTTGTTCAAGATCTTTCCAGCCTGTCAGGGACAGAGCAGGCACTTGAATCCAGGCACTGTTCTCTTCGATGGCTTCCCTCACTTTCATCACTCCAGGACCACCTGCAACGTTTTTGGTTTTGCTAGAGTATCATGTTATTTATTTATCTAATTCCTTTCAGTGATTCCCCCTTCTTTTTTAAAATCTTAGCCTTGCTATGAGCAATAACATCCACGAATCTCATGTTTGACCTATTATATGTCTTTCTTAATATACATTTAAACAAATAAGTATTTTTAAAACTATGTGTTCATGGCCAGGTGCATTGGCTCACACCTGTAATCCCAGCACTGTGGGAGGCCAAGGCGTGAGGATCACTTGAGCCCAGGAGTTAGATACCTTGCAACAAAGCAAGACCCCATCTCTACAAAACATAAAAATTAGCTGGACATGGGGGCACTCACCTGTAGCCCAAGCTACTCAAGTGGCTGAGGCAGGAGAGTTGCTTGATCCCAGGAGTTCAAGGCTGAGGTAAGTTATGATCACACCACTGAACTCCAGCCTGGGCAACAGAGCAAGACCCTGACTCAAAGAAATTATATATATATAAAATATATATATATTATATATAATTTTAGAGCATATATTTGGAACAAAATATATACTTTTGCAACATGTACATATAATTTTGGAGCATACTGCTCTGTGTGCAAAAAAGAAAATGTCTTAGCTCTGTGGAAGCCAGTCCAGGTTAGCTGCTATGTTTATACCAAATACCAGGAGGTCCAGGGATTTGCTGGGCCCTGTTCCCTGTGGGCCTCAATTCAACAGGATGACACAAGTTTAGAATGAAATTAAAGCATGACTACAATGCCGTTGTTTTTATGTTTCTTTTTTCTTTTTCTTTTTTTTTTTGTTTTAATTAGAAACAAGAGGTAGGAGGATGCTGAATCAGGTGCTCCTTTGAAAGCATTTCCCATTCTATAATTTACTGGGTTCCACATACTATGGAATGTTTGAATTTATAACTTTTCAAGAACTGTCTGTATATGTTTAATGTGTATACATTACATTGACAAAGCCAGTTAGTCCAGCCTTTGTAATCACAATAAGATGCTGCAGGGCTCAAATGGTGGGGAAATAACTCCCACCTTGGAATGTTAATTGCACTTGCTTCTCAGCCTGGAGGCTGAAAATGCAGCAGGATCATTGTGCAACACTACATGTCCCATCTTGTCTGACTGGCTGTAGCTTTAGAAATGAAGAAAGAGAAGAAAATAATTTAAGTTTTGCCTAGAGTTAAGGTTACCTTTTTTTTTAAAGCATTCCTCCTTCCCCTTTCAGATAAAACAACCCATATAGACTGTACCAGATATAGAGATTTAATGCTTTTTCTGTTCTCTTCAAAGATAAAATTTTCAGTGGACTTTTCCACTTGGTGCATGTCCTATGCTTGGCTTGTCACCTTACATCTGACACAAAGGTAATATAACCCAGGATTGGTGAGACGTACCCTCTCCTTTGCATTCCACATTCAGAAGATCTCATTTCCATTTCCAGTTACACAAATATCAGAGTCCCACTGTGGGTAAAAAGTCTTCCAGAAGTGGTAAACCCAGATTAGATAGTCAAGCTGCTCCTAGAAGATAAACTAAAAATAATAATTAGTAAAGCATTAGCAGTATACTAGCTGAAAGCACAGACTTTCATTCAGACAGAGCTGAGTTTGAATCCTGGCTTTTTACCACCATGAGATGTGGGGTGAGTGAATTAACCTCTCTAGTCCTTTGATGTCTTCACTTACAATCCAAGGATACGAATAGTACCTACCTCATAGGGCTGCTTTGAGGATTAAATGAAATCATGCTTATAAGATATTAAGTGCTACAAAGCACTGGAAATTGCTAGCCATTATTCTCATATAACTCTCATGATTACCATTACTTACAAATTGCCTGAAATCGATATGGTCACTGTGGCAGATTCCACGAATGGGTCCACACAATATCTGCTTTGACCATTTCTAAAACCTACAGTGTCTGGACTCTTTTGTAGCTAGGGTTCTGCCTATGACCCAGGTTCTGCCCAGCAGATGCCTATGTGCTCCAGGAAGATGAAGGTCATTTAAGTGAAGTGGCAGCACATGTAGTTGGGTCCATCTTTTTGCAGACATGACCGTGAAAGAGCCTTGAGAGAAGCCTCACTGTCCAGCCCCCAGCATCACAGGTATTGAATGGTGAGCAGCAGCAGTGGGGCTTCTGTGAGAACAGCCCTGTTTATGGCTGGGCATTTCTGCTGGGGTTGTTTCCGGCTGTGTGGTATCCTCACCTGTTTCTCTGGCACTGCTGGAAATCCCATAAGCTACCTAATACCCTGCTGTAACCCCTTTCTATTGAAACTAGCTAGAGTGAATTCTGTTGTCTGCAACTAAGAACACAGTAATTATCAAAACAATCAATACAGTAACTATCAGAATAATCCTTATTACTATAGTATAAAGATTTCTTTTTTTTTTTTTTTTGAGACAGAATCTTGCTCTGTCACCCAGGCTGGAGTGCAGTGGTGTGATCTTAGCTCACTGCAATCTCTGCTTCCTGGGTTCAAGCAATTCTCCTTCCTCAGCCTCCCGAGTAGCCGGGACTACAGGGGCACACCACCATGCCCGGCTAATTTTTTGTATTTTAGTACAGACGGGGTTTCACCATGTTGCCCAGGCTGGTTGTGGACTCCTGACCTCGTGATCCGCCCACCTCGGCCTCCCAAAGTGTTGAGATGACAGGTGTGAGCCACTGCACTGGTCAAGATTTCTTTATTAGTCATATTCAGGTTACTAAGGGATAAATAAAAATATGTATAAAAACCTTTCCCTTGGCCAGGCGCAGTGGCTCATGCTTGTAATCTCAGCACTTTGGGTGGCTGAGGTGGGCGGATCACGAGGTCAGGAGTTCAAGACTAGCCCGACCAATATGGTGAAACCCTGTCTCTACTAAAAATACAAAAATTAGCCGGGCGTGGTGGTGCGTGCCTGTAGTCCCAGCTACTCTGGAGGCTGA
The DNA here is from genome assembly GCF_000001405.40 of Homo sapiens. Lineage (NCBI taxonomy): Eukaryota > Metazoa > Chordata > Mammalia > Primates > Hominidae > Homo > Homo sapiens. Next base: position 31,070,509 of record NC_000017.11, on the reverse strand, counting down.
GGCAGGAAAATAGCTTGAACCCGGGAGTCGGAGGTTGCAGTGAGCTAAGATCACACCACTGCACTCCAGCCTGGGTGATAGAGTGAGACTCCGACTCAAAAACAAAACCAAAAACAGAACCAAAAACAAAAAAACTTTGCCCTTGCCTTCAAAATATATTTATCCTAAAATATACCGAATGAGTTGAAACCTGTTTTGTTTTTGTTTTTGTTTTTTAAAAAAAGCTTAATTTTCTTTGGCAGCAGAAAGCCTTTTCTAAGGAACTAGCAGAATGAGCTAATTAAACTTGAAGCTTTACGGAAAAGAATCCTCACTTGGGTCTTTATTGAGGATGACAGGCAAGCCTACCTGGCAGTGTTCTCTAGAAATTATAATGGGAGAGTTGAAAGGTGAGCCAGAAAGCCAGTTTGTGTGTATAAGTACTTGGCTCGGTAGGTTGTATATAGGCACTAATGTACTTACTTATAGGATGGTACCCAGGGGAGTGCTCAATTACAATGAGAAGAATGCCTTGAAAGAAGTAATTAACAAGAGCATTGGGATATCTCTCCAGACAGATTTTGAATTAATGAAAAATTACTGTGTGATGGGTACAGCCCTGGGTGAAGTGTGGTTTCAGTTTTACCAGTGTTCTTATCTGTTTTCATTGTCATTAGTAGTTTTAAAAATATAACATCAAATTCTTTCTCCTTAGAAAGACTGCTCTTTTTTTTGAGACAGGGTCTCACCCTGTCTCCCAGGTTGGAGTGCAATGTTGCAATCTCAGCTCACTGCAACCTCCACCTCCCAGGTTCAAGCGATTCTCCCACCTCAGCCTCCTCAGTAGCTGGAACCACAGGCGTGCAACACCACACCCGGCTAATGTTTTGTATTCTTAGTAGAGATGGGGTTTCACCATGTTGCCCAGGCTTGTCTTGAACTCCTGGCCTCAAGCAATCCACCTGTCTTGGCCTCCCGAAGTGTTGGGATTACAGGTGTCAGCTATGGCACCCAGCCATGGACTGCCGTTACGGTGTGTTTTTTGAGCGACTGTGGCCCCATTGGCCACTCTCTTGTCATTTTTATTCAATGCCTAGTTTCCCATTTTCTCCCTTATATCTTTCTGGCAAAATGTAATAACCTGTTCAAAGCAGATCAGAGAACTTCTCACAATGCTAACAGGCAGAACGGTCAAGTGCTTAAGGTACTTATTGTCTGTCTTCCTCCATAAAAAAGGACAGAAAATGCTGGACCTCTGGCTTAGTCTGTCAGTTGGTATACTAGTTTCCTATGGCTGCTATAACAAAATGCCACAAATTTAGTGGCTTAAAACAACACAAATGTATATCTTATAGTTCCGGAGGTCAGAAGTCCAACATCAGTTTCACTGAGATTTAGCCAAGTGTTTGCAGAAATGGCTCATTCTGGAGGCTTCAGAAGGGAATACATTTCCTTACCTTTCTCAGTTTTGCAGGCTGCCTGCAGTCCTTGCCTCACAGCCCCTGCCTCACATCACTCCAAGCTCCTGTTTCCGTGAGCACATCTCCTACTCATCACTCTGACCCTCCTGCCCCCTCTTATAAGGACCCTTGTGATTACATTGGCCCCACCTGGATAATCCAGGGTTGTCTCTCCATCTCAAGATCCTTCATATAAATCACATTTTCAAAGTCCCTTTGTCATATAAGGTGATATTCACAGATTCTGGGGATTAGGGATTACTCAGCCTACTACAGGTTTCAGGAAAGCAAGTTCTAGCTTTGTCAATCAATGAGGACTCAGAGGTTACATAGAGAAATGATGAGGAGATCAATAAAACCAACAGGCATTTGAGATACAAGGCAAATATCTGGTTATCTTGCTGTCCTCTCAGCACAGGTGCCTTTTGCTGCAGACTCTAGACTTCTACCTTTATTGTGACTGTCTTTACTTCCTCTCTGTCTGACTGATGATTCTAGTATTTCTAGCAGTCAAACTGAGTCAGCCAGAGCCCATCCTGTAGAGGGCGCCCCTTTTCTGCCTGGCTCTTTTACGAGGACATCTCATGGCTGCTGTCTAACCTACAGATGGCAGCTTTTTCATCAGTCACTAATCCTTGGTCCACTCAGCTTCAGCCAGGAAAGCTGGGCCACAAGACACAAAATGTGTACAGGAACCACGGGCCTTTGTCTCTGAAAGGCGCTGGGAAGTTGCAACAATTCAGAGATTGTTAGACTCTTCTCCAAAACACTGTCAGTGACCACAGAGTTTGGGCAAAATTTTTTGCTTCCTGATTTTTGAAACTGGGATGCTTGTAGGTGCTTGTTAAAAATGGATTTTGGTTAATATTTACAAAATATAGTATTCCTAAGAAATCAAATTAGAAGGTCCAAAAATAGAGTGCTTTGGAAAGCAAAGGCTTGTCATGATGGCCTGTAGTCTAATCATAGACTCTAATTACAGGAAAAGATACACATGCAACAAAGGAAGTCTTCTAGGTCAAAGGTCTTTATGGTACTTCAGATTATATAAAGCAACACACTGGAATTCCCAAGCTCTGAGTCATCCATGAAAAAAATATTTCATATGGCTTCCAGGACACTGAGTTGAATTCAGACACCATTTTATAAACGTCTACTCTCTTTGATAGAGGAGATCTAGGAAAGGAGAGAAGTAATCTGGAGCATAGCACAGAATTAAACTGACTTTTCTTTAATGGAGTCATAGAGCCTGTTACACTGTGGATTCTTGGATCGTGTCAGATAATCATAGATTGAGCCACTGGATTAGTCATAGCATGAATTTCATAATCACCATATAATTGACACAGACCTTTAAACAGTCCTTTTTCTCCTGGAAGCCAGTTTTTTGCTGGAATTAAATGAACTGACCCTTTCTGCAGAAAATGGAACCAACTTTTCACTTCGCTCACCTTGGCAGTAATTAGGAGCTTTCTAGGAGTTAGCACTCCTCCTCGCCAAGCTGTCCAAGTGGAAACAATCAGATTATCCTTAAGAATGCAAAGGTTGGGCCGGGCGTGGTGGCTCACACCTGTAATCCCAGCACTTTGGGAGGCTGAGGAGGGTGGATCACGAGGTCAGGAGATAGAAACCATCCTGGCCAACATGGTGAAACCCCGTCTCTACTAAAGTACAAAAAAAAAAAAAAAAAAATTAGCCGGGTGTGGTGGTGCGTGCCTGTAGTCCCAGTTACTCAGGAGGCTGAGGCAGGAGAATCGCTTGGAGGCAGGAGAATCACTTGAACCCAGGAGGCGGAGGTTGCAGTGAGCCGAAATTGTGCCACTGCACTCCAGCCAGGCGACAGAGCGAGACTCCTTCTCAAAGAAAAAGAATGCAAAGATTCTCTCTCCAAGTGGGAGACCAGAGCAAAGGTAAAGGGGAAAATATTTAATGTTCAGGCTGTGAAGAAAACTAATTAACTGATTGTACTATGTGTATTTCCACTTCATAAACACCAACAATTAATTAAGCCATTATACAGCTCAGGCACATCTAACTCTAGCTTGGACTCTGGAACCAGAAGGACCGCTCAAATCCCAGCTTGGCCACTTACTAACAGTGTGATTTTTGGCAGATGGGACCGACAGGGGTGCATGTTCCATGGGAATGTTGTGACAATAGCAGATGAAATTCACATGGCAAATTATGTGAGTGGGAACCCTCACTAAGCCTTACCTACTTTTTGTTAATCACTGTTTACTCTCACCATTCCAAATCTCTAAGCCCTATCCAGAGTCATGTCACAATCAGAAGCCACCTCAAACCACCAGGCTACCCCTCCCTTCTTTGAAACTCAGTTTTGGAATCTTTTTTGTACTTATTTGGGCTTTCCAACCTTCCAGGAACACTTTTTTGTTTTTTTTGGGGGTGGGGGATGGAGTCTCTCTTTGTCGCCCAGGCTGGAGTGCAGTGGCGCGATCTCAGCTCACTGCAAGCTCCACCTCCCAGGTTCACGCCATTCTCCTGCCTCAGCCTCCCAAGTAGCTGGGACTACAGGTGCCCACCACTACGCCCGGCTAATTTTTTGTATTTTTTAGTAGAGACAGGGTTTCACTGTGTTGGCCAGGATGGTCTCGATCTCCTGACCTCATGATCCACCCACCTCGGCCTCCCAGAGTGCTGGGATTACAGGCATGAGCCACCGCACCCGGCCACCTTTCAGGAACATTTTCTAACACTTAAACTTAAGTCTGGAGTTTGGCTTTTGATGATATCTTCTCCTCCCCTATGTTCTAAGCAACTTTCTTTTATTCAAGAGTTTCCTTCATTCTTTCTCTCCAATTTTTCATTCCTGGTCTTCTCTTTCCCCAATTTTCTCTCTCCAAGGCCAGAGATTGAAGAGGAAATTCCCATCAAGTTTAGAAAATGTGAAATGTGTTCAGGCTCGGGGAAGGAGAAAGAGAAGAAATCATACCTTTATGATTCCTTTCTTTTCCCCCAACACATATAAGTTCAGCCCCTGGTAAATAATTCCCTTCCCTTTCCTGGTCTGTAGTTTCTCAACCTTCTTGGAATCTCCTTTGAAAATATAAATATTTCCTTCCATCCCTCACCCCAATTTTATTCAAAACTTCAAAATAAATGTGATATGACTAAAAACATATTAAAACAATGGTCATCTTAGAATATGCCTATCCAGACTACACAAGCACCCTGAGAAATGTGAAATCTCTCCCTTGGCCCCCTCTCCACTCCCAGGCAGTTGCCAATCACCGCCTGGGTTTAATGATCTTCAACAGAATGTGCTCTAAATTGTCGAGTTTCCTGGCCAGAGCTGGCTCTTTGGGTGTAAGCTCCCAAAACTGGTGACCATTTCTATCTAATTCTGTTTGTGTTTCATCCAGAATAGCAGCTTGTCATATAAGCACTTAAGTCTGATTCCTGATACAGATTTCTTGGCAAATATTGGGTATGGTTAAGAGACCTTGTTCTGGAGTCATGCCACACACAGGACAGCTACCTTTCATGGCCTCTGCGGCAATCACATTAGGACCAGGTTGACGTGGTTCTGGCCATTTGACAGGGGTAGATGTGATGTATGTCACTTACAAGCCTGTTCCCAAAGTGTCCCACACTATCTTCCACACTAGTTGGGCAATCACATAGAAAAGATCTAGGAGAGAACTTCAAGAAGGCTCTGGAGGGGGGTTATGGAGCTACAAGATAGAAAGTGCGTGGATCCCTGAGTCACAGCTAGAAGGAGATTGCCCGAGAGGGCTGCCCAACTCACATTCACTGTGAGGTGAGGGAGAAATGAATCCTTATTGCATTAAGCCACACAGATTTGGGGATTCTTTGCTACAGTAGCTAGTGTTAATTAACCTAATACATTTTAAAAGTTCTTAGAATATAATAAGCCTAAGAAAAAGTTAGTTTTTATTAGCTTATTATTTGTTCCATCCACTAACATTTATTGTGTATTGCAGGTAATGCTGCATATGTTTCCCACAACACTTTAGAAGGTGGGTACCCAGGCCTTGCTCTCTCTCACCAGAGGGCCTTTATCTATGTTTTCTCTGGCTTACCTATTCCTTCCTCCCCTCTCCACATAGTCAACCACTACTCATCATTAAGACCAAAGCTCAGGTATGCTCCTACTCATCAAAACCCTCCCTAACTCTCTAGACTAGATCAGTGTTCCCTATTACATGATCTCATAAATCCCTAAACATCTCCTGCAGGGTACTTAAGACAGTTTGTCATTACATGACTATGTAATTCTTTTTTTTTGACACGTAGTCTTGCTCTGTTGCCAGACTGGAGTGCAGTGGCAAAATCTCAGCTCACAGCAACCTCCGGCTCCCTGGTTCAAGCTATTCTTCTGCCTCAGCCTCCTGAGTAGCTGGGATTACAGGCATGCACCACCATGCCCAGCTAATTTTTGTATTTTTATTAGTAGAGACAAGGTTCCACCATGTTGGCCAGGATGATCTCAATCTCCTGACCTCGTGATCTGCCCACCTAGGCCTCCCAAAGTGCTGGGATTACAGGTGTGAGCCACCATGCCCAGCCGACTGTGTAATTATTTGGTAAGCATCTCCCTTCCTCAACACAGAGTAAGCACCAAGACAGCAGGGGCCATCCTAGTTGATTCACTGTGATATTCCCTGTGCTTAGCCTGACGCCAGACACACAAGATGAGCTCAAAAAGTATTTGAGTATATGGTGTATCTGGGCAGGATAGGTTTCACAGGTTTTCTGCTTCTTGGTGAGGTCAACCGTCAGTGTTGGATCTGGTCTTTATCTTTGCAAGTTTAGAAACTTAATTTTTCATGGAAGGCCAGCACCTGGAACAGGATTCCTAATAACTACACTTAGAGGATGTCTACTTCCTGACTGTGAGGTCCCTGGGAAAGTAAATTAGTGAGTATTCAGAAGCCCATTTGATGACAAAAGAAAGAGCTTGGTTTTGAGAGGAATTCACTTCTTTTAGGCTGGAAAATTAACCTTGTTTTCTTTTAGTGCATATTTCTTCTACATACAGCTTTCTTTTCACCATTAGAGACCACTGAAATCATCCTTAGTAAGGTCATGGCATATAATAGGAGCTCAATAAGCATCTGAATACATATCTGTGGGTCTTATTTGTTGAATGACTGACACGTGGCCTTATGCTTTGGCTCTCCATTTCTAGACCCCAATTAGTGATTGCCTTTTGTTACAGCATCAGTTGTCCTTGAATCTCTACCATGGAAGTTTGAAAAGAACTAGTGAATATGAGCCAGACCTACAAGATTATAAATTCCTTGAAGTTAAGAATCATTATCAAGGCCAGGAGCGGTGGCTCACGCCTGTAATCCCAGCACTTTGGGAGGCTGAGGCGGGTGGATCACCTGAGGTCAGGAGTTCAAGACCATTTAGTAACTCCATTTTACAGACGAGGAAATGAAACCCAGCAATGATAAAAGACCAGGTGAAAGGTCACCCAGCTAGTAAGTGGCAGAGGCAAGAGGTGAACTGAAGCCTGTCTCACTACGGAGCCCGTATTCTCATGCGCTGTGTGTAGTGCATTCCAGACTGCATTCATCTTGGTATCCCTACAACACCTAAAAAATCAGCATTATATTATGCCTCCCAAACATGTCTATATAGTCAATTGTTGGTTGCAAGCAGCAGAAAACCACTCCGATTATCGTAAGCAGAAAAGAGACTAAGAGGCCACTTTGAATTAAATAGTTTCAAGTTTCTATGAGGCTTCAAAATATGTAAGAAGCAACAAACATTATTAGAAGGTGAAGAATGACGATAGGGATAAGCTGTACAGTATGGGGACTATGATTGATAATAATGTACTGTATATTTGAAATTTGCCATCAAACACACACACACAGAGAGAGAAAGAGAGAGAGAGAGAGAGAGAGAGAGAGAGAGAGAGAGAGAACTATATGGGCCAAAAACCAATAGAGACAGGGGCCCAAGGAGCAGAATACAAGATAATCATCTTTGAGCAGGAAAAAACCTACCAGCATGCCTTGGCCAGATCCTTCCAATGCACATGGATTCTTTTTTTTTTTTTTTTGAGATGGAGTCTTGCCCTGTCACCCAGGCTGGGGTGCAGTGGCGCAATCTCAGCTCACTGTAGCCTCTGCCTCCTGGGTTCCAGAGATTCTCCTGCCTCAGCCTCCTGGGTAGCTGGGATTACAGGCTCATGCCACCATGCCCAGTTAATTTTTGTATTTTTAGTAGAGACAGGGTTTCACCTTGTTGGCCGGGATGGTCTCGAACTCCTGACCTCAGGTGATCTGCCAGCCTCGGCCTCCCAGAGTGCTGGGATTACAGGCGTGAGCCACCACACCCAGCCAATGCACATGGATTCTAGCTTTCCATTCATCTTTGCCTCACACCACACTTTTATTCACAATATAAAGTCTAGGGTGAGAGCATCTGATTGGCCAGCCTGTCATTGGCCTCTGTGCTAACTAAAAGCGTGCTGGGGAAGAGGTTAGTCTCTAGACCTTCCTACTTCCCTAGAGGGAGGGGTAGCTTGCTGTGACTGACAGAGTGGGAATTTCCCCCAAATAGAGGGAGGGCATGGATGCTAGGCTGCCACAAACATTGACAAATGTCCATCACAACAGGGATGCATTAACTCAGGCCTACAACAATCCCTGAAACACAATTTATGTCACGTTCTAGTCCCCTTACTGATATTAGAGAAACCCCAGAAGCACGATTCCAAGTCATCATTTAGCATAGTTTATGCACATGATTCATTTTCATTTTTATTTTAGAAGGTGGCATTTTCTGACCCCCCCCTTGAAGATGCACCCTCTGAGGAGCCTGCAGCCTCCTGCACCTGATGAAAGTGGCCCACTCATGAAAACGCCCAGGCTCCCAGTTGGGGAGAACCATCTCCACCTGAGGGGGGTCCAGATCCAGTGAGAAGAATTGCTTTTTGATTGTTTTTAGATAAAGTGTCTTCAAATAGTGCAGCACTTGCACTTCCTGCCTCGATGGAATTTCAGCGCACCTGGCCTTCCTGCTGCTCACCTGCCCCATCTGTGTTTATCTTCTGCCTAAATCTTGTGAAGGCCAAATGGGTAACGTGAATGCAGCTGGGCCAGCTGTGGCTGGGGGCAGCAACAGCTCCATGTTTTGAGGCCAGATGGAGGCTGCTGTGGTCTAGGGGATGGAGGGGAGCCAGTGGCTGCTGTAGGCCTCCCTGTGCAGTGTGTGGAGCTGCAAGTAGAAGCAGGGCCCAACTGGGGGCGCCACTGGATGAAGCACACCACCCCATCCAAAAGCCTGCTCCTAATGTCCTCAATGAGCTCTCTTTGTTTCTGTTTCTTCTATATATATACCTATCAAATGTGTGTGTGTTTGTGTGTGTATGAAACAGAAAGAAACAAAGATTTCTTTACTCTTTTATCAAAGATATTCACTTGTCAGAGACACTAGAGCAGTGATTCTCAATCCAGGCTGCATATAAACATCAGCTGGGAAGCTTTTATAAATTAAAGCAACTATAAAATAGTTGCAGAGAGCCATGGAGACCTGTAGTGTAGGTGTCTTACAGGCATTTTCAAGTTTTTCTGAGGCTTCAAAATATTTTATATATATTTTATATAGTTTGAGGCCTCGTAAAAACTTGAAAATGCCTGTAAGACACCTAGACTATACGGGCCTCCATGGCTCCGTGCAAAACATGACCAAGCTCAAAAAGACAAGCAAGGTCAGAAGACACCACAGATTTGGCAACAGCCCGTGATCCTTGGGTTCATCTCTAGTCAGAGTGGCTCCTTAAAGTGACACTGGCACTTTTGTGAAACGCTTTCCTGCAGGTTCCTGAGCACACTAATGGAAGCTCTCTCTGAGAATTATGCACGAGAGTGTCATTGTAGAACTCTTTTTAACACATCCACCACAGGTATAATGAAACACAGGCTACATACTGATAAAATGGAAGGACCAAATGAAACAAGCCTATTCATATGCACTTGTGTGTCTCTTTGCATCTGTGGTTTTCAGACTTTGGTGTGCATCAGAATCTCCTACAGGACTTGTTAAACACAGATTGCTGGGCCACACGCTGAGTTTCAGATTCAGTAGGTCTGAGATGAGGCCCCAGGAGTTGCAGCAAGTACTCAGGTCATGCTACTGTGTCACCTGAGGCCCATTTGTGACAGTCTGTCTGTTCTGTGTAATAAAAAAGTTCACATTTGCCTTTTCTCTATGTCTGATATGAGGCTGGCCTGTCTTACATTGGACATCTCTGGGGAGATACCAGGAAAAGGACAGACAAAGCGGAACTGCCTGAAATGATATTCATTAATCTGGATTCTGAGTAGCTAAACTGAAACTTGATTGTGCTCTTACCCCCAGCTCCTCCTGGGCCTGGAACAAAGACAGGCTACATGTGAGGCAGCAGGCATTGGAAGGAGGAGGACTGGGTTAGGGTTAGTTTTAGGGCAAGTGAGTTACCTCCATCCTCACCACCCAGCTATGTAGTAATGAATTAGCCTCTTCTAGATGGTCTGCAGTCTATTACATTGTTATAAAAGTTTGGCTTATATAAGTGTCTAAAAATGTTTTATCATAAAAAATGTTAAACACCTGGAAACTTAGAAAGAATAGTGCAATGAATACCTATATGTACCCAGGAACAAAATTCAATTATTAAAATTTTACCTGTTTGTTTCCTTTTGAGACAAAGTCACATTTTCACCCAGGCTGAACTGCAGTGGCACAATCTCGGCTCACTGCAACCTCTGCCTCCTGGGTTAAAGCAATTCTCATGCCTCAAACCTCCCGAGTAGCTGGGATTACAGGTGTGCGCCATCATGCCGGGCTAATTTTTGTATTTTTTTTTTTTAGTGCAAACAGGGTTTCTCCATGTTGGCCAGGCTGTTCTCGAACTCATGGCCTCAAGTGATCCACCCACCTCAGCCTCCCAAATTGCTGGGATTACAGGCGGGAGCCATCACCCCCAGCCAGTTTGTTTCATTTACATATCATCTATAAGTTTTGCTGACATCATCTCCAAAAAAGCAAGGACGTCTTCTACACAATCACAATGTCATTATCACCTAAATGTTAACAGTATTCCCCAATGTTGTCTTATACCATTTCTTCCTTTTATCCCCAAAATGTCTTTTATGGCTATTGTTTCTTTGAGTCATATACAGAACTTAAGCAATGTCAGGGCTAGGATGAGATGAGTTAAAAAGGCCCCAGAAAACTCAGTAATCAAGAGTAATAATATTGTAATGCAATATTTCAAAAAGTCAAATGAGCTACCTATGCCTGTAGGCCAGCTGCATGTTTTTGCAGGAAAAGTTTTACGGGGCTGGGATTAGCATGAGATGAATGAGGCAGGGTTGTACAAATGTAGGCTCTTTAAACTTCTGATATTTTGTTCACCATGGGTTTTTATATTAATTTTGATTTTGAAAATATTGCATTAAAATTGTATTGCTCTTGATCAATGAGTTTTTGGGCATTCTCTTAAATTTTGCACTTAAGTGCCTCACTCACCTCACCTTAGTAGTGCCAGCCTGACTCTTAATGCTCCGTTCATCTCCACTTCATTCACAACTTTGACTTTTTCGATTCTTTTATTCAGTATTTATGGAGCACACAGCCAGCCGGACAAAATGCTCTGCAGATTAAATTAGAACCCCTGATATAAGAAGGAAATGTTCTAATATCGAACATGACCATATAATGCACAGAAGAAGCAACAAATGACACAGAACAAGAACAGGGAAAGAAGACAGGGACATTTCCCTCATCCATGCCTGGCTCAGGCTCAGGATCTTACTGATCCCCTGCTGATGAAAGACTGGAAATTAAGAACAGAAAAAAGCCCACCCATGACTCCTCTTAGCTCCTACTTCCTCATTTTTCTGCTCCCTTCATGGCCAAACTTCTCTAAAGAATACAACTTAGACTTGTTTCCAGAGACCACACCAGTTGTCTTCCGGTCTGCCCCAGACTCTGAGCTTGCAGACTTCTCTCCTCATGGTGTCACAAAACTTCTTCGTTGATCTCCTGTATTCCCCCCAAAATGGAACCTAAAGCCTTAATAAGATTCAAGTTAAACATTTTGGGGATGATTACCTTAGAAGTGACATGGTGTGCCTCGTGTTGCATCACCTGGAGAGGTATGTGGTGTGTGATTGTCCTGGATTTGTACAGTTTTAATTCCATCAGTTCTGAGTCTATGTGGCTTGGATTCTGAGAAGGAACATTCTATTGACTGTACTATCAAGGCAGAGGGAACTGAAGACTCAGATGAGAACATCATCATACTGTGGAATTTCTAATAGGTAAGAACATTTTGTTTTGTTTCGTTTTGTTTGTTTTTGTTTTTGAGACGGAGTCTCGCTCCGTTGCCAGGCTGGAGTGCAGTGGCACGATCTCGGCTCACTGCAACCTCTGTCTCCTGGGTTCAAGCAATTCCCCTGCCTCAGCCTCCCCAGTAGCTGGGACTACAGGCACGGCCACCATGCTCAGCTAATTTTTGTATTTTTAGTAGAGAAGAGGTTTCACCATGTTGGCCAGGATGGTCTCCATCTCTTGACCTCGTGATCCACCCACCTCGGCCTCCCAAAGTGTTGGGATCACAGGCGTGAGCCACGGCGCCCGGCTGGTAAGAACATTTCTTATTCATTTTATGGAACAATGTGGACGTCTTCCACAAAATTAGTTTACATGTTGAAAACCCTCACGAATTGAACGTCATTTATAAAAGTTATTTATTAAAATGTTTATAATGTAGTTTCCTTATTAAAATAAACTTTTTATTTTGAAATAATTTTAGATTAACAGAAAAGTTGCATGATAGTAAAGAGTCCCATATATTCATTCAGTTGTGAAGCTGGAGTGCAGTGGCCCGATCGTGGCTCATTGCAACCTTGAACTCCTGGGCTCAAGCCATGCTCCCACCTCAGCCTAGTGAGTAGCTGGGACTACAGGCAAGCGCCACATGCCCAGCCGATTTTTAAACTTTTCTGTAGAGATGAGATCTCACTATGTTGCCCTGGCTGCTCTCAAACTCCTGGCCTCAAGCGATCCTCCTGTCTTGGCCTCCCAAAATGCTAGGATTACAGGCATGAGCCACCACACTCAGCCCCATATACTGTTTTCTTTCTTTTACTTTTCTTTTCTTTTCTTTCTTTTTTTTTTTTTTTTTTGAGGAGGAGTCTCACTCTGTTGCCCAGGATGGTGCAATGGCGCAATCTCTGCTCACTGCAACTTCTGCCTCCTGGGTTCAAGTGATTCTCCTGCCTCAGCCTCCTGAGTAGCTGGGATTACAGGCACGTACCACTGCACACAGCTAATTTTTGTATTTTAGCAGAGATGGGGTTTTACCATGTTCCCCAGGCTGGTTTTGAACTCCTGACCTCAAGCAATCCATCCACCTTGGCCTCCCAAAGTGCTGGGATTACAGGCATGAGCCACCATGCCCAGCCTTTTTTTGTTTTCTTTTTTTTCTTTTTTCTGAGACAGAGTCTTGCTGTGTTCCTCAGGCTGGAGTCTGGTGGCACAATCTCTGCTCACTGCAACCTCTGCCTTCCAGGTTCAAGTGATCCTCCTGCCTCAGCCTCCGAGTAGCTGGGATTACAGGCGTGTACCACCATGCCCAGCTAATTTTTGAATTTTTAGTAGAAACGGGGCTTCACCATGTTGGCCAGGCTGGTCTCGAACTCCTGATCTCAAATGATCTGCCCACCTCAGCCTCCCAAAGTGCTGAGATTACAGGCATGAGCCACCATGCCTGACCCCCTTATACTTTGAACCCAGTTTGCCCTAATGTTAAAAATCTTATATAGCTATGACACATTTATCAAAATTAAGACATTAACATTGGTACAATGATATTAACTAAACTATAGATTGTATTCTTTTCCAGGATACCACATATCATTTAGTAACTTTCTCTCTTTCTTAAGGTTGTTGTGATTTTTCAAATTGTGGTAAAATATACATAACATAAAATTTACCATATTAACCATTTTTAAATGTGTGGTTCAGTGACATTAAGTACACTCACATTGTTGTGTAACCATCACCACCATCCATCTCCAGAACGTTTTTATCGTTCCAAACTGAAACTCTGAAACATTAGACAAGTTTCTTTTTAAGTATTAATTTTCAAACCTCCAGTACATTAAATTGAAATAATTTAGCCTGGGCCTGGCTTGGTGGCTCATGCCTATAATTCCAGCACTTTGGGAGGCTGAGATGGGTGGATCACTTCAGGCCAGGAGTTCGAGACTAGCCTGGCCAACATAGTAAAACCCCGTCACTACTAAAATACAAAACTTAGGTGGATGTGGTGGCACATGCCTGTAATCCCAGCTACTTGAGAGGCTGAGGCAGGAGAATTGCTTGAACCTGGGAGGCAGAGGTTGCAGTGAGCTAAGATCATGCCATTACAATCCAGCCTGGGTGACAGAGCAAGACTCTGTCTCAAAAACAAAAAAAAAAAGAAGAAGAAGAAGAAAGAAAAGAAATAATTTAGTTGAACATTCTTGGAGAAAGACTGCTCTCAGGTTATATCAGCTCCTGCTTTTTTCTGCCCTTATTCACATGCCCAGCTTGTATTACCTGCCTCAGTAGAACCTGGTCAAGCAAAAACAAATGCTGTCAGAGTGCCAGATCTATTTCCCTTTCTCCATGTAGCATTACCTTGATTTTGCTTTAGAGATTGCCCCTTACTTTTTGCTTGAAGCTTTAGGGGAATTGTCAGGCATGATGTCTTGTTCTCTGTGTGCCATGGTATGGCGGGTAACTCGAACTCTAGCTGGGTGTGTGAATAAGGGCAGAAAGGAGTCAGAGCTGAAACATCCTGATAATGACATCCTGAAGAACCAACCTTTAACTTCTGTGACTTCCTTCCCCAGAGCTACCCTGGTTCTCGTCCCTATTATTACAGCATTTTTTTAAAAAGACTCTTTCTCGCTCTGTATCTTTCCAATAAGTTCCACTCCCTACCCCCCTTAAGTTAGTCAGAGTCAGGCACAACCAAGAACCCTATTTGATATAGGAAATTATTTTAACACAAAGACCCTTGGAGTCAAATCAATTCCAGAAAAGCATTTAATAATTTATTCTACTCTGTCAACACCAAACTATTGCACAGTGAGAAAAGGCTGTGGTGGAATGATGTCTGGAAGCAGCCTCTCCACCTGAGGAGGGGTCTCTGAGCTCTGAGATTGATGACATAGGTTCTAGAAAAATACATAAAATTAAAAATAGAGAGAGATTCTGCCACATACATGCTCTCAGGCACTTTAGGAACCATATAAGCTGTTTCCTGCCCTTTTCTGGGTACCTTAGTAGAGGGCTGGGTGCGGTGGCTCACGCCTATAATCCCAGCACTTTAGGAGGCCGAGGCGGGCAGATCACGAGGTCAGGAGATTGAGACCATCCTGGCTAACACGGTGAAACCCCGTCTCTCCTAAAAATACAAAAAATTAGCTGGGCGTGGTGGCGGATGCCTGTAGTCCCAGCTACTCGGGAGGCTGAGGCAGGAGAATGGCATGAACCCGGGAGGTGGAATGTGCAGTGAGCCAAGATTGTGCCACTGCACTCCAGCCTGGGCGACAGAGTGAGACTCCGTCTCAAAAAAAAAAAAAAAAAAAAGTAGAGAGAGACTCTGCCACATACATGCTGTCAGGCATTTTAGGAGCCATGTAAGCTGTTTCCTGCCCTTTTCCGGGTACCTTTTGAAAGCCAACATTAGGATAGAAGCATAGAGGCTGTGCCACTAGAAAGATTCTGGTGAGAATCGTGGCTGCTTGTTGCACACGTAACCTAGGTAAGTTACCTGATCCCTGAACCTCAGTTTCCTCATCAGCAAAATGAAAGATGATGTCTCATAAAGCTGTGAGAGTGGAAGAGATCACGTTTGCTGAGCACCTGGAGTGTTGTAGGCATTCACCCTGGTTGTGCCTATTTTTCTCAGACCATTCTTTGCTACTGAAACGACTTCTGCAAAGAAGTTGGGGTGGCTTAGATATTGAACTGGCTTGTTTGGCAGGTTATGTTTGGTGCCTATGCATGAGAAACTGATTGGCCATTCATAGGACACTGAGCAGTTTGGAGACTCAGGACCTCCTGCATCCTCTGTGCTTGAATGTTTGCATGGTCAACAGTTCAGAAGTATGCACATCCTGCTGAGAGCTCCATAGCTCTGTAAGAAGGAAGGATTGGGTCTCTACACCAAATGCAAAGCCTGGCCTGGCACGGTGGCTATGCCTGTAATCCCAGCACTTTGGGAGGCCATGACAGCAGGGTCGCTTAAAGCCAGGAGTTACAGACTAGCCTGGGCAACATAGTGAGACCCCCCCCCCATTTCTACAAAAATAAAAATAAAAATTAGCTGAGTGTGGTGGTACATGCCTGTAGTCCCAGTTACTCTGGAGGCTGAGGTGGGAGAATAGCTTGAGCCTGGGAGGCCAAGGTTGCAGTGAGCCGTCATTGCACCACTGCCCTCTAGCCTGGGTGACAGAGCAAGACCCTGTCTCAAAAGCAAAACAAACACAAACAAACAAAAAACAAATGCAAAACCCCAGGAGCTCTCCCAAGACACTATCGGTCAGTTCTGTAAACAATCACTGGAGGTGCAGAGGAGCTGCCCATCTTCAAGGAGTTCTGTAGCCTCTGACATGGCTGTATGGGGTCAGTTCCCTGAATATAGGTTGCTTTTTCATATTTCTGCAAAGTAGGCCCCTTCTGCCTGGATACCCTTCCCATCTATAATGGCTTATTGAGTGCAGGGCCAGCATTGGAATTGTGCAATGTACAACCTGCACGACTGTAAATAGCAGCCTTGGGTAAGAGAATGGGCTACACAGTCAGGAAAAGCTGCATCTATTTCTCATTTCTGCTATTCATTCTTAGTGAAGAGGTGAGCAGGTTGACTTTATTTATTTATTTATTTATTATTAGTATTTTTTTGAGACAGTGTGTCACTCTGTCACCCAGGCTGGAGTGCAGTGATGCGAGCTTGGCTTAGTGCAACCTCTGCCTCCTGGGTTCAAGTGACTCTCCTTCTTCAGCCTCCTGAGTATCTGGGACTACAGGCATGTGCCACCATGCCCAGCTAATTTTTGTATTTTTAGTAGAGATGGGGTTTCACCATTTTGGTCAGGATGGTCTTGAATGCCTGACCTCAAGCGATACACCTGCCTTGGCCTCCCAAAGTGCTGGGATTACAGGCCTGAGTCACGTGCCCAGCCTATTTATTTATTTATTTGAGACAGGGTCTCGCTCTGTCACCCAGACTAGAGTGTAATGGCATGATCACAGCTCACTGCAGCCTCAACCTCCCGGGCTCAAGCCATCCTCCCACCTCAGCCTCCCAAGTAGCTAGGTCCACAAGTGCATGCTACCATATCCAGCTATTTTTTTTTCTTTTTGTAGAGACAGAGGACTCACTATGTTGCCCAAGCTGGCCTCAAACCCCTAAACTCAAGTGATCCTCCTGCCTCGGCTTCCCAAATCCTGGGATTATAGGTGTGAGCAGCCATGCCCCACCAAGGCGACCTTGCTAAATCTCACTTTCTTCATTTGTGAAGTTGGAATAATTACAGTAGTGACCTCTTAGAGTTGTGAGGATTAAAATAAAACAATATATATAGGGAGATTTTAGCACAGTGCTTGGCATGTAGAAGACGCTTTAAAAAAGCTGTAATAATGATTATTCTTTCTGGCAAACTTTTACTCTACTTTAAAGCCTTTTCCAATTCTTTCCAAAGCTGAGTCAAATGCCTCTTCTATGTGCTCCCATTCCCCACTAGCGCTGCTGCCAGTACCGCTGGGTTCCTTCCAGAACTGTGACCTCTTGACAGCAGGGATTGTGTCTTTTATACTAGGGTCACCAGTACCAATAACAATGCTGGGAACATAGTAGGAACCCAATAAATGCTAGTTAAAGGAATGAACGCATGAATGAATGTCTACATGTTATCTTTGATGGGACCAAAGGGAAGCTTGCTCTTCTTATTTTCTGTTAGAAGCCGATAATGGGAGAAAGAGGCAGAGAAATGGGAACGGAGAGTACGGACTGGACACTTAGCAAACGCAAGTCACTCTTTCCTGTGGTCATTTTTTGGGTGGAAAGAAAACTGAGTGAAACCTTGTTCTAAGCTGGGTCTGAGAAGATAAACAAGCCAAGAGTTCTACCTAGACAATGGCCTGATTCTCCCTGACGGGGGAAGGTGGGAGCCAGACAAACATCCCCTTCCAATTTCCTTCCGTCTGTGCTCAGCTCCTACAAAGTATCACAGCCCACCCCCCTCACCCCCTGCCAAAGCCTTTCCTTCATAGAAGGTGTCTTCAAATCCAAGCCAGGCTCTTATCCGGTGAGATCTTTGAAGGCTGGAAGGAGCTGCAATGAGTCTGAATCACTCCCAACCACAATGGCCTTAGAATGACAGACGGTTTCTGTTTCCAGGGCGTGTTCTAAATTGGATTCTTTTGGTGGCTCAATTTGCTTCCACAAGGCCCCTGCCAACCAGGAGCTGAGATGAGCAGTTTGCATAGATCAAATTATTGAACTTCAAAACACCCATGAAAAATTGTGAAAACAAAACAACAGCAGAAGTACAAAGTACGAAGAGATGTGGTTTCCCAGGAGCACGTGTGAAAAATGACTTTGCAGTCCAGATGCCTGCAGGCCCAGCATGAGTCAGCTGAAGGATGTGGAGGCCAAAAAACCTCAGACAAGTCTGGACCAAGCAGAGCTTCCAGAAAAAGAAAGGTGACGGCCAACTCCACTCCACACTGGCCGGACCACCCTGGAGGAGGGCTGGCTCCCTCTAGATGCCATCATGTGACAGGAAAGGGTGTGTTCTGAGTGGAGTTACCAAGATTGGGAGGGGTTGGGAGAGGACTCAAAAGTTGGACAAGAGGAGAGGAGATGTGTACCCTGCGGAAGAAAGTGGTTAGTGTCAGGGTGGTCTTCTGCCTGCAGCTTCTGCTTGTTAGTCCTTCCCCTCCTGTCATCCTGGAGAAGGCCTATTCATCCCTTAGGCCTCAGCGCCTGCCACCTGTTCTGAGAAGCCTTCCCTCACCTCTGTAAGCAGAACCAGCCACACCTGCATTTGGACCTCCTTCTCCTGCACTGGGAGTCAGGTCCCTTCATTACAGCACACCTCCTGTGGAAGAATGTTTTGAGTGTATGGCTAGGCAGGGACCTCGTCCTACTTATCTTTGCATGCCTACTGCCTGGTACAGTGATCACTCTTCAAATGTCTGATGAATTAAATTGTTGGCATGAAAACTGGCACCAAACATTTTGACCATGAGGAAGAGAGATTGTATTTTTTCTAGGTGGCCCAAAAAGACGGAACTGGAAGAGAGGGTGGTGATTACAAGAAAGTGGATTTCAGCTCAAAATCAGGAAGTACTTTATAATAGTAATGACAGCAATTTTATTGTGTGTTTTAGTCACCTATTGCTGCATAATAAATTGCTCCAAAATTTGAGGCCTAAAACAACAATAAGTGTTTATGATCTCACACACTGTATATGGGTTAGGAATTCAGGAGCAGCTTAGAAGAGTGGTTCTAGCTTAGGATCTGTCATGAGTTTGTAGTCAAGATACTAACTGGGGCTGTAGTCATCTGAAGGCTTAATTGGGGCTGGAGGATTGGCTGCAAGATGGCTGGATTGGCTGGGCATGGTGGCTAATCCCTGTAATCCCAGCAATTTGGGACTCTGAGGTGGGAGGATCACTTGAGCCCAGGAGTTTGAGACCAGCCTGGACATCATAGGGAGACTCTGTCTCTACAAAAAACACAAAAATCAGCTGGGTGTGGTGGCACATCCTGTAGTCCCAGCTACTCAGGAGGCTGAGGTGGGAGGATCACTTGAGCGAGATTGTGACATAAGATTGCCATGGTAAAATGGAGCAGATCTGGACCCGAGCCAAATAAATGTGGCATAAATAAAGGTGTCATAAAGACAGGGCGGGGCGCACGCTTATAAGGGGCATGAGCATCTCAGGGCTGCCAGAATGGCTCCCAATCAGTGCACGGCACTAGCATGTGTCATGTCCTGGCTGCGTTTCTGGGGCCCGTGGCCCCTCCTTACGTGGCAGCTATTGTGTCTCCTAGTGGCAATTATTGTGTCTACTAGTCAAGGAGGCTCCACATCTGGTGTTGGTCAAGGACCCGCTCCAGCTGACCTCTAACCCCTGGGGTCACCTGAGCCCTGGTCTTCCCGCTCCTCCCATCTCCCATGGGAATCTCCTCATGCACCTGCTCCCCCAGCAGCCCCAGGGGACTTTGATTACCTGGGGCCCTCTGCTTCCTCACAGGTGTCAGCCCTGCCCCAGGAATCAAATGAAAATTTGGTTCCATTCCTGGATACGGATTCAGGTGGAGAGCTGCCCCTGGGGCCAGAGCAGTTCTTGGCTGCACATCAGGATTTAAATGACAAGCGGACTCCACAAGAAAGGCTCCCAGAGGTGGTTCCACTGCTGGACAGGGATCAGAACCAGACCCTAGTTCAGCTTCCTCGCCTCAAAAGTAAGTTTCAAACTGCAGATCTAGATCGGGCTGCAGGTCATCAGGCAGATGAAATACTTGTTCCGCTAGACAGTAAGGTTTCAAAACCAACCAAATTTGTTGTTTTTCCAAAGAACTTGAAGAAAGATCTAGCTGAGCGTTGGAGCCTTGCTAAGATTGTCGGGATTCCACACCAATTATACAAACCTCAGCGTCAGAAACAGACTTTGCAGATGAATATTTGAGTATGGACACACTGTATTCCGGCAGCCTGCCTCCAGAACTCCGGGTGAATGCAGATGAGCCTCCAGGGCCTCCTGAGCAAGTTGGACTTTCTCAATTCCATCTAGAGCCTGAAACTCAAAATCCAGAGACCCTTGAAGACATCCAGTCCTCTTCACTCCAGGAAGAAACCCCAGCACAGCTTCCACTGCTCCCTCAGGAGGTAGAACCTTCAACCCAGCAGGAGGCCCCAGCTCTGCCTCCAGAGTCCTCTATGGAGAGTCTAGCTCAAACTCCACTGAATCATGAAGTGACAGTTCAACCTCCAGGTTGCTCATTACAACTTTCCCAACGTTACAGTCAAACCTGCAGATGTGGAAGTTACCATGACTTCAGAGCCCAAAAATGAGACAGAATCTTCCCAAGCCCAGCAGGAGGCCCCAATTCAGCCTCCAGAGGAGGTGGCACCTTCTGCAACCCAACAGGAGGCCCCAACTGAGCCTCCAGGTCCTCCTATGGAGCCTGAACTTTCCCCCAGTGAACAGGAGCAGCCAGCTCAGCCTTCTGAGTCTTCTGGAGAGGTTGAATCTTCTCCAGCCCAGCACGAGACCCCAGCTCAGCCTCCAGAAGAGATGGAACCATCTGCATTCCAAGAGGAGGCCCCAACTGAGCCTCCACGTCCTCCTATAGAGCCTGAACTTTCCCCCAGTGAGCAGGAGCAGCTAGCTCAGCCTTCTGAGTCTTCTGGGGAGGTTGAATCTTCTCCAACCCAGCAGGAGACCCCAGCTCAGCCCCCAGAACATCATGAAGTCCCAGTTTCACCTTCAGGTTACCATGAAACTCAGCATTCAGATTTTCCCAATGTCTCTGTTAAGCCTCCAGACGTGCAGCTCACTATAGCAACAGAGCCTAGTGCAGAGGTGGAAACTTCTCCAGTCCACCAGGAGGCTACAGCTCAGCTCTCAGGTCCAGGTAATGTAGAACCTCCCGCCATCCAGCACGGGTGCCCACCTCTGCCTCCAGAGTCATCAGAAGAGGCTGGACATTTACAAATTCAACAGGAAACTTCAGTTCAATCTCCAGAACCTATTAATAAAGAGAACACCACTCCAACCCAGCAGGAGGCTGCAGCTGAGCATCCACAGACCGCTGAGGAGGGTGAGTCTTCTCCAATCCAGCAGGAGGCCCCAGCTCAGCCCTTAATGTCCCCTGAGCAGTTTCAACATTTGAAAGACCAGCAAGACATTATAATTCAGCAGCTAAATAGACCTGAAAATTATGAACCTCCTCCAGTCCATAAAGAGCCTACAACTCAGCCTCCAACTCAGCTCTCCTCAGACTTTGTAAGTTCAATGGATGATGAAGCAATAGGTTCACCTCCAGATGTGTCATATCTAGATCTAGATAGGGAGCTTACCAAACCTACAGCAGTCACTATGTGGGTAGAACCTTCTCCAGTCCAGCAGGACAACCCTTCTATTCCCACTGAGCAGGCTGACTTTTCTTTAACCCAGCCTGATCTCCCTTCCCCACCTCTGCATTCTCCTGAGAAGATTGAATCTCCAGTCCACCAAGAGGCCACAGCTCAGACTCCAGATCCCCCTAAGGAGGCAGAACCTTCTCCAGTCCAGCAAGAGTTCCCAGCTGAGCCACCAGAGCCCCCTAAGGAGGTTGAACCATCTGCAACCCAGCAGGAAGCCTCAGGTCATCCTTGGAAGTCCACTGAAGCGGTCAGTCCTCCACCACAGTGGGAGACACCAGCTCAGCCATCAGAGCCACCTGAGAAGGTTGACCCATCTCCAGTCTACAGCAGGCCCCAACTTGGCTTTTAGAGCCACCTAAAGAGGTAGAATCCTCTCCAGTCCAGCAGGCAGTCCCTGCTCAGTCTTCAGACCCCACTATGGTGATAGAACCCTCTCTGACCCAGCAGATGGCCCCATCTTTGCCTCCAGGGTTCCCTCAGGAGGTAGAACCATCTGTAACTCAGCAGGAGGTTCCAGCTCAGATTCCAGAGCCCCCTGTGGAGGCAGAACCTTCTCTGACCCAGCAGGAGGCCACAGTTCAGGCTGCAGAGTCCCCTAGGGAGGTAGAATCTTCAAGGCAGCAAATGGTCCCAGTTCAGCTTCCAGAGCCACCTAAGGAAGTTGCAGCTCAACCTCCAGCTCATTATGAGGTGACAGTCCCAACACTAGGCCAGGATCCAGCTCAGAATTCAACATTGCCCAGTGTCACTGTTCAACCTTTGGACCTGGGACTTACCATCATTCCAGAATCAACGACAGAGGTTGAACTTTCTCCAACCATGCAGGAGACCCCAACTCAGCCTCCTAAGAAAGCTCTACAACAACTTGTACTATATCAAGAGGTAAAAATTCCAACACCAGGTCAGGATCAAGCTCAGCATCCAATGTCACCCAGCATTACAGTTCAACCTTTGGACCTGGGACTTACCATCACTCCAGAACCCACTATGGAGGTTGAACATTCTACACCCCTGAAGAGAACTATAGTTCCTCCAAAGCACCTTAAGGTGATACTTCCACATCCAGACCAGTTTCAGACTCAGCATTCACACCTGACTGAAGCCACAGTTCAACCTTTGGATCTGGAGCTTACCATCACTCCAGAATCCACAACAGAGGTTGAATCTTCTACAGCCCTGACGACTACAGCTCCTCCTCCAGAACACCCTGAGGTGTTCACCTTCAGACAAGGGTCAGGCTCAGCTTTCACACCTGACCGAAGCCACAGTTCAACCTCTGGACCTGGAGCTTAGCATAACTACAGAGCCTACTACAGAGGTTAAACCATCTCCAACCACGGAGGAAACCTCAGCTCAGCCTCTAGACCCGGGGCTTGCCATAACTCCAGAACCTACTACAGAGATTGGACATTCCACAGCCCTGGAGAAGACTAGAGCTCCTCATCCAGACCAGGTTCAGACTCTGCATCGAAGCCTGACTGAAGTCACAGGTCCACCTACAAAGTTAGAATCTTCGCAGGATTCATTGGTGCAGTCTGAAACTGCACCAGAGGAACAGAAGGCCTCCACAGGCACCAACATATGTGAGCTCTGCACCTGCGGAGATGAGACTCTGTCATGTGTTGGTCTCAGCCCAAAGCAGAGGCTCCGCCAAGTGCCTGTGCCAGAGCCCTACACCTACAATGGCATCTTCACCACCTTGTAAGAATCACCTTTCCTCAATCATCCTCTGTGTCTTGCCTGACATGGCAGCCTTTTCCTGGAGGCCTTCCAGGGCCTTCTTTATCTCCCCAAGCCATACTGACAACTGACTTTCTGCTTTCACCTTTGCTTGTCAATTCTCCCTTCTCCTCATTCTCCTTTAATGTTAGACCCATTCTCCAGTCTTTTACTTTTTCTCCAGTCTTTTACTCTTACTCGTTTTCTTATCCATTCTTATTTACCCCATCACATCATTGCTTAACCGCTGCTCTGCTCCTATTTTCGCTTCACCCTCTTTTTTTTTTTTTTTTTTTGAGACAGAGTTTTGCTCTTGTTGCACAGGCTGGAGTGCAATGGCACGGTCTTGGCTCACCGCAACCTCCATCTCCCAGGTTCAAGTGATTCTCCTGCCTCAGCCTCCTGAGTTGCTGGGATTACAGGCATGTGCCACCACACCTGGCAACACACAAAAAACATTCTTTGTATTTTTAGTAGAGACGGGGTTTCTCCATGTTGATCTCCTGACCTCAGGTGATCCACCCACCTTAGCCTCCCAAAGTGCTAGGATTACAGGCGTGAGCCACCGCGCCTGGCCCGCTTCACCTTCTTTACAGCAGCCTGTCACTCTCCCGATCTCAGTGATGATGCTCTAAGTGGTTAAGAATTGATTCTGGAGCCAGGCTGCCTGGGTTTGAACCCAGGTCTGTTTATTAGCTTGGTGATCCAGAGCAAGTTATTCTGCTCTGTGACTCAATTTCCTCCTTTTAAACTGGGGATTATGCTAGTTACCATTTCATAGGATTGTTGTGAAATTTGGGTGAGTGAATATATGAAACACTTCATCAGTGCCTAGCATATGTAGGAGTGTTGGCTGTTAACATGATTACTCTGTCCTTTAGTTATGTCCAGAACTCCTCTTTGTCCCTGGCTTTTTATATGTAGCACTCATTTTGTGACAAACCCAGGACAAAGTATGCTATTGTCCGCAGAACATGAAGATGATAGGAGGGAAGAAAGAGAATAGGCATAAAAAGGGCGGTGTATATAATTAATTCCTGAAAGATAATGCATACCATCGTTGCTAGAATTTACCAGAATCTGTGGTCCTTGAGGTGTGGAGATCAGGGAAAGCTACATGGATAAGCTAAAAGTTTACTTGGGTCTTAAAGAGTACACAATGAGGTATGGAAAGCCATTGAAAGTTTCCAAGCAAGAGAGATTAAATGATTAAAACAGGAAGATTATTTTATTTTATTTTGTTTTTTTTGCTTTATGTTCAAGTATAGACATGCAAAGGATTATTTTAGAATCCATATGTAGAGTGCCCAAAAGGAAAAGCTTATTTCAGGGAGACAAAATAGAAAGGTCTAGCAAAATGTAGGAGTAAAGTGTGAAGGGGCTAAATCAGATCAGTTGTAATAAGAGTGGAAAGAAAAAGCCTAGGATGTTTCAACAGAGGGCAAAGCTTTGGTGTTACCTGGCATAGGGTTTCTTTCTACTTATTTATCGATAAAGATAAGCTTATGCCCATTTTTCTGTTGAATTATTTACCATTTTTGTGTTGATTTGTAGGAGTTTGTTTAGACACATAAGTGCTTTTGGATAAAATACTTACATTCAACGTAATTAACTGGCATCGTCTGTCCAAGAGATGGGATGGATAGGAAGTTAAGCTTCCGGGAGATGCCTCATCATTTGTGCCAGCGGCCCTGCATTATTTCTTGATGAATTGTGCAAACTGGGAAGCTGATAGCTCTGGAAATGAGAAAGCAGGTGTTATTTTCTGTTTCCGAATATCCCCGACAAGGTTGCCATGATTCTTTTATTTATCCTGTTCATTCTTTTCCTGCCTATTCAAGGATATAAACTGTCTTTCTTCACAGAAATTTCCAAGGAAACTATATTTCATACATTGATGGAAATGTATGGAAAGCATACAGTTGGACCGAGAAACTGTGAGTATATTCTCTCCAAATATGACAAAAAACTAACTGCATTATAAGATCCTTCTTGGTCCAGAATTTTGAGGTCTATACCTCTGAGAAAAGATATTTCCCCTCCATACCCGAAATCAACCTCTGTGGATTGCAATCCTATGGTTATTTTAAAATTAAATTTGGGAAGCTCTCTCTAAGAGGCAATTTAAATTTATTTTTTATCATACAAATAATACATGGTTATATTCTTTTTTTTCTCTTTTTTTTTCAGAGACAGGATCTTACTTTGTCCCCTGGGCTGGAGTGCAGTGGCATAATCACATCTCACTGCAGCCTTCACCTCCCAGGCACAAGTGATCCTCCCACCTCAGCCTCCCAAGTAGCTGGGACCACACACAAGTGCATGCCACCACATCCACCTAATTTTGTATTTTTTGTAGAGACGGGTTCTTCCTATGCTGCTTAGGCTGGTCTTGAGCTCCTGGGCTCAAGTGATCCTCCCACCTTGGCCTCCTAAAGTGCTCATATTATAGGCATGAGCCACCACCCCCAGCCCATGATTCTATTTTTAATGTATAAAAATGCAATAACAGGTATAACAAAAACCCTCCTTCTGCCCTACTTTCTCGTCCCTGAGGTAATGCTACTGTGTGTTTAGTATACATGCTTCCAGACTTTTCCCCATTTACCTACATACATATTTACATAAAGCAAAATAGATTTGTTGTGTGGTTTTTAAAATCTTTTTTCTTTTCATAAAGGGTAACATCTTGCAACTTGATTCTTTCACTTCATGGTATCACTTATATGATATTCTTTCACTTCATAATTTCTTTCCTTCCTGGGACTTAGAGGGTCACCCCATTCATTTAAACTCCTGCATAATCCATAGTATGGATGCATCAGAGTTTATTTAATAATTTCCCCATTGATGAATGTTGAGCTTATGCTTAGTGGGCAAGTATTCCTATAGCATAGATATCTAGAAATGGAAGAGTTGGGGTGAAGACTATGTAGATATAAAATTTTAATTGTCCTCAAAAATGTTGTGCCAACTGACTGTATTGTCAGCAGAATGTGACAGCATTCATTTCCCCACACCTTTTCACTGTTGGGTATTCACCAAATTTTTGTTGAAGTTATGGATGAATAAAAGGGATTCCATCCAAATTTGAATTTTTCTGATCACTCATGAATTTAATTAAATATCTTTATATGTTTATTGAACATTTGTGTTTCTCCTCTGAGTTTTCTGTCCTTTGTTCATTTTCCTGTTGAATTGTTTTATCGTTGTCTTCCTGATTTATAGAAGGAATTAGTTGAGACACATAAATGATTTTGGAAAAATGCTTACATTCAAAGTAACATTTTTCACAACAGTTTCTGTCACATCATTAGTTTGACTTATATAGACAAGACATACATGAGTTCTAAATTAAAAATCAAACACATACTAGGTGCGGTGGCTCACAGCTGTAACCCCAGCACCTCGGGAGGTCGAGGCAGGCGGATCACCTGAGGTCAGGAGTTTGAGACCAGCCTGGCCAATATGGCGAAACCCCATCTCTACTGAAAATACAAAAATTAGCCAGGCATGGTGGTGGGTGCCTATAATCCCATCTATTTGGGAAGCTGAGGCAGGAGAATTGCTTTATTTATTTTTTGAGATGGAATTTTGTTCTTGTTGCCCAGGCTGGAGTTCAATGGTGCGATCTTGGCTCACTGCAAGTTCCACCTCCCGGGTTCAAGGGATTCTCCTGCCTCAGCCTCCTGGGTAGCTGGAATTACAGGTGCCCGCCACCATGCCCAGCTAATTTTTCTATTTTTAGTAGAGACAGAGTTTCGCCATGTTGGACAGGCTGGTCTCAAACTCATGACTTCAGGTGATTCATGTGCCTTGGCTTTCCAGAATGATGGGATTACAGGCATGAGCCACCACGCCAGGCCAGGACTACATTTTAAAAGCAAGAAAGTCATTACAAAAGTCAGAGTAGTGGTTACCTACTAGGGTTAGAGAGAGGAATATGGTTGGAAAGGGGCACACTGGGGCTTCTGGGATGCTAGCAATAATCTTTTGTAACAATGTTTACATGGGTATCTGCTTTATAATTATTAAACTGAATATTTGGCCAGGTGAGGTGGCTCATGTCTGCAATCCCAACACTTCGGGAGGCAGAGACAGGAGGATCACTTGAGCCAGGAGTCTGAGACCAGTGTGGGTAACAGAATGAGACCCTGTCTCAGAAATTAAATTAAATTAAGTTAAATTAAATTAAAGATAAACAACATTTATGTTATGTGCACTTTACGCACATTGTAGTTCTCAAATTTTTTTGATGGGGGACAAAAGTCGAATGGCTTCACTTGCAGCCCTGACATGGTCCCATGTGGGGCTTTTGTAATAAGGTTTGGGAAAAGAGAGGAGGAAATGGAGGTTCTGCTGATCTTGGTGCCACCCAGAGTTGGATTCTGAAAGGTATATTATGATCTAGAGAGGAGTCATTAAAGATACAATTTGGTGGGAAGAGTGGAGCAGTGTGCTTGTGTGTGTGTGCTTGCACGTGTGTGTGTGCTTGTGTGTGTGTACTTGTGTGTGTGTGCTTGCATGTGTGTGTGTGCTTGCTTGTGTGTGTGCGTGTGTGTGTGTGCTTGCAAGTGTGTGTGCGTGCTTGCCTGTGTGTGTGTGCTTGTGTGTGTGTGCTTGCATGTGTGTGTGTGCTTGCATATGTGTGTGCTTGCACGTGTGTGTGTGTGCTTGCCTGTGTGTGTGGTGGTGGTGGTGGAGAGGGATGGACACGAAAAGGAAAATGGAAGAAAAGGTTTGAACGAAAGCAGAGCAGATCCCACCATCTTGAAATGACCATGACCCAGCTTTCCTCCACATGCAGGAGATAGTCCTGTGTAGCAAATAGTTGTAGTTTGCATTTTAACCTAGAAATAACTTTTTCATTTTCCAGAATTCTCAGTGAAAATTATTTGACTGAATTACCTAAGGATTCATTTGAAGGCCTGCTATCCCTCCAGTATTTGTAAGTTAGTTAATCATATTTTTGAGTTTTTAGTCATATTATCTTTAAAATGAATAAGAGGTTCAAATTAGATAATCTCTAAGATTTCTTCCAGCAATAAAATTCTGCAATTCTGTAAGTTTGTATAGGGTCTCAGCCCATCTCTAGCATTCGCTATGTCCTATGCATTTTCAGTTTTTAAATTGTATAGACAAAATACTGACAGAAAAAATTTCACATGGTAAGAAGATCTGAGCAGTGACTGACACCCATATGAACCTTGTTTTCTAAGGGTTTACATACCATCTTCTTCTATTCAATCTACAGCCAATAGATCAAATCTAACCTAAGGTCTATTTTTTAATAGCCCATTAAGTTAAGAATGGTTTTTGCATTTTTAAAGGACTGTGAAAGAAAAAAGAAAGAGAAATATGTGAGAGAGATCATATGTGGCCCACAAAGCCTTAAAATATTTACTGTCTGACCTTCACAAAAAAAGATTTGAAACAGTTGGTTTAGTAGGATGAAAGGAATTAAAGTTAACGTCAGATTGTTGCCTAAAGGAGAAGAAAATATAGACCACCTACATTCATTTGAACATCATTAATCCAGAATTTTTTGGTAATTTAATCGGAATTAAATTAACATTTAAATATTTGAAATCAGCTGAATTATAGAAATAATATTATCAAGAATATTAAGCTACCAAGAGAATAGACTAGTATTAAGGATTTCATTTCAGGAATTGTTATATTAAAACAGATGTTTAAAATGATGGTTAAGTGGTAGAGCTAGAAATGTTTACAGTAAGAAGCATATCAGAAATGCCCCTAACTCTTCACTAATTACACAGTAACTATCTCCCCAGCCCTGTTACCAAGAAAGGGATACCTGCATAGTATTTCTGTCTGTTTAGAGACAAGAAGATACTATGTTCAATTGCTATGAAAGCTTGATTCTTATCCTCTGTCCGCAGAGGTGTGTATGTCATTAATCCTTATTAGTGATGCTCTTTTGCAGACAGATTCTTTCAAATGTGAAAGGCTTAAGGAAAGTGGGTGTAAAGACCCTCAAGTGGATGCCAAAGTGCTGCAGAGGCCATGAAGTAATAAAACTACATTTGCTTTAAAATAATCATTTTCCTTCTACTCACTCCCCCAGCTATTTATTTATTTATTTATTTATTTATTTATTTATTTATTTTTGAGATGGAGTCTCGCTCTGTCACTCAGGCTGGAGTGCTGTGGTGCGATTTCGGCTCACCCCAAGCTCTGCCTCCCTGGTTCACTCCATTCTCCTGCCTCAGCCTCCCAAGTAGCTGGAACTACAGGCACACGCCGCCACGCCCAGCTAATTTATTGTATTTTTAGTAGAGACGGGGTTTCGCCTTGTTAGCCAGGATGGTCTCGATATCCTGATCTTGTAATCCACCCGCCTCAGCCTCCCAAAGTGCTGGAATTACAGGCATGAGCCACCGTGCCCGGCCAGCTATTCATTTGTTTTACAAATATTTGAATTTACTATTTCCATGTGTCAGTTTTAAACATGGTGGGCAATGCAGATGAGCAAGACCTAGTCCATGCTTTCAAGGAGTTTATGCTCAGAAAAAATGGGATGAAAAATAACTACATTAATAAGAAGAAATGGATGTGGGCACTAGGAGGGATAAATTGTTTCTGAAGCATAGAAGAGGGGAAAATGACTTCAGTTTGGACCCAGGAAGCTGTTACTAGAACAATCCCATTTGAATAGGACTTTGAAGGGCCATTGTGTAGCATCGGACAGACATCTTGGGGACAATATTCTAAACTTGCAAAAGGGAAATGGGAGAAGGGCAAAACACAGGAAAGTATTCGAGGAATGCCATGAGTACCTGTAGATTACAAGGAGGGAGAGTAGGAAATTGGAGCCAGATCTTCTAGGGCTTTGAATGCCAAGCTGCGGAGCCATCATGGGGAACCATGTTATCACAGCAGTGCTGTAAGATGGATCTGCATCACAATCATTGAGAGGGCACGTTAGAACTCAGTTCTGGACTCCGCCCTCATAGTTATTGGATTCAGTTGGTCTAGAGTGGGACCAAGAATTTGCATCCTCAATAATTTCCCAGGAGGTGCTGGTCTTTGCAAGCCACTTCTGGAGAGTTTATATGATGACTGTGTGGAGGATAGTTTAGGAAGGGAGAGACTAGAGATGGAGACATCAGCCAGACAACGTTACACCATCCAGGTAAAGAGGGAGGGAAAAGCCCCATCTCTGTATAACTGAAGAAATTGCTTTCATGAAATATTAAAGCAATATAAAACCAAAAATGAATTTCTATTAATATGATAGAAATTAATTGTATTAATATGATTTGAATATTAGTTCAAAGTTATGTATTAAGTAAAGGGGTAACTTCCTTTCAAATGCTGTTGAAAGGATGTCTTTTACTTCTTCTGATACTGAACTGGCTTAGGAAAACAAACCTCAACTAGGAAGGTGTATAAATGTGAGGCTATTCGTTTTAATATTAGTAACTATATATACAGATAAAAGCTTTGAGCTCATACTCTAGGATTTGATGAGACTACAAAAGGGCATCTAATCAAGTCTACTGCTCTCAGGAGAAATTAATTCCAAAGTCTATTAAGTTGTATATTTTATTTATTAAAAGTATGAAGGCGAGACTCTAGGAGAGGTACAGGCAGGGTTAGGGGCTCTGGAAAGTTCAACTACAGGTCCAAATGTTTAGAGTCGAGATGAAAAATGTGTATTCAATATTATTCTAAACTCTTGCTATTATTCATACTAGTCAACACTGATAACTTATCAAGGCAATATTTTCCTTTTATTTTTCCTGGAGATTCATCCTGCAATAAAATACGGTATATTGAAAGACAAACATTTGAATCACTACCATTTTTGCAGTATACGTAAGTTACAAATATAACTTTATTACATTTGGAATTTTTATAAAACTTAATTATAAACCTCTTTGCTATTCATTTTGAAATATGATTAAAATTTGACCAGTAGAAAGGTACTAAAATTATATAGCAAGTCCTTTTTGTCTCTAGCAAAGATTAGTGTGAGAATTATTACACAGATCATAGTGAATCATCAGAGAGCAGTGGTTCTCAACTGGTGTGATTTTGTACTCAGGTGACATTTGGTAATGTCCAGAGACAGTTTTGCTTGACAAAACTGTGGTTGTGCTCCTGGCATCTGGTGGGCAGAGGCCAGAGATGCTGCTAAACATCCTGCAGAGTGTAAGACAAACCCCCACGGCAAAGAGTTATATAGTCCAAAATGTCGATGGTACTGAAGTTGTGAAATCCTGTTCTAGAGAAATGAAGATCACTTAACACAGGTATTTACTGAGCGTTCACTGTTTTGTAGCTAATGCACCACATGTGCAATATTAAAGTATAAATCATAAGCCAGTATCTTCCACAGTGAGATTGCCTTAGTGCACAGAGAAAGGATTGAGGTGATGTTCCATCCTATGTAAATTAGACTCACAGCAAATGATAAATGTTCTGAAATAATTTTTTTTTCCTTTGGCTTATGTCTTTTTTTGTAGAAATCTGGGCTGCAATTTAATTACAGAACTGAGCCTTGGAACATTTCAGGCCTGGCACGGAATGCAGTTTTTACACAACTTGTAAGTGAAATAGAAGATGAATACGTGTAAACAACTATTTTGTATAAAAACTCATACAATTATTGGTTAGCTGGGTATAAGCCCATTATGAACTCTGAAAAGTGTGTCTTAAGATCCATTCGTTTTTCTCAAATGGGGAAACTAAGGTACAAAGCAGCCAAGAGACTTACACAGCTTATATATGACCTGCTCTGCTTGTCCTAGTTCTGACCTATGGCATGGGCAAGAAAAGGCATCAAACAAGTGACCCTCAAATTAGCCTTGTTGCTGGGCAGGTGGCTCAGGCCTGTAATCCCAGAACTTTAGGAGCTGAGGGGGGCGGATCACCTGAGGTCAGGAGTTCAACACCAGCTTGGCCAACATAGTGAATCCCCATCCCTACTGAAAATACAAAAAAAATTAGCTGGGCGTAGTGATGCAGTTTTTTGCTCCCTGGAGGACTTTGTGTTAAGCTTTCTTCCTTGCAGCTAAATGTTGCAGACATTTAAGCAGTTTGAAACTCTGCATATGGGCAGGAATCAAAGTTAAATCCAAAGTGTAGGGCTGGGCGTAGTGGCTCATGCCTATAATCCCAGCACCTTGGGAGGATCACTTGAGGTCAGGAGTTTGAGACCAGCCTGGCCAACATGCCGAAACCCCGTCTCTACTAACGATACAAAAATTAGCAGGTCGTGGTGGCAGGCGCCTGTGATCCCAGCTATCGGGAGGCTGAGGGTCGAGAATGGCTTGAACTCCAGAGGTGGAAGTTGCAGTGAGCCGAGATTGTGCCACTGCACTCCAACCTCCCCTCCAGGCTGGTCTCGAACTCCTGTGACCTCAGGTGATCTGCCCACCTTAGCCTCCCAAAGTGCTGGGGTTACAGGCGTGAGCCACCATGCCTGGCCAAAATGGTGTTTATGTTAAGCTATTGTGCAAAAAAAAATTTTGTAAAGAAAATACGTCGCTCTATTTTAATTCCATATACTTTCCTGACTACTCTTCTACCGTAAGTGCAAAAATTCTATGATTTCTCTGTATAACATACCCAGCAAATCAGAGTGGGTATATTCAATGGCCTGAAGGGGACTTTAGACTCAAGGTGAAGATTCTCCTCTACATCTGACTTTAGAAAATACTTTCCACCTTTCCTGTGGTTCAGAAATCTAGTTTCACACAGTTCATTTTGAGGTAGAGGGAGGTGTTCAGGATGTGTCTGGATTAGAGCAGCAGTTTCTGCAGATGCTCCTCTCTGTCTTCATTAATTTGCTGATGCTTAACTTAGGGAAGACACACTGAGGGTCTGTTTTTCTTTTGCCCTCACACCGGAGAACAGGCTCATTAGGTCCCTCCACCAAGAGGTTTGGGTAGCATCAATACAAATGTCTTAAACTCACCACCTTTACTAAGCACTTTAAAACAGTGGGAGTCCCACATAAGAATCTGGCGGCCGGGAGCGGTGGCTCATGCCTGTAATTCCAGCACTTCTGAAGGCTGAGGTGGGTGGATCACCTGAAGTCAGGAGTTCGAGACCAGCCTGCCCAACATGGTGAAACCCCGTCTCTACTAAAAATACAAAAATTAGCTGGGTGTGGTGGTGGGCGTGTGTAGTCCCAGCTACTTGTGAGGCTGAGGCAGAATGGCATGAACCTGGGAGGTGGAGCATGCAGTGAGCCAAGATCGGGCTGCTGCACTCCAGCCTGGGGGACAGAGTGAGACTCTGCCTCAAAAAAAAAAGAAAAAAGAAAAAAAAGAAACTTCCCTGAATATTCCAGCCCTCCTGAGCCTAGTCCCTTTGTGAGATTTGTCCCCATTTCTTGGACACCATATAAGAGACTTCAGAGGCTGAAGTGGGAGGATTGCTTGAGCCTGGGAGGTTGAGGATGCAGCGAGCTGTGGTCATACCACTGCACTCTAGCCTGGGCAACAGAGCGAGACCTTGTCTCAAAAACAGCCACCACCAAAAACTATCTTGGGATTTGAATAGGATTACCTTAAATTTGTAGATTAATTTGAGAATTGACATCTGTACGACATTCTAGAACATGGTATTTCATGTCATGTATTCATTTCTTGTTAATGTCTTTCAGAAGAGTTTTAGGGTTTCCATCATATAGATCTTACACGTCTTTTGTTAGATAACAGATCTTTGTATTTTTGTTCCTAAATACTTCAGACATTTGTATTGCCATTGTAAATGGGATCTTTCTTCCATTTTCTAGTTAGTTATTGGTGGTACATCTGAAAAGCATTTGAGGTTTGTGTGCTGCTCTCTTGATTTTGTTTCTAGCCACCGTACTGAATTCTCATATTACTTCCAGTAAAATCTTAGTTGATTCTCTTAGGCTTCTTTGGCTAACATTTATTATTTTATATGCAAATAATGACAGTTTTGTCTCTTCCTTTTCAATACTTACACTCTTTCCTTCCTTTCCTTTCTTTGTTTTTTCTTTCTCAGGGCCTTGTTGTCACCCAGACTGGAGAGCAATGGTGTGATCTAGCTCACTGTAACCTCAAACTCCTGGGCTTAAGGGATCCTCCTGCCTCAGCTTCCAGAGTGGCTGGGACTACAGGCAGGCAGTGAATTTTAAAACTTTCGTTGTAGAGACAAGATCTCGCTATGTTGCCCAGGCTGGTTTTCCTGCCACTTTAGAGCAGGTTTCCTTTTTTTCATACTTTTTTTTTTTTTTTTTTAGTATTTATTGATCATTCTTGGGTGTTTCTCGGAGAGGGGGATTTGTCAGGGTAATAGGACAACAGTGGAGGGAAGGTCAGCAGATAAACATGTGAACAAAGGTCTCGGTTTTCCTAGACAGAGGACCCTGTGGCCTTCCACAGTGTTTGTGTCCCTGGGTACTTGAGATTAGGGAGTGGTGATGACTCTTTTAACGAGCATGCTGCCTTCAAGCATCTGTTTAACAAAGCACATCTTGCACTTTTTCATACTTTTGGGAGTGGAGTTTTTTATTAGGAATTGTCCATTGAATGTTAGCTAAAACAGTCAATAAAATGCATTAAGTGCCAGCTGCATGCAAGACCCTAAGTTAGATACAATCAGCCCTCTTCATCAGCAGGTCCACATCTTCAGATTCAACTAGATGAGGCTGAATATTTGAAGAAAGAAAAAATAAAAATACAAATAGAAAGTACAGTATAACAACTGTTGCCATTATACAATATCTATACATTTTGTTAGTGATGACTTCAAGTACATGGGACCAGGCACGGTGACTCACACTTGTAATCCCAACACTTTGGGAGGCCAACCTGGGCAGCATAGTGAGACCTTGTCTTTAATAAAAATAAAAATAAAAAAATTAGCCAGGTGTGGTGGTATGCACCTGTAGTCCCAGCTACTCAAGAGGCTGAGGTGGGCAGATCACTGGAGCCCAGGAAGTTGAGGCTGCAGTGAGCTGTGATTGTGACACTGTTCTCCAGCCTGAGTGACAGAGGGTGATCCTGTCTCTAAGTAAGTAAATAAATAAAGTATATGGGGGCGGGGGTGTTGGTTATATGCAAACACTGCACCATTATATTTAAGGGATTGAGCATCCACAGATTCTGGTATGGTGTGGGGGCGATATCCTAGAACCAGTCCTCTGCAAGGTAGCAAGGATGACTGAACTGTGGAAGAATCAAAGTACTGTTAAACAGCATATAATGCCTGTCTTCAAAAAAGTTATCTCATCAGGTAGATGAGACTTAAAATGAATAAAAGGAATGAATACACATTGGAGATAGTGGTTGTTGTGATAGATAACCTTAATTGTGTTTTCTTCCAAAACAGGTGAATTCACAGAAAAGGCATCAGAGGAAGATAAAAGACCCATCAGTATCAGGAGCCTGAGCCCAAGTTAAGGCATCTGGATGGCCTGGAGCCATGTTTTAAATATTTTATTATTAACTCTCGGCCTTAGCGCCATTTTCTTGGAAACCTGCACCATGAGAGCCAAGTGGAGGAAGAAGCGAATGCGCAGGCTGAAGCGCAAAAGAAGAAAGATGAGGTAGAGGTCCAAGTAAACCGCTAGCTTGTTGCACTGTGGAGGCCACAGGAGCAGAAACATGGAATGCCAGATGCTGGGGATGCTGGTACAAGTTGTGGGACTGCATGCTACTGTCTAGAGCTTGTCTCAATGGATCTAGAACTTCATCGCCCTCTGATCGCCGATCACCTCTGAGACCCACCTTGCTCATAAACAAAATGCCCATGTTGGTCCTCTGCCCTGGACCTGTGACATTCTGGACTATTTCTGTGTTTATTTGTGGCCGAGTGTAACAACCATATAATAAATCACCTCTTCCGCTGTTTTAGCTGAAGAAAAAAAAAATTTTATAATTAAATATTGATTTTTACTGGTTAAATCAATGAAAACATTCTTTACTTTGTGGTTGTGTTCCTCAAAATGAGGATTTTTAACAATAATAAAAATAAAGCTTGTTAGATCATTTTTAATGGTAATAAATTGGTTCCTGAAGATTTGACTAAAGAGAAAACTAAGCCAATCTAAGCAGAGTCCAAATTTTTGTAAAAATACAGAAATTAGCTGGGTGTGGTGGCAGGTGCCCGTAATCCCAGCTACTCAGGAGGCTGAAGCAGGAGAATCACTTGACCCAGGAGGTGGAGGTTGCCATGAGTTGGAATCGTGCCACTGCGCTCCAGCCTGAGAGGAGAGGCTGTCCAAAAAAAAAAAAAAAAAAATATATATATATATATATATATATATATATACACACACACACACACACACACACACTATAGATATATATATATACACATATATATATATACGCTTTTCTAGTATTAATAAAATTATTTTATAAAAGAAGTCCATTACTAACACACACTTGCATGCAAAGCACAAGACACATCTAAGGGCCGGGCGTAGTGGCTCATGCCTGTAATCCCAGCACTTTGGGAGGCCGAGGCGGGCAGATCACTTGAGGTCAGGAGTTCAAGACCAGACTGGCCAACACAGTGAAACCCCATCTCTACTAAAAATACAAAAATTAGCCAGGCGTACTGGTGGGCACCTGTACTCCCAGTTGCTCAGGAGGCTGAGGCAGGAGAATCGCTTGAGCCCAGGAGGTGGAGGTTGCAGTGAGCCAAGATCCCACCATTGCACGCCAACCTAGGCGACAGCAAGGCTCCGTCTCAAAAAAAACAAAAATAGGACTAAAATTAAGTTGCCAAGAATTTACATGCAGTCCTTTCTACATATAAGACATAAATACCTGACACTTCATTCATTCCCTTCATTCTCCAGCCAGCCTCCCCCGGACAAGTCTGGCAACGATTCTGACCACTGGGCACAAGAAATTACCTCTTTTCAGTTTATGTTAGGACAACCTACATGGGTTTACATTTGGCTTAATATAATACTACCCTACTTCTCCAATAAGTATTTAAGCATTTATTTAAAAAACAGAAACTTTTCAATTTAACCACTTCTACTACCCTAGTCTCTCTGAAAAAGACATGACATGCCTAACTTCAAGGAAAAAAGGGTCCTTTTTCCTCACAAAGATTTCCTTATAAACTTTGTTTTTTAAATGCTTTTAAAACCAGATTCTAATTTAATTAATATAGATTTGCAAAACTATGAAGAAAAAGCCTTGCCGGTTGTTGCTTCGCTTAATTTCACGATTTAGGAAATTGCAACTACGTATTTAATACAAAGCAGCCTTGGGGAGCGCGGGGGGTGGGGGGCGCGTGGTGGGGTGGTGATTGTGTTTAACAAAATGCATCTCAGCACCAGCCTAGAGAAACTTTTCTGTGTGAAAACAGAAGAGGGGTTACCATGGAGAAATTCATTACGGATTTCGGGAGGGCTTTTTCCTCAGAAATAGAGAGAAAAGTGAAAGTCATTGTGTAAGAAATCTGATACTGATGCTGTGTGACTCAGAAGTTGTCCAAAAGTTCATCTTCGGCAATTATGTCTAGATGATCAACTACACATCTTCTGCAACAGGTGACACGAAACTGCATTTCCCAAGCAAGACAAAGTGATCAAATGAGTTAAGACGCACTTTCCTGCGGTCGTGTACTTGTATTTTTGATTTAACCAAAACAATTTTGAATCGGATGAATTACCAAATTTGGTTGGGTCTTGTTCGGCTTTCTGTGCTTTTTAATCAGCCATTTACCAGCAACTGTTGCACGGGCCCATCAGCACTAGAAGAATAAAAACAAACACACAGGACCAGGTAAGGTTCCCCTACTAACCCAAATGATCCGTTTCCTTAACACAATTTAAAAACCACAGCCAGGGGTGTGAAAACAGGCAAGTTTTTCCGTGTGTCTGTGTGCCACAATCCATCCAAATCCTTAATTCTCTTTTAAGGAACAGATATACAATAAAAATCCGAAAGAAACCTCATTAGAAATGCAAAGAGGTTTGCAAAACAAGAGGCTTCTTTCATTCCAGAAAACCACACCAAAACAAGGGGAGAAAAATGAATGCAATGGATATGTTTGCCAAAGTTTCAATCCTGCCCGGTGCAGACACTGCACTGGCACAAATTTTTTGAAGAGGAAAAAGGGGTTGGTTGGTGGGGGAGAGACAGTGAGCGAGTGTGGCCTGCAAACTGCAACAATGCAATCTCCATTTTGAACAATGCACCTCTTTCCTCTTGTAAATCTAGTATTTTTGCCACCTGATGTGTCCTCGTATTTCCCGTTTCAGGGGTCGGCGGGGTTGGGAGGAGATCGGAGCAGGATGCACAGCACAGGATTGAGCAAGGGGGGAGGACAGAGGAGATAGGGAAGGAATCTGCAGCAACTGGGCTGGGTGGGTACTTGGAGTGCTACTGTAGGCAGATCCCCTGAGGTCAGGAGTTCGAGACCAGCCTGGATAACATGGTGAAACCCCGTCTCTATTAAAAATACAAAAATTAGCTGGGCGTGGTGGCACTTGCCTGTAATCCCAGCTATTCCAGAGGCTGAGGCTGGAGAATCGCTTAAACCAGGGAGACGGAGGTTGCAGTGAGCCAAGATCACGCCACTGCACTCCAGCCTGGGCGACAAGAGTGAAACTCCGTCTAAAAACAAACAAACAAACAAAAAATCAAGATGGTTACCTTCTTTTCTTTTTTTTTTTTTTGAGACGGAGTCTCGCTCTTTCACCAGGCTGGAGTGCAGTGGCGCCATCTCGGCTCACTGCAACCTCTGCCTCCCAGGTTCAAGTGATTCTCCTGCCTCAGCCTCCCAAGTAGCTGGGACTACAGGCACGTGCCACCACACCCGGCTAATTTTTGTATTTTAACTAGAGACTGGGTTTCACCATGTTGGCCAGGATGGTCTTGATCTCTTAACCTCGTGATCCTCCCGCCTCAGCCTCCCAAAGTGCTGGGATTACAGGCCTGAGCCACCATGCCCGGGCAAGGCCGCTACTTTCTATCAACTCTGTATCATAATTCATTTAATGCAAAAGAGGCAAATCACTATAGAAATGTAATAATCTTAATATTTTTACAAAGATATTGGCAGAGGTTGAAGGGCTCTAAAAAAAAAGGAAAATAAAGAGTTGCTAGGGTTTTTTTCCCCATGATTACAATTACAGTACAGTAATGTATGGCAAGTTTAGAACAATAAGTCTTATTACTCCTGGTACTCTCTCAATATTGATTAGTTAATTCATCCTAAATTTCCTTTTTTTTTTTTTTTTTTTCTGAGACAGAGTCTCGCTCTGTCGCCCAGGCTGGAGTGCAGTGGCGCGATCTCGGCTCACTGCAACCTCTGCCTGCCGGTTTCAAACAATGCTCCTTCCTCAGCCTCCCGAGTAGCTGGGACTACAGGCATGCGCCACGATGCCCGGCTAATTTTTTGTATTTTTTTAAGTAGAGACGGGGTTTTACCACGCAGGCTGTTCTCAAACTCCTGACCTCGTGATCCGCCCACCTTGGGCTCCCAAAGTGCTGGGATTACAGGCGTGAGCCACTGCGCCTGGCCCTAAATTTCCTTTTCAAAAATACCATAATCTACCTCACATCTGTAAAAGAGCTAACAGACATATCTGGAAGCTAAAGTGATCTAAAAACAATTATAGTGATTTTTAACAGTTTAAACAAAATGAGTAAATATCATAATAACCTGGGTATAAAATTTTGTATAAAAAATAATTGGAGTTAAAATTTAACCATTTATACACTTAAATGGATGCAATTTATTACATGTAAGTTATATCTCATTGATATTAATTAAAAATACTTTGAATGTTAAAAATAAAATCAGAAAAGAGTCAGAACTAGTATCAAAGAGACCAATGATAAAAATCATGACTTTAGAATCAAGACAGGTTTGTGTGTTTTGGCTCTGCCACTTACTATGTGGCCTTAGGCAAATTACTTAACTTCTGTAACTCTTAGTTTTTGAGGGTAACAATAGTAGTAGCGATAGAAATAATAGTAGCTAATTATTTATGAAGCACTTATTTTATGAAAGACACTGTACTAAAGTGCTTTACCTGAATTATTTCATTTAATCCTCTCAACAGTTTATGGAGTATGTACTATTATCACTCATACTGTTTTGTAAATAAATATAAACCAAAGCCCATGGAAGTTAAATAAATCAAGGTCATAAAGCCAGTACACAGAAGAGTAAAGCTTAGAATTCAGGTGGTCTGATTTCAGTAGCATGGCTATATACTGCCTTCCAATATGCTATGAGAATTAAATGATATGTACGTAAAGTGTTTATAACATTATCTGACATATACATGCTCAATTAAATGTTACTGTTATGTTAATTACTATTACACAAATTATCCATCACATCCCTCTTAAATACAGCAATGTTTCTAATTTAGCACTTGCATGGCCTGTTTTGAATAATCCACCAACTTTTTTTTAACTAGATAATATTTACAAGAGAGTTATATTTGTCAAGAAATTTCATTTGTCTCCTAGTCAAAACTCTTAATAACCAAATTTAACACACCTAATTTATGGCTTATTTTATAAATTTGTTGTGACAGGATCTTCCATCAATTTTACCATTAGAAGGAATACCTACATTCAATATACAGTAAACACCATTTAATACACAATAAACACCAATTTATTTCTAGCCATTTAAGGATATTATCTATATAATTCTCTAATGATTTCAGTGATGTTACCTTACTTGTCTGGTAAATCATTATCAAATAAATGACTGCAGTCCATAACTTGTCTTCCTGTACCAATTTGGTCTCTGGACTGAAGACTTACTATTAAATGATAGAAATATTACTAAGATTCATACAACTAGAAAGAATTATTATAATCAAAAATTTCTATCTTTAGAAGACATCTGGCTTAGCTTATTTTAATACTTTAGAATGACCTCTTTGGTTTCTACTAAAATTTATAATTTCTTTTCCCATAGATTTTTCCCTTTAGGAGTAGTATTAGAATTCTAAAGTTTTCTACACTTCATCATGTTCATGGAAGAAGCCTAATTCCTTCTTTACCATAGTAACAGGGCATAGCAGAGTCACTACTGTACTTAAGAAGAGGCATAACATATTAAGAATATATTCATGTACAAAGGAGTTTGAAAAGTCCACATTAAGTTTAATACTTGATAATCTCACCATCTAAAAAATACACTGGGCCGGGCATGGTGGCTCACGCCTGTAATCCCAGCACTTTGGGAGGCCAAGGTGGGTGGATAACAAGGTCAGGAGATCGAGACCATCCTGGCCAACATGGTGAAACCCCATCTCTGCTAAAATACAAAAAGTAGCCAGGCATGGTAGCCTGTGCCTGTAGTCCAAGCTACTGGGGAGGCTGAGGCAGGGGAATCACCTGAACCTGGGAGGCAGAGGTTGCAGTGAGCTGCAATTGCACCACTGCACTCCGGCCTGGTGAAAGAGCGAGACTCCGTCTCAAAAAAAGAAAAAAAATACACTGTATTCTAGAGCAAGAGGGCCATCCTGGTATTCCAGCAAGAGAGCAATCCTTGGATTCCATGAGTTTTAACAGGACACCATTATCCAGTGTAGTATATAAAACCACCACAAAAAATGAAGAAGCAAGAGATGTGAATTCTAGAGCAAGCTCTAGTAACCAGTTTAGCACTGTAAACTTGAACAAAACACTTAATAAGCAAGGTTTAGATAATCCCCATCTGAATAATGAGAAAGTTAGCTTAATTGATATCACTGAAGTCCTTCTTTGCTGCTCCAGTATTGTTTAATTCTAATTCTAGTAACTCTCCCAAAAGACAGAAAGAAGTACAGTCAAACTTGACTATAATCCAACTTCTTAAATAATAGGTTAGCACAAAAAGTATTATTACATCTAATGACCCTTCATTCAAAGAAGGGTCTCAAAATTCTGAAATCTTCCAGTTCTGTGAACATTTTGAAAGATCAGTTCAACATAGAGCTCCTTTACATTAAGTCCCATTTAGAGGACAGAACACTACAAACACCTACTCAGCAAATGTAAACAAAACATTATTATGAAAACTGTGCTAGACAACTATATCCATCAGTTTTTAAATAGATAAAATAAGTGAAATGCTTATCAAAATACAATCACAGTAGAAACAATGTATTTTCTCGTTAGCTTTGTTTAGAATAATAGTAAGATTCAAAACTAAAGAATTTCATGGGCTTCAATTTACATCTCCAGAATGCTGTGTTAATAGCAGAGCTATTAACTGGTTAAATGAATTACATACCCACCATGGACTACCACACAACATTAAAAATGCTATAGATTTTGCAAGCCTTAATGCAAAGTAGGAAAAAAAAAGGAACAATGCTATAGAAATGTATTTATGGGCCAAAAAAACAAAGATGTTTATGATAAATTTAAACCAGTTTTTAAAAATTCAGTATAATCTCATTTTTTAAAAAAATACATAGAAAAAGTACACATCCAAGTGATAACGATGCCAATACAGTAGATTTCCCGTGCTCAAATGATCCTCCCACCTCAGCCTCCCAATGTAGCTGGGACATCACAGTTTTAAACAAGGAAAAAAGTTTGTACTCCTTGAATCAATTATCTCAACTTGGGAGATTTTTTTTTCATACAGCAATGATTCTAAAAAAGAAAAAAGCAAAGTGTACAAAAATGTTTGCAAGTTTCAATGTTATAATAGCAAAAAAAATTTTTAATTATTAAGTTGTGATATATCTATATACTTCATCCTTTAAAAATCATTAAATATGGCTGGACATGGTGGCTTACACCTGTAATCCCAGCACTTTGGGAGGCTGAGGTGGGCAAATC
Source organism: Homo sapiens (assembly GCF_000001405.40). NCBI lineage: Eukaryota > Metazoa > Chordata > Mammalia > Primates > Hominidae > Homo > Homo sapiens. The sequence goes on along the minus strand of NC_000017.11, from coordinate 31,027,371 downwards.
ACCTGAGTTCGGGAGTTGGAGACCAGCCTGACCAACATGGAGAAACCTTGTCTCTACTAAAAATACAAAAAAAAATTAGCCAGGCGTCGGGGCGCATGCCTCTAATCCCATCTACTTGAGAGGCTGAGGCAGGAGAATCTCTGGAACCTGGGAGGTGGAGGTTGCAGTGAGCCAAGATCGCACCATTGTACTCCAGCCTGGGCAACAAGAGTGAAACTCCGTCTCAAAAAAAAAAAAAAAAAAAAAAAAAAAAATATATATATATATATATATATATATATATATCATTAATTACAAAGATTATAAATACTAAAAACGATTATGGTAAGTGAAAGAAAGCAAAGTAGAAATTTAATCTTCACTGGAATTAAAGACATAAATATATACATTTTATATACATATTTATGTATATAAAGACACTAGAGGGGAATATAGTTTTTAAAGTTAGTCCTCTAGTGTTCTTTTCTCCATTTTCCAAAAAGTATATATACCTACTTACAATTATTTGTTAGAGGGCTAATTCTGAAAGAACTGGAACTCATTCTGTTTTTGAATGACAGAACTAAAGAATCATAATGTTTGAGTCCAGCCTCCCTCTCTCTTATTAATGGTCCTATTATGAACAGCAGATTCACACAAGAGCTTTAAATAAATACATATATATACACATATACACATATTTAAGAGTAAAACATTTGTTTTCTATGTAGTATACTCCAGTAGGTATATTTCTTTTTTCTTTTTTTTCTTTTTTTTTTCTGAGATGGAGTTTCACTCTTGTTGCCCAGGCTGGAGTGCAATGGCATGATCTCGGCTCACCGCCACCTCCGCCTCCCAGGTTCAAGTGATTCTTCTGCCTCAGCATCCTGTGTAGCTGGGATTACAGGCATGTGCCACCACGCCCAGTTAATTTTGTATTTTCAGTAGAGATGGGGTTTCTCCATGTTGGTCAAGCTGGTCTTGAACTCCCGACCTCAGGTGATCTACCCACTTTGGCCTCCCAAAGTGCTGGGATTACAGGTGTCAGCCACCGTACCTGACCTCCAGTAGGTATATTTCTAATGTCTAACAAAGTCTGCTATTTATATAAATGCAAATTCACATCTAGTAAAACTATTTTGTTACTACTAGACAGTAGTTGGCAAGCATTATGTAACATAATAAATCAAATACAGAAGGAACACTTATATGTGAAAGTACTGTTATGACTGAATTGATTTTTGAGATTTTTTTTGTTTTTGCTTCCTTCTCAATCTAAGGATGACAGGAATTATCAGTAATGCTGTAGTGTAGATAAGGGATCCCCAACTCCCAGGCCATGGATGGATGGGGTATTGGTCCAGGGTCTGTTAGGAACCAGGCCGCACAGCAGGAGTGAGTAGTGGGTGAGTAAGCATTACCGCCTGAGCTCCGCCTCCTGTCAGATCAGTGGTGACATTAGATTCTCATAGGAGCACAAACCCTACTGTGAACCACACACACAAGGGATCTAGGTTGCCTGCTCCTTATGAGAATCTAATGCCTGATGATCTGTCACTGTCTCCCATCACCCACAGATGGGACCATCTAGTTGCAGGAAAACAAGCTCAGGGCTCCCACTGATTCTACCTTATGGTGAGTTGTATAATTAGTTCATTATATATTACAATGTAATAATAATAAAGTGCACAATAAATGTAATGCATTTGAATCATCCTGAAACCAACTCCACCCCAGCCTGGTCTATGGAAAAACTGTCTTCCGTGAAACCGGTGCCTGGTGCCAAAAAGGTCGGGGAGTGCTGGTGTAGATACTTCCCTAAGATAACCAGAGTAGGGCTTTGCTATGTGGCTACCCTGGTAGTTCTCCATGAACCCAATTCACTGCCTTGTGAAATGAAGTCCTTCAAGTACCTTCGGTAATTAAAACCTCTATGATGGGTTCATAACAAAATAGTCTTATTCTAAGTTCTGCTTCATCATGAAGTGTGACAGTCTTATTGGATTTTTCTTTTTTCTTTTCTTTTTTTTTTTTTTTTTTTTTGAGACAGGGGCTTGCTCTTGTCACCCAGCTGGAGTGCAATGGTGTGATCTCGGCTCACTGCAACCTCCGCCTCCTGGGTTCAAGCGATTCTCCTGCCTCAGCCTCCAGAGTAGCTGGGATTACAGGTACTCATCACTATTCCCAGCAAATTTTTTGTATTTTTAGTAGAGATGGGGTTTCACTATGCTTGCCAGGCTGGTCTCGAACTCCTGACCTCAGGTGATCCACCTGCCTCAGCCTCCCAAAGTGCTGGGATTACAGGCATGAGCCACTGTGCCCGGCAACATTTTTCTTCTTTAATTTAAGAAGCCTCCAAGATGAACAGTGTCCTTCCATACTATGCATCTTGATCAAATCTCTATCAATTCTTAAGAAAGGTCTCAGCAAATTTTATGTGAAGCCTTTCCCTCCAGGTCAATTCAAGACACCTAAATACCATATAAGGCTACTAAGTGCCTCATGAGTAAGGTAACAATTTCTCCCTTTTTCCAGTGTTACACTAACATTGCTCATTCTGTTTTTTTCAATTGGCATAGATTTTAAAGCTGTAAAGCATTAAACATTAAAACAAGTTCAATAGAATGTTGTCTTCTTACTAAAAAAACTAGTTTGAGAATTATTTTCAGTAAACTTTAATAACATCTATAAAGTCTGAACTCAGTGCTCTACTATGTTAGGATACTTTGAAAAAATTATTTCCTAAAGGATCAACAGTTCTTCATGACACTTTTTTTTTACATTAAAGTTTTAAAAATTAAGTTAACCTGGATCCTGGATTCACTGTAACATTTTACCTGATTCATTTAATTCAGGCCAACACTATGAAGCTACAGTTAACATACTTTGATTTAAATGGTATTTAGACTTTAGGTCAGTTTGAATGAAACCAAAATTCATGTAACTTTAAATTCACACTTACTTACCGTCTTCTAACTGTCCTTTGGCCCAGGTTTGCATAAATCCAACCTCTGATCTATTTGAAATCAACAAAGAAAGAAATGAAAACATTAGCTGGTATCAGAGATTCTCATGTCTATAGAGTGACAATAAATTTCCACAATCCATTAGAAATCAAACCTATCATTTAAAGAATTCAGATTTCAAAAACTACGAAACACTGGTGTACTTCATTGCCAACATGCAGTCACTTTCTCTCCAAAACTTTTAGACCACTTTAGTCTGTCTTAATAGTTGTTGGTCTTAAGGAATTTATCCGTGAGCCTTGGTTTTCTCATATATGGCAATATGTGAATCCTCATATTTTTTAAGGATTAAATCAGATAATTATGCAAAACTCACAGCATAGTGCCTGGCACATGAATGGTCAACAAATGTTAGCTGTCATTATTATTTTTTAACTAACCATTTCAAATGACATGCACACAAAAAAGTATTAATAAGAAGCCAAGAATAAACTGTAGAATCTGGGTTTGCATCAGTTCTGCCACTAATTCATTCAGGAGCAACTCATTTATTCTCTCAGATGCCTCATCTGTAAAAGAGATATAACACTGGCCTGACCCTGAAAGTTACAGTAAGGAACAATGTCACCCAAAGCATGCTGGTTTTACTTTGATTACAGTACTTACAGCTGAATAATTTTACAACCGTATGCCATCTGTCTACTTATTTGTGAATTGATAAAAGGAGGAGACCATATCGTAGTCTTTGTATTTTCCACTCCAACCCAGTAGAACATTGCATCAGGTAGGTGCTCAATAAATATTTGATAAATTCAATATTACTGCACATGAAAAAAGTCAAATAAATTAATACAATGAAACAGTCACAAGAAACACAAAGAAAAATCCATGCCCCTAAACTACAGTCCCTGGTTATCCAACCAAAAATACAGACACTTTTCTCTTTGCAAAATAAATGGGTGCTGCTAAGTTGGCTACACAGTGGATTCTGCAGAGCAACTCCTCTCCTATTCAGTCCTTCCCATGCGGCATGCTCCCTTTGCCAGCAGGCCTTTGCCCTTCCTTCTCAGAGGACAGGGTTCATGCCTCTTTCTCCTTTATACAGCCAGGGTTTAGAACAGTAGCACATTAAGTCTTCAATAAACATTGGCTAAATTGAACTAGGGATAATGTCAGACGTTTGACCTATAATTTTTCAGTTTGCTGAGTAAGAAAACAGTTCATTTTTATGTGCAACTTGTTTTTTCCAATCCCACTGTCCTTTCTCTCCTGTTGGTTACCCCGTCAGCCCAGAAATACAAGAACTTCTCAGATGCCTTTAAATACCTTGGACTAAGAACTTCTAGCTCAGTTTTCTGCCTTTTTCTTTTTCACAAGGTCAATATATACCTATGCTGTGGTATCATACTACATTAAAAGAGACAATCTCTTAATATATTTAACATTCAATGCTAAATTTACTCCTTTTCTGTTTATTAATTTCTTTAGCTCTTATGTGAGTTTGTTTAGCATATGCATCTGGGCTAAAATCCCATTACAAAGACTAACAGTATTTTTTACATTATATACACAAGAATTCTATAGAAACAAACACACACACAGAAAACCTGTTGAAAAAGGAATTCCCATTTATGTTCCAATGGAAAGACCCACCCAAAAGACCGTCACCTGGTTATGCTAAGTCACCTTATAAATCCATTATGAAAACCACTTCTAATGTCTTGATCTTGGTCTAATCTTCTAAACGCCCAGGTTGATGATAAACTGAGCTACAGTTAAGTAGTTCATAGAGCCGTCATACACTCAAAATAATGTTTAATCTTTCTTTAACTTTTAATTTTGTCACAGCAGTTTTATATATTATACCATTCTTATCCCTTCGTAATTGCTCTTTAACTGCCACCTTAAAGACCCCAATCACCTAAATAAAAACATGTTGTCCACAAATCCACCACAACCAGAAAAGGGTACTAAGAAATTTTAAAAGGTATGTAAATCCTGACACCTTTTTTTTTTGCCATTCTAGATATCAATCATTTCTTAATACTTTTAAATTAACTGGAAATGAAGCATCAGCTCTCATTTAGCTGTAAGTTTCACATATTTAAAACGTTTCATTTTTTTTAAGTCTACAAAATAAATTTAGACCAGGAATTTTTACCAATGTTTCAGACATACACAAGAAGTTATGTTTGAACCCCTACCAACATACTCAAATATATATATCCTTCATATATATTTGAGAATACATATATACTACATGTATATATGTATATGCACACATACATATACACACACACATATGTATATGCACACATACATACACACACACACACACACACACATATATATATAAAATTTGAAAAGCAGTAGTATCTACTCACAACCAGTGTCTTTGAGGTGGTTGATGGCACTGGAAAAAGATGAACACAACGGAGAAATCCAGCACCTTGTTTCTTATGGATCTTCTTGTGATTCCATACACTGATTGTAACTGAATCAGACTTTTCAATATACCTAAAAATGAAAACGGCTACATGAGTATGTTGGTAGTTATAAGGCAGTGGGCGTAAAATTTTTCTTTTGTTCTTTTTATACCCTAAAGTTAAAATTTGCTTCAGAGCCTGGCTAGATTATGCAAAATACATGACTTAATCCACAGGATTGAATATAAATTTTTTAAAAATCTTGAAAGTAAAATTTTTAAAAACAATTTTAGTATATTTTTATCACATCTGCCACTCTCAAGCTGGGCTATAATTCTAGTTAGTAAAAAGGCTATTTTAGTAGCTAGTGTCTAATAACACTAAGGGAGTTTATTAAATAACTTCTTTCCAAGAAAAAGAATCTTCAAAACTTTTATCACGGCCGGGCACAATGGCTCACGCCTGTAATCCCAGCACTTTGGGAGGCTGAGGCGGGCGGATCACAAGGTCACGAGATCAAGACCATCCTGGCTAACACGGTGAAATCCCGTCTCTACTAAAAAAAAAAAAAAAAAAAAAAAATTAGCCGGGCATGGAGGCGGGCACCTGTTGTCTCAGCTACTCAGAAGGCTGAGGCAGGAGAATGGCGTGAACCCGAGAGGCGGAGCTTGCAGTGAACCGAGATCACGCCACTGTACTCCAGCCTGGGAGACAGAGCAAGACTCCGTCTCAAAAAAAAAAAAAAAAAATTTTACCACAGTCACATTTTAAATACATTTCAATGACATGACCTACTTTTCAACGGATAGTGTCAAGGCTGACAGACCAAAAATCTGACCTGTTATATTTTAAAATGCTGTAGAACAAAAGCTGTTTGTAACGCTTTTCCCCTGCTTCTTTCCTGTATGCAGGCCTTGAGCGAGCAGGACTCTTGCAGATTTCACTTCACCTCCTGCAGACAAGCAGTGCAGGGAAAAGCATTACTGTACTTGTCTGTGGATATACCTGCAAGTACGTAAAGGCTCTACCACAGCCAATTGTTAACATGGCATCAACCCATGCAAAAAGATAATATAATAACATAATCATGTCAGCAGAATCCTAGCTCTATTTCAATGACATTAAGAGGTCAAAGTTTTAGTCTAAAGTATTGCTAATTCAATAAATTAGCAATATCAGAAAAATTCACCTAGTATAGAGAAAAGACTAAACCACTTAAGTAACGACTAAAGCTTTCAAATAAGGAACATGGAAGGTACACTTGAGCCCCGGGATCCAGCTGTGCCTAAAAAATGGCCACCCCTAAGCTTTTCATTATGCAAATCAGTACATTCCCTTTTTAAAAATTAAGCCGATTTGAACTTGGTCTCTGTTGCTTGCAAATGAAAAGATATGAACTGAAATATTGTTCAGTACGCATGTACCAATTTCCAAATACACGTACCCGATCCATCTTGGTATATATCTACTGGCATGTAATTCCAGAGCCAGAATCCAGTATTAAGTAGCTGAATTACCCAAACCAAACATTTTTTTAAAAGTCCATTAAACCAGTTGTCCAACTAGTAAGCCTGGTTTACAGGTATGCTGAAATACATATATTGATTACCTCAGTCCTCAGGGCAATGCACCACTGGCTTAAGCAACTTCACCTGTTTAGTCCAGTGTGCCATAATATTTTTTATGTGTACCATGATATGAAAAGGTTGGGAAGCTCTACATTAAACCGTAATGAGAAATTGCTAATTATGGACCTTCTGGAAGACAGCCTAACTCTGAATTACTCAAAATTATGAAATATATTGTATTACTTAAGTGTACATGTCACAAACATTCTGTCCAAATATTCCTGGGCCAGAAATTAATCAGAAATATTACCTTTTCTTATACACAGAGAAGTACATGCTCTCACTTTAATGAAACCTCATGTAATATAACATAATGGCCACATAAAAGAAAAAGTAAAGACTTTTATAATTGAAAGTTAAACAGAGGGCTCTATCAGCTTCTATTAAAACTTTGACTTCACTAACAAATACATGATTTATAAACAAGTTTCAGGATGTTTTGTTGAGAGGGGTAGATGGTAACCTCTATGGGTGATATAATGTTACCATATAGACAAAAGTATAATATACATACTCAGGATTTGGGGCTAAAATTTAATTATTAGACTTTTGTTTGTACACTTAGCCAATTAAAGGCAAGGATTTTGCAAAACGACCTCAGACACAAGCAAGAGAGAAGCCTCTGGTAGCCAATTAATATTAACTGTAAGATAAAACATAACGAGCACATGCAAAGATGCTCAACATCATTAGTCATGAGGGAAATGCACTTCCAAACCATGACGAGGTACAACTTCATACACACTAGGGGGGCTACAATTTTTTTAAAGGAAAATAACAAGCGACAGACGAATAAAGAAACTTCCAGTGGAAAACAACAGTCATGACAGACCAAAATCAGGATGCCATCAGCAATACTCTGAACCTACACTGTCCAAAATGGTATCCACCAACCACATGGGACCTTTGAGTACTTCAAATGTGGCTAGTCCACATTGAGGCAAGCTGCAAAAGAAACCACTGATTTTTCTTAACATAAAATGAGAAAACCACTGATTTTTCAAAGACATAGTAAATATGTATATATACATAAATAAGTAGCTCAATATTTTTATACTACCATGTTGAAAATATTTTTGATATATTGAATTAAATAACATATATTATGCTTAATTTTCAGCATAATAAATTATGCTTATTATGCATAATATAACTATATTGTATTACGGGTCTTGCTATGTTGCCCAGTGTGGTCACAGACTCCTGGCCTCAAGTTATCCTCCCATCTCAGCCTCCCGAGTAGCTGGATTACAGGTGCAAGCCACCATGCCCAGTTTATTATGCTTAATGTCATCTGTTTCTTTTTACTTATCTTAATGTGGATACTAGGAAATTTAAAATTACAGATGAACTCCCATTTGTGGCTTACATTATATTTCTACTCAACAGTACAAATCTAAACCTAGAAGATAATGGAGCAATGTATTCAACATTTGGAGATAAAGTGCTATTTCATCTAGAAGCCTGTACTCAAACCATACCAACAGATAAGAAACCAAAATATATTTTCTGATAAGATCTCAACTTTCTCCCCATCTTTGTATTATTTCTCAAAATGACAACAGAAGATAGGGTTCACCAAATCAAGAGAGTCACTAAATCTAGAAGAGACAAAGGAAATTGCCAACATAACAATAAAGGCAAGTCCCAGGACAACTGCACAGCAGGTCTTAGAGAACCATCACACCAGACTGAAGAAAGAGAACACAGACCCCCAGGAGGGGTATCTCCAAGAAGAAACAAAGCCAATGGAATACTGACAGAATTGAATATATGGAGAAAAGATCTTTAGTTCTGTAGGAGAGTTTGAGGATTATGACATGTAATTTCTCATTTCTAGCTAGGAGATAAATAGAAAACTAAACAAAAGGGAAAAGTAGCTACTAACTTCAGAAAAAACAAAAGCTGTCAAGAAAGAAAATATAATTCTTGTACCCATGTGACCCAACTATGGATATTTACATAATCATAATAATGTAAACATGGAACAATGGTTTAATCAAAAAGGTTCCTATAATTATATTGGAAGATTAAAGAAAGGAAGGGGCTTGTGAGTGTCATGGGAATGGGGATGACGAATACCAATTTTAAAAGCTGAACCACTGGGCTGGGCATCATACCCCATGCCTGTAATCCAAATACTTTGGGAGGCAAAGGAGGGAGAATCACTTGGGCCCAGGAATTCAAAACCAGACTGGGCAATATAGGAAGACCCCATCTCTACAGAAAATTACCAAAAAAAAAAAAAAAATTAGTTTGGCATGGTGGCATGCACCTGTAGTTACAGCTACTCAGGAGGGTGAGGTGGGAGGATCCGTTGAGTCCAGGAGTTTGAGGCTGCAGTGAGCTATGATTATGCCACTGCACTCCAGCCTGAGCAACAGAGTGAGACTGTCTCTAATTTTAAAAGAATTTTTAATAAAAAATAAAGCTGAATTATCTTCTATGTAGGAAATTCGAAAATATCTAAAACTAGGCTGGGCGCAGTGGCTCACATCTGTAATCCTAGCACTTTCGGAGGCCGAGTCAGGCAGATCACTTGAGGTCAGGGGTTCGAGACGAGCCTAGCCAACATGGTGAAATTCTGTCTCTACTAAAAGTACAAAAATTAGCTGGGCATGGTGGTGGGCACCTGCATTCCCAGCTACTCGGGAGGCTGAGGCAGGAGAATTGCTTGAACCCAAGAGGCAGAGATTGCAGTGAGCCAAGATGGTGCCACTACACTCCAGCCTGGGTGACAGTGCAAGACTCTGTCTCAAAAAAAAAAAAAAAAATTACATAAAACTGAAAAAAGAAAACTGTGATGGTATAAAATAAGGAACATATCTAGAAACAGATGAAAATACCAGAATAAACAGCCAAAGTTATTAGAGCAGTTGCCTTGAGGATGGGAATCAGGAATGAGAAAGGACCAGGGACCTTGCTGTTTTCCATAAAACCTTTATAGTATCATTTGCCTTTTTTAAATGGTGCATATACTCCTATGATTAAAATAAAATTTAAAAGAAAGAAACCCTCTACATAAAGGCAAAAAGAATGCCTATTCAGTGTAATCAAAATTCTGATTTCTGGTTTTATAATTGGTCTAAAGTGGTGAATTAATACCTTTATTTAATTGAAAAAAGTTGGGGGGACTGCTCTACTGTGAGCCAGTTTCATTTTGTTCTTCATAGAATTTTAGGGATACCTCATCTTTCAAAACCTGTCTATAAACCAAAGCACATTCCCACTGGGCTTTTCTTTACACCTTTTGTGAAGACCAAATTATAGCATAGATGAAACTCAGATCATTTCCCACGATTCTTTTCAAAGACTATATCAAGTAATATTAATTATATGTTTCATTTCAAACTAATCGTTTAAACCTACAGGTCATAATGCTGATTCCACTTTGGATCGAGCATATTCTTCACAGTATCTATAGAATGGCATTGCCCAGATCCATCAACCACCACCTTAGCAAATGGATCAGGAAGTCCTGTGAAAAAGATTTTTGAAATTAATAATTTGACATGTGAGATAGATTATACAAACATTCCATTTGCTACAAAAGATTATTCCATTATTTTTAAAAAAGTTTAACAGCTATAAATGAATATTCCATTTTTTTAAAAAAGACTAAAAGTTACTTCTATATAAAACACCAAAACTATACTTGTCTCGTTTCTGCCTCAAAATGTTCCCAGTTTAAACTACCAAAATCTAGAGACTAATTCATAAGGTGGAAGTTTTTGTAAGTTGTTACCAGCCCTCTGACCCCAGGAAGGTGAATTCTTGTAACCATTCATGGCTTTTTCTTTCCAAATGTCTCCCTCAGTAGCTCATTTAAAGGAGAGCTTATTAGAGGTTTTTATACAGGAACACAGGCTACAGAGAAATCAAATTAGAAAATGGGTTTTGCTGAATAACTACCAAGAAAAATGAGACCGAAACAAAAGATGTAACACTCTGGCTTAAAAGAGCTTACTATCTAAGTGGAAAGATTAAAAAATACTATACGCAAAACAAAAACAAAAACCAGAAACAAAAATACCTGAGAATAAACAAGTGCTTAGTGATACTGATTATAATGTAAACGCATATCACTATGTTAGGTACTATTCTAAATACTTTACATTCATCCTTAATCCTTACAATAACCCTCTAAGGTAGATATTATTATTTTCCCTATTTTACTGATGAGGAAACTAAGGCACAAGGGGGTCAATTAAGTAGCCCAAGGTCACACAGTAGTAAGTGGCAGAGCCAGGGTCTAAAGTATAGATGCTAAACCCATCTGGCTCTCGACTTCATGATCTTAACCACTATGCTGGATTTTACCTCTCATTTACTACATGGTTCAACAGTGAGTACAAGTAAGAGCTCAGAAAATCAGGAGAACAACTTGAATCTGAACAGTAAAGAAAGGGCTTTAGGGGAGAGGGGAACTCATCTGGGCTTTAAAGCAGGGGTCTCCAACCCCTGGACCATGGGCCGGTACAAGTTTGTGGCCTGTTACAACCGGGCCACACAGCAGGAGGTGAGCAGCAGGAGAGCAAGCATTATGGCCTGAGCTCCACCTTCTGTCAGATCAGCAGCAGCATTAGATGCTCATAGGAGCTGGAACCCTATTGTGAACTGCGCGTGCAAGGGATCTAGGTTGTGCGCTCCTTACAAGAATCTAATGCCTGATGATCTGAGATGGAACAGTTTCATCCCAACACATCCCCTGCTCCCCACATCCTTGGAAAAACTGTCTTGCACAAAACCAGTCCCTGTGCCAAAAAGGTTGGGGACTGCTGCTTTAAATACATACAGGAAAAGGAGGACTTTCCTAGCAATGGAAGAGCGCCAACGAGGGTATGACAATGTAGTATTTAAAAGACTTTGAAGAGTCTAACCAAAGAGTTTGTGCTAAGGTGTAAAAGTAAATACTGTTGGAAATATGCATGAGCCAGTAAGAGGAGCTTAGAAGTCAGACAATAGGGCTTGGACTGATTGAGGTAGATAACAGGGAGCCATTTCAGGTTCTTGAGCATGGCTGTAATTACAGTCATATTTTCCTATCAGTGGTATTCAGGGCCCACTAGGAGAAAGAAAGATTAGAGGCGACCATATATGAAGCTGTTGTAATCATCCAACAGTAGGATGAAAAGACCCTGAACGAGGAAAGTCATATGGAAAGGGAAAGGAAATGAAAATTAAGAGAGCTATTCTGAAAGATCTAATACAAATCAATAAGAAACTTGTATCAAAGATGACAATACAGTTTTCGGCCCAAAGCCATAATGAAAATGATTTTTTTGACAAAAATTTAAAAGGTGGAACTAAAAATGTTAGACAAAAATGACACTTCACATGTTAGACATATTGGAATACAGTAGATTTCCTGTGGACAGCTGAAAATAGTACAACAAAACAGTGTTAAGTGTTGGTGACTGGAGAAATTTTGCATGTTGGTATCAATGCTAATTTTTTTAAGATACTAATTTGCCAAGGTTCAAGGACAGACAAATCACCTATCAGTTCCCCAATTCTATGATTCTGTGATCTATCACCTTCAAATAATAAAGGAAGACCAAAACTTAAGGGTTATGTTTCAAACAAACTTGGTAAGTTAGGGTATTAAATCTATTTGACTATATTGTTCTTGAAGCTGAGTGTTATGCATAGTATTTCAATAACACCTAACCATTTATAAATGTGTTCAATGGAAGAATGTTTTTACCTCCACCCTCAATTCATGAAGTATTTCCTCCTGGGAAGTATTTACTCCATCTTGTTACTTCCGCTCTACTACTTAAACATATAAATTTATGTTTATAAGCAAAAACAAAAAATCACATTTCTATACTTTCCCTTTGGGTGTTATTAAACTAGTTGAAGAATTAAATCTCTCTGCTGGTTTCTTGCTTTTTTAAAAAATTAAAATAAAAAGAATTAAAAATTAGTCAGGCACAGTGGCTCATGCCTGTAATCCCAGCACTTTGGGAGGCTGAGGCGAAAGGATCACTTGAGCCCAGGAGTTTGAGACCAGCCTGGGCAACACAGTAAGACCCCACCTCTACAAAAAAAATTTAAAAGTTAGCCAAGGGTGGTGGCATACGTCTGTAGTCTCAGCTACTCAGGAGGCTGAGGTGGGAGGATCGCTTGAGCCTGGGAGGCTGAGGCTGCAGTAAGCCACGATCATGCCACTGCACTACATCCTGGTTGACAAAGCAAGACCGTATCTCAGGGGGGAAAAAAAATTAAGGATTAAGAAAAACATCTGACAAAGGACTAATATCCAGAATCTACAAAGTATGCAAACAAATCAGCAAGAAAAAAAAAACAAACAATTCCATCAAAAAGTGGGTTAAAGACATGAATAGACAATTCTCAAAAGAAGATATACCAACCAAGATAGGCCAACAAGCTTATGGAAAAATGCTCAACATCACTAAGTATCAGGGAAATGCAAATCAGAACTACAATGCGATGCCACCTCACTCCTGCAAGAATGGCCATAATCAAAAAATAAAAAACAAACAAACAGATGTTGGCATGGATGCAGTGAAAAGGGAACACTTTTACACTGCTGGTGGTAATGTAAACTAGTACAACCACTACGGAAAACAGTGTGGAGATTCCTTAAAGAACTAAAAGTAGATCTACCATTTGATCCAGCAATCCCACTACTGGGTACCTACCCAGAGGAAAAGAAGTCATTATACAAAAAAGATTCTTGCACACGCATGTTTATAGCAGCACAATTTGCAATTGCAAAAATATGGAACCAGCCCAAATACTTATCAGTCAATGAGTGGATAAAGAAAATGTGGTATGTATACACACACACACAAACATACACACACACATATATACACATATATATACACCATGGAATACTATTCAGCCATAAAAAGAAATAATAGCATTCACAGCAACCTGGATAAAATCGGAGACTATTATTCTAAGTGAAGTAACTCAAGAATGAAAAACCTAACATTGTATGTTCTCAGTCACATGGGGGAGCTAAGCTATGAGGATGCAAAGGCATAAGAATGATACACTGGACTATAGGGACTGTGGGAAAGGGTAGGGGTAGTGAGGGATAAAAGACTACACACTGGGTACTGTGTACACTGCTTGGGTGATGGGTCCACCAAAATCTCAGAAATCACCACTAAAGTACTTATTCACGTAATCAAACACCATCTGTTCCCTCAAAATCTACTGAAATAAAAAAATAAAAGAAAACCTTTTTCCATACAAAATGTGGCTTCCAGATCCTTAATTAAGTAGGAAAGTCACAGCCTTTTATGTTTCCTTTCTGTTAAATAACACAATAAACAAAAATACAAGTTCAATATCTTAATTTAAAAAATAGGTTTCAACTTAACCTGATCATATTATTCTACAAAAATTTAATTGAGAACCAAGTTACTCTAATGTGGCCAAAAGCTATCAGGTTTCCTGAAGTTAGTGAGACATCTAGTGGTAAATACAAAGTGGCTAGAGAACTTTGCATTTAAAAAATTTCTTGGCTGGGTGTGGTGGCTCACGCCTGTAATCCCAGCATTTTGGGAGGCCGAGGCTGGCGGATCACGAGATCAGGAGATAGAGGCCATCCTGGCTAACACGGTGAAACCCCATCTCTACTGAAAATACAAAAAATTAGCCGGGCGTGGCGCCATGCACCTGTAGTACCAGCAACTCGGGAGGCTGAGGCAGGAGAATCGCTAGAACCCAGGAGGCACAGGTTGCAGTGAGCTGAGATCGCCCCATTGCACTCCAGCCAAGAGCGAAACTCCATCTCAAATAAATAAATAAATGTCATTATGGTGTATAGGCATACATAAAAACCTGTGTAATAGAATAAAGCTATCATTTTTAAGGCCTTGAATTAATAAAATATGTAGTGAAACAAGATTAAGACGCTAGCATATCTAAAGGGAAATTTTTAAAGTTAAACTTCCTTACATTATAGACAAGGTTAACCTCCTTATTGCCAAGGGCTTTGAAATTAATAATATGAGAAGCAGCATACAAAAACATTAAATTTATAAAAAGGTCTGAAATAAATGTTCTGGAGGAGTAATCTTATTCTACTTCTCTATACCTAAGAATTTAAAATATTAGAAATTACACTAAACTGCTTTTTGCAGCCTTTGGTTTTCAAAAACAATAATGGTCTAAAAATTACCCTAAAGTTTTTACTGTAAAGAATATTTTTCTATCCAAACCATTGTAAGAAAAGCCTGTATCTGACAGTCATATAGGTATAATATAGAAATTATACACTTTATAATCAATTTGTTCTAGAAATATTAGTTGAAGTTGATGGTGTTACTATACACCCCATTTTAATGATCATATGTTAATGTGTCACAAAGAACAGAAGTAGCTTGATGGATGAAATTGGATTCTAACCCCCAATTGCCTGAGGAATCTAAAATTTGGGATCAAATTATTAAATTAGCCCCACCTTCTTAGCACTGACAAATACCAAACAGTTCACTGATTGTGGTTTTAAGAATAATATGTGGTGGCCAGGCGTGGTGGCTCACGCCTGTAATCCCAGCACTTTGGGAGGCCGAGGTGGGCGGATCACTAGATCGGGAGATGGAGATCACCCTGGCCAACATGGTGAAACCCCATCTCTACTAAAAATACAAAAAAAGCCGGGCATGGTGGCAGGCACCTGTAATCCCATCTACTTGGGAGGCTGAGGCAGGAGAATCGCTTGAACCCGGGAGGCGGAGGTTGCAGTGAGCCAAGATCGTGCCACTGCACTCCAGCCTGGGCAAAAAGAGTGAAACTGTGTCTCAAAAAAAAAAAAAAAAAAAGAATAATATGTGGAAAAGTCTAATATCAATTGTGGGCACTGATCTCATGGTTCAAATATTTCCTCTTCTTCAGAAAGAGAGAGTGTGTATGAGTGTGTGAGAGAGTGTGTGTGTGTGTGTGTGTCACCATGCAAGAAATGTTTATACCTTTCAGTAAAAGGGCAATTCCACAATAAGGTTATTACCAAGTAACTAAAGTTTATACAGCATCTTGAAATCAAAGATACTCTATAAATGTAAAATACTAACATGGTATTAACTTAAAGCAAAGAACAATAATTTTAAAACATCTTATAGCCCAAGTGTATTGTAAACCAAATATAAATTCACTGTGAGATCTGTCTTTTTTTAAGTGATTTTTTTTCCTCTATTAGGGAACCCAGGTCTAAACGAATTGTTAAACACTTAGTCTAAAGGTATGCCAAACATTTCTTAAGGTTTTTACAAAGAATCAACTTTTTTTAAAAAAACAAAATGAGGCCTAGGTTAAATATTTTATTTGGCTTCTCAAGATGGACTGAGAAGTTGGGCACCAGCTCCAGACCAATTCCTGGACGCACATCAAACACAGCCCTGTCATTTATCCTGTCAGTCAAAACAATCTTTTCCATCTAACCTTTAATGTTTATGTCCTAAAAAGCTGCTAATTAAATCCAGCTCTTGAGATCTATTTGCTAAAATATATCCCATCTAATTTGTAAATGATGAACAAAAATGAAAAAAAAAAAGTTCACTTTCCTGGCAAAACAGAAGACTCCACTGTAACCAAAGGAGGAAGGACAATGTTTTTAACATTTGTCAAATTTTAAGAGAAAACTATTCAGAGACAAATAGTTGTAAGAAACTCAGAGTACCTCAAACTGTTTTTACTATTAAGTGGACACAGGGTATTTAAAAAATCCTCAGAAAAACCTGAAACAAAATCACTCTATAAATGTAGTTCAATATTCCCTCTTCCCCTAAAATATAAGCATAATCTTTCCTCTTAACAAACTTTACTTATAAATTTTTATAATGTATCATAGGCAGTACGGAAACCACAGATAAACACTTTAAGATCTACTGAGTCATACTTAAAACCTCAACTCATTTTATCTGCAGAAAATCAAAATCCCTATTTTTTCCCTCATTTTCTCTATGTAGCCTTGAGGGAAGTAAATGGAAACAGCTTATTTCTGATGCTTTCTGCACACCTGGGATCGCATGTTCTTTCGATGATCACTGATTCCAGATAGCAACAGATAAACTCTAAAGCAACAAAGATCCCCTAAAAAGGTTTCCACTGACTTCTCCCAATATAAGGACATTGAATGGGGGGAAGTTGGGGGGAAATACAAGTATCCTCCAATCCAGGTTTTCCATTAAGAACCACTCAGTTAATGATTCCCTGCATTTTTCCTTAGGGAAAGCAAAACTTGTCATGAAGGTCATGTATTATTTAAATCGCAGCCAACAGACATTCAAGCTAAATTCTCAAATACCAAATTCACTGCAAGTTTTCATCTAGCTGTACTGGGATCTGACACACATGCATTCAACTACAAAATTAGCCCAAATAAATCTCAAAGTCTAGTGTGGGCAAACATAATTACAGTTTATTCGTACACGTGCACGCACACACAAATCCTCTACGGAAAATTATCTTTCTCACCACTCATCCGAATATAAACGTGGACAATTTATCAGGGGTAAATGGTGAAGGTAGGATAACGTCGTGATTTCAATTCCTTTTCAAACCAAATACAAGTTTTCCTAAAATGGGGGTGACATGTCCATGTAAGAATACCAAAAATGGCACTGTAAGCAAAAATGTACCTGTAATGTTAAAGATTTCATGCGCCTGGAATCATAAACACTTTGTAAGTGTAGTCTTCTATCTAGCAACCCCTCCGGACATTATTTTCCATTTAGAAAAAGGAAGGGGGAGGGTGGGGAGAGTAAGAGAAAGTTTGCTCTAAAGTTTGTATGAGCACATAGTTAGAAAAGTACCCCCTCCCCACCCCCGCCAAAAAGTGTGTTTTTAAAGCAGGTCTGGAGTTAGAAGTGACACAAGTTCTGCGGCCTACAAGGTACAACCCCAAACATGCCACCCTACAATCAGACACTTCCAAAACACAGTGTACAATGAGCCCGAGCCGTCGGATCAGACAGGCACACGGGAAAAGTCAACCTCAGTCTCCTCTCCTCAGAGAGACGTGAGTTTAAGGTGTGCGGCCCCGGCAGCGGTAGCCGGAGGCGGAGAGTAAGGATTTTGCACGCGGGCATAAGTAGGTGTGCAAGGTAACAACCCGGGAACACACACGCACACACTTCCGTTAAGCGCTCCATCTTTAAGGAGTAAACACTCCTTAAAGTTGCGCGCAGTCAGCAACCGGATTCAATAATCCTCGCCACGAGAGCTCTTCATCCCCTTCACGATCCCACCTGGGCGGTAGCCCAGGGGCTCCTCCCCGAGCCCCGAGAGGCAGCATCGGGCTCCTTGACCAAGACTTTCGGACCTGAAATCCGCCTGCGATGCGAACCGATGTAACCTCCCCTCCACAAAAGACCACCCCCCCTCCCCAAGTCATCCTCGGCTTTTTAAAGAATGTCCAAACCGGAGCGAGTGGTTTTCCAATTACTCTCCCTGAACTAGGCCTTCCCATTCCTCCAACCCCCAACTCACCATTGATCGCGATCCTGGCCCTTCCCAAGTCAACAGGCACCCCCCGCCAGCTCGCCCACCCGGCGGCTGCCCAGCCCGGCCCGGCGCTCCCCCTCACCTGTCAGGTGCAGCTTGACGGGCCCGTTCCTCCGGCTTCCGGGGTTGGACATGTCCCCAGCGGCGGAGGCGGCGGGCAGGACGGGGACAGGGGCGACGGCGAGGCGCGGCGGAGTCACCACAGCGTCAGGGGCTGAGGCCCGAGCTTTTGGCGCTGCAACCGCCACGGCCGGAGGGTCCCGGACGTGCCGAGCGTAGTCGTCCTGAGCCGCGGAGGACGCGGGACGCCGAGCTCCCCGCTCCTCCCACTTCTCTTTCCTTGGTCTGGGCTGCACAACTAGGCGGCAGCCGGCCGCCCGCGCCTCCGCAGCATCCTCGCGGCCTCTGCGGCCTTTCCCTCCTCTCGTCTGGGCTAGGCCCAGTAGTCGACGGCGCTGGTCGGCTGAGGCAGGCGGTGCTCCGGCGGCGCCGGAGCAGGACTCTCGGCTTCTCCTCCTCCACCCGCCCTTTTGTCTGAGGGACCCGGGATTTTGCTTTTCCCTTATAGAAATGGTGGAGTCAGTGAAGAAATTAGCAGGGATGGATGTGGAGCTGACAGCTGAAGAAAGAAACCTCCTATCTGTTACATATAAGAATGTGATTGGAGCTAGAAGAGCCTCCTGGAGAATAATCAGCAGCCTTGAACAGAAAGAAGGAACAAGGGAGGAGAAGACAAGCTAAAAATGATTCGGAAATACCGGCAAATGGTGAGACTGTTGTACAACAGTCCCCCCTTATCCGCAGTTTGAGTTACCAGTGGTACAGTACAATAAGATATTTTTAGAGAAAAGAGACTACGTTCATGTAACTTCTATTAGAGTATGTTATAATTGTTCTGGTATTAATCTTTTTCTGTGCCTAGTTTATAAATTAAACTTTACCATGAGTATGTATGTACAGAACAAAACATAGTATATATAAAGTTTGGTGTTGTCCATGGTTTCAGCGTATCCACTGGGGGGGGTCTCAGAATGGATCCCTCTCAGATAAAAGGGAACTATCGTATTTTCAAGAAAAATGATGATGATGTGTTTTGGGTTAAATTTGTCCCATTCTTCTTTTTATTGAAAGACTAAGGTTTTTTTTTTTTTTTTTCTAATCCAATATCGTTGTTTTTAATCTCTGGGTTTTATACAACAGAAATTATCTGGGGGAAGGAAGCTCTTGTTACCTGAATATGTCCTAATTTTTGTCTCTTATTTTTATGGTTTTAGAAAATGTCTCTGAAAAGGGAGGCTTGTTTCTGTTGAGTGTCTGGCTTAGTTCTCAGGCTTATGTCTGTCAGTAATTTGGCCATAGTTGTTGGCATTCGAGGTCACAGCCTAGTGCTCACATGACTGTATATGTAGTACACATTTTATATCTTGGTAGAGTTGTGTCTTTTGCTCACGTGGATTAGGCTATAGAATATTCCACGGCAGAGGCGAATAACTTTTTCTCCTGGAAGCTGCAGTAGTGGGCAAAAAAGTGAGACCCTGTCCCTAAAAATAAAGTTGTAAAGCTTGGCCGGGTGCAGTGGCTCACGCCTGTAATCCCAGCACTTTGGGAGGCCAAGGCGGGTGGATCACAAGGTCAGGAGATCGAGACCATCCTGGCTAACACGGTGAAACCCCGTCTCCACTAAAAAAAAAAAAAAAAAAAAAAAAAAAAAAATTCTCCAGGCGTGGTGGTGGGCGCCTGTAGTCCCAGCTACTCCGGAGGCTGAGGCAGGAGAATGGCGTGAGCCCGGGAGGCGGAGCTTGCAGTGAGCCGAGATTGCGCCACTGCACTCCAGCCTGGGCAACACAGCGAGACTCCGTCTCAAAATAAATAAATAAATAAAAAAGTTGTAGGCTGGGATTGATGTTACCATTACTATGAAATATGTTGGGTCAAAGAATTTCGATGACCAATAGACAAGTTTTGTGTCCCAGAGGAATGAGGAAGTAAGAAAGTTCAAAGTGCTGAAGAAAGAAGTCCATGAGCTACACTGTGGGACTTGGGCTAGCTAGGAAATGGAAGCAGGAAGCAAAGAGAGCAACTGATAAATTGGGAGAAGATGTGAAAAGTTCAAGTCTGGATGTCTTAGGTGAGATATATGCATAAGAAAGAAAGAAAGAGGAGAGAGAGAGAGAGAGGGAGAGAGAGAGAGAGAAAAGAAGGAAAAGAAAGAGAAAGAAAGAGAAGAAAGGGAAAGAAAGAAAGAGAGGAAAGAAAGAGAAAGAAAGGAAAGAAAGAAAGAAAGAAAGAAAGAAAGAAAGAAAGAAAGAAAGAAAGAAAGAAAGAAAGGGAGAGAGTGTAGATGTCTTGATGAGTCCCTAAGTAGAAACACGAAGAGAAAAGGAACTAAAAGAGGAAGCCACGGCCAAGAGTGGAGCATTACAATGTTAAGACTTCTAGTATGGAGCAGCACAGTTAGGGGTATGGACAAGTGCAAGTCTTGGAGTAGAAAGCAAAGAACTCTGTTGAATGGAACGTGGCCACACCATACCTTGGTGTGATCTCAGGTTTTGGATAGGTTGGCTGTAGATAGTCATTGAATGTGGGAGAACAGCCTAGAGAGCTATTAATGACAGAAACTGACAAATAGAATGTAGAATATTAGCTTGTGAGGAGGAAGGGTTTGGAGTAACAGGAAAGTAGTCATTGAGTATGTGAGGAGCTAGGAGAACATGGAAATCTTTCTTCTCCTACAGCAGTCTCTATCTGAAAAACCATCAGGGAGATAGTTTATTCAGAAAATAGTTTTGCTTAGCTAAGATAAGGATGCAATTTCGGAAGAAAGAATGAAAGAATGTTTTACAGTGGAAAGCAGGTTCCAGGGCCATGAGAGGAACCTCGAAAGGTTCAACAGTAGTGCCATGAGTTCATAGAAAATAGGAAGCAAGCGGCCAGGCACAGTGGGTCACGCCTGTAAATCTCAGCACTATGGGAGGCCGAGGCAGGCGGATCACGGGGACAGGAGATAGTGACCATCCTGGCTAACATGGTGAAACTCTGTCTCTACTAAAAAAAAAAAAAAAAAAATTAGCCGGGCATGGTGGTGGTGCCTATAGTCCCAGCTACTCGGGAAGCTGAGGCAGGAGAATGGCGTGAACCCGGGAGGCGGAGGTTGCAGTGAGCTGAGATTGCGCCATTGCACTCCAGCCTGAGGGACAAAGCAAAACTCCATCTCAAAATAATAATAATAATAACATAAAATAAAATAAAAATAAGGCCAGCACAGTGGCTCACCCCTGTAATCCCAGCACTCTGGGAGGCCAAGGCGGGTGGATCACTTGAGGTCAGGAGTTCAAGACCAGCCTGGCCAACACTGGGAAACCTGGTCTCTACTAAAAATGTAAAAAATTAGCCAGGCATGATGGCACATGCCCATAATCCCAGCTACTCAGGAGGCTGAGGCAGGAGAATCACTTGAACCTGGGAGACGGAGGTTGCAGTGAGCCGAGATTGTGCCACTGCACTCCAGCCTGGGTGATAGAGCGAGACTGTCTCAAAAACAAAACAAAACAAAATAGTATTTGAGAGAGAAGCAAGGGACAGATAGATATAACTATTTTAGAGGTTTCCTCAAGCCTAACAAGATGGTGGCTTCCTGCTTAGCAGGTGGTCTTCCAGGAACCCAAAGCCCCGGACCCAATAGTGGGTTCAACAGAACTATCCAGCAGCTGCTTCACCAGAGTGTGTGAGGTGGAAGAGAAGAGAGAAGGACAGAAGCAGCCCATGGCACTGATGAGAACACTCCATTCTCCTCAACCCCCAGGAAAAAAAAACACTTGAGAGACAAGGCCTGATAGAAAACAAATTTTTGAGAACAATGTCCCCAGATAGCGCAGAAAGCTGCCAAAGGAGTTCCTCGTGCTCTCCTATGAAGCAGTGTGTCTCCGCTATAGACTGAATGTTTGTGTTCTCCCAAAATTCATGTACTGAAATCCTAACTCCCAATATGACAGTCCTGGGAGGTGATTGGGTCATGAAGATAGAGCCTTCATGAATGAGATTAGTGACCTTATAAAAGGGACTGTAATCCTAGCACTTTGGGAGGCTGAGTTGGGTGGATCACCAGAGGTCAGGAGTTCAAGACCAGCCTAGCCTAGCCAACATGGTGAAACCCCGTCTGTACTAATAAATACAAAAATTAGCTGGGTATGGTGGCAGGCACCTATAATCCCAGCTACTCAAGAGGCTGAGGCAGGAAGAATTGCTTGAACCTGGGAGGCAGAGGTTGCAGTGAGCCCAGGTCACACCACTTCACCCCAGCCTGGGTGATAGAGCAAGACTCTGTCTCAAAAAAAAAAAAAAAAAAAAAAAAACGGCGGGGGAACTCCTGAGAGCTCCCTCACTAGACACCAAATCTGCCAGCACCTTGATTTTGGACTTCCCAGCCTCCAGAACTATGAGAAATAAATTTGCTTTCTTTTCTTTTTTCATTTTTTTCCTTTCTTTTTCTTTTCTTTTCTTTTCTCTTTTCCCCCCTGTCTCTCTCTCTCTCTCTCTTGCTCTCTCTCTTCCTCCCTCCTCTCTCTCTCTCTCTCTCTCTTTCTTTTAGATGGCCTTGCTCTGTCACCCAGGCTGGGGTGCAGTGGCATGATCACAGCTCACTGCAGCCTTGACCTCCTGGGCCCATGCAGTCCTCCAGCCTTAGCCTCCAGAGTATCTGGGACTGCAGGCACATGCCATCACACTCAGCTAATATAAAATGTTTTTGTGGAGACGGGATCTCATTTAGTTGTCCAGGCTGGTCTCAAACTCCTGGGCTCAAGTGATCCTCCTGCTTTGGCCTCCCAAAGTGCTGGGATTGCAGGAGTGAGTCGCCATACCCAGCTGAGAAATAAATTTCTGTTTTTTGTAAGCCACCCAGTCTATGGGAGTCTGTTATAGTAGCCCGAATGGACTAAGATAGCCCCAAGGAAAGTCTTTCTGGCTTGGTCCATAGGCAGATGATTTCCTCGCCCCCACAGTGCAGACCCCAGTGAGAGGTCCTTCATCCACTGGCATTTCAGCTTTAGTTATTCTCCTTTGGAGATTTTGTGTTTTGTTTGAAGGAAGGACACTATATTCTACAGTGTCCTGGAAGAGATATGCTGACACAAAGTGCAAGCCAAAAGCAAAGCAATCAAAAGTGATAGCCTTCTTTCCTTTCCTATGTTTCTGATTCTAGTGCTCTGGCTCCAGTCTGGGGACATCATGTGGCAGGCAGATAAAACCAACACTCACAGAGGCCTCATTGCAATACATACTGTCTGAGAGGACAATATTTAACCAAAAAACCTCAAGAGGCTGAAACCCTTCACTCCAAACTCTGAATCTTGGCTCAAAAGGCAAATATCAAATTAACTCTGGGTTAGAAGATAAAAGCTCCATGATGCAGAAAGTGAGGGCCTATAGCTTCTTTTTACTTATTTATTTATTTATTTATTTATTTATTTATTTATTTTTGAGACAGAATCTCGCTCTGTCACCCAGGATGGAGTGCAGTTGCGTGATCTCGGCTCACTGCAACCTCCACTTCCCAGGTTCAAGCGATTCTCCTGCCCCAGCCTCCCAAGTAGCTGGGACTACAGGTGCCCGCCACCATGCCCAGCTAATTTTATTATTTTTAGTAGAGACAGGGTTTCACCATATTGGCCTGGATGGTCTCGAACTCCTTACCTTGTGATCCGCCCGCCTCGGCCTCCCAAAGTGCCGGGATTACAGACATGAGCCACCACGCCTAGCCTTATTTATTTATTTTTGAGACAGAGTCTTGATGTATCACCCAGGCTGGAGTACAGTGGCAAGATCATGGCTCACTGCAACCTCCGCCTCCCAGGCTCAAGTGGTTCTCCTGCCTCAGCCTCCAAATAGCTGGGATTACAGGTGTGTGCTACTACGCCCAGCTAATTTTTATATTTTTAGTAGAGACGAGGTTTCACCATGTTAACTAGGCTGATCTCGAACTCCTGACCTCAGGTGATCTGTCCACCTCAGACTCCATAAGTGCTGAGATTACAGGCGTGAGCCACCACACCCGGCCACCCATAGCTTCTTAGTGGTCACTTGGCACAAACAAGGAAGCCTTGTCACTGCTTAGACAACTCAAGGCCACTTAAGGACAACCACCAAAATCAAAAAGAAAGGGTACCTCATGACTTTAGGGCTAGCTGTGTCCCATCAAAGTGGAAGGCCAGGTCCTGGCCTTAGCATAGGACCTTATCGGAGAGTAACGAGGGGAGAGGCTTCAGAGTGAAAAAACCAGCCAGGCATGGTGGCTCACACCTGTAATCCCAGCACTTTGGGAGGCCGAGGTGGGTGGATCACTTGAGGTCAGGAGTTCAAGACCAGCCTGGACAACATGGTGAAACCCTGTCTCTACTAAAAATACAAAAATTAGCCGAGCATGGGGGTGCACACCTACAATCCCAGCTACTTGGGAGGCTGAGGCACGAGAATCACTTGAACTCTGGAGGCAGAAGTTGCAGTGAGCCAAGATCACACCACTGCACTCCAGCCTGAGTAACAGAGCGAGACTCTGTCTTAAAAAAAAAAAAAAAACAACAACAAACAAAAGTGAGAAAACTGGGCCTGGTTCCAGCTCTGCCATGACTGGCTGATCAACCCCGGACAAACCACCACACCTGTCCCGGCCTCTGCTTCCTTATGCATCAACAGGAAGGTAATAATACCCATCACGCAGGGCAGTGGTGAGGCTCAGAAAGCATATTAGTAGACCACGTGGAAGAATTCTGCTTACCCCTGTTTTGAAGGAGCGATTAATCATGTATAGAAATTAGGTGTGAGTCTCAGGATGTTAGAGGCCAAGGTGGGTGATATTAAGATGTAATTCCATCATTGCTGCTGTGATAATCATCATCCTTGTATTCTTCCGATTTCCTCACCTCCTACTTTATTTAATGGTTTCAGCAAACCTGTGAGGAAGGTAAGGAAGGGCAAATAATAATGATGTCCATTTTAGAGAGGAAAGAAAGGCAAGAAGAGTTTAAATATACTGTCAAACGCTGCCTGGCTGGTTTGCATGACAGGGTTTTCTCTTCAACCTAGTTCAGGAGCTGAACGTCCCCATCTTCAGAATAGGTGCTAGTCAAGACCAGAGTCCTTCTATGGATGAACTGTAAGACAAAAAAAAAAAAAAAGAGAGAGAGAGAGACATGTATATTAGGAGACTAACAGACATTAAATAATGGGCATGAGGGTTCTTTCTGGGGGTGATGACAATATCCTAAAATTAGATTATGGTGATGGTTTTACAACTCTGTAAATATAGTAAAAAACATATATTTGTACACCTTAAGTGAATTTCATAGAATGTAAATTATATGTCAGTCAGGCACAGTGGCTCACGCCTGTAATCCCAGCACTTTGGGAGCCTGAGGTAGGCAGACTGCCTGAGCTCAGGAGTTTGAGACCAGCCTGGGCAACATGGCAAAACCCCATCTCTACTAAAAATGCAAAAATTAGCTGGGTGTGGTGGCTCACACCTGTAATCCCAGCTACTCAGGAGGCTGAGGATCACTTGAACCCGGGAGGCAGAGGTTGCAGTGAGCCAAGATTCATGCCACTTCACTTCAGCTTTGGTGACAATGTGAGAACCTGGCTCCAAAATAAAATAAATAAATAAATAAATAAATAATATTCCCAACAAAGCTGTTAAAGGACATACCATTTTTTTTAATGGGCAAGATGAAACTACTGTGGCTATGGATGCATATTTGAGTGATAAAACTCTAAAGAAATGCAAGGAAGTGTTTGGCGTGAATGTCAAGACTCCTTTCAGGCACAGGGAGGGTTTTGTGATTAGAATGGGGCACAGGAAGGCGCTTCTGGGGTGGGCAGCAGGTGCTATTTCTTGACCTGAATGATAGTTACAAGGGTATTTACCTTATAATAACTCATTAAGCACCACTTGTTTTGTGTAGTTTTCTGTATCTGTTTTCTTATATAATAAAATGGTTGTTAAAAATAGGGGAAATCAAGTATGAAATAACACCTGTGTCAGACATACTGTAGAGTGGCCCCCATTAGCCCCACTTCCTGGCATTCATGTCCTTCTGTAATCCCCTCCCCTTCAGTGTGGGTGGTAACGTGACTTGCTTCTAATCAATAGAAGGCAAAGGCAATGGGATGTACGTGATTACGTGTTTATGTGGTTATGCTATGTAAGATTTTGTGTCAGCCGGGTGCAGTGGCTCATGCCTGTAATCCCAGCACTTTGGGAGGCTGAGGCGGGAGAATCACGAAGTCAGGAGTTCGAGACCAGCTTGGCCAACATGGTGAAACCCCATCTCTACTAAAAATACAAAAAAAAAATTAGCCGGGCGTAGTGGCAGACATCTGTAATCCCAGCTACTCGGGAGGCTGAGGCAGGAGAATTGCTTGAAACTGGAAGGCGGCGGATGCAGTGAGCCCAGATCACACCACTGCACTCCAGCCTGGGCATCAAGAGTGAGACTCCGTCTCAAAAAAAAAAAAAAGATTTTGCGTCATCTGGCTAGGAGACCCTCTCCCTTATTGTCTTTGAGGAAACAAGCAGCTGTGTTGCAAAGGCCTATGGGGTAAGGAACTGAGGGCGGTCTCCAGCCAACAACCAGAAAGAAACTGAGGCCCTCAGTCCGGCAACTCAAGAACTGAAGGCTGCCAATGACCATGTAATTTGGAGGCAGATCCTTCCCCATTGGAGCCTCAGATGACCCTGTGTCCCCAGCTGACATGTTGATTGCAGCTTGTAAAACTCTGATGTAGGAGACTCAGCTAAGCTATGCTCTGACTCCTGACTCACAGAAACTGTGAAATAATATCTATGTGTTATTTTAAACCATTAAATTTGTGGCAATATTCTTACATAGCAACTGATAAGTAGCAAATTATGTTTAGAGATCCTCTGAGACTGCCCTCAGGTTCAGTGATTCACTAGAAGGACTCACAGAACTCAGCAAAGTGTTGCACTCATAGTTACAGTTTATTACAGTGAAAGGATACAGATTAAAATCAGCAATGAAGAAAGGCACATAAGGTAAGGTCCAAGAGAACTTCCAATTATCCTCTCCTGGCAGAGTCTTCAGGATAATGCTTAATTCTCCCAGCAATGATGTGTGGCTACAATGATGTGTGCACAGAGTATTACCAACCAGAGTAGCTCACCCATGCCTAGGTGTCCAGGGCTTTTACTAGGGATTGATCACATTGGCATGCTTCACTGCCCACATGGCTAACTTAGTCTCCTCAGCTTGACCTTGCAAGGTCAAGCTGATACTGCATGGCCCAAGGCCCACAGGTAAACAAAAACACTCTTATCAGGCAAGATATTCTAATGGCTTAGAGGTTATCTCCCAGGAGCCAGGCAGGGGCCTATTCTTTATTTGGAATGTCCAGGGTTCAAACATCCCAAGTTCATCCTGTATCACACAAAAGGATTAACTTCAAAAGTGGTATTCTTGGCCAGGTGTGGTGGCTCACACCTGTAATCCCAGCACCTTGGGAGGCTGAGGTGGGAGGACTGCTTGAGACCAGGAATTCGACACCAGCCTGGGCAACCTAGTGAGATCCCATCTCTATCGTAATTTTTCTAAAAAGTGGTATTCTTAAGTCAAGTTACTACCCTGATTGATGACAGGGAGAGAGACCAGGAAACCACTGTGTTGTAATCCCTTAGGAAACCTTACACCTTTACTTGCTTTATTATCAGGTAATTTCCAGGATGTAAGCCATACAGCCAGAAGGCAGGGTACAAAGGAGAGGAGGCAGAGATGGTACACTCATACAGAAGCTTCTCCTGATTGTCCACTGAATAGAAGGCAAGCTTTCCCTCCTCAAGGTTCAGCCAGATGCCCACCACCCCAGGTCTGTCTGAGCCAAGGACAGTTTCCTTGACCATGTGCCATGCAGAGAGCTGGCTAGTCCCCTTCCATTCCACACAACAAGAGTCCATAGTCCTTCCCAGGACCTGGTCGCGGCTCATCTCCCAGGAAGCCACCCCAACTGCCCAGTGGCTGCAATTCCTAGTGTCCACTTCCCAGTAATGCTTTCCAGAAGACAGGGCCTGGGAACATAAGACCTGGCTGGTAGAAAACCTCTCACAGCTCCAGCGATAGGGTTGTGGGCGGTGAGACACAGTCACTGTACGGGAATCCTTGGACACCTCCAGGCTGCAGGAAAGGCTCTTCAAGTTAAAGGTTGGATGGATGGCCCCTTTGGAAAAAAAAAAAGAACAATAAGAACATGGCCGGTCATCTTTTGATGGTCCATGCTAAGAAGTCTTCAAATAGCAACTTTGTATCTTTTGGTGTGATGTTTCACTCACACTAGCATTAAAATTGCTACATCACCCAACAGGAAGAAATGATAAATGTTTCAGATGATAGATATGCTAACTACCTTGATCGGATCACTATGCACCATATGTATTGAAACATCACTATGTATCCCATAAATATGTACACTTATTATATTTATTTATTTTTAAAATTTATTTAGAAAAGAAGCAGGATTTTGCCATGCTTCCTAGGCTGGTGTCGAACTCCTGAGCTCCAGCAATCCTGCCATCTCAGCCTCCCAAAGTGCTGCAATTACAGGCATGAGCCACTGCACCCAGACTATACAATTATTATATGTCAATTTTAAAAATCAGGCCAGCTCCTTCAGCCAGGTGCACTGGCTTACCCCTGTAATCCCAGCACTTTGGGAGGCTGAGGCAGGTGGAACACTTGAGGCCAGGAGGTCAAGACCAGCCTGGCCATCATGGCCAACTCCTGTCTCTATTAAACATACCAAAATTAGCTGGGCGTAGGCAAGGTGCGGTGGCTCACGCCCGTCTTATGGTGATTTATGACCACAGCTGTTTATACCTTCCCAGTTAAACTGAAACTTCCTGATTGAGGACCATGTCTTACTCACTTTGTATATTTCATTTGGTTTCCTATTGAGTGAATAAATTGCTAACACTTATACAGCATGACTACTCTAGGTGTTTTACTCATACTCACTCACTTAACCCTCATGGCAATCCCGCAAGAGAAGTACTATATTATCTCCATTTTACAGATGAGGAAACCCAGGCTCTAGGAAGCTTAAGTGACTTGCCCAAGATCACACAGCTAGTTAGTGGAGCTGCTGGGAGTCAAACCCAAGCAGTCTGGCTCTGGGATCCATGCTCTTAAGGACTATCCCAGACTGAGATGGCAGAAATACCTCAGCAGGTTTAGGAAGAGGCAGTTGGCTATAGTTGGTGGCCACAGCACAGATGCAGAAATACCTCAGCAGGTTTGGGAACAGGCAGTTGGCTGTAGTTGGTGGCCACAGCAGAGATGCTCAAAGGTTGGCGGGACTCTGAGTGCTCTTGGGTCTAGAGTCTCAACCTGCTTTGCCTTTGCAATCAGCTCCCCCCGTGGAGGGACCTGGAACAAATCCATGTGCAGTAAGCCAAGGAGTGGCCCTAGCAGTAGGGAGATGGATGTAGGATATTCTCGAAGCCCGCTCTGCGGCAAGCCAAACCCATGTTTAAAGTGGACCACATACTTACACTGAGCAAACCGAGAAGCTCTCCTGAGTGCAGGGTGGCTCTGGTCAGGCAATGGGCATGAGGAGGAAGACGGGGCTTCCAGGAGTTCTCCTAAGTAACAAAAAAATTAACAGAGGAAAGTCCCATCAGAAAAAGGCAAACTGAAGGTCTCCAAACATCATGGTCAAGGCACATGGCTGGCTTGTCTTCTTATCATCTACACATTTTTCAGTGTCAGGACTGGATCAGGCAGAGGCAGTGTGCCTGCAGCCCAGGTATGTGCACCTCCATGTTCTCACTGTGGACTTTTCACTCTTTCTTCACTAAGCTCTCAGCTCCTTGCTAGCAAAGATCTTGTTCATCTATATGTTCTAAGCACCAAGCCCCATGCCAGTCCCATAGATAGAAGGTGTTTTATGCACACTCATGAAATAAAATCAACTAATACAGTTCCAGGGGATTGCAGCACCCTAACACCTAGAATATCCAGGACCCCCAAGTCAATGTTTTAAACTGTTGTTACATAAACTGGGTAACATGAGTTGGGGTGAGATTCATCACCATTGCTGACACCTCCTAATTCCCTCTCGATGTGCTAAAGTTTAATTATTAACTTAAAGCAGTCATGTGTGCTAGAGTGCAATGACCACGTCAGGCAGATGATAAGTAAGGGAAGTCCTAGAGTGCAGACTTTGAAGGCAAAATCTTGTCCTACTTGTATCTTGAAGTGACAGCAGCTGCAGTGAATCTAAGACTCCACCTGAGAAGAGATGAAAGACCTTGTCTAGGGTGTGCCTGTGGTAACTTAGGTCATGAGAGCAAGAGAGCTGCCTGTAAAGAGGCCAGTCTCAAAATTCAACTCGGAACTGAAGCAATCCCTGTGTCCAGAGACAGAAAAATGGATAAAGAAATGTGATATATACATACAATGGAATATTATTTAGCCTTAAAAAGTAACGAATACTGCCTGGGCGCAGTGGTTCACACCTGTAATCCCAGCACTTTGGGAGGCCAAGACAGGCAGATCACAAGGTCAGGAGTTCAAGACCAGCCTGGCCAATATGGTGAAACCCCATCTCTACTAAAAATACAAAAATTAGCTGCGTGTGGTGACACATGGCTGTAATCCCAGCTACTTGGGAAGCTGAGGCAGGAGAATCACTTGAACCTGGGAGGCGGAGTTTGCAGTCAGCCGAGATCGCACCACTGACTCCAGCCTGGGAAACAGAGTGAGACTCCATCTCAAAAAAAAAAAAAAAAAAAAGTAATGAATTCTGCCTGGGCGTGGTGGCTCACGCCTGTAATCCCAATACTTTGGGAGGCTGAGGCGGGCGGATCACCTGAGGTCAGGAGTTCGAGACCTGCCTGGCCAACATGGCGAAACCCCATCTCTACTAAAAAATACACACACACACACACACACACAAAACTAGTCAGGGGTGGTAGCACATGCCTGTAATCCCAGCTACTACTAGGGAGGCAGAGGTGGGAGAATTGCTTGAACCCGGGAGGCAGAGGTTGCGGTGAGCCAAGATCGCACCACTGCACTCCAGCCTGGGTGACAGAGCAAGACTCCGTCTCAAAAAAAAAAAAAGTAACAAATTCTGATATATGCTACAACATAGGTGAGCTTGGAGGACATTATGCTAAGTGAAATAAACCTCTCACACACTAATACTGTATGATTCCACTCACATGAGGTATCTAGAATAGTCAAATTCATAGAACAGAAAGTGGAATAGTGGTTGCCAGGTAGGAGGGGGTTGAAGGAATGTGGAATTGTTGCTTAATGGGTATAGAGTTTCAATTCTGCAACATGAAACCAGGCATGGTGGCCCATGCTTATAGTCCCAGCTAGTTAGGAGGCTGAGGCAGCAGGCTCACTTGAGGCCAGGAGGAGTTCCAGACCAGCCTGGGCAACATAATGAGACCCTGTCTCTACAAAACAATTCTTTTTTTTTTTTTGAGACTGAGTCTCGCTCTGTCGCCCAGGCTGGAGTGCGATGGCGCAATCTCAGCTCACTGCAAGCTCCACCTCCCGGGTTCACGCCATTCTCCTGCCTCAGCCTCCTGAGTAGCTGGGACTACAGGCGCCCACCACCACACCCAGCTAATTTTTTTGTATTTTTAGTAGAGACGGGGTTTCACCGTGTTAGCCAGGATGATCTCGATCTCCTGACCTAGTGATCCACCCGCCTCGGCCTCCCAAAGTGCTATGATTACAGGCGTAAGCCACTGTCCCGGCCAAAACAATTCTTTAAATAGCTGAGCATGGTGGTGTGGGCCTATAGTCCTGGCTACTGGGGAGGCTGAAGCAGGAGGATTGAGGTTACAGTGAGCCATAGTTGTGCCACAGTACTCTAGCCTGGGCAACAAAGTAAGACCTGATCCTAAAAAATTAAAATTAAAGTTACAGTCCAGGCGTGGTGGCTCACACCTGTAATCCCAGCACTTTGGGAGGCCGAGACGGGTGGATCACCTGAGGCCAGGAGTTTGAGACCAGCCTGGCCAACATGGTGAAACCCTCGTCTCTACTAAAAATATAAAAAAAATTAGCCAGGTGTGGTGGTGGATGCTTGTAATGCCAGCTACTTGGGAGGCTGAGGCAGGAGAATCGCTTGAACCCAGGAGCCAGAGGTCGCAGTGAGCCGAGATCATGCCATTGCACTCCAGCCTGGGCAACAAGAGTGAAACTCTGTCTCAAAAAAAAAAATAAAATAAAATAAAGTTACAAAAAAGAAAATGATCTGGAGATTGGTTATATGATAATGTAAACATACTTAACAGTACTGAGCTCTGAGCTGCTACTTTTTTTGTTGTTGTTGCCGAGGCTGGAGTGCAGTGGCCTGATTTCGGCTCACTGCAACTTCTGCTTCCCAGGCTCAAGTGATCCTCCCACCTCAGCCTCCCAAGTAGCTGGGACTGGGACTACAGGTGTGTGCCACCATAGCAGGCTAGTTTTTGTATTTTTGGTAGAGAAGTGGGTCTCACTATGTTACCCAGGCTGCTCTTGAACTCCTGGACTCAACTGATCTGCCCACCTCAACCTCCCAAAGTGCTGGGATTACAGGCATGAGCCACTGCACCTGCCTGAGCTGCCTACTTAAAAATAGTTAAGATAGTAAATTTTATGTTGTATGTATTTTCACTACAATTTAGAAAAACACAAAATTCAGATGAATATCACTGTTCTCCTATTTTGCTGATACGATTATTACTTATTGTTAATAGGTTTTTAAAAAATGTTTGGCTGGGCACCGTGGCTCACGCCTGTAATCCAACAACTTTGGGAGGTTGAGGCAGGAGGATCGCTTGAGCCCAAGAGTGGGAGACCAGCCTGGGCAACATGGCAAAACCTCATCTCTACAAAAAGTACAAAAAATTAGCTGAGTGTGGTGGCACATGCCTGTAGTCCCAGCTACTTGGGAGTCTTAGGAAGGAAGATCACCTGAGCCTGAGAGATCGAGGCTGCAGTGATTGTGCCACTGCACTCCAGCCTGGGCAACAGAGAACCTGTGTCAAAATAAAAAAATTAATTAATTAATTAATTCAGCAGAATGCAGATTATAAACAAAAGAAAAAGAAAGGAAAAAAATTTTTTAAAAAGCATTTGCAAAACCTACTGAAGTTATTTACTTTTTTTTTTTAAATTAACACTCCCTAATACTTTTTTTATCTCTATTGATGAGAGAAATAATCTACACTTAACCATGGAAATTTTTTCCAAAGAATCATGGTTCTCCAGTTAAGAGCAACATTTTAAGCAGAGCAATATCATTAAACATGAAAATGCTATGAGATATGTCTCTAAAGTGGCACTACACAAATCTTACTTAAAATTCACTAGGGGCTCGGTATGGTGGCTCATGCCTGTAATCCCAGCACTTTGGGAGCCAAAGCACAAGGATTGCTGGAAGCTAGGAGATCAACACCAGCCTGGGCAATAAAGTGACATCCCTGTCTCTATTTAAAAAATAAATAAGGCCAAGTGCTGTGGCTCATGCCTGTAATCCCAGCACTTTGGGATGCCAAGGCAGGCAAAGGCAGGCAGATCACCTGAGGTCAGGAGTTCAAGACCAGCCCGGCCAACATGGCGAAACCCCATCTCTACTAAAAATACAAAAAGTATCCAGATGTGGTGTCGGGAGCCTATAATCCCAGCTACTCAGGAGGCTGAGGCAGGAGAATTGCTTGAACCCGGGAGGCGGAGGTTGTGGTGAGCCGAGATCGCGCCACTGCACTCCAGCCTGGGCAACAGAGTGAGACTCTGTCTCAAAATTAATAATAATAATAATAATAATAATAATAATAAACAAATAAAACAAAATGCACTAGGATACATGCTGAGATATACTTGAAGTGAGTCAAAGATTTAAATGTAAAACATGAAACCAAAGATTTAAATGTAAACTGTGTAAGTACAAACACACACATATACCTGAGAAAATTCCTTTCTAAACTTCAGGGGGTTGAGTTTTCTAACTAAAACTTAAAATCTACAATGCATAAAAGAAAAAATGAACAAAATTTACTACATGAAAATAGAAGCAAGACCTCTTCTCCACAAAAAAAATAAACAAAAAATTAACTGAGTGTGGTAGCGCCACCTTGCAGTCCCACCTACTCAAGCAGCTAAGGTGAACTAATTGCTGGAGCCCAGGAGTTCCAGGCCAGCCTAGGAAACATAGCAAAACTCTGTCTCTACCCAAAAATACAAGAATTAGCCAGGTGCGGTGACACGCACCTGCAGTCCCAGCTACTCAGGAGGCTAAGGAGGGAGGATCACTTGAGCCTGGGAGGTCAAGGCTGGGGTGAGCCATGATCGCACCACTGCACTCCACCCTGGGAAACAAAGTAAGACCTTGTCTCAAAAAATAAAAAAGAAACATTTAGAGACCAGGAATTGCCACAGCACTCTAGTCAACCAGTCTAGGCAACAGAACAAGACTCTGTCTATTGTCTCTAAAAAAAAAAAAAAAAATTGAGGCCAGACATGGTGGTTCACACCTGTAATCCCAGCAATTTGGCAGGCAGAGACAGAAGGATTGCTTGAGCCTAAGAGTTTGAGACCAGCCTGGGCAAAACAGTGAGATTTCATCTCTATAAAAAATTATGTAAAGGCCGAGCGCAGTGGCTTACTCCTGTGTAATCCCAGCAGATTGGGAAGCCAAGGCAGGTGGATCACCTGAGGTCAAGAGTTTGAGACCAGCCTGACCAACATGGGGAAACCCTGTCTCTGCTAAAAATACAAAAATTAGCCAGGTGTGGTGGCACAGGCTTGTAATCCCAGCTACTTGGGAGGCTGAGGCAGGAGAATCACTTGAACCCAGGAGACAGATATTACAGTGAGCCAGATCACACCTTTGTACTCCAGCCTGGGCAACAAGAACGAAACTGCTTCTCAAAAAAAAAAAAAAATTACATAAATTTAAAAATGTCTATATGGCATTATAAAACCCATAAAAGATAAATAAAAAGACAAATGACATATTAAGGAACAAAATTTGCAATTCATATAACAGACAAAAGTTTAATCTCTTTAATTTACAAAGAGCTCCTAAATGTCAATTTTTAAAAGACCAATAACACAAGATATGAAAGACAATTCATGGAGAAACACAAATTAAAAGTGTAGTATAGGCCGGGCACGGTGGCTCACCCCTGTAATCCCAGCACTTTGGGAGACCGAGGCAAGCAGATCACCTGAGGTCAGGAGTCTGAGACCAGCCTGACCAACATGGTGAAACCCCATCTCTAAAAGTACAAAAATTAGTGAGGCCTGGTGGCAGGTGCCTGTAATCCCAACTACTCAGGAGGCTGAGGCAGGAGAATCACTTGAACCTGGGAGACGGAGATTGCAGTGTGCCGAGATCGGGCCACTGCACTCCAACCTGGACAACAAGAGCGAGACTCAGTCTCAAAAAAAAAAAAAAAGAAAGAGAAAGAGAAAAAAAACGCGCAGTATACTCTCACGTCAATGTATTTTCTTGAGTCAGAGTTTCATTCTTGTTGCCCAGGCTGGAGGACAATGGCACGGTCTTGGCTCACTACAACCTCTGCCTCCCGGGTTCAAGCAATTCACCTGCCTCAACCTCCCACGTAACTGGGATTACGGGCACCCACCACCAAGACTGGCTAATTTCACATCAATATTTTGACCCATGAGATTGGTTTAAAAAAAAAGACAAATGTTTGACAACATACTCAGTTGGCAGGTTGGGGACACACACTTCTTCTGTGGGAGTGAAGACTGGTATAACCCAACTGGAGGGTGATTTGGCAATGTATATCAAAATGACAAATGAATTTACCCTATGACCCAGCAACCTTCACTGGCAATTTGAGCTACAAATATATCTACACCCATATGAAACAATGTACATACACAGTTATTGATTTTAGCATTATTTGTCATTGTAAACAATTGGAAACAATCACGTATTCATCTGCAGAGGATGGAGTAAATAAATGTTGGCATACCCAGATATTGGAATACTGAGCAACTGTAAGAGAAAATGCCCTAGGTACTAACAAAAGCAAGGAAAAATGTCCTAACTACTGTACTATAAAATAAAGATGTATAAAGTAAAAGACAAAAGCAAAATGCAGGACAATGTATATAATGTGCTATCTTTTGTGTATTAAAAAAAGATTGGGAGAAATAAAAATATAAATTCATATTCGCTGACATTTGCATAAATAAATTCTGAACAGACACTCAAAAAAACGGTAATAAAAGTGGTGCACTGAGAAGAGAGAATGGGGCAATTGGCAAGGATGGAAGAGAGACTGGGCAGTATGCCCTTTTTATACTGTTTTTGTTTGTTTGTTTGTTTGTTTTGAGATGGTGTTTCGCTCATCACCCACACTGGAGTGCAGTGGCTCACTGCAACCTCTGCCTCCCGGGTTCAAGCAATTTTCCTGCCTAAGCCTCTGGAGTAGCTGGCACTACTGGAGTGTGCCACCACGCCCGGCTAATTTTTTGTATTTTTAGTAGAGACGGGGTTTCACCATGTTGGCCAGGCTGCTCTCGAACTCCTGACCTCAGGTGATCCACCCTCCTTGGCCTCACAAAGTGCTGGGATTACAGGCATGAGCCACCGCGCCCAGCCCTGTTTTGATTTTTGAATATGAAATTTTAAATTTAACCCCCCAAAATTTAAAAATTGATCTTAAATTTGTATAAATAAAATCACTAAGGAACCCAACCTAAGTTTAGAAGCACACAGAATACAAAGGTGCTTCTTTCTCAGATAATTTTTGGAACAATAAACTGCTCTCTAATTGTTTTCCTAAAGAAACTTTTTCCAAGGAATCATGCTTCTCCACTTACATAAGAAATGATTCTTTTTTTTTTTTTTTTTTTTTGAGACAGAGTTTCACTCTTGTTGCCCAGGCTGGAGTGCAATGGTGCAACCTCTGCTTCCCAGGTTCAAGTGATTCTTGTGCCTCTGCCTCCTGAGTAGCTGGGATTATAGGCACCCACCACCATGCCCAGTTAATTTTTGTGTTTTTAATAGAGACAGGGTTTCGCCAGGTTGACCAGGCTGGTCTTGAACTCTTGACCTCAGGTGATCCACACGCCTCGGCCTCCCAAAGTGCTGGGATTACAGGCATAAGCCACTGCACTGGCCAGAAATGATTTTTTAAGTAGCATAAGATTGTTTAAATATGAAAATATAAAGGATATAAAAGCTATCAGAAGAGGAAAAGCTACAGAAGAAATGCCTCTAAAGCATATGAAGATAGCAGTGGCCAGAGCAGGAGGAAGAACCCTGGGAGACCAGACAGAGCTAACGTCTAATGTCTGACAGGAAGGTGTTAGTTATTTTTCAATAACTCTGGAAGAACAACAGAGAAACTACAGGATCAGGACAGAAAGGTTCTTTTCTATATGGTACTGTTTAATATTAACATTAACACACTCCCCAGAGATTATATTTTAATAGACTGTATCAAGAACTAGTTACAAAGTGGCATGCTGGTTTTGTTTGTAGACAAGATCTCCCTCTGTTGCCCAGGATGCAATGCAGTGGCATGATCACTCAGCCTTGAACCCGTGGCTCAAGTGATCCTCTAGCCTCAGCCTACAGAGTAGCTGGGACTACAGGTGTGCACCACCACATCTGGTTACTTTTTATTTTTTGTAGAGACAGGATCTCTCTCTGTAGTCCAGGCTGGTCTTGAACTCCTGGCCTCAAGAGATCCTCTCACCTCAGCCTCCCAAAGCACTGGGATTACAGGCGTGAGCCACTGCACTTGGCCTATATGCTTTGTTAAGAAAGACATTTACAGCCAGGTGCAGTGGCTCACGCCTGTAATCCCAACACTTTGGGAGGCTGAGGTGAGCCTTGCAGTCAGGAGTTTGAGACCAGTCTGTCCAACATGGTGAAACTCTGTCTCTACTTAAAAAAAAAAAAAAAAAAAAGAAAGAAAGAAAAGAAAAAAAAAACCAACGCAAAAATTAGCCAGGCGTGGTGGCGCACGCCTGTAATTCTGGCCAAGATCGCACCACTGCACTCCAGCCTGGGTGACGGAGTGAGACTCTGTCTCAAAATAAAACAAAAACAAAACAAAATTATTAAAAAAAAAAAAAAGAAGAAGACATTTACTAGTTAAAAATTTAAGGCCAGGCACGGTGGCTCACGCCTGTAATCCCAACACTTTGGGAGGCCAAGGCGGGCAGATCACAAGGTCAGGAGATTGAGACCATCCTCGTTAACATGGTGAAACCCCGTCTCTATCAAAAACACAAAAAATTAGCCAGCATGGTGGCGGGCACCTGTAGTCCCAGCTACTGGGGAGGCTGAGGCAGGAGAATGGCATGAACCCAGGAGGCAGAGCTTGCAGTGAGCCCAGATGGTGCCACTGCACTCCAGCCTGGGCGACAGAGTGAGACTCCATCACAAAAAAAAAAAAAAAAAAAAAAAAAAAAATTAAAAGTGGCCTATTTCAGAATCTCTGCAGTAAGATAACACACTTGATCAGTAAGGACCTGTGTGCATGGATCTTCAAAAATGAGTTTCTATCTATTAAGGACTTGTGATACATCACACCTTCAGTCATTGCCAAAAACATATTCAGCCACAAAATCACTTCAGCCCACCCCTACCTGATTCACGACACCACAGTGGTAATACAGCTGGACTCTGGGATCCTATCCCCAGAGAACAAAGCCATAGAGCACTCTGCTACTCCCCCCAACTTCCATATTTAATCCTCCTCCAATAAATAAGATCAGCTCACCCTGCATTTGTGCTTCAGGAGCCTCTTTCCAGGTGACGCTTTCTTGTAATTTTTCCTGAATTTCTTCTAGGTCATGGAGAATATCTCTGATTTTCCCTGCAGCTGTGTCGGAAGTCACCAGCTTTGGAGAAGCCATGGAAAGATCCACCCCAGAAGAAAAAGCCTATTGATAAACCATTTAAAACTGAATAAATGGAAGTCCCCTATGCAGTCTATCAACTATTATATTCAAGTTTTTCTATTCATCTATAATTTTCTATTTAATTCCCAGCAAGTTTTTAAAAACAAAATTAGGCCCTCAAAAAATATGCCTTGAAAAAAATCTGGAATAATTTGCTGTACATAGTACAGCAAAAATATCAAAGAGTGGTTATTTCTGGGTGATGGAGTTATGGAGCACTTTAATTTGCTTTATTTAATGCTATGTGCTTTCTAATATTTTGCACAATAAACATGGATTTCTTAGGTAATACCAAAAAAGTTTAACATTTCTAGGCGCATCTTATAGGGGCTTTATAAAATAAATACTACAGATAGTTACTGAGATAAACCATGGAGGTCAGAATAACCTTTTCGGCTAGGTGTGGTGGCTCACACCTGTAATCCCAGCACTTTGGAAGGCTGAGGAGGGTAGAACACCTGAAGTCAGGAATCCGAGACCAGCCTGGCCAACATGGTGAAACCCTGTCTGTACTAAAAATACAAAAATTAGCCAGGCATGATGGCAAGTGCCTGTAATCCCAACTACATGGGAGGCTGAGGCAGGACAATCACTTGAACCCGGGAGGTAGAGGTTGTACTGAGCTGAGAAGATCATGCCACTGCACTACAACCTGGGCGACAGAGCAAGACTCCATTTCACAAAAAAAAAAAAAGGAACCTTTTCCCACCTCTATCATTATATCATTTCACTTCGCAAGAGCTCCCTCTCAAATTGCCTGCATCCAGGTCCTGCTTTCTAGGGCCTTCAACACATGCTCCCTGATTTTCTTTAGCCTCAGGTCCTGTTCTTCCCCAATACAGCCCTTTATCTGCTCACCAACTTCAACCCCTTTCCTTCCCACCTTTGCATAATCCACTCCCCATTCTTTCCACCAATCAAAATACGGTAGTATTACACTTATTGAGTGTTTTCTACATGCTAGATATTGCCTTTCTCTCATTTGCATAACAACCTCACAAAGTAGGTTTATCAACCTGTAAAAAATCTCCGTTTTACAAAAGAAGATGAAATTCATGAAGGTTAACTAAATTGCCACAGTTAATTATAACATCCCACATTTTAACATTGCTCAAGCACTTTCTTATACCTCTTTTAATCCTCACAATAAACCAATGATGTGGCAGGCCCTGTATCATTATTTCTATATTACAGATAGGAACCTGAGACGCAGATAGATGAAATGACTTGCCCAAGGTCATAATACTAGTGAGTGACAATGTCAATTCTGAAAGTCAGACTCTCAGCGTTTCTATCCCAACACATCGCATCCCTAAAGATGGATTTATCCATACATTCAGTGGGTATTTGTTGAACCCCTACTGTAAGTGGGTACTTGGGTACTGTGCTAGCGCCTGGGGACACAATGGTGGACAAAAGAACAAAAGCATCAGCCAGGCAATGTGGCGCACGCCTGTAATCCCAGCACTTTGGGAGGCCGAGGCAGGTGGATCACAAGGTCAGGAGTTTGAGGCCAGACTGGCCAGTATGGTGAAACCCCGTCTCTACTAAAAATACAAAAATTAGCCAGGAGTGGTGGCGGACACCTGTAGTCCCAGCTACTCGGCAGGCTGAGGCAGGAGAATCACTTGAACCTAGGAGGCGGAGGTTGCAATGAGCTGAGATCACGCCACTGCACTCCAGCAAGACTCTGTCTCAAAAAAAAAAAAAGCATCAAAAGTCCCTATCCTCCTGAAGTTGAGAGTCCAGTGAAGGAAAAGGGAGGGGGGCAGACATTAATATAGAGTATGGCACAAGACATTACAAAGGTGCAATGGTGATAACCACTACAAATGAAAGGTACATGGAGTCCTCAGAGCCTCTAATGGGGAGATTTGATTTGTTCAAGGAAATCATTGAAGGCTTCTTTCTGAAGAAATGACGTTCTAGCTAGGATCTGAAGGATGAGCAAGTATTACCTAAGTGATGGAGGGAAAGGAGAGCATTCCATGAAGGGTGCCCTGTAGTGGGAAGACGTGAGACACACTAGAGCGACTGTGCGGCCAGTGTAGCTAGAGCGCACAGAGCCAGGCAGCATGAGCAGAGATGAGATTTGAGAGGCAGACAGAGATGGGATCCTACAGGGCTTTGCTGGTCCTGTGAGGATTTGGGTCTTACTCCTGAGCAAACTGATGTAATTTGAATGTTTTAAGCAGATGAGTTACATTTTCAGATTGATGTTTGTGGTAGTCACTGTGATGACCATGAGGAAAACAGACTAGAAGAGGGAGAGTGGAGCATTTGGAAGACTATGACAGCAATCCAGACATGAAATTATCAGAGGCTTGGATTAGAGCAAGTCTCAAAGGAGCTCAAGAATAAGTAAATAGATTTGAGAGGTAATTAGGCAGGTCTTAAAGCTACAATATGCTGCATATTAGGGTAAGGGAGAAGAAGGTAACATGATTTCCAGGTCTCTGGCTTCTGTACTTGGAAAGATAATGGGGCAAGCATTGAGATGAGAAATCCCAGAAGAGGAGCAGTTTAGGACGCATTAAGTGTGATGCTTTGAGATACCCAAGAAGAAAAGATGAGAAGGAAGACATAGCAGCCTAGTGCTCAGAGAAGGCTCCAGCCTGGAGCTATTATTTGTGCATAGAGGTGGTCATTAAAGCCATGGATGCAGGGAAGACTACCTGCAGGGGAAACAAAGGGACCTACAACTCAGCCTTGAGGAACTCCAGCATTTAATTCCTAAGCAGAGGAGAGAGAGCCTGTAAACAGACTGAGAAGGATCAGCCAGAGAGAGGTGGGGGAAAGCCAAAAGATTCCTGTCCCAAAAGCTAAGAATGAAGGTGTGGTCCACAGTGTCAAAGGCTGCTGAAAGGTCAATGAAGACAGGCACCAGAACGCTTATAGAGACAGGCACCAGAACGTTATACACAGAGGTCACTGGTGATCTTAGAGACAGCTTGTTAGGTGGAGTGATCCTAGCCCATCTGAAGCTTCCCAACCTTACCTCAAGCATTCCAAATGTCCAATCATCCATGTCTGGTAGTAAAGAGAACAATAAAAGATTGAGACTTATTGTATCCTTCAGGTTCAAATATGTTCATGTTGTTCCAGTTGAAAGCAATCCCTAGCCCTATTCCCTTCCACATCCTTTCCTCTCCCAGTGGAGCCTACCTTGCCCAGGATGCTCAGTTCGTTGTCTGGTCCAGATTCTGATAGGGGCCTCTGATTCTGCAGGCTTCTGACAATGTCTACAAGATGTTCCACCAGCTCTGTCAGCTCCTGAGCAACTTCTGTGATGCTCTTCTCTACTGCCACCTTCAAAATAGCAAAGTTCAGGTCCTGGGTTCTATAAAACTGGACCCAGGAACCACCACTAGACAGAGGGAATCATAAATACTGTGGTAATGGCATAAAAACAGACATACAGACCGATGGAATACAATAGAGTACCCAGAAATAAACTCTCACATATATAGTTAAATGATTTTTGACGAAGGTGCCAAGACCATTCAATGGAGAAAGGACAGTTTTTTCAACAAATTGTACTGTGAAAACTGGATATCTATATGCAAAAGAATATGGCTGGACCCTTACCTAACATCATATACAAAAACTAACTCAAAATGGATCAAAGACCTAAATGTAAGACCTAAAATAATACAGCTGTTAGAAGAAAACATAGGGCAAAATTTATGACATTGGATTTGGCAATGATTTATTGTATATGTCACTAAAAGCACAGGCAACAAAAGAAAA
Source organism: Homo sapiens (assembly GCF_000001405.40). Classification (NCBI taxonomy): domain Eukaryota; kingdom Metazoa; phylum Chordata; class Mammalia; order Primates; family Hominidae; genus Homo; species Homo sapiens. Next base: position 30,984,175 of record NC_000017.11, on the reverse strand, counting down.
AAGGAGACAAATTGGACTACATGAAATGTTTAAACATTTGTGCATCAAAAGACACGAACAATAGAGTAAAAAGGCAATCCACAAAAATGGAAGAAAATATTTGCAAGTCATACATCTGATAAGGCATTAATACTGAGAATATACAGAGAATTTCTAAAACTCAACAATAAAAACATATCACTGCCGCTTGTTTGGTTGGTAAAACAAACAAGCAAAAACCCACAAACAACTGAATTTTGAAATGGGCAAAGAACTTGAATAGCTATTTCTCCAAAGAAGATATACAAATCACCAATAAGCACATGAATAGACACTCAAGATCACTAATCACTAGGGAAATGCAAATCAAAACATACAGTGAGATACCACCTCACACTCATTAGGTTGGCTACTATCAAAAAAAAAAAAACCAAAATAACAAATGTTGATGGTGTGGGAAGATTGGAACCCTCTGCACTGTTGGTGGGAATGATATAGCCACTATGGAAGACAGAATGGTGGCTGCTCAAAATATTAAAAATAGGCCAGGCGCAATAGCTCATGGCTGTAATCCCAGCACTTTGGGAGGCCGAGGCGGGTGGATCACCTGAGGTCAAGAGTTCGAGATCATCCTGGCCAACCTGGTGAAACCCCATCTCTACTAAAAATACAAAAATTCACCAGGTGTGGTTGCAGGCACCTATAATCCCAGCTACTTGGGAGGCTGAAGCAAGAAAATCTCTTGAACCCAGGAGATGGAGGTTGCAGTGAGCCAAGATCATGCCACTGCATTCAAGCCTGGGCGACAGGGCCAGACTCCATCTCAAAAAAAAAAAAAAAAAATATATATATATATATATATATATATATATATATGTACATATATGTAATTAGAATTACCATATGATTTAGCAATTCCACTTCCGGATATATAAGAATTGAAAACAGGATCTCAAAGAGATTCATAAACTCATGCCCATAGCAGTATTATTCCCACTAGCTAAAACATGGAAGCAACCCAAGTATCTGCAGACAAATGAATGAATAAGCAAAAAGTGGCATATACATACAATAGAATACTACTCAGCCTTAAAAAGGAAGGGAACTCTGACACATGCTACAACATAAATAACCCTTGAAGACATTATGCTAAGTGAAATAAGCCAGTCACAAAAAGACAGATACTGTATGATTCAACTTATATGAGGTATTTAGAGTAGTCAAAATCAGAGACAGAAATTAGAATGATGGTTGCCAGAGGCTGGGGGAAGAGGAAATGGAGAATTTTAATGTCCTCCTAGAATTCCACTTTTGCGAGTTGAAAAGAGTTATGGTACCCTGAAGAACCAGTCATGTTAATTTAAAATTTTTTAAAGTTATGGAAATGATGGTAGTGATGGTTTCAAAACATTGTGAATGTATTTCATATCACCAAACTGTATACTTAAAAATGGTTTAGGGCCAGAGAGAAGTGGGGGAAAGCCAGAAGACTTAAGGGTGGAGAGGGCAGAGCAAGATAGCCAAATAGAAGGCTCCATTGATCATCCCTCCCACAAGAACACCAAATTTAACAACTACACAAAAAAGCACCTTCATAAGAACCAAAAATCAGGGGTACTTACAGTACCTGGTTTTAACTTTATATTACTGAAACAGGCACTGAAGAGGGTAGGAGAAACAGTCTTGAATTGCCAATGCAACCCATATCCCATGTGTCAGGGGCCACATGCACAGAGAATCTGTGCACTCAGGAAAGGGAGAGCATGGTGATAAAGAGAATAGAAAGACTTTGCCTTGTCGCTTCACAAAGCAAAACTGGGCTGAATTCAGCTGACGCCTACCCACAGAGGGAGCATTTAGATCAGTCCTAGCCAGAGAGGAATCAAATCACCCACCCCAGTTATTGGAACCTGAGTTCTGGCAAGCCTCTCCACTGTGGGCTGAAGTGCTCTGGGGCTCTAAATAAACTTGAAAGGCAGTCTAGGCCACAAGGACTGCAACTCCTAGGCAAGTCCTAGTGCTGAGATGGGTCTCTGGACCGGCCCCGAGCCTGGGTGAATGTGCCACCATGAAGGGAAGGACACAAGCCTGGCTGGCTTTGCCATCTGCTGATTATAGAGCCCTAGGTCCTTGAGTCAATATAGGTGGTAGCCAGATAGTGGTTAACAAGGGGCTTGGGTAAGGCACAGTGCTGTGTTGGCTTTAGGTCTGACCCTGTGCAGTTCTAGTGGTCATGGCCACAAGGTGCTTCTGTCACCCCACCTCCAGCTCCAGGCAGCTCAGCACACAGACAGACTGTTTTGGAGAACGTATGAGAAGAGAACAAGAATCTCTGCCTGGTAATCCAGATAATTCTTCTGGATCTTATACAAGACCACCAAGGTGGTACCTCTAGTAGTCTGCAAGAGTCACAGCTTTACTGGGCTTGGGGTGCCCCCTAATGCAGATACGGCTTAGATCACAACGCCCAAGTCCTTTCAAATTCCTGGAAAGCCTTCCCAAGAAGGACAGGTACAAACAAGCCCAGACTGTGAAGACTACAATAAATAACTAACTCTTCAATGCCCAGGCACTGACAAACATCCACGAGCATCAAGACCATTCAGGAAAACATGACCCCACCAAACTAACTAAATAAGTCACCAAGAGCCAATTCAGGAGAAACAGAAATATGTGACCTTTCAGACAGAGAATTCAAAATAGCTGATTTAAGAAAACTCGGAGACATTCAAGATAACAGAGAAGGAATTCAGAATTCTATCAGGTAAATTTAACAAAATGATTGAAATAATTAAAAATCGGTTAAGAGTCATCACCACGCTCTCCCTCTCCCTCTCCCTCTCCCTCCACGGTCTCCCTCTGATGCTGAGCCAAAGCTGGACGGTACTGCTGCCATCTCGGCTCACTGCAACCTCCCTGCCTGATTCTCCTGCCTCAGCCTGTCGAGTGCCTGCGATTGCAGGCGCGCGCCGCCACGCCTGACTGGTTTTCGTTTTTTTTTGGTGGAGACGGGGTTTCGCTGTGTTGGCCGGGCTGGTCTCCAGCTCCTAACCGCGAGTGATCCGCCAGCCTCGGCCTCCCGAGGTGCCGGGATTGCAGATGGAGTCTCGTTCACTCAGTGCTCAATGGTGCCCAGGCTGGAGTGCAGTGGCGTGATCTCGGCTCGCTACAACCACCTCCCAGCCGCCTGCCTTGGCCTCCCAAAGAGCCGAGATTGCAGCCTCTGCCCGGCCGCCACCCCGTCTGGGAAGTGAGGAGCTTCTCTGCTTGGCCACCCATCGTCTGGGATATGAGGAGCCCCTCTGCCTGGCTGCCCAGTCTGGAAAGTGAGGAGCGTCTCTGCCCGGCCGCCATCCCATCTAGGAAGCGAGGAGCGCCTCTTCCCCGCCACCATCCCATCTAGGAAGTGAGGAGCGTCTCTGCCCGGCCGCCCATCGTCTGAGATGTGGGGAGCACCTCTGCCCCACCGCCCTGTCTGGGATGTGAGGAGCGCCTCTGCTGGGCCGCAACCCTGTCTGGGAGGTGAGGAGCGTCTCTGCCCGGCCGCTCCGTCTGAGAAGTGAGGAAACCCTCTGCCTGGCAACCGCCCCGTCTGAGAAGTGAGGAGCCCCTCCGTCCGGCAACCACCCCGTCTGGGAAGTGAGGAGCGTCTCCGCCCGGCAGCCACCCCGTCCGGGAGGGAGGTGGGGGGGGTCAGCCCCCCGCCCGGCCAGCCGCCCCGTCCGGGAGGTGAGGGGCTCCTCTGCCCGGCCGCCCCTACTGGGAAGTGAGGAGCCCCTCTGCCCGGCCGCCCCTACTGGGAAGTGAGGAGCCCCTCTGCCCGGCCAGCCGCCCCGTCCGGGAGGGAGGTGGGGGGCTCAGCCCCCCGCCCGGCCGGCCGCCCCGTCCGGGAGGTGAGGGGCGCCTCTGCCCGGCCGCCCCTACTGGGAAGTGAGGACCCCTCTGCCCGGCCAGCCGCCCCGTCCGGGAGGGAGGTGGGGGGGTCAGCCCCCCGCCCGGCCAGCCGCCCCATCCGGGAGGTGAGGGGCTCCTCTGCCCAGCCGCCCCTACTGGGAAGTGAGGAGCCCCTCTGCCCGGCCAGTCGCCCCGTCCAGGAGGGAGGTGGGGGAGTCAGCCCCCCGCCTGGCCAGCCGCCCAGTCCGGGAGGGAGGTGGGGGGTCAGCCCCCCGCCCGGCCAGCCGCCCCGTCCGGGAGGGAGGTGGGAGGATCAGCCCCCCGCCTGGCCAGCCGCCCCGTCCGGGAGGTGAGGGGCGCCTCTGCCCGGCCGCCCCTACTGGGAAGTGAGGAGCCCCTCTGCCCGGCCAGCCGCCCCGCCCGGGAGGGAGGTGGGGGGGTCAGCCCCCCCGCCTGGCCAGCCGCCCCATCCGGGAGGGAGGTGGGGGGGTCAGCCCCCCGCCCGGCCAGCCGCCCCGTCCGGGAGGGGGGAGGGGGGTCAGCCCCCTGCCCGGCCAGCCGCCCCGTCCGGGAGGGAGGTGGGGGGGGTCAGCCCCCCGCCCGGCCAGCCGCCCCGTCCGGGAGGGAGGTGGGGGGGATCAGCCCCCCGCCTGGCCAGCCGCCCCGTCCGGGAGGTGAGGGGCGCCTCTGCCCGGCCGCCCCTACTGGGAAGTGAGGAGCCCCTCTGCCGGGCCAGCCGCCCCGTCCGGGAGGGAGGCGGGGGGGGGGGGTCGGCCAGCTGCCCCGTCCGGGAGGGAGGTGGGGGGGGTCAGCCCCCCTTCCGGCCGGCCGCCCCGTCCGGGAGGTGAGGGGCGCCTCTGCCCGGCCGCCCCTACTGGGAAGTGAGGACCCCTCTGCCCGGCCAGCCGCCCCGTCCGGGAGGGAGGTGGGGGGGACAGCCCCCCGCCCGGCCAGCCGCCCTATCCAGGAGGTGAGGGGCGCCTCTGCCCGGCCGCCCCTACTGGGAAGTGAGGAGCCCCTCTGCCTGGCCAGCCGCCCCGTCCGGGAGGGTGGGGGGGGGGGTCAGCCCCCCGCCCGGCCAGCCGCCCCATCCGGGAGGTGAGGGGCGCTTCTGCCCGGCCGCCCCTACTGGGAAGTGAGGAGCCCCTCTGCCCGGCCACGACCCCGTCTGGGAGGTGTGCCCAGCAGCTCATTGGGGATGGGCCATGATGACAATGGCGGTTTTGTGGAATAGAAAGGCGGGAAGGGTGGGGAAAAAATTGAGAAATCGGATGGTTGCCGGGTCTGTGTGGATAGAAGTAGACATGGGAGACTTTTCATTTTGTTCTGTACTAAGAAAAATTCTTCTGCCTTGGGATCCTGTAGATCTGTGACCTTATCCCCAACCCTGTGCTCTCTGAAACATGTGCTGTGTCCACTCAGGGTTAAATGGATTAAGGGCGGTGCAAGATGTGCTTTGTTAAACAGATGCTTGAAGGCAGCATGCTCGTTAAGAGTCATCACCACTCCCTAATCTTAAGTACCCAGGGACACAAACACTGCGGAAGGCCGCAGGGTCCTCTGCCTAGGAAAACCAGAGACCTTTGTTCACTTGTTTATCTGCTGACCTTCCCTCCACTATTGTCCTATGACCCTGCCAAATCCCCCTCTGCGAGAAACACCCAAGAATGATCAATAAAAAAAAAATAAAAAATAAAAAATAAATAAAAAAAAGAAATAATTAAAAATCAAGCAGAAATTCTGGAATCGAAGAATGCATCTGACATACTGAAGAATGCATCAGAGTCTCTCAATAGCAAAATCGATCAAGTATTAGAAAGAATTAGTGAGCCTGAATTCAGCCTATTTGAAAATACACAGTAAGAAGAGACAAAAGAAAAAAGAGAATGAAGCATGCCTACAAGATCTAGAAAATGGCCTCAAAGGGGCAAATCTAAGAATTATTGGCCTTAAGAGGAGGTAGAGAAAGAAATAGTGGTAGAAAGTTTATTCAAAGAAATAATAGCATGGAACTTCCCAAATCTACAGAAAGACATCAATATCTACATACAAGAAGGTTATAAAACACCAAGCAGATTTAACCCAAAGAAGACTATGTGAAGGCATTTATAATAAAACTCCCAAAGGTTAAGGTTAAAGAAAGGATCCTAAAGCAGCAAGAGAAAAGAAATAAATAATATACAAGGGAGTTCCAATACATCTGGCAGCAGACTTTTCAGTGGAAACCTTATAGGCCAGGAGAAAGTGCCATGACATATGTAAAGTGCTGAAGGAAAAAACTTTTACCCTAGAAAACTATAATTTGTGAAAATAGCTTTGAAACATGAAGGAGAAATAGACTCTCCCAGACAAACAAAAGCTAAGGGATTTTATCAACACCAGACCTGTCCTACAAGAAATGCTAAAGGGAATACTTCAATCAAAAAGAAAAGAAGGCCAGGCGCAGTGGCTCATACTTGTAATCCCAGCACTTTGGGAGGCCACGGCGGGTGGATCACCTGAGGTCAGGAGTTCGAGACTAGCCTGGCCAACATGGTGAAACCCCGTCTCTGCTAAAAATACAAAAATTAGCCGGGCGTGGTGGTGGGCGCCTGTAATCCCAGCTACTCCAGAGGCTGCGGCAGGAGAATCGCTTGAACCCAGGAGGTGGCCTGTAATCCCAGCACTTTGGGAGGCTGAGGTGGGCAGATCACTTGAGGTCAGGAGTTCAAGACCAGCCTGGACAACATGATGAAACCCTGTCACTACTAAAAATACAAAAATTAGCTGGGCATGGTGGCGCATGCCTGTAGTCCCAGCTACTCGGGAGGCTGAGACAGGAGAATTTCTTGAACCCAAGAGGTGGAAGTTGCAGTGAGCCGAGATCACGTCACTGCACTCCAACCTGGGCAACAGAGTAAAACTCTGTCTCAAAACAAAACAAAACAAAACAAAAACCTCACTAGTAATAGTAAGGTCACAGAAAACCAATAAAAAATAACTACAACAACTTTCAAACATATAGATAGTATAAGATATACACAGAAATAACAAAAAATTAAATAGCAGGGGATGAATTTGAAGTGTAGAGTTTTTATTAGTTTTCTTTTTGCTTGTTAGGTAGTTCATGCAAGCAGTGTCAAGTTGTTATCAGCTTAAAACAATAGGTTATAAGATACTACTTGCAAGCTCATGGTAACCTCAAATCAAAAATCATATAATGGATACACAAAAAATAAAAAGCAAGAAACTAAATCATAGCACCAGAGAAAATCATCTTCATTTAAAGGAAGACAGAAAAGAAGGAAAGAAGGAAGAGAAGACCACAAAACAAAACAACCAAAGAACAAATAACAAAATGGCAAGAATTACTTATCAATAACATTGAATGTAAATGAACAAAAATCTTCAATCAAAAGACACAGAGTGGTTGACTGGATAAAAAAACAAGACCCAATGATCTATTCCCTACAAGAAACACACTTCATCTATAGGCACATATAGACTGAAAATAAAGGGATGGAAAAATATATCCCATGCCAATGGAAACCAAAAAAGAGCAGGATTAGCTATACATATATCAGACAAATAGATTTCAAAACAAAATCTATAATAAAAGACAAAGTTTATAATGATGGAGTCAATTCAGTAAGAAGATATAACAACTGTAAATATATATGCACCAACACTAAAGCACCCAGACATGTAAAGCAAGTATTATTAGAGCTAAAGAGAAGACAGACTCCAATACAATAACAGCTGGAGACTTCAACAACCCACTTTTGGCATTGAACAAATTATTCAGACAGAAAAGTAACAAGGAAATATTGGACTTAATCTGTACTGTAGATCAAATGGACCTAATGGATATTTATGGAACATTTACATCCACGCTACAGAATACACATGGATCTTTTCCTCAGCACATGATCATTCTCAAGGATAGGTCACAAAACCTAAGACCTAACATATGTCAGGTCACAAAAACAAGTCTTAAAACATTCAAAAAAAATTGAAATAGGCTGGGCGTGGTGGTTCATGCCTGTAATCCCAGCACTTTGGGAGGCCGAGGCGGGTGGATCACGAGGTCAGGAGTTCAAGACCATCCTGGCCAACATGGTGAAACCCCGTCTCTACTAAAAATACAAAAATTAGCCAGGTGTGGTGGCGTGTGCCTGTAATCCCAGCTGCTGGGAAGACTGAGGCAGGAGAATCACTTGAACCAGGGAGGCGGAGGTTGCAGTGAGCAGAGATCACGCCACCGCACTCCAGTCTGGCAACAGAGCGAGACGCCATCTCAAAAAAACAAACAAAAAAAATTTTTTTAGTATTTATTTTTTTTTACATGTGACTTTTTGTATTTATCATCTCTCAACTTTGTAGAGATGAACAGGCAGAAGAGTCAGAATTGAAGCTTGGAGCCCAAACTTGGGATTCCAAAATGGGGTAGAAGCCATATACGTTAGGAGCTTGGCAGCAGCCAAAATGGACTATTCTGTGGCCAACGAAGTCATCTGCAGGGACCTTGATGTTGGGGTACAGGATGAGCTGGAAAGAGGGTACCCGATGACCCATGTACACCAGGCCAATCAGGTGAGCAGTGTTGGGCAATCTGGGTAGTGTGTCTGCATTTCTCAGGCCGACACTGGTGGTGACTCCACCCTCCGGTATTGGCGGTTGTGGAGTTTCTTGTTTTTGCTGAATATGCTTTTATTTGGCTTTCTTGAGTTTTGCTCTGTGGTTCTTGAACCAGACCTGGAGTATTGTTGGGTGTATGTCTATTTTCGAGGCCATTTATTTCTGAGGGCAGGGGTTTGGGTATGGGTTCTCATTGAACAAGATGTTCAGATCTTCCAGTTGCTTCTCAGTGAACACAGTTCATTTCCTGTGTGAATGCATCTGGTCCTTGCCTTTAGGAAGATCCTCTGAGCCTGGCATCTTCTAATCCAGATGTGTGCCTGGGCTCAGGTGCAGGCATAAGTAGCAATATTTTTTTAAGGGGAAACAGGATGTTGCTCTGTTGCCCAGGCTGGAGTGCAGTGACATGAAAACAGCTCACTGCAGCCTCAACCTCCTGGATTCAAGTGTTCTTCGTACCTCAGTCTCGCAAGTAGCTGGGACCACAGCCATGTGTCATCACACCCAGCTTCTTTTTTCTTTTTTTTTTCATTGGGTCTCATAGCTTCTTTTTTCTTTTTTTTTTAATTGGATCTCACCATGCTGCCCAGGCTGGTCTTGAACTCCTGGGCTCAAGCAATCCTCCTGCTTCTGCCTCCCAAAGTGCTAGGATTGTAAGTGTGAGCCATGACAATCTGCCTGAAAAATTTCTTAAAATAAATTATAATGGGCCTGGCACAGTGGCTCATGCCTGTAATCCCAGCACTTTGGGAGGCCGAGGCAGGCAGATCACCTGAGGTCAAGAGTTTGAGACCAGCCTAGCTAACATGGTGAAACCCCATCTCTACAAAAATATAAAAATTAGCCTGGGTGGTGATGGGCACCTGTAACCCCAGCTACTCGGGAGGCTGAGGTAGGAGAATCACTTGAACCCGGGAGATGGAGGTTGCAGTGAGCCAAGATCGTGCCACTGCACTCCAGCCTGTGTGACAGAACAAGACTCTGTCTCAAAAAAAAATAATAATAATAATAATAATAAAAAGGAATAACATAGCTAGGAATAAATTTAATCAAAGAGGTGAAAGACTTATACACTTAAAACTACAAAAAAAAAAATCACTGAAGGAATTATAGACCCAAATAAAAATAAATAAAAAGACATTCTGTGTTTTAGGGAAAGAAGACTTAATATTGTTAAGATGTCAATACTACCCAAAGTGATCTACAGATTCAACATAATCCCTATCAAAATTCCAACAGCCTACTTTGTAGAAATGGAAAAGCCAATTTTCAAATTCAGATGGAATTGCGAGGGGTTCTGAATAACAAAAACAATCTTGGGGAAAAAAAACAAAAAACAAAGTCAAAGAACTCACACTTCTCTATTTATAAATTTACTACAAAGTTATAGTAATCAAAATAGTGTGGTACCAGCATAAGTACAGACATATAGACCAATGGAATAAAATGGAATGTACAGAAATAAAACTATACATTTATTTTGAGACAGAGTCTCACTCCATTACCCAGGCTGGAGTGCAGTGGTACAATCACGGCTCACTGCAACCTCAAACTCCCAGCTCAGGTGATTTCTCCTACCTCAGCCTCCCAAGTACCTGGGACTACAGGCACATGCCACCATGCCCAGCTAATTTTTTGTATTTTTCTAGAGATGGGGTTTCATCTCTAGATGAAACTTTGGCCTCCCAAAGTGCTGGGATTACAGGTGTGAACCACATGCCTGGCCCAGCCAAATGATTGTTGACAAGGATGCCAAGTCTAATCAATGGAGAATAGACTCTTCAACAAATGGTACCAAGACAATTGGATTTCCACATACAAAAGAATGAAGTTGGACCCCTAATTCACACCATATACAAAAATTAACTTAAAATTGACCAATTACCTAAACGTAAGCTAAAACCATAAAACTCTTAGAAGAGGCTGGCACAGTGGCTCATGCCTGTAATCCCAACACTTTGGGAGGCCAAGGTAGGCAGATCACTTGAGGTCAGCAGTTCAAGACCAGCCTGGCCCACAGTGAAACCCCGTCTCTACTAAAAATACAAAAATTATCCAGGTGTGGTGGCAGGCGCCTGTAATCCCAAATACTTTGGAGGCTGAGGCAGGAGAATTGCTTGAACCCGGGAGGTGGAGGCTGCAGTGAGCTGAGATCGTGTCACTGCACTCCATCCCTGGGAAAGGAGCGAGACCTCGTTTCAAAAAAAAAAAAACTCTTAGAAGAAAACATAGGGGTAAATCTTCATGAACTGAGATTTGGCAATGGATTTGTAAATATGACAACAGAAGCACAAGCAACAAAAGAAAACAACAGATAAAAATTAAATTTAAAACTTTTGCACATCAAAGGATACCATCAAGAAAGTGACAACGCTTAGAATGGGAGAATATATATTTTATAATATATCTGTGAGTCATATCTAATTTGATATCCAGAATATAGAAGGAATCTCTAAAACTCAACAACAAAAAGATAAACAACCCAATTTTAAAATGGTCAAAGGACTTGAATAGACATTTCTGCAATGAAGATCTATAAATGACCAACAAGCACAAGAAAAGATGGGCAACATCATTAGTCATTAAGGAAATCCAGATCAAAATCACAGTGAGGCTGGGTGCGGTGGCTCACGCCTGTAATCCCAACACTTCCGGAGGCCGAGGTGGGCAGATCACAAGGTCAAGAGATCGAGACCATCCTGGCCAACATGGTGAAAACCCGTCTCTACTAAAAATACAAAAATTACCTGGGTGTGGTGGTGCATGCCTGTAGTCCCAGCTACTTGGGAGGCTGAGGCAGGAGAATCACTTGAACCCAGGGGGCAGAGGTTGCAGTGAGCCAAGATCATGCCACTACACTCCAGCCTGGCAACAGAGCAAGACTCCATCTCAAAACAAAACAAACAAAAAAAATGTGGCACATCCACCCAATGGAATATCATTCAGCCCCATAAAAGGAATAAAGTTCTGACACATGCTACAACATGAATGAACTTTGAAAACACTATGCTAAGTGAAAGAAACCAGGCACAAAGGGACAAACATTGAACGATTCCAGTTATATGAAATATCTAGAACAGGCAAACTCAGATACAGAAAGTAGCTTAGATGTGAGCAGGGGCTAGAGGGAGGAGAAATGAGGAGTTACTGCTTAATGAGTACAAAGTTTCTGTTTATGATGATGAAACAGTTTTGGAAACAGAAGTGATAGTTGCACAACAGGAAATGTAACTAATTTGTCACTGAATTGTACACTTAAAAATGGTTAAAATAGGCGGGGCGCGGTGGCTCACACCTGTAATCCCAGCACTTTAGGAAGCCGAGGCGGGCAGATCACGAGGTCAGAAGATCGAGACCATCCTGGCTAACAACGGTGAAACCCCGTCCCTATTTTTTAAAAAAAGAAAAAAACATACAAAAAATTAGCCAGGCGTGGTGGCGGGCGCCTGTAGTCCCAGTTACTCGGGAGGCTGAGGCAGGAGAATGGCGTGAACCCGGGAGGCGGAGCTTGCAGTGAGACAAGATGGCGCCACTGCACTCCAGCCTGGGCCACAAAGCAAAACTCCGTCTCAAAAAAATAAAAGGTTAAAATGAGGCCAGGCGCTGTGGCTCATGACTGTAATCCCAGCACTTTGGGAGGCCGAGGCGGACGGATCATCTGTGGTCAAGAGTTTGAGACTAGCCTGGCTAACATGTCGAAACCCCGTCTCTACTAAAAATACCAAAATTAGCCGGGCGTGATGGCGCACGCCTGTAATCCCAGCTACTCTCGAGCCTGAAGCAAGAGAATCACTCGACCCTGGGGGGCGGAGGTTGCAGTGAGCCGAGATCACGCACGCCATTGCACTCCATCCAGCCTGGGCGACAGAGCGAGACTCCGTCTCAAAGAAATAAAGAAAAAGGTTAAAATGGCCAGTTTTAATGTTATATAGATCTTACCACAATTTTACAAGTTTCAGAGAAAGAGACCGAAGATCGATTGGGAAGAAGTTGAAATATGCCAAGCTGTGTAACAGCTAAGTTGACAAGCTTTCGGAAGATGGGGAATTTGTTTTTTTCTACTTCTTCATACTTTTATGAACTTTCCAAAGTGCCTCCGAAGAGCGGAACTCGACTTTTAGACTGAGAAAAGGAACGTAAAAGTAGAACGGCTGAGGAAAGGGGTTCGAGCCACATGGGAAAGGGTCAGGCGGCGGGCAGCCCGGGGGAGCCAGGGGAGCTGCGGGCCCGGCCTCCCTACCCGCTGCAGTTCCGGGCGGCGCCGGGGCCTCGCGGCCGCGCTGGAGAGGGAACTGGAGCCCGGGCAGGGGCAGTGGGCAGGGTCGGAGCCCGCCTGTATCTCGCGTGCGGCGCGGCGGTACTTGTCGGCCAGGTCCTGCAGTAGCGTGTTCTTCCGCAGGTGCGGCTGCTGCGCGGCGCCCTGGCGGCAAGTGGGGCAGGCCCAGCGGCGGGCGTCGCGGGCGCCCCACAGGGCCTCCAGGCAGTGGCGGCAGAAGCTGTGGCCGCAGGGCAGCGTGGCGGGCCAGTCCAGCAGCCCCTGGCAGATGATGCAGCCGAGGTCGTCCTCGGCCAGCCACACGGGAACGGCGGAGCCCAGGCCCAGGCCCGCCATGGCCAACAGGCGGCCGGGGCGCGGACGTCGGGGTTGAGCCGGGCGAGTCTCCTCAGGCTCCTCCCTCGCCCTTCCTCTTCCCCTTGCCCTCCTCCTTTTCTCGGCCGCCTTTTCTCCTCCTTCCTTGGCGCCACCCCGTCTCCTTCCTCCGATCCTGCTGAAAACAGACTTAGAGCCTCCAGTGCCCAGCTGGAAAGACAGAGCTGACCTTCAGTGGCGGCCTCTTGCCCTGGGAAACCAACATGCCGCGAGCTGCTAGAAACCCGCGGAGGTCTCCAAGATTCCCTTTAGCTGGATGTCCCTCCATTAAGATGCAGCACCGTTGGATGTCTTCGTCCGTTGGCTTAAAAAAAAATAAACAACAAAAAAGATGCAACACCGACAACTCTTGGGAGGAGAGGACTCCATTCAGCAGCTTATTTATGAGAATGAGCCCACGAAGTGTCATCCAGCTCCTCTAACAAGTAGCAGGGGATTAAAGATCACCGATGCACAGCCACAGGGAGCGTCCTCAAAAATGCTGATGTTCGGCCCCGCTCGCAGGGAGTCTGATTTCATTGTCTTGGGTGGAGCACGGGTATTTTGTAAAACCTCCCCCAGGTGATTCTGACGCGCATTCAAGGTTGAGTGAGCGAACCCTTGGCTTTTTAACTCGCAGGTATAATGCAGAGTTGTGCGCTGTGTCCTTACCGCCTTCTGCGGGATGTAAGCGCGTTTCCCAACAGACACTCGGACAAAATTCTAGAAAGTGTTTTCCTGAGAAGGCTCACTCACTCACTCACTTCGCATCCCAGTCCTAAACGCATTGCAACCAGAAAATGTTAGAGCTAAAAGAGCACCACGTCCTCCCAGATGACCCAAAGAGGTTAAAAAAAAAAAAAAGAGAAAAAAGAAAAACTTGCAGGCTCTCATGGTAACAATGAAGCGTCAGAGACTAAAACCCACAACTCCCCAATCTGTTGAAATGAACTAACAACGTCTCATGCTTTACTTTATCCTTTCTGGCCTGGGCTCAAAGTAGGTATCAGATAATACAAGTTTGTAGCCGACCTTTGGATCACTTGAAGTCAGGAGTTCAAGACCAGCCTGGCCAACATGGTGAACCCTCATCTCTACTGAAAATACAAAAAGAAAAGAAAAGAAAAGCCAGGCGCCCTGGCGCATGCCTGTAATCCCAGCTACTTGGGAGGCTGAGGCAGGAGAATCTCTTGAACCCGGGAGGCGGAGGTTTCAGTGAGCCAAGACTGCGCCACTGCACTCCAGCCTGGGCGACATAGGGAGACTCCGTCTCAAAAAAAAAAAAAAAAAAAAAAAGAAAAAAAAGAAAGAAAAGAAAGAAAAAAAAGCGTTTGTGGTTATTTCTAATACTGGAAGTGTCATGGAGTAGGCAGCGCTGCTCATCAACGTTTCCAGTGCTTTCCCTTTCTGGGCACATGGTAGGACTGGCACTTCCCTGACCCACTTGAAACACACAGAGGTAATATGTTACTTCCCACCAGCTTTAAAGGCGACTGAGCCGGCCATTGTATCCCTTTCTGCCAGCTGCCCCAATTATGGAGATGAAACCATCATCCGGTGACCTGGGTCACTGAGTGGCTAAGATGAGCAGACTCCCTGCCAACGCACCCTAGGATACGTAGTAAGAGGGAGAAGAAAACTAGGATGTATTCAGCTTACTGAGATTTAGTGGGTGTGTGCTGCTACAGCATAACCTAGCCTATCCTGACTGATGTATTACCTGGATCTTGTTCTAGAATCTCCGCATCGGAGTAAAATCGTAGTTTCTAAGAGCCTCTTTTTTTCTGTAAAACGGGCATGATACTAAACACTTAAACATGCTCAGATCTTCCAACTTAAAAAATGAAATCACTGGCGGGGCGTGGTGGCTTATGCCTGTAATCTCAGCACTTTGGGAGGCTGAGGCAGGTGGATTGCCTGAACTCAGGAGTTCGAGACCTGCCTGAGCAACATGGTGAAACCTTGCCTCTACAAAAAAAATACAAAAACTACCTAGACATGGTAGCGCAGGCCTGTGATCCCAGCTACTCAGGAGACTGAGGTGGGAGGATTGCTTGAGCCAGGGAGGTGGAGGCTGTAATGAGCCATGAGATCTCAGGAGGTCAAGACTGTGGTTAGCTGTGATCACACCACTTCACTCCAGCCTGGGGAAGGAGCTAGACCTAGTCTCAAAAAAATTAAAAATTAAAAAATAAAATAAAATCACCTTTGACCTGAGCCTCCCTGGAACCAGCTCTCCTCTTCTCCATTTCACAGCCAAGTTTCTGGAAAGAGTGAGTTAACCAGTAGTTTTCAAACTTTTTTCTTGGACACGCCCTAAAAGTTTTATGCAAAATCATGCAGTGGTTATAAGAAAGGGGGAAGTGGGGGCCGGGCGCAGTGGCTCACGCCTGTAATCCCAGCACTTTGGGAGGCTGAGGCGGGCGGATCATGAGGTCAGGAGATTGAGACCATTCTGGCTAACACGGTGAAACCCCGTCTCTACTAAAAAATACAAAAAAAATTAGCCGGGCGTGACGGCGGGAGCCTGTAGTCCCAGCTACTCAGGAGGCTGAGGGAGGAGAATGACCTGAACCCAGGAGGCGGAGCTTGCAGTGAGCTGAGTTCGCACCACTGCACTCCAGCCTGGGCGACAGAGCAAGACTCTGTCTCAAAAGAAAAAAAAAAAAGAAAGAAAGAAAGGGGGAAGGGGGAGAGTGGTCAGCTCTGGTAGTAAAAATATATTAGCAAATTCTTCATTTATATCAGATTTTTTTTTTTTTTGAGATGGAGTCTCACTTTGTTGCCCAGGCTGGAGTGGAGTGGAGTGGCACAATCTCGTCTCACTGCAACCTCCACCTCCCGGGTTCAAACCATTCTCCTGCCTCAGCCTCCGGAGTAGCTGAGATTACAGGCGCTCGCCACCATGCCCGGCTAATTTTGTATTTTTAGTAGAGATGGGGTTTCCCCATGTTGACAGGGTTTCTCCATGTTGGCCAGGCTTGTCTCGAACTCCTGACCTCAGGTGATCCGCCCACCTCATCCTCCCAAGTGCTAGGATTACAGAGGTGAGCCACCGCGCTCAGCCTACATCAGACATTTTGTCATTCTTGGCCGAGTGCGGTGGCTCATGCCTGTAATCCCAGGACTTTGGGAGGCCGAGGCAGGCGGATCATGAGGTCAGGAGTTCGAAAAATACAAAAAAAAATTAGCTGGGCGTAGTTGCAGGCACCTGTAATCCCAGCTACTCAGGAGGCTGAGGCAAGAGAATCATTTGAACCCGGGAGGTGAAGGTTGCCATGAGCCAAGATGGCACCATTGCACTCCAGCCTCGGCAACAGGGCAAGACTCCGTCTCAAAAAAAAAAAAAAAGAAATTTTGTCATTCTTTTATCTTTCTGAACTTGTATTTCCATTCCATTTCCTCCACAGAATTACATTCCAAAGCAATATATTTCATGCATGAAAGTCTTTTATCACTTTGTAATACTTCTCTACAACAAAAGTATGTATGTGTATTAAATTTTTAATTCTTCTTAACTTCCTGTGACAAAAAGGCTCTTGGTAAATTTTTTCCCCTGGATTTAATTATCAATATAATTACTATTAGCAGTCAAACAAAAGAAAAGTATGCTGCAATTTATAACTTTTATATAAATAAAATAACTTTTAAAGACAGTAAACATTTTATTGGAATGATAGCTATTAATAAGACAGATGGGCTCATTTCTTTCAAAAATGCATTTATGCCCAGGCACGGTGGCTCACATCTGTAATCCCAGCACTTTGAGAGGCCAAGGTGAGCGGAACACTTGAGGTCAGGAGTTTGAAACCAGCCTGGCCAACCTGGTGAAACCCTGCCTCTACCAAAAAATACAAAAATTAGCTGGGCATGGTGGCCTGAGGTCCCAGCTACTCCAGAGGCCGAGGCAGGAGAATTGCTTGAACTTAGGAGACGGAGGTTGTAGTGAGCTGAAATGGCACCACTGCACTCCAGTCTGGGCAACAGAGCAAGACTCTGTCAAAAAAAGAAGCATTTATCTATGAATGAACATTACTTAATGATAGACAAACTTTTGCAATAAATTCTATTTCTTTTATGTTTTTATGTGTGCCGAGAAATCTTGTTCACATGTATAAATAGATGACAAAATTGTCACTCATTTTGTTGAATACTTTTTGAGATATATGCAAAAAAGTCATATAGTGATAATCTCTCAATTAACAACTTGATTTGATTTTTCTTTAATTTTTGTTGAAAGCAAGAATTTGAGGTCGGGCGCGGTGGCTCACACCTGTAATCCCAGCACTTTGGGAGGCCGAGGCGTGTGGATCACGAGGTCAAGAGATCAAGACCATCCTGGCAAACACGGTGAAACCGCGTCTCTACTAAAAATACAAAAAAAAAAAAAAAATTAGCCAGGCACGGTGGCGGGCGCCTGTAGTCTCAGCTACTCGGGAGGCTGAGGCAGGAGAATGGTGTGAACCCTGGGAGGCAGAGCCTGCAGTGAGCCAAGATCGCGCCACTGCACTCCAGCCTGGGCGACAGCGAGACTCCATCTCAAAAACAAAAAAAAGAATTTGAAACACTTGTGTTACAAAAGTCGTTAGAAGTATTCACTTTAAAAATAAATAAATAAATACATAAAAATAAATAAAAAAATAAAATAAAATAAAAAAATAATAAAATAAAACTTAAAAATTAAATAAATAAATAAATAAAATAAAAATAAATTAAAAAAGATCAAATAAAAAAAGAAGTATTCACTTTCTCATTTTCTGGGTGTTATTGTAACGTGGCTGACTCCATCTTGCTGCTAGCCTCACAGGCTGGCTGTCTTCGCTCATTCCTGGGGTAGGCCAAGCTAACCGTGGAAGGAATTTAGTTTATAGTTTAAATTAGAAGCCAGGATGATAATAGTCCCTCCCTAAAACTAATCCTTTCCTTATTCAGGGGGCTGAAACCACCTTTGTAAAACCATTGAAAGGCCACAAAATTAAGTTTATGGGAGGGGCCTGAATTCTGCTGAGATGTTGACACAATTTCTATAATCCCTTACCTTCAGGAGTTATGTAGCCAGAAGTCACAAGATTTGTGGCTTCTTCAATTGCTCCTATAGATAACATCACTATTGTAGAATCTAAGATTGGTGGAGATGTTTTCCAGACTTACGCCACCAGGACTGGTGACTTGTGACTCAGTTGGCCATGTGGCCTCAACCAGAGGTGGACTCAGTTCATGAGGACGATTTTCCACACCCGTAATGACTGCATCCCCAACCAATCAGCAGCATCCATCCCCTAGTCCCCTGCCCACCAAACTGAAAAACCATAACCTCCAGCCTTTGGGGAGACTGATTTGACTGATAATTCCACTTCTCCCACATGGCCAACCTCACCTTAATGTTAATTAAACTCTTTCTTTACTGTTTTGCCTGTGCAGTGGGCAGGAAGAACCCGTTGGGTGATTACAGTATGCCAAAAAGACTTTGCCAAGGTTTAGCAAATGACTATCAATTAAAAGCAATTACACTTTAACTTAGAGACAGCTTGTTTACTGATATACTCAGAAAGGACTGGGAAAATTAGAATATTGTTTATTTTAATACACCATTGTCAATCTAATATTTTTTGGAAAGGTGCTTTTATGTTATGTATTTGAAATATATATACACACATACATATATGTATACATATATATATACATTTTTGGGTTTTTTTGTTTGTTTGTTTTGTTTTTTGAGACAGGGTCTTTGTTGCCCAGGCTGGAATGCAGTGGTGTGATCTCTGCTCACTGCAGCCTGGAGCTCCCAGGCTCAAGCCATCGCTTCAGTCCCACAAATAGCTGGGACTACAAGCACATGCCACCATGCCCTGTTATTGTATTTTTTATAGAGGCCAGGTTTTACCGTGTTGCCCAGGCTGATCTCAAACTCTCAGACTCAAGCAATTCTCCCATCTCAGCCTCCCAAAGTGCTGGGATTACAGCATGAGTCACCACGTCCAGCCCTGAAATTTTTCTATTCAAGTACATGTGTTAACACCCATCCCTGTGACACTAGGTTCTAATGCTAAATTAGATTTAAAAAATCAGAGCCAGGAGCAATGCCTCATGCTTGTAATCCCAGCATTTTGAGAGGCCGAGGAGGACGGATCACCTGAGGCCAGGAGTTCAAGACCAGCCTGGCCAACATGGTGAAACCTCATCTCTACTAAAAATACAAAAATTAGCCCGGTGCGGTGGCACACACCTGTAATCCCAGCTACTTGGGAGGCTGAGGAGGAGAATGGCTTGAACCTAGGAGGTGGAGGTTGCAGTGAGCCGAGATTGCACCACTGTACTCGAGCCTGGGCAACAGAGCAAGACTCCATCTAAAAAAAAAAAAAAAAGATAAGAAATGATGAGGTGCTTGAGTTTGTGTGCTGGATGAAATAAGGCACACTGCCATTAACATGTTTTTGTTTGTTTGTTTTGAGACAGAGTCTCCCTCTGTTGCCCAGGCTGGAGTGCACTGGCGCAATCTTGCCTCACTGCAAACTCCGCCTCTTGGGTTTAGGCGGTTCTCATGCCTCAGCCTTCCAAAGTGCTGGGATTACAGGCATGAACCACCACGCTCGGCCTAACATGTCCTATCAGTTTCTTTTCTTTGTTTTTACTAAATTCTTTTTTTTTTTTTTTTTTTTTTTTGAGATGAAGTCTCACTCTTGTCCTCCAGGCTGGAGTGCAATGGCACGATCTCGGCTCACTGCAACATTTGCCTCCCGGGTTCAAGCGATTCTCCTGCCTCAGCCTCCCAAGTAGCTGGGATTACAGGTGCATACCACCACGCCCAGCTAATTTTTTGTGTTTTAAGTAGAGACGGGGTTTCACCATGTTGGCCAGGCTGGTCTCAAATTCCTGACCTCAGGTGATCCGCCTGCCTCAGCCTCCCAAAGTGCTAGGATTACAGGCGTGAGCCACCGAGCCCAGCCTGTTTTTGCTAAATTCTTTCAGGGACAAAGCACTTTTTGTCAAGGGACGGAAGAGATCATTAAATTTCCATTATTCTTACTTCCACTCCACTTCATAATAAATGATTCAAATGCCCAAACATAAGCCAAAACACTGCTTAAAAACTTTTTTGGTAGAGAAGATCTTGAACGCTATGCTGTCCAGGCTGGTCTCAAACTCCTGGCCTCAAGTGATCCTCCCTTCTTGGCCTCCAAAGTGCTGGGATTATAGACATGAGCCATCACATCTGGCCTCACCCCATTTTTTTCTCACCCCATTATTAATGCCAAACTTTGTCAGCAACAAAAGTCAGCAAAAAACGAAGAAAGTCATGAACCCTAACCTTAATACCTTGATTAAAGAAGCCTTCACTGACACTCTTACAGAATGAAAAACTATGGACTGGAAGAAAATATTTACAAATCCAAGTCTGTATTCCTAGTATCCAGAATATATGAAGAACTCTCAAAATTCAACAGTAGAAAAAGCAAACCACCCAATTTTTTTTTTCTTGAGACAGAGTCTCACTCTGTCACCCAGGCTGGAGTGTGCAGTGGTGCGATCTCGGCTCACTGCAACCTCCACCTCCCGGGTTCACGCCATTCTCCTGCTTCAGCCTCCCGAGTAGCTGGGACTACAACCACACCCGGCTAATTTGTTGTATTTTTAGTAGAGACAGGGTTTCACCGTGTTAGCCAGGATGGTCTCGATCTCCTGACGTCGTGATCTGCCCACCTCAGCCTCCCAAAGTGCTGGGATTACAGGTGTGAGCCACTGTGCCCAGCCCAAACCACCCAATATTTTAAAAAGGCAAGCAGGGCACTGTGTCACATGCCTGTAGTTCCAGCTACTCAGGAGGCTGAGGCAGAAGGATCTCTTGAGGTGAGGGGTCTGTGGATGTAGTATGCCATGGTCATATCTGTGAATAGCCACTGTGCTCCAACCTGGGCAACATAGCAAGACCAGATCTCAAAAAAAAAAAAAAAAAAAAAAGCTAGGGAATCAAATGGTCACTTCATCAAAGAAGATATAAGATTGGCCAATAAGTACATAATAGGACTTCGACATTGTCAACCGCTAGGGAAATGCGTATTAGAACCATAATAAAATACCACTCCATACCTATCAGAACAGTTAAAATAAAAAATACTGACAACACCAACTGTTGGTGATAGAGTAACTGGAACTCTCATACATCACTAGTGAAATGTCAAGTAGTACAGCCACCGGGAAAGTTTGTTATAAAATTAAGCATATATCTAACCAAATGTTGATGGCTATTGTGATACCCTGGTTCTTGTCTTCTTAGTTTAAAAGAATTTAGGCCGGACACGGTGGCTCATGCCTGTAATCCCAGCACTTTGGGAGGCCCAGGCAGGCAGATCACGAATTCTGGAGATTGAGACCATCCTGGGTAACGTGGTGAAACCCCACCTCTACTAAAAATACAAAAAAGTAGCCGGGCGTGGTAGCAGGCGCCTGTGTCCCAGCTACTCGGGAGGCTGAGGCAGGAGAATGGCATGAACCCAAGAGGCGGAGCTTGCAGTGAGCCGAGATCGTGCCACTGCACTCCAGCCTGGGCAACAGAGCGAGACTCCATCTCAAAAAAAACAAAAATGTAAACAAGAGACACACAGCAAAAGAAGTGCAGCATAGGCCAGGCGCGGTGGCTCATGCCTGTAATCCCAGCACTTTGGGAGGCCGAAGTGGGTGGATCATGAGGTCAAGAATTCAAGACCATCCTGGCCAACATGGTGAAACCTCATATCTACTAAAAATACCAAAAATTAGCTGGATGTGATGGTGCATGCCTGTAATCCCAGCTACTTGGGAGGCAGAGGCAGGAGAATTGCTTGAACCAGGGAGTCAGAGGTTTCAGTGAGCCAAGATCACTCTACTGCACTCCAGCCTGGCGACACAGAGAGACTCCATCTCGGGAAAAAAAAAAAAGTGCAGCATAGAGTTATTTATTGTAAAGGAGAAAGAGGATTTTGAAAATTAAGTGCAGAATGGGCAGCACACTCAGAGAGAGGATTCAGGGTAGGCTGCTCATTTAAGGATGAGACAGCAAAAACTGGCACTAAGGAGACTCCCTTTATGGGAGTCTTATGTGATTATTCATAAGGAAGTGGAAAGAGGAGTTACTAGTAAGCATGTTCTGGGTGGTCTTCTGGGTGCACATGCACAGTAGTTTACATGCTTGTTCATACACCACATGTCTCATTACCATCTTAAATTTCCACCCAGGGGTGTATTTTTTACTATTAAAATAAGCAAAGGGTCAGTTTGAGACCAGGTAAAATCAAAGTGTGCATGCTGTCAGGGCCGGGCGCGGTGGCTCACGCATGTAATCCCAGCATTTTGGGAGGCTGAGGTGGGTGGATCACCTGAGGTCGGGAGTTTGAGAGCAGCCTGGCCAACATAATGAAATCCCATCTCTACAGAAAAATACAAAAATTAGCTGGGCATGGTGGCATGTGCCTGTGGTCCCAGCTACTCAGGAGGCTGAGGCAGAAGAATTGCTTGAACCTGGGAGGCAGAGGTTGTAGTGAGCCGGGATGACACCACTGCACTCCAGCCTGGGTGACAGAGCAAGACTCCATCTCAGAAAAAGGAAAGGACAGGAGAGGAGAGGGGAGAGGAGGGGAGGGGAGGTGAACCGCAAAGTTTGCATGCTGTCTACATGGGAAATTCCCTACTGCAGATAGCTTTGCTTGAATTAGCTCAGTTGCATTGTGAATGCTGAGGCTTATTGTGTTGACTGAATGGTCAGCATGATTGCTGTGTCCTGAGACCCTGGTTACTTCCTTGACTACCTACCCTGCATCAGTATGAACCAGAAGCCCCATACCTGGGGACTGTTGTATGTATGAATAATTTGTTCCTTTTTATTGCTAAGCAGCATTCCACTGGATAAACAAGGTATGGTATAGCCATATAGTGGAATACTTCTTAGCAATAAGGAAAGACATATTGACACATGCAGTGACTTTGATGAATCTCAAAGGTATCATGTGCTGTGAAAGAATCCAGTCTTTAAAAATTACAGGCCTGGCGTGGTGGCTCATGCCTGTAATCCCAGCACTTTGGGAGGCCGAGGCAGGTGGATCACGAGGTTGGGAGATCGAGACCCTCCTGGCTAACATGATGAAACCCTGTCTCTACTAAAAATACAAAAAATTAGCCAGGCATAGTGGCGGGCGCCTGTAGTCCCAGCTACTCGGGAGGCTGAGGCAGGAGAATGGCGTGAACCCGGGAGGCGGAGCTTGCAGCGAGCCGAGATTGCGCCACTGCACTCCAGCCTGGGCGACAGAGCAAGACTCTGTCTCAAAAAAAAAAAAATAAAATAAAATAAATAAAATAAAATAAAATAAAATAAAATAAAAATTACATATTAAATGATTCCATTTATATGGCATTTTTGAAAGTACAATCTATAATGATGAACGGATCAATGGTTGCCACGGGGCAGGGGAAGGGTGTGGCTACAAGGGAGTTTTGGGGTGTGACATAACTGTTCTTTGCTGAAGCAGAGTCTCACTCTGTCACCCAGGCTGGAGTGCAGTGGTGAGACCATAGCTCACTGCAGTCTTGAAATCTCAGGCTTAAGTGGGAGTTCAGCCTTGAGTAGCTGGGACTACAGGCACATGCCACCATGCCTGGCTTTTTTTTTTTTCTTTTTCTTTTTCTTTTTTTGAGACGGAGTCTCACTCTGTCGCCAGGCTGGAGTGCAGTGGCGCAATCTTGGTTCACTGCAACCTCCGCCTGCCGGGTTCAAGCGATTCTCCTGCCTCAGCTTCCTGAGTAGCTGGGACTACAGGCACGTGCCACCACAGTCAGCTAATTTTTGTATTTTTAGTAGAGACGGGGTTTCACCATGTTGGCCAGGATGGTCTTGATCTCCTGACCTCATGATCTGCCTGCCTCGGCCTCCCAAAGTGCTAGGATTATAGGCGTGAGCCACCGTGCCCGGCCAATAAATTTCTTTCTATAGCCATATATATATATATGTATATCATTGGTTCTGTTTCTCTGGAGAACGCTAATACAAGTGAAGTGTGATTCAAATTTTCTTTTCTTTTTCTTTTTTTTTTTTTTGGAGACGGAGTCTCACTCTGTCACCCAGGCTGGAGTGCATAACCCCCCAGGCCCAAGCAAGCCTCCCACCTCTGCCTCCTGAGTAGCTGGGACTACAGGCATGCATTACAGTGCCCATGCCTAGCTATTTTCTTTTTTTAGACGGAGTTTCCCTCTTGTCGCCCAGGCTGCAGTGCAATGGCTGTTCACAGGCATGATCCCTCTACTGACCAGCACGGAAGTGCTTCATTTCTGATCTGGGCCAGTTCACCCCTCCTTAGGCAAACTGGTGATTCCTCACTCCTGGGAGGTCACCATGTTGATGCCAAATTTAGTGTGGACACCCAATTAGCATTGTGCACTAAAGCCCAGAACTCCTGGGCTCAAATGATCTTCCCACCTCACCCTCCCCAGTAGCTAGGACTACAGGCACGTGCACACCTGATATCTCTGAGCCTTTACACATGCTTCTTTCTCTGCCTCCTCCCACCCCAACCCAACTATCTTCTACTCTTTCTTCAGGATTCAGCATAGGTATCATCTCTTTTAGAGAACTTTATCTGTCAGGACTGATTCAAGTAATAGAAACTTCCTTGCACTAACAAGCCAAAAAGGGAAAAAGGGATTTAATATAAGAGTATAGAAGCATACTCTTCCTTGAGGAAGGAATCATCCAAAACCAAGCACTCCATTTCATTAGGACTTTATCTCTTGTGTCTGTTCTTTCCCACCCTTAGAATCCCAGTTGGCCTCTTCAAGTAGCTTTGTTACTGCCTATCTATACTTCTCGTTCTTCTCCTCTAGACCATAAGTTCCTTGAAGGCAAGACTGTACCTTTATTAATTTCCTCATCCCCAGAACTTAGCAGAGTACACCCAACAGAGTTCACAGGTGGTCAAAGAGGCAGACAAGTAAACTGGCCCTTAATGCACAACCCAGCAAGTGTCCTTGAAAATGCACATTTTCAAGGTGCTTCCAGAGCCAGAGGAGATAGAGAGGACTCACCTCCCTATCTGGGCAGTCGAGAAGCTTCAGGAAGGACACAGGCTTACGCATTGCTTATCCTTTGATTGGGGGATCCAAAGGAAAGTCCCATACAATGCATAGATTTTTTTTTTTTTTGAGATAGGGTCTCACTCTGTCACCCAGGCTAAGTAAAGTGGTGCAATGAGGGGTCACTGTAGCCATGACCTCCCTGGCTCAAGTGATCCTCTCACATCAGTGTCCGGAGTAGCTGGGACTACAGGCATTCATTACCATGTCCAGCTAATTTTTTTTTCTTTGTAGAGATGGGGTCTCACTATGTTGCCCAGGCTCTTCTCGAACTCCTGGTCTCAATCCTCCTGCCTCAGCTTCCCAAAGGGCTGGGATTATGGGCATGAGCCATCACACCCAGCCACGGAGAATCAGAGAGTCTCTTAAGAGACCTCCCAGCTCCTTGGGTCTCCATTGAAGCAAAGAGAGAACATCCAGTGTATTTCTGCGTGGTGCTTGAAGACAGAGGAAAGGAACAACGAGTCACAGAGCAGGGGACTTGGTGCTCTGTTTCTCTAACATTTCAGCCATCTGAGATTTCATTCAGTTCCTCTTTTTCTTTCTGATACGGAGTCTCGCTCTGTCACCCAGGCTGGAATGCAATGGCGCAATCTCACTGCGCCCGGCCATTGACTACTTTATCTTTCACTCTTCATTTTTGAAGAGTCTGGGTCAGATGTTTAGCAGAATGCCCCTAATGTGGATTTGTCTGATTATTTCCTCATGGTTAGATTCAGATTAAACTTTTTTTTTTTTTTTACAAGATGCCACTTGCATGATGCTGTGGGTGCCTTTTCATTGCAATGCCTCCATTTCAGATGTGAGAAAGTTCTGGGCCTGTAGGGCATTTCAAGCCTAGGTGTGTATGGGGGAGGAGGGGATAGATGTTCATCTATGCACCAGATCCTCAGATCCCCGAGGTGGGTTGCGGGGAAGGCCCAGGGAGCTGATGGATAAAGCCACAGCTTCAGTCCTGGCAGAGTTCACTGCCAGGAATGGCTGCTGACTGCGGGGCACTGATGGTGGGCAGCCAGGGCCGAGGTGCAAACTTCTTCCCACAAGGAGTTCCAGGTGTTCAGTGGCAGCCAGTTCCTCAGTTAATGGGTCACCTGCTGCTGCGGCCACTCTCTGTTGATGCAGCTGCAAGGGAAATGAAGAGGGCTGAGGGAGGTGGCCATGCCAATGCTGTCCTGTGGAGGAGAGGGACAGCAAAGGGACAGGCGTACAAAGACAGAGGGAGCCATGGCCGGGCACAGTGGCTCATGCCTGTAATCCCAGCACTTTGGGAGGCCGAGGCAGGTGGATCACTTGAGCTCAGGAGTTCGAGACCAGCCTGAGCAACATGGTGAAACTCTGTCTCTACCAAAAATACAAAACAAATTAGCTAGATGTGGTGTCACGAGCCTGTAGTCCCAGCTACTTGGGAGGCTGAGGTGAGAGGATTGCCTGAGCCCAGGAAGAAGAGGTTGCAGTGAGCTGAGATCGCACCACTGCACTCCAGCCTGGGTGACAGTGCAAGACCCCACCTCAAAAAAAGAAAATTAAAAAAAAAAACACAAAGACAGAGGGAGCCAGAATAAAAAACAGAATGAAAGAGTGAGAGCCAGGGCGTCAGAGGGAATGCACACACCAGCAAAGGAGAGAAAAGTGGAGGGACAGAGACAGAGAGAAACCAAGAGATTCATAAATGGCAGCCCACAGAGAAAAGAAAGCACCAGCTGATATGCCTCACTCACAATTTGCAAGTCCCTTTCTGAGGTTCTCTGGCTTTGGCCTTTATGGGACAGTCAAGAGAGTCTGTGTTTATATCAGTCAGACTCAAAGGGCACAAGTGTTTCCCCCAAGGGGCTGTGCGGGGGTCACCTGCTCAGTCTGTACTTTTCCAAACACAGAAATTCTCCTTTGTGCCCCAGAAGCCAGGTCCTGGGCCAGCAGTTTCCTGCCGGAGCTCGGCATGTCTCCCCTTTTTTCACAGGGCTGTCAGCATTGAGGAAGCCCTACTGGTAAAGAGGAGGAACAGGAGAGAGGCAGACAGAAGGGAGGACTCAAAGAAAAGAAGCCACTAGAAATAGCCTTCCCTCTGGAGTGGGGAGGAATCCAAAAATCCCAGGAGCTGCCCAGCGGGTGTGACCTTAGCTAATAATAACAGGCCAGCGTTTTCTCACGAGAAAAAGGATCAGCATAGAGCACGGTGGAGGGAAAGAGAAGCTGCTTAGCCCCCACACCGCAAGGGGTACAGACAGCACCCAGGGGTTCTGCCAGGGCCAAACTCCTCTAAAAGCTCCTGGGGAAGGGCTCGGTTAGGGGAACCCAGAGTGGACAGAGGAGACCTTTTGGCAATAATGGCATGTCTGTGCTTTTCTTTTGCAGGAAGAGAAGACAATGAAAAGAGCATAGTCAGGAATCAGGAATCTTTTGTGGTATCAAAGCTGAACCTAAGTGAAGAAGCAATTTTCTGTCCTCTGCCCTTGTCCAAAAGAACACCCCTCAGTTCCTGCTTCTTACTAAGCCGGTTGAGGGGCGTCAAGGGGCTGGACAGGACACCCCGCAAACTTTCCAGCCATTCCTGCTGTTCCTTCTCACTGGGGCAAGTGAGGACAAATCTCCGCTCTGGGGTGACAATGGTGAGTCCGGCTTTCCAGCGATTTCCTCGGATGCCCTTGGGCAGGTCTTCGTAGGCTTCATATCCCTGCTCCTTGTTCCCAAGAAAAACCTGGCCCTGCTCGAAGGCATCCTGAAAATGGAGAGTACAGGGTCATCAGAGGGTGCCCCCAGGGCAGAGGGGCCCTGCAGCCCTGACAGCCTCCAAGCTTTATTTTGGGAAAGGGGTATGAGGTCCCTGCTGGGATTTCTGCTAAGTGGGACCCAGAATTTGAAAGATCAAAACCCTAAAATAAATCATACACATCATCTATTGAAAAGATACCGAGGGTGGGCCTGGTAGTTCATGCCTGTAATCCTAGCACTTTGGGAAGCCAAGGCAGAGGATTGCCTGAGGCCAGGAATATGAGACCAACCGGGACAACATAGTGAGACCCCTTCTCTACAAAAAAAAATTATTAATTATTATTATGAATTGTTTTTGGAGACAGGGCCTCACTCTGTCACCCAGGCTGGAAGTGCAGTGGCACAATCATGGCTCATCCCAGCCTCAACCTCCCAGGCTCAGGCAATCCTCCCACCTCAGCCTCCCAAGCAGCTAGGACTACAGGCATGCACCACCACACCTGACTAATTTTTAAGTTTCTTTTTTTTTCTTTCTTTTTTTTTTTTTGAGACGGAGTCTCACTCTGCACCCAGGCTGGAGTGCAATGGCATGCACCCTCTGCACCCTCTGCCTCCCGGTTTCAAGCGATTCTCCTGCCTCAGCCTCCTGAGTAGCTGGGCTTACAGGCACGCACCACCACGTCCGGCTAATTTTTGTATTTTTAGTAGAGACAGGGTTTCACCATGTTGGTTAGGCTAGTCTCGAACTCCTGAGCTCGTGATCTGCCCCGCCTCAGCCTTCCAAAATGCTGGGTTTACAGATGTGAGCCACCGTGCCTGGCCTTAAGTTTCTTGTAGAGATGGGATCTCACTATGTTGCACAGGCTGGTCTCGAACTTCTGGGCTCAAGCGATCCTCCTGTCTCAGCCTCCCAAAGTGCTGGGATTACAGACAAAAGGCAGCACATCCAGCCCTAAATTTTTTTTTTTTAATTAGCTGGGCATGGTGATGCATGCCTGTATTCTGAGCTACTTAGGAGGCTGAGGCAGGAAGATAACTTGGGCCCAGAAGTTCAAGGTTGCAATGAGCTGTGATTGTGCCACTGCATTCCAGCCTGGGTGACAGAGAGAGACTCTGTCTCTAAAAAAAAAAAAATAAGTGATACCTAACATTTACGGAGCACTTATTAAAATCAGCATCAGGAATTACAATGCTTTATATATAGTAACTTAAATAACCATCATGGCAACCTCTGGGGAAGGCATTCTTATTAAGCCTGTTTTTCAGAGGAGGAAACCGAGGCACAGAGCACTAAGTACACGGCTCAAGGCAACACTACTACAAGTGGCAGGGCTGAGACCAGAGCCCAGACGGTGGGGTTCTAGAGTCCACCACACTCCTAACTACTACACATCACGGCCTCTTGGTTAGAAGTGAGCCCTGGAGACTAGAGGAAGAGATACACCATATTTAACTACCATGGGCAGCATTTTGGATACTCATAATAGACTTCCTGAAAGCGAGGAGAAGCTTCATGCCATAGGAGATTACTCAAGAGAAACAAAAACAAGGGGTAGAGGTTTTCCTCTCAAGGTTTCTCTAGCTCTGGGGCTCTGGGAGATGTGTTTATCTGTAGCTTTCACATAGTTCCAGACAAGCACCACCCAGCAATGTTTGAGGAAGCCCTGGGGAGGGAGCAGGAGTGGCTCTTACCAGTGGGTTCTTGTAATAGAGCAGCCTCCGCTCATGGCAATCCAGGGCGAACCACCTTTTCTTGAAAGGTTCTTTCTGCTGCAAAAGAGGGAACTTCTTACCACAGATGACCAGGTCAGTTTCTGAGGATAGAGGTCAGGGGCCAGCCCAGCCCAAACCAAAGGAGCTGGCCAGTCCCACTGGTTCTCCAGCCCAGCCTCCTCAGTCAGACATCCTAGTGCTTCTCCCTGGGGCCTGGATAGGAGCCCTCAGGCTCTGAAGGTTCTGCCCATTCCCCTTCCAACCCCACCATACCCTTTGCCAGCTTCACCCTGCTGCCTCAACTTGGAAGAGGCACCTTCCTCTTTTTCAGGCTGTAGACAAAGAAGCCGGAAAGGAAGTTGGAAAAAATCAGAAGTGGCTACTGCTTGGCAAGGCTGAAAGTGCTGGCCTTGGCCAAATTCTAACCTAGGTCAGGGAGAGAAAGCCCAGCAACAAGAACCAGGCGGAGGGGCTGCGCCTCTCTGAAAACAACCCTTTGACTGCTTTTTCCACCTGCCCAAGGCTTGCTTTCATGATTGCCTAACACAGGAATATCCAATCTCTTGCCTTCCCTGGGCCACATTGGAAGAATTGTCTTGGGCCACACATAAAATACACTAACACTAATGATAGCTGATGAGCCAAAAAAAAAAAATCGCAAAAATATCTCATAATGTTTTAAGAAAGTTCACGAATTTGGCTGGGCATGGTGGCTCATGCCTGTAATCCCAGCACTTTGGGAGGCTGAGGTGGGCAGATCGCTTGAGGTCAGGAGTTCGAGACCAGCCTGGCCAACATGGTGAAACCCCATCTCTACTAAAATTACAAAAATTAGCCGGGCATGGTGGTGGGCACCTGTAATCCCAGCTACTCAGGAGTCTGAGGCAGGAGAATCGCTTGAATCTGGGAGGCGGAGGTTGCAGTGAGCCGAGATCACACCACTGTACTCTGGCCTGGGTGACAGAGCAAGACTCTGTCTCAAAAAAATTTAAAAAAGAAAGTTTATGAATTTCTGTTGGGCATCATTCCAAGCCGTCCTGGGTTGCATGTGGCCCATGGGCTGTGGGTTGGACAAGCTTGGCCTAACACCTTTCACTGTCCTCTTAACAATCATCCCATAAACACATGAAACCTTCTATATACATTAAACCATATTAAGTTCCCCAGGGAGTGATAGAAGGTACCTTTGGCCCAGTCTTTTCCATGAAGCCTTGTTTGAGGTAGTTCCTGGTGAGGAATGGCACGAGCTGGGGAAGAGAGACAGACACTGACCCCCAACTCACACCCCAAGGCTCCAGGTTCCCGCCGAGCTTGGCTCCCGACAAAGGGGAAGTTTGAAATGGGGAAGGATGTACGCTCATGGCTCACAGTATTATATTTGGAAAGTGCAATGGTCATAATATTAATATTTCAACAAAGCCAGTCGACAGCACCCCAGATGTTTGCAGAGCTTAGTGGCACGGCCGAGTTTTGGTTTAAGGATTCCTTCAGTAACCCCAGGGTGTGGACATAGGCAAGGCTCTGCAGAGACCCTCTTGGTGTCAGGCAACATGTTCTGAGGGTCCACTTTGCATCAGGCTCCAGGTGCAATTCTCAATCACCCTGCGAGGTGGGTATCACCAGCCTCATTACACATCTGAAGAAACCAGGCCACAGAGAAGGGGCTGGGGATTTTCCCAAAGTCACATCACTGGTAGCACAAAGAGCTGAGATTCAGGCCCAGGGCCAATGACACTAGACTGTACTCCTACCACTACACTAGGTGCTAAAGTATAAATATGCCAGGGCCCTCTGAGCAGGACCTTGGGAAAGGCCTGGTCAGGATTCTGACACCAAGCAACAAGAAAATAATGGCCAGAGGCTGGGTGCAGTGGCTCACACCTGTAATCCCAGCACTTTGGGAGGTCAAGGCAGGCAGATCACTTGAGGCCAGGAGTTTGAGACTAGCCTGGCCAACATGGCGAAACCCCACCTTTACCAAAAATATAAAAATTAGCTGGGCATGGTGGCACGCGCTTGTAATCCCAGCTACTCAGGAGGCTGAGGCAAGAGAATCCCTTGAACTTGGGAGGCAGAGGTTGCAGTGAGCTGAGATAGTGCCACTGCACTCCAGTCTGGGTGACAGAGGGAGACTCCATCTCAAAACAAAACAAAACAAAAAAGAAAAGAAAATGATGCCAGAGTGGACAGAGAAAGTTCTGAAGCAGAAGTCGGGAGACCTGGTTCTAATTCCAGTTCTGGCCTCCATCAGCTGCATTACCTTTGTTAAGACCTTCTGTCTCTCGAGGCCTTATGTCTCCCCTGTGTGATAAACAGCCTGGATCATGTGATCCCCAGCATCCCTTCCAGCCTGGCAGCCTACGCCCAGAGATGTTTCCAGGGGTTGATGATGGCCTCCTATGCTCCTAGGCATCAACCTGGAAAGTCTAGAGCTTCAAATGACAGTCCAGGCTTCAAAGAACAGAGAGGCTTCTCCAGAGCTCCAGGGCCCAGGGCAGAGGCACAGGGGAAGTGAGGTCTGGGGAACAGCTATGGGAAGTTTAAAAGGGGGAAATTTGTGAGCCAAAAATGAAAATATTAGGCCAGGCGCAGTGGCTCACGCCTGTAATCCCAGCACTTTGGGAGGCCGAGGCGTGTGGATCACGAGGTCAGGAGATCGAGACCATCCTGGCTAACACGGTGAAACCCCGTCTCCACTAAAAATACAAAAAAGTAGCCGGGTGCAGTGGCGAGCGCCTGTAGTCCCAGCTACTCGGGAGGCTGAGGCAGGAGAATGGCGTGAACCTGGGAGGCGGAGCTTGCAGTGAGCCAAGATGGCGCCACTGCACTCTGGCCTGGGCGAAAGAGCGAGACTCTGTCTCAAAAAAAAAAAAAAAAAAAGAAAAGAAAAGAAAATATTGGTCAGATGCAGTGGCTCACACCTGTAATCCCAGCACTTTGGGAGGCCGAGGTAGGAGGATTGCTTGAGGCCAGAAGTTCGAGACCAGCCTGGGCAACATAAGTGAGACATCATCTCTATAAAAAATTAAAAAAAAATTTTTAATGTAAGAAACAAGATATAAACTGTACTACTCCCCTTCTCTTAAAATACATTCACTAGGCTTTAATTGTTCCATTTGGAGAAAACAGATGGAGTCCCGAACTGCTCAATATTCGGAATTTGAGCCAGCACAGAGCAAGCAGAGGCCTAGGGAAACCATTGGGAAAAAAAGGAAAGTCACATGGCTGGAGCACTGCTTCCTGTACTTCTGATGCCTTGGCTCGCTGGAGTCTCACAATAGCCCTAGAAAGTAGGTACTATCACCTAGGCAAGTCACCTCACCTCTCTGAGCCTCGATGCACTCATCTGTCACCATGGCGACAAAACCTACTTTCTCTGAAGTCCAAGAGACCATATGCATTTATTACAGGACCACAGACCCCACTGGGATGCCCTGGGTTTCCAACATGTGGACCCCTAAAGCTTGAGCCAGGCCTGGTGATTGCTCAGAACCTCACACCATACACAGACATTAAATGGGAGGAAAGACACGGGATGGATATCAGGTACCGACAGTGGATGAGAGAGGCAGGGGAACATTGAGGATGTTGACCAAAGAGCAATTTCCTTTACACATGTCAGCAAAGATGGGCAGCTTGCCCAGATTAAATAAGGCTGAGCATCTGCACTTTGTCCTCCCTCCTCATAGTCAGCAGTCAGCAGTCTCCACTCCCCGCCCATGGGAGCCAGCATTAACCAGTTCTGGGTGCAAACTCAGCAGACTGACTCAAGGGCTCTGACTCGGGCCTTGCTGGAATTGCTCCCAGAGAGCTGCCATCTCAGCACATCCCTGGGCCTGGAGGGGACCCTATTCCAGACAACTGGCTCCCTACAAACCTTGGAATTAAGGAGCATTTAGGCTTTCAAGGAAACTCTAATGGTTGAGATTAAGAAAATCCCAGCATTAAAATGGTTTTCCAGCCCCATCACTTATAAAATCCTCTTGGAGGGGAGCCTCTTGAAGAGGACCAGAGCATAGAATCTCAGAGGCGGAAGGGACCCTGAAGATGACCTGGACTAACCGCCATCTTACCCATATGGAAATAGAAGCTCAGAGGGGTGCCAGGACCTGCAGGGGTCACACAGCAAGTGAGCAATAGAGCATCCCTGAGAGCCCAGGCTTCCTGGCTCGAGACAGCATCCTCTGCCCTACACCATGCGGGTCTCCCTGGCCCAGCCTGAGATAGGGAGATGAAGGCCCCAGAAGTCTGGAGACAATCAAAATGAAGTTCTCGGCTCCCCATGATGTTGGCCATGAAGGGCATACCTGCTCCTGTTACAACTGTAATGGAGAGGATCCCAGGCTTTCCCAAGCCCAGAGCATCACAGGGCAAAGAGGGGATTTTAGAAAGGGAAGCACACCTTTGGTTATTCACCTGCCCTTCCTGGGACTGTATAACTCATCAGTGAAATGGAAATAATCACCCCTGCCTGGCTGCCATTTCACAAGACAAAATGGGCTCAAAGCACTCTGTAAGCAGTATGTTAGGGATCATTTGTACATTTTAGAGGGAGAAGGGTTCAGAAAGAGATGACCAATTGCTGAGCCCCTTGACACTCTTCTGAAGGGGAGACACTGACCAGCTTTTGGGAGGCCGCCTTGTCGTATGTGAGGCTGTAACCCCCGCAGGCTCCCCTGGAGAATGCCTTGGGCTTCCCTCTGAGCAGCCCAGCCCTCAACCTCGAGGTCTTGCCTGCAAACAAAACTAGTCTGGCTTCTTCTTCTTTTTTTTTTTTTTTTTTTTTGAGACGGAGTCTCACTCTGTCACCCAGGCTGGAGTGCAGCGGCGCCATCTGGGCTCACTGCAAGCTCCGCCTCCCGGGTTAACACCATTCTCCTGCCTCAGCCTCCCAAGTAGCTGGGACTACAGGCGCCTGCCACCACACCTGGCTAATTTTTTTGTATTTTTAGTAGAGACGGGGTTTCACCGTGCTAGCCAGGATGGTCTCGATCTCCTGACCTTGTGATCCGCCCGCCTCAGCCTCCCAAAGTGCTGGGATTACAGGCGTGAGCCACCGCGCCCAGCCCTAGTCTGGCTTCTGAGTGTCTTCGAGGTCAACAGACAGGGAAAGAAGGAGATGGCCAAGAGGAGATTCAGAAATTGGGGTCCGCATTTAGCTCACCTCAGACTCTGGGAGTTCAGGAAAGGCCATTTTTAGGTACTGCAGACGGGCTGCACGGAGGGCATTGAACCAGTCCACTATCTCCTGCGGAGAGAAGTGCACAGGACACACACACAGCAGTGAGATGGGGTGGGTGGGAAGCTACCTCTGGTGGCGGGAAGCTAGCTGGGCATTGGGTGTGGGGCACATATATTCAGCACCTGCACACACCCCACAGCTCGGCTCAGGGGCATCCAGGGAGGATTGTGTCAGAGCCTCGTGGGCTAACCCGGGCAAGCAGGAAGCCTCTGACAGGGATAACCCCAGAGCCCTGGAAAAGGATTGAGTGAACTGCATGGGAGTTCTGCAATGGCCTCGGACAGTGCTTTTCACCTTCTAATGCGTGCAAAATCACCTGAGGCTCTTGTTAAAATGCAGAGGCATATCCAGTAGGTTTGGAATGGGGCCCAAGACTCTGCATTCCTAACACGCTCTCAGGTGATATGATGCTGCTAGTCAGTGGAATGCACTCTAAGGAGCAAGGCTCTAGGAAATCATTGTCCTCAGATGTCAAAGATTGGCATTTGGGTGGGGAGCAGTTATGCCTGGGGATGCTCCTCTAATGAGGATGCTCATGGCAACTTAGGCCAAAGCTGGCTTGGCCCCTTCTGCTGTCACTCTGAGAGAACATGTCCCTCAGCAGCCTGGGCCACCTTCATCTCCCACATAGACAACCATGTATCTAGCTGGCCTTGATCAGCTGCTCTCTGACTGGCCCTCTCATGGCAGCCTGAGTGATTTTCCTTTATTTATTTTTTTTTAGATGGAGTCTCATGCTGTCGCCGAGGCTAGAGTGTGCAGTGGTGCGATCTTGGCTCACTGCAACCTCCGCCTTCTGGGTTCACACCATTCTCCTGCCTCAGCCTCCCGAGTAGCTGGGACTACAGGCGCCCACCACCACACGGCTAATTTTTTTTTTTTTTGTATTTTTAGTAGTGACAGGGTTTCACCACGTTAGCCAGGATGGTCTCGTGATCTGCCCGCCTCGGCCTCCCAAAGTGCTGGGATTACAGGCGTGAGCCACAGCGCCCAGCCTGTAGCCAGAGTGATTTTCTAATTACAAATCTAATCAGTCTGGCTTGGAGTCCTGTCTACTACCCTCAGAAAAAAAAGTCTTAAGTTCTTTACTATGATTTTGCTGTCTGAGCTCCTTCCATGCAAAACTATTTGCAATTCTCCCAACACCTACTGTTCCTTCCTCTCGGGACATTCTGCTTAGCCCGCTCCATCCCACACACACCTTTTACGCAAAACATTCCACTTATCCCGCAGGTTAGTTTTGATGTTGTAATAGATAGATTTTTGGTGCTTGCTCAGCCCAAGCCCTGCTTCTGTGAGAACTACCCCGCCTATCTTCACCCAACCCCAGTTGCAGCCCCATTTACTGCTGTGATCCTGCCCCTGCTTAACCACAGCAACTGGACCAGGCCTGGAGCAACACAGAGGCTGGACTGGGCTTATCAGATTCCTTCTCCCAGGAATTTGGAATTGGGAGGCTAAAGGCTTGTTCAAATAGTGGTAGTTTGTGACTTTGATATAATGTGGTGATTGAGAAAGTCATCTGAATATGGTTTAAAAGGAATGAAACCATTTCTCTTTCTCTCTCATAGGCGAAGCACACAGGCCTAGTATTCCAGGGATCTGTGCTCTCTTGTCCTGGGGTTCATTAAGGACCCTCTGGCCAGGTGCAGTGGCTCACGCCTGTAATCCCAACACTCTGGGAGGCCGAGGCGGGTGGATCACCTGAGGTCAGGAATTTGAGACCAGCCTGACCAACATGGTGAAACCCCATCTCTACTAAAAATACAAAATTAGCCGGGTATGGTGGTACATGCCTGTAATCTCAGCTACTCAAGAGGCTGAGGCTGGAGAATTGCTTTAACCTGGGAGGTGGAGGTTGCAGTGAGCCGAGATTGCACCACTGCACTCCAGTCTGGGTGACAGAGCGAGACTCTGTCTCAAAAAAAAACCTTAGGTCTCAGACACTAAGGGAATGGGGCCAGTCCAGAAAAGACACACCTAGGCCTTCACCTTGGAAGGTCTCTCCAGTCATAATCTGGTGATCCTGGTGCCAAATCCAACCTGCATACATGTCTGTTTGCTCCTAAAGTTTTGTTTGTTTCAATCCTCCATGCAGGTTTTCCTGTTTGCCACAGCCCCCTCCCCATCCCTTATGCCTGTCCATTTAGCTTTTAAATCACCCCCTGACTCCTGCAGGCAGGAATCTGGAGCCCTCATTTATGCCCATCTAACAGACAGGCTGGGGCATCAAGCAAAAGAGAAGAATGGCCAGACCCAGGTTGTCAGATGCACCATACTGGGCAGATAGGAGGGAGCTGGGTATCCTAAGTGCCAGAGACCTTGGGTGCCTCAGTAAAAGTCCTTATGGCAGTGATTGGCATGGAGAGGGGGCTAGGGCCATGGTGCTAGGGGCCCCTTAGGAAGGTCTAGTCCCTGCATCTGGTTCCTGGCTCCTGCTGCCAAGTGTCCTTCCTACAGCAGAGGCACATGGCAGGTAAAGTGGGTGCAGGGCTGTGACCCTGAGCAAGTTACTAACATGTCCGTGACTCAATAATGTGGGGCTTGTTTTCAGGATTAAGAAATGATGGACAGCAATCACCAAAAGCAGTGCCCAGGGGAGTTAATAGATGGTCACAAAATGTCAGCACCCACCTTCATCCACCCCCACTCAGCATCTCTGTCCCCTGCCTAGTTATGTGACCCTGCTCAGGACCTGACCCAGCTTATTCTGTTATATTGGCTTATTCATCTCTGACTGGGCAGATTTCCTGGACTATTAAATAGTGCTTCTCAGCCGGGCGCAGTAGCTCACCCCTGTAATCCCAGCACTTTGGGAGGCCAAGGTGGGCAGATCACTTGAGGTCAGGAATTCAAGACCAGCCTGGCCAACATAGTGAAACTCTGTGTCTACTAAAAATACAAAAAAATTAGCTGGGTGTGATCTCAGCCACTCGGGAGGCTGAGGCAAGAGGATCGCTTGAACCCTGAAGGTGGAGGTTGCAGTGAGCCGAGATCACGCCACTGCACTCCAGTCTGGGCAATAGAGCAAGATTCCATCTCCAAAGGAAAAAAAATAGTGCTTCTCAAACTTTAATGTGCACAAGACTCACCTGGGATCCCGTTACAATGCAGTTTTTTTGTTTTTTTTGTTTTTTTGAGGTGGAGTCTTACTCTGTCACCCAGGCTGGAGTGCAGTGGCGCCATCTCGGCTCACTGCAAGCTCTGCCTCCTGGGTTCACGCCATTCTCCTGCCTCCGCCTCCTGAGTAGCTGGGACTACAGGCACCTGCCACCATGCCCGGCCAATTTTTTTTGTATTTTTAGTAGAGACGGGGTTTCACCGTGTTAGACAGCATGGTCTCGATCTCCTGACCTCGTGATCCGCCTGCCTCGGCCTCCCAAAGTGCTGGGATTACAGGCGTGAGCCACCGCGCCCGGCCTCTTCTTTTTTTTTTTTTTTTTTAATGCAGTTTCTAATTTGGTAGCTCCAGGGTGGGCCTCAGACTCTATTTTTCTTTCTTTCTTTCTGGTTTGTTTTGTTTTGTTTTGTTTTTTGAGACAGGGTCCTGCTCTGTCACCCAGGCTTGGAGTGCAGTGGCATGATCATGGCTCACTGCAGCCTCGACCTCCCAGGCTCAAGCGATCCTCTCACCTCAGCCTCCCAAGTAGTTGGGACTACAGGTGCATGCCACCATGCTTAGCTAATTTTGGAGGTATTTTTGGGTAAAGATGGGGGTCTTACTATGCTACCAGGCTGGTCTCGAACTCCTGGGTTCAAGTGATCCACCTGCCTTGGCTTCCCAAAGTTCTGGGATTACAGGCAGGAGCTACCATGCTCAGCCTTGAGCTCCTGGGTGATGCCAATGCTGTTGGGCCAGGACCACATGTTGAGAAGCAGGGTCCCGGGGTGCACTGCTGCCTGACTGTCCATCAGTTCCTCCCCCGTATTCAGAACCTCTGGCCCTACCTGGCTTTGCATCCCTGGGCATAGTCCCTTCTGTAACTGGACTTTCATTGGTGGCTGTGCACTGTCCAGATATAGCCATGGTACTTGCCAGGTTCCTCTCCCTGATCTCACCCTGCCCTCCTCATATCTTTATCTCAGACTGGGAGGCAATGATAGATTAAGGCAAATGGTAGCAGAAAATCTCAAGAGGCAGCTGAGCACAGCACCAGTGAGCAGGGGAGGTGGTGAGCTGCACCTGCCAAGTCCTGGGGTGCGAGCTGGAGGCGGAGGTGGCAACTCCAGGCATCTCACCTTCCCACTTTCATGATACACAAACAGGTTCCTGGTGTGGCCATCTCTCCTGTAGGTGATCTGCAGCCCATGGGGGTGCCCTATCTTCTCTGTCTGGAAGGTGGCATTCAAGTCCTTAATGCTGATGACAGCTTTGGGGCTTTTACCCTGAAAGAGAGAAAGAGAAAGAAAGACGCTGACAGTCCACAGGGTGACTTCTGGTCAACCTTCACCAAGGCCTTCATGCAAACAAGCATCAATCTGTAAATATATGGGTTTTAAATGTTCTTGCTCTCATATCGAAATTCAGATACTGGCCGGACGCAGTGGCTTACGCCTGTAATCCCAGCACTTTGGGAGGCTGAGGTGGGTGGATCACCTATGGTCAGGAGTTTGAAACCAGCCTGGCCAACTTGGTAAAACCCCGTCTCTACTAAAAATACAAAAATTAGCTGGGCGTGGTGGTAGACACCTGTAATCCCAACAACTCGGAAGACTGAGGCAGGAGAGTGGTTTGAACCTGGGAGGTGGAGGTTGCAGTGAGCTGAGATCGTGCCACTGCACTCTAGCCACCACACCTGGCTAATTTTTGTATTTTTAAGTAGAGACAGAGTTTCGCTATGTTGGCCAGGCTGCTCATGAACTCCTGACCTCAGGTGATCCACCTGCCTTGGCCTACCAAAGTGCTGGGATTATAGGCATGAGCCACTGAGCCCAGCCTATCGTTCCCTTCTTTGTGTCCATGTGTACTCAATGTTTAGCTTCCATTTATATGTTAGAACATTTGGTTTTCTGTTCCTTTGTTAGTTACTTAAGATAATGTTCTCCAGATCAATCCACGTTGCTGAGAGAACATGATCTCATTCTTTTCTTTGTTTTTATTTTTGTTTTGTTTTGCTCTTGCTGCCCAGCTGGAGTGCAACGGCGTGATCTCGGCTCACTGCAAACTCCGCCTCCCAGGTTCAAGCGATTCTCCTGCCTCAGCCTCTCGAGTAGCTGGGATTACAGACGTGTGCCACCACACCCAGCTAATTTTTTGTATTTTTAGTAGAAACGGGGTTTCACCATGTTAGCCGGGCTGGTCTCAAACTCCTGACCTCAGGTGATCTGCCCGCCTCGGCCTCCCAAAGTGCTGGGATTACAGGCATGAGCCACCGCCCCCGGCCAATCTGGTTCTTATTTATTTATTTATTTATTTATTTATTTATTTATTTATTTATTTATTTTTGAGATAGAGTCTTGCTCTGTTGTCCAGGCTGAAGTGCAATGGCGTGATCTGAGGTCACTGCAACCTCTGCCTCCCAGATTCTAACCATTCTCCTGCCTCAGCCTCCTGAGTAGCTGGGATTACAGACACGTGCCGCCATGCCTGGCTAATTTTTGTATTTTTAGTAGAGATGGGGTTTGACCATGTTGGTCAGGCTGTTCTTGAACTCCTGACCTCGTGATCCACCTGCCTCGGCCTCCCAAAGTTCTGGGATTACAAGCATGAGCCACTGTGCCCAGCCAATCTCATTCTTTTTTATGGCTGTGTAGTATTCTATGATGTTTATGTACCACATTTCCATTATCCAGTCCACCATTGATGGGCATCTGGGCCGATTCCATGTTTTTGCTATTGTAAATAGTGCTGCGATGAAAATACATGTACATGTGTCTTTACAGTAGAATTCTTTCTTTTTTCTTTTCTTTCTTTCCTTTTTTTTTTTCAGACTGAGTTTCACTCTTGTTGCCCAGGCTGGAGTACAATGGAGTGATCTCAGCTCACTGCAACCTCCACCTCCTGGGTTCAAGCGATTCTTCTGCCTCAGCCTCCCAAGTTGCTGGGATTACAGGGATACGCCACCACGCCTGGCTAATTTTGTATTTTTAGTAGAGACAGGGTTTCTCCATGTTGGTCAGGCTGATCTCGAACTCCCGACCTCAGGTGATCCGCCGGCCTCTGCCTTCCAAAGTGCTGGGATTACAGGCGTGAGCCACTGCATCCGGCCTATAGTAGAATTATTTCTATTGCTTTGGGTATATACCCAGTAATGGGATTGCTGGGTCAAATGTTAGTTCTGTTTTAAGTTCTTTGAGAAATCTCCAAACTGCTTTCTACCGTGGCTGAACTAATTTACATTCCTGCCACAAGTGTGTAAACATTCCCTTTTCTCCACAACCTCACCAGTATCTGTTACTTTTTTACTTTTTGATAACAGTCATTCTGACTGGTATAGATGGTATCTCATTGTGGTTTTGACTTACATTTCTCTGATTAGTGATGTTGAGCATTTTTTCATTTGCTTGTTGGCCACGTGTATGTCTTCTTTGAGAAGTGTCTGTACACATCTTTTGCCCATTTTAATGAGGTTCTTTTTGCTTTCAACATTATATTTTTGAGGTCTACCCATGCTGAGATACACCAGTCTAGTTTGCTCTTGTAAATGACTATACCAAAAGTTATCAATCTATTTTCTGTTAATAGATTGTTCCGATATATATATTGAGATTGTTCCTGATTTTTTGCTATCATAAGTAATGTTGCAGTCAGTTTGTGCATCTGGTACACATATGTGAGTGCATCTGTAGGTCACAGCGTATGCTTAGAAATGGAATTGCTGGATCACAGTTATATACATCTTCACTTACTAGAGACTGCCAAATTATTCTGCTGAATGGCTCAACAGTGATTGTACCAATATTTACTTCCATCAATGAAATAGAATAGTTCCCCTTTCCCCATATACTCACCAACACTTGACACTACCAGATTACAAAATTTTTGCCAATATGATGGGTATGGAATTGTATCTCATTGTTAATTTTCACTTAATCAACATTTATTGAGGTGTAGTTTAGAAACAATAAAGTGTACCCGTATTAAGTTTGGGCCGGGCACTGTGGCTCACACCTGTTATCCCAGCACTTTGGGAGGCCGAGGCAGGTGGATCACGAGGTTGAGAGATCGAGACCATCCTGGCCAACATGGTGAAATCCTGTCTCTACTAAAAATACAAAAATTAGCTGGGAGTGGTGGTACACACCTGTAGTCCCAGCTACTAGTGAGGGTGAGGAAGGAGAATCGCTTGACCCCAGGAGGCGGAGGCTGCAGTGAGCCAAGATCGCACCACTGCACTCCAGCCTGGTGACAGAGCAAGACTCCATCTC
Organism: Homo sapiens; assembly: GCF_000001405.40. Lineage (NCBI taxonomy): Eukaryota > Metazoa > Chordata > Mammalia > Primates > Hominidae > Homo > Homo sapiens. The sequence goes on along the minus strand of NC_000017.11, from coordinate 30,941,924 downwards.
GAAAAAAAAAAAATAGTTTGATTTTTGACAAATGTATATACCCATGTAACCACAACAATCAAGATATAAAACATTACTTATCATCCTAAATGTCACCCCAAAAGACTTCACTCATCCCCCTTCGCAGAATCTCTACCCCATTCCAACACCAGATAACCACTTATTTGTCTTCTATCAGTACAGTTTTGCCTGTTCTAAAATTTCATATAAATGAGATCATATAATACTCTTATACAAGGTGACTTAGAAAAGTTCATGGAAAACACATAGTATGAAAAAGCTATGCATGGATTTCAAATTGTTTTGCACCAAAATAAACTCATACTAACTTGTTATAACATGTCTGAGTGGGATTTTGTTTGAGGCACTAAGAAGGATACGACATCAACTTGAAAACAGCCCCTCTCAGAGCAACATGAATTCTGCTAAAATTGAAGCAAGAACAAACATCAACATTTATGGTGAAGCTTGGATGGAAGAATGGTGAAATCACTGGTGCTTTCAGAAAAGTTTACGGGGACAAATCCCCAACAAAATTAGCAGTTTACAAATGGATAACTTGTTAAGGAGGGACAAGATGATGTTGAAGATGGCGCCTGCAGCAGCAGACCATCTACATCAATTTACAATGAAAAAAATCATCTTGTTCATGCCCTAATTGAAGAGAAGCAATAATTAACAGCACAAACAATAGCTAACACCACAGATACCTCAATTGGTGCAGCTCACACAAATCTGACTGAAAAATTAAAGCTGGGCAAACTTTCCACTCAATGGGTACCAATGCCATTGCACCCAGATCAGTTGCAGACAAGAGCAGAGCTTTCAATGGAAATTTTAAACAAGTGAGATCAAGATCCTGAGGCAGTTCTTTGAAGAACTGTAACAGGAGATGAAACATGGCTTTACCAGTATGATCCTGAAGACAAAGCATAATCAAAGCAATGGCTACCGAGAGGTTGAAGTGGTCCTGTCATAGCAAAAGCAGACCAGTCAAGAACAAAGGCCATGGTAAAGTTTTCTGGGAGATGCTCAAGGTATTTTGCTTGTTGACTTTCTAGAGGGCCAAAGAACAATAACATCTGCTCATTATGAGAGTGTTTTGAGAAAGTTAGCCAAAGCTTCAGCAGAAAAACATCTGAGAAAACTTCACCAGAGAGTCCTTCTCCCCCAGGACAATGCTTCAACTACATTTCTCTCATCAAACAAGGGCAATTTTGTGAGAGTTTCAATGGGAAGTGATTATGCATCATCTTACAGTCCAAATTCGGCTCCTTCTAACTTCTTTTTGTTTTCTAATCTTAAAAAATCTGTAAAGGAGGCCGGGCATGGTGGCTCACGCCTGTAATCCCAGCACTTTCAGAGACCAAGGCGGGCGAATCACTTGAGGTCAGGAGTTCGAGACCAGCCTGGCCAACATGGTGAAACCCCGTCTCTACTAAAAATACAAAAATTAGCCCAGCATGGTGGCCAACGCCTGTAATCCCAGCTCCTGGGGAGGCTGAGGCAGGACAATCACTTGAACCTGGGAGGCGAAGGTTGCAGTGAGCCGAGATCGTGCCACTGTACTCCAGCCTGGGCGATGAAGCGAGACTCCATCTCGAAAAAAAAAAAATCTGTAAAGGGTACCCATCTTTCTTCAGTTAATAGTGTAAAAAAAAAGGCCAGGCGTGGTGACTTATGTCTGTTATCCTAGCACTTTGGGAGACTGAGGCTGGTAGATCGGTTGAGTTCAGGAGTTCAAGACCAACCTGGGCAACATGATGAAATCCTGTCGTTGCCAAAAAATACAAAAATTAGCCAGGCATGGTGGTGTGTGCCTGAAGTCTCAGCTACTCGGGAGGCTGAGGTGGAAGGAGCGCTTGAGCCTGGGAGGTTGTGGCTGCAGTGAGCTAGAATTGCACCACTGTACTCCAGCCTTGGTGAAAGAGCAAGACCCTGTCTCAGAAAACAGCATAAAAAAACAAAATGTAAAAAAGACTGCATTGGCATGGTTAAATTCCCAGGACCCTCAATTGCTAGGGGATGGACTAAATGGCTGGTGTCATCACTTATAAAAGTGTCTTGACCTTGATGGAGCTTATGTTGAGAAATAAAGTTTATATCTTTAATTTTAATCTCATTTGTCCAATACCTTTTTTTTTTTTTTTTTTGGAAATGGAATTTTGCTCTTTCGCCCAGGCTGGAGTGCAGTGGCGCCATCTCGGCTCACTGCAAGCTCCGCCTCCCAGGTTCGGGCCATTCTCCTGCCTCAGCCTCCTGAGTATCTGCGACTACAGGCGCCTGCCACCACGCCCAGCTAAGTTTTTGTATTTTTAGTAGAGACGGGATTTCACCGTGTTAGCCAAGATGGTCTCAATCTCCTGACCTCGTGATCTGCCTGCCTCGGCCTCCCAAAGTGCTGGGATTTCAGGTGTGAGCCTCCGAGCCTGGCCTCCAAGAACTTTTTGAAGTGCTTTGTATAGAGCTTGGGGCTTTTTTTTTTTTTTTTCAGTTTCACTTTCTTTATACTTCATTTCCTTTTTTGTATTACCCAAAAGTTTTACCTAAAAATTAGTTACCTTTATGATTTTAAAATATCCACTTTGGGAAATAAATAAAAAAGAACATAGGGAGCCCATTCTATTTTTGGACTATTCTAGACTGAACTGGCGTAGGACTGAAAAACAGATCAACTTTTTTCAACCAATGATGAGGCCCTGTCCGAGAGACCAACTCGCAGCAGCTGCTGGGGTTTGGTGACCTTTCCTAACTGCAGTAGCGCTTTCTCTTCCGGCCTTTTGTACCATTTCAGCAAAAATGTTGAAAAAGCCACATTTTTCAGTGCTTTACATTGAAGACTGGGAAAAAATTCTTCCTCTAACTTGGAGGGTAAAGATTCTTCATCCCTTAACACTTTTTACTTGGTCCCAGACTGTGGCCACATTGGACAGACCTTTTATATTATTATTTATACAAATTTATGGGGTACATGTGAAATTTCGCTACATGTATATAATGTGTAGTGATCAAGCCAGGATATTTAGGGTGTTGGTCACCAGAGTATTTTTGTTAAGCATAGTTACCCCACTCTGGTATCAAATATTGAATTTATTCCTTGCATCTTACAATGTTTGTACCCTTTAACCCACTTCTCTTCATCCTCCCTTCTCCTCCCCATAGACAGACCTTTTAGCATTGCTCTGGTCTGCCTAGAAAAGCAACAGGGGGAATATATAATAATTCTACATATAGGAAATAGAGTAAGGTGAAGGCTAAAGTGCTCAGAGCTTATCCTTCTCTTACTTTGTTGGCCACAATTTCACATTCTCTTTGCTGAAAACTTCTTATCTTTCTGTCCTTTAAATACTGGAATGCCCCAGGGCTCAATGGGGTAGATGGTCTCCAAAGATGGCGCTCACCCAGTCTTTCCCTCCCAGTGTATACGTGACCCTCTATCCATGAAGAGGTTGAATCTATTTCCCCTCCCCTTGAATCAGGGCTTGTTGCATGACTTGCTTTGACCAACAGAATGCAGCTCCTGGTTAGCCTTCCAGAGGTCTGGTAGCATTTGCTTTTGTTTAGGGAAGTCAGCAGCCAAGCCACAAGAAAGCTTAAGCTAGACTCCTGAATGAGAAAGACAGAGCCCCCATATAGAGTACACCAAGGCACCAGACATGAGTGAAAGCTTCTTTGGGTCTCTGGCCAGCTAAGGGCAGCAGAGTAGCCCAGCTGATGCCACATGGAGTACACCAGAACAGCCGAGGCCTCCTCAAATTCCTGACCCATAGGATTGTGAGAAATAGTAAATTGATATTTTAAGCCATTAAGTTTTAGGATGGTTTGTTACTCAGCAACACATAACCAAAATACTCAGTCCTTGAACACCTTTTTCCTGCTTAGGTGATCCTAGCCAGTCCCATTACTAAACCAGTCTACATGCTGACGACTCCAGTTCCAAACTCTCTCCAAGCCTCCAAATCAGACATCCAACTTCTGCCACTTGGGTTTAGAATTCAGGAAACATACATCCAACTTCTTTCCCCATGTCTCTACTGGATGACTCATAGGCATCTCAAAATAAAAAGGACTTTTGAGCATCCCCTTAGGGGTCTAAGTCTTTGCCACCTTAGTAAATAGCAAATCTATTCTTGTAGTTTTATAGAGCAAAAATCTGGGAATCATCCTTGATTCCTCTTACTCTCACACCCCACATCCAATCCTTCAATAAATTCTATTGCCTCTACTTCCAAAATATATCCAGAATCTGACCACTTCTAACCATCCTGGTCGGATCCACCATTCTTCTTCACTTGGGTTATTGCAACAGCTTCCTGACTAATTTCTCTGCCTCTGCTCTGGCCTCCTTCCTCCCTACTCACCCTAGCAGCAGCCAGCGTGCTGCTTTTTAAAAGCTTAAGTCAGGCTGGGCGCAGTGGCTCATGCCTATAATCCCAGCATTTTGGGAGGCTGAGGTGGGCAGATCACATGAGGTTAGGAGTTCTAAATCAGCCTGGTCAACATGGTGAAACCCTGTCTCTACTAAAAATACAAAAATTAGCCGGGTGTGGTGGTGCACGCCTGTAGTCCCAGCTACTGGGGAGGCTGAGGCAGGGGAATCACTTGAACCCGGGAGGTGGAGGTTGCAGTGAGCCGAGATCACACCATTGCACTTCAACCTGAGCAATAGAGTGAAATCCCATCTCAAAAAATAAATAAATAGGCCGGGCGCGGTGGCTCACGCCTGTAATCCCAGCACTTTGGGAGGGTGAGGTGGGTGGATCACGAGGTCGGAAATTCAAGACCAGCCTGGCCAAGATGGTGGAACCCTGTCTACTAAAAATACAAAAACTAGCCAGGCATGGTGGTGCGCGCCTGTAATCCCAGCTACTCGAGAGACTGAGGCAAAGAATTGCTTGAACCTGGGAGGCAGAGGTTGCAGTGAGCCGAGATCACGCCACTGCACTCCAGCCTAGGTGACAGAGTGAGCCTCCATCTCAAATCAATCAATCAATCAAAAACTTAAGTCAAATAATATCACTTCTCAGCTCAAAATCCTCCAATTTCTTCCCATCTCACTCAGTAAAATCCAAAAGCTCAAATTTTTGCAAATCCTACATGTATAAGTGACTTGTATCTAGAATATATACAGAACTATTACAACTTAATAATAAAAAGACAAATAACCTAATTAAAATATGGGGAAAGTATCTGTGTTAGCCAAGATGGTCTCCATCTCCTGAACTCCTGATCTGCCCACCTCGGCCTCCCAAAGTGCTGGGATTACAGGCGTGAGCCACCGCGCCCGGCCAATATGGGAAAGGATCTGAATAGACATTTCTACAAATAAGATATACAAATGGCCAATAAGCACATTAAAAAGATGCTCAACATCATTTGCCATGTGGGAAACGCCAATCAAAACCACAATGAGATACGACTTCATACCCATGAAGACGGCTATTATAAAAAAGACAGATATGGGCCTGGCGTAGTGGCTCACATCTATAATCCTAGTACTTTGGGAGGCTGAGGCAGAGGATTGCTTGAAGCCAGGAGTTTGAGAACAGCGTAGACAACAAAGCAAAACCCTATCTCTACAAAAATAAATAAGTAAATAAAAATTAGCTGGGTGGAGTGGTATGCATCTGCAATCCCAGTGCTTTGAGAGACCGGAGCAGGAGGAGTGCTTGAGGCCAGTAATTTAAGGTTGCAGTGAGCTATGATTGCACCACTGCACTCCAGCCTGGCCAACAGAGGAAGACTCTGTCTCTAAAAAAATAAATAAGATAAAATAGTAAAATAAAATAAAAATAACCAGATTAGGCAAATCCATAGAGACAGAAAGTAAGTTGTTGGTTGCCTAGGGCTAGTGGTGGGGTGGGGTGGGGGATTACAGCTAAGGGATAAGGTGTTTAAAGTTTTTAACTGAATTGTGGTGATAGTTGTGCTACTCTGTGAATACACTAAAAGCCAATTGACTGCATACTTTTAATGGGTGAATTATATGGTATGTGAATTGTATCTCAATAAACTGTTACCAAAAGAAATCCCAAGTCTTGCTATGACCTACAAGGCCCTCCACCATGTGACTTCATCTCCCTCCACACTTTTCCTTGCTCACTCTGCACAAGTCGCTCTGCCCTCCTTGATGCCCTACACCCACCAAACACACTTCTAGCTCAGGGCCAGGGTTGCAGCTTATGGTTAAGTCGTTTGTGCACTGCATAAAAAGCTCCTAGCTGACTGGTAACTGCAAACCAGGCTTCTGATTTTCGAGACTGGGGCCCAGGGGCTGCACCCTCTTAAAGGGATCATCTTTCTCAAATCGGTACAAAGGTGTATGTGTTTGACCATACCTGTGCTCAGGGCTTCTGCACATACTGTTCCTCCCCTTTCTTCTATTCTTCCCCCCACATAGCCATGTAACTCAGTGCTCACATTTGTTCAGTTATCTGCTCAAATGTCACCAGAGAGGCCTTCCCTGATCACTCTGCAGCAGCACTCCCTGACTCCCTAACACACTCTCATTGTTGTCTATCTTCTCACTCTCCGCTATTTTACTTCTTTTTTTCTTGAGACGGAGTTTCACTCTTGTTGCCCAGGCTGGAGTGCAATGGCACGATCTCAGCTCACCACAACCTCCACCTCCCAGGTTCAAGTGATACTCCTGCCTCAGTCTCCCGAGTAGCTGGGATTACAGGCATGCACCACCACGCCCAGCTAATTTTATATTTTTTTAGTAGAGATGGGGTTTCTCCATGTTGGTCAGGCTGGTCTCAAACTCCCGACCTCAAGTGATCCACCTGCCTTGGCCTCCCAAAGTGCTGGGATTACAGGCATGAGCCACCATGCCCGGTTTTTGTTTTTGTTTTTGTTTTGTTTTGTTTTTTGAGACAGGGTCTCACTCTGTCACCCATGCTAGAGTACAGTGGCACAATCTCGGCTCAATGCAGCCTCGACCTCCCATGCTCAAGCAGTTCTCCCACCTCAGACTCCCTAGTAGCTGGGACTACAGGCATGTGCCACCATACAAAGGTGTATGTGCTTGACCCAGCTAATTTTTGTATTTTTTGTAGAGATGGGGCTTCACCATGTTGCCCAGGCTGATCTCAAACTTCTGAACTCAAGCAATCCCCCTGCCTCAATCTCTTACTAAAGTGCTGGGATTATAGGTGTGAGCTACTGTGCGCAGCCACTTCTATTTTACTTTATAAAACTATTGCCTCCTGGTATATTATATATTGATGTTTTGATTACGGAGCTCTTTCCTTTCACTAGACTGAAAGCTCCCTGAGAACAAGAGTTTTGTTTAGTTCCCTGCTGTATCCTCAGTGCCTGGAATAATGTCTAGCACACAGTAGGTACTCAATAAATGTTTCTTAAGTGAATGAATAAATGAAGCAAAACCAAGTGGTCATCAAAGGCTTAAACATGGACCTATCTAAGCTGATTCTAGGTGGACAGAAAGTATGATTTTTGGTGGACTGGATTTACTGTATAGCCAAGGAAAAGTAGCCAAATGTTGTGCCTAACTCTCAGGGGCTGAGATTATCTACAAGAAAAGGGCACCACTGATTAGAATGTAGACCTTAGTCGGGTGAGAGTGCTCAGGAAGGGACCTGCTCTCATTGGTCTGGCATCTTACCTGTTCCTTTGTGAAGTACTTCAGGAGGCCTTCTCTTGCCAGAAGTACAAACTTCCTTCTCAGAAACTGTGAGTTGTCCCTTCCTCGCTTCCACAGGAATCCTTCTCGGTTACCTTAAGCAGCAAGGATGACAAAGCGTGAACACACGTGACCTTAAGATCACAAGCAGCTCAGGAACCTCTGAGGTTCTCAAGGGTGGAATAAGCCTTCCATCTGCTGCCAAAGTATCTCCACTCAGACTTCCCTATTTCAGCTGCAGAACACAAGGATCCCATCTGTGGCCAACTTTGTGATGTCTTTTCACTTCAGGGGCACTTCCCACTGCCTAAAACCTTTCTTCCTTGACTTTCTGTGTATCAGGCTGTCTCATAAGAAGACCCTTAAGAAGGCAAAGTCCTGAGAAACTGGACTGATTCTGAAAGACACTTAAATACATACTAAATACATATGGTCCTGCCCAACTTCATGCTGACATCAACCTAATGAAACTTTAGAAGTAAGGCAGGGCGCAGTGGCTCACGCCTGTAATCCCAGCACTTTGGGAGGCCGAGGCGGGCAGATCACAAGGTCGGGAGTTCAAGACCAGCCTGACCAACATGGTGAAACCCCGTCTCTACTAAAAATACAAAAATTAGCTGGGCATGGTGGCGCGTGCCTGTAATCCCAGCTACTCAGGAGGCTGAGACAGGAGAATCACTTGAACCCGGGAGGGGGAGGTTGCAGCGAGCCGAGATTGTGCCACTGCACTCCAGCCTGGGTGACACAGTGAGACTCCCTCCGGGCATCTGCTGGTTTGAAGAATAATTTATGGGCTGGGTGCAATGGCTCACACCTGTAATCTTGACACCTTGGGAAGCCAAGGCAGACAGATCACTTGAAGTCAGGAGTTTGAGATCAGCCTGGCCAACATGGCAAAACCCTGACTCTCCTAAAAATATAAACATTAGCCAGGTGTGGTTGTGCATGCCTGTAATCCCAGCTACTCGGGAGACTGAGGCATGAGAATCACTTGAACCTGGGATGTGGAAGTTGCAGTGAGCCGAGTTCACGCCATTGCACTCCAGCCTGGGTAACAGAGTGAGACCCTGACTCAATAAATAAATACATAAATAAATAGAATAATTTGTGGTCCTGGTAGCCAGGATAGCTGAGCACTGCCTCTGGCCCTCTAAGAATGATTTTTTATACTTTACTGTCTGGGTCAGAGTCAGCTTGGACTCAGGACCGTGGGGGTGAAACTGCCACAGGTCCAGGGCCACAGAAGAGGTTGTACCCTGCACAATGGTCGAAAGGGAGGCTGAATTTAAGCCCATCCTCCTCACCAAGTCTTGAGCTGCACCAGGAATAAAGCTCACCAGGAGCAGGGATATCTTTTCCTAATTGGTCTGTCCAGTGGAGGAGTCTTTCTGCAATTTACATTAAGTGTTTGATGCTGGGCGCGGTGGCTCATGCCTGTAGTCCCAGAACTTTGGGAGGCTAAGGTGGGCAGATCATGAGGTCAGGAGTTCGAGACCAGCCTGGCCAACATGGTAAAACCCCGTCTTTACTAAAAATACAAAAATTAGCCAAGCATGATGCTGTAATCCCAGCTACTCAGGAGGCTGAGGCAGGAGAATCGCTGGAACCCAGGAGGCAGAGGCTGCACTGAGCTGAGATCATGCTACTGCACTCCACCCTGGGCAACAAGAGCAAGACTCTGTCTCAAAAAAAAAAAAAAGAAGAAGAAGAAAAAGAAAAAGAGTCTGGCTGGGCACAGTGGCTCATGCCTGTAATCTCAGCACTTTGGGAGGCCAAAGCGAAAGGATCACTTGAGTTCAGGAGTTCAAGACCAGCCTGGGCAACATGGTGAAACCCCATCTCTACAAAAAATAAAAATAAAAAAATAAAAGCCACTAAAATTAGCCAGGTATGGTGGCATGTGCCTGTAGTCCCAGCTAGTTGGGAGGCTGAGGTGGGAGGATCATGTGAGCCCGGGAGATTGAAGCTGCAGTGAGCTGTGATAGTGCCACTGCACTCCAGGCTGGACAACAGAGTAAGACCCTGTCTCAAAAAAAAAAAAAAAAAAAAGAGTCTGTACACACTTGTGACCCTGCAAAGACCTGAGACAAAGACCATAGAAGCTCTGAGCTTCTCTGCTGCTCAGAGCATAAAGCCCCACCAGCTGATGTGTTGTTATTTCAAAGTCAGAAGAACCCACACCTTGGCCTCTGCGGCCACAGTGAGAACAGCAGGCATCTCTTGGATGGATCTTGCTCCTAATATTTAGGCACTTGGTTTTTCTAGAGCTCATTAAAACATAGATTTCAAAAGGTGATGGAAATAACTTTACCTGGGAGCGAGATGGTTTCCCCATCAGCCATAAATTCCCGTCTCTCATACTTAGCTCGAATCCATTGTTCCTTTAAGACCCTAAAAAGAGAGAGCCTGAGGTCAGCTGCGTTTGATGCATTCTCTTTTTTTTTTTTTTTTGAGACAGGGTCTCCCTCTGTTGCCCAGGCTGGAGTGCAGTGGTGTGATCACGTGATCACGGCTCACTGCAGCCTAGACCTCCTAGGCCCAGGCGATCCTCCCATCTCAGCCTCTTAAGTAGCTGGGATCACAGGCAGGCACCACCACACCTGGCTAATTTTTAAATTTTTGTAGAGATGGGGGTCTCCCTATGTTGCCTAAGCTGGTCTTGAACTCCAGGGCTCAAGCGATCCTCCTGCCTCAGCCTCCCAAAGTGCTGGGATTACCACCATGCCTGGACTGATGCATTCTTTTCCAAGACCCTGCAGTTGAGGGTGGGAACATCACAGCAGTGCCTCACTGCCTGCTCCAGCTACCTAGGATTCCTCAGCCTCAGTACTGTTAACATTCGGGGTTGGATAATTCCTTGTTCTGTTGTCTTATGGGTTGTCCCATGCTCCACAGAATGTTTAGCAGCATTTCTGGCCTCTACCCATTAGATGCCAGTAGCACCCCCTCCCCAGTTGTGGCACCCAAAAATGTCTTCAGGCATTGCCAAATGTCCTCTGGGGGAAATATTTCTCCCAGTGGGCTATATGAGAACCACCGAGTTGTTCCAATCCCAGTATCAGCTCTCTAGGTCAATGAGACAGATACTGGCTCCTCTGGACCATCTACACCACCTGCTCCCACTGTGTGTTCATGAGCTTAGGCAGGAGAGTCCAGGAGCCTCTTCCTGTACCTGCCCATGAAGTCTGGGCAGGCTACACTGGACAAAGCAGTCGTCTTAGGATCTGACCACCTGGGACCTGGTCTCACTCTATCATTTATCCACTGTGTGACCATGAGCAAGTTACCCAACTCCTCTGAATTTGGGGAATAGACCTCTATTGTTATACTCACTTAGCCCTCAGGGTTGTTGAGAGGTTTAAATGTATATAAAGGGCCTAGCACCTACTCAGCACATAGTAGGTGTTTAATGTGATCTCAATCAGAGATTGTCATCCGTGAGTCCTGCAGAAAAACCATGCAGCCGAGAGTGGAGTTATTTTAATTGTTTGGTTCCTGCTCACCTTTTCCAGGGAAGTGTTCCAAGGTATATATGACCTTACCCCATAGCCACAGGAATGACCTAGAGCTGGGCATCTGGCCCAACCTGGTCATTCAGAGCTCTTTGCTGCTCTGGGCTGTGTGGACTGAGAGGGTCAAAAGTGAAGGAGAGATTGATGGAGCTTTCTCCAGAGTCACGCTGGAAGGTATAGCCTGGCACCTGCTTGTGGCCTTGCTGCCAGCTGTGTGAAGGAAGCCTGTCTGAGAGAAAGAGGAAAGAGAGCCAGAGAGAGTATGAGAGACCTGATGGTGTGTGAGCTCCTGGCTTGGTCCTTCCTGAGGCCAGCTCCACCACTGTCCTTCAGGTAGTCTGATCCCCAGAACCCATAAAATCCTCTTTTTTTAATGCTGGTTTAAACTGGGCTTCTGGCCAGGCGCAGTGGCTCACACTTGTAATCCTAGCACTTTGGGAGGCCAAGGCAGGCAGATCACTTGAGGTCAGGAGTTCAAGACCAGCCTGGCCAACATAGCAAAACCCCGGCTCTACCAAAAATACAAAAATTAGCTGGGCATGGTGGCACGTGCCTGTAATCCCAGCTACTTGGGAAGCTGAAACAGGAGAATCGCTTGAACCCAGGAGGTGGAGGTTGCAGTCAGCTGAGATTGTGCCACTGCACTCCAGCCTGGGTGAAAGAGCAAGACTCTGTCACAAAAATAAATAAATAAATAAATAAATAAATAAATAAATAAATAAGGTTTCTGTCGCTTACAATCAAGAGTCCAGGCTGGGCATGGTAACTCATGCCTGTAATCCCAGCACTTTGGGAGGCCAACACAGGCAGATGGCTTGAGCTCAGCTCAGGAGTTTGAGACCAGCCTGGGCAACATGATGAAACCTCATCTCTACAAAAATAAAAACAAACAAAAATACAAAAATTAACCAGGCATGGTGGCATGCACCTGTAGTTCCAGCTACTTGGGAGGCTGAGGTGGGAGGATCACTTGAGCCGAGGAGGTTGGGGCTGCAGTGAGCCATGATTGTGCCACTGAACTCTAGCCTGGGCAACAGAGTGAAACCTTGTCTCTATATTTAAAAAAGAAAGAAAGAAAAAAGAGAGAGAGAGTCATTCCTAGTGCACAGCCCACAGATCACTGAGGAGAATCACCTGGCCCACCATGAGGGTGGAAACCCTGGGACACAAGATCAGAGCAGGGAGAAGGAATGGAGACCAAGGGCCACCCATGTTGGTCCTGAAGGTGGCCATTAGTACTCAGACAAAAAGGGTTAAAGTGCAGGGCTGCTGCTGGAGTCATGGTGGGTAATGTCTGTTTAGTGCCGGCAGGAAGCCTAGCACAGCGCACGTGTTCACTGAGCACTTGGAGCAAAGGACAGAGTGGCAGCAGCGAGCCAGGATGAGACAGGCCCTCTCGAGTCAGCACACCCCACAGCTGGCCATGGACAGGTAGCATTCTGAAGCAGACACAGTGAAATGGATTCAAACCCGTGTGTCGGGTGGCATGTGAAAGGTTCTACATAAGTTATCTCATGTAATCTCTACAAGTATGCTATGATGCAGGCATCATTGCCTACATTTCAGAGATGAGGATGTTGACAATCAGAGAGATTTGCTGACTTGCCCACGTCCTCCCAGCTAGGTCACAGTAGAGCTAGGAAACAAAACTGAGGTCTTCCAAGTAGAAAGCTGTGCTTCCCCAGCCACTCCAGAGTACATTACTAGCTCTTAATTGTCTAAGCACTGAGAAATTACAAGACCACTAGGTATGGTTATATAGTCTGTGTACTGCCCAAAAGCACCTTGCTGAGGCTCGGCAGCTGAAATGCAGCTGCTTTCTGTTTGCCAGACATACCCGCTATGAGGCTGGGTCAGCCTAAAGGGATTCCTTCTCCCCATTTACACAAGATACTGTCTAGCAGCCCTGGTGGGGAGTCTAAGTCCCTGGGAAGGAGTCGTAGGCTCAGGCAGTCAGATCTGCAGAGGTCCAGGGCCACTAGGTACCAGTGCCACACTAACCCTCACCTCCAGGGGACCTGAACCCTCCTGCTGCTTCAAAGCCCCCCTCTTATATAAAATTATCCCAATTCCATGAAACAGTCACCCTGGCCCTGGTGTCAGACAGGCTAGACCAGTATTGCCTCCACAAACCTCAGGTTTTTTCATCTATAGCATAGGGATAGTAGCAGTACTTGTAGGGTTGTTGAAAGAATTAAATAAATACATGCACATAAGCATTTTGCACAGGGCGTAGTACTTAAGCAAAGCTCAATAATATTAGTAGCAATTTTTTTTTTGAGACAAAGTCTCACTCTGTTGCCCAAGCTGGAGTGCAGTGGTGCAATCTCTGCAACCTCCACCTCTCGGGTTCAAGCGATTCTCCTCCCTCAGCCTCTCGAGTAGCTGGGACTACAGGCATGTACCACCATGCCCAGCTAATTTTTTAATTTTTAGTAGAGACGGGGTTTCACTATGTTGGCCGGGCTGGTCTTGAACTCCTGGCCTCGAGTGATCCGCCCGCCTCGGCCTCCCAAATTGCTAGGATTACAGGTGTGAGCCGCCACATCCGGCCTTTTTTTTTTTTTTTTTTTTTTTGAGACAGTCTCCTTCTGTTGCCCAGGCTGGAGTGCAGTGGCGTGATCTTGGCTCAATGCACCCTCTGCCTCCGGGTTCAAACAATTCTCATGCCTTAGCCTCCTGAGTAGCTGGGACTACAGGCATGAGCCACCGCATCCAGCCAGTAGCTACTTTTTTTTTTTTTCTAATGCTAGGTCTCACTCTGTCACTCATACTAGAGTGCAGTGACACATGTGATCCTAGCTCACTGCAATCTGGGCTCAAGCAATCCACCCACTTCAGTCTTCCTAGTAGCTCAGACTACAGGCACGTGCTACTATGCCCTGGCTAAGTTCATTTTATTTTATTTTTTGTAGAGACAGGGTCTTGCTATGTTGCTCAGGCTGACATTGAACTCCTATCTTCAAGCGATCCTCCCACCTCAGCCTCCCAAAGTGCTAGGATTACAGGCACTGGCCATTGTGCCTGGCTGTTATTCTTATTTTTATGGTTAGTATTTAGGGATCTGCAGCTCAGGCAAGTTGTTTAGAGCCAGCCCGAGCTTAGGTGGCAGAGCCCTAGACATATTTCTATCTTTTATTTTTTTTTTTTTTTGAGCCGGAGTCTCGCTGTGTTGCCCAGGCTGGAGTGCAGTGGCGCCATCTTGGCTCACTGCAAGCTCTGCCTCCCGGGTTCACACCCTTCTCCTGCCTCAGCCTTCCAAGTAGCTGGGACTCCAGTGCCCGCCACCACGCCCGGCTAAATTTTTTTTGTATTTTTAGTAGAGACAGGCTTTCACCGTGTTAGCCAGAATGGTCTCGATCCCCTGACCTCGTGATCTGCCCGCTTCGGCTTCCCAAAGTGCTGGGATTACAGGCCTGAGCCACCGTGCCTGGCCAGCTCTAGACATATTTCTCTAAAGGAAGTAGCTGAAACACACTTGGTCTAGTAAGATACTAGTGTTTACCCCCTCTTATCAAGTTAGCCACCATCTGTAAGCTACAAGAATGTCACAGGCAGAGATCATAGAGAAAAATCATAGAGATCATACAGAAAAATCCTCCATTTAAGAGCTGTGGAAACTGAGGCCCAGAGAAAGGAAGAGACACGCCCAAGCAACAGAGGCAGAAAGAGGCTTATACCAGTCTTCCCATGTGCTCTCTGTGATGGTATCCAGTGCTTTCCTGGATCCACCTGCGCACCAGGCCCATAGAAGAGACCACCACAGATGAAGACACCAAAGATGGAGAGGGGGAGGAGGTGGAACCAGGACAGACCCCTCACCCAGTCCCTAAGGAATCACCCACTCACAGGCAGTCGTTGGCCTGGGGGATGTAGTAGAAAGCTGGGACTCTGGCTTCGAACTTGGCCTTCACACGGAGGTTTCCATTGTGGATCATAAACTGCAAGACAACAGCAACCTGAGGTAATATTAGAACTTGAAAAAACGTGAAATGAAACTATGAGGCCACTGACTTAGGCTGAGTCAGAAGAAACTGCCTCCAAGAAGGAGATGTCCCACCGGGCTTGGTCATCCATACTGCTGGGAAGCCCCAGCCTGTAACAATCATGGGCAGATATAACCATGCCTCATATGGGCACAGGACTCCACAGTGCTCACACATCAGCTCACTGGGTCCTCTCAGCCATTTTCATATCACTGTACTCATTTTACAGATGAGTCAACTGAGGCTCAGACGGGTTAGGTTACTTGTTCAAGGAAACACAGCTATAAGTGGAGAACTGGGATTTGAACCCAGACCTGACTCCAAAGCTCATATTCTTCCTATCATGCCTTCCACAGATGGCCAGGACCCCTAGCAGCCCTGAAAGTCTGCAGGAGATAAATGTACCTGGAGGATGGAAGAAGTGGGTGCTCGCCTCATGGAGTGCATAGGTCAGGATGATTAGTAGGGCCCTTTGGCACCCAAGAGACCCAGAGGCTGATGCACCAAAAGTGGCCCTGGCAGCAGTGGCATAGCTAGGGTGAGGGCAGAAGTGGGAAGAAACACCAGGTTTTCAATTCACATCGCTTGGGCATCTCCTTTGCAGGAGAGGAGCATTGCTCCTCTTCTCCTCTGCAGGGGCCGCTAGGCTGTGTCGCCAGCTTTGGATCCCAACAGAGCAGGATTCAGATCCTGACTGCCATTTATTTGATGAGTGACCCTTGGAATCTCACCCGTAAAAATGAAGAAAATGGCCAGGCACAGTGGCTCACACCTGTAATCCCAGCACTGTGGGAGGCCAAGGCTGGGGATCACTTGAGGTCAGCAGTTTGAGACCAGCCTGACCAACATGGTGAAACCTTGTCTCTACTAAAAAAATACAAAAATTAGCCAGGACACAGAAAGGTGAGGCAGGATAATTGCTTGAACCCGGGAGGCAGAGGTTGCAGTGAGCCGAGATTTTGCCACTGCCCTCAAGCCTAGGCAATAGAGCAAGACTCTCTCTCAAATAAATAAATAAATTAGCCAGGTATGGTGGTGCACGCCTGTAATCCTAGCTACTCAGGAGGCTGAGGCACAAGAATTGCTTGAACCCAGGAGGAGGAGGTTGCAGTGAGCCAAGATCACACCACTACACTCCAACCTGGGCAACAGAGTGAGTGAGACTCCGTCTCAAAAAAAAAAAAGAAAGAAAGAAAAGAAAAGAAAAGAAAAGAGAAGAAGAAGAAGAAGAAGGAAGAAGGAAGAAGAAGAAGAGGAGGAGGAGGAAGAAGAAGAAGGAAATATAACAGAGGATTGGGCGCTGTAGCTCACACCTGTAATCCCAGCACTTTGGGAGGCTAAGGCAGGTGGATCACCTCAGGTCAGGTGTTCAAGACCAGCCTGGCCAACATGGCGAAACCCCATCTCTACTAAAAATACAAAAAATTAGCCGGGCATGGTGGCGGGCGCCTGTAATCCCAGCTACTCAGGAGACTGAGGCAGGAGAATCGCTTGAATCCAGGAGGTGGAGGTTGCAGTGAGCCGAGATCGTGCCACTCACTGCACTCCAGGCTGGGTGACAGAGTGAGACTGCATCTCAAAAAAAAAAAAAAAAAAAATGCTGGGCACGGTGGCTCACGCCTGTAATCCCAGCACTTTGGGAGGCCGAGGCGGGTGGATCACCTAAGGTCAGGAGTTTGAGACCAGCCTGACCAACAGGGTGAAACCCTGTCTCTAGTAAAAATTCTACTAAAAATACAAAATTAGCCGAGCATGGTGGTGCATGCCTGTAATCCTAGTTACTCAGAAGGCTGAGGCACAAGAATCGCTTGAACCCCAGAGGCAGAGGTTGCAGTGAGCCAAGATCGCATCATTGCACTCCAGCCTGGGCAACAAGAGTGAAACTCCGTCTCAAAAAAAAAAAAAACAAAAAAAACAAAAAAGAAAATATAACATGGGAGTTATAAGGTGCAAATAAAATCCTTCAGGTTTATGTGCTGGTTTACTGGTTTCCAGCCTTTCTCCCACACTAGAATGTAAGCTCTGTATGGCCAGGGACCTTATCTTGTTCATTGTTCTCTCCCAAGACCCAGCACTTAGTAAGGTCACACTAAAGCCTCCAGTCCGGTGCTGTCTAGCACAGTACCTGGCACAGAGTAGGCATTCAGTAAATGTCAGCCTGCTTCCCCAATAGTCCTGGAAACCCTCAGCCAACCCGCACAGTGCAGAACTGCCTGCTCTCTGGAGGTTTTCTGACCAAAATGGAATTACCATGCAGGCTGAGGGTATCCTCCACCCCCAGAGGGCAGGAGAGCAAAGTGGTCCTCTTTCTGCCTAGGGGGAAAGGAGGACTTTAGACCACAAATCAGGTTATTTCCCTTCCCCCAGTCCAAGACTTCACTAATGATAACAGCAACTTTTTTTTTTTTTTTGAGGTAGGGTCTCACTCTCACCCTGGCTGGAGTGCAGTGGTGCGATCTCAGCTCATTGCAGCCACACTCTCACAGGCTCAGGTGATCTTCCCACCCCAGCCCCCGAAGTATCTGGGACGACAGGCGCATGCCATCACACCCAGCTAATTTTTGTATTTTTTGTAAAGACGGGGTTTCACCATGTTGCCCAGGCTGCTCTTGAACTTCTGGGCTCAAGCAATCCACCAGCCTCAGCCCCCCAAAGTGCTGGGATTATAGGTGTGAGCCACCACACCCGTACAACAGCAACTGTTAACTGACAGCTTTCTTTGTGTCTGGACTGAGCCTACAATCATCTTCACAACAGTGCTGTGACATTGGTGGTAGTGGCCAGGCACAGTGGCCCACGCCTGTAATCCCAGCACTTTGGGAGGCCGAGGAGGGTGGATTACCCAAGGTCAGGAGTTCGAGACCAGACTGACCAACATGGCAAAACCCCGTCTCTGCTAAAAATTAATACAAAAATTAGCGGGGCATGGTGGTGGGTGCCTGTAATCCCAGCTACTCAGGAGGCTGAGGCAGGAGAATTGCTTGAACCCAAGAGGCAGAGGTTGCAGTGAGCCGAGATTGGCCGTTGCACTCCAGCCTGGGCGACAAGAGTGAAACTCCGTCTCAAAAAAAAAAAAAAAAAAAAAAAAGGAAGAAAGAAAAAAAGAGAAATGGTGGTGGTATCCCTTGAATACAGATGTGGAAACTGAGGGTCCACAGCTAGGTCAAAGTACCTAGCTCAGGGCCTCCCAGCTTATAGGTAAGCAAATGATGGCCAGGAGCGGTTCAGGATGGTTCAGGCCTGTAATCCCAGCACTTTGGGAGGCTGAGGTGGTGGATCGCCTGAGGTCAGGAGTTCGAGACCAGCGTGACCAACATGGTGAAACCCCGTCTCTACTAAGTACAAAAAAATTAGCCGGGTGTGGTGGCAGGCGCCTGTAATCCCAGCTGCTTGAGAAGCTGAGGCAGGAGAATTACTTGAACCCGGGAGGCAGCGGTTGCAGTGAGCCAAGATTGCTCCACTGCACTCCAGCCTGGACAACACAGCGAGACTCCGTCTCAAAAAAAAAAAAAAAAAAGTAAGCAAATGATAGAGCCAGAATTTGAACTCTCGGCCTCTGTCTAAGCTGCCATCTTATAAGCTGTGTTTCCTCTAGCTAGACTTGCCCCTCTCTGGTTCTCAGTTTCCCCCTCTGTAGAATGGGAGCCCCCTGCCCGCTGCCTCTACTCCAGTCCCGCAGTTCCATGGCTCTCCACGGGCATGCCTTTCTACCTCCACAATACTGTCGTCCCAGAAGTCAAGTCGCACAGATTTAACTCTGCTGATGTCAGGGAAGTTACGGTGGACGCCGCAGCAGTTGAGACAGATGAAGATCCCCAGCTTGTAAGAGGCCCAGTCGGGATCTGCAGGGGATGAGGCAGGAGAGGAGCTGAGCGGAAAGCGCGGTGAAGAAACCAGGGCTGGGCTCGGGGCACTGGGGCAGGTGGGGCGCCCCTTCTCCCACCTAAGGCGAACTAAGCGGCCAGCCTGGCACCTTCTGGTTAGCCCACCGGCCGCTGCGCGGCGACCGGGGTGAAGATCCTGGAGGCAGTTCAGGGCCCGGGGAGAGAGTCTGAGGCTGCGCGACGTGGAAGTGAAGGGACTCAGAAGGAACCGAGAGGAGGGCGCGGGGGGCGCACCGCGGGGCTCGGCGCGGAGCTGCAGGTGGGGAGGCTGAGTTAGGGGGCCCTCGGCGTCCCCGAGGTGGGGCGCTGGGGAGGCCTTCGGGGGGCGTCTGGGAGCGGGCAGGGGGCACAGGACTGTCGGCGGCCTGGGCCCGACGTTTAGCCCTGGCTGGGATGTCTGAGTCCGAGGGCGTGGGGCGCGCCTGGGTGCGCAGACATCGAGAGCCCGGACTCGGGCGGTCGGGTGCCTGGCCAGGGAAGAGAGCGGGACTGGAAGGGCTCTAGGCTGCCGGCTCTCGTGTCCGGGTCCAAGCACGTGGGAAGATGCGCATCTGGTCCCGCGAGGGGAGCAGAGCCTGGGCTCGTAGGGGCCGGGGCAGGGTGTGGTGGAGACGGCCCTCGGGGCTCGGGTGAGAGGTTCACGGTGTGGGTGGGAGGGGTCGGGGCCCGCAGGTGCCACGTCTGGGTCCAGGGGGCCGAGGGCGGGACCCGGTGGGGCCGAGGGGAGGAGTCGGGTGGGCCTGGGGTCCGGCCGGGGGTCTCGCGCTGCCCGCGCCGCCGCGCCCTTACCTGCCGCCCCGCAGTCGGCGCAGTGCGCGTTGCCTGTGTCCGGCGCCCGCAGCAGCTCCAGCAGCCGCTTCTTGTTGCGCTCGCGATCGCCCATGGCCGGCCCGGCGGGCTCAGCGGGGCTCAGCCCATGGCCCGTGCGCTCCGCCCGGCAGGTGGAGAGGGACCCGGCCGCGGCGCCTCAGCCAGGCCTGGGCAGCCGCCAGCCCCGCCCCGCACCGTCAGGACTGTCCGCCCCTCCCTCGGCAGGTCCAGTCCGGCCCCGAGCTCCGCCGACGCGCGGGGAGGGACAGGAGCACGCAAATTGGAGTTTAACACACTGGCCTGAGATCAAATCGTGGCCTGTCACTTGGTAGCTACGAGACTGTGGACAACCTATTCAACCTCTGTGGGTCTCAGTTTCCGCGTCTATGAAAGAGGAACAAGGGCATATGTCTGCATCTCAGCGCTTCTTGGAAAATTAACCAGAATCTAACTTCTGTTAAAGCGTTCTGTTAATGTAAGATCTTACATCTATTTGGAGACGTATTTATATGCAAATGCCACCTCCTCAGGAAGCCCTCTGTGATACCCTGCCTGGAGTAATCTTTCCAGCCTCTGGGTCTCCAAGAATACTCTTGTAGTATCTGTCTATTTGTTTTGGACCTGAGCACTTTCTATCTACCTTGCATCACGGTTATTTATATACTTGTGTTAATTCCACTCTCTGACCGCAGACACATACACATGTCCACACCAGGGAGTTTGACGTCAGCAGTTTTATGTCTGTATTCCATATTGCTCCTATAAATGATACCTGCACATTTTTAGAAGTCCAACTAATAGTTGCATGATTTTGTTCACCAGAAAAGTGTGGTTTCACCAAGGTGGACACAGCCAGGCACTTTAACCTGTGAAGTTCCATCACCGCGAGGTGAAGGCAGGGTATAGGTGGTCTTAAATGTGGGCATTTCATTTCCTCTTTCCCTCTCTCCCATCTTTGTTACTGCTTGACATCATCTTCGTTACTCCTTGACATCATCTGCAATGACTCATGGGCCTCCTGGTGAAATATATACTGTACATACTTGCCATCTTCTATGTAGGTTAATACCTTAATGCACACAGATGCATTAAGCCATATGCATATGATAGACAGGTGTTAACCTTCAGGATAAAATCAGGTTTCCATCCTGGTGAATTGCAGCTGATGTTCTAGCTGACCTGCCCACACTCCCATTCAACATACATGCGGGCGCAAGCACACACGTGCACACACACGCACAGCAATATGGTGTAATGGAATGAATTCAGGAATCCAGAAATTCAGGCTTTAAATGTTGACTCCTTCATTTCCACATTTCCCAACTGTTTGTCTCTGGGCAAGTTCCTTCACTTCTCTGAGCCTCCAAACCCTCAACTGTTAAATGGAGAGCGTAAGATCCACTAATAGGGTCATTGAAATGGCACAAAGAAACCCTCCAAACATGGTGGCCTCCTTGCTTCCCCTGCCCCTATGGTCAGCTTGTGGAATTGTCGCTTGGAATGCTGTGTGTGATTCCCGTCATCCCTGGGGTGGAGGAGGTCAAGCTGCCAGGACTGAGCAGGAAGGGAGGGTGGAGAGTATTACCAAGAATAGCCAGCCATGAGGGGGTCTTGCCTGTGAGGGGGTGAGGCCTAGCCCAGGAGCAGCCACAGAGGAACCAGTGAGAGAGTCAGCTGGGGTCAGGGGGCATGGGGCTGTTTATTAAACCGGCTGAAAGATGATTCATTTCCGTTGCTTTAGATGAAAAAAGGGACAGAAATAAATCTCCCAGGAGAAAGATGGGAAAGTCAACTTAAGGTATGAAGGCAAAGGAAAGAGGGAGAGAGGGAGAAGAGGAGACAAGCTAAGGACATTTCTCCTCTGCCCAACACTGGGACAAAATTGTGATGCTGGGGGTGCTTCCTCGGCACCCGAGCCTTCACCAGTCTGTGCTCCTTTGCTTCTCTGACACCTTAGGTCTCACTGCCACCTCCCTGTAGGTCCCACAAAAGCCAACCCAGTTCTAAGTAGGCTCTGGTTGAATCTCAGAAACTTTAAAAAAAGCCGGGCGCAGTGGCTCACGCCTGTAATCCCAGCACTTTGGGAGGCCGAGGGGGGCGGATCACGAGGTCAGGAGATCGAGACCATCCTGGATAACACGGTGAAACCCCGTCTCTACTAAAAATACAAAAAAATGGCTGGGTGTGGTGGTGGGCGCCTGTAGTCCCAGTTACTTGGGAGGCTGAGGCAGGAGAATGGCATGAACCCAGGAGGCGGAGTTTGCAGTAAGCCGAGATCGCACCACTGCACTCCAGCCTGGGCGACAGAGTGAGACTCTGTCTCAAAAAAAAAAAAAAAAAATTAAAAAAAAAAAGAAAAAGAAAAAGAAAAAAAATAGCCAATCCAAGAGAACATACAGTATCTCATTCATAGTGAGGAGCCAGAGATTGAGAGATTCCTTTAGTTTCCCCTCTTCCCTTCCTTATTTCTGGAGGTTCCCATCAAACAGCCTTAATGTGGCATTTCAGGCATCCTCAGAGCAAAACAATGTACTCTGGTATTTTGTTTATAATGCTTTCTTTTCTTTTCCCTTCTTTTTTCTTTTCTTTGTTTCTTTCTTTTTTTTTTTTTTTTTTTTTTTTTGGTGGTGGTGGTTGTAGGACAATGCTAATGAACAATTACTGAGTGTTTTTTTTACAAGAGCGTCACACATTTGATCATATTTTAGCTTCATGACACCCTCAGAGGGCAGCATCACATCAGGCCACTTTACAGAAGAGAAAGCTGAGCCTCAGAGGATTTAAGTTACCCAAGGTCATGGAGCCAAATAAGAAGCGGAACAGGGCCTAAATCCAGATCTCCTACTGTGGCTCAGTCAGTCCCAGGTGATTTCATGAAACCTCCCTTTAGTGCATTCTGGACTTTTTTTTTTCTTTTTTTACTTAAATTGTGGTTCGGTTAATAAGGTTGCTCCAAAAAAAAAACAAAAAAAAAAAAAAAAAAGAAAAATATATATAAATTAAAAAATTGTGATAAAATCTAAACACAAAATTTGCCATTTTAACCATTTTTTTCTTTAGAGACAAGGGGGTCACTTTGTCACTCAGGCTTGAGTGCAGTGGTACAATCAGAGCTCACTGCAGCCTTGAATGCCTGGGCTCAAGTGATCCTCCTGCTTCAGCCTCCTGAGTAGCTGGGACTATGGGAACGTACTACCAAACCTGGCTAATTTTTTTATTTTTCTATTTTCACAGAGACAGAGGCTTGCTTTGTTGCCCAAGCTGGACTCCAACTTCTGGCTTCAAACAATCCTCCAGCCTCAGTCTCCCAAAGCTTTGTGATTACAGGCATGAGCCACCATGCCCCACCCATCTTAATCATTTCTAAGTGTACAATACTATGTCATCGATTGCATTCAATTATATTCACAATGTTGTGCAATTATCCCCACTATTTTAACAAATATTTAATTGACAAAGAAAGATTGTATATATTCAATGTGTACATGATTTGACATATGTGCACATTGTGTAATGATTCCCACAATCGCATTAATGAACACATCCATCCCCATCCATACTGCACCTTAGATCCCCAGAATTCTTCTTATAATTGAAAGTCTGTACCCTATATTTCCTCCACTATTTATTTCCAAAACTTTTGCATCAACCTAAACAGAAACTGTAGCCCCGGTCTGGGCAACACGGTGAAACCCTGTCTCTACAAAAATTACCAAAATTAGCTGGCTATGGTGGCACATGCCTGTAGTCCCAGCTACTCAGTAGGCTGAGGTGGAACGATCGCTTGGGTCCAGCAGGCAGCGGTTGCAGTGAGCCACAATCACGCCACTGCCCTCCAGCCTGGGCAACAAAGCAAGACTCTGTCTCAAAAATAAAACAAAACTCTGTAGCCCACTCCTGGATACTGGACATTATGAAAATTGAGCTCAGCTTCTGTGCTCAGGACCCAGAAGCTACTTCTAAGTGAAGAGGACCATGCCAAAGGCTGTCATGACCAAGGTGGACACTGAGCACTGTGACCCAGAGTTTGAGGGACAGGATGGGTCAAAGCAGCCTCTCTAAAGGGCTCAGTCAATACAGCAGATGCTGGAGTGAGGGAGCAATTTGGGCTGTGGGACAGAATGTCCTTTGTAAATAAAGCTCCCAGGGTCCCACCAAGAAGAAACATCTAGCCCTGTTCTCAGGTCACTGTGTTTGTCCAGCCAAGCCAAGCTGCAGCAGGGCTGGAAGAAAGCCCTCAACCACATTCCCAGTAACAGCCTCAAGGTCCCCACTCAAGATCTTCAGGGCATAGAACACAATTCCTTTGAAAATTAAATAATTGGCTGGGCACAGTGGTTCACACCTGTAATCCCAGCACTTTGGGAAGCCGAGGCGGGCAGATCACCTGAGGTTAGGAGTTCAATACCAGCATGGCCAACATGGTGAAACCCCGTCTCTACTAAAAATACAAATATCAGCTAGGCGTGGTGGTGGGTGCCTGTAATCCCAGCTACTCGGGAGGCTGAGGCAGGAGAATTGCTTGAACCCAGGAGCTGGAGGTGGCAGTGAACCAAGATTGTGCCACTGCACTCCAGCCTAGGTGACAGGATGAGACTCCATCTCAAAAAACAAAAACAAACAAAAAAATTAAATAATTATGTTTATTAGCTTTAGAATTAAAAAAAGCTATATTACAGGAAATTTGAAAAATACAGTAACTAAAGAAAAAACCACCACCCACAATTATGGCCACCATTTATTCTGGGATTGCAGTGCACCAGACCCCTTACATGCATTATTCCATTTAATCTTAGCCATAACCCTGAGGTACAGACTATGTTTATGCCCATTTTACAGATGAGACTACTGTGGCTCAGAGAGAGGGTAAGTACATTTGTCCAAGGTTACACAACTGAGATGTTGTATACTGAATCATGCATACTGAAGCTGGGATTTGAATTCAAGTCTGCCTTGGACTCTTTTCACCAATATATTAGGTTGAACCACATGAAACTGACTTACAAAAATGGCAATAGCAATGCCATAAAGTTCAACCTAACATTATGCTTCTTTTTTTTTTTTTTGAGACAGCCTCTGTCCGTCTCGCAGGCTGGAGTGCAGTGGTACGATCTTGGTTCACCGCAGCCTCTGCCTCCTAGGTTCAAGCAATTCTTGTTCCTCAGCCTCCCAAGTAGCTGGGATTATAGGCATGTGCCACCACGCCCAGCTAATTTTTGTATTTTTAGTAGAGATGAGGTTTTACCATGTTGGTCAGGCTGGTCTCGAATTCCTGGCCTCAAGTGGTCTGCCTGCCTCAGCCTCCCAAAGTGCTGGGATTACAGGCATAAGTTTGAGGCAGGCAGATCACCTGAGGCCAGGAGTTTGAGATCAGCCTGGCCAACATGGCGAACCCTGGTCTCCACTAAAAAAAAAAAAAATACAAAGAAAATTAGCTGGGCATGGTGGCGTGTGCCTGTAATCCCAGCTACTCGGGAGGCTGAGGCAGGAGAATCGCTTGAACCCAGGAGACAGAGGTTGCAGTGAGCCGAGATCACACCACTGCACTCCAGCCTGGGCAACAGAGTGAGACTTTGTCTCAAAAAACAAAACAGACTAAAACAAAAAACTGTATTTTCAAGCATTATATTCTACTACTCTACTGTAATTGCTTGCTGGTTTACTGGTCTGTCACACTTCTATGCTTCATGAGGACAGGGTCAGTTGTGTTCTCTGTTGTATCCCTAGCACCTGCATGCCACATAGCAGGGTTTCAACAAATGTTTGCTAAATAAACAAAGAAATGAGGATCGGTAAAAAATAATAATCAATAAAGTGAGAGGACTTGGGATCACAAAGTGTTTTCCTTTTTGAAGGAAACAAATAATTCCTTTTGAAGGCAAGTGAAACAGCTGATAAGGAGCCATGCAGAGTAAATAATGTGATTGAGTTGACCAACATATTTGTGTGTTTAATATCACCTTGTCTTCAGCAACTGGAACCACTCAGATCTCAAAGGGACTCCCCACTGCAGTACTGCCTCAGGGTTTGCTCATTCGTTCATTATTTATGGGGCACCTACTATGTGCCAGATACTGTTATGGGTACTGAGATATGGCCACATAGCTGGGGAAATAGCTGCCTTTGTGGAGCTTACCTTCAAGTTAGGGAGACAGGAAATGAACAGAGAAACAAATATACAATATAGTGCAAGAGTGATACGTGCTATAAAGAAAAAGAAACAAGTGAGGGGATAGAGAGGAATGAAAGTTGCTATTTCAATAGAGAGGTCAAGGAAGTCCTCTCTGAGCAGGTAACATTTAAGCTCAGATCTAACATTTAAGATCTGCAGGAAGGGGTCAAGCCAACCAGCAGCAATTTGAGAGAGGAGTGTCCTAGGGGAAGAGAACAACCTGGGCAAAGGCCCTGGGATGTGCTTGGTGTGTGATCTGTCCACATCCTTTGAACACAGAGCTATCCAACTCCATGCCATTGTATCTCGCTCATGCTGCCCCTTCTCCTACCCCAGCTCTCTCCTCTACAACATCATCCAGCCCAGCCTCCATTGGTTGGTGGAGCAAACTCCTGCCTCCATGCCTAAATTCAAGTCTTA
This sequence comes from Homo sapiens, assembly GCF_000001405.40. Lineage (NCBI taxonomy): Eukaryota > Metazoa > Chordata > Mammalia > Primates > Hominidae > Homo > Homo sapiens. Next base: position 30,915,495 of record NC_000017.11, on the reverse strand, counting down.
CTTTTGACCAGGTGCAGTGGCTCACGCCTGTAATCCCAACACTTTGGGAGGCCGAAGTGGGCTGATCACCTGAGGTCAGAAATTCGAGACCAGCCTGGCCAACATTGCAAGACCCTGTCTCTACCAAGAATAGAAAAATTAGCTGGGCATGGTGGCATGTGTCTGTAGTCCCAGCTACTTGGGAGGTTGAGGCATGAGAATCGCTTGAACATGGGAGGTGGATGTTGCAGTGGGCTGAGATTACTTCACTGCACTCCAGTCCGGGAGACAAAGCGAGACTCCTCAAAGAAATCTGACTTCTTCCAGCTCACCCTCATCCCCCTGAACTATGTTCCCAAAATGTTCATATTTCCATTACAATAGTCATCACGTTGGACTATGGTTGTTTTTTTTTAACTTGTTTTGTCCCAGTCAGCGTGATTTGGTTAAGAGCAGATTGTCATATTGATCTTTGTATCCTTGGTGCCTAGCAAATGCTGGGCCTGAAAAATTTTGGTTGATCCAGTTTTATGAAATGTCCAGAACAGACAAATCCATAGAGACAGAAAGCAGATTAGCGGTTGCCAGGAGCTGGAGGGAGTGGGCTTGGGGGCAGAGGGACTGGGAAGAGACAGCTTAATGGGTAAGGTTTCCTTTTAGGGTGTTAAAAATGTTCTGGAACCAGGGCTGGGCGTGGTGGCTCACGCCTGTAATCCCAACACTTTGGGAGGCCGAGGCAGGCAGATTGCTTGAGCTCAGGAGTTTGAGACCAGCCTGGCCAATGTGGTGAAACCCCGTCTCTACTAAAAACACAAAAATTAGCAAGGCATGGTAGCGCACGCCTGTAATCCCAGCTACTCGGGTGGCTGAAGCAGGAGAATCGCTTGTACCCAGGAGGTGGAGGCTAGGAGCCGAGATCGTGCCACTGTACTCCAGCTTGGGCGACTGAGTGAGACCCTGTCTCAAAAAAAAAAAAAAAAAAAGTCTGGAACTAGATAATGGTGATAGGTGCACAACATTGTGAATGTACTAAATGTCACTGAATTGAACCCTAAAATTATGAATTTTTTGTTATGTGGATTTTGCAACAATGTTTTAAAATGGTGGTGAACTGAGTGGAATTGAGACCCCCATTACACAGGTAGTCCAGGAGTTTGTAGGAGTTTGCATTCTGAATAAAATGCAATGATCCAATAGAGATCCAGAGAGATGAAGTATCCATTTGTGAAAACTGAAGAGCCAGAAAAGAGGTCCTAAATAGACCCAAGATAATTGTTTGCATTTTACATCATTACCTGCAACACTAAATGAGAAGTTAGTTATAGAGGTTTAGGCACAACTATAATTGAAGGGGTTAGAGTGACACCTGTTGTAAACTGGATTGGAACACTGGGGTGCTCCTTTATGGAACTTGAGTTTTAAAACTGGGTTTAAAAATCCAAAAGTTTGGCTGGGCATGGTGGCTCATACCTGTAATCTCAGCACTTTGGGAGACCAGGGAGGGAGGACCTCTTGATCCCAGGAGTTCCAGACCAGCCTGGTCAACATGGCAAAACTCTGTTTCTATTAAAAATAAATAAGTAAATAAAAATAAAAACCCAAAATCCAAAAGTTCTATTTTCTTTAGTTATACCTAAAATAAATCATATAAGGGATTGTCTTACCAAGCATCTGGGTATTTTCCTCTTAGACAATCACACCTTTTCTTTTTTTTTTTTTTTTTTTTTAGACAAAGTCTCGCTCTGGGGTCAAGGCTGGAGTGCAATGGCGTGATCTCAGCTCACTGCAACCACCGCCTCCCGGGTTCAAGCAATTCTCCTGCCTCAGCCTCCCAAGTAGCTGGAATTGCAGGAGTGCACCACCATGCCTGGCTTATTTTTGTATTTTTAGTAGAGACAGGGTTTCACCATGTTGGCCAGGCTGGTCTCGAACTCCTGACCTCAGGTGATGCGCACACCTCAGCCTCCCGAAGTACTGGGATTACGGGCATAAACCACCGCACCTGGCCAATCACACCTCATTTTAATATATAGAATCAATTTGCCAATTAACAATATCTCTTGGCCGGGCGCCGTGGCTCATGCTTGTAATCCCAGCACTTTGGGAGGCCGAGGCGGGCGGATCACAAGGTCAGGAGTTCAAGACCAGCCTGGCCAATATTGTAAAACCCCTTCTCTACTAAAAATACAAAAATTAGCCAGGGCACTGTGGCAGGTGCCTGTAGTCCCAGCTACTCGGGAGGCTGAGGCAGGAGAATCGTTTGAACCTGGGAGGCAGAGGTTGCAGTGAGCTGAGATGGCATCACTGCACTCCAGCCTGGGTGACAAGAGCGAGACTCTGTGTCAAAAAAAAAAAAACCTCTCATTGTATAAGACTTTCTATTTTACATCATTTTATTTCAGTAACAACCTTGTAAGAGGGGTACTTTGAATTTTGTCTTGCAAAAGAGAAAACTATTCTTATAGAAATAAACTGAGATACATAGGAAATATGTAGCAATATTGGAGCATGAGCCAAGTTTTCTGATTCTGGGTCTCAAATTGTGAGTGCTGTGTTTTATTTTGATCATTTGCCTAATCATTTTAGTTGTGTATAATACTGAAAAAATAATAATAAAATGTAACATAAAAGCAGGAAAAAAATCCAAAACTTTACCGAGACGAAGATTAGTAGGACAATTATCTTTCCTTTACAAAATATCCCTGAGAGTTGGGGGTGGAGCACTCAGAGAAATACATCACGTGCTCGCTACCCTGAATGATCTATTCAAGGATCAGCAGCCCTTTTCTCGGGAGTCTGTATATAAGGTGATGAATGACTTTGAGGACTAAATAAAGTAGACTATGTCACTAAATAAACATTCAAACCTTATATGATACAAATCTAATTCAAAATAATTTGAAGACTTCAACTTTTTTATTTTTTATTTTATTTTATTTTTATTTTTTTGAGATAGGGTCTTGCTCCGTTGCCCAGGCTGGAGTGCAGTGACGCAGTCTCAGCTCACTACAGCCTCCATCTCCCGGGCTCAAGCAATCCTCCCACCTCAGCCTCCTGAGTAGCTGGGACTACAGGCGAGCACCACCATGCCTGGCTAATTTTTGTATTTTTAGTAGAGACGGGGTTTCGCCATGTTGGCCAGGTTGGTCTCAAACCCTGGCCTCAAATGATCCGCCTGCCTCGGCCTCCCAAAGTGCTGGGATTACAGGCATTACCCTCTGCACCAAGCCCCAGACAACTTTTCTATTTTTTATGTTTGGAAACAGGGTCTCACTCTGTCGCCCAGGCTGGAGTGCAGTGGCATAGTCATGGCTCACTATAACCTCAAATCCTGGGCTTGGCCGGGCGCGGTGGCTCACGCCTGTAATCCCGGCACTTTGGGAGGCCGAGGCGCGCAGATCGCAAGGTCAGGAGATCGAGACCATCCTGGCTAATACGGTGAAACCCCGTCTCTACTAAATACAAAAAAAATTATCCGGGCGTGGTAGCTGGTGCCTGTAGTCCCAGCTACTCGGGAGGCTGAGGCAGGAGAATGGCGTGAACCCGGGAGGCGGAGCTTGCAGTGAGCCGAGTTCGCGCCACTGCACTCCAGCCTGGGCTACAAAGCGAGACTCCGTCTCAAAAAAAAAAAAAAAAAAAATCCTGGGCTTAAGTATCTTCTCACCTCAGCCTCCCTAGTAGGTAGGACTACAGGCATGTGCTACCACACCTGGCTTTCTTTTTTTTTTTTTTTTTTTTTTGAGACGGAGTCTCGCTCTTATCGCCCAGGCTGGAGTACAGTGGCACAATCTCGTTTCACTGAAAGCTCTGCCTCCCCGCTCCACGCCATTCTCCTGCCTCAGCCTCCTGAGTAGCTGGGACTACAGGCGCCTGCCACCACGCCTGGCTAATTTGTTGTATTTTTAATAGAGACGAGGTTTCACCGTGTTAGCCAGGATGGTCTCGATCTCCTGACCTCGCGATCCGCCCGCCTTGGCCTCCCAAAGTGCTGGGATTACAGGTGTGAGCCACCGTGCCCAGCCCACACCTGGCTATTTTTAGATTTTTCCATAGAGACGATGTCTCACAATGTTGCCCAGGCTGGTCTCAAACTCCTGGTCTCAAGCAATTTTCCCACCTCAGCCTCCCAAAGTGTAAGGATTACAGGCGTGAGCCAACATGCCCATCCAAGAATTAAACTTTTAAGTAATATTTTGCTGAAGTATAACAAATACAGAAAAGTGCACAAATCACAAGTATGCAGCTTAATGAATTTTACAAAGTGCACACACGTGTTTAACTAGCATATAGAGCTTTTTTAAAAAAGAGGATAATCAGCATCCCAAAACATTCCCATTCTCTCTTTAGTGACTAGTCCCAAAGGTAATCTCATGTTTATCATGATAGATTAGTTTAGTCTGTTTTTTTTCCCGGAGACAGTCTCACTTTTTTGCCTGGGCTGGAGTGCAGTGGCACGATCTCAATCTCGGCTCACTGCAACCTCCACCTCCTGGGTTCAAGCAATTCTTGTGCCTCAGCCTCCCGAGTAGCTGGGACTACAGGCTCCTGCCACCACACCTGGCTAATTTTTTGTATTTTTAGTAGAGTCCAGGTTTCACCATGTTGCCCAGGCTGATCTTGAACTCCTGAGCTCAGGCAATCTGCCTGCCTTGGCCTCCCAAAGTGCTAGGATTACAGGCGTGAGCCACCGCACCCGGCTTGTTTTTGTACTTTATATATAGCTGTGTGGCTTCTTTCATTCAACATCATATTTGTGGGATTTACCCATGTTACTGGGTGAAACGTTTATTCAATATATACACAATAATCTGCCATTGAGGTTTTGGCTAATACAAATAGTGCTGCTATGAGCATTCTTGTAATCAGGTTTAACCATGTGAAATTGCCATTTTTGCAAATAGACAACTGGCAAATACTGGCAATTTTATACATATAGCTCCATTAGTTGCATGTCCTTTAGTGCACATTTGTTTGCATTCTGTTGGATATACACCCGGGGTTGGACTGCAGGACCATAGGATATACAAATCTTCAGCTTTAGTAGATATTGCCAGCTTTTCAAAGTGATTCAACCAACCCACACTTCCATCAGCAATGTATGAGATTTCCAGTAGGTATTCTCATGGGTGTGTAGTGGTATTGCAATGTGGTGTTTTTTGTTTTTTGGTTTTCTTTGAGACGGAGTCTCTCTCTTATCGCCCAGGCTGGAATGCAGTGGTGCAATCTCGGCTCACTGCAACCTCTGCCTCCAGGTTCAGGCCATTCTCCTGCCTCAGCCTCCCAAGTAGCTGTGATTACAGGCGCCCACCACCACGCCCGGCTAATTTTTGTATTTTCAGTAGAGATGGGGTTTCACCATGTTGGCCAAGCTGGTCTCGAACTTCTGACCTCAGGTGATCTGCCTGCCTTGGCCTCCCAAAGTGCTGGGATTACAGGCGTGAGCCACAGTGCCCAGCCTCCTGTTTCCTTTTAAATGTGAACATTGTTTCTCAATCTTCTTGGGAATCGGAATCCTCTAACCACATCTAATGGTGGTGCTCCCAAGGAGTTCTCTCCTTATCTCACTGTGCTTTTCTCACGCCTACCCCCTCTCCCTGGCTCCTCGTATCTGTTCTCATGAGTAAAGTACCATCTCTACAGGCTGACGGCCTCCAAACATACACCCCAGCTCAGTGCTCCTCCTTAGCTTCAGATGTGCATCTCTATCTATTGGACATCACCCTCTAATGTCCTGCAGGCTTCAAAACAGATTTTAGTTTGTTTTTGTTTTTTTCAATAAACCTTTTGCACTCCTAACTTAAAAAAAAAAGAAGGAAATAGAAAATATCAGGTTGTATCACATGCAAAAATACAATGGTTGTTTTTGTTTTTCATTTAGTCAGGGTCTCACTCTGCCACCCAGGCTTGAGTACAGTGGTGCAATCTCTGCTCACTACGACCTCCACCTCCCAGGCTCAAGGGATTCTCCCACCTCAGCCTCCCAAGTAGCTGGAACTACAGGCGCATACCACTATGCCCAGCTAATTTTTTTTGGTATTTTTGGTAAAGATGGGGTCTTGCCATGTTGCCCAGGCTGGTCGTAAACTCCTGGGCTCAATGAATCTGCCTGCCTTGCTCTCCCAAAGTGCTGGTATTACAAGTGTTGAACCACCACACCTGGCCTTTTTTTTTTTTTAATGAAACTTTTGTATCACACATGTATCCTGGATCAGTCAAAAGTTTTAAAAACACAGAAACTAGATAACAGGCTAGACATAATGATGGAAGGAGTAGAAAGAGCCAGAGACACCTGCATCTGGGTGACAAAAACAGGGAAGTGAGAAGGAGCTAGTTTTTGGGGGAAGACGGTGACTTTCATTTTGGAGGCATCAATTCTGGTTTACAGTAAATCAGGCAATACTTATCTCTTTCCTTTGTATTTCTGGCTCTGGTCAAAGCATATTTCTGAATAAATGCTTTCAGGAAGGAGGGTGATTCCCCTATAGGTCATTCATAATCATTTCTCAGGAAGAGGGGGGATGCTTTACTGGGCAAAACCACATTGATTGAACTCTTATCTTATGCTGGGTTCTTTGCATCCAGTTTCTCATGCATCCTCCAAGCAGCCCTGTGAGGTAGGTACCATTAACTCCGTTTTACAAATGAGGAAGGTGAGGTTCAGAGAGGATAAGAAACTGACTATGGTGATGCAGTTACTAAGTGATAAACTGTGTCTTGCTAGCGAACCAGACCATCTCTGAAAGCAACACCAGGAATCCTTATGGCCTCTTGTATTAGTTTCTTAGGGCTGCTGTAACAAATGACCACAAACTGGTCATTTATTCTCTCCAGTTCAGGAGGCTGGAAGCCCAAAATCAAGGTGTTATCCGGGCTTGTTCCTTCAAAGGGCTCTAAGGGGACTCTGGCCCATGCCTCTCTCCTAGTTTCTAGTGACTATTGGCAACCCTTGGCCTTTCTGGGTTTGTAGAAAGCATCATTCCAATCTCCGCTTCCATCTTCACATGGCATTCACAGAGTCATCTTCTCATAAGAACAGCAGCCATGTTGGATTAGTCCCTGCCCCAGTCCAGCGTGTCCTCATTTTATTTTATTTATTTACTTATTTTTTTGAGACAGAGTCTCGCTCTGTCGCCCAGGCTGGAGTGCAGTGGTGCCATCTCAGCTCGCTGCAAGCTCTGCCTCCCGGGTTCACGCCATTCTCCTACCTCAGCCTCCTGAGTAGCTGGGACTACAGGCGCCCGCCACCACGCCCGGCTAATTTTTTGTATTTTTTAGTAGAGACGGGGTTTCACCGTGTTATCCAGGATGGTCTCGATCTCCTGACCTCGTAATCCCCCCTCCTCGGCCTCCCAAAGCGCTGGGATTACAGGCGTGAGCCACCGTGCCGGCCTTCCTGTCCTCATTTTAATTAGTTACATCTACAATGACCTTATTTGGAAATAATAAGGTACTGGGGGTTAGGACTTCAACAAATCTGTTTTGAGGGATGCAATTCAATCATAACATCTCAGTAAACTGAATAAGCCCTACAGTTGAGGAAATTATTTCCTCCTGATTTGGAGGATTTTGCAGAAAAAAGTTGATGTTATTTCTTGTTAGATTCCTAAGTTCCCCAGAAACTGCCAAGGTTTCTAGACTTCCTATGAGCAATTTTTTTTCTTTTTTTGAGACAAGGTCTGGCTCTGTCCCCCACGCTGGAGTGTGGTGACACGATCTCCACTCACTGCAACCTCTACCTCCCGGGCTCAGGTGATTCTCCCACCTCAGCCTCCTGAGTAGCTGGGATAACAGGCGTGCTCCACCACACCCGGCTAATTTTTTCGTAGAGACGGGGTTTCGCCATGTTGCCCAGGGTGGTCTGGAACTCAAGAGCTCAAGCGATCCGCCCGTCTCGGCCTCCCAAAGTGCTGGAATTACACTTTGGGAGCCACTGCTCCCGACCAGCACATTTTATTAATACTTATGATTCCCCTACATCCCCACTGCCTTCCAGACACAAACAATCAACCCATTGCTGCCTCATAAAAACGCAAACTCATCACCTTTCCCTCCCTCCTGAATTCCCCGTTTTTCACAAAACTGGCTCCCCATCTTCCAGAAATAATTCTTTTCTTTCCACTCTCCTTACATCTCCTAGGTTCAATTCCTTACGGTTGGCCAGGCGCAGTGGCCCACGCCTGTAATCCCAGCACTTTGGGAGGCCGAGTCGGGCGGATCACCTGAGGTCAGGAGTTCGAGACCAGCCTGGCCAACATGGTGACACCTGTCTCTACTAAAAATACAAAAATTAGCCGGGCGTAGTGGCGCTCGCCTGTAATCTCAGCTACTCGGGAGGCTGAGGCACGAGAATCACTTGAAATCGGGAGGCGGAGTTTGCAGTGAGTCCAGATCGCACCACTGCACTCCAACCTGGGCGACAGAGCAAGACTGTTAAAAAAAAAATTCCTTACGCTTGCCTCTCACCTGGGAAGATACACTCTCTTCGCGACTTCTCATTGCTCCCAGGCTCTTCACCTGCAATCCAGCCTCACATTCGCTATACAGTATATGGCCAATTTTCTAGGAACACTCTCCAGTCTGACTGCAAATCATAAACCTCGGGGACTTCAGGCTTCCTATCTGGTGGAGTATTCAACTGCTCCACCCATTATTCAAGGACCAACTAAATTCGGCGCTACATTCATCTCCCTTTATCCCTTCTAAGAGGAATACCGCTCCAGCGCCAACGCAATCTCCTCCTCCCTCGCCTTTACCTAATCCCTTGCCTGCCCTGTTTCCCCGCTGAGCTCCTCAAACACTTCGCATCTCTCCCCGTTATTCCAGTCTACCTGGTGAAAAGGTTATTTGAGGACCTTGTCTACGCTGCCCCTACCTGATCCCGCTCCCGGCGCCACAGGCTGGGCCCCAACAGGAGCTCCTCAATCTAAGTGTCTAGGAGAAACCCAGGGAGTCTCCACGAAGGAGGCACTTTACCCACTACAGACTAAAACTGGCCTCGGAATCGCCTTCCTGGAGATTCGGCCCAGCGGCTCTCAGGAGTCGGTAGGGGCAAGAACGTTTCCCCGGTGCAGTGGAAGAAGACTGCGGGCCAGCCAGGGACTCGGGATCCGGGGACAGGGCCTCGGCAGGCGCCCGCCTGGAAGCCCGCAGCCCAGACGCGGACGACCCACTGCTCAGCGGGACACACCTCGGGCCTTGCCCCGGAACGCCGCTTGGACAACAACCTTTCCGCCGAGTGCAGGCCGAGCGCTTTTGGGCGCAGCACGCAGGAACCGGAAGTCAATGGAGGAAGACTGGACCTACTGATTCAACTTGGAGATGAGCGGGTCTGTCCTCTTCACGGCGGGAGGTAGGGTGCTTGGAACACTGGGGTGATTTCCCGTCTGTCATTAGCCTCTGACCCTAGAGGCTAATGGAATACGGCGGGAGGTAGGGTGCTTGGAACACTGGGGTGATTTCCCGTCTGTCATTAGCCTCTGACCCTAGAGGCTAATGGAATACGGCTGGAGGTATTCTGGAGGAACCTGGAGTGTTTCCTTCCTCATGTCCCTCATGTCCTAGAGTGTTTCCTTCCTCATGTCCCTTGTTCAGGCCCCTCTCTTGGGGCCCCAGCCTAGCTGACGGGGCAGTTTTCGGAACATTTGTGCTTCCCCGGCCTCAGGGTCCACGGGTGGCTCCTCAGAGTGGGCGGATGGTTCACATTCTCACAGCCGCTTGCTTACCTCTGGCCACATTACTTTCCTGTGGCTGCGATGTTAGAGTGACTTCCCACTGGTTTTACAAAGTTATGCATTGTATGGTGTTTCTCATACTTGCAAAAACGTCATGTAGAAGTCTTGAAAAGTGTACGGAAGAAAGTAAAACTGCCCTTAAATCTATCACTTAGCTGAAACATTTCTTATAAACGTACAAAATTTAATTTTATTTAGTTCCACCAGATGAGATACTAAAATGTGAAAATGGAAGTGAAGACAAAACCCTTTTTTTTTTTTTTTTGAGACGGAGTTTCGCTCTTGTTGCCGAGACTGGAGTGCAATGGTGCGATCTCGGCTCACCGCAACCTCCGCCTTCCGGGCTCAAGCGATTCTCCTGCCTCAGCCTCCCGAGTAGCTGGGATTACAGGCATGTGCCACCACGCCCGGCTAATTTTGTATTATTAGTAGAGACAGGGTTTCTCCATGTTGGTCAGGCTGGTCTCGAACTCCCGACCTCAGGTGATCCGCCCACCTCGGCCTCCCAAAGTGCTGGGATTATAAGCGTGAGTCACCGCGCCCGGCCTAAGACAAACCTTAACAGGAAATATTAGTTACAAAAAGATTCCTCTAAATTAAAAATATCAGAAACTTTAAGCAGTTGGAATAATTATTTCAACTACTTGCTTCCTGATGGGTATAAAATACAATTTTCTAGGTAGTAAAACTTCGGACTGATCCATAAATATCGGGAGACATCTCTCGTGACTTGAAAACAACAAAAGCTCTATTTAAAACTCTATATAATATAGTTTAAAAACTAATCCTCTTTTAAAGATGATTCTCGGGCCGGGCACAGTGGCTCACGCCTGTAATCCCAGCACTTTGGGAGGCTGAGGTGGGCGGATCACGAGGTCAGGAGATGGAGACCATCCTGGCTAACACTGTGAAACCCCGTCTCTACTAAATATACAAAAAATTAGCCGGGCGTGGTGGCAGGCGCCTGTAGTCCCAGCCACCTGGGAGGCTGAGGCAGGAGAATGGCGTGAACCTGGGAGGCGGAGCTTGCAGTGAGCCGAGATCGGCCACTGCACTCCAGCCTGGGCAACAGAGCAAGACTCCGTCTCAAAAAAAAAAAAAAAAGATGATTCTCCAAGACAATTTAATATTGTCCTCTATTAGTTCTTAAATTCCAGGAAAGTATTTGTGACTTTGCAAAGGATCTAGTCAAGCTTGCAACTAACCCCAAAGGAAGTAGGACATCCAACTTATATTTTGCTAAATTTTCCTTTTAGAGAGGTGGAGATGCTTTCTGACCCCGTCGAGGTCATCCCTGTACTGGGCCTTACATAATTTCTGCTGTCGGAAAAAATCCACTACACCTAAGAAAATTACTCCCAATGTTACTTTTTGTGATGAAAATGCAAAGGAGCCCGAAAATGCACTTGACAAGCTCTTCTCTTCAGAACAGCAGGCTTCCATCTTGCATGTGTTGAATACAGCATCTACTAAAGAACTTGAAGCTTTCCGATTGCTTCGTGGAAGAAGGTCCATCAATATCGTAGAGCACAGAGAAAACTTTGGGCCATTTCAGAATTTAGAGAGTTTAATGAATGTGCCCTTGTTTAAGTATAAAAGTACAGTTCAAGTTTGTAACTCCATACTTTGTCCAAAGACTGGACGGGAAAAAAGAAAGTCACCGGAAAACCGGTTCCTGAGAAAGCTCCTCAAACCAGACATAGAAAGAGAAAGACTTAAGGTATATTCTTCATGTCTGCTATACTGCCTAATATTTGAGAACCTACTCTAGAAAGCACTCTTCTGGGCATTGGGTTGGGAAGTGGCTAAGACAGGGTTCTTCAGGTTTAGTTGGCAAGTATATGATCACTACCAAATAATGAGATGTACAGATAGTAAATTGGCAGTTGAGAGGAGAGAAAACAATGGGCTGTGACTGTTGTGGAAAGTTTACTGGAAGAACTCAATTTAGGTCTTAAAAGAGAGATCCTTTGGATGGGAGAGGAGGGCATTGTAGGTAGAAAGAACAGTTGATGCTGAGAAGCAGGTCTAGGCAAGGCTTATTTAAGAGGAGTGTCGTTGGAGATACCAGGCTGTGTCTAAGGGTGATGTTAGGATTAATGAGAAATTAAGGAGCAAAGATAGGTTATGGCCAGTGAGTGACTTTAGAACATTATACCAGTCTTTCCGGCAGAATTTAAAATTATTTTCTGTACCTTTTCTCCTTTAAAAAGCATTTTATCTTGAATCATGCAAGTCTATAGGTAAGATTAAAAAAAAAAAAAAAAAGCGGCTGGCTCACACCTGTAATCCCAGCACTTTGGGAGGCCAAAGCGGGCGGATCACAAGGTCAAGAGATCCAGACAATCCTGGCCAATGTGGTGAAAGCCCATCTCTACTAAAAATACAAAATTTAGCTGGGCATGGTGGCGTGGGCCTGTAGTCCCAGCTACTCGGGAGGCTGAGGCAGGAGAATCTCTTGAACCTGGGAGGCAGAGGTTGCAGTGAGCTGACATCACGCCAGTGCACTCCAGCCTGGCTACAGAGCAAGACTCTGTCTCAAAAAAAAAAAAAAAACACCATTCTAAAAGCAATTCTTTTTCTATTGTCTTAAAAAAATAAATACTAGAAATATTTGACACAGCCAATTTTTTTTTTTTTTTTTTTTTTGAGACAGAGTCTTGTGCTGTCGCCAGGCTGGAGTACAGTGGCATGATCTCACAACAACCTCCACCTCCCAGGTTCAAGCGATTCTCCTGCCTCAGCCTCCTGAGTAGCTGAAACTACAGGCACATGCCACCACGCCCAGCTAATTTTTGTATTTTTAGTAGAGATGAGGTTTTACCATGTTGGCGCCAGGATGGTCTTGATCTGTTGACCTCGTGATCCACCTGCCTCGGGCTCCCGAAGTGCTGAGATTACAGGTGTGAGACACTGCGCCCGGCCACAGCACTCAAGTATTAAACTTTAGAGGAACTCATGTCCTGTGTAACATTGCTTGATAATCATTATCTCATAAAAATCATAAGCACCATTTTTTTTCTGGACCAGTGGGTCCGTTTTTTGAGGAATATGGGTACTTTTGAAAACCTGATGAAAGCTGTGGACCCTCTTCCCATAGAAAAAGATATAGCACATATACACAGAATACTACACAGTTTCAGAGGACTGGCAGATTCTGTTAAGTCCACTCATGGACTCCAAGTAGAACTGCTGCAATTGATCTGGAACATATTTTAACCAAATTCTTCAGGGAGGATTCTCATCCAGATTCATGGCCAAAACTATTTATACCCAGATTAGAGTGGAGTTGCATCTTATTTAGGGGGCTGGATTTTAAGTCAGTTTTTATGGAGATATAAGTCATGCAGTAAAATCCTTTAAGAAAAAATCGATTGCCGACGAAGTATTGTGTGTAGTCTGGTTCAGTAATGCTTGTGCACAGTAAAGCTTGAGAGTCACTTAGCTAAAGAAAACCAAAAGGAAGTCTGTATTTTGGGCATCTATACTATTTTGTCTTTAAGATATTTATCCAGTCCTTAGCAATGAAAGGGAGATGGGTATACAACTAATTGTTCCTGTTTATTTGCCTCTGTATCTATAGAACATATTAGTTTGTTAATATAACTAAGTGAGCCATGTTGGGGAAAGGTGATAGCATTGTACTTCATCGTCAGCCCAGACTTGATAGGAAGCAAAATCTAAATATTCAATTACTTATTATATATCTCCTCTTAGAAGCCCTATAGGCAACCCAAACTTAATGCATTAAAAACAAACCAAAACAAAACAAAAAAATTTCTTCCCACCTTCCCTAGGTCATGTGACTCCTATCTTCGTCATCATTAATGATGCCATTCAGTCACTGATATAAAACTGGAATTATTCTAGACTCCTCGTTAAACCTATGTATTAATTCTGCTCCCACTATCTGTTTCTTTTCCTTCTGTCATTGTCTTCAATTCTTAACACTTTCTCATGTTGTAACAGGTACCTAACACAGATCCCTACCTTTAGTTCCCTCCAGCCCATCTTTTACACCATCAGTGATTTTTCTGAAATGTAAATCTTATGTTATTCCTTAAAATTCTGTTTTTTTAGTGGCCCCTGTAGCACTCAGGATAAAGCAAGTTACTTACCTTTATAGACATCTGCCTTGTCCTCTGCCCTTTTCCTATTCAGTCTTTATTCTACTGCCAGAGTGTGAGATGTCAAACAGCCTATCTTTCCAGACATCTGGGTGAAATAACTTCCCATTTACTGTCTCATTCTCCTAGTCCTCCAGTAAACCTTCCCTGACCACTTCTCTCTACAATAGTTTTATGGTGGCATTTCTTATAATGTACAGTTACGTTTGTTGTTTCCTAGTATCTAGTGCAGACCTTGGCTACACTTGAGTTTGAATGCCTACTTTGGGCAAGGTGCTGAGAATGAGTATAGGTCCTTTATCTATAAACTGACTGCTGCTGGTTACCTTTTAATAATAATTACTCCTTGGTGGCTCACACCTGTAATCCCAGCACTTTGGGAGGCAGAGGCAGGTGGATCACTTGAGGTCAGGAGCTCAAGACCAGCCTGGCCAACATGGTGAAACCCTGTCTCTACTAAACATACAAAAATTAGCTGGGTGTGGTGGCAGGTACCTGTAATCCCAGCTACTCAGGAAGCTGAGGCAGAAGGATTGCTTGAATCTGGGAGGTGGATGTTGCAGTGAGCTGATTGCGCCACTGCACTCTAGCCTGGGTGACAGAACGAGACTCCATCTCAAACAAAATAATAATTACTCCTGCATTTCTTTAATAATTCTCAGTTCATAAACTATAAATAAGTTTATATTACATAAACTAGTTAGGCATTCTGAATTTGTAGATTATGTTTGCATCTAAAATATTTACACTTCTGGCCAGGCACGGTGGCTCATGCCTGTAATCCTAGCTCTTTGGGAGGTCAAGGCAGGTGGATCATGAGATCAGGAGATCGAGACTATCCTGGCTAACACAGTAAAACCCCATCTCTACTAAAAAAAAAAATAAAAAAATTAGCCGGGCGTGGTGGCGGGCGCCTGTAGTCCCAGCTAGTCGGGAGGCTGAGGCAGGAGAATGGCATGAACCCAGAAGGTGGAGCTTGTAGTGAGTTGAGATCGCGCCACTGCACTCCAGCCTGGGAGACAGAGCGAGACTCCGTCTCAAAAAAAGAAAAAACTAAAATGTTTATACTTCTAATTAAATCAGTCTTTTCTTTTAGGCAGTTAATAGTATCATATCTATCGTTTTTGGTACTCGAAGAATTGCCTGGGCTCACCTTGATCGTAAGTTGACAGTGCTGGACTGGCAGCAAAGTGACCGTTGGAGTTTAATGAGAGGAATATACTCATCATCAGTCTATTTAGAAGAGGTAAGGCAGTTGCACCTCCAGATTCCTACCTGCTAGAGCTCCTTGTGTAGTTTAATCTTCTGGTCCCAAAAGGAATGTAATAAAATAGTAAAGATGGGTTTTCTTCTGGTACTTGTTACTCACTTATTCCTATTATGTTTTCCATCACCTTTGATTTTTAAAAATTCAACCTTTAGTTAGTTCAAGAAATGCCTTATGCATCGAAGGCAGATACTGAGAAAATCAATGGTATTTCATTCTAAATGTTATAGAACATTATCACTCTTTTATTTATAAAGCTTATTTTTCAAAATGCCATCACATTGTCTCATTTGAGTTTTCAAAACCTTGCGAAATGGTCAGGAATTATCACCTTAATGGTCAGGAATTACCACCTTGATTATACATATGAAATCTGTGGTTCAGTCAAGCATCTGATGTGATTAGTCAGTTGCAGAGGTGATTGATTCTTGCTAGTTATTCTAACCGTATGCTCTATCCCAGAAAATGTTTGAAGGTTTAGTAAAACAGTTTTAAGTTGTCTAACCTTAAAGCCAATACATATTTTAGAAATTATGAAGTCCACTGTACAGATCAAGAAACTGGTACTTAGGAGGACTAAACAGCTTAGCTTAGCTGTTGTTGTGACATAACCATGACCAGAACCAGACTGCTCATAAAATGGCTTTTTCAGTTATTTCAAAATTGTCAATATAGTATAAATTAACTAATTATAATATTTTTAAATAGAAGTGGGACAGAGAGGGGACCAAACATAAAATGTAATGAATTATTTCTGTTCCTTTATTTTGTCTTTTTTTAAAAAGATTTCCTCGATCATTTCAAAGATGCCTAAAGCAGATTTCTATGTTCTGGAAAAAACAGGACTTTCCATTCAGAACTCATCTCTGTTTCCAATACTGTTACATTTTCATATCATGGAAGCCATGCTGTATGCCTTATTAAATAAAACTTTTGCCCAGGATGGGCAGCATCAGGTGCTGAGCATGAATCGAAATGCAGTGGGGAAGCATTTTGAACTGATGATTGGTGACTCCCGGACTAGTGGAAAAGAGCTAGTGAAGCAGTTTCTCTTCGATTCTATACTGAAGGCGGATCCTCGGGTGTTCTTCCCATCAGATAAAATAGTTCACTACAGACAGATGTTTTTATCTACTGAACTACAAAGAGTAGAAGAGCTTTATGATTCATTATTACAAGCTATTGCCTTCTATGAATTAGCAGTGTTTGACTCTCAGCCTTAGAATTCTGAGGTTAACGTGCTAAAGTATAATTATTAGCTCTAACGTAACACCAACTGTTGTGAACATCCATGTTATTGGAAAAGAACACATTTTCAGTGTATTTTAGATGTTTAAATTCTGACTTTTGGCTATTAAATGGTTTACACAATAAGCCAAGACCAAATCAATAAACATTTTATGAGATTCTGTGCCTCTCAGGTTAATGTGTTAAACAGTAACATGGGGCTTGGTGCAGTGGCTTATGCCGATAATCCCAGCACTGTGGGAGGCTGAGGCAGGAGGACTGCTTGTGCCCAGGAGCTCAAGAGCAGCCTGGGCAACATAGCAAGACCACATAATTTTTAAACATTTTTCATTAAAAAAAAGAAACAGTAAGATGCCAAATTGACAAAACAAGAAACAAAGTTATCTCCCTTTAAAAGCAAATACTATCTATACTAAACATTTGCATTATTATCATATTGTTAAAATAGGGAATAATGGTTTTCCTAGGTGGTACTTATTATAAGAATAAAGCTGGCCACGCATGGTGGCTCACGCCTGTAATCCCAGCACTTTGGGAGGCTGAGGCGGGTGGATCACCTGAAGTCAGGAGTTTTGAGACTGGCCTGACCAAAGTGGAGAAACCCTGTCTCTACTAAAAAAAAAATACAGAATTAGCCGGGTGTGGTGGCGCATGCCTGTAGCCCCAGCTACTCAGGAGGCTGAGACAGGAGAATCGCTTGAACTGGGTGGCAGTGAGCCGAGATCGTGCCATTGCACTCCAGCCAGGGCAACAAGAGCAAAACTCCGTCTCAAAAAGAAAGAATAAAGCTAAAGATAACTGATAATACAGCTTATAGAATCGTCCTCTCTTAGAGGACGATTGTGTGTGTAGAATGTGGTTTGCTACACTGCCTCCAAAAGCTGATTTTCTTTTTTTGAGACAGGGTCTCACTCTGTCACACAGGCTAGAGTGCAATGGCACAATCACAGTTCACTGCAGCACCTCCTGGCCTCAAGCAATCCTCCTGCCTCTATCTCTTGAATAGCTAGGACTACAGGCACATGCCACCATACCCGGCTAATTTATTTTTTGTAGAGACAGGGTCTTACCTTGTTGCCCAGGCTGGGCTCAAATTCCTGGCCTCAAGCAATCCTCCTGCCTCAGCCTCCCAAAGTGCTGGGATTACTGGTGTGAGCCACCATACCCAGCCCCAAAAGATGACTTTCATCAGCTCAACTCTTATTACCCAAAAACAAACAAACAAGCTTTGTCTAATAGGCTCTTTTTTTTTTTCTTTTCTTTTTTTTTGGAGACCTAGTCTGGCTCTGTTGCCCAGGCTGGAGTACAGTGGCATGATCTCGGCTCACTACAACCTCTGCCTCCTGGGTTCAAGCAATTCTCCTGTCTCAGCCTCCCAAGTAGCTGGGACTACAGACAGGCATGCACCACCATGCCCGGCTAATTTTTGTATTTTTAGTAGAGACGGGATTTCATTATATTGGCCAGGCTAGTCTCGAACTCCTGACCTTGTGATCCTCCTGCCTCGGCCTCCCAAAGTGTTGGGATTACAGGCATGAGCCACCGTGCCCAGCAGGCTCATTTTTTAACTTTGCAATATTTTAACTTGACAGACCATCGTTTGATGTCCATTTTACCACTGTCTACATTAGTTGAGGTCCTCAATATATCTTCTTTATGAACCTAAGTCTCTTTGATGTCAAAGTATTAAATATCATTGGTGCATGCCTGCCAGCTACTTGGAAGGCTGAGGTGGGAGGATCACTTGAGCCCAGGATTTGAAGCCAGACTGGGCAATGTAGCAAGTCCCCATGTCTTAAAAAAAAAAAGTATTAAATATTTTCTGTAACATAAACATTTTCTATAATCTAAAAGTGAAATATATTTGTTGAAAAAACTTCAAATAATCTGAAACATAAAGCAAGAAATTGAAGCCCTCCCTTCTCTAGCACCTCCAACTCCCTAGAGTTGGTATACACTCTAGACCTGTTGCCACACACAAATAAAGTTTCTACATTTACATATGTCATTGTGTACCTAAACATCTCCACTTTGGAAATATAGATACCTCAAACTATGCATGTCTAAAAAGGAAATCATTCTCTTTCCATCCAAACCATCTCCTTTGCCACTGTTTTCTATTTTAATAGTTTCTCCAACTACCTAGTTGTTCATAACGGAAACATGGCATTATCACAAAAGTGAATCTAAATCTTACAGGAATTTACTATCATCTTTAAGAATGAAAAGGGCTGGGCGCAGTGGCTCACGCTTGTCATCTCAGTACTTTGGGAGGCCAAGGCGGGTGGATCACCTGAGGTCAGAAGTTCAAGACCAACCTGGCCAACATGGACAAGCCCTGTCTCTACTAAAAATACAAAATTAGCTGAGCGTGGTGGCACATGTCTGTAATCTCAGCTATTCAGGAGGCTGAGGCAGGAGAATCGCTTAAACCTGTGAGGTGAAAGTTGCAGTGAGCCGAGATCATGCCACTGCACTCCTGCCTGGACAACAAGAGCGAAACTCAATCTCAAACAAACAAACATAAATGAAAAGGCTGGGTGCAGTGGCTCACACCCGTAATCCCAATGCTTTGGGAGGCCAAGGAAGGAGGATCACTTGAGCTCAGGAGTTTGAGGCTATGGTGAACTATGATTGTGCCATTGCACTCCAACCTGGGCAACAAGAGTGAGATCAAGAGTGAGACCTCTTAAAAAAAAAAAAAAGATAAAGATTTTTTCCCTGAATTATTATAAACCTAAAAATAAATAAAATATTAAATGTGTCCATATTAGGGAGGAAAATACTCCCATTATTTTCTTTTTTTTTTTAAGAGGAGAAAAAAAGAACAGTATTTTAAAAATATTTTTTAAAATACTTCAGGCTGGGCACAGTGGCTTATGCCTGTAATCCCAGCACTTTGGGAGGCCAAGGCAGGCAGATCACCTGAGGTCGGGAGTTGGAGACCAGCCTGACCAACATGGAGAAACCCTGTCTCTACTAAAAATACAAAATTAGCTGGGCATGGTGGCGGGTGCCTGTAATCCCAGCTACTTGGGAGGCTGAGGCAGGAGAATCGCTTGAACCTGGGAGGCGAAGGTTGTGGTAAGCCGAGAGCACATCATTACACTCCAGCCTGGACAATCAGAGTGAAACTCTGTCTCAAAAAAAAAAAAAAAAAAAAACTTCAGAAGATCTTATTCTCTCTTCTGTACAGGGATGAAATCTTTAAGTTATATCCTATATTCAAACCCATACAATATACATATTTATCAAGATGATTACATCTGAACTCTTTTTTAAACATTTCATAAAGCCTTTAGCTTTAACCTTTAATTAGATCAATATACTAATTAATACAAGAAAAAGTAAATTGAACAAATAAGAGGTAAAAATATCTATCTTCATACACATTTGTAAACAGGTATGCATCTATACTGTTCAAAACTGTACAATATAGGCCAGGTGAGGTGGCTCACGCCTGTGATCCCAGCACTTTGGGAGGCCGAGGCAGATGGATCACTTGAGGTCAGGAGTTAAGAGACCAGCCTAACCAACATGGTAAAACCCTGTCTCTTCTAAAAATACAAAAATTAGCTGGGCAAGGTGGCACATGCCTGTAATCCCAGCTATTCAGGAGGCTGAGGCAGGATAATCGCTTGAACCCGGGAGGCAAAAGTTGCACTGAGCCGATACCAGGCCACTGCACTCCAGCCTGGGTGACAGAGCAAGATTCCGTCTCAAAAAAAAAAAAAAAAAGCACACAAAAAAAACTGTACAATATGAGGATCCTTAACTTTTAGGTTAAAAATATAATTCACCAGATAATGTTTTTGTTTTTGTAAAGCCAGTCAAATTTAGCAGTGGGAGATTGTATACCAACTTTAGTGACACTAATGTTAGCAGCCAAGATAATGTATCTGAATATTAAGCTAATATATAATATAAACACTTGAAATAGGGAGTTCATCTTAATGAACTCTACCTTCCAGAAACAGTTCACTCACATACAAAAAATACTCCAACAAAGCTAAATCAGATAATACAAAAAATTCAGAAAAAAAATTACAATCATATATAAAATTTGTAACTCAAATATTTTAAATATTTACCCGCCAATAAAAAAATATACAAATTGTTTGTTTAAAATGTACATCGAGAAATATACTTTTCCATGAAGATCCACATAATATAAAAATGTATCTTAAGGACCACATGATAATCTATACAAAGCATTGTTAGTATGGAACATTAAGGGAAGTCAGCTGCCAAAGTATTCACAGTCTCTTTTGGAATGTCAAGATGAATTCCTTCAAAATAGTGCAGGAATCTGTCAAAATTACAAAGAAAAATACAATTTAATATTAACATTTTCATCTTATGAAAATATGTATTAATCTTGAAAAAGCTATCTAAAATGTTGTTTTTAATAAAGCCTTTACCTTCTTTTACTTTTTCCTTGTTCTTTTAGCTTCTCAGTCTTACAGATGTTTCGAAGGGTTGGCAGGTATTCAATTATACTAGCTTGTCTATTACCCACATAGAGAAGAGATCGACTCGAAAATACACTTTTAATGACTGATATCCTCTTCCAAGCATTGCTGTAAAAGTAATGCATTGTTTTTAATTTTTAATGCCCAAGAAAAATGCAGTAATCCCAATCACAACCAGTTTAGTTTCCTTGCCTCTGGTCTAGACCAGATGACATTTCCAGATTAATTTCCTGTCAACACATCAATCACTCCCATACTGAAAAAATCTCAATAACTATACAGCAAGACCAAACTCCTTCCTGGGTCATTCAAGCATTACCTAAATCCACCCCAATCACTCATTATTTCTCTTCCCAGCGATCAAGCTGGTCTCTTTAGCTATCTCATTAGAAGCTACATTATTAATGTTAAGGGCTTACCATGATCAATAGTACAGCATTTTTAAATTAAGAAAAAACTCTATTGATTTCCCCTTTACGATTTATTACCAAAAAATAAAAAGTAAAGGAAGTAAGACTTACTCTAAATTAGCTGCTGACTGACTAAAGTATACATTATTGCGCTTTTGTGAAACATAAAAAGTAAGATCGTTGGTTGGATCTCTTCCTAATTTCTTGCAAGAATTCAAGGTTTCCAATGCTTTTGAAATAGCAGAAGAACATTTAGTAAAGCTGAGAGCTTCTGCAGCTGCCTTTAATTCTCCAGAGCTTTGAGAAGTCCATCCATCATTACTCTCAAGACTAAACTCATCACAAAGTCCACTTGTAACCTTTCCATTTGTCCAACTAAAGTCATTTCTACCGTATTTGTTTTGTTCCCTTACATCAGTTAAAAGTGCATCTAAGAAGGACATGTTATCCATGAACTCAGAGAGAGAATTTAAACAATGAGAAACAAGGGCAGAACATTTTTTTCCTGCAGTTGTTTTAGGAGGACAAGGAATAGATTTCTTTGTCTCTGGATTGTTTCCTTTGTCTCTGGCTTTGCTTTCTTCGTCTCCGGTTTTGCTTTCTTCTGCATTTGAGGAAGATGATACAGAGGACAGGCTAATAGATTGATCAGGAAAGTCCAAGTCAGTGTCAAATAGATCACTATCATCTAATATTACCAATGTTTTCTTTTGTTTCTTTTTCTGGGACTTTTTCAATGGCTGTTCTCTTTCAGAGTGTTTCCTAGCAAGACAATTCATACTTTTTGTTGCTGCACTGGCATCCACAGTTACTGATGGGCCACAAAAGTTTTTAGTTTCTGGAATGGTATCAACTGGTAATGGTAGAATAAACTCAAGATTACTATATAAAAAATCTACATTCCGCATTTGGAATTCTGTAAGAAGCTGGATGAATTTATGCCATTCTTCCTTCATTGTGATTTTGTGCTGAAAAACAATTTTGAGTAAAGAAATGTTACAGCAGTACATAGTTTGAATACTTTTCTACCTGTATGAATATAGTGTTATCCCTATTCTAAATTCAAAGTACTGAGTCACTACCCCTCATAATTTTATTTATCTATATTTAATATATCAAAATAGTACTATGTCTAAAAATTAAATTTAGACGATTAATTTGGAGAATTAAATTCTCTATGTATTTAGTATATACTCCAATATTATTAGAAGCTCATTTATTTAAAACCACTTTTCTGAAATAGTCTATCTGAAAAATTTTCTAAATGCTATTCTAAATCCTATAATATGCATTCAGAGCAATGCCTATGCACCATTTGTCAAAGTGGTAGGATGTGTTAAAATCAGAGACCTAAGGCTTATACAAATTATAGGCACATTTAAGTTAAACTTAAGATTCAAAAGATAGGAGGCTAATGTTGGGAATATGAAAAGGAATATAAATTCAACATTGCAAAACAGACATTGAAAATACCTTTAAAAATGAAAATAAGTCTTCAGATGGGGAAAAAATGTTCTTAAGGCCAAACAAGGTCTCAGCACAGCCACTGTCACATTTTGGAAGGTCTACACGTTTCTTTTTAGTATTTTTAGGGTAAATTTTGTTATCAAGGCCATGTTCAGAGCAAACTAGTTGTACATTTCTGCTATTTCCACCTACAAAATAAAAGAAAATCTTAGCTCTATATATGTATTAAACAAATTGTATCAAACAATTATTTAAAGCCTGAGATCCTTTGACATCTTCTGGACAAATACCCCCATTTAGTTCTCTACATATGTGTTTAATTCATTAAGAGTACAATATAAGCATTATTCTTTTTTTTTTTTTTTTTTTAAAGACAGAGTATCACTCTATCACCCAGGCTGAATTGCAGTGGTGCAATTTCAGCTCACTGAAACCTCCACCTCCTGGGTTCAAGCGATTTTCCTGCCTCAGCCTCCCGAGTAGCCGGGATTACAGGCACGCGCTACCACACCCGGCTACTTTTTGTATTTTTAGTAGAGACAGGGTTTCACCATGTTGGCCAGGCTGATCTCGAACTCTTGACCTCGAGTGATCCACCCCCCTCGACCTCCCAAAGTGCTGGGATTACATGCGTGAGCCACTGCGCCTGGCCATAAGCATTATTTCTACCAAGAGATAAATTAAGTGAGGTGATGGTGGGGGACTTTCAAAGCCATCCAACAGAAAAAGTGCAAGGACTGTGAGCAGGCAAGTCACAGAAGAAAAATAAATACCTAATATTAATTTCAGGCCAGGTGAGGTGGCTCACGCCTGTAATCCCAGCACTTTGGGAGGCTGAGGCAGGTGGATCACTTGAGTTCAGGAGTTCGAGACCATCCTGGGCAAGTTCGAGACCATCCTGGGCAACATGGTGAAACCTTGTCTCTATTCAAAATACAAAAATTAGCCAGGCGTGGTGACGCATGCCTGTAGCCCCCGCTATTAGGGAGGCTGAAGCAGGAGAATAGCTTGAACCTGGGAGGCGGAGGTTGCAGTGAGCCGAGATCACGCCACTGCACTCCAGCCTCGGCAACAGAGCGAGACTCCAACTCAAAGGGGGAAGAAAAAAGAAACAGTAATTTCAGCCGGGTGCAGTGGCTCACACCTGTAATCCCAGCACTTTGGGAGGCCGAGGCGGGTGGATCACCTGAGGTCAGGAGTTCGAGACCAGCCTGGCCAATATGGCAAAACCCCATCTCTACTAAAAATATAAAAAATTAGCTGGGCATAGTGGTGCGTGCCTGTAATCCCAGCTACTTGGGAGGCTGAGGCAGGAGAATCACTTGAACCCGGGAGGCAGAGGCTGCAGTGAACTAAGATCACGCCACTGTACTCTGGCCTGGGCGACTGAGTGAGGCTCCGTCTCAAATAATAATAATAATTTCAAAGACCTAATAAAAAGATATGCAATTTCACCACTAAGCATGGAAATGTAATTTTAAAATAAGATACTGTACATGTTTCACTTTTTAAATTGGCAAAATTAAAAGAATTATAATGTAGTTCTGTCAGCAGTACACATAAAAAAACCATCATATACTATTCATGGGAGCATAAGTTGGTACAATTATCATCAGAGGGCAGTCTGACAACAACTATCAAAATGTAAAGTATATACACCGTTTGTGACCCAGCAGTCATACTTCTAGAATTCTCTCCATCAATATTACAGACATTTTCAAGGATATATGTATAAAGATATTCACTGTATTTTAATGACAAATTGAAGATAATGTAAATGTCTGTAAGTAACGGTTAAATTACGGTACATCCATTC
Organism: Homo sapiens; assembly: GCF_000001405.40. Classification (NCBI taxonomy): domain Eukaryota; kingdom Metazoa; phylum Chordata; class Mammalia; order Primates; family Hominidae; genus Homo; species Homo sapiens. Next base: position 30,890,978 of record NC_000017.11, on the reverse strand, counting down.
TATTCTATAGAAAAGCATGCAGCTGTGAAAGACAGTGGGATAGGATCGTATGTGCTAACAATAAACTTAAAAATAACAACATATATAATACTGGTTAATTTTGCTAAATAAGTATGTATCTTTATGTTACATGCATAAAGGTCTAACTGTGGCTACTTTCAAGAAGTAGGGGAATATTGTTTTATGTATCTGTTTTTTTTTTAAGGGCAGGGATGAAATGTATATAAAAAAAGATTTTTAAGAAGAGAAACTGGCCCCAGCCAAGTGCTGTGGCTCATGCCTGTAATCCCAGCACTTTGGGAGGCTGAGGCAGGCGGATCACAAGGTCAGGAGATCGGGACCATCCTGGCTAACTCAGTGAAACCCTGTCTCTACTAAAAATGCAAAAAATTAGCTGGGTGTGGTGGTACACGCCTGTAGACCCAATTACTTGGGAGGCTGAGGCAGGAGAATCCCTTGAACCCAGGAGGCAGAGGTTGCAGCAAACCGAGATCGTGCCACTGCACTCCAGCCTGGGTGACAGAGCCAGATTCCATCTCAAAAAAAAAAAAAAAAAAAAAGAAAAGAAGAGAAATTATGCTGTACTTATTTTGTTATTTTGTGTCTTCTAAAGTTTCTTGCTGTAACAATTTATATCTAGTGGTATATCAAAAAGTTATTAACTAATTTGTTACACCAGGATATTTTCCATGTGTTATGTATTATATTTACTTTTGAGAAATGGTTAAAGCTATGGGCTTACACTGAATAGAATATATAGGCATATCTACTTTGAAAAAGAATAATATGAAGCTGGGTGAGGTGGCTCATGCCTATAATCCCAGCACTTTGGGAGCCCAAGAGGGGCGGATCACTTGAGCCCAGGAGTTCAATACCAGGCTGGGCAACATAGTGAGATCCCCGTCTCTACAAAAAATTAAAAAAGTTAGCTGTGGTGGTGCACGCCTGTGGTTCCAGCTACTCAGGAGGCTCAGGGCGGAAGACGGCTCGAGTCCAGGAGATTAAGCTGGAGTGAGCCATGCTGCACTGCCACTGCACTCCAGCCTGGGCAACAGAATGAGACACTGTCTCAAAAAAAAAAAAAAAAAAAAAGAAAGAAAAGAAAAGAAAAAAGAAAAAGAATACGTTAAAATGTTAAACTCATTAGAAGAAAAAACTGATAAGGATAAATATTACATAATTTCACCTTGGTTTCCTTGAAATATTTGTGTATTTACCAGAATAGGATCTGTAACTACAAAACCGTGACTATGGAGCATGGAAACCAAACTAAAACTTCTTCAGGCAAGGAACCATGTCTTAACCATGTAAACACAAGACCTGGCATGGAGAAGGTACTCACTTGAATTAGGTAACAATGATGACTGAAAAAAAATAAGAAATAAAAGCATTTCTGAAATAATAAAGTATTTAGGAAAGACAGAATTTAAAGACTCCTGAAGCTAAAAGTGATTGTACGTTATAGTTACATAAGAATACTATATACCTATATATATATATACTCATATAGAAAAATTAATGTTTTTAGTAAGTGAAAAAGTTGTTAAATAATAATTATAGTATCATTTGTTTATAAGTACTATGTTATAAGTACTTATATATGTTAATACATGTATAAGTAACAGTTTGAAAATTTAAGAGTCAAATTTCTGGGGAGGAAGCTGAACACAGTGGCCTTCTCAGGAGGCTAGGACAGGAGTATCGCTTGAGCCCAGGAGTTCAGGGCTGTGCATTATGATCCTGCCCATGAAGAGTCACTATACTCCAGCCTGGGCAATATAGCGAGACCCTACCTCAAAAAAAAAAAAAAAAGAAAGAAAAGAAAAACTTTTGAAGAGGAAAGGGGGAACAGGGTGGGAGGTTTTTTGTGTTTGTTTTTTAATTTGTGTGTGTGTTTTTTAATTTTTTTTTTTTTTTTTGAGACAGAGTCTCACTCTGTCGCCCAGGTTGGAATGCAGTGGTGCGATCTTGGCTCACTGCAGCCTCCGCCTCCTGGGTTCAAGCAATTCTCCTGCCTCAGCCTCCCGAGTAGCTACAGGCATGTGCCGCCACACCCGGCTAATGTCTGTATTTTTAGTAGAGATGGGGTTTCACCATGTTGGCCAGGAAGGTCTTGATCTCCTGACCTCATGATCTAACCGCCTCGGCCTTCCAAAGTGCTGGGATTACAGGCGTGAGCCACTGCACCCAGCCTGTGTGTGTTTTTTTAAAATTAAACAATGAGATCATCTTAAAAGCTCAACTACAAAAGAATAAGTAACTTATAGATTAGTTCAGATCTCTCCTTTTTTAGGTGAAAAAACAGGCTCAAAAAGGTAAAGTGAATTTTGGAGCTTATATATTAATTGTAAAGAGTAGCATAGCCAGGAAAAAAATCCAACTTTCTAGATCCAGTTTAATTCTATTTACTCACATTGACTGCAAAAATTTTTTTTTAGTCAGAGTCTCACTCTGTCACCCAGGCTGGAGTGCAGTGGCGTGATCTTGGCTCACTGCAGCCTCGATCTCCCAGATTCTAGTGATCCTCATATCTCTGCCTCCCAAGTAGCTAGGACCACAGACACGCACCACCATGCCCAGCCAATTTTTTGTAGAGATGGGGTTTCGCCATGTTGCCCAGGCTGGTCTCAAACTCCTGAGCTCAAGGAATCCATGCCCCTTGGCCTCCCAAAGTGCTGAGATTACAGTTGTGAGACACTGTGCCAGGCCAAAATGTTTTATGAACAAAGTTGACATGTGCATATTTATTTTGAAGATTAATATAACAAGTTGCTTAAAATTTTTATAATCTTTCAACTATTCTAGCATAGCACAGAGTTTTTTTAATTAAAAAAAATTTTTTTTTGGGCCAAGTACGGTGGCTCACGCCTCTAATCCCAGTACTTTGGGAGGCCGAGGCAAGTGGATCATGAGGTCAGGAGTTCGAGACCAGCCTAGCCAACATAATGAAACCCCATCTCTACTAAAAAGACAAAAAAAATTAGCTGGGCGTGATGGTGGGGGCCTGTAATCCCAGCTACTCGGGAGGCTGAGGCAGGAGAATTGCTTGAACCTGGGAGACAGAGGTTGCAATGAGCCGAGATCGCACCACTGCACTCTAGCCCAGGCAACAGTGCGAGACTCCATCTCAAAAAATATAAATAAATAATTTTTTCTTTTTTTAGAGATAGGGTATTGCTCTATTGTCTGGGCCGGAGTGCAGTGGCATAATCATAGCTCACTGCAGCCTCAAACTCTTCGGGGATCATGTGATCCTCCTACCTCAGCCTCCCGGGTAGCCAGTATTACAGGCACATGCCACCCTGCGCAGCTAATTTTTGCAAATTTTTTTTGTAGAGACAGGGGTCTCGCTTTCTTGCGCAGGCTGGTTTTGAACTCCTGGCTTCAAGTGATCCTCCCACCTTGGCCTCCCATAAATTTTCTTGTAGAGACAGGGGTCTCACTATGTTCAGCAGACTGATCTGGACCTCCTGGCCTCAAGAGATCCTCCCACCTCACTCCCCCAAAGTGCTGGGATTACAGGCATGAGCCACTGCACCCAGCCATAGCACAGATTTTTAAATAGGGTCCCATAATAGAAATTTCTTTAATAACAAATCAACTTACGATAAAGGGTTAATGGTCGTTCTTCTAAAACTCCACCTCCACTTCTAATCCAGAATTGTAAGTAAAGGATACTTTTTCTGATATCACAAGTATTTGCAGTTAACAAGGTTACAAAGTCTTTTACATCAGTTCTAAAATTCTCAGTTAAGCAAATCATTTGTAGGTAGCTGGCAACATTTAGCTTCAAAACAGAGAGAGAAATGTGGTTAACTGCTGAGTTCAAATAGATACAGCAATAATACATACAAATAGTATCTAAAAGTGAGACAAATTTTGCTAAAATTCACATTATCTTAAATGCTCTTCTTGAGGATGAAACTGCTTTAAAAATATAAGGGAATATACCATTAAATTAAAAGCATTTACATGTATTTCTTTTATTAACTGTATATTGTGCAAGACAGCAAGGAAACTTTTATAGGAGATTCTCCAACCTGAACACTGAAGGCAGTTTTATAAACCTTGATAAAACCCCTTAGGATTAAGTAACAGTATAGCTTGATAGAATATCTTACAACAAAATTATAAATATGAATACTATAACACTGAAAAATACACAATTTTTTAAAAACCAGGTTAGAAATTGCACTAATTAGTGCATAAAGCTAATTAATTTTTTTTTTTTTGGTAGAGATCAGGGTCTCACTATATTGCCCAGGCTGGTCTCAAACTCCTGGCATCAAGCAGTCTTCCTGCCTTAGCCTTCCAAAGTGCTAGGATTATAGGCATGACCCACTGTGCCTGGCCAAGAAATTGAGAGAGGCTGAGGCAAGGGGATCACCTGAGGTCAGGAGTTTGAGACCAGCCTGCCCAACATGGTGATACCCCATCTCTAATCCCAGCTACTCGGGAGGCTGAAGCAGGAGAATCGCTTGAACCTGGGAGGTGGAGGTTACAGTGAACCAAGATCACACCATTGCACTCCAGCCTCGGCGATGGAGCAAGACTCTGTCTCGAAAATAAATAAATAAATAAATAAATAAATAAATAAATAAATAAAATAATTCAATTTATCAAAGATTTTCCCACAAAGAAAACTCATAAATTCACTGATGAAGTATATCAAATACCAAAAAATAAAGAATATCAACCCTATACAAACTCTTAGAAAAAAGAGAAGGAAACATTTCTCAACTCTTTTTGAGGGCAGCTTAACCTTAATACTTAAAGCTAACAAAGACAATTCTTAAAAAAAAAAAAGAAAAAAGTTACAAAGTAGTATTCCTCAAGAAAATAAACATATAAATCCTTAATAAATTAATCACAAATCTAATCCATCAATATATAAAGTGGATAATACATCATGACCAAGGGGGGTTTATCATTAGAAAATCAGTCAGTATAATTCACCATAGAGATAGATAAAAGTAGAAAAATATGATTTCAACACATGCAAAAGAAGCTGTTGATAAAATCCAACACCTACTCTTGATAAAAATTCTAAGAAAATTGGAATAGCCTGGGGGCCAAGGCTCACGCATGTAATCCCAGCACTTTGAGAGGGCGAGGCGGGAGTTCAAGACCAGCCTGACCAACATGGCAAAACCCCATCTCTACTAAAAATACAAAAAATTAGCCAGGCATGGTGGCACTTGCCTATAATCCCAGCTACTCGGGAGGCTGAGACAGGAGAATCACTCAAACCCGGGAGGTGGAGGTTGCAGTGAGCCGAAATTGCCCCACTGCACTCCAGCCTGGGCGACAAGAGCGAACTCCATCTCAACCAAAAAAAAAAAAAAAAAAAAAAAAGAAAGTTGGAATAAAAGAAATTTCCTTAATCTGATAAAAAGAAGGTATGAAAAGCCTATAGCTAACTTTGTATTCAACAGTAAAATAGTAAACACTTTCCATCTAAGATCAAGTACAAGCTAAGGATATCCATTGTTACCACTTCTACTTAACATATTGAAGGTCCTACCCAATGAAATAAGGCAACAAAAAGAAATAAAAGGCAGAAAAAACAAAGGAAAGAAAACTATCTCTGTTCGCAGATAACATGATTGAGTACACAGAAAAACCTAAGAAACTGACAGTTGTGGTGGCTCATGCTTGTAATCCCAGCACTTTGGGAGGCCAAGGTTGGGGGATCACCTGAAGCTAGGAGTTTGAAGTTACAGTGAGTTATGATCACACCACTGCCCTCCAACCTAGGTGACAGAGAGACCCTGTTTCTAATAAAAATTTAAAAAATAGAAAAAAAGCAAAGAAAAACCTAAGAAACCAACAAAATAACTACTATAACTAATAAGAGAATTTAGCAACGACAAAGGAAAAGAACATCTAGAATCTACAGCAGTACTGTCCATTAGAAATATAAGGCAAAGGCAGCTGGGCACGGTGGCTCACGCCTGTAATCCCAGCACTCTGGGAGGCAAAGGCGGGTGGATCACAAGGTCAGGAGATCCAGACCATCCTGGCTAACACAGTGAAACCCCGTCTCTACTAAAAATACAAAAAATTAGCCAGGCGTGGTGGTGGGCGCCTGTAGTCCCAGCTACTCGGGAGGCTGAGGCAGGAGAATGGCGTGAACCCAGGAGGCGGAGCTTGCAGTGAGCCGAGATTGCACCACTGCACTCCAGCCTGGGCGACACAGCAAGACTCTGTCTCAAAAAAAAAAAAAAAAGAAAAAGAAATATAAGGAAAGGGGCAGGTGCGGTGGCTCACGTCTGTAATCCCAGCATTTTGGGAGGCCGAGGCGGGCAGATCACTTGAGGTCAGGAGTTCGAGACAAGCCTGGCCAACATGGTGAAACCCCATATCTACTAAAAATACAAAAATTAGCAGGGCATGGTGGCACGTGCCTGTAGTCCCAGCTACTCGGGAGGCTGAGGCAAGAGAATTGCTTGAAACCGGGAGGCAGAGGTTGCAGTGAGCTGAGATCGTGCCACTGCACTCCAGCCCAGGTGACAGAGCAAGACTACATCTCAAAAAAAAAAAAAAAAAAAAAAGAAAAGAAAAGAAATATAATGCAAGTAAAACACTGTAAGCTATATACATACTACGACTTAGATGAACCTTGAGGATGTTATGCTAAGTGAAATAAGCCAGTCACAGCCTGGCGCGATGGCTCATGCCTGTAATCCCAGCACTTTGGGAGGCTGAGGCAGGAGAATTGCTTGAAACCAAAGGCAGAGGTTGCATGACTAAGATCGTGCCACTGCACTCCAGCCTGGCAACAGAGGGAGACTCCATCTCAAAAAAAAAAAAGCCGGTCACAACAAGCCAAATCAGTATGATTCCATTTATATCTAGCATAGTCAAATTCATATAAACAAAGTAGAATGGTAGTTGCCAGCAACTACTGGACAGGAGGAAACAGGGAGTTTCATTTAACAAGCGTAGAATTTCAGTTTTGCAAGAGCAATGTGAATATACTTAACACTATTCAACTGTACACTGTTACGTGTTCTTTACCAAAAGCAAATTTTTTAATACAAAAATTTTAAAAACCAAGCCATATATGTAATTTAAATTGTCTAGGAGTCACATTAAAAAATTAAAGAAACAAGTAAAATTAATTTTAGGGCCAGATGCGGGGGCTCACACCTCTAATCCCAGCACTTTGGGAGGCCGAGACGGGCGGATCACGAGGTCAGGAGATCGAAACCATTCTGGCTAACATGGTGAAACCCCATCTCTACTAAAAAATACAAAAAATATTAGCCGGGCATGGTGGCAGGCGCCTGTAGTCCCAGCTACTCGGGAGGCTGAGGCAGGAGAATAGCATGAACCTGGGAGGTGGAGCTTGCAGTGAGCCAGTGATTGCGCCAGTGCACTCCAGCCTGGGCAACAGAGCGAGACTCCATCTCAAAAAATAATAATAATTAATTTTACTACATTTCTTTTACAACAATATATCCAAATATTGCAAAATGTAACCAATATAAAAATTAGTGAGATGTGTTACATTCCTATTTTTTGCACTGAGTCCTCAAAATCTGGTGTTAGCCAGGCACTGTGGCTCACGCATGTAATACCAGCACTTCGGGAGGCTGAGGCAGGAGTATTACTTGAGCTCAGGAATTCAGGACCAGTCTGGGCAATATAGTGAGACCTCATCTCTACAAAAAAATTTTTTTAATTAGCTGGGCGTGGTGGCACATGCCTATGGTCCTAGCTACTCAGGAGGCTGAGAGGGGAGGACTGCTTGAGCCCAGGAGGTAGAGGTTGCAGTGAGCTGAGACTGAGCCACTACACTCCAGCCTAGGAGATAGAGTGAGACCGTATCTCAAAAAAAAAAAAAAAAAATCTGGTGTTTATATTACACTTTAGCACAAAGTAGAGATGGGGTCTAGCCACATTTTAAAAATAGATAATAAGCCGTATTTAGATATAATTCATATACTATACAATTCACCCACTTAACATGTAAAATTCAATGGTTTTAGTATATTTATAGAGTTTTGCACCCATTACCACTATCTAATTACAGAGCATTTTCATCATCCCCAAAAGAAACCCCAGACCAATCAGCAGTCACTCCCTATTTCTACCTAGCTCCTCTAGCCTTAGGCAGCTATGAATCCACTTTCTGTCTCTATAAATGTGCCTATTCTGGACATTTCATACAATTATTATCATACAAAATGTGATCTTTTATTAACTGTAGACTAGCCACATTTTAAAAGCTCAATAGCTTCATTTGGGTAGTGGAGACCATATTAGCATATAGCTGAAAGCCAACAGTGAAGGTGAAATGAAATAATATACTTGGTTAATCCAAAAGACTGCAGAAAAGGAAGAATGAAGAATTGTCTAGACAAATTGTTTTTTTTTTCTTTTTCTTCCAGAGTCTCACTCTGTTGCCCAAGCTGGAGTGCTGTGGCACAATCTTGGCTTCCTGCAACCTCTGCCTCCCAGGCTCAAGCAATCCTCTTGCCTTAGCCTCCCAAGTAGCTGGGACTACAGGCACATGCCACTGCACCCAGTTAATTTTTTTTCTTTTTACATCCAGCTAATTTTTGTGCTTTTTGTAGAGACAGGATTTCGCCAATGTTGCCCAGGCTGGTCTTGAACTTCTGGGCTCAAGGGATCCACCCACCTTGGCCTCCAAAAGTGCTAGGATTATAGGCATAAGCCACAGCCCCCAGCCTGTTTAGACAATTTTTTTTTTTTTCAGATGGAGTTTCGCTCTTGTTGCCCAGGCTGGAGTGCAATGGCGCGATCTTGGCTCACCACAACCTCTGCCTCCCAGGTTCGAGCAATTCTCCTGCCTCAGCCTCCCGAGTAGCTGGGATTACAGGCATGCACCACCACGCCCAGCTAATTTTGTATTTTTAGTAGACACGGGGTTTCTCAATGTTGAGGCTCATCTCAAACTCCTGACCTCAGGTGATCCGCCCACCTCAGCCTCCCAAAGTGCTGGGATTACAGGCGTGAGCCACTGCGCCCGGCCTAGACAAATTTTTAAAAATATTCAATTATGTGTTATTTAAAAGAAACAATTATTTTTTTGGGGGGGGGACAGGGTCTTGCTCTGTCACCAAGCTGGAGTGCAGTGGTATGATCTTGGCTCACTGCAACCTCTGCCTCCCATACTCAAGTGATCCTCCCACCTCAATCTCCCAAGTAGCTGGGACTACAGGTGTGCGCTACCACATCCAGCTAATTTTTTTAATTTTTTGTAGAGACAGGGTTTCACCACATTTCCCAGGCTGGTCTCAAACTCCTGGACTCAAGTGATCCGCCTGCCTCTGCCTCCCAAAGTGCTGGGATTACAGGTGTGAGCCACTGCCTCCAGCTAAGAAACACAATTTAAAAGTAAGAACAGGGTCGGGCGCGGTGGCTCACGCCTGTAATCCCAGCTCTTTAAGAGGCCAAGGTGGGTGGATTACTTGAGGTCAAGAGTTCAAAGCCAGCCTGGCCAACATGGCGAAATCCCGTCTCTACTAAAAATACAAAAAAAATAAGCCAGGCGTGGTGGTGTGCGTCTCCAATCCCAATTACTAGGGAGGCTGAGGTGGGAGAATTGCTTGAACCCAGGAGTTGGAGGTTGTAGTGAACCAAGATCGTGCCACCGTACTCCAGCCTGGGCAACAGGACAATTGTGCCACTACACTCCAGCTTGGGTAACAGAGTGAGACCTCACCTAAAAAAATAAAATAACCCATACAGTAAAATTGACCTGACCACAATTATCTCACTGCAGCCTGGAACTGTTGGCCTCAAGCAATCCTCTAACCTCAGCCTCCCAAAGTGCTGGGATTACAAGTATGAGCCACCATGCCCAGCAACTCAATGTTAATTTTAAAAACTTTTTTTTTTTAGAAGAATGAAAAAAAAGAAAAAGGAAAAAATAAGAAAAAAAGACATATACACAAAAACACTATCTTTTTAAAGGTTAAAAAAGTGCCTTGTTCATCATCGTAAGAAAAAAAAAAGGTGGCTATTTCTGGTGGAAAAGGGGATTCTTACTAGAAAGGGTCCATGAGAACTTTAGGAGGTAATGGAAATGCTCTATATTCTGATCTGCATAATGATGACACTGATTTTTACATATGTTATATGTACAAAATATATTCATTAAGTTATTCATGTAAGGGCATTTTAACTCCATTTAAATTTTACCTCAGAAAAGCACTTTTACTAGGCAAAAAACCTAGTGAACATTGAAGCCTAGTAAAAATTATTTTAAATTTAAGAAAACACATTTTTAAAGCAAAAAAAAGAGAAATAATCAGAAGTTTCCTAAAACTTAAAAATTTTAACATATTCCTTAGAAACCACATTTAAATTATAGCTCTTTTTTCTTTTTTTTTTTTTTTGAGATGTAGTTTCACTCTTGTTGCCCAGGCTGGAGTGCAATAGCACGATCTAGGCTCACCACAACCTCCATCTCCCAAATTCAAGCGATTCTCCTGCCACAGCCTCCCAAGTAGCTGGGATTACAGGCATGCGCCACCACGCCCAGCTAATTTTGTATTTTTAATAGAGATGGGGTTTTACCATGTTGGTCAGGCTGGTCTCAAACTCCCGACCTCAGGTGACCCACCCTACCTGGCCTCCCAAAGTGCTGGGATTACAGGCGTGAGCCACTACGCCCGGCCAGGTATTTATTTTTTTTGAGACAGAATCTTGCTCTGTCACCCAGGCTGGAATGCAGTGGTACAATCACAGCTCACTGCAGCCATGGCCTCGACCTCCTGGGCTCAAGCAATTGTCCCACCTCAGCCTCCTGAGTAGGTAGGACTACAGGCATGTGCCACCACACCTGGCTAATTTTTTGTATTTTTGTGTAGAGACAGGGTTTTGCCATGTTGCCCAAGCTAGTCTCGAACTCCAGAGCTCAAGCAATCTGCCCTCCTCAGCCTCCCAAAGTGCTGGGATTACAGGCATGAGCAACTGTGCCTGGCCTTATTGATTGATTGATTGACCAGGCTAGAGTACAGTGGCACAATTTCAGCTCACTGTAACCTCCACCTCCTGGGCTCAAGTGATCTTCCTGCCTCAGCCTCCCAAGTAGCTGGGAGTACAGGCGTGATACCACACCTGGCTAAATTATAGCTGTATTGGACCGGGCGCAGTGGCTCACGCCTGTAATCCCAGCACTTTGGGAGGCCGAGGCGGGCAGATCACAAGGTCAGGAAATCAAGACCATCCTGGCTAAAATGGTGAAACTCCGTCTCTACTAAAAATACAAAAAATTAGCCGGGCGTGGTGGCAGGCGCCTGTAGTCCCAGCTACTTCGGAGGCTGAGGCAGGAGAATGGCGTGAACCCGGGAAGCGGAGCTTGCAGTGAGCCAAGATCGCGCCACTGCACTCCAGCCTGGGCGACAGAGCAAGACTCCGTCTCAAAAAAAAAAAAAAATTATAGCTGTATTTAATAATAAACTACTTTTACATGATGGTGATATGTAATTTGTGGCTATCAAAATTTAAAACTTACCAGGGAAGGAGTACTGAACTTGATTTCTTCAAAGCAGCCATCAAACATTAAACTAAATGTTGGGTCTACACACACACACACACACAAAAAAAAAAAATTCTTAAACACTAAGACCAATAAATAACTTTTTCAAGTTATACTTTTCTATGAAAATATTCAGCACCCGCCTCCCCACCACTGCCTAGTGCTGTGGTGCAGTCATAGCTCACTGCAGCCTCAAACTCCTGGGCTCAAGTGATCCTCTGCCTCAGCTTCCCAAGCAGCTAGGATTATAAGCTCAAGCTGCCATGCCCAGATAATTTTTAAGTTTTTTTGTAGAGATGGGGGTCTCACTATAGTGCCCAGGCTGATCTCAAAACTCCCAGGTTCAAGTGCCCACCTTAGCCTCCCAAAGTGCTGGAATTAAAGGCATGAGCCACCACACCTGGCCAACTATGATCTTCTAATAAAACTACCAGCTGGGCACAGTGCCTCATGCCTATGATCCCAGCACTTTGGGAGGCCGAGGCAGGTGGATCACATGAGGTCAGGAGTTCGAGACCAGCCTGACCAATATGGTGAAACCCTGTCTCTACTAAAAATACAAAAATTAGCTGGGCGTGGTGGTGTGTGCCTGTAGTCCCAGCTACTCAGGAGGCTGAGACAGGAGAATCACTTGAACTCAGGAGGCAGAGGTTGCAGTGAGCCAAGATGGTACCATTGCACTCCAGCCTGGGCAACAGAGTGAGACTCTGTCTCCAAAAAAAAAAAAAAAAAAAAAAAAAAAAAACACCACCTAACTTCTGATTAATAAGATTTTTCTCAATATTTTAAGAGTACAATCACTACCAAATGGGCATTAATTTGTAAGTAGAGACTAGCCTCATGAATATTTATAATTGGAAAAATATTAGAAAATTATTATAGTATTTCCAATTTTTTGAAAAAGAAATTGAATGAGTTTTTAAAATGAAACATTCTGTGATAATTCTTTAGAAGATGGATCAATTCTATTAGGCTGATGATAGCTAAATATACAATAATTCATAAGAAAGTGTTATCAGGGGCAAAAGAGTGGCTAAGTTCAGGATTAAGGAACAGCAGAAAGGTTGGGTTCCATAAAAAATCCTGACCACTAAATCAGATTTAGTGATCTGATTATAGGTATGATAAGGACACCAGGAGAAGAATCTAGTATTTTCCCTACCAAAATACCATTACTAGATTTCTTATTTGCATTCTAGAGATTGTTCTCCAATTCCTAAATATCTAATACCCAACATAGTAACCCAAAGTAGTATCAATTTTAAAAAAGTAATTGCTATTTGTGAGTTAATTATAATTACTCCAGTCTGCAGATGAACTACAGATTTGAGTAACTGTTTAACTGAAGTAAAATCATTGTTACCTACCACTTGTAGTAAGGATTACAGGTCGTTTAGTTGTTGCCATGAATGTTTTGATTGCATTCAAAAACCCAGCATCTTCATCAAAAATTACATCAACCTACAGTTTATTAGAATATTAATATATTAATACACTTACTAATATCAGTTATGTATACATAGTAAATATTCTATGTCTGTTAGAGACAAAATTTATGAATTTATGAAGTGTGAATTCAGCTCATGTTGAAAGTTTATGTCATACACTATAATGAATTTTAAAATTATCAACTATCAAATGTTAAAAACAAACGCAGCCACCTATAACTAGACAGATATGGATCAGAATAATTTATACAATCATTTAACAATAATTAGCAGCCGTGAATTACATTAATCATCTTCCTGAAAAATTATTCTAGAGTGGACAGTTTAATTTGCTTTAATTTCAAATAGATACACGTATTCCTGACCTCCTTAGCTATTTTACAATTCTTTATAAGAAAACATACAGTATTCTTTAAAGTAAGTCTTTATCATGAGCTCTCACAAATGTATACTTCTATAAGCCTACCTCCTCAAAAAGAATAAGAGATGTTGCATTTTTTCTGCTGGGTTCTTCAGCTCCAACGTCTTTGACATTTGAATTAGTTGCATTTGTAGATTTAGTCTGAGTAATTTGTTTCTGTTCAAAAGAATTTTTTATTCCTGCATAAATACAATATTAATATTTTAGGTAAAATCAACTTTTGCTAAGACATTGGATATGTCCACAGAATAAGCTCAAACTGAAATCCATTATCAAAACTGAAACAGGACGGGCGCGGTGGCTCATGCCTGTAATCCCAGCACTTTGGGAGGCCGAGGCAAGTGGATCACCTGAGGTCAGGGTTTCGAGACCAACATGGCGAAATCCCAACTCTACTAAAAATACAAAAATTAGCTGGGTGTGGTGGCACACACCTGTAATCTCAGCTACACGGGAGGCTGAGGCAGGAGCATCACTTGAACCCAGGAGGCGGAGGTTGCAGTGAGCCAAGATTGCGCCACTGCATTCCAGCCTGGATGAAAGAGTGAGACTGTCTCAAACAAACAAAAACTGAAACAAGCTGGGCGTGGTGGCTCATATCTGTAATCCCAGCACTTTGGGATGCTAAGGTGGGTGGATCACTTGAGGTCAGGAGTTCAAAACCAGTCTGAACAATATGGCAAAACCCCGTCTCTACTAAAAATACAAAAATTAGCTGGGAGTGGTGGTGTGCACCAGTAATCCCAGCTACTCGGGAGGCTGAGGCAGAAGAATTGCTTGAACCCAGGAGGAAGAGGTTGCAGTGAGCCAAAATTGTGCCACTGCACTCCAGCTTGGCCTGGCAATAGAGCAAGACTCTGTCTCAAAAAAAAAAAAAAAAAAAAAAAAAAAAGGAAACAAAATATTAACACTTCTACATGTAGAACCTTCAGTGTAGCTGAGATTTAATAAATAGCAACAGGAACTCGTAAAATGTGCTCACATTTTTAGGTATAAGGGTCATTATTATTAAAAAATATAAAATTTGTCAATTTAATGTCTTACCTTTATTATTTTCCAGAAGCATTCCTATTTCTTCATTATTTTTAGGTTTGGGAGATACTTTAAAATAATTTGCCAAGGTTTTGGGAGGAAGTGCTCGCTTTGGTCCACTACTTTTTGGTGATGGTGGAGGAACTTTTCTTGGTGATGTAACAACTTTCTTAGGGGAGCTTATTTTTTCTGCCCAAAAACAAATTGCACTTAAAGATAAATATTCTAAAAATCATACAGGTAGCAAGACAGTTAGCCACATTCTGTATTTCTACTCTTAACAGTTAAAAATCAAAGACACAGAAATTTTCTTTCATTCTTAAAAATACTATGTACATCCAAATATTACTATATTTATTTATTCTACCAGTACAGAAGGTTAAGCCAGTCATTTATTTATTTTATTTTATTTTATTTTATTTTTTTGAGACAGGGTCTCGCTCCGTCGCCCAGGCTGGAGTGCAGTGGCATGATCTCGGCTCACTACAAGCTCCACCTCCTGGGTTCACGCCATTCTCCTGCCTCAGCCTCCCGAGTAGCTGGGACTACAGGCACTCGCCACCACGCCCAGCTAATTTTTTGTATATTTAGTAGAGACGGGGTTTCACCGTGTTAGCCAGGATGGTCTCGATCTCCTGACCTCGTGATCTACCCGCCTCGGCCTCCCAAAGTGCTCGGATTACAGGCATGAGCCACCGCACACGGCCAAGCCAGTCATTTAGAAAAGACACTCTACTCCAAAGAAACACACATTTTTTTTTTTTTTTGAGTCAGGGTCTCACTTTGTCACCCAGGCTGGAGTGAAGTGGTATGATCTCAGCTCACTGCAGTTTCCACCTCCCAGGCTCAAGTGATCCTCCTGCCCAGCCCCCCAAGTAGCTGGGACTACAGGAGCACACCACCACGCCTGGCTAATCGTTTGTATTTTTAGTAGAGATGGGTTTTGCCATGTTGTCCAGGCTGGTCTCAAACTCCTGAGCTCAAGCGATCCGCCTGCCTCAGCCTCCTAAAGTGCTAGGATTACAAGCGTGGGCCCCTGTACCCAGCCAGAAATACACATTCTTACAACAAATACTGTTCACAGTACCTCTGTTCATTTTTTTCTACACCTGCTTAAAGAAAGAAGAGGGTGGAGGGAAAATAACAGTATACACTGAGCACATTACAGAACTTTGTTGTTCAACTTTAATTTAGACCTGCAGTAAATTAATATTGCAAGCCAATAAAATGTATTTTTAGAGATGCTTTGGAAGATAGATACGAAGTTAAAAAATAAATAGTTCACCTCTATTCTCCAAAAGCCCCATGGCATTTTTCCACATAATACATCCTCTCTTCCCCTCTAGGTACCTGGATTTAGTCCTTACAAATCCTAATTACTGTATGGCCTCAGAACAGGATCTTCCTCACATACCATCTCATGATCACAGTTCCATATCTGTGTCCTATTCTTTTTTTCTACCCTCTATCTCCATAGATCTTATCATAGCCCTTGTATATTAGAGGTGTTCAATAAGCTTACTGAAAATCTCGAGGTTAAAAAAGCTGTCACAGACATGACCATCATTTCAAAAATATAGAACATTTCAACACCACAGGTAAGAGATGCAATATCTTAAAATATAAAAATATTTGGCAGGGCACAGTGGCTCACGCCTGTAATCTCAGCACTTTGGGGGGCCAAGGCAGGCAGATCACAAGGTCAGAAGTTTGAGACCAGCCTGGCCAACATGGTGAAACCGTGTCTCTACTAAAAATACAAAAATTAGCTGGGGATGGTGGCAGGTGCCTGTAATCCCAGCTACTCGGGAGGCTGAGGCAGGAGAATCACTTGAACCTGGGAGGTGGAGGTTGCAGTGAGCTGAGATCGCTCCACTGCACTGCTGCCTGGGCGACAGACCAAGACTCCATCTCAAATAAATAAATAAATAAATAAATAAATAAATAAATAAATAGTTGAACAGATATCAATTTATAAAAAACACCATTTTTTCCTCTTTTTTTTTTTTTTTTTGTTTCTTTTGAGATGGAGTCTCACTCTGTCACCAGGCTGGAGTGCAGTGACACAATCTCAGCTCACTGCAACCTCTGCCTTCCGGGTTCAAGTAATTCTCCTGCCTCAGCCTCCCGAGTAGCTGGGATTACAAGCACACGCCACCATGCCCAGCTAATTTTTGTATTTTTAGTAGAGACGGGATTTCAACATATTGGCCAGGATGGTCTCAATCTCCTGACCTCGTGATCCGCCCACCTCAGCCTCCCAAAGTGCTGGGATTACAGGCATGAGCCACCGTGCCTGGCCTTTGTCCTTATTTTTCTTATTTTGATATAGACCAAGGACTGCTTGATCATGTATGAATACCAGTCCAAAGACTGGTTTTATTTATTTATTTTTTCTGAGACGGAGTCTCACACTGTCGCCCAGGCTGGAGTGCAGTGGCACAATCTCAGCTCACTGTAACCTCCACCTCCCAAGTTCAAGCAATTCTCCTGCCTCAGTCTCCCAAGTAGCTGGGATTACAGGTGTGCACCACCACACCTGGCTAATTTTTCTATTTTTAGTAGAGATGGCATTTCACCATGTTGGCCAGGCTGGTCTTGAACTCCTGACCTTGTGATCCACCTGCCTCAGCCTCCCATAGTGCTGGGATTACAGGCATGACCCACTGTACCCGGCCCAAAGACTGGTTTTAAAAATACATGCTTAGCCAAGTGCAGTGGCACATACCTGCAATCCCAGCACTCTGGGAGGCTAAAGCAGGAGGATCATCTGAGCCCAGGAGTTCAAGTTTGCAATGAGCTATGATTGCATCACTGCAATCCAACCTTGGCAACAGAGGAAGACCCCGTCTTTTCAAAAAAAAAAAAAAAAAGGCAATTTTTATTTTAAGATACTCTGTGAGTAGCTGGCTAAACTATATCAATATATTCTTTCTAAAAAAATTGGCCAGGCACAGTGGCTCACGCCTGTAATCCCAGCACTTCAAGAATCCAAGGCAGATGGATCACCTGAGGTTAGGAGTTCGAGACCAGCCTAGCCAACATGGTGAAACCGTGTCTCTACTAAAAACACAAATATTAGCCAGGCATGGTGGCGCACACCTGTAGTCTCAGCTACTCAGGAGGCTGAGGCATGAGAATCACTTGAACCTGGGAGACGGAGGTTGCAGTGAGCCAAGATCACACCACTGCACTCCAGCCTCGTGACAGAGCAAGACTCCGTCTCAAAAAAAAAAAAAAAAGAAAAAGAAATTTCACACCAAAAGAACTACCTTCTTGCAGAAACAGCTAACTGTAGGTCTGGGACATCCTGACATGCCAGAAAGCAAGTAAAATATCAACTATTGCTGGGGTAATGTCAAAAGGACACAAACCAATTAAAATAGTTCCTTGCTAGTCAAAGATGGAAAAATATGAGCACCAAAAGAAAATAAGATGGGATTCTGCTTCTAGTCAAGGTATAGAACTGGCACTGGATTTATCCTCCCATCATAAATAAGAACAAGAAAACTGGACATAATATATGAAATAACACTTTTCAAGACTTTTGTCATGATGCAACAATGGACAGTAATCTCTGAGATATAAAAACAAATAAGGTGAACACTAGGATTGCCCAGCCTATTGCCCTGAGAAAATTTCCATAGTGAGGGGAAAGTCAATCCATGTTTTCTGAGTTGAGACTGCACTAGAAACCTGAGGAGGTTGGCTGGGTGCAGTAGCTCATGCCTGTAATCCCAGCACTCTGGGAGACCGAGGCGGGCAGATCACAAGGTCAGGAATTTGAGACCAGCCTGGCCAACATAGTGAAACCCTGTCTCTACTAAAAATACAAAAAAATTAGCTGTGCGTGATGGCGAGCGCCTGTAATCCCAGCTACTTAAGAGGCTGAGGCAGGAAGATCACTTGAACCTGGGAGGCAGAGCTTGCAGTGCACCAAGATCGCACCACTGCACTCTAGCCCAGGCAACAGTGTGAGACTCCGTCTCAAAAAAAGAAAAAAAAAAAGAAAAAAGAAAAAAAAAAAGAAAAAGAAACCTGAGGAGGCCAAGCAGACAGAGATGTGGGGAAGAATACAGAAGAAACAGCTGGGCAAAGCTCTGGAAATTTGCAGAGTCCCTCTCAAGTCTAAAATTGAGTACTCATCAGTGAAAGATCAGAGGAAACAATCTCTGAGGCTCACAGAGAGCTGTGAATGATTCGTCTTCCCATCAGGTAGACTGGCAAACATAACTAATGGAATATTGAAGCACTCAGAAAGGTTTTGCCTAAGGAGTGGGGCAAAATTAGCCCTAGACTAAATGCTGCTACTTTTTTGCCTACTACAGTTTAAAAGACCTGAAAAAGCTGGGCGTGGTGACGGCTCACACTTGTAATCCTAGCACTACGGGAGGCCAAGGCAGGAAGACTGCTGGAGGCCAGGAGTTTGAGACTAGCCTGACAACACAGCAAGACCCCCTCTACAAAAAAAAATTTCTTTTAATTAGCTGAGTGCGGTGGTCTGTAGTCCTAGCTACTCAAAAGGCTAAGGTTGGGGGATTGCCCAAGCCCACTTCGAGGTGGCAGGGAACCATAATCGTGCCACTCCACTCCAGCCTTGGCAACAGATTGAGACTGTCTCAAAAACAAACACATACACAAGACCTGAAGATAAACTTTTCCCAACTAACTTAACCACATCACAGAAGAAAGTTAACGAACAGTTATAGGTACAAAAAGTGCAGGATTGATAAATTTAGAAAAAAAAGAACAGTCAGGAATACATAAATATCCAGCACCCAAGAAGGCAAACTCTACAAAGTCTGACATGCAATCAGAATTATCAGGCATCCAAAGAATCAGAAAAATACAATCCATAATGAAAGAGGGAATAATCAATCAATTGAAAAAACAACTCAGAAATGACACAGATGGGCCAGGCGTGGTGGCTGATGCCTGTAATCTCAGCACTTTGGGAGGCCATGGGGGGTGGATCACCTGAGGTCAGGAGTTTGAGACCAGCCTGGCCAATATGGTCAAACCCTGTCTCTATTAAAAATACAAAAACATTAGCTGGGCGTGGTGGCGGTTGCCTATAATCCCAGCTACTCGGGAGGCTGAGGCAGGAGAATTGCTTGAACCTGGGAGGTGGAGGTTGCAGCGAGCCAAGATTGTGCCACTGCACTCCAGCCTGGGCGACAAGTGCGAGACTCCGTTTCAAAAAAACAAAAATTACACAGATGATAGAATTAATAACCAAGACCATTAAAACAGTTGTTATAACTGTATTCCATATGTTCAAAAACCTACAGGAAAGACTGGGCACATGGTAAGTAGAAACACAGAAGATATAAAAAGGACCCAAATCAAACTTCTAGAAATGAAAACTATACTTATAGCAGTGACAGCATACTAGATACTACAGAAAAGATGTGTAAACTTGAATAGTAATAACAACTAACCAAACTGAAACAAAAAGAGGAAAAAGACTGAAAAATTGAACAAAGCATCAGTGTGCCAGGAGACAATTTCAAGTGGTCTAAAATACCTATAATAATAACTGGAGTTGCCAAAGGAAAAGGGGAGGACAGAAAAAATATTTTAAGAAATACTGGTTGAAATTTTATCAACTTTGATCTTCCCAACTATAAACTCATATATGCAAGAAACTCAACAAATCCCAAGCACAAGAAACATGAAGAGAAGTACACCAAGGCACATCATAATCAAATTACTTAAAACCAGTGAGAAAATCTCCAAAGCAACAAAGAAATAATAAACACAAAGAGGTGAAACATATTATATATATAAAAATCCATGAGTTCATAATAATACTTAAAAAATTAAACTACACAAAAACTCACTGGTCAACTGTCAAGGTTGCTAGGACACCATCACTCTAAGTACTAATAAATAAAGGAATGAATGAAGCATTTCTGGTGCCTATAAACTGTATTCCAAAGCATCCAAAGAGTTGATGAGGAATAGTGCTTCCTTTTAAAATTCTAATAAATGCAAAAAAGAGAATTATAAAATTATCATTTTGTAATCTACAAGGGATAATCTGCTATGATGTCATAGGAAGTACACAGGCCACCTGTATATGTATGCCAGACCCAGAACAGAACCTGAATCTAATAAGGCCCATAGATCTAACTGCCAGTTTACAAGAAATATAGGGAAGAGGACTATACTAACTGACACCATGAGGATATAATCAGCAGACAAATCCAGAATGTGAAGAATTTCATGACAAATGACTCAGATTCTTCAACAAATTAATGACATGAAAAGAAAGGTGAGTGAATTGTTAGCGAGATTAAAAGAAAGTTAAGAGAACTGAATCAAATGTAAGATATGAACCTTGTTTGGATCCAGATTTGAACAAATCATTTGAAACAACAGAAAATTGACATTAGACTGTGTATGAGATTATATGAAGAAATATAGTTAATAGATCTTTTTTTTTGGAGATGGGATCTCACTCTGTCACCCAGGCTGGAGTGCAGTGGCCCAATCACAGCTCACTGCAGCCTCAACCTTCTAGGCTCAAGTGAACCTCCCACATCAACTTCCAGAGTAGCTGGGACTACAGGCATACACCACCACACCTAGCTACTTTTTTTTTTTATTATTTGTAGAGACAAGGTCTCGCTATGCTGCTTAGGCTGGTTGTTAACTCTGTTGGGTCTGATTACGATATTATAGTTATGCTTTTTTAAAAGTCCTTATCAGATAGAGATAAATATTGAAGAAGGTATGGGTGAAATGATATGATGGTCTTCAGATTTGTTTTAAAATAATCTGGCAGGGGTGGGCAGGAAACGTGTACGTGTAGAAGATAAAAAATAAATGGCAAAATGCTGATAATTAACATTACTTTCTTAGATTTTATTTTTTTCAAAACATTATGGCTTAAGGAAAATAGTTTACTTACTTGGTGACTTGCCTATGTAGTAGCTATTAAAAAAACAGGGTTTTTGTGAGTTTACACCTTGTTTGTCTACTTGATGGGACTGAGTAGCTTCCTTCAACTGAGATAGAATTTGTCTACCACTGCGCTGGGAAGAGGCATTCACTTCAAATATCTAAAAGAAGAATATAAGAAAAAACGAAGGGAGAATGGTTTATGTTTCCTTTTAATCCAAGGGTAATTATTACATTAACATTCTCTCATCATAGCTGTTACTAACCTTAAATCCAAGCTCCTGGGCACAAGCATACACTGCAGCAGTTTTTCCCACTCCTGTTGGCCCTGTTATAAGGACAGTATTGCAAAGACGACTCTCTTCTTCATCATCTGAACTGCCTTTAAAGTCTATGCCACCCGAGAAATCTGAAAAATTATTCAAATGCATATAAAATGACAATTGCTGAGGAAGCAATTCTACCTTATGAAACCCAGTGATCAAATCCCACAAACTTCTTGCAATAGATGCTGAAAAATTACTTTATACAGGCCGGACGCAGTGGCACATGCCTGTAATCCCAGCACTTTGGGAAGCTGAGGCGGGCAGATCACAAGGTCAGGAGTTCGAGACCAGCCTGGCCAAACCCCATCTCTACTAAAAATACAAAAATTAGCCAGGTGTGGTGACACATGCCTGTAGTCCCAGGTACTCGGTAGGCTGAGATGGGAGAATCACTTGAACCCAGGAGGTGGAGGTTGCAGTTAGCCGAGATCACACCATTGCACTCCAGCCTGGGTGACAGAGTGAAAAAAAAAAAAAAAAAGTAGAAAATCAAATATAAAATACCAATTAAGAAATTTTATAGGCCAGGTGCAGTGGCTCATGCCACTGCTTAATCCCAGCACTTTGGGAGGCCAAGGTGGGTGGATCACGAGGTCAGGAGTTCAAGACCAGCCTGGCCAAGATGGTGAAACCCCATCTCTACTAAAAATACAAAAATTAGTCGGGCGTGGCGGCAGGCGCCTGTAATCCCAGCTACTCAGGAGGCTGAGGCATGAGAATCACTTGACCCGGGAGGCGGAGGTAGCAGTGAGCCGAGATTGCGCCACTGCACTCCACTATGGGAAACAGAGCAAGACTCTGTCTCCAAAAAAAAAAAAAAATTAAAAAAAAAAGAAATTTTATAGAAAGTTTTAGTTAATGTAACTCTAAAAATGTTCAGTGAAATGGTAAAAAAAAAAAAAAAGACACACAAAATACCTTCATGTTTCTCATCTCTTTTTCCCTTCAGATTCTGCCTTTCTTCCAATTCAGCTCTTCTTTTCCAGTCTTTCAACCAACTGCCACAAGAAAACATAATAAAAATAATTCACAGAATATAGCTATGCCTTAGACTTTATGTTAAAATGATTATCGGGGGAAGTTATGGCATATTGTTAGTTTCTCTGCCACTGGCCATTCAACTGATGAAGGCTTTCTTGTTATTTTTACTAGTACAGCTTTATATGGCATATTGTTAGTTTCTAAACACTCCACAGTGCTTGTGAATCAACTAAAGAGTAAAATAGTTTTACATGGACATGAACATTTTTAAATGAAGTAGTTTCTGCCAAAATATACAAGACTATATGTGTAAGAATATTCACTGTAGCATTGTTCATATTAGCCTCTAACAGGAAAAACATAAAAATACACCATTGGGAAAAATACATTATAGTACACTCACTTAGAAACTGGTATACAGCAATTAAAAAGAACTGAGGTGGCAGGGCAGGCACAGTGGCTCAGGCCTGTAATCCCAGCACTTTGGAAGGCGGAGGCAGGTGAATTGCTTCAGCCCAGGAATTTGCAACCAGCCTGGGCAACACAGCGAAACCTGTCTCTACAAAAAACATTAGCCAGGCATGTTGGTGCACACCTGTAGTCCCAGCGACTTGGGAGGCTCAGGTGGGAGGATGGCTTGAGCCTGAGAGGCGAAGGTTGCAGTGAGCCAAGATTCAACCACTGCACTCCAGCCTGGGCAACAGAGCAAGACCCTGTTTCAAAATAAAAAAAAAGAACTGCGGTATGTTGTGTAATTCCATGAAAGATGCCTAATATACAATGTACAACAGAAAGATTAAGTTCTAGTCTAGAGCTAGAATGCCTGAGTTTAAATCCCAGTTCCATCACTTTCTAGCTGTGTGACTTTGGACAAATAACTCAGCCTCTCTAGGCCTTGGTTTCTTCATCTATGAGATGAGGACAACAGTATTTATGCTCATAGTATTTTTCTTTTTTTGAGACAGTCTTGCTTTGTCACTGGAGTGTAGGGGTGCGATCATAGCTCACTGCAGCCTCGAATCCTTGGACTCATGTGACCCTCCCACCTCAGGCTCCTGAGTGGCTCAGAATCCAAGTGGGCGCCATCATTCCCAGCTATTTTTTTTATTTTTTGTAGAGATGGGGTCTCCCTATTTCACCCAGGCTGCTCTCAAACTCCTGGCCACAAGCAGTCCTTCTGCCTCAGCTTACGAAAGCACTGGGATTACAGGCTTGAGCCACTGTACCCACTGCTCACAGTACCATTCTAAGGATAAAATGAATTAAGAACAGTACAAGTAAAAAAAAAAAAAAGAAAGAAGGAACAATACAAGTACTTAGAACAGTAGTACCAAGTTCACGCTATTAACTGTAATTATGGGTCCGTAAATCCTTATATGAAATCCTTTGGACCAGATTGTTTTAGAATTAATTTTTCAGATACTTAAAAGGTTATTTGGTACATATACTGCATATTACATAATACCCCTAATGGGGTCTAGGCAGTACACCCATAATCATTTAAGTTGGTTTGGTTTGTTTTTTTGCTTTGTTTTGGGACAGAGTCTTACTCTGTTGCCCAGGCTGGAGTGCACTGGCACGACCTCGGCTCGCTGCAATCCTCACCTCCCGGGTTCAGGCGATTCTCATGCCTCAGCCTCTCCAGTAGCCAGGATTACAGGCGTGCATCACCACACCCAGCTAATTTTTGTATTTTTAGTAGAGATGGGGTTTCACCATGTTGGCCAGGCTGGTCTCGAACTCCCAGCCTCAAGTGATCTGCCCGCCTCAGCTTCCCAAAGTGCTGGGATTACAGGTGTGAGCCACTGCACTGGGCCATCACTTAATATTTTTATTAAAAAATATATGAATTCTGGCCAAGTGCAGTGGCTCACACCTGTAATCCCAGCACTTTAGGAGGCCAAGGCGGGTGGACCACCTGAGGTCAGGAGTTTGAGACCAGCCTGGCCAACATGGCGAAACTGTCTCTACCAAAAATACAAAAATTAGCCTGGCATGGCGGTGCACCCCTGTAGTCCCAGCTACTCAGGAGGCTGAGGCAGGAGAATCTGTTGAACCTGGGAGGCAGCGACTGTAGTGAGCCAAGATCGTGCCATTACACTCCAGCCTAGGCAACAGAGTGAGACTCTGTCTTGAAAAAAAAAAAAAAAAAAAAAAAAAAAAATTTGTAAATTCTACTAAGTGTAAAGGTGTAACAAATTTCATGTAATAAAGTCAATAAACTTTCATTATTCAGAATTTTTTGGATGTGAGAATTGAAGATGAAGGACTGGGGACCTGAATTAGTAGTAATGTGATCCCATTTGTTAGAAAGGAAGGAACTAACATATGCATAAAAATATTTTTCTGGAAGCTTTTACAAAAAATTTTCAATGATTATCTCTGAGAAGTAGAAATGTAAGAAAAGAGGGCTACTTTTCACTTAAACTTCTACCAGTTTTTTGAAGATTTTATCATGAGATATATTACTTTGTAACTACAATTTCGAAACAAAAACAGTAAAACTAAGTTTGTAAACTATTTCTCAATTCCTTACACATTTTACCAACCTATGTAACTTTTTTATAGCTAACTCATTTCCTATAAGTTCACTGGCAGTCTGAGGTTGATACTTTTCTGTCCAAAGCATGTCTTCAGTTCCAGAATCTAAAGCAAAAAAAAAAAAAATTAAGGTATTCATTCCTTGACATAAACATATATGAATTATTAGTCATTTACATTATTGTTACAATGTCACAGTAGGTATTTGCAGAAATATTTATATTTACAAAATGCCAGAGGTACTTTTAAAACAACATTACATTTAAAATTCTTCACACCAAACCCTTCCCCCTAAAAAAAAATAACCACCATAATCTTATTAAAATATTAAAGTGTTAGCCAGGCGCGGTGGTTCACGCCTGTAATCCCAGCACTTTGGGAGGCTGAGGTGGGCGGATCACGAGGTCAGGAGATCGATACCATCCTGGCTAACACGGTGAAACCCCGTCTCTACTAAAAGTACAAAAAATTAGCCGGGCGTGGTGGCGGGGGCCTGTAGTCCCAGCTACTCGGGAGGCTGAGGCAGGAGAATGGTGTGAACCCGGGAGGCGGAGCTTGCAATGAGCGGAGATCGCGCCACTGCACTCTAGCCTGGGCGACAGAGCGAGACTCCGTCTCAAAAAAAAAAAAAAAAATTAAAGTGCACACTTAAACATTGGTTTTTTTTTTTTTAGGATTACCATCTGGCCCAGCAATCACATTACTGGGTATATACCCAAAGGAAAATAAACTGTTCTACCAAAAAGACACATGTACTCACATGTTTATATTTAGAACAGCAAAGAGACTGAACCTGGGAGACGGAGGTTGCAGTGAGCCAGGATTGTGCCACTGCACTCCAGCCTGAGCAACAGAGTGACAGTCCATCTCAAAAAAAAAAAAAGCAAAAATGGAATCAACCTAAGTGCCCAAAAATGGTGGATTGGATAAAGAATTTGTAGGACATATATACACCATGGGATAGTATGCAGCCATAAAAAAGAAAAAAATCATATCCTTTGCAGCAACATGGTTGCAGCTGGAGGCTATTATCCTAAGTGAATAAATGCAGAAACAGAAAACCAAATAATGCATGTTCTCCTTTATAAGCTGAACCTAAACACTGGGTACACATGGACATAAAGATGGGAACAAAAGACACTGGAGGCCACATGTGGTGGCTCACACTTATAATCCCAGCACTTTGGAAGGCCAAGGCAGGTAGATCACTTGAACCCAAGAGATCGGGATTGGCCTGGGCAACATAGTGTGACCCTGTCTCTTAACAACAACAAAAAAGACACTGGGGACTACAAAAGGGAGGAGGGAAGAAGTGAGGACAAGGGTTGAAAAACTATCTATTGGGCAGTATGTTCACTATTTGGGTGACAGGTTCAATTGAAGTCCAAATCTCAGCATCATGGAATGTATCCATGTAACAAACCTGCATATGTGCCCCTTGAGTTGAAAATTAAAAATAAATAGTTTTTTTCTTTTTTTAAGAGATGAGGTCTTGCTATGCTGCCCAGGCTGGACTGCAGTGGCTATTCACAAGCACAAACACAGCTCCCTGCATTCCTGAACTTCCAGACTCAAGCTCCCACCTCAGCCTCCTGAGTAGGTGGGACTACAGATGTGAGCCACCACAAACAGCAATATTTAAATTTTTAATAACCACTGAAGAAACATGAATGATGAGAAATAATTTGTGGCATAAAACCAATAATCGGGATGGGTGCAGTGGCTCATGCCTGTAATCCCAGCACTTTGGGAGGCCGAGGCGGGCAGATCACTTGAGATCAGGAGTTCGAGACCAGCCTGGCCAACATGGTGAAACCCCATCTCTACTAAAAATACAAAAAGTAGGCCGGGCTCGGTGGTTCACATCTGTAATCCCAGCACTTTGGGAGGCCGAGGTGGGAGGATCACTTGAGGTCAGGAGTTCGAGACCAGCCTGGCCAACACGGTGAAACCCCGTCACTACTAAAAATATAAAAATTAGCCAGGCGTGGTGGCACACGCCTGTAGTCCCAGCTACTAAAGAGGCTGAGGCAGGAGAATAGCTTGAACCTGGGAGGTGGAGGTTGCAGTGAGCCGAGATTGTGCCACTACACTCCAACCTGGGTGACAGAGCGAGACTTTGTCTCAAAAAAAAAAAAAAAAAAGCCGGACGCGGTGGCTCACGCCTGTAATCCCAGCATTTTCGGAGGCTGAGGAGGGTGGATCACAAGGTCAGGAGATCAAGACCATCCTGGCTAACACGGTGAAACCCCATCTCTACTAAAAATACAAAAAATTAGCCAGGCGTGGCAGCATGTACCTGTAGTCCCAGCTACTCAGGAAGCTGAGGCAGGAGGATGGTACGAACCCAGGAGGCGGAGCTTGCAGTGAGCCGAGATCGCGCCACTGCACTCCAGCATGGGCAACAGAGTGAGACTCTGTCTCAAAAAAAAAAAAAATACATAAAGTAGCCGAGCATGGTGGTGGGCTCCTGTAATCCCAGCTACTCAGGAGGCTGAGGCAGAAGAATCGCTTGAACTCAGGAGGTGGAGGCTGCAGTGAGTCCAGATCATGCTACCACAGTCCAGCCTGGGCATTTTGACTATGACCAGAGGTTAGATGTGGAATTTTCTTTTTTTCTTGAGACAGGGTCTTGCTCTGTTACCCAGCCTGGAGTAGTGGTGCAATCATGGCTCACTGCAGCCTTAACCTCAAGTGATCCTCTCACATCAGCCTCCTGTGGAGCTGAGACTACAGGCATGTGCCACCATGCCTAGCCAATTTTTTTTTCTTTTTTTTTTGGTAAAGGTGTGGTCTCCCTGTGTTGCTCAGCCTGGCCTCAAACTCCTAGGCTCAAGCAATGCTCCCACCTCGGCCTCTCAAAGTGCTGGGATTATAGGGATGAGCCATGGTGCCTGGCCCCAGGTATGGAATTTTCCACTTAGGGCACCATGTCAGCACTCAAAATGTTTTGGATTTTGGAGCATTTCAAATTTCAGATTTTTGGATTAGGGATATTCATCCTGTATAAAGCTATATAAATGAATAAATCAATAGCATACTTTGGAAAAGCTATATATACTGAATGGGGCTGGGCACGGTGGCTCATGCCTGTAATCCCAGCACTTTGGGAGGCCAAGGCGGGTGGATAACCTGAGGTTGGGAGTTCAAAACCAGCCTGACCAACATGGAGAAACCCAGTCTCTACTAAAAATACAGAATTAGCCGGGCGTGGTGGCACATGCCTATAATCCCAGTTACTCGGGAGGCTGAGGCAGGAGAATCGCTTGAATCCGGGAGGCAGAGGTTGCAACAATGAGCCAAGATCATGCCATGGCACTGCAGCCTAAGCAAAAAGAGCAAAACTGTCTCAAAAAAAGTAAATAAATAAACTGAATGAGAACATGTCAGAGATATGTAAAACATGGTGTAAAATAGTATGTATGGGATAAGACCATATTTTTTTTTCAACTTTGTTACCTTTTTTTTTGCCCCCTAGACGGAGTCTTGCTCTGTCTCCTGGGCTGGAGTGCAGTGGCGAGATCTTGGCTCACTGCAGCCTCCGCCTCCCAGGTTCAAGCGATTCTCCTGCCTCGGCCTCCCAAGTAGCTGGGATTACAGGCACGCACCACCACACCTGGTTAATTTTTGTATTTTTAGTAGAGACAGGGTTTTGCCATGTTGGCAGGCTGGTCTCAAACTCCTGACTGCAGGTGATCCACCCACCTCGGCCTCCCAAAGTGCTGGGATTACAGTTATGAGCCACTATGCCCGGACACTGTGTTACTTTTTTTTTTACTTTTTAATTTTAAAATTGTCATCCCTTCACTTGAGGTCAGTTTGAGGCCAGCCTGGCCAACATGGCGAAACCCCATCTCTACTAAAAATACCAAAAAAAAAAAAAAAATTGTCATCTTTGCACAAGGGGCCATGCTAATTTTCTCTGTATCATTCCAATTTTAGTATATGTGCTGCCAAAGCGAGCACAATACCAGATTTTTTTTAAAGCACATATATTGGCCGGGTGCAGTGGCTCATGCCTGTAATCCCAGCACTTTGGGAGGCCAAAGTGGGCAGATCATTTGAGGTCAGGAGTTCAAGACCTGCCCGGACCACACAGTGAAACCCTGTCTCTACTGAAAATACAAAATTTAGCTGGGCGTGGTGGCGTGCGCCTGTAGTCCCAGCTACTGAGGAGGCTGAGGCAGGAGAATCACTTGAACCCGGGAGGCAGAGGTTGCAGTGAGCTGAGATCAGGCAAGCGACGGAGAGAGATGCTGTCTCAAAAAATAAAAAATAAAAAAATAAAAGCACATGTATTTATGGAAGCACAGAAAAATCAAAGACTGAACACCTATCTGTTAATATGGTCATTTGTAAGCCCATAATCCGTGAGGTTCTATTTATTTCAAACACATATTTATTGTTTGAAAGTTGCAATGAGCAAAAGAAAAAAAAAAGAGAGAGAAGGAGAAAGAATGAAAAGTTAAAAAACAAAAAGAGTTCTAGGACTAGAAGGAAAAACTCGAATTTACCAGGAATGGAAGATGTTAATATTTCTGGTGCAGACTGTCATCATCTATTAGAATATCAAAATCTGCACTTTGGGAGGCCAAGGGCGGGGAGGGGGGTGGGGGGTGGATCACCTGAGGTCAGGAGTTTGAGACCAGCCTGGCCAACATGGTAAAACTCTGTCTCTACTAAAAATATAAAAATTACCTGGGCGTGGCCAGGCACGGTGGCTCACACCTGTAATCCCAGCACTTTGGGAGGCCGAGGTGGGTGAATAATGCGGTCAGGAGTTCGAGACCAGCCTGGCCAATTCCGTCTCTACTAAAAATACAAAAAGTTAGCTGGGCATGATGGTGGGCTCCAGCCCGGGCGACCGTGCAAGACTCCATCTCAAAAAAAAAAAAAAATTATCTGGGCGTGCAGGTGGGTGCCTGTAATCCCAGCTACCCGGGAGGCTGAAGCAGGAGAATCACCTGAACCCAGGAGGTGGAGGGACGTTGCAGTGAGCGAAGATCGTGCCATTGCACTCCAGCCTGGGTGACAAGAGAGAAACTGTGTCTCAAAAAAGAAAAAGAAAATCTAAAATTAAAATACAATTGAATTAAAATTTTTTAAAAAGCATATCAAAATCTTCTACTGCTTTGGTTTCCACTTTGCATGTCCTCAAAGCAATCTATTTCTTTTGGGATGTTTTAGAAAATATACCTTTGGAAGAATCTAGCTTTATCCCAGAAGAGTTGTTTCTTTTGCTAAGTTCTTCTGACTTCCTATTGGTCTTCTCCAGATTTTTTGAATACTCATTTGGTTTCTTTCTTTTTGACTTAGAATTTTCTGCTTCTACGAGTTTCCTTTTGGTTTCTTTATGGCTGACATCAGCCTCCAGTTCTGCTTTGGGAATTAAAGAAGTGCATGTGCTTACTAATCAACAAAAACCAGTAATATTAATATCACTTCCAAGTATCCAATAGTCTTGTAACTTTAAAATGCAAAGGCAATCCAGGTGCAGTGGCTCAGGCCTCTAATCCCAGAACTTTGGGAGGTTGAGGTGAGCGGATTGCTTGAGTCTACGCGTTTAAGACCAGCCTCGGTAACATGGGGAAACTCCATCTCTACTAAAGATACAAAAATCAGCCAGGGGTGGTGGCATGCACCTGTAGTCCCAGCTACTTGGGAGGCTGAGGTGGGAGGATCACATGAACCCGGGAGATCGAGGCTGCAGGGAGCCATGAAAACACCACTGTACTCTAGCCTGGGCGACAAAGTGAGACCCTGTCTCTTAAAAAATAAATAAATAGGCCAGGCGCGGTGGCTCACACCTGTAATCCCAGCACTTTGGGAGGCCAAGGTGGGTGGATCACCTGAGGTCAGGAGTTCAAGACCAGCCTGGCCAACATGTTGAAACCCCATCTCTACTAAAAATACAAAAATTAGCCAGGCATGGTGGCGTGTGCCTGTAATCTCAGCTACCTAGGAGGCAGAAGCAGGAGAATCGGTGGAACCTAGAAGGCTGAGGCTGCAGTGAGCCGAGATCACACCACTGCCTGGGCGGCAGAGCAAGACGCCGTCTCAAAAAATAAAAATAAATAAACAAACAAACAAACTGTATTCTAGCCTGGGCAACAAAGTGAGACCGTGTCTCTTAAAAAATAAATAAATAGGCCAGGTATGGTGGCTCATGCCTATAATCCCAGCAATTTGGGAGGCTGAGGCGAGTGAATCACTTGAGGTCAGGAGGTCGAGACCAGCCTGACCAACATGGTGAAACCCCATCTCTACTAAAAAATACAAAAATTAGAAAGGCATGGTGGCAGGTGCCTGCAATCTCAGCTACTAGGCAGGCTGAGACACCAGAATCACTCAAATCTGGGAGGCAGAGGTTGCACTGAGCTGAGATCGCGCCACTGCACTTCAGCCTGGGTGTCAGAGCAAGACTCTGTCTCAAAAAATAAATAAAATAAAATAAAATAAAAAGGCAAGAATCAAATATAACATACTGAAAGCAAGCTGGAGATTTTAATACTTAGACTGTCTTTTATACAAGCTATATAAGCTAAAATTATCTAAGGCATTCCTTAAGTACATAATATTTTAACATAATTAAAGCTATCTTTGAGTTGGCATTTTTGGAAACTGGCGGGGATTAATGTTGCACATTGCATTGTACAAGATACTTTTACTTCAGCTGAACAATTCTCCCTGCCAAGTGTAAGCAATGTTGTCTGTGGTGAACACTTCCAAGTGTCATTGGTTAAGTCTTAGTGTTTTTCAAAACTGACACGTTAGGCTGGGCGTGGTGACTCATGCCTGTAATCCCAGCACTTTGGGAAGCTAAGGCGAAAGGATCACTTGAGCCCAGGAGTTCAAGACCAGCCTGGGCAACATGGCAAGACCTGGTCTCTACCAAAAATACAAAAACTAGCCAGTCTCATAACCCAGTCTCAAGAGAATAAGTAAAAATTAAAAAATAAAATAAGCTAGGTGCAGTGGCGCAAGCCTGTGGTCCCAGCTACTCAGGAGGCTGAGACACAGGAATCACTTGAGCCCGGGAGGCGAAGGTTGCAGTGAGGCAAAGTTGCACCACTGCATTCCAGCCTGGGTGACAGAGCAACACTCTAAAAAAAAAGAAAAAATAGGCCAAGCGCAGTGGCTCATGCCTGTAATCCCAGCATTTTGGGGGGCTGAGGTAGATGGATCACCTGAGATCAAGAGTTCAAGACGAGCCTGGCCAACATGGTGAAACCCCATCTCTACTAAAAATACAAAAATTAGCAGGGCGTCATGGTGGGTGCCTGTAATCCCAGCTACTCAGGAGGCTGAGGCAGGAGAATCACTTGAACCCAGGAAGCAGAGGTTGCAGTGAGCCAGGTTTGTGCCACTGCACTCCAGCCAGGGCGACAAGAGCAAAACTCCGTCTCAGAAATAAAAATAAAATAATAAATAATATAAAAACCCAAAACTGGTATGTTAACATAAATGATAATAATTATCACTAACCTTGTTTACTATGACACTCGGAAGAAAGTACTTGGTGCTCAATTTGTTTTTTTAGGAGTAAGGGAAAATATTTTTTCAATGAAAATTCAGGATTTGACCACCTAATTTCCTCAAGCAAAAGATTTCTTACTTCTTCAGTAAATTCCTTCCTTGTCCTCATGAACTGCAATAAAGAATAAAATGCACAATAACAGACCAACATCATCTATTCATGTTAATTACAATACTACCAACCACTTTCTGTCCATCATAAATCAGTATCAACGTAAGATTAGCTTTAGGCCGGGCGTGGTGGCTCACGCCTATATTCCCAGCACTTTGGGAGGCCAAGAGACAGGTGGATCATCTGAAGTTAGGAGTTTGAGACCAGCCTAGCCAACATGGCAAAACCCCGTGTCTACTAAAAATACAAAAATTTGCTGGGCATGGTGGCGTGTGCCTGTAATTCCAGCTACTAGGGGGAGCTGAGGCAGGAGGATCGCTTGAACCCGGGAGGCAGAGGTTGCAGTGAGCCGAGATCGTGCCACTGTACTCCAGCCTGGGCAACAGGGTGAGACTCCAACTCAAAAAAAAAAAAAAAATAGCTTTAGTCACTAAATATAAAGCTTATGAAGAATTAATTTATTTTTCTCCCTTTGAACTAATTATATCTATTAGATTATATGACCTACTTATAAAGTATCTAAATGTGCTATGTAATCTAACATTCTTTGAGAACTGGCAATCATTAATTCTTAAAATGTTTTTAAAGCTCTATGGGTATTTAAAAGAAATGTGTACTACAATTAGGATTTATTTTTAAATATTAGGCTGGGTACAGTGGCTTACGCCTGTAACCCCAGCACTTTGTGAGGCCGAGGCGGGGGAATCACCTGAAGTAGGGAGTTCAAGACCAGCCTGACCAACATGGAGAAATTCCGTCTCTACTAAAAATACAAAAATTAGCCGGGCATGGTGGTGTGTGCCTGTAGTCCCAGCTACTCGGGAGGCTGAGGCAGAATTGCTTGAACTCGGGAAGCAGAGGTTGCAGTGAGCCAAGATTGCACCACTGCACTCCAGCCTGGGCAACAGAGGGAGACTCTGTCTCAAAAAAAAAAAAAATTAAACTCTAGGACAACACTCGAGGCTATAAGAGTAGATATCCAAAAATGTTTTTCCTCTGCAAGATGTAAGGGAAACACTCTACAATGGATGAACTATTTAATACTTACCACAGCAGCAGAGTTACCGCTTTTCAACTTTGAATTCAATGTTGAAAATTCACCAAGAGCAATACCACATTTTGAGAGATCTATTACTTTAGTGTTCAGTTCTTTAAATTTAGTTAAGAGAGGACAAGAGGGTGGTTTCAAATGCCACAAACAACACCCTAAAGAAAAATAGACAAATATCTTAATAAACCTTATTTATACACTATCCATTTACTGAATGTCAAATACGTAAACATGAAAAGTTGACAACTACATAATTAACACAAACATACCAAAAACCACATGACTATAAAGGGAACAAAATCCTACCCTCCAACAAATAGAATTAATAAAAATCACCTAGACTTCCCTTCCAGTTGTTTAAAACAAACAAATATTAACAAACTTTCCTTTCTTTTCAAATCAACCTTGATACTCAGGTTAAAACTTTTAGGAGGGCCAGGCGTGGTGGCTCACGCCTGTAATTCCAGCACTTTGGGAGGCCAAGGCAGGTGGATCACTTGAGGTCAGGAGTTCGAGACCAGCAATCCCAGCTACTCAGGAGGCTGAGGCAAGAGAATTGCTTGAACCCAGGAGACAGAGGTTGCAGTGAGCTGAGATCTCATCACTGCACTCCAGCCTGGGCAACAAAGCAAGACTCTGTCAAAACAAACAAACAAACAAACAAAAACCTTTTAAGAGGCAGTTAGCAACCTGGTCTAAAGTCTAAACTTTCAAGTTAGACCTGGATTCAAACCCAACCTCTGCCACTTACTAACCTTGTGAGCACTGGCGAGATCCTAAATCTTAGTTTCTTCATCCTTACATTCAAAGTGAGGGTGATAATTATAATACTCAACCTCTTAGAGTTGTTATCAGGATTAAACTAGATATGTATATGAATTGCTCAGCAGAATTCCAGACAATAGTAAGCGTTCAATAATTCTGAAGGTTGTAAGAGAGAGAGGTTCCCTCTGTGCTTGCCTCTCTGCTCATCTACAAATAGATATGCTAAGTTTTATGGCAGCACTCCTGTGAAAATGAGTTTATCAAAATGAGTCAAGAAAAGCATAACTAATTTCTACAGTTGAACATACTATTGGAAAATGCTATATAAAGCTGTACTAGTAAAAATAACAAGAAAGCCTTCATCAACTGAATGGCCAGTGGCAGAGATGGGAAATAAGAAAAAGTAGAATAAATTACTGAAAAGACTAGCTGGGAAATTCCCACGTACAGAAGAAAGGCTAAACTTTTTTTTTTTTTTCTTTTTTTGAGACAGGGTCTCGCTCTGTCACCTAGGCTGGAATGCAGTGGCATGATCATGGCTCACTGCAGCCTTGACCTCCTAGGCTCAAGTGATCCTCCCACCTCAGCCTCCCGAGTAGCTGGGACTACAGGCATACACCGTCATGCCCAGCAAATTTTAATTAATTAATTAATTAAGTTAGTTAGCTAGTTTAGAGACAGGATCTTGCTGTGTTGCCCAGGCTGGTCTCGAACTCCTGGGCTCAAGCTCTTCTCCTGCATTGTCCTCTCAAAGTTCTGGGATTACAGGCATGAGACACCACACCCAGCCTACACCATTTTATACAAGAAACTTGAGCATCCATGAGTGCTAGTATCCACAAGGGGGTCCTGGAATCAAACCCCATGGATAGTGAGAGAAATTGTCCTTAAAATTCCCACTAAAGTCACCATAAGAATGATAATTAAACTTCAGCCTCATCTTTAAGAAACTTACATAGTTTAATGTTCCTGCTAACAGCTGAAGAGTAAATATTCAATAATAAAAAACAAACTTACCATCATCCTTTTGTTGCACATGTACGACTCTCTGGAAACTGGTACTCACTGCATTGTACACATCCAGCGCAGCAGCTTTCTTTGCAATTTGCCGTTTCAACAAATCTGGCAAACCACTCATTAGGAAGTCACGCTTTGCTTTACATTGAACATCACAATCCTGAGATTTTTCAGATGTATCTTGACTTTTAAGAAAATGATTTGAAAAAGAAAAGCTAAGGTTATAAACATTTAAAGGAATAAACTATCTGGAAAATAAACATTTTTAGGGCTGGGCATGGTGGCTCATGCCTGTAATATAAGTACTTTGAGAGGCAGAGGTGGGCGGATCACTTAAGGCAAGGATTTCCAGACCAGCCTGGTCAACGTGGTGAAACCCCATCTCTACTAAAAATACAAAAATTAGCCAGGTGTGGTGGCAAATGCCTGTAATCCAAGCTACTTGGGTGGCTGAGGCACGAGAATCACTTGAGCCTGGAAAGCAGAGGTTGCAGTGAGTCAGGATCGCGCCACTGTACTCTATCTAGCCTTCCAGTCTGGGCAACAGAGTGAGACTGTCTCAAAAAATAACAAAAAACAAAACAAAACAAAACAAAACAAAAACCAGAAAAGAGAAGAAACACCTTTAAATTTAATTTTTAAAAATTAAATAAATTGGCAGGGCATGGTGGCTCACGCCTGTAATCCCAGCACTTTGGGAGGCCGAGGAGGGTGGATCACCTGAGGTCAGGAGTTTGAGACCAGCCTGGCCAACATGACGAAACGCCATCTCTACTAAAAATACAAAAATTAGCCGGGCATGGTGGCGGGTGCCTGTAATCCCACCTACTCAGGATGCTGAGGCAGGAGAATGGCTTAAACCCAGGGGGCAGAGGTTACAGGGAGCCGAGATCATGCCACTTCACTCCAGCCTGGGTGAAAGAGGGAGACTCCATCTCAAAAAAAAAAAAAAAAAAAATTTAAATTAATTTAATAAAATGTATTAAATAAATTCAATAAATTAGTATTTTAGGTAATAAATTTACCTAAATATAAAATATATATTAGGTAATTAATATAAAATGCTTAAATATTAGCTTTATCTATAAAATATAATTATATAATTTATATATAATTATATAAAAATTTTGTTTTAGATTTTATATAAGATATTGACAAATATTAATTTTTAAAATTTATTTAATACATTTAGGTAATAAAATTACCTAAAATATTAGCTGATCAAATTCTTTTTTGCTCATCACAAAAATGAAAGTCTACCCATGTTAAGAAATTAAATAAAAATAAATATGTATAGAAAAAAGTGACTTAAAGGACATCCACCAAAATGTTAACAGGGGCTATCTTTGGGTGGTAGGTGAGTTTTTTCCCTCTTGTCTTTTGTTTTCTTGCTAAACAATCAGAAAAAAAAAAAATCACTGTCATATTTCAAAAAG
This sequence comes from Homo sapiens, assembly GCF_000001405.40. NCBI lineage: Eukaryota > Metazoa > Chordata > Mammalia > Primates > Hominidae > Homo > Homo sapiens. The sequence goes on along the minus strand of NC_000017.11, from coordinate 30,853,891 downwards.
TTAATACAAGAACTTCTGATGTAATATTGTTCCCAATGTAACAGGAGGAAGAGTAGGGTCCTTATTATTGTCTCAGTTTTGCCCAGTTTATCTTCAGATTGCAAATCATAGGGAGGCTGACTACAGTGGCAGGAGTGGGACAGAGGCAAAAGGGTGGGGAGAATGGGAGGTTGGAGTAGTGGAAGATGGTGTGTCACAGCTTATATGTCCTTCCTAGCCTGCCTGTAGAAAGAACAAGACTCACAATATTCTGTGCAATTAGATATTTGGGCTGGTAATTCAAAAGAGACTACAAAAACTTTTTCTGTATTTCTGTTTTCTTTTCCTCTTTGAGTGAAATGAAGGGAAAATAAGCTATGAAGCCAGATAGATACTAAATGAGATATCTCTTTTCTTTTTTAGAAAAGAAGAAGTGTATTTTTTTTAACTGTTAATTGGCGGGAAGGAGGAAGATGGGTAAAGTTGTAGTTAAATTAGTATGTCTCTATAGCAGAAGGTAGGTGTTAAGGAGAGGGGTACAAGGTACTAATAAAAAATATACATATTATATATAATGTATCATATATTACATATATATTACATGCATATACATATATTACACACATATAAATAGTTTTAAATGTTTGTGTGTACACATATACATACATATATAGCTGGTATGGTTTGGATGTGTGTCCCCTCCAAATTTCATATTGAAATACAGGCCAGGCGCAGTGGCTCATGCCTGTAATCCCAGCACTTTGGGAGGCTGAGATGGACAGATCACCTGAGGTCAGGAGTTCAAGACCAGCCAGGCCAACATGGCGAAACCCCATCTCTACTAAAAATACAAAAATTAGCTGGCTGTGGTGGCAGGCGCCTGTAATCCCAGCTACTCGGGAGGCTGAGGCAGGGAGAATTGCTTTAACCTAGGAGGCGGAAGTTGCAGTGAGTCGAGATCATGCCATTGCACTCCAGCCTGGTCAAGAGAGGGAGATTCTGTCTCAAAAAAAAAAAAAAAGAAAGAAATATAACCTCCAATGTTGGAGGCAGGCCTAGGTGTTTGGGGTCATGGGGGCAGATCCCTCATGAACGGATTGGTGCTGTCCTCACAGTAATGAGTAACTTCTCCATCTATTAGTTCACCCGAGAGATGGTTGTTTAAAAGAGGCTGGTACCTCCTCCTCTCTCTTGCCACTTCTCTCGCCATGTGACAGGCCTGCTCTCCCTTCACCTTCTGCCATGAGTTGAAGATTACTGAGGCCTCACTAACAGCCAAGCCGATGCTGTACAACCATGCTTGTACAATCTACAGAGCTGTGAGCCAAATAAACCTCTTTTTCTCTATAAATTACCGAGTCTTAGGTATTCGTTTATGGGAATGCAAAACAGACAAACACAGTATCCTAACTTTATCTACTGAAAAGGCCTAGAAGCACTGCCACATCAGGAGCAATGAATTTAATGCTAGACCTTCGTCTCTAAATACCATCCTCCACGAAAAGGAACCAGGGGTCCACAGAGAAATGGCTAACTGCAGAGCTGAGACAAGGCAAGTAAAATAGAAGCCTAGAATATCTTCCTGTTCCAGAAATTAAGAAATGCTCCATAAATTATGAGGACATGTCAAAGGGACATAGAAACCAAGCTGAAGAGCTCACACTGGCCAAATTAAAAACAATTTGAGCATCAAAATAACTAATATGAATGGATTACAATCCACTGAATATAATAAAAATGAAGAAATAAGTGAATAAATAGATAAACTGAGGAGACAAAAAAGCTCTTATAGCAGCCAACTAACAAAGAAAGAATGACTGCAATAGAGAATTGCCATTTGGAAACCATCATCATGTGGTTAATTCCATTGGAATTCGTCAATATTAAGGCCCATAATTGCAGGTTTGATGAGAAACAAGATTTTGGCATTTGGCCAGGTGGGTGGCTCACATTTGTAACCCCAGCCAGGAGTTCAAGACCAGCCTGGGCAAAATAGTAAGATCTAGTCTCTATTTTTAAAAAAGCAAAAGAGGCCAGGCAAGATAGCTCATGCCTGTAATCCCAGCACTTTAGAAGGCTGAGGCGAGCAGATAACTTGAGACCAGGAGTTTGAGACAGCCTGGCCAACACGGCAAAACCCCGTCTCTACTAAGAGTACAAAAATTAGCCAGGTGTGGTGGTGCATACCTGTAATCCCAGCTACTTGGGAGGCTAAGGCACGATAATCACTTGAACCCGGGAGGCGGAGGATGCAGTGAGCCAAGATAGTGCCATTGCACTCCAAAGCAGTCCTCCTGTCTTGACCCTTGACCTCCTGCTCTCAAGCAATCTGCCCAACTCGGCCTCCCAGAGTGTTGGGATTACAGGTGTGAGCCACTATGCCTGGCCTACCCTTAGGATTTTTTTTTTTTTTTTTTGAGACAGAGTCTTGCTCTGTTGCCCAGGCTGGAGTGCAGTGGCGGGATCTCGGCTCACTGTAAGCTCCACCTCCCAGGTTCACGCCATTCTCCTGCCTCAGCCTCCCAAGTAGCTGGGACTACAGGCGCCCGCCACCACGCCTGGCTAATTTTTTGTATTTTTAGTAGAGATGGGGTTTCACCATGTTAGCCAGGATGGTCTTGATCTGCTGACCTCGTGATCCACACGCCTTGGCCTCCCAAAGTGCTGGGATTATAGATGTGAGCCACCGCACCCAGCTCAGAATTTTTAAATATATATTTTTAGAGACCGGCACGGTGGCTCACGCCTATAATCCCAGCACTTTGGGAGGCCGAGGCAGGTGGATTACCTGAGGTCAGGAGTTCAAGACCAGCCTGGCCAACATGGTGAAACCCCATCTCTACTAAAAATACAAAAAAAAATTAGCGGGGTGTGGTGGCACACCCCTGTAATCCCAGCTACTCGGGATGCTGAGGCAGGAGAATTGCTTGAGCCTGGGAGGCAGAGGTTGCAGTGAGTCGAGATCGTGCCACTGCACTCCAGCCTGGCTGACAGAGCAAGACTCTATCTCAAAAAAAAAAAAAAAAAAAAAAAAAAAAAAAAATATATATATATATATATATATATATATATATATATAAAAATATATAAATATAAATAATAATTTCTTTAAAATAATGATTTTTTAATATATGATTTGCAAATAAGGATAGTTTTACTTCTCCCCTTCCAAACCTTTATGTCCTTTTATATATTCTTCTTTCCTAATTGAACTATCCAGGACCTCTAGTAAGAGATGTCTTAGAGCTTGGAGGATATTACGTTAAGTGAAATAAGCTGAACACAGAAAGATAAATACCCCATGTTCTCACTCTTATGTGGAGACTAAAAAAGTTAACCTTAGCCTGGGTAACACAGCAACAACTTGTCTCTACCAAAAAAACAATTAGCTGGACATGGTGGTGCACATCTGTGGTTCCAGCTATTTGAGGGGCTGAGATGGCAGGATCACTTGAACCCAGGAGGTTGAGGCTGCAGTGAGCTGTGAGCACACCACTGCACTCCAGCCTGGGCAACAGAGCAAGTTGCTGCCTTTAAAAAAAAAAAAAAAAGAAGTCTCATAGAAGTAGAGAGTAGAATAGTGGTTAATAGAGGTGGGAGAGGGGAGGGGAGAGGGAGACATAGCCAGAGGTTGGTTAACAGATATAAAAGTATAGCTAGATAGGAGGAATAACTTCTAGTGTTCTACAGTACTATATGGTCACCATAATAAACAAAAATTTATTATATATTTTCAAATTTTGAAGAAGAGCAAAAAAAAAATTTTTTTTTAGCGACCGCATCTTGCTCTGTTACCCAAGCTGGAGTGCAGTGGCATGATTACAGCTCACTGCAGCCATGACCTCCCAGGCTCATGTGATCCTCCTGTCTCAGACTCCCAAGTAGCTGGGCCTATAGGCATACACCACCATGCCTGGCTAGTTGTTTACTTTTTTAAAGAGATGGAGTCCCACAGTGGTGCCCAGGCTGGTATTTTTCTGTTCTTATACCAATACAACACACTTCTATTACTGTAGGTTTGTTCAATGTCTTGAAATCAGGTAGTGTAGAGGCCTTCAAATTTTTCTTCTTTTTCAAGATTATCTTGTCTATTCTAGGTTCTTTGTGTCTTTTAAATGTTAGGTTTGTCAAACCCATAAACTGGACGTCATCAAACTTCTGTACTTCAAAAGACACAACAAATAAAAAGGCAAGGTAATATATTTGCAAAACATGTATCTGACAGAGGACATGTAGTCAGAATATATAAAGAATCCTCACAACTCAACAAGAAGAAAGACAAGTCAGTAAGAAAAGGGGCAAAAGATTTCCCTAAGGAAGACATACAAAAGGCCAATAATCACAAGATGTTCACCATCAGTAGACATGAGAAAAATGAAAATTAAAACTATGAGATATGACTACATAGCCATTCAAATATATAAAATTAAAAAGAGAAATGAAGATGTATATCCACACAAAGACTTATACATGAATGTTCATAGCAGCTTTATTCCCAATAGCTTCAAATTGCAAACAGCTGGGTGCAGCGGTGCACGTTTGAGTCCCAGCTGCTCAGGAGACTGAGGAAGGAAGATTGCTTGAGCCCAGGAGTTCAAGGCCAGGCTGAGAAACACAGCAAGACTCCATCTCTTATAGTGGAGGGAAAAGACAAAAGGAAACAATCCAGATGTCCATTAATAGGTGTATGGAGAGACAAAAAGTGGTATATCCATACAATGAATACTACTGAGCAAAAATATAGCCAGGCACGGTGGCTCACACCTGTAATCCTAGCACTTTGGGAGGCCGAGGCAGGCAGATCACTGGAGGTCAGGAATTCGAAATCAGTCTGGCCAACATGGTGAAACCCTGCCTCTACAAAAAATACAAAAATTAGCCGAGCATGGTGGCGTAGGCCTGTCGTCCCAGCTACTCAGGAGGCTGATGCACAAGAATCACTTGAACCCGGAAGGCGGAGACTGCAGTGAGCCAAGATCATGCCACTGTACTCCAGTCTGGGCGACAGAGCGAGACTCTGTCTCAAAACAAAAAAAGAAAAGAAAAAGAAAACTAATGATATATTTGACAACATGAATAAATCTCAAAATCATCATGCCACCTACAAGAAGCCAGACACAAAAGAGCATATACTATATGATTTCATTAATATAAAATTCTAGAAAATATAAATTAGTATAAAGAAAAGAGACTAGCGTTTGCCTGGGTTGGGGCCACTTAGAGAACAGACTACAAAAGAGCATGACAAGTCTGAGGCAGGCAATGGAAATAACTTGGTATCTTGATTATGGTGGTTTCACTGGGTGTACAACTGACAAAGCTCACCAAAATACACACTTTGAATTGATAGAATTGACCTTGCCTTGTGGCTCACGCCTGTAATCCCAACACTTTGGGAGGCCAAGGTGGGTAGATCACCTGAGTCCAAGAGTTTGAGACCAGCCTGGGCAACATGGCAAAACCCTGTCTCTACCAAAGAAAAAAAAATACAAAAAATTAGTGGGGCATGGTGGCACATGCCTGTAGTCCCAGCTACTTGGGAGGCTGAGGTGGGAGGGACGATCACCTGACCCTTGGAGGTCACGGCTACAGTAAGCTGTAATTGCGCCACTATACTCCAGTCTGGGGATGACAGAGTGAGACTCCGTCTCAAAAAAAAAAAAGCCTGATAATGCCAAGTGTTATCAAAGATAGGCAGCTACCAGAACGCTTATACATTGCTGGTGGGAGTGTAAAACCGAACAACAACTTGGGACAACAGTTTGCCAGGTTCTTATAATGTTAAACATGTACCTCCCTAATGACAGAGCAATTCCACTTCTAGGTATTTATTTACCCAAGAAAAATGAGAACACTTGTCCATACATGTGTATAAGAATGTTCATAGCAGTCAGGCGGAGCGCGGTGGCTCGCGCTTGTAATCCCAGCACTTTGGGAGGCCGAGGTGGGTGGATCATGAGGTCAGGAGATCGAGACCATCCTGGCTAACATGGTGAAACCCCATCTCTACTAAAAATACAAAAAAATTAGCCAGGCGTGGTGACAGGCGCCTGCAGTCCCAGCTACTCGGGAGGCTGAGGCAGGAGAATGGCATAAACCCGGGGGGCGGAGGTTACAGTGAGCCTAGACTGTGCCACTGCACTCCAGCCTGGGCGACAGAGTGAGACTCTGTCTCAAAAAAAAAAAAAAAAAAAATGTTCATAGCAGTCTATTTAATAATAGCCAAATACTGAAAATAACCCAAATGCCCATTAATAAAGAATAAATAAAAAATATTGCAGTAGGCCAGGCACAGTGGCTCATGCCTGTAATCTCAGCACTTTGGGAGGCCGAGGCAGGCGGATCACGAGGTCAGGAGTTCAAGACCAGCCTGGCCAACATAGTGAAACCCCGTTTCTACTAAAAATACAAAAAATTAGCCAGGCGTGGTGGCGGATGCCTGTAATCCCAGCTACTCGGGAGTCTGAGGCAGGAGAATCGCTTGAACCCAGGAAGCGGAGGTTACAGTGAGCGGACATCGCGCCACTGCACTCCAGCCTGGGCGACAGTGCAAGACTCCATCTCTCTCTCTCTCTCTCTCTCTCTATATATATATAGCGGCATATTCATATGAGTACTACTTAACTACGAAAAAGAACAGACAACTGATATGCTACCTTGCCAAAGAAACTAGAGACAAAAGTATACCTACTGCAGGATTTCATTTATATGAGAGTCTAGAAAAGGCAAACTAGTCTATACCAACAGAAAGCAGATAAGAGATTGCATGGGATTGGGCAGAAATTAACTGCAATGAGGCACAAGAAGACTTTTTTTTGAGAGTGATGAAAATGTTCTATATTTTTATTGTGGTGGTAATTACAGGTATGTACATTTGTCAAAACTCAAACTGTGGGCCAGGCACGGTGGCTCATACCTGTAATCCCAGCACTATGGGAGGCTGAGGGGGCCAGATCACCTGAGGTCAGGAGTTAGAGACCAGCCCGACCAACATGGAAAAACCCCATCTCTACTAAAATACAAAATTAGCCAGGCGTGGTGGCACATGCCTGTAATCCCAGCTACTCGGGAAGCTGAGGCAGAAGAATCACTTGAACCTGGGAGGTGGAGGTTGCGGTGAGCTGATATCACACCATCGCACTCCAGCCTGGGCAACAAGAGCGAAACTCCGTCTCAAAAAAAAAAAAAAAAGAGAGAAAAATTCAAACTGTTGGCTGGACACGGTGGCTCACGCCTATAATCCCAGCACTTTGGGAGGCCAAGGCAGGCGGATCACAAGGTCAAGAGATCGAGACAATCCTGGCCAACATGGTGAAACCCCATCTCTACTAAAAATACAAAAATTAGCTGGGCATGGTGGTGCGTGCCTGTAGTCCCAGCTACTCAGGAGGCTAAGACAGGAGAATCGCTTGAACCCGGGAGGCAGAGGTTGCAGTGAGCCGAGATCACGCCACTGCACTCCAGCCTAGTGACAGAGTGAGACTCCGTCTAAAAAAAAAAAAGAAAAAAAAAAAAACCTCAAACTCTTTACTTAAAATGGGCACATATTATTATATGGACAATATAACTGAATGAAGTTGATTTAAAAATATGTATGTGTGCATTTGTTTGTGGGCGTGTATACTATGCAAAAGCAGCCAGACACAAAATAATATATATATGAAGTTTATGTGATGTTCTAGAATAGACACAATTAATCTATGGTAATAGAAATCAAACTAATTGATGGAAATAGAAATCGAATATTTTGGTAATCTTGTGGTGATGGTGGTGGTGGGGATAATAGGAAAGAGCACACAAAACCTTTCTGAGCTAAAAAGAAGATTGTTATTTCTTGATAAGATGCACTTGTCAAAACTGCATACTTAAGATATGTGTGCTTAACAATATATAATTACACCTCAGTAAAACTTGAACAGAAAAAAAGATAATCTAAACCCATGTTGCTCCTAGACCTGACCTTCCATCATGCCACCCAGGCGCATAAACTAGAACTTACATGTCATCCTATACCTTCCTCTCCCACACTCTCACTCCCACAAATCTCATTAATCATCGAGGGATTTTTAATTCATCTCCTAAAATCTTTTCATATGTCATTCCCAACAACCTAGTCCTTACCTCCATCATCTCACAATACCTGGACTCCTACATCTACTCTAACCCCTCTTCCATTCCATTCTTTATCCAGCAGGCCAATTAAACTTCTAAAATCCAAATCTGTTTAGGTCTATATTTATGTTTAAAACCCTTTGGCTGCTTCTTATTTGCTCTTAATATAATGATAAAATCCCTTAACATGGCCTCCTAGGTCCTACATTGGCTGGCACCCACCTCTCACCCTTGTTCTCTGTGCTCTAGTCACACTAGCATTCTATCAGTTTTTGGTATTTAGCAAGTTCCTTCCAGCTACAGAGACTTTACATAGACAGTTCTCTCTGGCTGAAACACAGTTCCTCCTCCTGATGAACTCCTGCTCATCCCTCAGATTTCAGTTCAGACATCATTTCCTCATTGAAGTCTTCTTTAATCAGACCAACCCTCCTCAATATGAATTATACCTCTCCTTAGCACAACTGCAATTTTTCATTTGTTGACCCAATGAATGTTTAATCATAGACCATCTTCCATCTCCACTTAAGCCACAGGAGGACAGGGAATGTGTCCTGTCTTATCCCCATAATATCTCTGATACCAAAAACAGTACCTGGTACATACTAGTAGGTATTTAAATATTTACTGAATAAAATTCATTATCAGCTTTTTTGTATTTTTGGTTTGCTTATTTTTCTGTTTTGTCTAGCGATGGCCAAAGCACTTGCAAAAAACCAAGATATTCAAATAGCAGTTGCAGCACTGTCAATATTGTCAACTTTGAAACTGGACTTACTAGAGCTTCAAATGATAATTCACATGCTTTCTCATCAAAGTAAACACATCAATACAAATACATTCTATAAAATATTTTGGCATTTAAAAATTTGTATTGGACTGACCTGCTTTCATCAAAACTAGGGACAGGATCAGCTGCTTTTTGTGCTTTTCTGACAAGAAATAAAGGAGCGACTTTCATTTTTCCTTAGAAAAATAAATACTTGGGTTAGTATCAATGTTTACCATCTCCACCTTCAGCTACTTTCTTTTTTTTTTTTTTTTTTTTTTTTTGAGATGGAGTCTCACTCTGTAGCCCAAGCTGGAGTGCAGTGCCACGATCTTGGCTCACTGCAACCTCCACCTCCAGGGCTCAAGTGATTCTCATGCCTCAGCCTCCCGAGTAGCTGGAACTACGGGTACCTACCACCACACCCAGCTAATTTTTTGTATTTTAGTAGAGCAAGACTCTGTCACAAAAAAAAAAAAAGAAAAACTCTTCACTATACCATAACTTTACTTACTAAAATAGAAATATAATACAGTTAAAATTTTACATAAGATACTAAATTTCAATCATAAGCACGTTCAGAATAATACCCCAAAACACAGGCCGGGTGCAGTGGCTCATGCCTGTAATCCCAGCACTTTGGGAAGCCAAGACAGGCAGATCACAAGGTCAGGAGTTCGAGACCAGCCTGGCTAACATGGTGAAACCCCGTCTCTACTAAAAATACAAAAAATTAGCCGGGCATGGTGGTGGGTGCCTGTAGTCCCAGCTACTCAGGAGGCTGAGGCAGGAGAATCACTTGAACTTAGGAGGTGGAGGCTGCAGTGAGCCGAGATCCCGCCGGCGCTGCACTCCAGCCTGAGTGACAAAGCGAGACTCCGTCTCAAAAATAAATAAATAAATAAATAAATACCCCAGAACACAAAAACAAAACAAAACAAAAACCCCAAAACATTCTAATATACATCATAAATATTATTAACTCTGATTACCAGGTACATTTTTAGTGGATGTGTTAAGTTTTTTTCCTAGCACATCATTCAAACACTGAAGTTTCTTCTGATTTTTCTCTGGATGCTTTAAAGCAGTAGGACTTGAATCTATTATTATAACAGAATCCTAAGACAAAATAAGAGAATAAATTTTAATTAAATCATATAATTAATATCATTGAAATTTCAAAAGAATCACAGTGATAGAAACCACAGAAAACATAATTAGCAGCTCCATACACCTCCCATCAGATATTATCTCATTGAAACAGAAAACACACAATAGAATAGCAGGAGTCCATGCTTACATCAAACAAGTTTATATGATATCAGGGTACGTTTATTATGACCATGGGCTTTCTTTTTTATTTTTATTCTTTTTTTTTTTTTGAAATGGAGTCTCTCTCTGTCGCCCAGGCTGGAGTGCAGTGGTGTACTCTTGGCTCACTGCAACCTCCGCCTCCCGTGTTCAAGTGATTCTCCTGCCTCAGCCTCCCAAGTAGCTGGGATTGGAGGTGCGCGCCACCACGCCCAGCTAATTTTTGTATTTTTAGTAGACATGGGGTTTCGCCATGTTGGCCAGGCTGGTCTCGAACTCCTGACAGGTGATCCGCCTGCCTCAGCCTCTCAAAGTGCGGGGATTACAGGAGTGAGCCACCGCACCTGGCCTCATGTGTTTTTTTAAATTGTGACAGGGTCTCACTCTGCCACCCAAGGTGGAGTGCAGTAACATGATCATGGCTCACTGCAGCCTCAAACTCCCGACCTCAAGCCATCCTCCCACCTCAGCTGCCCAAGAAGCCAGGACTACAGGCGCACACCACCACACCTGGCTAATTTTTGTGTTCTTTGCAGAGCCAGGTTCTCCCTATGTTGACCAGGCTGGTCTCGAACTCCTGGGCTCAGGCAATCCTCCCACCTTGGCCTCCCAAAGTGCTGGGATTACAGGCGTGAGCCACCAGGCCCAAAAAGGCTTTCTTTTTTGAAAAAGCAACTAATGCCGGACGGTGGTTCACGCCTGTAATCTCAGCACTTGGGGAGGCCAAGGCAGGGGGGATTACCTGAGGTCAGGAGTTCAAGACCAGCCTGAGAAACATGGAGAAACCCCGTCTCTACTAAAAATACAAAATTAGCCAGGTGTGATGGTGCATGCCTGTAATCCCAGCTACTCGAGAGGCTGAGGCAGGAGAATCGCTTGAACCCAGGAAGTGGAGGTTTCAGTGAGCTGAGATCGCGCCATTAACTCTAGCCTGGGCAACAAGAGCAAAACTCTGTCTAAAAAATAAAGCAACTAACATATGACCTGGTATTCATATGCAGAAAATTTTTAAAAAGCAACTAACAGACTGTACTCCAAATAAAACAGTCAATATGACCAAGCTATAAAAAGTCTGGTTATAGCCCTGTTGGAACTGTACATCCTAGAAATGTAATGAAGTCTGTGATTTTCCTGTCATCAGCATAGATTTACCGAGCACTTACCATATGTGAAGCAATATAGAAGAAATTGGGAATACACAGACAAAATTCAAGAATTGGCATCAAATGTTACATCTGAATGTAGGGGAGAGAGGGAGAGCTAGCCCATGAGCAGATAGTTTAACTAGTTATAATACAGCATGGTGAGTGCACCATCAACACAAAAAAATATACAAAAGTACATATCAGGAAAGAAAATATTTGTCTTGAAGGCATCAGCAAGCACAGTATTCATTATTTTCACTATTTTATTTTATTTATTATTTATTTATTTATTTATTTATTTATTTTTGAGATGGAGTCTCACTCTGTTACCCAGGCTGGAAGGCAATGGTGTGGTCTCAGCTCACTGCAACCTCCGCCTCCCGGGTTCAAGTGATTCTTCTGCCTCAGCCTCCTGAGTAGCTGAGATTACGGGCTCGCGCCACCATGCCCGGCTAATGTTTGTATTTTTAGTAAAGACGGGGTTTCACCATGTTGGTCAGACTGGTCTCAAACTCCTGACCTCGTGATCCTCCCGCCTCAGCCTCTCAAAGTGCTGGGATTACAGGTGTGAGCCACTGTGCCCATCCCATTATTTTATTTTTTTAATTTGTTTTTATTTTTCTTTTTATATATTCAACCAGAAGAGTCTTGAATACAAGCACAGCTTTGAAGAGGAGGGGGTAAAATGTTCAGAATAGCCAAAAAGTGAAAACAACCCAAATGTCCATCAGGTGATGAATGGGATATTTGGCAACAGAAAGAAAAGAAATACTGAGGCTGTAACATAAATCTTGAAAACACATCCTAAGTAATAGAAGCCAGACACAAAAAACCACATGCTATATGATACCATTGATATGAAATGTCCAGAACAAGCAAATCTACAGAGACAGAAGCAGGTTAGTAGTTAGCTATGGCTGGTGGAATGAGGGGATTGGGGGGTGACAACCAAGAAGAAAAGAGTCTATTTTTGGGGAAATGAAAATGTTCCAAAATTGACTACGGTAATGGATGCACAACTCTTCCAATATACAAAAGTCACTGAATTGTACACTTTAAATGGTGAAATGCATGTATATGAATTATATCTCAAACTATTTTATTAGAAAGAGGTACTGGCAGTTAGCAGGATCTCAAAGTTTAAGTAGGAATTCCTCACATAGAAGAGAGTACTTGGAACGTATATTTCAAGCTGATAACAATAAAACAAATACCGTGAAAACTGCACCATTTAGGGAGAAATGAACAATTCTGTGTGACTAGAGCAAAGAGTCGTTTTGAAGAAAGGCAAGAGGGCTGGCACCCTAGTAGGCCAAGGCAGGTGGATCACCTGAGGTCAGGAGTTCAAAACCAGCCTGGCCAATCACTGTGAAACCCTGTCTCTACCAAAAATACAAAACTGGCCGGGCATGGTGGTACACACTCGTAATCTCAGCTACTTGGGAGGCCGAGGCAGGAGAATCGCTCGAACCCAGGAGGCAGAAGTTGCAGTGAGCCGAGATCCAGCCATTGCACTCTCGCCTGGGCAACAAGAGCGAAACTCTGTCTCAAAAAAAAAAAAGGAAGAGGTAGTTCAGCTTATGAAAGATCTTGAGTGACTTAAGAAGGATTCAAACTGTATTCTGCAGACAAAAAAAAGCAGAAGGCTTTTAAAGCAAAACTGAAAATGATATTCTCTCTACCACTTCAAGCTATCACACAAACCTACCTTATAACTTTATAATGGTTTCCTTCTCCCACTCCAAACAGCAAAATAGGAGAGAATTTATACCAACAGATATTTATAATACTTACTTCTGTTTCTGACAATTTCTTCCTTTCAGGAAGTGTCTGATGTCTAGAGGAGCGCCTTAAGGGTATCGCTATTTCTTCAGTCACCTTTGACCTACTGATGTGTAAAGCTTTTGCTTTTTCAATCAATTGTTTTGCTTTTGATATGTTTTTTGAAGTATTGCTTGCCTAAACAAAAAATTGAAACATTAATTTACATCACAAGAAAATATTTTATATTTAATAATAGAAAAAAATACAATCACAAATCACATTAAATAATCAACAAAGAAATGGTTATTCAAATCTTACCAGGGGCCTTAAATTGAAATGTGTCTAGTTATCATTAGTTTGCCTTTATTTCTTACTTGAAATCATCCAGGTAAATATATTTACATGTGAGCAAAACACCCAAGAGGATGTCTGTAGTATAGACTTGGCAATCTATTTTTTAATTTTAGTCACCAAATTCAGGCAAAGTACTTTCCAAATCCAAACAGTTACCCAGCCTACTATATGAATGGCTCTAGGCTGGATACTATAAAGAAAACAGTATTATAATACATGGACCTTGGCCTCAAGGTTGTTTTTTTTTTTTTTTTTTTTTTTTAACAGAGTCTAGCTCTGCTGCCAAGGCTAGAGTGCAGTGGCATGATCTCGGCTCAGTGCAACCTCTGCCTCCCGAGTTCAAGTGATTCTCCTGCCTCAGCCTCCCAAGTAGCTGGGACTACAGGTGCACACCACCACACCCAGCTAATTTTCGTATTTTTAGTAGAGATGGGGTTCGCCATGTTGGCCAGGCTGGTCTCAAACTCCTGACCTCAGGTGATCTGCCTGCCTTAGCCTCCCAAAGTGCTGGGATTACAGGCGTGAGCCACCACACCCAGCCTCAAGCTTCTTATATATGATAAAGAAGAAAGAGTCTGGACACAGTGGCTCATGCCTCTAATTCCAGCACTTTGGGAGGCCGAGGTGGGTGGATCACCTGAAGTCAGGAGTTCCAGACATCCCTGGGTCAACATGGCGAAACCCCCGTCTCTACTAAAAATAACAAAAATTAGCTGGGCTTGGTGGCGGGCGTCTGTAATCCCAACGACTTGGGGCGGCTGAGGCAGGAGAATCCGCTTGAACCCAGGAAGCCGAGGTTGCAGTGAGCCAAAATCGCGCCATTGCACTCCAGCCTGGGCAACAAGAGGGAAACTCCATCTCAAAAAAAAAAAAAAAAGAAGATGGCCGGGTGCAGTGTCTCACGCCTGTAATCCCAGCACTTTGGGAGGCCGAGGTGGGCAGATCACAAGGTCAGGAGATGGAGACCATCCTGGCTAACACGGTGAAACCCCATCTCTACTAAAAATACAAAAATTAGCTGGGCATGGAGGCGGGTGCCTGTAGTCCCAGCTACTCAGGAGGCTAAGGCAGGAGAATGGCGTGAAGCAGAGTGCAGTGAGCCGAGACCGTGCCACTGCACTCCAGCCTGGGCAACACAGCAAGACTCCGTCTCAAAAAGAAAAAAAAAAAAGATATATCTATTTAAGCAGAGAAAAAATATCTGGAGAGAAAAAAATCTAACTATTAAACTATTATCTGAAAGGATAAACAATAAGCTGTTATGAATATGGGGCTCTTAGGGGAACCAGTTTACTCCTTATTCTCATAGAAACATTAAAAATCTGGCCAGGCACAGTGGCTCATGCCTGAATACCAACCAGCACAGCACTGTGGGAGTCCAAGGCTGGAGGATTGCTTGAGGCTAGCAGTTCGAGACCAGCCTGGGCAAAATAGCAAGACCCTGTCTCTACAAAAATAACAAACGAAAAGAAAAAAGAAATAAAAAAGAAAAATCTCACCCAGAAAATTACTAAGATTTTCTCCTAGAGCTAGTACACAAGGCTGGATAAGTCTTCAGTGAACAACAAGGGCCCTGTGGTAAGAAGTCCATTGACAGAGTATGAGATAAAATAACTGATCTAAGTAAGTTTGGATAAAGGTCCCAATTTGGATACATTTAATTTTGAGACTTCTCTTGCTGGAAAATTTACTATTAAATCCCAATTTTAAGTAGTACATGAGGCAAACCAAGGTATAATTATCTCTAAAAAAATTAAAGTTGAAGCTGTCCTCTAGAATGAAATCAAGAAGAATAAAATATGTGGGACAAAGTTCACCAAAGAGACTTTCAACCTTTAGCTGTAGTACAATCAGCTGGCATCTCGCATGTTTTCCAAAAGACTAAAGACCGTCTTTCTAACTGCTTGTAGTTGTATAACTCTAGGAAAGACACTTCCCAGAATCACAAATAAAAACACGTTTCCTCACCCTATGAACTAACAGCAAGTTTCTTCATCTATAAAAAAGGGTTAAATAATATTTACTTTATGAGATTAATGATGTGAGTACTAAGCACACTGCCTAGAATGTGGTAAGATGCCAAAAAATGACAGCTGTTAAATAAAACCAAAGGAGATACCAATGTAGCAGTGGTTTTCACTCAAGGATTAATTCAGAGTCACCTTGGTGGCTTTTTCGAAATACACATACCTGTACCTACTCCAATTCTGCCATGGTGGGGACAAGGAGCTTATTTTGCCGAAACAACTAAACCATTCTTATGTATCTTACTTCTCCCTTTAGAGCTGTAGTTTTTCAAGTGGAAGTGATTATTTTCCCCTCCGAGGGATATTTAGCAATGTCTGGACACATTTTTGGTTGTCATTATACAGGAGTTAGTTGGGTGCTACTGGCATCTTATGGATAGAGGCCAGAGTGTTGCTAAACATCCTACAATGCACAGGACAGCCCTCCACAGTAAAGAATTATCCAGCCAAAATGTCAATAATAGCAAGGTTGAGAAACTCTGCTTTTCAGTCTCTATAATCTATAGAAATAAATGAAAAATTCAATCATGACCTATAGGCAGTGTTACAGACTGAATACATCCCCTGAAAATTCATATGT
Organism: Homo sapiens; assembly: GCF_000001405.40. Taxonomy (NCBI): domain Eukaryota; kingdom Metazoa; phylum Chordata; class Mammalia; order Primates; family Hominidae; genus Homo; species Homo sapiens. The sequence goes on along the minus strand of NC_000017.11, from coordinate 30,837,850 downwards.
TGGAATCCTAACCCACTATGTAATGGTATTAGGAGGTAGGGCCTTTAGGAGGTGATTAGGTCATGAGGGTGGAGACCCCTCTCTCTAGCTGTTCTCTACCATGTGAGAAAACAAGAAGACAGCTTCACCAGACACTGCATAGCTGATGCTTTGATCGTGCATTTCTCAATCCCCATAACTGTGAGAAATATGTTTCTGTTGTTTAAGCCACTCAGTCTATGGTAATTTGCTACAGGAGCCCAAACTAAGATCGGCAGTGTTAGGAAAAATGATCACGATGTAAACTCACTAAGAAAGCTTTTTATAAGTAAATTATACTCTGCCTTTATCAATTGCTTTCACCTCACAATAAGATATCTTAATTAACTAGAGGAACAGGATAATAGTGAAAAATATCATAGGGTTGTAGTTAACCAATTTATGAAATACATGAATTTTATTTTGGCTCATTACTTCCCATAGTAATGTGGGGGTTTTTTGTTTGTTTTTTAAGGAAACAGAATGGCACTTATAGGACTCTCTAATATTTTAATTACCTTTCTAATCTGAGAAGTAAAACCTCCATCAGTTGCTTCAGATTTCTCAGATCTTTTGTTAGATTTTTTCTTAGATTTTTTGGGAGTACTAATTCTGGTGAATTTCATTCTGAAATAAAAATAAGGTATTCAGAAACATTTTCATGATTATAACATACACAAGAATCTCAATTAAATATAGATAAAATAGAGCTGGTGCAGTGGCATCTGCATGTAATCCCAGCTACTCAGGACCCTAATATGGAAGGATTGCTTGACCCCAGGAGTTCAAGACCAGCCTGGGCAACACAGTGAGAACTTGTTTCCAGAGAGATAGATAGAGATGCATAGACAGATAGATAGACAGCAAAGAACCAACTAGGGCTCCAATTTCTGGAATGTTCTGAAACAGGAGGAAAAAAATAATTCCCATCAGTTTCAAACCACTGATTCAAAAGTAATCAAACTTGCCGGGTGTGGTGGCTCACACCTGTAAACCCAGTACTTTGGGAGGCCGAGGCAGGCAGATCACTTGAGGTCAGGAGTTCGAGACTGGCCTGGCCAACATGGTAAAACCCCGTCTCTACTAAAAATACAAAGATCAGCCGGGTATGGTGGCACGCACCTGTAATCCCAGCTACTCAGGAGGCTGAGGCACGAGAATCACTTGAACCCAGAAGGTGGAGGTTGTCGTGAGCTGAGATTGTGCTACTGCACTCCAGACTGGACAACAGTGAGTGAGACTCCATCTCAAAATAAAATAAAATTAAATTAAATTAAAAATTAAAATTAAAAAAAAAATTTAATTACATGTGGCAAACAAAGAAGCATTTTTGAAGCTCTGTTCTTTTTCTTCCAGGCCGGGCGCAGTGGCTCACGACTATAATCCCAGCACTTTGGGAGGCCGGGTGGGTGGATTGCTTGAGGTCAGGGGTTCAAGACCAGCCTGACCAACACGGTGAAACCCCATGTCTACTAAAAATACAAAAATTAGCTGGGCGTGGTGGCGGGTGCCTGTAGTCCCAGCTACTTGGGAGGCTAAGGCAGGAGAATTGCTTGAACCTGGGAGGTGGAGGTTGCAGTGAGCCGAGATTGCCCCACTGCACTCCAGCCTGGGCGACACAGCAAGACTCCATCTCAAAGAAAAAAAAAAAAGAAATCCTGTTCTTTTTCTTTTAAACAGCTGTGTTCTAGAAAAAAAAATACCCTCCAATACTTGAAGCATTTTTGTCCCCAGCTAATAATACATGCAGAATACTAGAACGTTAGAACAAAAACAAACCTTACCTAATAGGGCTCTCTGAATCAAAGGGTACTGTTATTAATTCTGCTGTATATAAGCTGTGCTTTTCCGATAAGTTGGCTGCTTTTTGAGTGGAAGCCTTTAGTTGACTATTATCTTGTACATCGTCAGAATCAATACCTCTAATGGTTTCTGTAGTAGGTGTGCTGCTAATTCTTCCAGATCTTCTAGTTGACTTGGGCGTGGAAACATTTAGCAAGCTGGCTTCAGATTCAGCTTTAGACTGTGTAAGCTTAATATCTTTAACTGGTATGCTGGTTTTTCTTGACAATTTATTATTGTTACACAGAGAGGAAACCTTTAGAAGGTCATCATTTGCTATATCTTCATAAACAAGACTTTCATTGTTAAATAAAGTGCTGCTTTTGAAAAACTCTGTTTTCCTTTGTCTTAAACTCATTCTATTTTGATATTGTTTCTCTTTTAAGAAAAAGGTTGTTTCTTTCTTTTGAGTGTTTCCCTCTCTGTTTTTGCCTGGAATAGCCCCAGTATCTAATGTTTTCTTATTCTTCTTCTTTAGCTTTTTATTTTTCTCCTTCAGAAAACTTCCTTTATCAGTGTGTAACTGTAAATTGCCATTTTTTGAAACCATTTGGATACCAGAATTTTCCATGATTTTTTTAGAATTATCATCTCTTCCTACTTCATATAGACATTTTTCATTAAGGTCTTTCTGCTTATCAGAAGACTTTTTAACTCCATTTTTAAGTGCATCTGATGCTGGCTGCCTAAATGCTTTCATAAATTGCTGTCTTTCTTCTAGAGTGCATTTTGGTTTCACAGCTTCAGAACTTCCAGCTTCCAAAACAGCCAATTCTAATTCTTCCTCCTGTATAACAACATTAGATTTTCTTTTCTGAACTGTCTGTTCATTCTCAGGATCAGATAAACTATTTTCCATTTCAAATTGCTTTTGTTTCAAGAAAATTCGGGGTATTTTCCCTGTCTTTTTGGGCGGAATAGGGTGAACCTGTGCAAGAACAGTAACTGTCTTAAAGCGTACCTGCTGGGAAATTTCGGAGTTTTCTGATTCACTTATATAACCACTTTTGACTATTTCGTCGACAGTTTCAGAAGGAACACAAATTGACATTGTAGAGTCTGGTATCTCTTCCACTTTATTTTCCTTGTGACTTTTTAAAAATTCCTCATATGAGACAGTTATTATACTATCATTTAACTGGGCTGCTTCAGTTACGTTATCTCTAGAGTTTGCATGGCTTGTAGTATTCTCCATCTGTTTAGTATCTTTACCATCTTTTTTAAGCAAATTTAGTTCCTCTGCCAAGGGTAAGCTTTCAGATAGATCTACTACATCTCTGCATTTCCTTTTTCTCAACTTTTTGAAGTCATTTTTTGTGGTCCCTTGTTTAGGATTTACTTTTTTAGAATTTTGCAGGGAGGTCATAGTATTTGGTTGACTTTTTGTATCTTGAATGTTTTCTGCAAGTACCTCTACTTGTTTCTTGTAACGTAAAACAGAAGTACTACTTTCCACAAAATCATTATTTAAACTATAGTCTTCTTTGCTATCGTCGCTACTAATTTCAATTGGAGCTTCATTTTCAGTTTTAATATTATTTAGTTGATGAGATAAATTAACCCTCTTTCTTTTCTTCTTAAACTCTACATTTGAGAACATTTCCAAAGGTGTCGTACAGTCTTTGTTGCTGTCAACAGGTACTGATTCAGGTGACTTTATCTTGCACTCTTTCCCTAATTGTGTCTTCTCATTTGTGGGTGAAGTCTTTCTAAAATAATCCAGAATATTACTAGGTTTTGGTGGAGCAAAAACCCTGTCTCTAGTCTTCCCTAGTGGTGATAAATATTTTGTAATTGTTTTGCAGGTAGATGTGTCATCATCTTTCTTTCGCTTTTTGCATGGCTGGCAATTTAAAAGAGAAAAAGGCACTTATTTCAAGCAATATAATACAAAATATAAATTTTAAACATGGATCTAATAGTTTACATAATAGGATTAAAAAAAGGAAGCCTCCTTTAGGTGAAAAACGTGATATATTAGAAAGAAAATAGGCTTTAAAGTTAAACCAGGCCAGGTGCGGTGGCTCACGCCTGTAATCCCAGTACTTCAGGAGGCCAAGGCGGGTGGATCACTTGAGGTCAGGAATTCGAGACCAGCCTGGCCAACGTGGTGAAACCCTGTCTCTACTAAAAATACAAAAAATTAGCTGAGCATAGTGGTGCACGCCTGTAATCCCAGCTACTCCGGAGGCTGAGGCAGGAGAATCACTTGAACCTGGGAGGCGGAGGTTGCAGTGAGCCAAGATTGTGCCACTGCACTCCAGCCTGGGTGACAGAGCAAGACCTTGTCTCAAAAAACAAAAAGAAACCATACATGTATTAGAAAAACGCCATTCAGTTATTATTTATAAAGCTGCAATTGTATCAAAGGCAACATACATAGGCTCTGGAGTCAGGCAAATCTAAGTTAAATGCTGGCTCTGACATTTACTGGTGTAAAACGTTAAGCAAATTACTTTTAACTTTTCCATTTAATTTTTCAAAAAATTTAACTTACTTTTAGCTACTTTTTACCTTCTTTCATTTGTAGAATACAGACAATAGATCATAGGGTTGCTATTAAGCAAAATAATGTGTTTAAGGTTCTTACCCCTAACATATTAAATGGTAAGTATCATTATTATGAAATAGGGTTTCTTAGCATTAGGGCACCAAAACCAGAAACTGTAACGGAAAGATTGATAAAACAGACCACATAGAAATCAAGAACTGTGTACATCAAGTACCAGAAGACAAGCTGAGTAACTAACTGCCTTGATTTAGCAAAGGAATATCAGCATAACAACTAAGTAGACAAAAAAAAACAAAAACAAAAACTAAGTAGACAAGTCACCAGATTCTGAAAAAAACAACTGGTCGCAGTTAAATGAACATACATACATCTTAACTCTCTTCAAGGACGCCAAGATACATGCTTCAGTTAGAATGCTAGTCTGAGATGAAAAGGTGTAAAATATAACAAGTCTACCTTAAGATGCTAGCCCACTACTTCATGGCATTAGAATCTCTTTATAATGACCGCTTAGTGCCTGTCACTGAAACCTGATAAACCCAAAAGAACATGTTACACTGCGATTCCTAACCGCAGATACTAAGCCATGAGAAACTGTTTTCTTTAAGTACCTTGCTTGATTTCTGTAGTGACATTCTAAAGTGGCATTCCAAGCACAGGTGGATGTATGAACTAGTTTAACTTAAAGATCTTCTTCAGCGCTAAAGTTCAGTGATTCCGTATCACGAACCCAGAACTTGACCCTGGGATCCTCTGTGACATGTCGGAAGTCCAAAACATCACGTTCCACCAACATTTCGGGATCTGGGAACTGGCCGTGTTATCTTAAGTCCCCAATTTACTGTGACCCCGCAAATATCTCAGAATCCAAATGTTTATCAGGACTTGACACGACTCTAAACGACACACTCTGGCAACTGTTGCACACAATGTGTCACAGCTGTGGGTCCTCACAATGTCCCACCTTTCCCCTTACAAAGTCAGGATCACCTTCCGCCAAGACCCACCTTCCAATCCCCCAAAAGATAGAGGAAGGAACTCAACAGATCCTCGACTCAACCTCACCTCAATCTCGCAGTCCTTCACGGGAGGCGGAGCAGCTGCAGCCGCCATGGCCAGGACCCCCACCATACTCCCCGCTTCCCGGAATCCCGTCTCCTAGGACCTCACGCGGTCCAGCCCGGCCTGCCTGGAGGCCATGGAGGCGGCCCGCTCCAGTAGCAGCAAGCTGCTGGGATTCTGCTGAGCCGTTTCGGATTCCCCCGCGCCCACCGACAGAGAGCGGGAGCGGAGGCTGGGCCCAGATCAGCCGAATCGAACACGGAAAGAGGCAATGAGAAAGCGCGGGCAATGAGATCCCTGAGGCGCGGCCAGTGTATGCAGGGTGCCCTCGAAAGCGGCGCTTCAGGCTGAGCGCTCGGGACCGGGCAGGGAAAGCAAGCGGACCGCAGATCGGACCACAGAGCTTCGGAGGGAATTCTTGTCAATTGGGTTTTCGCGCCGTCCTGCGCGCAAGGGGCGGAGTTTACGGCTGCTTCAGGAGGCTGCGCGGACGGTGAGCCGAGAGGGCCAAAATGACTCCCTCGGCGAACCCGCGGGAGGCGGAACCATTGCACCGTGGAATTGAAAGCCAACCCGGGAGTTTGGAAATTTGAATTTCTGTCCTATCAGTTTCACCGTTGAGGACGTGATTTCACTAAGTCACCTAGTCAGTTGTTGACAGAATTAAAATTTAGACTTTTAACGCCCTAGGCTAGCCCCTCTTTAAAGGCGAAATTTGAAAAATGCAGAAAAAGGAAATAATTGATTTACATTGTTACCATGCACAATAAAATGCTAATATTTGGGCGAGCTTTCCACCTCAATATACGTCCTCTCAGGATCCGAAATTCGACTTTTATACCTATAAAAGTCGAAGTACCTATTCGACTAAGAAGGCATTTCTTTCTGTGGATTCCATCCTCTCGAACAGCCGAGTCATTGCTTCATCTGGTTGGCCTGCGTTCAGTCCTCGCAGGGTACCTACCAGTAGTTTGCTGGTTTCTGATCTCATGCATCATTTGCATTGTTTTCATGGGTTTGGTTAGCCTTTACTTTTTCTCTTTTCTTTTTTTTCACTGTCCCAGGTTTATCGAAAATATTACAGCATTACAGAAAGACTCAAACAGCTCCCCGAGGCGTTTTGAAATTCATCTCAACTGTAGGCTGAGTGACCTACAGGTTGGACAGACTGCCGAAGTCCAAAAGTTTCTGCATTTCCTTAGTGTCAGGATTCTACTTCAATGATCTCCTGATCCAGAGCTTAGACCTCGGGAACACAATTGTCTCTCCTTTCTCTCTCCTCCTCCTGCAGCTTCATGGAGATACCTCTCTCTTACTGGCCCCCTCTGAATCCGCTTTATCAGATGCGTGACATAGCCTGCTATCTTGTTGCGGGGCTTCTTGCTGGGAATAATGGCGATTTCCTCGCACACGCGCTTGTTCGTGTGGAAGTCTTTGCCCAGGCGCATGTAGTACTTTTCTATGATGACCCGGGCCGCCTTCTTTACTTCACGGTTTTGGTGCGAACGCGCCCCATGTTGGTGGGTCCTTGGTAAAATAGCTCTTTTTTTTTTACGTTAAAGTTGCAATTACATTAAATACAGCATGTTACATTTGTTTGAGTGCATCGTTTTTGTTGTTGTTGTTTGTTTGTTTGTTTGCTTGAGACGGAGTCTCCCTCTGTTGCACCAGGCTGAAGTGTAGTGGCACGATCTCGAATCACTGCAATCTCCGCCTCCCGGGTTCAAACGATTCTCCTGCCTCAGCCTCGCGAGTAGCTGGGACTACAGGCGCGTGCCACCATGCGGGGCTAATTTTTGTATTGTAGTAGAGACGGGGTTTCGCCATGTTGGCCAGGCTGGTCTCGAACTCCTGACCTCAGGTGATCTGCTCAACTCGGCTCCCCAAAGTGCTGGGATTACAGGCTTGAGCCACTGCGTCCGGCACCGCGCTTTTTTTTTTTTTTTTTTTTTTTTTGAGGTGGAGTCTGGCTCTGTCACCCAGGCTAGAGTGCAGTGGCGCAATCTCTGCTCACTGCAACCTCCACCTCCCCGGTTCAAGCGATTCTCCTGCCTCAGCCTCCTAAGTAGCTGGAACTACAGGTGCGTACCACCATGCCCAGCTAATTGTATTTTTAAGAGACAGGGTTTCAACATCTTGGCCAGGCTAGTCTGGAACTCCTGGCCTCAGGTGATCCACCTGCCTTGGCCTCCCAAAGTGCTGAGATTACAGGAGTGAGCCACTGTGCCCAGCCAATTTGCTTTTTTTCACTCAACTTTTTATTTATTTATTTATTTTTTTTTTTTTGAGACGGAGTCTGGCTCTGTCGCCCAGGCTGGAATGCAATGGCGCGATCTTGGCTCACTGTAATCTCCACCTCTCAGGTTCAAGCGATTCTCCTACCTCAACCTCCTGAGTAGCTGGGATTACAGGCTCGTGCCACCATGCCTGGCTTTTTTTTTTTTTTTTTTTTTTTTTTTGTATTTTTAGTAGAGATGGGTCACCATGTTGGTCAGGCTGGTCTTGAACTCCTGACCTCGTGATCTGCCCGCCTGGGCCTCCCAGAGTGCTGGGATTACAGGCGTGAGACACCACACCAGGCCTCATTCAACACTTTTTTCAAAAGCCATCCATGATACATATAGATTTGATTCATTCCCTTTCTTTCCTGAACATTCTATTTATGCAACTCATTTTATTTATTCATTTCCTTATTATTATCATTTTTATTGTTGTTGTTTTGTTTTTGTGTTTGAGACAGGGTCTCACTATGTCACCAAGCTTGAGTGCAGTGGCATGATCTCTGCTCACTGCAGCCTCAAACTTCTGGGCTCAAGCAATCCTCCCACTTCAGCCTCCCAAGTAGCTGGGACTACAGGAGTGCGCTACCACGCCCGGCTAATTTTTTGTATTTGTAGAGAAGAGGTTTGGCCATGTTGCCCAGGTTGTATTATTATTATTTTTTTGAGACAGGATCTCACTCTGTCACCCAGGCTGGAGTGCAGTAGCGTGATCACTGCTCACTGGAGCCTCCACATCCCTGGCTCAAGAGATCCTCCCACCTCAACTTCCCAATTTGCTGGGACAACACGTTCGCCATAATGCCCGGCTAATTTTTGTATTTTCTGTAGAGACAGGGTTTTGCCATGTTGCCCAGGCTGGTCTGGAACTTCCTGGGCTCAAGCAATCCTCCCTCCTTGGCCTTCCAAAGTGCTGGGACTACAGGTGAGCCACCTGTATCCATTTCCTTACTGATGAATATTTAAATTGTCTCCAATTTTCTGTTATTCAAATGCTGAGGCAATGAACAGTCTTGTCCATGTTTTCTTCAACACGTGTAATGTTTCTCTAGGATTCACATCTAGAAATGGGATTGTTGGGTTATATACGGTGTTCTCTAGTGCTTTTTATTCTTCTGAGTTACAAAGCATTTAAACTGCATTAAGTTGTTAAGCATTTCCACTGAGTAGTTTTAGATACATAGTATTTTACCAACCCTTATTTAGGAGCTCATGGCTTTTATCAATTTTAATCTAAATGAACTCTCACATGGTAAAGCAATTCACAGTTTACAGAGTGCCCATGTCATTTCAGATTATCTTCCCCATGTGTCTAACACCTACTTTTAAAAATCGTTATTGTTGTCTGGGCGGGGTGGCTCACGCCTGTAATCCCAGCACTTTGGGAGGCCAAGGCAGGTGGATCACCTTAGGTCATGAGTTCAAGACCAGCCTGACCAACATAGTGAAAAACTCATCTCTACTAAAAATACAAAATTAGCCGGGTGTGGTGGCGCACGCCTGTAATCCTAGCTACTCAGGAGGCTGAGAATCACTTAAACCCGGGAGACAGAGGTCGCAGTTAGCTGATATCGCGCCACTGCACTCCAGCCTGGATGACATAAGAGTGAGACTCTGTCTCAAAAAAATTAAAGAAAGGAAGAAAATAAAGAAAAAATATGGGTGGGGCATGGTGGCTCAGGCCTGTAATCAGAGCACTTTGGAAGACCAAGGCAGGGAACTGCTTGAGCCCAGGAGTTCTAGATCAGCCTGGGAAACATACAGAGACCCTGCCTCTACAAAAAAAAAAAAAATGTAAGGCTGAGGCCGGGAGCAGTGGCTCACAACTATAATCCCAGCACTTTGGGAGACTGAGGCAGGTGGATCATCTGGAGTCAGGAGTTCAAGATCAGCCTGGCCAACATGGGGAAACCCAGTCGCTACTAAAACTACAAAAATTAACGGGAGTGGTGGCTCACAGCTGTAGTCCTTGCTACTTGGGAGGCTGAGGCAGGAGAATTGCTTGAACCCGGGAGGCGGAGGTTGCAGTGAGCCGAGATCGTGCCACTGTACTCCAGCCTGGTTAGCAGAGCAAGACTCCATCTCAAAAAAAAAAAAAAAAAAAAAATTAAGACTAGGTGCAGTGGCTCACACCTGTAATCCCAACACTTGGAGGCCAAAGTGGATGGATTGCTTGAGGTTAGGAGTTCAAGACCAGCCTGGCCAACTTGGTGAAATCCCATGTCTAATAAAATACAAAAATTAGAGCCAGGTGTGGTGGCTCACGCCCATAATTCCAGCACTTTGGGAGGCTGAGGCCGGCGGATCACAAGGTCAGGAGTTCAAGGCCAGCCTGACCAACATAGTGAAACCCCGTCTCTACTAAAAATACAAAAAATTAGCTGAGCGTGGTGGCCAGTGCCTGTGATCCCAGCTACTCAGGAGAATGGGGCAGGAGAATCGCTTGAACCAGGGAGGCGGAGGTTGCAACGAGCCGAGATCATGTCACTGTACTCCAGGCTGGGTGACAGTGCAGGACTCCATCTCAAAAAAACAAAAACAAAAAAAGAAAACACAAAAATTAGCTGGGTGTGGTAGTGGGCGCCTGTAATCCCAGCTACTCTGGAGGCTGTGGCAGGAGAATTGCTTGAATCCAGGAGGTGGAGGTTGCAGTGAGCCGAGATGGTGCCACTACACTCCAGCCTGGGCGACAGAGGGAGACTCTGTCTCAAACAAACAAAAAAATTAAAGAAGTGTCTGGGTCTACTGGCAGGTGTCTATAATCCTACCTACTAGGCAGACTGAGGTGGGAGAATCGTTTGAGCCCAGGAGATCAAGGGTGCAGTGAGCCCTGATTGTGTCACTGCACTCCAGCCTGTGTGACAGGTGACAGGCAAGCCCCTGTCTCAAAAAAAAAAAGCTGGAATGAAAGGTGGAGTCAGAGAGCAAAAAATTGTCAACTATGTGTCCAGTACAGTTAGGAGCGTTCTTTTTTTTTTTTTTTTTTTTTTTTTTTTTGAGACGTAGTCTTGCTGTGTCGCTCAGACTGGAGTGCAGTGGCACTATCTCAGCTCACTGCAACCTCTGCCTCCTGGGTTCAAGCAATTCTCCTGCCTCAGCCTCCTGAGTAGCTGGGATTACAGGTGCGCGCCACCACCAAGCCCGGCTAATTTTTTGTGTTTTTAGTAGAGATGAGGTTTCACCCTGTTAGTCAGGTTGTTCTTGAACTCCTGACCTCGTGATCCACCCACCTAGGCCTCCCAAAGTGCTGGGATTACAAGCATGAGCCACCACACCCAGCCCAGTTAGGAGCTTTCTGAGAAGAGGTTGGAGACAGGAGAGGGAAAAAGCCTTTGCTGACCAGATGACCAACGTATTCTGATCTGAATCCAACTCTCTGGTTATAACTTGATTTTCCAGCTATTGTGATTTTTTTCAACAATTATATTCCTGTTGTAAATAAATAAATTGGCAAGCTGCTTAGTTTGTTTCTTGTGAGTCTTATTAGCAAGAGTCTGTTCCCTGGAATCCTCTGGGTACACTTGAAAAGTCAGTTCTGGACCAATGTGATGCCATGGAGATATCTCTGTAAAACTCTGTCTGATGGCTAGCTGACATCTACTTCTAAACCAGTTTCCTCGAGAACATTTACTCTTTAGGAATTCATGCTCTAAATTTAAAAACAATGCATCTAAAAATGTCAAGTCTAGGGGTAAGCAGTTTTAGAATATTTCCTTCAATTTTCTTATTTGTTTTGTTTTTGGGTATAGTGTAGATATGTTAGATACACACTTCTTGCCTTCCATCAGACTAAGAAAACAAAGTTGAATGAGACCAAGATTCATGTCCTGGTTTTATGGAAGTTTTCCTTGTAATTTTACTTATTTATTTATTTATTTTTATTTTTATAGACATAGGGTCTTGCTATGTTACCCAGGTTGGTCTCTAACTCCTAGGCTCAAGGAATCCTCCCACCTCAGCCTCCTGAATTGCTGGGACCACAGGAGGGCGCCACCACCCGCGGCTAATTTTTTTTTTAAATCTTTTTGTAGAGAGGAGGTCTCCTCATGTTGCAAAGGCTGGTCTCAAACTCCTGGGCTCAAGCAATCCTCCTGCCTTAGCTTCCCAAGATTACTGGTGTGAGCCACCATGCCCTGCCCATAAGGTTTTATTACATACAGTCACACCTATTGTGACAGATACCTTCCGGTCTGGCAAGCCCAAGCCCAGCTTATTCACTACGGTCCTTACAGATAACACTTGCCAACACCCTTCTTGGACTTGTGCCAGAATTGCTGTCCTGCTGGTCATCTCTTGGGCCTCTCTCTTGGATCCCCCATTCGTCCACGAGCTTCTGGGTGGTGACACCTGGGTTTTGTTGTTGTTTTTTGAGACCGAGTCTCGCTTTGTTGCCCAGGTTGGAGTGCAGTGGCACAATCTTGGCTCACTGCAACCTCTGCCTCCCGGTTCAAGCAATTATCCTGCCTCAGCCCTCGAGTAGCTGGGATTACAGGCGCCCACCACCACACCCGGCTAATTTTTGTATTTTTAGTAGAGATGAGGTTTCACCAGGTTGGCCATGGCTGCTCTTGAACTTCTGACCTCAGTGATCCACCCGTCTCGGCCTCCCAAAGTGCTGGGATTACAGGCGTGAGCCACTGCTCCCCGCTGACACCTGGGTCTTAGTAAATTCCCCTAAGGCCTGCTCTGCTCTTAAGGACCAGGGCTTTTGTCATCAGATCTGGGCTCAAATTCTGCGGCTTGGAAAAGTCGATTCGCTATTTTTTAAAATTTTTAATTTAAAAAAAAGTATTTTTTATTTAGAGACAGGGTCTCGCTCTGTCGCCCAGGCTGGAGTGCAGTGGCTCCATTACAGCTCACTGCAGCCTCGGCCCCCGGGCTCAAGCGATCCACTGGGACCACAGGCGTGCTCCACTACGTGTTGCTAGTAGTAGCAGTAGTAGTAGTAGTAATAGTAATAGTAGTAGTATTTTTGGTGAGAGAGGGTTTCGCCGTGTTGCCCAGGCTGGGTCTCGAACTCCAGAGCTCAAGGGATCCGCCCGCCTCGGCCTCCCAAAGTGCTGGGACTGCAGGCGTGAGCCACCGCGCCCGGCCGATTCCCCCCTTTATCCCTCAATTTCCTCATCTGAGCAATGGAGATACAGGTAGGGCTGAAGGTCAGGCAAGAATGCGATGAGCTGTGAGAAGCACTTGGCAAGGTGCGGGTTATCAACCTTGCCAGGCCTCAGCACGTTTCCCAAGGAGGCCCAACCAGCGGCGCTGTGCCGCAGCACGGAAGAGGCGGGGTGAGCCGCGGGGCGGGCGGCGCTGGGACCCGGACGCCACCCGCGCGAGGCGCCGCCGTGCGCCCGTCAATCAAGGTCGTCGTGGGGCATGGGGCGGCGGGGCTGGGCGGTGCTTCCGCCTGCGCGAGGCCGCGCCGGGCCGCTTGGAGGCGCCCGGTGCAGTCGGGAACCCGCGCTAGGTTTCGCCGGCCGCGCGGCCAGATGAGGGGGGCGATGGAGCTGGAGCCTGAGCTGCTGTTGCAGGAGGCCCGCGAGAACGTGGAGGCAGCGCAGAGCTACCGGCGGGAGCTGGGTCACCGGCTTGAGGGGCTGCGTGAGGCGCGGAGGCAGGTCGGAGGGCCACACCCACAGGGGCGCTGTGGGCCCGGGGGTGGCGCGGATGCCGGGCGAAGGCTGGGAGGGCTTTGAGGGGTGGGACTGTCCGAAAACTCTGGAGTAGGGAAGAGGCATTCATTTGAAAGGAGACCTAATGGAGTCTGGGAACGGGGAAGGTGGGAGTTGGGGAGGTCGTAAGGGGAAGTTTTGGGGGTGGAGGGAGGGTGTGAGGAGCGTTCACTAAACTGTGGGGCAGCGATGGGAGTAGCGGTGGCCTCCGAAGTTTGGGAGAGTGAGGGACCAGAGCAGAATCCGAGGGGGTCATGCGGGTAGTGATGAGTCGGGGGAGGAGGAGACTGGTAAAAAACCTGCGGTGGGTAGGCGGGGAGGCATTGATTTTAGAGAGCCTGAGGAAGAGGTGGGACAGTGACCTGGGAGAGCTGAAAGTGGAGACAAAATGGATATTGGAAGGGGAGGACTAAGGGGCGAGAGTGAGGGAGAGGTAGGGATTGAGAAGCAGTAGCATTTGACAATAAATGCGGTTAATGCCTGAATAATATGTCATACGATCTTGAATGCTTTTTAAAAAATCATTTAGAGTAATCCTGTTCTAGAAGGTTTAAAATTTAAGGTGAAGGTGAAGCTATGTTGGAAGAGCAGAAGGAAAATGATTTCCTTTTCCTTGAGAGAGGGAATACAAAGGTATAGAGAAATGGAAAAATAGATTTTAAGAGAGGAGTGCTGAAAGGAAAAGCTAAATATAATTTCAAGTGGTGCAGTTATCTGTTTCACAGGGCAAGAGTTATCAAAGATACAGGAAAGCCATATGGTTTCTCTATACCCTCGAATATATATAGAAAAAGATATAACCCGCTGCCAATTGGCGATAGGACGGATAATCTTCAGAGTACTATTAACGCAACTGCTTAATAAGTGCTTTTTGAGTGAGTGGGATTCCATCTGAATTTCTCTGGGTCATACTTGATATTAATCTAGTTGGTCGTCTTAGCACTTCCTTGCTGCATATAACCTGAAAATGGTAGAAAAGTGCTGTGCTAACAGTGTCTTTGGATATTCTCATCATTAACGACTCAACATGTTTTGGGTTTTATATATATATATAAAACATATACAAACATATATAAGTATGTATATATATAATCTGTTTTTTTTGAGACGGAGTCTGGCTGTGTCGCTCAGGGTGGAGTGCAGTGGCACTATCTCGGCTCACTGCAACAACCTCCGCCTCCCGGGTTCAAGCGATTCTCCTGCCTCAGCCTCCTGAGTAGCTGGGATTACAAGTCTGCGCCACCACACCCGGCTAATTTTTGTATTTTTAGTAGAGAGGAGGTTTCACCAGGTTGGCCAGGATGATCTTGAACTCCTGACCTCGTGATCCACCTGCCTCAGCCTCCCAAAGTGCTGGGATACAGACGTGAGCCACCGCGCCCGGCCGGGTTTTATATATTTAAAAATATTTGTAAAGCCAGTGTAGGCCAGACATCATTTGCATTTTAGTGGCGAAACCGGAAGCAGAATCTAGATATGATTATGCTGATTTGGTGAATACTTTTCAAGGCCTTTCAATGCACTCATCTCTATTTCTCTTTGAAAATATCTGCATTATTCCTTCTGCTATTTTGAAATAGGGACTCTAGATGTAAGACATTGTATGAAAAGAAAGATATTAAAATACCATCTAACATTTCAGTCAGTTAAGATGTATTCTATATGACCATGATTATTGTTTTTGTATTAGCAATTAAGAATCAGAGTTGACACTAAATGAGTGAGTTTAGCACCTGGGAGTAATTAATTTCTCTTGATATTGGATGCATTAAAAAAAATCGTGATTACACCCTAGATGGTTCAGTATTCAATTTTCAAACCTGTATTTTTTCAATTTTATATCCAACAATTTAAATACAGGACATGCTTTTCTGTGGTTTAGTTTATTATGAGCTTTGTTTTGTTTTGTTTTTGAGGCCCATTGTCTTGGGCTTCAGACAGAAAACACTAAATGAACATCGATCACAATTAGGTTCCTGATGACATTGCCTTCTGACTAGACTGAGTAATAATGTAGTTCTCTTTTGTGAGTGTGAGTCTCTTTTGGGAATGTGTTTTGTGCCAGTGGCAGTTACAACAGCATCTCTCGAAGCTAACTCTAGTGGATTGTGCATGTTTGGGTTTGTGGCATAAGTCCTCTGTCAACTTGCATTTTAAGGAAGGTCTATGGTACAAAAATATTATCAAAGTAAGCAGCTGCTTTTGTTTGGTGGTTTGGATATTTTTAGGGTTCCAGTCATTTTCAGAATAACTGTAAAATATATGGCACTTTAGTCAAGGATTTTGCATGGGAGAAGCATGAGAAGAGCAGAGAGGAAGGGATGCCACCTGTCGTCTGTATTTTTTACTTGCTGATTTTATATCTTTTTGGCAGATGATTTCTTTTCTTTTTTTTTTTTTTTTTTTGGCGGGGGTGCGGACAGGGTTTTGTTACGTTTCCCAGGCTGGTCTCCAACTCCTGGGCTCAAAAGATCCTCCCACCTCTGCCTTCCGGTGATGGAATTACAGGTGTGAGCCACTGTGCTGCCTGGCATGTGACTTTTTTTATTGAGATATAATTCACACACCGTAAAAGTCATGCCTTAAAGTTTACAATTCAGTGGTTTTTAGTATATTCATAGAGTTGTCCAACCATCACCAGTGTCTAATTCAAGTATATATTCATCACCCCCAAAAGAACTCCTTAGCTGTCACTCCCATACCCCCTGGCAACCACAAAACTACTTTGTCTCTATGGATTTGCCTATTCTGGTCATTTCATATAAATGAACTCATACAGTATGTAGCCCCTTGTGACTGACTTCTTTGACTTAGAATAATGTTTCAAGGTTCATTGATGTGGTAGCATGTAACAGTACTTCAAACCTTTTTATGGCTGAATAATTGTTATGTGGATATACCACATTTTATTTATCCATTCATCAATTAATGGACATTTGGATTATTTCCACTTTTGACTATTATGAATAATGCTTCTGTAAAGAATTTGTAGACAACTTTTTGTGTGGACATGTTTTCAGTTGTTTTAGAATATAGCTAGGAATTGGTGGATCACATGGTAACTTTTTGTTTAACCTTTTCAGAAACTCTTGGCATACTTTTTTTCCTTTTTTCTTTTTTTTTTTTTTTGAGAAAGGACCTCACTCTGTCACCCAGGCTGGAGTGCAGTGGCACAATCTCAGCTCACTGCAAGCTCTGCCTCTCAGGCTCAAGTGATCCTCCCATCTCAGTGTGCCGAGTAGCTGGGACTACAGGCACGTGCCATCACCCCTGGCTAATTTTTTGTATTTTTGGTAGAGATGGGGTTTTGCCATGTTGTCCAGCCTCCTGGGCTCAGATGAACACCCACTTTGGCCTCCCAAAGTGTTAGGATTACAGGCTTGAGCCACCGCACCCAGCCTCTTTTTTTTTTTTGAGCCAGAGTCTTGCTCTGTCACCCAAGCTGGAGTGCAGTGGCATGATCAGAACTCACTGCAGCCTCGACTTCCTAGGCTCAAGCCATCCTCCTGTCTCAGATCCCCAAGTAGCTGGGGCTATAGGTACACACCACCACACCTGCCTAATTTTGTTTAATTTTTTTTAGTAGAGATGATGTCTTCCTGTGTTTCCCAGACAGTTTCTTCCTTTTTTTTTTTTTTTTTTTTTGAGAGAGTCTCGCTCTTTTGCCCAGGCTGGAGTGAAGTGGCACAATCTTGGCTCATTGCAACCTTCAGCTCACTGCAACCTTAGGCTCACTGCAACCTCCGCCTCTTGGGTTCAAGAGATTCTCCTGCCTCAGCCTCCCGAATAGCCAGGATTACAGGCGTCTGCCACCATGCCCATCTACTTTTTGTATTTTTACTAGAGACAGGGTTTCACCATGTTGGCCAGGCTGGCCTCGAAGTCCTCACCTCAGGTGATCCTGCCCACCTCAGCCTCCCAAAATGCTGGGATTACCACCGTGCCTGGGTGAGCCACCGTGCCCAGCTGCCAGGCCGATTTCTAACTCCTGAGCTCAAGCAATCCTCTTGCCTCGGCCTCCCAAAGTACTGGTATTACAGGTGTGAGCCACTGCATCTGGCCTACCTTTTGTCTTTGCTTTAGTTTCTTATCCTTTAAACTCTAGCATGAAATTTGTCTCGTATTGAGAAATCATGTTGTATGAACATTTAGAAGGAAGAAGAATAAAAATGTTTTTAAGTTATTCTGTCAAAACTGCCAACATGTAGCAGTTTCTCCTCTTGTGGTTAAGTTTGGGCTCTACCCTCTGTTTTCAGAGAAAAGGAAGTTCTGTGTAGGAATGCAAGGATTGTCTGTTAACTCTTAATGTTTGAATAAGTTAAAGGCTAGAAAGCTGTTCATTGTCTTCAGGAAATCAGATAATGTTTACAGCCAACTTGGCCTAGCTGATGTTGAAATCATTAAGAATAGTTCTCTATAGCTCACTGGAATCCTTGGTACTAAGATGTAAATACCAAAGAAATTAACTCCCACTGTCCTTAAATATTCATTTGTTCATTCACTCAATAAATATTTATTGGGTGCCTACTGTAGGGCTGAGAAACTTCTAGGTCCTAGATTCTGTGTTCAAGGAAATAGATCACTGCCCTCATGGATTTATGCTTTCCTCTTTCCTTTGGTGGCTGATACTTAGGTTACTACCCCTAAAAACAAAACAAGTAAGAAAAATATAAGTTCTATTTGTGTATTCATTTTTATATTTCACTTCTATTATATCTTTCATCACTTGTCCTATTTCTACAGCATTGGCCTTTCTGTTTGTTATAAGTAGAGATCCAGCCTGGCCAATATGGTGAAACCCCGTCTCTACTAAAAAAATACAAATTAGCCAGGTGTGGTAGCGTGCACCTGTAGTCCCAGCTACTCAGGAGGCTGAGCCAGGAGAATTGCTTGAGCCGGGCAGGCGGAGGTTGCAGTGAGCCAAGATCACACCACTGCACTCCAGCCTGGGCGACAGAGCGAGACTCCATCTCAAAAACAAAAACGTAAGTAGAGATAACTGATCAAAATGTCACGTAGTGATGTCAGCTGGCCACTCAGGCCTCACAGAGTGGCACCACCTTGATGACAATGCCAAAGTCAGGGCCTGGTCTTTAATCTTTGTAAGTCCAAAAACTTCATCTTGGTACATTATCAAAGGGGAATTAGTTGAGGTACTGGAGGTGTCTACAGTGAGAAATGCCAGTATTTTAGTCTGTGTGTTGTAGTTCACTCTATAAAATGACTATGTTGGCTTTCATGTACCTTTTGGTATTCTGATTCAGTATTTCTCAGGACACTGACAAAAGCAAGTCTCTGCTCCTTCAAGAGCAAATGGTAAGATCCTGGTACCTAATTAAGATACTAGTTGGTGGCTGGGCTCAGTGGCTCACGCCTGTAATCCCAGCACTTTGGGAGGCCGAGGCGGGTGGATCACATGAGATCAGGAGTTTGAGACCAGCCTTCAACATGGCAAAACTCTGTCTCTACTAAAAATGTAAAAAAAATTAGCCAGGTGTGGTGGAATGCACCTGTAATTCCAGCTACTCTGGAGGCTGAGGCAGGAGAATTGCTTATACCTGGGAGATGGAGGTTGCAGTGAGCCAAGATGGCACCACTGCACTCCAGCCTCAGCAACAGAAGAAGACTGTCTCAAAAAAAAAAAAACACTCAAAAGTTATTTCAAAAAACCAAGACAGGAAGTCTCAGTAGCTTAGCAAAGAAAAGAAAGCTGTTGGCCAGGCGTGGTGGCTCACACCTGTAATCCCAGCATTTTGGGAGGCTGAGGCGGGCGGATCACCTGAGGTCAGGAGTTTGAGACAAGCCTGACCCATACGATGAAAACCTATCTTTACTAAAAATACAAAAATTAGCCGGGTGTGGTGGTGGGCGCCTGTAATCTTAGCTACTCGGGAGGCTGAGGCAAGAGAATTGCTTGAACCCAGGAGACGGAGGTTGCGGTGAGCCGAGATCATGCCACTGCACTCCAGCCTGGGCAACAGGAGTGAAACTGTCTCAAAAAAAAAAAAAAAAGGAAAAGAAAAGAAAGCCATTATTGCTCCTTTTATCTCCCACTTCCCCTTCTGTTACCCATTTTGAAAACACTACAAAAATCTGTGTATAATTTGTTACAGTAGTAGTATTTAAAGTGTCCCTATTATAGTATTCTAAGAAAAGGTTAAATCCAGATACAGGGAAAACCAAGAACAGATGAAATAATTTTTTTTTTTTAATGAAGTTTCGCTCTTGTCGCCCAGGCTGGAGTGCAATGGCTCAATCTTGGCTCACTGCAACCTCCACCTCCCAGGTTCAAGCAATTCTCTTGCCTCAGCCTCCTGAGTACTTGGGATTACAGGTGCCCGCCACCACGCCCAGCTAATTTTTGTATTTTTAGTAGAGACGGGGTTTCACCATGGTGAAGGCTGGTCTCAAACTCCTGACCTCAGGTGATCCGCGCATCTCGGCCTCCCAAAGTGCTGGGATTACAGGCATGAGCCACCACACTCAGCCCAGATGAAATAGTTTTAAAATAACCTACTACTTACAGACAACTGCAGTTAACTTTTTTTTTTTTTTTTTTTTTTTGGGATGGAGTCTCACTCTGTCGCCATGCTGGAGTGCAGTGGCGCCATCTCGGCTCATTGCAACCTCTGCCTCCTGGGTTCAAGCCATTCTCCTGCCTCAGCCTCCTGAGTAGCTGGGACTACAGGCGCCTGCCACCACACCCAGCTAATTTTTGTATTTTTAGTAGAGATGGGGTTTCACCACGTTGGCCAGGATGGTCTCCATCTGTTGACCTCATGATCCACCTTCCTCGGCCTCCCAAAGTGCTGGGATTACAGGCTTGAGCCACCCTGCCTGGCCTGCAGTTAACATTTTGATGTATCTTTCTATACATATTATTCTGCAAAGTTGAGAGACTACTGTATATGCAACTTTGTATCAATTTTTAATTTTTATTAACATTATAAGCATTTTGTTAGCATTATAAGAATTTTGGTAACATCATAAGCATTTACAAGAATATTTTTCCCATGCAAAGCTTTTTTTTTTGAAGACGGTCTCACTTTGTCACCCAGACTGGAGTGCAGTGGCACCACCTTGGTTCACTGCAACCTCCACCTCCCGGGTTCAAGCAATTCTCCTGCCTCAGCCTCCTGAGTAGCTGGGATTATAGGCGCATGCCACCACACCCGGCTCATTTTTTGTATTTTTAGTAGAAGGAGGTTTCACCATATTGCCCATGCTGGTCTTGAACTCCTGAGCTCAGGCTGTCCACCCACCTCGGCCTCAAAAAGTGCTAGGATTACAAGCGTGAGCCACTGTGCCTGTCCCACAGCCTCATTTTTAATACAGAGGTGGAGTCTATTGTAGATATTTAAAGGAACATTTGTTGGTGGTAGGTTGCAATGTATTGATTCTGGTACCCCAAAATACTGGAAGCAAAACTAATTGCAAATAAGGGGGGTAAAAATAAAAGCCACACATATACAGTCAAAACAACAGGGATATATTCTCAGAAATGTGTCATTGGGCGATTTTGTCATTGTACAAACCTAGATGGTATCATCTGCTACACACCTAGGCTATATGGTATATTCTATTGCTCCTAGGGTACAAGTCTGTACAGCATGTTACTATACTGAATACTGTAGATAGTTGTAACATAACTGTAAGTGTGCATCTAACATAGAAAAGGTGCAGTAGGCATGCTGGCTCACACTTGTAGTCCCAGCACTTTGAGAGGCCAAGACGGGAAGATCTCGAGCCCAGAAGTTTGAGACCAGTCTGGGCAATATAGGGAGACCCCCATCTCCACAAAGAAATTAAAAATTAGCCAGGTGTGGTGGTGCATGCCTGTGGTCCCAGCTACTCGGGAGGCAAAGGTGAGAGGATTTATTGAGCCCAGGAGGCTGAGGGTGCAGTAAGCCATGATCACACCACTGTACTCCAGCCTCGACAACAGAACTAGACCCTGTCTAAAAAAAAAAAAAAAAAAAAGAAAGAAAGAAGATACAGTAAAGACATAAAAATATAGTAATATAATGTTATGGGACTACCATTATGTATGTGATTGTCATTGTCCAAAACATCATTATGTGATGCTTGACTGTATTTGTTTGCAAAAGACCACATATTTACATTGGTTTTTGAGTCAGTCTTTTCACCAATAAATCTTTTTACAAGTTGTCTTTTTTTTTTTTTTTTGAGATGGAGTCTTGCTCTGTCACCCACGCTAGAGTGCAGTGGTGCGATCTCGGCTCACTGCAACCTCTGCTTTCCGGGTTCGAGTGATTCTCCCACCTCAGCCTCCCGAGTAGCTGGGACTACAGGTGCATGCCACCATGCCCGGCTAGTTTTTCTATTTTTAGTACAGACGGAGTTTCACCATATTTGCCAGGCTGGTCTCGAACTCCTGACCTCGTGATCTGCCCGCCTTGGCCTCCCAGAGTGTTGGGATTACAGGTGTGAGCCACCATGCCCGGCCTACAAATTGTCTTTTTTTTTTTTTTAACTTTTTATTTCCTGAACAACACCAATGTACAGAAATCATCTTTAAATATGGTACTCTGAAAGCTGCTGGTTGAGTTTAAAACTCCCCAGAAATATAGAAGGAGGTCAAGGAGAATTAAAACAAGCCATTCTGGCCGGGCTCAGTGGCTCACACCTGTAATCCCAGGATTTAGGGAGGCCAAGGCGGGCGGATCACCTGAGGTCAGGAGTTCGAGACCAGCCTGGCCAACATGGTGAAACCCCGTCTCTACTAAAAATACAAAAAAGTTAGGTGGGTGTGGTGGTGCGCCTGTAATGCCAGCTGCTCAGGAGGCTGAGGCAAGAGAATTACTTGAACCTGGGGGTTAGAGGTTGCAGTGAGCCGAGATTGCGCCACTGCACTTCAGCCTGGGCAACAGAGTGGGACTGCATCTCAAAAAAAAAAAAAAAAAAAAGAAGAAACTAGCCATTTTCTGGTCGGGCAGGGTGGTTTACTCCTGTAATACCAGCACTTTGGGATGGCAAGTTGGGTGGATTACCTGAGGTCAGGGTTTCAAGACCAGCCTGGCCAACATGGTGAAACCCCATCTCTACTAAAAATACAAAAAGTTGGCCAGGCGCAATGGCTCACACCTGTAATCCCAGCACTTTGGGAGGCCAAGGCGGGTGGATCACCTGAGGTCAGGAGTTCGAGACCAGCCTGGCCAACATGCTGAAACCCCATCTCTACTAAAAATTCAAAAATTAGCCAGGCTTGGTGGTGGGTGCTTGTAATCCCAGCTACCCGGGAGGCTGAGGCAGGAGAATTGCTTGAACCTGGGAGGCAGAGGTTGCACAGAGCCAAGATTGCGCCACTGCATTCCAGCTTGGGCAATAGTGCAAGACTTCATCTCAAAAAAAAAAAAAAAAAAAGAAAGAAAGAAAAAAGAAAGAAAAAAATGTGTGTGAATGTTATAGAGGTATGTTTTTGTGTGTAGATTTTTTTGTTTTTTAAAGACGGAGTTTCGCACTTGTTGCCCAGGCTGGAGTGCAATGGCGCAATATTGGCTCACGGCAACTTCCGCCTCCCGGGGGTTCAAGTGATTCTCCTCCTTCAGCCTTCCGAGTAGCTGGCATTACAAGCATGTGCCACCACACCCGGCTAATTTTGTATTTTTAGTAGAGATGGGGTTTCACCATGTTGGTCAGGCTGGTCTCAAACTCCCGACCTCAGGTGATCCACCTGCCTCGAGCTCCCAAAGTGCTGGGATTACAGGCATGAGCCACCATGCCCGGCAATTTTGTTTTAGTGTAGATTGTAATGTATATAATTTTGATAGAGAACTATTTTTTTTTTTTTTGAGGTGGAGTCTTGCTCTGTCACCCAGGCTGGAGTGCAGTGGCACGATCTCAGCTCAGCGTAACCTCTGCCTCCCGGGTTCAAGCGATTCTCCTGCCTCAGCCTCCTGAGTAGCTGGGATTACAGGCTCCCACCACCACGCTCGGCTAATTTTTTTGTATTTTTAGTAGAGACAGGGTTTCGCCATACTGGCCAGGCTGGTCTCCCAACTCCTGACCTTAGGTGATCCGCCTGCCTCGGCCTCACAAAGTGCTGGAATTACAGGCATGAGACACTGCTCCTGGCCGATAACTATTCTTATTGCTATAAATCTGGTAAAGAATATGACTAATTTGTCATCTAAAAAGCCAAACAAATATAAGACAGCCTTTTATTGTTATTACTATTATTATTATTTTTTCGAGACGGAGTCTTGCTCTGTCACCCAGGCTGGAGTGCAGTGTCTCAGTCTCGGCTCACTGCAACCTCTGCCTCCTGGATTCAAGCAATTCTTCTGTCTCATCCTCCCGAGTATCTGGGATTACAGGCATGCGCCACCAAGGCCAGCTAATTTTAGTATTTTTAATAGAGACGAGGTTTCACTGTGTTGGCCAGGCTGGTTTTGAACTCCTGGCCTCAAGTGATCTGCCCGCCTTAGCCTCCCAAAGTGCTGGGATTACAAGTGAGAGCCACCACACCCAACCCAGCCTTTTTTTATTATTGAGGGCTATCAGTGAGTCACTAATATTTGCAGCTATTTTAGTTGTTCGTATTAGCTGTGAAAGCTTGAGAAACTAAATTTTCCTAATCTTCAGTTTCCTTCTGTGTAAAATGAGGATAAGGGTAGTATCTGCTTTACCTGGCCATTGTGGGAATTAAAATGAGAAACTTATTTAAAATGCTTAGCACTGGGTGTGGGGAGGGGGGAGGGATAGCATTAGGAGATAGATATACCTAATGTTAAATGACGAGTTAATAGGGGCAGCATACCAACATGGCAGATGTATACATATGTAACAAACCTGCACGTTGTGCACATGTACCCTAAAACTTATAGTTATTAAAAAAAAAACGCTTAGCACAGTGCCTAGGACATAGGAGATTCTTAATTAATGTCAGCCATAATAATACTAAATATTATTGTTATTCAAGGTGACATCCCCTGCTCCTCCAACTGACAACTTATTCTTTAAATGTCTCCTACTCTCTTTCCCATCATAATGCTCTTTTATGCTCTGATGGCAGTTTGTGGCTGCCCCAGATATGTAAGAACATAATTCATTTCATTATAGTTACTTTTGCTTGCCATCCCCCTTACCAGAATGAGAGTTTTTGAGGTGAAGACCATGCTTTATTCATCTTTATAACCCTAATTT
Organism: Homo sapiens; assembly: GCF_000001405.40. Classification (NCBI taxonomy): domain Eukaryota; kingdom Metazoa; phylum Chordata; class Mammalia; order Primates; family Hominidae; genus Homo; species Homo sapiens. Next base: position 30,813,302 of record NC_000017.11, on the reverse strand, counting down.
CTGACACATACTAGGCCTCAATAAATGTTGAATGAATGCCTTTATGAATGTTGTGGGTGTAATTTGGCAGACATTCTTTTTTCGATTGTCTTGGTCTTGATGATGTGCACTCTATTAGTATAGATAATCAAGAATTAAGCGTGTATTTTTTTATATGATTTGTTTACTGCTACGTAATAAAACTGTGCCAAAGCTTAATGACTTAAAAAGCAACCATTTTATTTGCTTACAATTCTGGAAGTTGACTGGGGCTCAGATAGGTAGTTCTCCTGGTTTTGCTTGGCAACACTCTTGTGGTTGCAGTTGTGGCTGGAATGTCTGACAGAGAACATTCATTTATATTTGGAGACTTAGTATTAGCTAGTCTCAGTTGGAACACTGGCATACCTGGGCTTTGGTGCCAGTCTCTCTCCCTGTCTTCCTCCCTTCCTGCCTTTTCACCTTCCTGTCTCTTTCCCCTTGTCCTCTCCAGAAAGATAGACATACTTCTTTCATGGTGGCCTCCAAAAAGCAGATGTTGACAGGTCTTCTGAAGGATGAGGCCTGGAACTGGCACAGGATCAGTTTCACTCTATTGCTGTGCACGTGTGACTGCATTGCTAGTCACAGGCCCAGCCCAGATTCTAGGGGAGAGGACCACACAAGGCCACGAGTAGTTGGAAATGTGAATTCCTGGTTCATTGGGGGCCACTACTGTAACAGATTACCAAATCATATAATATACGTTTTCTGTTTGAAAGTTCTCAATTAAGCACTTTTTTTTCTAAAAAAGTCTTAAGTGTAAGAGAAACAAGGAGAAACATAGCAGTGCTTACAAGTCCATTCTTGAGTCAGACTGAATTCAAAATCTCTGCCACTTCACTAACTTTGTGATATGGCCAGTTTCATCTCTCTGACTCCCATGTTACTCATCTACACAGGTTCTCTTCACAGGGTTATGGTAGAGTTTAAATGAGACCATAGGTACAGATTTACCTGGCATACAGGTACTCAGTAGATAATAGCTGCTGCTGTATTGTTGCTGTTTCCATTATTACTAATGACTGATGTCTTGGTGTCAGTACAAAGACAAATAGCTAATGTAATATACATTTCACAGAAACTGAGAAAAAATATGTTGATTAGCGTTTTCAATTTCAGTTGACTATTTTTTATCTTTGTCTTTATTTTTATTTTTATTTTTATTTTTTTTTTAGACGGAGTCTCGCTCTGTCGCCCAGGCTGGAGTGCACTGGCGCAATCTCAGCTTGCTGCAAGCTCCGCCTCCCCCGCTCACGCCATTCTCCTGCCTCAGCCTCCCGAGTAGCTGGGACTACAAGTGCCCGCCACCAAGCCCAACTAATTTTTTGTATTTTTAGTAGAGACGGGGTTTCACCATGTTAGCCAGGATGGTCTCGATCTCCTGACCTCATGACCCGCCCGCCTCGGCCTCCCAAAGTGCAAGGGTTACAGGCGTGAGCCACCGCACCTGGCCTTTTTTTTTTTTTTTTTTTTTTTTTGAGACAGAGTCTCGTGCTGTCCCCTGGGCTGGAGTGCAGTGGCACGGCCTCGGCTCACTGCAACCTCCACCTCCCAGGTTCAAGCAATTTTCCTGCCTCAGCCTCCTGAGTAGCTGGGATTACAGGTGCCCGCCACCATGACCAGCTAATTTTTTTGTATTTTTAGTAGAGACGGGGTTTCACCATGTTGGCCAGGCTGGTCTTGAACTCCTGACTCCGTGATTCAACTGCCTCAGCCTCCCAAAGTGCTGGGATTACAGGCATGAGCCGCTGTACCCGGCTGTCTTTTATTTTTGATAAATATGTTTTTCTGTTTTTTTTTGTGGTGTTTTTTGTTTGTTTGTTTGTTCGAGACAGAGTATTGCTCTCTCACCTGGGCTGGAGTACAGTGGCGTGATCTCGGCTCACTGCAACCTCCACCTCCTGAGCTCAAATGATTCTCCTGCCTCAGCCTCCGAGTAGCTGGGATTACGGGCAGGCACCACCAAACCCAGCTAATTTTTGTGTTTTTAGCAGCGACAGGGTTTCACCATGTTGCCCAGGCTGGTCTCAAACTCCTGAGCTCAGGCAATCCACCTGCCTCAGCCTCCCAAAATCCTAGGATTACAGGCGTAAGCCACTGTACCTGGCCAGTTTTTAATCAGTATGTTCTTGTTAGCAAATAGTTTTGTGTTTTATATATGTGGTTTTCTTTTTTGTTTGTTTGGTTATTTTTGAGGCAGGGTCTCACTTTGTCACCCAGGCTGGAGGGCAGTGGTGCAAAAACCACCCACTGAAGCCTCAACCTCTCAGGCTCAAGTGTTCCTGTCACTTTAGCCTCCCAAGCAGCTGGGACTACAAGCCATGCCACCACACACAGCTGATTTTTTGTATTTTTTACTAGAGACAGAGTTTTGCCATGTTGCCCAGGCTGGTCTTGAACTCCTGGACACAAGTGATCCGTCCTTCAAAAGTGCCGGGATTATAGGCATGAGCCACCGCACCTGGCCTCTACATATGTCTTTTTAGTAACTAAACTCTGGAGGAAAATATATCAGTCACTGTTGTTTTGGAGGGTTGTGAAGGAAATACTCCCTAAGCTTTTGGGTGGCTTAGTATTGAAATACAAACTTGATGAATTTTTGGCATTTTGTGAGCTCTTAATCATGTTAAAATTTTAAAACAGTTGCTTTGGGGTTATATTCAGCTGTAGTGGAAACTTTGTAAGTTTTGTTTTTTATTATTTATTTATTATTTTTTTTTGAGGTGGAGTCTTGCTCTATTGCCCAGGCTGGAGTGCGATGGCACTATCTTAGCTCACTGCAACCTCCGCTTCCCGGGTTCAAGTGATTCTCCTGCCTCAGCCCAGTAGCTGGGACTACAGGCGTGCACCACTACGCTTGGGTAATTTTTGCATTTTTAGTAGAGACGGGGTTTCACCATGTTGGCCAGGCTGGTCTCGAACTCCTGACCACCTGATCTTGTGATCCACCTGCCTGGGCCTCCCAAAGTGCTGGGATTACAGGCATGAGCCAATGTGCTCAGGCCAAAACTTTGTAAGTTTTAATGGTCTGTTACATTAAAGGTTTTAGTGGCAGATTATTTCAAAATATTATTGATCAACATAAACAATGTATATTACAGTTTCCTGTTTGAAATCTTGTCTGTCATTTGTATTCTTAAATCTATTTTGTTACAAATCACCACAGTTGTTTTTGCCTTGAATGACTAGGTAGCATTTGAAGCTGATTGGTTGTCCACCACACAATTCTTTACACAGGGACAGGAAATACTACGTGTTATACCAAGAAGTGTCTTTAGCCAATACATAATTTACAGATTTATCTGGGAGCTCTTTTAAAATAGTGTTCTATGGCCGAGCGCGGTGGCTCACACTTGTAATCTCAGCACTTTGAGAGGCCGAGGCAGGAGGATTGCTTGAGTCCAGGAGTTCGAGACCAGCCTGGGCCACATGATGAAAATCCGTCTCGACAAAAAATACAAAATATAGCTGGGTGTAGTGACACATGCCTGTGGTCCCAGCTACCTGGGAGGCTAAGGTGGGAGAATCACCTGAGCCCAGGAGTTCGAGGCCGCAGTGAGTTGTGATTGTACCACTGCTCTCCAGCCTGGACGACCAAGTGAGAACCTGTCTCAAAAAAAAAGTGTCCTGTAAGTACAAAACAGCATGGTGTAATGAAAGAGCATAGTCTTTGGAGTTAGACTGTTTCTGGCACTGCGAAGCCTTGGGTAAGTTGTCTTCTTTCTCTTCTTTGGTCCTCACTTTCTGAAAGTGCATTGTGAAGATTTATTGAGTTAACAGTGAACGCATGGAACCATTGGTACCACATCAAATATGAAGAAATTCACTCAGCAGTGGAGCTGCATTTTTAAATTAGTTTCATAAAGTCAAGCAAATGAACTTGATTAGTTACATGATTGGATTAAAGGTGACTAGGCTTTAAATCATGAAATATTTCAAGGAAAAGAAAATGATCCCATGGTGGTATCAAGTTTCAAATGGCAGTGGTTGGGATTCTATGAGCAAAAGGGACCAAATTTACAATGAGAGTACAGGAGGTGAATTTGGAAATTGAGTCTCATTTTTTTAGCCCTCTGTCTGTTTTGTGTTCACTTACTTCCTTTTTTCTGAGGTTCTGAAACAAAAACAAAACGTAGGCTCTGCAACAGCTGAAGGAGCTTTTGAATTCTTTCTGAAGAGGAAATTGACTTTACCTAACCAATGCACTTCCTGTGTATGCTATATCCGCTAAAGAGCAAGACAGGACCTCAGAGGCACAGTGCTCAACTGCAGAATTTCCTCTTGGCCATTCGAAATGTATTACAGCGTTCTGACACAAGGTCTTCACTTATTCTGGTATCTGTAATATGTATACAAAGCAACTGAGGGTCCTGTTAAAAATACAGATTTGGCCGGGTGCGGTGGCTCATGCCTGTAATCCCAGCACCTTGGGAGGCTGAGGCGGGCAGATCACAAGGTCAGGAGTTCGCGACCAGCCTGGCCAAAATGGTGAAACCCCGTCTCTACTAAAAATACAAAAAAATTAGCTGGGCTTGGTGGCGCATGCCTGTAATCCCAGCTACTAGGGGGGCTGAGGCAGGAGAACTGCTTGAACCTGGGAGGCGGAGGTTGCAGTGAGCCGAGTTGGCGCCACTGCACTCCAGCCTGGGCGACAGAGCAAGACTCAAAAAAAAAATATATATATATACAGGTTTGGCTGGGCGCGTTGGCTCACGCCTGTAATTCCAGCACTTTGGGAGGCTGAGGCAGAAGGATCACCTGAGGTCAGGAGTTCGAGACCAGCCTGACCAATATGATGAAACCCCATCTCTACTAAAAATACAAAAATTAGCCAGGCATGGTGGCATGCGCCTGTAATCCCAGCTACTCAGGAGGCTGAGACAGGAGAATCACTTGAACCCGGGAGGTGGAGGTTGCAGTGAGCCAAGATTGCTCCATTGCACTGCAGCCTGGGTAACAAGAGCAAAACTCCATCTCCAAAAAAAAAAAAAAAAAAAAAAAAAATATAGGTTCTAGGGGAGGAGGAGGAAAGAAAAAAAATTCATGTTCTGATTTAGCAGTTCTGGGTGGGGCCTGAGATTCTGAATTTCTAACAGTATCCCAGGGGTTGTGTTAAAATCATAAGGTATTCTCTCTTTGGTTCTTTTAGAAAGTTCTTTGAAACACACATGATTAACTGCGTTTTCACTCAACAGCATTTGTTTACCAGATGCTATGTAGATGAGGGCCCAGTTTGCAAAGATCTCATAGTTGAATGGTGAGCTGAATCAAGTGCAATTTGGGTTTATGGCCTTTCTTTCTTTTTAAAATTTTTACTTGGATTTATTTCACAGAAATTCTTTGGTAAATACAGAAATTAGTTAACAATTAATTTAGGATTTCTCTTTGTGATTTAAAGAATTATTTTACTAACTGCATAAATATTATTATAACTGCGTTAATGTCAAATGGAGAGAAAAGGGCTGGATGAGGTGGCTCACGCCTTATCCCAGCACTTTGGGAGGCTAAGGTGGGTGGATCACCGGAGATCAGGAGTTCAAGACCAGCTTGGCGAAACTTTGTCTCTACTAAAAATACAAAAATTAGCCAGGCGTGGTGGCATGCGCCTGTAATCTCAGCTACTCAGGAGACTAAGGCAGGAGAATCTCTTGAACCCAGAAGGCAGAGGTTGCAGTGAGCCGAGATTGCGCCACTGCACTCCAGTCTGGGCCACAAGAGTGAAACTCTGTGTCAAAAAAAAAAAAAAAAAAAAAAAAAAAAAAAAGGAAAGAAAATTGTTTCTATGGTCTGCCCACCCAGTAAATGATACTGCTCTTTTTCTGTTTTAGTCCTTGGGCATGGGCATTTTTTGTTTTTACATGGTCGTGAACATTGCTGGGAAACAATATTGTATTCTGCTTTTTAAATTTAGAGAGAATTTAGAGAATAAATAGAAAGTTTTTAAATCTCTATATTAACTGTTGAAATATTGTCCTTTATTCATATTTTGATATGTTCTTTCTTGGTGGATTTTTCTTATACTTTAAACTTTCTTGATAAGAGAAAGTTAACAAAAGGGTTATGGTGGTAAACAATATGTCATATGAAACTAAGATAATAATATCTAGAAAGCAAAGTATGTTTTTGCTTTAACTTATCGGAGTGGCTTATAGTTAGAATTTTCCCATTAAGCGAGAGAAAATGAATTATATGTTACCTGAATTGTTTTTTGAGAAGAGGGCCTTGCTCTGTCGCCCAGGTCAGGTTGCAGTGGTGATCCTCCCACCTTGGCCTCCCAAAGTGCTGGGATTACAGGCATGAGCCACCATGCCTGGCCTGTTATCTGAAGTCTTTAAAATAAAAATCTGGACCAGGTGCAGTGGATCACTCCTGTAATCTCAGCATTTTGGGAGGCCAAGGTGGGAGGATTGCTTGAAGCTGGTTCAAGACCAGCTTGGGCAACATAGCAAGATCTCGTCTCTACAAAAAGTGAAAAATAAAATTAGCCAAGTGTGGTGGCCCGCACCTATAAGCTCAGCTACTCAGGAGACTGAGGCAGGAGGATCACCTGAGCCCAGGAGTTCAAGGCTGCAGTGAGCTAGGATGTGCAACAGAGTGAGACCCTGTCTCTGAAATAAAAGAAGAAAAATCTGGTGTCTGTATAAACAACCTATTTATCTTCATAATATATTTGACATGAAGATTTTCCTGTCATATCCCCTAGAATATGGGTTCTTAATCTGAGATCAGTAGATTTAGGGCAATGTTTCTCAAATTGTGGGCTACAGAATCACAGGTGTGCTTGGAAAAAATGAGAACTCCATCCATACACTCCTTTAGCCCCTCCTGTCATTTTCTGGTTCAGTAGGTCTGGGATGGAACTCTGCAGTCTGAATTATAACAAGTAGCCTACATGATTCTTCTGCAAACGAAGTTTCATAATTACTGCTCCAGGCAAGCCATGGTTTGGCTCTGAGGGAATTTGTAAACTTCTGCAATTGAATAATTTTTTAGGGTATAGATTATGTATTTTTTGGGGAAGAGGCTTTTTCTTCTCTTTCAATAACTTTGAAAGGAAGAGGCTTTATAAACCTCTCATTTAGATTGACAAAGAGCACTATAATTCAAAAAGGATTAAGTCATTGTCCCAGCTCTGCCTCCTACAGGCCTCTTTGGTTTTTAAATAATTTTTGGTTTTCTTTTAGCATAATGAGGGCATTTTATCCATGAGTTTTTTTGTTTGTTTGTTTGTTTGTATTGTGGCTTTTCATTTTTATTTAGAGACAGGGTCTCACTCTGTCACCCAAGCTAGAGTGCAGTGGTGCAGTCACAGCTTACTGCAGTCTCGACCCCCTGGGCTCAGGTGATCCTCCCACCTCAGCCTCCTAAGTAGCTGGGACTACAGGCATGTGCCACCATGCCCGGCTAATTTTTGTATTATTTGTAAAGACAGGATTTCTCCATGTTATCCAAGCTGGTTTCAAACTCTTGGGCTCAAGTGATCCTCCTGCCTCAGCCTCTCAAAGTGCAAGGATCATAGGTGTGAGCCACTGCACCTGACCATGGCTTGCTTTTTTTTTTTTTTTTTTGAGACGGAGTCTCACTCTGTTGCCCAGGCTGGAGTGCAATGGCGCGATCTCAGTTCACTGGAACCTTCGCCTCCCGGGTTCAACCGATTCTCCTGCCTCAGCATCCTAAGTAGCTGGGATTACAGGCATGCACCACCAAACTCAGCTAATTTTTTTGTGTTTTTAGTAGAGATGGAGTTTCACCATGTTGGTCAGGCTGATCTTGAACTCCTGACCTCATGATCCACCCACCTCGGCCTCCCAAGTGCTGGGATTATAGGCATGAGCCTCCATGCCCAGCTGACCATAGCTTTTTAATCTACCACTTCTTTGCTGCTTTTCAGTAAAATGAATTTTAATCCCCTCATAATTAAACAATTTTCAGTATTGAAACGTACACTTTTCAAGAACAACTTTGTATAGATAATAATTTATAACTTTTTTTAGCGAGTATAACAATGTGCCATTTATTTTACCCACTGTAGTACCTAGATTATTTTAATTTATCCTCACAGCAACTCCATGAAGTAACTATTATTTATTTCTCTTTTTTGAAATGGCGTCTCACTCTGTTGCCCAGCTGGAGTGCAGTGGCGCAATCTTGGATCCCTGCAACCTCCATCTCCCAGGTTCAAGCAATTCTCCTGCCTCAGCCTCGCAAGTAGCTGGGATTACAGGCCCGCACTACCACGTCCAGCTAATTTTTGTATTTTTAGTAGATACAGGGTTTCACTACGTTGGCCAGGCTGGTCTTGAACTCCTGACTTCAAATGATCTGCCCTCCTCGGCCTCCCAAAGTGCTGGGATTACAGGCATGAGGCACTGCGCCCGGCTGAAATAACTATTATTATGCTCATTTGACAAATAAGAAAATTGAGGCATAGAATACTTAATTAACTTAACCAAATTGACATAGTTTGTGAATGATGAAACCAAGATTTGGCTTATTCTATCTGACTTGAAGGGCAGTTCTGTGTACTTCTGTCTGTTTGTGCAAATGAATCACATTTGGTTTATCAATGAATGGAAGATGTATATATACAATGGAATGCCATTCAACCTTAAAAGAGAAGGAAATTCTGTCATTTGTGACAGCATGGATGAACCTGAAGGACACTATGCTAAGTGAAATAAGCCAGATACAGAAATAAACATACTGCACGATCTCATATGTAGAATCTAAAAAGGTCGAAGTCATAGAAGCAGAAAGTAGAATGGTGCTTGCCAGGGATGGAGTTGGGGATGGGGAGATGTTGGTCAAAGGGTACAGAGTTTCAGTTATTTAATATGTGTAAATTCTAGAGAGCTCAAGTACAGGATAGGGACAATAGTTAATAATAGTGTAATGTATACTTGGAATGTGTTAGGAGAGATCATAAGTGTTCTCACCACACACAGAGGTAACCATGTGAAGAGATGGACATGTTAATTAGCTTAACTATAGTTAACAGTTCACTATGTATATGTGTATCAAAATATCACACCTTAAATATAATTTCAGTTAATCTTTTTTTTACTAAATTGAAGAAGATGGTTATACAGTGCTTTTAGATTCATGTGAATTATACCTTTGGATTAGCCTTTTTTAAAGATTCTGATTTTGAGTATTTTGTTATTTCTTTTTAGATCAAAGAAAGTGCATCACAGACAAGGGATGTTCTCAAACAGCATTTTAATGATTTAAAGGGAACCCTTGGAAAGCTCCTGGATGAGCGATTGGTGACCCTTTTGCAAGAGGTGGACACCATTGAACAGGAGACCATTAAACCACTAGATGACTGCCAGAAGCTCATAGAACACGGAGTCAACACTGCAGAGGACTTAGTCCGAGAAGGTGGGGGACCAGGGAGCCTGTTGTATTAGTGCATTCGTCCATTTTCACACTGCTGATAAAGACATACCTGAAACTGGGCAATTTACAAAAGAAAGAGGTTTAATGAACTTACAGTTCCATGTGGCTGGGGAGGCCTCACAATCATGGCAGGTGAAAGGCACATCTCACATGGCGGCAGACAAGAGAAGAGAATGAGAGCCAAGCGAAAGGGGTTTCCCCTTAAAATACCATTAGATCTCATGAGAGTTATTCACTACCAAGAACAGTGTGGGAGAAACTGCCCCCATGATTCAATTATCTCCCACCGGGTCCCTCCTGCAACACATGGGAATTATGGGAGTACAATTCGAGATGAGATTTGGGTGGGGACACAGAGCCAAATTATATCACAGGTTAAATGTGGTTCGTTCAGATTGACATTTTGCTGATTTCTCAGGATAGCAGCAGGCTTCTTGCCAGCTGTGGGGTTCTTAGAATGTTCTTACCTAGAGACAGTTTGTAATATAGGATGACAGATATACCGTTAGGTATCGCATGGCAAGTGCAGTTGAAGTGTTAGTTATAATTAGTTATAAAACAAGAAAGAATAAATGATATGGGGCACATTGAGATGTTTTGATACAGGCATGCGGTGTGTAATAATCACATTGTGGAAAATGGGGTATCCATTCTCTCAAGCATTTATCTTCTGTGTTACAGTCAATCAAATTATATATATATATATATTTTTTTTTTGACACAGGGGTTTTGCTCTGTTGCCCAGGCTGGAGTGCAGTGGTGCTGTCAGAGCTCACTGCAGTCTTGACCTCCCTGGCTCAGGTGATCCTCCCACCTCAGCCTCCCAAATAGCTGGGATTACAGGCGCGTCCCACCATGCCTGTAATTTTTTAGTATTTTTAGTAGAGACAGGGTTTCACCATGTTGCCCAGGCTGGTCTCGAATTCCTGGTCTCAAGCAATCTTCTCATCTTGGCCTCCCAAAGTGCTGGGATTACAGGCAAAAGCCACCACAATTACAGTCTCCATTGTTTTATTTAGAAAGTTTAAAAAAATGTGATTGGTGTTTACTCCTATCTTTGCCAATTATTTCCATTGAGTCATGCCCTGCTGCCTTCCTTTCTTCATTATACCACCTTCCTTCAACAGAGATCTTTGTCAGGCACATAACATAAACAAGGGGGCCAGGTGTGGTGGCTCACGCCTGTAATCCCAGCACTTTGGGAGGCTGAAGCAAGTGGATCACTTGAGGTCAGGAGTTTAAGACCAGCCTGGGCAACAGCCTGTCGCTACAAAAAAAAAAAAACTTAGCTGGGCATGGTGGCATGCACCTGGAGTCCCAACTACTTAAGAGGCCGAGGCGGGAGGATCCCTTGAGGCCAGGAGATTGACACTGCAGTGAGCCGTGATTGCACCACTGCACTCCAGCCTGGGTGACAGAGTAAGACCCTGTCTCAAAAAATATAAAATAAGACTAAGAATAAAGGCCGGGCACGGTGGCTCACGCCTGTAATCCCAGCACTTTGGGAGGTGGAGGTGGGCGGATCATCAGGTCAGGAGATCAAGACCATCCTGGCCAACATGGTGAAACCCCGTCCCTACTAAAAATACAAAAATAGCCGGGCGTGGCAGCGCATGCCTGTAGTCCTAGCTACTCGGGAGGCTGAGGCAGGAGAATTGCTTGAACCCGGGAGGCGGAGGTTGCAGTTAGCCGAGATTGCACCACTGCACTCCAGCCTGGGTGACAGAGTGAGACTCCCTCTCAAAAAAAAGAAAAGAATAAAATAGGTGAGAGTTCTTTCCTTTGGGATTCAGAGCCCAGTGAGAGAGAGATACATGCTAAGAGATCAAGACCTTATTGGAGCATAGAGGAGGAAGTTCTTAACTTTGTCTGGAATAGTGTGGGATAGCTTTCTGTAGGAAGAGTTCCACAGAGGCTTGAAGCAATTCATCCAGCAGACATAGGAAAAAGAGGAGGTAACAGCATGATTCCAAGCAGAAGTAACATTATCATAAGTGGAGTGAATGGCATATTCAAGGATTAGTTGAAGCATTTTAAGCAGCAGAGTGACAGGATCAGATGTGCATTTAAAAAAAAAATGACCCTGCCTATTTGGAGACTATGTTAGAGATTGTAAGACTAGAGGGAAAAGAGACTGATTAAAAAGTTATTAGAGGCCGAGGCCAGGCTAACACCTATAACCCCAGCACTTTGGGATGTCAAGATGGGAGGATCACTTGAGGTCAGGAGTTTGAGACTAACCTGGCCAACATGGTAAAACCCCATCTCTACTAAAAATACAAAATTTAGCCAGACGTGGTGGTGGGCACCTGTAATTCCAGTTACTCGGGAGGCTGAGGCAGGAGAATCACTTGAACCTGGGAGACAAAGGTTGCAGTCAGCCAAGATCACAACACTACACTCCAGCCTGGGCAACAGAGTGAGACTCCGTCTCAAAATAAAAAAAAATTATTAGAAACTGGGCACGGTGGTTCATGCTTGTAATCCCAGCACTTTGGGAGGCTGAGGCGGGTGGATCACTTGAGCCCAGGAGTTCAAGACCAGCCTGGGCAAGATAATGAGACCCCATCTCAAAAAAAAAGTTATTAGAAAGTAATCCAGGTAGGAATGGTAAAGGCGGTGGCTGGTAAAGATGAGGCAGGGCTGATTTTAAGAGATTTTGAGCCAGGCACAATGGCTCACACCTGTAATCCCAGCACTTTGGGAGCCTAGACAGGAGAGGAGGATCATTTGAGGTAAGGAGTTCGAGACCAGTCTGGGCAATGTAGTGAGATTGTCTCTAATTTTTTTAAAAAAAAATAGCTAGGCGTGCTGAGCACAGTGGCTCACACCTGTAATCCCAGCACTTTGGGAGGCCGAGGCAGGCATATCACAAGGTCAAGAGATCAAGACCATCCTGGCTAACACAGTGAAACCCCATCTCTACTTAAAATACAAAAAGTTAGCCAGGCATGGTGGCAGGCGCCTGTAGTCCCAGCTACTCGGGAGGCTGAGGCACGATAATGGCGTGAACCCAGGAGGCGGAGCTTGCAGTGAGCCTAGATCGTGCTATGGCACTCCAGCCTGGGCGACAGAGCGAGACTCCGTCTCAAAAAAAAAAAAAAAAAAATTAGCCAGGCATGGTGGCACACACAAGTTGTCCCAACTACTCAGGAGGCTGAGGTGGGAGAGCTTGAGCTATGATTGCAGCACTGCACTCCAGCCTGGGCAACAGAGCAAGACCCTGTCTCTTAAAAATAAAAACAAAAAAACAAGACAGAGTTTTTTTTTTTTTTAAGAAGTAGAATTATTGATGATTTTACTGAGCAGTGACTGTTATCTGTAGATGATTACCTACATATGTGATGGAGGGGAAAGGAAAGGATTTGTGATAACAAAAATCAGCCTACTTTTGGATTCTGAATAAATAGTGGTGCTGTTTTTGACAAAGGAATTGAAGGAGAAGGCGGGTGCTTAGTACGTAGTTAGGCATTTGGCTTGGGCATGGTGAGTTTGAGGTGCTTAAGATGGAAATACGGGTATGATTCTTAGGAGAGAGATCATACCAGGAGATGTCAGTATGGCAGTTAATGGCATATATATCAAATCTGAATCTATTGGAATAAGTACAATCATCAAGGGACACCGTGTAATGTGAGAAGAGCAGATGAAAGAGATTAGAACGCTAAGGGTCACCAACATTTAAAAGTCATTTGAGGAAAAAGGAGCTAGGGAAGGAGACTGAATTCCATCTCTTCTGCAGAATGAGTGCTGGGAGTGGTGTGGGAAAAAGGCGTGGATGATTCACATGGCTGTCACTCCACCTGGAAGTTAATCTTCTTTTGGTCCCACTTAGAATATAGTATGGGTGTTATCTTGACATTGCTGGTTACATTTTTGTCTTGTCTTCAATGAGAAGTGTTTATTTGCCACTGACCATAACAGTACTTTTGAGAAAATTCTAGCAGTACCATGAAATGTCTTTCCTTGGTGGCTTTGCATTTGGAAACAAACCCAGAAGCAGTGCACCACGGGCCAGGAGTGTACACTCATCACCCTGAGGACTGATCATTTGTTTTTATTTTAGAAGATAAATCCTGGCCGGGCGCGGTGGCTCGTGCCTGTAATCACAACACTTTGGGAGGCCGAGGGGGGCGGATCATCTGAGGTCAGGAGTTCAAGACCAGCCTGGCCAACATGGTGAAACCCCGTCTCTACTAAAAATACAAAAATTAGCTGGGCATGGTGGTGGGCACCTGTAATCCTAGCTACTCGGGAGGCTGAGGCAAGAGGTTGCAGTGAGCTGAGATTGCACCATTGCACTCCAGTCTGGGCGACAAGAGCAAGACTCCATCTCAAAAAAAAAAAAAGATAAATCCTGGCTGGGCATAGTGGCACATTCCTGTAGTCCTAGCTACTTGGGAGGCTGAGGCGGGAGGATCCCCTGAGCCCCAGAGTTTGAGGTTGCAGTGAGCTGTGATTATACATCACACTCCAGCCTGGGTGACAGAGTGAGACTCTGTCTCAAAAAGAAAAAATCCCTTTGAGGCAGTGTGAGTGTTACAGCATTTGATACTTGAATATTTTTGTATGTCCAAAATTTAATTTAATTAATTAACTTATTTATTTTTGAGATGGCGTGTTGCACTGTTGCCTGGGCTGGAGTGCAGTGGCACGATCTCAGCTTGCTGCAGCCTACGCCTCGCAGGTTCAAGCGATTTTCCTGCCTCAGCCTCCCGAGTAGCTGGGATTATAGGCGCCCGCCACCACGCCCAGCAAATTTTTTGTATTTTTAATAGAGACAGAGTTTCACCATGTTGGCCAGGCTGGTCTAGCACTCCTGACCTCGTGATTTGCCCACCTCGGCCTCCCAAAGTGCTGGGATTACAGGCGTGAGCCACTGTGCCTGGCCTATGTTTTTTAATTAAAAAAAATTATTATACATCTCAGCAGCAGAAGGAAACTTTAGGAATATTTTTAATGTCAAACTCTTTCCTATTCTCCTGAGGGATAGAAACTTACTTATGGAATTTTGAGGATTTTATTTATTTATTTACTTATTTTTGAGACAGAGTCTCACACTGTTGCCCAGGCTGGAGTGCAGTGGCACGATCTTGGCTCACTGCAACCTCCACCTCTCGGGTTCAAGCGATTCTAGTGCCTCAGCCTCCCTAGTAGCTAGAACTACAGGAGCGTGCCACTATGCCCAGCTACTTTTTGTATTTTTAGTAGAGACGGGGTTTCATCATGTTGGCCAAGCTAGTCTTGAACTCCCAACCCCAGGTGACCCACCAGCCTCAGCCTGCCAAAGTGCTGAGATTATAGGCATGAGCCACAGTACCCGGCCATGTCTCTGTTTTTCTTTTGGTGAAGGAGAAGGTCATATGGTCTCAAAAAACTTGAGTAACTACAGGGCACATTTAGATGGAAAAGAGTTCTGGCAGTGTTCTTCAGGGCTGTGGAAGGACATAGAAGTTGGTCATTTTCATATCATATGCCTCTATGTAACTTTTTTTTTTGGCGGGGGGGACGGAGTCTCGCTCTTTTGCCCAGGCTGGAGTGCAGTGGCGTGATCTCGGCTCACTGCAACCTCCATGTCCCGGATTCAAGTGATTCTCCTGCCTCAGCCTCCCTAGTAGCTGGGAATACAGGCACCTGCCACCACACCCAACTAATTTTTGTATTTTTAGTAGAGACAGGGTTTCACCATGTTGGCCAGGATGGTCTTGATCTCCTGACCTCGTGATCCACCTGCCTCCGCCTCCCAAAGTGCTGGGATTACAGGCGTGAGCTACCGCACCCAGCCTGACATTTTCTTTTTATTGTTCTGTTGAATAATTTGTAATCTGATATATGATACTCTTTTAGGAAAACATAGATGCATCATTTGGCTTTTCAAGCCTTATGCCCAGCCTGGGCAACATAGTGAGACCTCATCTCTACCAAAAAAAAAAAAAAAAAAATAGCTGGGCATGGTGGCGTGCACGTGTGGTCACAGCTACTTGGGAGGCTGAGATGGGAGGATTGCTTGAACCTGGAAGTTCAAGGCTGCAGTGAGTTATGATCCTACCACTGTGCTCCAGCATGAGTGACAGAACAAGACCCAGTCTCAAAAAAAAAAAAAAAAACACCCTATCCCCTGTTGCACCTCTCAGGGCAATATTTTGTACTGGCTCCTATTGAAGTTCATAATGATTCTGTAGGAGAGATGGAAAGAAGTCCCTGGGCTTTCTGCTTTGCCTAAAATTGGTTGATTTCCTTGTATAGAGTAGATAGATTTTTCATCTCTGGCAAAATGTTGCCACTGTATATCCCTTTTCCTCTTGGATTTGATCTTAGAGTCACGTCTAAAATAGTTTCTACTTTAACTTTTTGGGAATTTGACTGTGGCATCACTTAAGAACTTATTTGCAAGAACGCTAGAGACCCACCCAGACATGAGTTGTGTTGATTACTTTATATGTGACCATTTTCATTGTTCTAGTTCTCTTATTCTTGATTGTAGGTGAAATCGCCATGCTTGGTGGTGTGGGAGAAGAGAATGAGAAACTGTGGAGCTTTACCAAAAAGGCCTCGCACATTCAGTTGGACAGGTAAAAGAGTTTGTGCCTTTTTGACTTACTTTTAAGCATTTAAACTATGTCTGCTTTTTTCCTCCCTCTGTTCAAGATTCTCATTAAGGGAGATAGAGAATATATATTTCAAGGTTTTCAGACCATGCGTGGTGGTTTACACCTGTAATCCCAGCACGTTGGGAGGCCAAGGCGGGTGGATTGCTTGAGGCCAGGAGTTTGAGACCAGCCTGGCCAACATGTTGAAACCCTGTCTCTACTAAAAATATAAAAATTAGACGGGCATGGACCTGTAATCCAGCTACTTGGGGAGGCTGAGACAGGAGAATTGCTTGAACCCAGGAGGCAGATGTTGCAGTGAGCCAAGTTTGTACCACTACACTCCAGCCTGGGCAACAGCAAGACTCCATCTCAAAATAAGTATAAAATAAAATAAAAAATTATCCGGGCATGGTGGCGTGCGCCTGTAAGTCCCAGCTACTCGAGAGGCTGAGGCAAGAGAGTCGCTTGAATCGGGGAGGTGGAGGTTGCAGTGAGCTGAGATCGCACCACAGCACTCCAGCCTAGGGGACAGAGTGAGACTCTGTCTGAAAAAAAAAAAAAAAAGCGTTTCACTGCCCATTACCACTGTTACTAATGAAATAGTTGTGATTATAATCCTTGGTATAGTATTACTACACATTTTTTCAATCCAATATATAAAAGAATTGTTAAATTTTAGAAATTATCAATGTATTGTTGAAATGGAGTCATATTCCAGTAAACCAGATCTTTTGGCTTAAACTGGACAGTTATGATCCTACCAATTTTCTGTCTTACTTATATTTATTTGAAAAGAGAATCTTTGTGTAACATCTTGCAAATCCCCTACTGCCATGAGAATTAATTACTGGGGGCTTCAGGATCTTTCAAGCATGTGACTGCTCTAAAATATTTCTTGTATTTTTTAACTCTCAGTTAGAGGTCTCATAACACATGAGCTTTGTTTCCTCAGCTTACCAGAAGTACCTTTACTGGTTGATGTGCCTTGTTTATCTGCTCAGTTGGATGACTCAATTCTTAACATAGTGAAAGACCACATTTTTAAGCATGGAACAGTAGCATCTCGCCCACCAGTACAGATAGAAGAACTAATAGAGAAACCTGGAGGCATCATTGTACGATGGTGTAAGGTATGTAATTCAGAATTCTAGAAATGACTTCCACATTATGGGTTTGCGATTTGGAGGCCTTTCAGATTTTTTCGTTGACTACTTTTAAATACATTCTTTTCTTCTCAAACAAAAATCTCTTTTACTTTACAGTTAAAATGAAGTCACATGGAACACTGAGGTAGCTCTTCCAGTTTTATTTTTATTTTATTTATTTATTTTTTGAGACAGAGTTTTGCTCTTTCACCGAGGCTGGAGTGAAGTGGCGTGATCTCGGCTTACTGCAACCTCCATGCCCTCCCCCGCCTGCCGCTTCCCCCGGGTTCAAGCCATTCTCCTGCTTCGGCCTCCTGAGTAGCTGGGATTATAGGCACCTGCCATCACACCTGCCTAATTTTTGTATTTTTTGTAGAGACGAGGTTTCACCATGTTGGCCAGGCTGTTCTTGAACTCCTGACCTCAGGTGACCCACTCGCCTCGGCCACCCAAAGTGCTGGGATTATAGGTGTGAGCCGCCGTGCCTGGCCTTTTTTTTTTAAATGAAGCCTTGCTGTGTCGCCCAGGCTGGAGTGCAGCGATGCAACCTCCGACCTCAGGTGATCTGCCCACCTTGGCCTCCCAAAGTGCTGGGATTACAGGTGTGAGCCACTCCGCCTGGCTGACATTTTCTTTTTTTTTTTTTTTGAGACAGAGTTTCGTTGTTGTTGTTCAGGCTGGAATACAATGGCACGATCTTGGCTCACCACAACCTCCGTCTCCCGGGTTCAAGCAATCCTCCTGCCTCAGCCTCCCAAGTAGCTGGGATTAAGGCATGCGCCACCACACCTGGCTAAGTTTGTATTTTTAGTATTTTTGTATTTTTAGTAGAGACAGAGTTTCTCCATGTTGGTCAGGTTGGTCTCAAACTCCCGACCTCAGGTGATCTGCCCACCTCGGCCTCCCAAAGTGCTGGGATTACAGGTGTGAGCCACTGTGCCCAGCTGAGATTTTATTAAAAGGAAATTTTTTTTTCTTTTTTTATAAACATGCTGTTGTTATTTTCTAACAGGACTGTCATTCCATTTTTATTATTTTTCCTATCAGTGGACCTAGTTATTTCCAGTTTTTTGCTATAAGTATTTTTACTTGTGTTTCTTTATGGACATATGTGAAGTTTGTAAAATATTAATATTTACCTAGGTGTAAAATTATGAGGTCTTCTTAGAGTATTGGATCCATACGCTGATAGGTAATAACAAACTTTCCACAAGATGATTCTATCAATTTAGCCTTCCAAGGAGTATATGAGTTTCTGTTATTCCATATCTTGACCAATAATTGGCATTGTGAGACTTTATATTTTTGCCTAAATGTACCTTGTTGTGGTTTTATTTATTTGTTTGTTTTTGAGACAGGGTCTCACTCTGTCACCCAGGCTGGAGTACAGTGGCACAATCATGTCTCCAGTCTCAATCTCCTGGGCTCAAGTGATCCTCCCGCCTCAGCCCCCAAGTAATTGGGACTTCAGGCATGTGCTTCCACAGCCAGCTAAGTTTTGTAATTTTTTGTAGAGATGGGGTTTTGCTGTGTTGCCTAGGCTGGCCTCAAATTCCTGGGCTCAAGTGCTCCACCCGCTTCGGCCTCTCAAAGTGTTAGGATTATAGGCATGAGCCATCATGTCTGGCCTTGTTGTGGTTTTAGATCGTATTTGCCATATTACAAATTAGGTACAAATTAGGTTGAATATTCATAATATACATTTTTGGCTATTTATGTTTCTTCTCCTGTAGAACGCTTATTTATGTCTTTTACCCATTTTTCTATTGGGTGGCTAATTAACATACAGAATATATGCAGGACCCCTAAAAATTAATGGGGGTTCTGTATACTGTATGTTAATTATCTCTTGGTTATTATGAATGATGTATGGTTGTGGGAGACTTACTGAATCTTGAATGTTTTATCTTTGGCATTGATTAAAAAACATGCCATTTCTTCAAAGGAGGCAGACTTTTTTATATCAGACTGGGAAATACAGAACACATGGTTCAATAAAGAAAAGAAGGGAGCCCAGGCGCAGTGTCTCACGCCTATAGTCCTAGCACTTTGAGAGGCTGAGACGAGAAGATTGCTTGAGCTCAGGAGTTAAAGATCTGAGATATGGTGAAGCCCAGTCTCTACAAAAAATACAAAAAATTAGCCGGACATGGTGGTGTGCACCTGAAATCCCAGCTACTTGTGGGGTGGAAGGAAGAGGATGGCTTGAACCCGGGGTGTGGAGGCTGCAATAAGCCGAGATCACGCCACTGCACTACAGCCTGGGTGACAAAGTGAGACCCTTTCTCAAAAAAAAAAGAAGGGAGATAATGATGTGATGGCATATTTTCTATGGCCTTCCCAAGAATACCCCATATTCAGCATGTGGGCCTGTCTGCTTGGTCCAAAATGGCTCCGTTCAAAATTTTTAAGCAGTGATGCTGAGAGAAGTCATTTTCTGTTTTTTACCTAACATAAAGCTTTTCTCCCTAGGTGGATGATGACTTTACAGCCCAAGATTACAGGCTCCAGTTTCGTAAATGTACTTCAAATCATTTTGAGGATGTATATGTAGGTTCTGAAACTGAATTCATAGTATTGCACATAGACCCCAACGTTGATTACCAGTTCAGAGTCTGCGCCCGAGGAGATGGCCGACAGGAGTGGAGTCCTTGGAGTGTCCCCCAGATAGGTCATTCCACATTGGTGCCTCATGGTATGCTGCTAACCTTTTCTCTCCTGAAGCCTAACTATATATTAGAATACCTGTATTCTGTGCTAAGGGCAGCACACTGACAACCAGCTATTCTAAGCATAGATCCTGAATTGATAAGAACAACATGCACCATGTCTTTTACTCAGATTACCTCATGTGATTTTTGTTTTCATCAGTTCTTCAGAGTCCAAAAAAAATGCTGGACAAGATTTTTAGCCTCATTGAAAACCAAAGATTGAAAATATTATGTAGGGCACTGATATTCCTTTTTATTCTTTTTTTTATATTTGAATGTTATTTAGTTAGTTTTTTTGAGACAAGGTCTCACTCTGTCGCCCAGGCTGGTGTGTGGTGGTGCAATCATGCAGCCTGACCTCTAGATCCTTCTGCCTCAGTCTCCCAAGTAGCTGGGACCACCTGCATGCACACCACACCTGGCTAATTTTTTATTTTTTTCTAGAGACTGGGTCTTGCTATGTTGCCCAGGCTGGTCTCAAATTCCTGGGCTCAAGCAATCCTCTTGCCTCGGCCTCCCAAAGTGCTGGGATTACAGGCGTGAGCCACCGCGCCTGGCCTATTAATTAGATTTTTATCAGGTTGGAATAAGTTCAAGCAATTATGCTTGTACAATGATTTTATTAGATAAGAGATAACACTTGTGTGATTTATTATGTCAAAATTATGCAGGAATATACTAAAATCTTTTGTAATTTGTGGGACTGATCATGATACCCTGTTAATGGAATCTTTTATTTTATTGAACTTGACCATGGCCCCTAAGAGTAGTCTCCCATTTCCATGTTTTATTTAACGTGTCTGTATTGAAGATATCCCTCAAGAGATTCTAACAGTTTTCAATATCTTTGCTTTGAAAAAGAGTGGACAGCTGGTTTTGAGGGGTACAGTCTGAGCAGTCGAAGAAATATAGCACTTCGGAACGATTCTGAATCATCGGGTGTTCTCTACTCCAGAGCTCCGACTTATTTCTGTGGGCAGACATTAACATTCAGGCAAGTAGATATTAAAACATCTCACCTGCCTCAGGAAGCAGAGTGAAGTGCATAGAGCATACATAAGCTTTGAATTCAAAACATCCTGAGTTTATTCCGTCATTTATAGGCAGTGTTACTGTGGGAAGGCTTCTTTATTTCCTGTAGCTGTAGTTTTCTCATCTGTATTCACAGGGTTATTACGTAGATTAACTGGGAAATGTATATAAAATGCTTGTTATTTAATATGTTTATATCTCTTTTCCTCTTGGTAAGTAGAGGTAAGTAGAGTATCTCTCAAAAGTCAATCTTAGGCTGGGCATAGTGGTTCACACCTGTAACCCCAGCACTTTGGTAGGCCGAGGCAGGTGGATCACCTGAGGTCGGGAGTTCGAGACCAACCTGAGCAACATGGAGAAACCCCATCTCTACTAAAAATACAAAATCAGCCGGGCATGGTGGCACATATGCCTGCAATCCCAGCTACTTGGGAGGCTGAGGCAGGAGAATTGCTTGAACCCAAGAGGCAGAGGTTGCAGTGAGCTGAGATCATGCCATTGCACTCCAGCCTGGGCAACAAGAGCGAAACTGTGTCTCAAACACACACACAAAATTAAAAAGTAAATCTTAAAAATTTAGAGGCCTGGCCAGGCACGGTGGCTCACACTTGTAATCCCAGCACTTTGGGAGGCTGAGGCGGGCGGATCACGAGGTCAGGAGATTGAGAACATCCTGGCTAACATGGTGAAACCCCATCTCTACTATAAATAAAAAAATTAGCCGGACATGGTGGTGGGTGTCTGTGGTCCCAGCTACTCGGGAGGCTGAGGCAGGAGAATGGCGTGAACCCGGGAGGCGGAGCTTGCAGTGAGCCGAGATCACGCCACTGCACTCCAGCCTGGGCGACACAGCAAGACTCCGTTTCAAAAAAAAAAAAAATTTTAGAGGCCAAGAGACTGGACGCAGTGGCTCACACTTGTAATCCCAGCACTTTGGGAGGCCGAGGCGGTTGGATCACTTGTGGTCAGGAGTTCGAGACCAGCCTGGTCAACCTGGTAAAACCCCATCTTTACTAAAAATACAAATATTAGGACAGGCGCAATGGCTCCCGCCTGTAATCCCAGCACTTCGGGAGGCTGAGGTGGGTGGATCACAAGGTTAGGAGATCAAGACACCACCCTGGCCAACATGGTGAAACCCCATCTTTACTAAAAATACAAAAATTAGCTGGATGTGGTAGTGCACACCTGTAATCCCAGCAACTAGGGAGAGTGAGGCAGGAGAATCACTTGAACCCGGGAGGCAAATGTTGCAGTGAGCCATTGCACTTCAGCCTGGCAACAGGGCAAGACCCGTCTCAAAAAGAAAAAAAAAATTAGCAGGGTGTGGTGGCACACACCTATAATCCCAGCCACTCAGGAGGCTGAGGCATGAGAATTGCTTGAGCCTGGGAGGCAGAGGTTACAGTGAGCTGAGATCGCGCCACTGTACTCCAGCCTGGGTGACTGAGCGAGACTCCGTCTCAAAAAAAAGAAAAAAAGCATAGGCCGGGCACTGTGGCTCATGCATATTATCCCAGCACTTTGGGAGGCCGAGGTGGGCAGATCACGAGGTCAGGAGATCGAGACCATCCTGGCCAACATAGTGAAACCTCGTCTCTACTAAAAATACTAAAAATTAGCTGGGTGTGGTGAGGTGCGCCTGTAGTCCCAGCTACTCGGGAGGCTGAAGCAGGAGAATCACTGGAAGCCTGGAGGCGGAGGTTGCAGTGAGCAGAGATCGTGCCACTGCACTCCAGCCTGGGAGACAGTGCAAGATTCCGTCTGGAAAAAAAAAAAAAAAAAAAAAAAAAAAGCAAAAAAATTTACTGGCCAAGAATTTGTTTTGTCCTTTGTGAATCATTAACAGCAAGTCTTTGTAAGAGACAACACTGTAAACATATTATGTATATGCTACTCTCTAAAGTAAAACTGAAAGCAAGCCTCCCCTACCACTAATTAATGTTGTTTCTCTACCCATTTCTTTCTGTAATGGAAAAGTTTCTTTTTTCTTGTTTTCATGTTATCTGAGATGTATTCTTTATAGTCATGTTTCTGAATAGCTCTTCGTAGAAACTAAAGACCAGTTTTGACTTAGAGAAGTAAAGTTTGCCTGATTTTCACCATACTCACCTTAGTGTAACAAGCTCTCCTCTAAGTTTTAAGTCTTGAGATGGGATTTTATTGTGAATGCTTGACCCAAGTTCCTTTTGTTCTCAGGCCCTTATTATTTAAGGCATGGAGAATATCTGAATATTTTATCTAAGCCAGTGTTGCTGTATTCCTCTCCAGCTAAGTAATTTGAATTGTCAGCGGTTGTCAGATTATACTAGTTTGTTTTGTCTAATTTTTGACACCTCACCCCTTAATGAAGAATGACTCAGTAAACAGAAAAATACCAACAAAGAGAGAGAGAGGAAAAAAAAAAACAACTAATACCTAAAATCTATTTAACTATTCCCCAGGTAATCATGAGTTTTCTGTACTTACATACCCCTTCTCTGCTTATGTCCCTTGTTTACAGAAGCACTTCGGTTAGTGACTCTCCTGAGAACAAGGTATTTCTGTGCAATGACAGAGCTTCCTAACTTGATAAATTCAGGCCAGATATCTCAGACTGCAATAATGATGATAATAATAATAATTGCAGTTAATATTTAAACAGTATTTACTATGTGCCATGTACTGTCTTAAGTATTTTACTTGTATTAACTCATTTGATTTTCATGGTAACCCAGTGAGATAGATGGGTTATTTATTTTAGGGATGAGGAAACTGAGGCATAGAGAAGTTATTTACCCAGTGTCACACAGCTAGTAAATGCCAAAACTAGGGTTTAAATCCAGGCAGTTCGACTCCAGACTGGTCTGTATTGCTTCTTTTTCATGGGAGAGTTAACATGATTCTAGTTAGTGTTGAAGTCTACAGTTTCTCTATTACTGTGTCCTTAGCTCTTTAACTTTTACCTCTTATGACCTTTCACCACTTGATCTGATGCTCTCCTGCTTTTTAAATTCTTCCTCCTTGGACACATGGTAATGTCTGATAGATTGCATAGTTAGGTTTATTTCTTAGACCATTCAGTAAATATTTATTAAGACATTGGAAATTATACAAATTGATTTAAATTCACCTCTGCTGACCGTGATGTGAAAGACACATTAGGTCTCAATAAACTGTTGAGTCTCTCTTGCATCTCCTAAAGATGCATCACCAGGCCCCACTTGGCAGGGTGATTAACTGAAATTCAGTTAAACTCAATATAATGGTAGCCAGCCTTTTGCATTTTTGTCATTTTTTTCTTTGTGGAATGAAATGTTTTCTCCCCTTGTTTAAAGGAATTTCAGGCATCAGCAGTGAAGCCAGAGATGTGAATGCAAGGGGGACTCCATGCATAAGGGCATAAGGGAGGAGCAAGTGCGCCTACTTGAATCAAGAGAAACAATATTTAGTTTTTTGAGGGTACTTAAGGGCCTAGTAGTTAGAAGGGAGACTATACTCTTGAAGGCACTACGTTAGCCGGGCACGGTGGCTCACGCCTGTAATCCCAGCACTTTGGGAGGCTGAGGTGGGCAGATCACGAGGTCAGGAGTTCGAGACCAGCCTGGCCAATATGGTGAAACCCCATCTCTACTATAAATACAAAAATTAGCCGGGCGTGGTGGTGTGTGCCTGTAATCCCAGCTACTCAGGAGGCTGAGGCAGGAGAATCGCTTGAACCCAGGAGGCGGAGGTTGCAGTGAGCCGAGATCACGCCACTGTACTCTAGCCGGGGCAACAGAGTGAGATGCTGTCTCAAAAAAAAAAAAAAAAAAAAAAAAAAGAAGGCACTACTTTGTTATTTATCCCAGTCAGTCCCTGCTGAAGCTTCTGGAAGGCTTGGAGCTGCTGAAGCCAGAGAAACCTGTGATACTGGCTGGATTTTAACAGTCTCTAGACCCACTCTCATTAGATGCCCAGGTCTGCTAGCAACCCCCTCCTTCCAGGTCTCCCTCACTTCCTATGTGAACATTCCTGCTCTTTCCTTGCTTCTAAGATTTTCTGATTTTTTTTAAGGTTTCCTTCTTTCTTTTCTTTTCTTTTCTTTTTTTTTTTTTGAGACAAAGTCTCATTCTGTTGCCCAGGCTGGAATGCAATGGCACAATCGGCTCACTGCAACCTCCACCTCTCAGGTTCAAGCGACCCTCTCACCTCAGCCTCCTGAGTAGCTGGGACTACAGGCGCCTGCTACCACGCCCGGCTAATTTATTGTATTTTTAGTAGAGACGGGGTTTCACCGTGTTAGCCAGGATGGTCTCAATCTCCTGACTTTGTGATCCGCCCACCTCGGCCTCCCAAAGTGCTGGGATTACAGGCGTGAGCCACTGCACCCGGCCTATTTTCTTTCTCATTCCCCTCCCCAGCTCTCCCCCTCTTTTTGTTTAAGACAAGGTCTCGCTCTGTCGCCCAGGTTGAAGTGCAGTGGCATGATCTCAGCTCACTGCAATCGCCATCTCACAGGTTCAAGTGACCCTCTCACCTCAGCCTCCTGAGTAGCTAGGATTACAGGAGCCACTACCACACCCAGCTAATTTTTGTATTTTTTGTAGATACGGGGTTTCACCATGTTGCCTAGGGTGGTCTTGGAACTCCTGACCTCAGGTGATCCACCCTCCTTGGCCTCCCAAAGTGCTGGGATTACAGGTGTGAGCCACTATGCCCGGCCCCTCCTCCCCATACTTCTTTAGACTGCTCAGATATGAAATAACTTCAGAAACCTACCCAAATATTATGATCCTGCATGTTTGCTATTTCACAATCAATGACATTTTGAGGCCACATTGACTATAAATAATCACATCTGTCTTTGGAAAAGCCACATTTTGTTTCACACTAATTTTTTTTTTTGTCCTTGCAAAGTTGGCTTTCTGGATGGAGAGAATGATGTGTCTGGCAATAGGGATCTGTACATTTCCTATTTCAAGAGCACACAAAGTACTGACATCTGAAATGAAAACACAAAAGGAAAAGCTTAAACTTGCCACATAGGAAGTTCTTCATGCTTGAATAGTGTCTTCATAACCATAATGGGATTTTTTAGGATTATAATAGTTCTTTTTAAATGCTTTATTTACTTAACAAATAGTAATCAAATCATTGCAAATTCTTATATGGAAGATTTAGGCGCTGGCAGCAATAGTTACATAAATTATAATGTCAACTATGACAAACCTTCTATGTGTCTAGAGCTAGAATATAAAATAGAAGTGTGCCATCATGGCTACAAATGGTTAAGAATATAGATTCTAGGCCGGGCACGGTGGCTCACTCCGTAATCCCAGCACTTTGGGAGGCCAAGGAGGGTGGATCACCTGAGGTCAGGAGTTCCAAGACCAGCCTGAGCAACATGGTGAAACCGTGTCTCTACTACAAATACAAAATTAGGCCAGGTGTGGTGGCTCACGCCTCTAATCCCAGCACTTTGGGAAGCCGAGGCAGGCGGATCACCTGAGGTCAGGAGTTCGAGACCAGCCTGACCAACATGGTGAAACCCCGTCTCTACTAAAAATACAAAACTAGCCGGGCATGGTGGTGCATCCCTGTAATCCCAGCTACTCAGGAGGCTGAGGCAGGAGAATCGCTTGAACCAGGGAGGCAGAGGTTGCAGTGAGCTGAGATCGCGCCATTGCACTCCAGCCTGGGCAACAAGGATGAAACTCCATTTCAAAAAAATAGATAGATAGATTGATTGATTCTAGAGTCAGAATGCCTGTGTTTGAGTCCTGGTTCCACCAGTCATCAGCCAGGTAGTCGGGATCAGGTTATTTAGCTATTTTTAATCTTTTTTTCTTTTCGTGCCTCATTTTCCTCACTTATAAAATGGGTATGTTAAAAATAGCACCTACCGGCTGGACGCAGTGGCTCACGCCTGTAATCCCAGCACTTTGGGAGGCCGAGGTGGGTGGATCACAAGGTCAGGAGTTCAAGACCAGCTTGGCCAAGATGGTGAAACCCCATCTCTATTAAAAATAGAAAACTTAGCCGGGTATGGTGGCGGGCACCTGTAATCCTAGCTACTTGGGACGCTGAAGCAGAGAACTGCTTGAACCCGGGAGGCGGAGGTTGCAGTGAGCCAAGGTCGCACCACCGCACTTCAGCCTGGGTGACAGAGCGAGACTCCGTCTCAACAAAAAAGAAAAAGCACCTACCTCATAGATTGTTGTAAGAATGATAGATAGATATAAAATAATTAGAACAGTGCCTGGAGTATAGCAAGAACTCAATCATGGTTGCTGTACTATTTAGAAAAAAACAATTGTGGTGAGATTGCTCTTTTTAAGCTAGTGGCTGTTAAGTATCATTCATGTTATATTTTTAAAAGTATGAAATGACCTTTCTACTTCATTTACAGAGTTGAAACTGTGGGACAGCCAGACAGAAGAGATAGCATAGGAGTGTGTGCAGAAAAACAGGATGGATATGACTCTCTGCAGCGGGATCAAGCTGTGTGCATTAGTACAAATGGTAAGAGATAAATAACTGTCATTCTCTTGGAAATATATTAATTATTTTAGTAATATGTGAATCTGTTCCAGTTCCATACATTTATAGTAGGAGATGAGAAAATTTAGGTATTTTTCTTTTTCTTTTTTTTTTTTTTTATTATGAAGTCTCACTCCATCACTCAGGCTGGAGTACAGTGGCATGATCGTAGCCCGCTGCAGCCTGAAATTCTTGGGCCCAAGCCATCCTCCCACTTCAGCCTCCTGAGTAGCCGGGACTACAGGTGCATGCCACTGTGACTGGCTAATTTTTTTTATTTTTACTTTTTTGTAAAGATAAGTTGTTGCCCAGGTGAGTCTTGACTCCTGGTTTCCAGCAATCCTCCCACCTTGGTGGCCTCCCAAAGTGCTGGGATTACAGGCGTGAGCCACCGTGGCTGGCTGAAAGTTTTGGTCTTAATGACATAATTTATGTGACTACCATGTACCAGGCATTGTTCTAAATTCTACAAATAATAAATCATTCAGTCTACATCCCTAGTGCTCTTTAAAAATCGCTAGCCAGAGGCCGGGCGCGGTGGATCACGCCTCTAATCCCAGCACTTTGGGAGGCCAAGGCGGGCAAATCACGAGGTCAGGAGTTCAAGACCAGCCCGGCCAACATAGTGAAACCCTGTCTCTACTAAAAATACAGAAAATTAGCCAGGTGTGGTGGCGGGTGCCTGTAATCCTAGCTACTTGGGAGGCTGAGGTAGGAAAATCGCTTGAACCCGGGAGGCGGAGGTTGCAGTGAGCCGAGATCATGCCAGGTAACAGTGTGAGACTCCGTCTCAAAAAAAAAAAAAAAAAAAAAAATTCACTAGCAAGACATGTTAATAATATTTTGTGGTGTTGGCTGGGCACGGTGGCTCACGCCTGTAATCCTAGCACTTTGGGAGGCCAAGGTGGGTGGATCACAAGGTCAAGAGATCGAGACCATCCTGGCCAACATGGTGAAACCCTGTCTCCACTACAAATACAAAAATTAGCTGGGCGTGGTGGTACATACCTGTAATCCGAGAGGCTCAGGCAGGAGAACTGCTTAAACCTGGGAGGTGGAGGTTGCAGTGAGTCCAGATCATGCCACTGCACTCCAGCCTGGGCAACAAGAGTGAAACTCTGTCTCCAAAAAAAAAAAAAAAATTGTGTTGGTGAGTCAAGAATTCGGTAGAACAAGATTCTTTCTTGTTTATTCCATAAGAAATAGTCTTGCTATTTCACAGGAGGTAATTTTGTAACACTGTCAAGTTTCTTTTGATGACACTGATATGGGAAACTCATAGTCTCTGCTGGAAGAGTACAACCCTGGACAGAACTCTAAAATCTATGTCCAGTTGGCATTCCAGATTTTTTAAAATCTGAATTAGGAAATGAGCTGTGTTACCAGTAATCTAGAAACTATTTCAGATCTCTTAGTTATTGCTCACATGTAAATGACTCTTTACCTTAACATTTTAGGTGCAGTTTTTGTCAATGGAAAAGAAATGACAAATCAGTTACCCGCAGTTACTTCTGGGTCCACTGTCACGTTTGACATTGAAGCCGTGACTCTAGGAACCACCAGTAATAATGAAGGTGGACACTTCAAGCTTCGAGTAACTATAAGTTCAAATAATAGAGAAGTGGTTTTTGACTGGTTACTTGATCAGTCTTGTGGTTCTCTTTACTTTGGATGCTCATTTTTCTATCCTGGATGGAAAGTGTTAGTGTTTTAGATGTTTGGGTGCTTGGCTTTGGTTTTCAGGGTCTAACGTAGCTGTCCTCAGCCCAGCGTAGTTGTAATTGCTTTAAAAAAAAAGTTGAATTCATCTCTAACTTAGGCCATTGGAAAGTGTTTACTGGATTCATTTTGTAATATTTTAGCAAAAAGAGACTTCAATGTTGTGGACAAAATCATACAATTCAGTCAATTTTATTTTTAGCATACTGTTAAATATCACATCACAATAAAAATCAAATTGGCATTAAAAGTATAGAAGATATAGGAAGTTCTATACCCTTCCACTGTACTTCTCAAAGTTGGTTATTAGACCAGGAAAACTTAATGTAATATTATTTTTAAAATCATCTTAAAGGATCCAAGTCCATGTAACTCTTTAGAACAAGAGGAATAGGTCAGATAGAAGAAGCTGTGTAATGTATTAATACATCCGTTCATGTGCTGTCCACATGAATGTGTTGACTGTGCTCTCCATGTTCAGGTATTTGTAAGCAGTGTTGACTTTTATCCCCTCTTCAGTAATCTTTAAGTCCCCAAAACATTATAACTTTTTCTTTTTTTGTTGAGACGGAGTCTCACTCTTGTCACTCAGGCTGGAGTGCAGTGGTGTGATCTCAGTTCACTGCAACCTCTGCCTCCCACGTTCAAGCGATCCTCCTGCCTCAGGCTCCTGAGTAGCTGGGATTACAGGCGTCGGCCACCACACCTGGCTAATTTTTGTATTTTTAGTAGAGACAGGGTTTCACCATGTTGGCCAGGCTGGTCTTGAACTCCTGACCTCAGGTGTTCCACCCACCTCAGCCTTCCAAAGTGCTAGGATTACAGGTGTGAGCCACTGCAGTGGACCAATTTTTGTATTTTTTTAAATGCTTGACCAAGTGTCTAAAATAGGCAAGTAGTACCTTTTGTTCTTTCATTGCAATTTGATACAGTATAGGCTACAGTATTTTTACAGGGTAAAACTAGTTATGGCAGTAGTATGCACAGCAGTGTTAGCCATTTCATATGTATGTAATATGCACGTGTGTATCCAATCTGCCTGTGACATGCATTTTACTCTTTGCAGAGAATGAGCTGCAGTCCAGTTTAATGTCAGTTTAATAAGTGGTCTCTTTTTAGCAGAGCAAAAAAATATAGCGTAAATACTTATTTTTTTTAAAAACTTACTTAAATTTGTGTGTAAAATATTTATTTGAAGGACTTTAATATGTAAAAATAATTGTCTTCTATGCCACCCTACAGATTTTATTTTAATGTGAATTATTTTTTTCATTTCATTTTTACCAGTATAGTAAAAAAGTAGAAAAGCAAGTATGATATTTTTGTAAGATAATTTATTTGGGGATTCATGTTCCCTGTTAGACAATCATGACCTTTTCTACTTGTCTTTTTATATATAAGTAGTAGATTTCCACTTGTTTAGGGATTAAGAAGATGTTCTAGAATGTAGATACCTTGTCCAGCCATAGGAATCAAAATAAAAAACTAAAAAAGTTCAGTGTGTGTACTTTTTTCTTCTGTGAGATTTGGTGAATCCAGTTTTAACCTACTTTTCATTTGAAGGGAAAACAGGCTTCTTGTGGCTCCAGGCATTTTAGTAAGATATCACTGTGACTTGTGAAAGGGTATGTGTACCTTCTTGTACTTTCTTTTAAAAACTTTTTTAAAAATATTTTTTGTAGAGAATGAGGGTCTTGCTGTGTTGTCCAGACTGGTCTCAAACTCCTGGCCTCAAGCAGTCCTCCCCAGCCTTGGCCTTCCAAAGTGCTGGGATTATAGGCATGAGTGACCACACCCAGCTGGTTACTTGTACTTTCCTATATTCTGTGTCTGATACTGAGCATCTTGCCTGACACAATGTGTGCAGAATGAATGGTGGATCGAATGAGTCGTTTTCTCCAGATATCTTCATCTCATTCCTTTAATTCATCAAATATTTGTTGAATGTATTTATTTCTTAGCCTCTCTAGGGAAATGACATCTTAATTTATACCTATAGAATCTGCCTGTTCACAGGAGTGCCTTAAACCTAATTTGAGACAGGAGTGGTAATATTTGGAACTCTGAAACTAATTTTTTTTGAGACAGAATCTCACTTTGTTACCCAGGCTGGAGTGCAGTGGTGCAATCTTGGCTCACTGCAACCTCTGTCTCCTGGGTTAAACGGATTTCCCTGCCTCAGTCTCCCAAGTAGCTGGGATTACAGGTGTGCACCACCACACCTGGCTAATTTTTATACTTTTAGTGGAGATGGGGTTTTGCCATGTTGGCCAGGCTGATCTTGAACTCCTGGCCTCAAGTGATCCTCCCACCTTGGCCTCCCAAAGTGCTGGGATTACAGCCGTGAGCCACTGTGTCTGTCCTTGAAACTAATTTAAATACTGACTTTTTTTCTTGAACTGTGAAGATTTTTTTTAAAAAAATGAACTCATTAGCTGGGCGTGATGGCTCACGCCTGTAATCCCAGCACTTTGGGAAGCCAAGGCAGGTGGATCACCTGAGATCAGGAGTTTTGAGACCAGCCTGGCCAACATGGTGAAACCCCGTCTCAACTAAAAATGCAAAAATTAGCTGGGCATGGTGGTAGATGCCTATAATCCCAGCTACACAGGAAGCTGAGGCAGGAGAATCACTTGAACCCTCCGGGAGGTAGAGGTTACAGTGAGCTGAGATCACATGATTACAGTCCAGCCTGGGCAACAAAAGCAAAACTTTGTCTCAAAAAAAAAAAAAAAAAAAAAAAAAAAAATCATTCTGTTCAAGTAAGTAAGGGAACCTAGTACTCCAAACCTATGTGCTAGGAGGGAAGAGTTTGTGTGATGATATGATCACAAGAATTGATTTTTTGGCTGGGCATGGTGGCTTATGCCTAGCCATTTTTTATTCACTTAAAAAAAAAATTTGGCTGGGTGTGGTGGCTCACACCTGTAATCCCAGCACTTTGGGAGGCCTAGGCTGGTGGATCACCTGAAGTCGGGAGTTCGAGACCAGGCTGACCAATATGGTGAAACCCTGTCTCTACTAAAATTACAAAAATTAGCTGGATGTGGTGGCGCACGCTGGTAGTCCCAGCCACATGGGAGGCTGAGGCAGGAGAATTGCTTGAACTCGGGGGGTGGAGGCTGCAGTCAGCCAAGATCTTGGCACTGCACTCCAGCCAGGACAACAGAGCAAGACTCTGTCTCAAAAAAAAAAAAAAAAAAAAAAAAAATTTAGCCAGGTGTTGTGGTGCCCACCAGTAGTTCCAAAGCTACTCAGGAGACTGAGGTGGGAGAATTGCTTGAGCCTGGGAATTCGAGGTTGCAGTGAGCCTAGGCAACATTGGTAGACCCCATCTCTTAATAAATAAACACAAACAAAACAAAGAAATAGAGCAACTAGATAGATAACAAAAGCAAAATCCCCTGGATAATATCTACAGTAAGACTAGGTGACCACTTACCCCCTCAAATCCCAAAATACAAGCTAGTGAAGACGAACTACAAACAGATACAAGACCTGCATGATCTCAGTGTCTGTGCAGGATGAAGAAGGCGCAAAGCCTGACAGATGTGATGACAGGCGAAACCCCATATCATCGACTGGAACTCCTGGAAAGCACCATGGAACAACTGAAAAGTAGCAACTGAAACTCTAGAAATTTGTTTCCCTCCAATACCAGATGAATGCAAGTGGGCCATGCGTGGTAAATGTGTTCAGGGGTGCTTAAGATCACTTTCACTTTCAATTATTTGCCAGGACTCACAGAACTCAGAAAAGCTCAGAACACTCATGGTTACTATTTAGTAAAGCAAAAAGACACAAATTAAAATTAGCAAGTTTGGCCGGGACTGCTGGCTCACACCTGTAATCCCAGTACTTTGGGAGGCCAAGGTGGGAGGATTGCTTGAAGCCAGGAGTTGAAGACCAACCTGGGCAACATGATGAGACCCCCATCTCTACCAAAATAAATTTTTTTTAATTAGCCAGGCATAGTCAGGCATTAGCCAGCTACTCAGGAGGCTAAGGTGGGAGGATCACTTGAGTTCAGGAGCTTGAGGCTACAGCGAGCTGGAGTACAGTGGCAAATGTAGTTCGCTGTAAAAATAAATGGCCAGGCACAGTGGCTCACGCATGTAATCCCAGCACTTTGGGAGGCCGAGGCCGGCAGATTACGAGGTCAGGAGATGGAGACCATCCTGGCTAACACGGTGAAACCCCGTCTCTACTAAAAATACAAAAAAATTAGCCGGGCGTGGTGGCAGGCGCCTGTAATCCCAGCTACTCAGGAGGCTGAGGCAGGAGAATTGCTTGAACTTGAAAGGCAGAGGTTGCAGTGAGCCGAAATTGCACCACTGCACTCCAGCCTGGCGACAGAGCAAGACTCCATCTCAAAAAACTATTTAGACTAGAATGTAGTAAAAGTGTGTTCAGAGACTAGTTTGGACACAGCACTCCACAGGAATTTATCTTATAAAATACTTGATACAGGTTCAAGTATAATCACTATTAACATTTTTGACAAGATTTTAAAAAATCAAATAACCCACTTATCTATTAGACCAGCACTGGTTTAGTCAATTAAGGAACCCAAAAAAACAAAACAAAACAAAAAAACTCAGAACGTTTAAAAAGAAGTAAATCTATATGCTCTGACTTAAAAGGATGCCCATTTTACAGGGTTAAGAGCTTCCAGATAGGCCGGGCACAGTAGCTCACACCTGTAATCCCAGCACTTTGGGACTCCAAGGTGGGTGGAAAACCTGAGGTCAGGAGTTTGAGACCAGCCAAGCCAACATGGTGAAACCCCCAGGCGTGGTGGCGCATGCCAGTAATCTCAACTATTCAGGAGGCTGAGGCAAGAGAATTGCTTGAACCCAGGAGGCAGAGGTTGCAGTGAACCGAGACCGTGCCATTGCACTCCACCTCTGGGTGACAGAGCGAGACTCCATCTCAACAGAAAAAAACAAAAAAAAGGCCAGGCCGGGCACGGCGGCTTATGCCTGTAATCCCAGTACTTTGGGAGGCCGAGGTGGGCGGATCACAAGGTCAGGAGTTCGAGACCAGCCTGGCCAACATGGTGAAACTCCATCTCTACTAAAAATACGAAAATCAGCTGGGCATGGTGGTGCGCGCCTGTGATGCCAGCTACTCAGGAGGCTGAGGCTGGAGAATCGCTTGAACCTGGGAGGCGGAGGTTGCAGTGAGCCAAGATCGTGCCACTGTACTCCAGCCTGGGTGACAGAGTGAAACTCCATCTCAAAAACAAAACAAACAAACAAAAAAATCCAAAAACAACAACAAAACCAACAACAACAAAAACCCTTCATATATATAATCCTTATAGTCTCATGAATAAAAACATACTTTAAAACAAGAAATTTAAAATGAAAAAGATCATAAAGATAAATCCATACAGAAAACCCAAAGAGTATAGATAAAAATTATTTGAAATCTCATCACCTGGAGTTAACCACGATTATAAATTTTAGAAAGAGGGAAAATATATATATATATATATATACACACTTATGTAAAAATTTAATATGGAAATCTTGTCAAACTATCATCCTTTTTAATAGCTTTTTAGATTTAACGTGTTTCTAACGTTTCATTATTTAAAAAATGCTGAGAAAACCTGTTACCTACATCTTTTGTTAACAAGTTACATTGTGACAAAAATATAAAATTTGAATTGTTAAAGACTATATATACAATTTTAACTTTATATATATTGCCAGTCTGCCCTATAGTAAGACTGTATCAACCTTTTTTTTTTTTTTTGAGACAGAGTCTTGCTCTGTCTCCCCGGATAAAGTGAAGTGGCAAAATCTCAGCTCACTGAAACCTCTGCCTCCCAGGTTCAAGTAATACTGCTAAGCCTCCCAAGTACCCAAGTAGCTGGGACTACAAGCACCTGCCACCATGCCTGGCTAATTTTTGTGTTTTTGGTAGAGATGTGGTTTGACATGTTGGCCAGGCTGGTGTCAAACTCATAACCTCAGGTGATCCACCCGCCTTGGCCTCCCAAACTGCTGGGATTACAGGCATGAGCCACTGAGCCCGGCCCCCAACTGTTACATCAAAATATTATTTGAGAGTATATGTGTCCTCACGTCCCTAAAACACTAGAAACTGTCAAACTTTTAATCTTTGTCAAACTCTCAAAAGTAGTATCTCTGCATTTGCATGCCTTTGAGTACTAATAAGGTTGAGTACTGCTTTAAAAGTTTGCTGGCCATCTCTTTGTTTTTTTAAGAACTGCGTGATAGTCCTTCACACATATTTCTTATTAGACTGTGTATCTTTTTGTTTCATAATTCACAATATTATGTATTCATATTAGCATTTTGTGTTACAGATATTTCCCCCATTCCATAATTTGTTTCTAACTTTAGATATTTTGCAGTATAAAAATGACTAATTTTAACCCGACAATTTTTACTTTATGCTTTCTTACTTTTCAATCATCCTTAGAAGGGTCTTCCTCACTGCAATATATTAAATATATTAACATTCACCTATTTTTTTTTCCATGCTTATGAATGTTCATTTTTACATGTTTATGAGCCTTCCAGAATGTATTAGGCCTAAGATTATTTCCAGATGACTGGAGAAGAGTTGTCACAATTAATGAACAGTTTCTCTTTCTCACATAGCTATACCAACACCTTTATCATAAACTATTTCAGGACTATGCCTGAATAGATAAGCATATCTATTCCTATGGTTATACCATAGGGTTTAAGTTCTCTTAACTTTATGGTATGTACAACGGTATATTGTATATCATACTAAAACTGGTAAGTAAAAATTCTCAAAATATTTTTCTAAAATTTCCCTTAGTATTACTAAATACTTATCCTTTTAGATTAACTAGGAACTAATTTTAAGACTTAAAAAAATCCTTATGAGATTTTGCATCGGATGGTACACTGACCTAACATATTTAGAAATAAAAGACATCATTACAGTTTTGAATCTCCCTATTTAAGAAATGTATGGATTCCTCTTTATCTCTTAAGAGTTATTTTAAGTATGCTTAATCTAAATTCTGCAGATTTCTTGATAAATGTATTACTAGTCATCCCTTATTATCTGCCATTACAATGAATAGAATTTAAAATAGCCGTTAACATTTATTGAGCACTTATTGTATGCCAGGCACTGTACTAAATATTTTATTATTTCATCTAATCCATCAATTCTATGTCTCATGTTACAGGTGAAGAAACTGAGACATGGATAAATAACTTGCCAAATGCCACATAGCTAGGAGCAGAGATTTCAATCAGGCAGTCTGGCTCTCAAAGTATGATGCCTTCCGTGTGGCCGGGTGCAGTGGCTCATGCCTGTAATCCCAGCGCTTTGGGAGGTCAAGGTGGGCGGATCACAAGGTCAGGAGTTCCAGACTAGCCCGGCCAACATGGTCAAACCCCGTCTCTACTGAAAATAAAACAAATTAGCCAGGCGTGGTGGCACGCACCTGTAATCACAGCTGCTCGGGAGGCTGAGACAGGAGAATCGCTTGAACCCGGGAGGTGGAAGTTGCAGTGAGCTGAGAGCATGCCACTGCACTCCAGCCTGGGAAACAGAGCAAGACTCCCCCTCAAAAAAAAAAAAAAAAAAGGAATGATACCTTCCGTTAAATGCTCTGACTAGATCATTTACTTGTGTTTTTTAAAGTATAAAAAACAAAGGCCTCTACTTCCAACATGAATTAGCATTTGGGGAAGAAAACATCAATCAAAAATGGGAGTTCATAACTATAATGTGCTCAACCTTCTAAGTAGTCCATAGCTTCCCATCAAGAATAGTCTCCCATGTTGCTCTTTTCTTGCTTATTGGACATTCTTCCATTTCCTGCATGGCTACTTCATATTCCCCATCTAAAAGCTGTAAGCGCCTGTTAGACAAACACATATACTTTAAAGTAACCTGTGTTATTACTATAAGTACACAAATTCTACATCTTTAGATTTATACTAAAACCATTTATTAAATTTATAAACTAGCTTACATACTCAACAAGATTTTAAAAATACAGCTACACTGCAGTCCTGATGAAAGCAATTTTAATGATGTACACTAAAAACTGTATTACTAGGAATTCATTACTGTAGCTACTCAGATATAACTCTAAACATGTAAAGTATAATATGCCTGAGGTCTCAAAACCTGGTACGTTGTCAACATTAAATATAAAGCATAAGTACAGGCTTTATTTATTTATTTATTTGAGATGGAGTCTTGCTCTGTTGCAACCCAGGCTGGAGTGCAGTGGTGCAATCTCCACTCACCATAATCTCTGCTGCCCAGGTTCAAGCGATTCTCCTGCCTCAGCCTCCCGAGTAGCTGGGATTACAGGCGCGTGCCACCATGCCCGGCTAATTTTTGTATTTTTAGTAGAGACGGGTTTCAGCATCTTGGCCAGGCTGGTCTTAAACCCCTTCCCTCGTGATCCACCCACCTCAGCCTCCTAAAGTGCTGGGATTACAGGCATGAACCACCGCGCACAGCCCAGGCTTTATATTTTTAAAAATAGGATAACAGTGTTACAATGCTTGTCTTAGGGAAACACTAAGAATTCTGTTACCTTTAACTACTGTAATTGTTTGAACTAGAATCCTTTACTTGTATACTTGACCAGTAAACTGATTATTATAATGATGAATCTGGTAACTATGGAATTCTGGGGGCACCTGGCACATATAGGTGCTCAATAAATACTTCATGGAATACTAATTGAATCAAATAATTCAAATATATTCACACAATATAGTTTTAAGGTGTGTGTACATATGTGTCTATGTATAACTTATTTTTCCATACTTTAAACACTAGTAACCACTACTAAACACCATTCTTCAACCATACTCAGTAATTAACTGTATATATCAAGCAACTGGCTTCTCTTCATCACTCTTGGAGAAATTCTATTAGGTAAAAACAGCTGACATTTATTGAGTGTTCACTATGTGCCAGGCACTATTATAAACATTTTACATGGTTCATTTAATCTTCCCAGCAATACTATGAACTATGTACTATTACTCCACTGCCAGAAGAGAAAACTGAGGCAAGAAAAGCTTAAATAACTTGCCTTAAAATCAAACCATAAATAGCCAGATCTAGCAAATGAATCCAGGTGTCTGTCTCTAAAGTCTCTTAAAACCAAATGATTGACACTTAAGAATTTTTGTCTTTTCTCTATGCTGTACTACTTAAATTTAGTCAACTTCAATAGTACATCAGCAAAGCCATTCAACTATTTTAAAAACTAATTTATTTATTCAAATAGGTAATAAATTCATATATTTCTAAATCAAAAAGGAGCTTCCTTATGCTTTTACGTAGATACATACTATTCCATTTTGTGGGTGTACATTTGATACCTACAATCCAATGCACCCTCCTATCTGTAATGTATGTGGAGACCTTTCCCCCACAGCCTGATCAAGTGCTTTATCAAGTTTTTTGGTCTCTGTCAATCTGATAAGTGAAAAAACGCATCTCAGTGTACTTTTAATTCAGATGTTTTATCGTTTTAATTGTTTAAGAACCATATATATCTATTTTGGTAAACTTCTTATTGTTTCCTTTGCCCATTCTTCTATTGGGCAACTTTAAAATTAGTATGACCTGTTTACATTCAAGTATGAGACATCTACCTGAAAGACAAGTTGAAAATAATTTCTCCCCATCTTGTCATTTTTGACTTTGGTTATGGTGGCATTTTTGTTTTCTGAAGAAGTTTTTGATTTTTATTTTGTTCAACTTTGCATTCTTTTCCTATATGGCTTTTGAATACTGGTTATTATTTCAAGGAATTAACTGGATTTTTTTTTTTTTTGACAGTCGCTCTGTCACCCAGGCTAGAGTGCAGTGACACAATCATAGCTCACTACAGCCTCAGACTCCTGGGCTCAAGAGATCCTCCCACCTTGGTCTTCCAAAGTACTAAGATTACAAGTGTGAGCCACTGCACTCAGCCCTCTGTGAGATTTTAAAAACAATTTTTACACATCTAACATGCAGATTTTGGCTTAAAAATACTATTCTTCTATAAGGAATCAGGACTCCTTGAAGAAATCACAACTTCAGAGCAGAGGTAAGAGAAGGTTGGCCCGACGCAGTGGCTCATGCCCGTAATCCCCACACTTCGGGAGGCTGAGGTGGGAGGATCACCTGAGGTCGGGAGTTCAAGACCAGCCTGACCAACAGGGAGAAACCTTGTCTCTACTATAAATACAAAATTAGCCGGGCATGGTGGCGCATGCCTATAATCCCAGCTACTCGGGAGGCTGAGGCAGGAGAATCGCTTGAACCCGGGAGGCAGAGGTAGCGGTGAGCTGAGATCGTGCCTTTGCGCTCCAGCCTGGGCAACAAGAGCAAAACTCCGTCTCAAAAAAAAAAAAAAAAAAAAAAAAAAGGAGAAGGTGATTCTGGTATATGTTACTATTCTAGAAAATCAGGAAAAAATAGCAGCAACAAAACAGGACACAGAAGCCTACTTAGAAGGGCTCCTCCTGACAAAATATGAGACAATTTGAGCATTAAAATAACAGTATCAGTAGATTAAAACTAATTGAATAAATAGAATTTGTTAATCCATACTGATTTTAAAATATCAAAGCTGGGGAAAGGAATGCTCTTCTTTTTAAATTTACATGTAACTTTTTCTAAAATTTTTTTTTCTTTTTAGGAACGAGGTCTTGCTATGTTGTCCAAACTGGTCTCAAACTCCTGGGCTCAAAGTCTTCGCACCTTGGACTCCCAAAGTGTTAGGGTTACAGGTATCAGCCACCATGCCTGCCTGTTTCTCTCTCTCTCTCTCTCTCTCTCTCTCTCTATATATATATACACACATATATATATTTTTTTAGGGTTAGTCAAGTGAAGCAGTGGGAGCAGAGAACGAATGCTCTTCTTTATATAAAAATGCAAATAAATGTGGAAGAAATGTTAGAAAATTACCATTTTCCAACTGCCAAAGGAATAATTTATTCAAGCAAAAATAATCAATGCTAAAACTATTGGGTGACAGGCTATGGGAAGAAAATGGATATTTACTCAGCTTCATGTATTAGCATAAGAATTATATGCTGATTTATATAAAAGGGAAAAAAAGTAGTTACAATGGAGAAATATTGTGAACAGCATCTTAACGGAGTGATCAAACCTAACATTACCTTTCGTCTGTGATGTAGTACGTAAAAAACACATCACTCATTAGAATCCCTGCCAAAAATGTTTAACCTGAAGCTAATCAAGAGGAAATCATCACAGATGTCCTAATTGAGATACATTCTGCAAAACTACAGGCCTATACTGGGGGAAAAATGTCACAGAAGGTAGGGAGAAAGGCTAGGGGACTATTCCAAATTGAAGGAGACTGAAGAACTATGACATCTAGCTATGGAATCAGGGTGGGGACAGGACAAATTATAAAGGACATTATTGAGGTCAACTGGGGAGATAGTATTGTATTTGTATTTTAATATTCCTCATAAGTGTATGGTGGTTATACCAGAAAATGTCTTCGTTCTTAGGAGATACATGCAAGAGAGTTTATAAATGAGGAATAAAGCAAACTTTCAAATTGTTCAGCACAAAAATAAAATATATACTCATAAATAAATCAAATGTGGCAAAATGTTAACAACAGATACAATCTAGATGAAGGGTATGTGGATATTAAATGACTTTAGTATTCTTTCAACTTTCCTATAGTTTTGAATTTTTTTTTTTTTTTTTTGAGACAGAGTCTCGCTGTCACCAGGCTGGACTGCAGTGGCACGATCTCAACTCACTGTAACCTCCGCCTCCTGGGTTCAAGCGATTCTCCTGCCTCAGCCTCCCGAGTAGCTGGGACTACAGGCACGCACCACCACACCCAGCTAATTTTTGTATTTTTAGTAGAGATGGGGATTCACCATGTTGGCCAGGACGGTCTCGATCTCTTGACCTCGTGATCCGCCCGCCTCAGCCTCCCAAAGTGCTGGGATTACAGGCGTGAGCCACCATGCCCGGATGAGTATTTTCAAAATAAGCTGCTGTGGGGAAATTCTCCCAGTTTCTTCTTGGCACTTTTTCTTTAAAATAAAAGCATTATCTTTTTCTTACAAGAAATGTGTAAACATATGTGTCAGGTACAGTGATTAAAAAAGAAAACAGAACATACCCCATGCTGCCTAAAATAGAACAATTAACAGCATCGATGAAGTCCAATGCGCCTCATTCTAATTGTTTCCCCCACAGACATGACCACTATTTTCTAGTACATTTATGGTTCTATTGTTTTCCATTTAAATCTTCGATCCACAATAAAATTTCTGACTTTAAAAAGACACTGGCCGGGCACGGTGGCTCACCTGTAATCCCAGCACTTTGGGAGGCTTAGGCAGGTGGATGATGTGAGGTCAGGAGCTCCAGACCAGCCTGGCCAACATGGTGAAACCTCATCTCTCTAAAAACACAAAAATTAGCTGGGCATGGTAGCGGGTGCCTGTAATCCCAGCTATTCAGGAGGCTGAGGCAGGTGAATCGCTTGAACCCAGGAGACAGAGGTTGCAGTGAGCTGAGATCATGCCACTGAACTCCAGCCTGGGTGACACAGCGAGAGTCCGTCTCAAAAATAAACAAATAAATAAATAAAAAATAAACAATAGGAGGAATGGCCTAGTTACTTTCCCTGGTTCTTTGTCCTATACCTGACAATAAACTGTTAACTACCAGCACGCAGCCTGGTACAAGAAATGACGGCATAGGTTTCTTTCTCCAATCCCAAAAAGAAAAAACGCTGGATTTGCTTCCCAGACATTCTTTCACTGGTGATATTTTCACTAAAATATTTCGTTTCCAAAAAGAAATTGCAGAAATTATTGTACGTCTGTGTTTCTTGCCATCCTGTACCAAATGCACAGAGGTACACAATGATTATACATGATTTTCTTTTTTTTTTTTTAAGATAGACTTTTGCTCTGTCACCCAGGATGGAGTGCAGTGGTGTGATCTCGGCTCACTGCAACCTCTGCCTCCCGGGTTCAAGCGATTCTCCTGCCTCAGCCTCCTGAGTAGCTGGGATTACAGGCACACACCACCGTGCCCGGCTAATTTTTGTATTTTTAGTAGAGACAGGGTTTCACCATCTTGGCCAGGCTGGTCTCAAACTCCTGACCTCGTGATCCACCCGCTTCAGCCTCCCAAAGAGCTGAGATTACAGGCGTGAGCCACTGCGCCCGGCCTTCTTTCTTTTTTTAAAAAAGATGGGGTCTCGCCTAGGCATGGTGGCTCACGCCTGCAATCCCAGCACTTTGGGAGGCCAAGGCAGGCGGATCGCGAGGTCAGGAGACCGACACCATTCTGGCTAACACGGTGAAACCCCGTCTCTACTGAAAATACAAAAAATTAGCCGGGCGTGGTGGCACGCACTTGTAGTCCCAGCTACTCCAGAGGCTAAAGCAGGAGACTTGCTCAAACCCAGGTGGCAGAGGGGTTGCAGTGAGCAGAGATTGCGCCACTGCACTCCTGCCTGGGTGACACAGTGAGACTCCAGCCTAAAAAAAAAAAAAAAAAAAAAAGATGGGATCTCACTTTGTCACTCAGGCCAGAGTACAGTGGCATGATCATAGCTCATTGCTGCCTTGAACTCCTGGGCTCAAACAATCCTCCCACCTCAGCCTCCTATGTAGCTGGAACTACAGGTACATACCACCATGACCAGCTCCTCTTCCTTAGTTTTTAATAAACACATAACCCCAAGATTTACGTACGGCCCAGTCCATTTAAGTCTCTTCTCAAATACTACCTCCTCCCAGAGGATATCGCTCTAAAACAGTAACCATTTATTCTCTATTTTTCTTCACAACACTCATCACTAAGTGACATCAGTTGATTTTTTGGGTGGTGGTCTGTTTCCTCCACTAAAAGTTAAGCTCCATGGTGAAGGCAGGGATTTTGTTGCCTTAATGTCCAGAACAGTGTCTGGAAAAGAGCAGACACTCAAAATATTCGCCAAATAAGTAAGTTTAACTGAGCTATCTATGCAAATAGTTCCTTAATTATTGTTTTCTATGAAACAGACAAAAATTCAGTGTTTGCAAATTTGTTTTTTCATCCGTAAGAATAAAAAGAAACAAAGGCAATGAAATAATCAATATAAATAATTATATTCTGCTTCAGAATGAAAACATTTCCAGAACATTGTGGGAGCCTCGCTTGTTCATCAACATTACCTGTTTTTATCAAATACTGTCATTTGTGCAACAAATGTCTTTTCCCCATCCTCACGATTTCATTTTCTTCTGGCTGGAAGCTCTTCACTGACATCTAAATTTAACAAACATTTCTCATAAATCAAATATTAGAACAAAAATGTGTTACGATATATGGTCCCTTAACATAAAACATGCTACATTTATCCCAAATGAGGTAGGAATTACACTAAAGTTGCAATAATATACAGACCACGTTTCCAATTTTGCATTTTTACTATATGTTCTTTTTAACACTCACAACATTAACCCCACATCTTTGCAAATGCTAATGTTTCTGTTTAGAATTATCTTTGCTAGGCAAACTCCTTCTCACTCGTGGTAACTCCCAAAAACTTCAAACAATACTTCAAGAGTCAAAGATTATTTCTTCCAACGTGTTTCTCTGCTGAACTTCACATATACCTGTATTATGCCACTCATCATTTTGCAGCAATGATATATTTCATGTCTATTTCCCTACACTAGGTTGTGAGACTTTGGAGGACAGGACTGAATGCTTTAATCATCTTCGATTAAATTAAATCATCCCCAGCACCTATGTGTTTGTTGAATGAATACCTCAAAGATGAATTCACAATTGTTGGAAGAAAAGAGGGATGGGTAGGGGGATAAATATGCAACAAGTATAATAAAATATTCATTGTTGAATCTAAGAGGTAAGTAGATAAGTGTTCACTATAAAATACTTCTCATTGTCCTTTATGTTTGAAAATTTGCACAACAAAATGTTGAGGTGGAGGTGAATTCACTGTTTGCTTTAAGACTCAGCACCATGACTATCATGAAGGAACACTGGTACAATCATTTTCAATGACCATCTTAATCTCCAGTGATAAAATCTAGTAAAAAAAAAAATTACCAATATTTTCATGGTTTCTCCATTAATCATTCCATTAAACTCTCTTCTTCTTGGACGAGTCACTCTAAATAGCAACGAGTAAGACTTCACCATGTGGCTGTTACTAGGTTCAAATTCATTACTGGAAACTGCAAGGGACGGGAAATTTCCAGGTTTTGTTTGATTGAGGTCAGGATTCAAAGGCACCTGCTTTTTACCTGTGGGAACTTGCCTTATTGGACAACATACATCCTGCAAAGGTAAAGATT
Organism: Homo sapiens; assembly: GCF_000001405.40. Taxonomy (NCBI): domain Eukaryota; kingdom Metazoa; phylum Chordata; class Mammalia; order Primates; family Hominidae; genus Homo; species Homo sapiens. Next base: position 30,768,816 of record NC_000017.11, on the reverse strand, counting down.
ATTAATTTATATTTATTTGTATATAAGCAATAAGAATTATAATAAAAATTCTAATCACAGCTATAGGAAACACAGGAGATAGGCCATGATCACCAAATGGAATGTTAAAATTCTAACCATAGTTCTGAAAACTGTGAAGCAAAAATAAACATTTGAAATACCTATATTCCAAATATTAAAGCAATTGAGGTTTTCTCCAACATAATGAAATTATGATACAGTACATCTAATATTTAGCTAACAGTGATCTGAAACAGTTGTATATTAGAAATTTAGAATTAAAAGCATGCTAAATCTCTCTGGTAAGGCTTTTTAGCAACAACAAAAAAACCAGGCTAAAATGTTAAACTCATGTACTTTTATCAAATCTCTTAAATGTTCTATTTTAACATGACAATGACTAATAGGACCATTAGAAATTAAAAAAATGACTAATAATCCCATGGTCAACAACTACATTATGAAACAGTAAATCCATATAGTTAAAATATGTTGTTTAACAGAAAGGATCATCATCCTTAAAAAAACAAAAACAAAACTGGTTTTATCTACCAATGATCATATTCTGAGTAATATTCTGTTATAGTATGATTAGTTACACTGAAAATGCATACTAGAAAAACTGGAAGGATCAGAAGACTTTTATGACAGTATCTTACAGCAGCTACTTCTTTTAAAATAAATAGAATACATACAGTCTAAAAAAATTTCTATTTTATAAGACTATAAAGTGAAAACTATGAATTCTCACCCACCCCCAGGTCTTACGCTCCAGAGATGACTAATACTAGCAGTTGGCTGTGTATATTCTTCCAGGAAAATGATTACCCCGATACATTTTTTTGAACATAAGAATGACTATATTTATATTCATATCTTATTCTAAGTAATGTATCTTGGATTTTCATATCATCACTTGTAATGTGTATGGTGGTTAGGTAGGAGTAAGAAGCGATAAAGGCTGGAGTGCAGTCTTGCGATCTCGGCTCGCTGCAAGCTCCGCCTCCCGGGTTCATACCATTCTCCTGCCTCAGCCTCCTGAGTAGCTGGCACTACAGGCGCCCGTCACCACGCCTGGCTAATTTTTTGTATTTTTAGCAGAGACGAGATTTCAGCATGTTAGCCACTCGATCTCCTGACCTCGTGATCTGCCCACCTTGGCCTCTCAAAGTGCTGGGATTACAGGCGTGAGCCACCAGCACCTGGCAAGGAGTGATATTTCCTAACTTTACATACATTTTTTTTTTTCTTGAGACAGTTTCACTCTGTCGCACAGGCTGGAGCTCAGTGGTGCAATCATGGCTCACTGCAGCCTCGACTTACTGGGCTCAAGCAATCCTCCCAAGTAGCTGGGACTACAGGCACAGGCCATCATGCCTAGCTCATTTTCGTGTTTTTGGTAGAGACAGGGTTTCGCCATGTTGCCCAGGATGCTTAACTCCTGGGTTCAAGCAATCTGCCCACTTCTGCCTCCCAAAGTGCTGGGATTATAGGTGTGAGCTACGGCAACCGGCCTTTACATAAACTTTCAAAAATAAAGTTCCACTGCTGCCTCCATGGTGCCTTAGTCTACTCCCTCCCTGTGACTGAGGCCCTTATGGCCTATGGTCTTGGAAGAATATCAGCACTGGGACCCTGGACCCAGACCAGTTCCTACTCCTCTTGAAACACTCGAGGACTTGAGGCAACTAAAGGTACATATGTTGGCTTTGATCGGTTGACCAGGAAACATCTTAACACTTGTTTCTATGGTGAAATAACTTCACCTTATAAAAATTTGAAGCAATGTACTAATAAGTGAATGGCTAATAACGCTGACAACAAAATTTCTTTGCCTGAGAGCAGTGTTACAAAGGATAATCTTGTGGAAAAAACTCTCTCTTAGCTCTTATCTAAAATGTCAATGGGTACAAATAGCTAAGAAATACGCTAACAGATTGAAATGGTAGAAAAGCAACTGAATTTATGCCAGATGCTAAAACACAGCTTCTCCATTTCCAGACTCCTATGAGAAAAGTTTTGTACAGACACTTATTAAAAGACTAGAAAAACTACACAGATATGCGAGTTGGCAAAAGAGGTTATCAGTTTTATAATTAGGCCATCAACACATTTCTTAAGCTTTCAAAATTTAAAACTCAGCTTTAAAATACAATATATATGCATAAAGATGTCCAATTAAGCAAATTATTCCATTTAATCTACCAATATCATTTTGTTGACATTACCTTTCTTTTTTTGTGGCAAACTTTCACAAGCAGGACTTCCAGGGTAACAGAATTTTGTTCATTTTCTGAGTTTGGTGATGGCTTATCTAAATAGAAAATCAGTATTTTAAAATATATTTTAAAAATATATGAACACGGTATTCATTTTGCTAACAAGTCAGGGAACTTCAAACAGAGATTTCCCATAATAAGACTTCTCAAAAGTTCACTCATTCTTTTTTCCTCAAATCAGTTCCAAACTTACAGCAAACTCTTTAAAAGCCTTTATATATAGTGTAAATAAACCACTCACAAAACAAATATAATTACCGTCCTATATGCTGTAATTTTTTTTTCCATTAGATATAGGTTTTGCTCTGTTGCCCAAGGTACAGTGCAGTGGCACAATCACAGCTCACTGCAATCACAAGCTCCTGGGATCAAGTGATCCTCACACATCAGCACGGCAGCCTCCTGAGTACCTGGGATTACAGGCGTGAGCCACCATGCCCAGGTTGTAAGTATAAAAAATATTCACTGGCCAGGCATAGTGGCTCATGCCTGTAATCCCAACACTTTGGGAGGCCAAGGCAAGAATATCACTTAAGGCCAAGAGTTCAAGACCAGCCTGCACAACACAGAGACCTCGTCTATACAAAATGTCAAAAAATTAGCTGGGTGTGGTGGGTGTCATGTGCCTGTAGTCCTAGCTACCTCAGAGGCTAGGTGGAAGGATCTCTTGAGCCAAGGAGTTCAAGGCTGCAGTGAGCTATGATCCTGTCACTGCCCTCTAGTCTGGGCGAAAGAGTGAGATCCTGTCTCTAAAACACATCTACACATTTCCATTTATATATATATATACTTCCTAATTCCTTTTTTCTTTTCGAGACAGAGACTCGTTCTGTCACCCAGGCTGGAGTGCAGTAGGGCGATCTTGGCTCACTGCAACTTCTGCCTCCCGGGTTAAAGTGATCCTCCTACCTCAGCTTCCCAAGTATCTGGGACTACAGGTGCGCACCACGACACCCAGCTGATTTTTTTAATTTTTAGTAGAGATGGGGTTTCACCATGTTGGCTAGGCTGGTCTTGAACTCCTGACCTCAAGTGATCCACCTGCCTTGGCCTCCCAAAATGCTGGGATTAAAGGTGTGAGCCACCACACCTGGCCATATTTACTGAATATTTCTAATTTGAAGATTTAATATTTTTGTTTGTTTTTCAGACAAGGGTCTGGCTATGTTGCCCAGGCTGGTCTCAAACTTCTGGGCTCAAGTGATTCTCCCATTTTAAGCCTCCTAAGTAGCTGAGACTACAGGCACATGCAACTGGGCCGGCTTGAAGATTCAACATTTATGATAATACACTGCTAGTCAAAAGTAATTTTGACAAATACAGTTAAAGCTTCTTGGCAGAAAGCATAAATGAAAATAGTTGCAGAAGGGCCAGGTGTGGTGGCTCACGCCTGTAATCCCAGCACTTAGGGAGGCCAAGGCAGGTGGATCACCTGAGGCCGGGAGTTCGAGACCAGCCTGACCAACACGGAGAAACCCCGTCTCTACTAAAAATACAACATCAGCCTACAGCTAAAAATACAACAACAGATTACAGGTGGTGCACGCCTGTAATCTCAGCTACTTGGGAGGCTGAGGCAGAACTGCTTGAACCAGGGGTGGGGGGCAGAGGTTGCAGTGAGCCGAGATCACACCATTGCACTCCAGCCTGGGCAACAAGAGCGAAACTCCATCTCCAAAAAAAAAAGTTGCAGGAGACAACCACATTCAAAATAAGCATCTTCAATTTTTTTCTTCTCCTAAAATCTACTAGAAAAATTATTAAGATAACATTTGAATTAAATCAGTTACTATTATACATGTTTCATTATGAATGCATAGAGACAACTAAACTAAAAAGTTCTTGATCTGACCAAGACTTGTGGCCAAAAGGATAAAAAATGGATTTCAAAAAACATTAAACATTATAAAACGTAGAGACAGAGCTATTTTTAGACGCTTTCCCCAGAATTTCTCTACAGTTTAAATGGGATAACAAAAATCAAGATATTATTTACTATCTAGAAGAATATCTTGGCTTACAAAAAATTTAGGGGTGTTAATTTTGAATACCATAGTCTATATTCTCTATGTAAATTAACTAACAAAGGCTTTACAAATTAAGGTTCTAGAGTAGTCCTCCATAACTTTTTTTTAAAGTCCCAAAGGTATTAACAGTTCATAACTGAATATTTAATAAATAATTCATCAAATAGCTTCAATAACATCCAGAACTATTATAATAGATGAATCCATGAACATACAAAAAAAAATTTTTGTTCTAAGGCATTGGGCAACACATTTTTTCTTTCTTTACTTTTTTTTTTTTTTTTTTTTTGAGAGATAGAGTCTTGCTCTGTTGCCCAGGCTAGAGTGCAATGGAATGTTCTTGACTCACTGCAACCTCCGCCTCCTGGGTTAAAGCAGTTCTCCCTGCCTCAGCCTCCCGAGTAGCTGGGACTACAGGCACACGCCACCAAGCCCGGGTAATTTTTTTTTTTTTTCTTGAGTCAGTCTCACTCGGTTGTCCAGGCTGGAATGCAGTGGCACGATCTCGGCTCACTGCAGCCTGCACCTCCCAGGTTCAAGCACTTCTCATGATTCAATCTCCAGAGTAGCTGGGATTACGGGGATGAAACACCATTCCCAGCTAATTTTGTTATTTTCAGTAGAGACGGGGCTTCACCATGTTGGCCAGGCTGGTCTCAAACTCCCTACCTCAGGTGATCTACCTGCCTCGGCCTCCCAAAGTGCTGGGATTACAGGCCTGAGCCATTGCGCCTGGCCGGCAACACTTTTTTTCTACTTAAAAACATTCTTATTGGGGGTGTGTGTGTAAAACACATTTGATCAGTTTCTTCGGAAGTTGCATCCAGGATAAAAACACCTTAATACAGCAAAAAAATAGTCCAATGTCTAAATGCAGTAACAAAAATATTTGCCGAACAATACTCACCATGAAAATAGTACCCAAATAATCTTTGTGTATTCATTCTAAGAAGCAGTTTCAAGTATTAATTGCCAAACAAAAGTTTTCATTTAAAAACAAAAGAGGCCGGATGCAGTGGCTCATGCCTGTAATCCTAGCCCTTTGGGAGGCTGAGGTGAGAGGATCGCTTGAGCCCGGGAGGCTGCAAGGAAGCAAGACTGCTCACTGCACTCCAGCATGGGTGACAGAGCAAGACTCTGTCTAAAAAATAATAGTAAGAAAATAAGAAGAAAAAATCACATTTTAAGAATTAAAAATTTTTTTTCCTTGTTTTGAGAGAGGGTCCCACTATGTTGCCCAGACTCTATTCAAACTCCTGGGCTCAAGCAATCCTCCCAGCTCAGCCTCCTCAGTAGCTGGAAATACAGGCAAGCATCACTGCTGCTGGTACATTTTAGAGAACTTGATGTTGGTTTTCTATCCTGGTTTCTTAAAAATATTATTGAAAACAAAAAAGGTACAAATAAACCTTGGATGGAAAAGAAACACAATATATCTACTTCCAACTTCTACTAGTTTCAAAGTTATAATAGAAATTATTTTCAACATAGGCGTGGTGGCTCACGCCTATAATCCCAGCACTTTGGGAGGCCGAGGTGGGCGAATCACTTGAGGCCAGGAGTTTGAGACCAGACTGGCCAACATGGTGAAATGAAATCCTGTCTCCATTAAAAATACAAAAATTAGGGGCCGGGCTCGGTGGCTCATGCCTATTGAAATCCCAGCACTTTAGGAGGCCGAGGCGGGCAAATCACCTGAGATCGGGAGTTCAAGAGACCAACCTGACCAACATGGAGAAACCCCATCTCTACTAAAAATACAAAAAATTAGCGGGGCATGGTGGCGCATGCCTGTAATACCAGCTACTCTGGAGGCTGAGGCAAGAGAATTGCTTGAACCCAGGAGGTAGAGGTTGTGGTGAGCCGAGATTGCGCCATTGCACTCCAGCCTGGGCAACAAGAGCGAAACTCCGTCTCAGAAAAAGAAAAAAAAAATTAGCTAGTGTGGTGGCACCCGCCTGTAATCCCAGATACTTGGGAGGCTGAGGCATGAGAATTACTTGAACCTGGAGGCAGAGGCTGCAGTGATCTGAGATCAAACCACTACACTCCAGCCTGGGTGACAGAGGAATTATTTTCTGGAAACAGATATCAACAGAGTTCACTATCTCTTTTACTTCAATATCAAGAAAAATAAAAACAAAGTAAATCTGAGCAATTGTTGAACTTTATATATTTTGTCATGTAGATAGGAAAAAAGCTTAATATGACTACTTTCCAAAAAGTTCAGTGATGGATAAACTATGTGTTCTACACAGGTCCCTGAGAACAAAGGGCTAATGAATGTATAAATTTCAAATTATAAGCTTCTGAAGAATTAAAGTCTAGACACGTCAGAAGTACCACAGAAAACAAAATACGATGACTAGAGATAAGGACTCTAAGCAGACCATTACAAATAATTTAAGGAAAACAAAAATCATAATGCTACCCAGGTTACTTCTATATAAAAATAGACCAGATCTAAGGTAAAAACTAGAAGTTACATTAGCTGCTAATACAAATACGAGATTTCAAATTTCTTACATAAAAACCCTAACTAGGGCCAGTCTCAGTGGCTCACACCTGTAATCCCAGCACTTTGGGAGACTGAGGTGACAGGATCACTTGAGACCAGGAGTTTGAGACCAGCCTGGGAAATGTAGTGAGATTCCATCTTAACAAAAAAAATTTTTTTTAATTAGCCAGGCATGGTGGGGACGCCTGTAGTCCCAGCTACTCAGGAGGCTGAGGCAGGAGGATCACTTGAGCCCAGGAGTTGATCACACCACTGCACTCCAGCCTGGGTGACATGAGCAAGACTCTGTCTAAACAAACAAACAACCCCAAAGAGTCATTAAAAAATGGTTATATTAGAGCATTTTGACAACTGGCCAATTGGCAAGGTTGTCTTTTTGTCTTCTTTAGACAGTGTCTCACTCTGTCACTCAGGCTGGAGTACAGTGGTGTGATCTTGGCTCACTGCAGCCTCAACCTCCAAGACTCAAGCAATCCTCCCACCTCAGCCTCCTGAGTAGCTGAGACTACAGAACAGCTGGGACTACAGGCATGTGCCACTGTGCCCAGTTAATCTTTTTTTACCTCTTACAGATAGGTTCTCCCTATGTTGCCCAGGCAAGCCTCAAGCAATTCTTCCATCTCAGACTCCCAAGGTGTTGACATTATAGCTGTGAGCCACCATGCCCAGTCTAATATTTGGGATTTTTTGGAGACAGAGTCTCACTCTGTTGCCCAGCCTGGAGTAGAGTTGTGCAATCATAGGTAACTGTAACCTTGAATTCCTGAGCTTATGCCATCCTGCCATCTTGGACTTCCAAGTACCTAGAACTACAGGACATACCCACCATACCTGGCTAATTTTTGTAGAGATGGGGTCTGTGTTGCCCAAGCTGGTCTTGAACTCCTGGCCTCAAGTCATCTTCCCATCTCAGCCTCCCAAAATGCTGAGATTACAGACATGAGCCACCAAGCCAGGCCTCATTTTCTTTTCTTTTTCTTTTCTTTTTTTTTTTTTTTTTTTAAGAGAGTCTCGCTGTCACCAGGCTGGAGTGCAGTGGGATGATCTTGGCTCACTGCAACCTCCAACTCCCGGGTTCAAGCGATTCCCCTGCCTCAGCCTCTCAAGTAGCTGGGACTACAGGTGTGCACCACCACGCCCAGCTAGTTTTTTTGTATTTTAGTAGAGACGGGGTTTCACCATGTTAGCCAGGATGGTCTCAATCTCCTGACCTTGTGATCCACCCGCTTCGGCCTCCCAAAGTGCTGGGATTACAGGCGTGAGCCACCGTGCCCGGCCCACCAGGACTCATTTTCAATCTTTGTTTCTTACTAAACGATACCAAGACAACCAACCTGGCATGTTTCTAATAATGGTTTTATTCCATTGCATAATAAAAATATATGCCATATACACAGACTTATGATGGATAAGCTGATAAGTAATTTTCCCCCCCTTTTTTTTTCTGAGATGGAGTCTCGCTCTGTCGCCCAGGCTGCAGTGCAGTAACACAATCTCAGCTCACTGCAACCTCTGACTCTCAGGTTCAAGCGATTCTTCTGCCTAAGTCTCCCAAGTAACTGGGACTACAGGCACCCACCACCACGCCCGGCTAATGTTTATATTTTTAGTAGAGATGGGGTTTCACCATATTGGCCAGGCTGGTCCTGAACTCCTGGCCTCATGATACACCCGCCTCAGCCTTCCAAAATGTTGGGATTACAGGCATGAGCCACTGCACCTGGCCGTATTTTTCCATTTTTAAAACAACTCTAATTCTTTCCAGCATGCTTTGAGCTTTTACGGGAGTAATATACTATATAATTTCCTTTGAATAATATTTAAAATATTAATATATGCCATTGGTAATAGTGGTTATTTCAGTTGTTTTACTGTGTTTTTTAAAAACATGATACATTATCAGTAATTCAAAATGTTTATGCATAAAAGGTTCTACTGAGGAGATTCTTTACCTATTGAAGTTCTAAGACAATTTGTTAAAATGTTCATCATTAGCCAGGCGTGGTGGCTCACGCCCCCTTGGGAGGCCAAGGCGGGTAGATCACGAGGTCAGGAGTTCAAGACCAGCCTGGCCAGCATGGTGAGACCCTGTCTCTACTAAAAATACAAAAAATTAGCCAGGCATGGGGCGCGTGCCTGTAATACCAGCTACTCAGGAGGCTGAGGCAGGAGAATTGCTTGAACCCGGGAGACGGAGGCTGCAGTGAGCCAAGATCACAACATTGCACTACAGCCTGGACGACAGAGCAAGAGTCTGCCTCCCCCACCACCCACCCACCAAAAACAAATTTCATCATTAGCCTTCATACCTTAAAGCTCAAAAACATCAGAATCAACATCTTTTCCATTAAACTTAATTTTATAAATTTACACTCAGAAGCCCCACTTTTTTTTTACATTCACAAAGGTATCTTGCTATTAAAATGCCACTTTATTTACTTTTAAGTACATACCATTTTTGTGGAAGAAACCAAAAATGTAAGCTGCAAATGAGCTGACAAGCTAAAAAAAAAAAAGGAAATATTTTATCATTTTAATGCTCTGTAGTAAAATAACCTAGACTTTAAAATATAACATTGAAATCAAAGTTACTTCAACTAATTTATAAATATTTGTACTCAATTGTTATTCAGGCCCATGACTCTATGCTTTCCCTGTTAAATATGACATCCAAAAGTTTGTCTATACACCTAACAAAAAATAAACAACAAAAAATCCCTCACAACTCACAAAAAGTAAGAACAAAACCACAAAAACACCAGAGCAAGGCAGAAAAAATCAGACTACCAAGTTGGAGGCCAGGTAATTTACTGTGTTTTAGTGTTCTACCTATAAAATGACAGCAGGTATGCCTTCCTATCTTTAAAAAGGAATTTTGGAGGGTTTTTGGAATTCTTTTCTTGTTCTGTTTTAATGACGCTTTAGTCAATGACTTCATCAAAAGGAAATTTTGAAAAGGGTAGCTAAATCCATGCAAAAAAATTTGAATATTTTGAAGCTATGGAAATTCAACCTTCCCAATAAATTATACAGAACCATTACTTTATACTTCAAATAGCAATGAAATACACAATTACAAATCTGGTATAGATCTATAATTTACTGTTTCAATATATCATTTTCACTGTTAGTTTTAGAAGCTATGGAAAAGCAAAAGAAAGCATGAACTAGAACTAGTGCTCCTTCTATTTTCACAAACATCTATTAACAATAGAAAAAAACTATAAGGATGGGATAAAACAAACAGAAGCACCAATAAGCTTTTGAAGTACCTTTAAACTGCAAAACAGAATACAGCTGTTGATCAGGAGACATTCATAACTTTCCTGAGCATAGTTTCCATAGTGTGACATGTACAGACACCAGATTATGGAGGGCTATACAGAACAGATGGTGGGGAAAGGAAAGCAGTACTGATCCCTTACATAAGGCATTTACTAATGAAATAGTTGCTGGGCACTAAGGACTAGTAAAGGGCATATATATATATTTTTAAATGATGGTGACAATCTAGGCATTTTTATAGTCAGATGGGAACAGTTACAGAAAGATATTGTGGCAAGAGAGTACTAAGGAGCAAGTAATGACTGGAAATAAGGACATATTATGAAGAGGTTAGCCCTGTAAATTTGACCAGGACTCCTCTTTTTCTTTTTTTTGAGATGAGGTTTCGCTCTTCTCGCCCAGGTTGGAGTGTAATGGCGCAATCTTGGCTCACTGCAACCTCCACCTCCCGAGTTCAAGCGATTCTCCTGTCTCAGCCTCCCAAGTAGCTGGGATTATAGGTGTGAGCCACCGAGCCCGACTGGATTCCTCTTTTTCTAAGATAGAGAAATAAGAGGCAAGTAAGAAAGTCATTTCCATGGAAGATGGGGGGATATCTCCATCTACTTAGTGAAGTAGGCCATGAAACTGTCTGCTAAAAAAACTACAGTGTGGGCCGGGCGCAGTGCCTCACGTCTGTAATCCTGGCACTTTGGGAGGCCGAGGCAGGGGATCACCAGGTCAGGAGTTCGAGACCAGCCTGGCCAATATGGTGAAACCCCGACTCTACTAAAAATACAAAAATTAGCTGGGTATGGTGGCACATGGCTGTAGTCTCAGCTACTCAGGAGGCTGAGGCAGGAGAATCGCTTGAACCTAGGAGGCAGAGGTTACAGTGAGCCGAGACTGCGCCATTGCGCAGTCAGGCTTGCAGAAAGTAATAAAGTATCCAGCAAAATACTCTCTCCCTCTTCTACAAAGACCCTAAACCCAATCAATCAAGAGCTAAATGACCACTTTATCCCTTTACAAGCACTCTTATTTACCACTGTTTAGTCACTATTTTTCCATATACATCTTTTTATTAGTGTCCCTAGCACCTAGCAGTGTCTTACAGAAAATGACCCAACAAATTTTTTTCATAAGATAACGTCCTCCTAGAGTAATACAAATTTAAAGGTCAGGAATGATGGCCCATTACACTGCAGTACTATTAGTATTATTTACATTATTTTTCTGAGAAGTGTGAGGGTAAGCTCCAACTCTGAAATGCCAGAAAGATCTTACATTTATTTACCCCAGAGAATATTTTAAATCAGTATTACTTAAAATGTTGTCTACAAACTGAGGTCATTAGGAAAAATGTTACCATTCTACAACAACTCAAGAACTTGAGAATACTACTAACAACACACTGAAAATTAACAAATAAACAAAATGATCTTTCACCACAGGTGATTTCAGACAGTTTTAAATGGTACATTATACCTTACATAGGATAGCCTGTATAACCAGCTTTGTTTTGTTTTGTTTTTCTTTGAGACGGAGTCTCACTGTAGCCCAGGCTGGAGTGCAGTGGCACGATCTCAGCTCACTGCAACCTCCCACCTGGGTTCAAGTGATTCTCCTGCCTCAGTCTCTGAGTAGCAGGGATTACAGGTGCCCGCCACCATGCCAGGTTAATTTTCCTATTTTTAGTAAAGATGAGGTTTCACCACATTGACCAGGCTGGTCTAGAACTCCTGACCTCAGGTGATCCACCCGCCCTGGCCTCCCAGTGCTGAGATTACAGGTATGAGTAATGGGCCCAGCCAACCAGCCATTATTATACTAGTGTTTCTTTGTGAGAAAGAATTTTTTTTTTTGAGACGGAGTCTCGCTCTGTCACCCAAGCTGGAGTTCAATGGTGTGATCTTGGCTCACTGTAACTTCTGCCTCCCAGGGTTCAAGCCATTCTCCTGCCTCAGCCTCCTGAATAGCTGGGAGTCAGGCACATGCTGCCATGCCCAGTTAATTTTTTGTATTTTTTAGTAGAGAGAGGTTTCGTCGTATTGCCCAGGCTGGTCTCAAACTCCTGAGCTCAGGCAATCCACCTGCCTCAGCCTCCCAACATGCTAGGATTACAGGTCTGAGCCACCATGCCCGGACTTTGAGAAAGAATTCTAAATTTCAATTAACCAATTTTAAAAGGCAACATTGGGGCCAGGCACGGTGATTCACACCTATAATCCCAGCACTTTGGGAAGGAGGCAGGGGGAATCACTTGAGGTCAGGAGTTGGAGACCAGCCTGGCCAACATGGTGAAACCTTGTCTCTACTAAAAATACAAAAAATTAGCCGGGCGTGGTGACACCTGCGTGTAATCCCAGTTACTCAGGAGGCTGAAGCAGAAGAATAGCTTGAACCTGGGAGGCAGACATTGCAGTGAGCCAAGATCACACCACTGCACTCCAGCCTAGGTGACAGAGCAAGTCTCAAAAATAAATAAATAAATAATAAATAAAGGTGACATTGGGAATGTGACTTGCTATGCATGATTTCCCCTTCCTCACCTAAAAGTAAACACTCTGGCTGGGCGCAGTGGCTCACGCCTGTAATCCCAGCACTTTGGGAGGCCGAGGCGGGCAGATCACAAGGTCAGGAGTTCGAGACCAGCCTGACCAACGTGGTGAAACCTCATCTCTACTAAAAACACAAAAATTAGCTGGCCGTGGTGGCAGGCACCTGTAATCCCAGCTACTCAGGAGGCTGAGGCAGGAGAATCGCTTAAACCTGGGAGGCAGAGGTTGCAGTGAGCCGAGATTGCGTCACTGCACTCCAACCTGGGCAACAGAGCGAGACCCCGTCTCAAAAAAAAAAAAAGTAAACGCTCTGATATGTACCTAGAATAAAGTGTACCAATGATCCCTTCCATAGGTGGTTTGTTCCAAGGAAAAGGGCAAAGTTTTCTCTCCCTTCCCTCTCCCCTCTCTTGCAGCTACTTTGTCCACATCTTAATTGGTTAGGCTGGACCAGATGAACGGGAGGAAAAGAAACATGTAAGGTTGGTCAGGACTATTTGGTTTTAGGCCACAACAAAATCTAGTTTACATGACCAGAATAAGATATAAGAGACTTAGTTCATCTATGTCACATGCTCCCTGTATCTTCTCAGGAAGTAAGCCACATGATAACAAGAAATCAGGTAGAGAATTTGAAATTTTGAGACGCAAATTTCAGCATTCCAAGCACAAACATCTGACAGTTCTGATACGGTCTACAGAAAATGATGCTAAGCTAATTCATAAGAGACTAACACTTTGAAATCTAATTCAAGGAAGAGCCTCCCATTTTAAGAACAGCCAGATCCCACAGAGGAAGTAGTTTTTATGACAACAGGAGACCAAGATTAGTGCCTCTAATTTATATACATCAATCTGCTAGCGGCAGGCATAAGGCTTCATTTTAAGGGTATGGCAGTATTACCTCAAAACAGGACAAGTCTGATAATCTACTTGGTTTCTATAGTTACATGTTAGCTATTCAACTTTTGTTATATACATTTGATCCTATGATATGTAAAGCTGAGAAACTCGTGTCTACATCAAGTCCAATATTCTGAAATCCAGGATCTCAAAATATAGGGGTTAGACGCACTTTCTAATGAGAAGATAAAGCTGAATGGTGGATGATGTGTGTGTGTCTATTAATTACAAATGGATCACTCTGCAGAAGTACTGTGAAGAAAACAAAGGAATTACTACAAAACCAAAAAAATTATACAAGGAATATTTTTACAATTTGTTCTTGAATATTCAAATTTTTAAGAATCAGATATGCTCAAATGGCAACTGATGAGGCACCTTCAAGAGTAAGTATGCAAAAAGAAATGTATAGCCAGGTTCTGAAAAAAGAACAAAAACTCAAGACTGAAAAGATGACAATTTGAAAACAACTTCAAAGCTTATAGTCAAGGCAAAGTGTATTAAAAAAAAGAAAGGGAAAACATCAGATCTTATTAATGGTGGGAAAGACACACAACCAACCTAAGATGTAGTCTACAGATTTTATTTATTTATTTATTTTGAGACGGAGTCTCCCTCTGTCACCCAGGCTGGAGTGCAGTGGTGCGGTATCTACTCACTGCAACCTCCGCCTCCTGGGTTCAAGCAATTCTCCTGCCTCAGCCTCCCGAGTAGATGAAATTACAGGTGCACGCCACCATGCCCAGCTAATTTTTTATTTATTTATTTATTTATTTTTGAGACAGAGTTTCACTCTGTAGCCAGGCTGGAGTGCAGCGGTGTAATCTCGGCTCACTGCAACCTCCGCCTCCCAGGTTTAAGCAATTCTCCTGCCTCAGCCTCCCGAGTAGCTAGAAATACAGGCACGTGCCACCACGCCCAGCTAATTTTTGTATTTTTACTAGAGACGGGGTTTCACCATGTTGGCCAGGATAGTCTCAATCTCTTGACTTCATGATCCGCCTGCCTTGACCTCCCAAAGTGCTGGGATTACAGGCATGAGCCACCGCACCTGGCCTAATTTTTTGCATTTTTAGTAGAGATGGGGTTTTCCCATGTTGGTCAAGCTGCTCTCGAACTCTTCACCTCAAGTGAACCGCCTGCCTCGACCTCCCAAAGTGCTGGGATACAGGCGTGAGTCACCATGCCTGGCCAGCCTAAAGATTTTAAAATGCAGCTAAATGTACAAAATAGAAAAGTAGGAAAAAATCATTAATACAATAGTTCTCTTAAAAATAATTTAATAGGTCGGATGCAGTGGCTCACGCCTGTTATCCTAACACTTTAGGAGGACAAAGTGGGCAGATCACTTGAACTCAGTACTTCGAGTCACACTAGGCAATACGGTGAAACCTCATCTCTACAAAAAGTACAAAAGGGGCTGGGCGCGGTGGCTCACGCCTGCAATCCCAGCACTTTGGGAGGCCGAGGTGGGCGGATCATGAGGTCAGGAGATTGAGACATCCTGGCTAACACGGTGAAACCCCATCTCTACTAAAAATACAAAAAAATTAGCCGGGAGTGATGGCAGGCGCCTGTAGTCCCAGCTACTCCAGGAGGCTGAGGCAGGAGAATGGCATGAACCCAGGAGGCAGAACTTTGCAGTGAGCGGAGATTGCGCCACTGCACTCCAGCCTGGGTGACAGAGCAAGACTCCGTCTCAACAACAACAACAAAAAGTACAAAAGGTGATCCAGGGCCAGGTGCAGTGGCTCACACCTGTAATCCAGCACTTTGGGAGGCTGAGGCTGGTGGATAACTTGAGGTCAAGAATTCGAGACCAGCCTGGCCAACATGGTGAAACTCCGTCTCTGCTAAAAATACAAAAACCGGCTGGGGGCAGTGGCTCACGGCTATAATCCCAGCGCTTTGGGAGGCTGAGGCGAGCAGATCACCTGAGGTCAGCAATTCGAGACCAGCCTGCTCTACCTGGTGAAACCCTGTCTCTACTAAAAATGCAAAAGAATTAGCTAGGCGTGGTGGCAGGCACCTGTAATCCCGGCTACTCGGGAGGCTGAGGCAGAAGAATCGCTTGAACCTGGGAGGTGGAAGTTGCAGTGAGCCAAGATCACGCCACTGTACTCCAGCCTGGGCAAGAAGAGAGACACTCTGTATCAAAAAAAAAAATTCAAAAATTATCCGGGGATGGTGGTGCATATCTGTAATCCCAGCTACTCAGGAAGCTGAGACAGGAGAATTACATGAACTCAGGAGGTGGAGGTTGTAGTGAGCAGAGATCACACCACTGCACTACAGCCTGGGCAACAAAGCAAGACTCCATCTGGAAGAGAAAAAAAAAAAAAACAAAAAACATAGCCAGGTAGTCCCAGCTAATCAAGAGGCTGAGGAGAGAGGATCTCTTCATCCCAGGAGGTTGAGACTGCAGTGAGCCATGATCGTGCCACTGCACTCCAGCCCGGGCAATGGAGCAAGACTCTATCTCAAAAATAATAATAGTAATAAAATAAGGCCGGACACGCTGGCACAGGCCTGTAATCCAGCACTTTGGGAGGTCGAGGTGGGTGGATCACTTGAGGTCAGGAATTCAAGACCAGATTGGCTAACACAGTGAAAACTAGTCTCTACTAAAAATACAAACATTAGCTGGGCATGGTGGCACACACCTATAATCCCAGCTACCTGGGAGGCTAAGGCATGAGAATCTCCTGAACCTGGGAGGCAGAGGTTGCAGTGATCCTAGATGGTGACATTGCTGAGCCACAGAATGAGACTGTCTCAAAAAAACAAAAAATATATATATACATATATATACACACATATATATACACACACACGTATATATAGAGAGAAAAAAATAATTTAAGAATTTAATGACTTTTTTACATACCACAATACTAGTCGAGAAGTGCAATAATAGCAGAGGTGGGTAGGGAGGGTTTTCGGTGATATCTCGAGGTTCTGAAGTGACCAAAGAGCAGCATCCTGCTCCTGGAACTCAGATTACAATCCTAACCATCATATGTACTACTGGTCTGATGTTAGAAGAAACAGAACAATGCAGAAACAATAACTATATATATTTAAAAACTGACTGGGTGCGGCGGCTTATGCCTGTAATCCCAGCAGTTTGGGAGGTTGAGGTGGGCCGATCACGAGGTCAGATCAAGACCATCCTGGCCAACATGGTGAAACCCCATCTCTACTAAAATACAAAACATTAGCCAGGCATGGTGGCCATGCCTGTAGTCCCAGCTACTCCAGAGGCTGAGGCAGGAAAATTGCTGGAACCCAGGAGGCAGAGGATGCAGTGAGTCGAGACTGCTGGCAACAGAGTGAGACTCCCTCTCAAAAAAACAGTAATATTGGCTGGGCGCGGTGGCTCACGCCTGTAATCCCAGCACTTTGGGAGGCCAAGGCGGACAGATCACGGGGTCAGGAGATTGAGAACATCCTGGCTAACACGGTGAAACCCCATCTCTACTAAAAAATACAAAAAATTATCCGGGCGTGGTGGCAGGCGCCTATAGTCCTAGCTACTCAGGAGGCTGAGGCAGAAGAATGGGGTGAACCTGGGAAGGCAGAGCTTGCAGTGGGCCGAGATCGCACCACTGCACTCCAGCCTGGGTGACAGAGCGAGACTCCGTCTCAAAAAAAAAAAAATAATAATAATAATAATATACAACTTTTAAAACAACAGGCTGGGTGTTAATGGTTCACACTTGTAATCTCAATGCTTGGAGAGGCTGAGACAGGAGGACTGTTTGAGGCCAGAAGTTTGAGACCATCTTGGGCAACATGACAAGATAATGGATCTCTACTAAAGTTTTTCTGAGATGTAGTCTCGCTCTGTTGCCCACGCTGGAGTGCAATGGCGCGATCTCTCCTCCCTGCAACCTCCATCTCCCAGGTTTAAGCGATTCTCCTGCCTCAGCCTCCTGAATAGCTGGGATTACAGGTGCACGACACTCTGCCCAGCTAATTTTCGTATTTTTAGTAGAGATGGGGTTTTTACCATGTTGGTCAGGCTGTTCTCAATCTCCTGACCTCGTGATCCGCCCACCTCGGCCTCCAAAGTGCTGGGACTACAGGCATGAGTCACCGTGCCCGGCTACAAAATTTTACAAAATCATCCAGGCATGGTATCTTGCGCCTGTGGTCCTAGGCTATTCGGTAGGCTGAGGCAGGAGGATCATTTGAGGCCAGGAGGTCAAGGGTAAAGTGAGTCATGATCGCACAATTGCAATCCAGCCTGGGTGATGAAGTGAGACCCTGTCTCCTAAAAAAACTTTTTTTAATAAAATAAAATAAGTGGGACATGGTAGCATGTGCCTGTAGTCCCAGCTACTCAGGAGGCTAAGGCAGGAGGGTTACTTGAGCCCAGGAGCTCATGGCTGTAGTTGAGCCATGATCACACCACTGTACTGCCGCCTCAGCGACAGGGCAAATCCTCATCTCTAAAAAGTAAAATAAAAAATAAAGTAAGACAACGGAGCCTGGAAGTTCGAGGATGCAGTAAGCTATGAACGTATCAATGCACTCCCGTGTGGGTGACAGAACAAGACCCCACGTCTTAGAGAACAAAAAAAAAAGAACGAACGACTTTCTTAAGACCAACATCCTTAAATTACCTTGAAGACAATGCACTGTCTGGCCCTGGCCATCTGCTCCAGCTTCTTCTCATACCACTCTCAAGGAGACTTGCTCTTTCTACACAGCTACTCTGGCATCAAATGCTGTATATGTAATATTCCCTTTAACTAGAACCACCTATTTGTTCATCCTCCCACCCCATTTTACTTCTGTACACTTCTTTCAAATCTCAGCTTATTTCTTCAGAGATGCCTTTCCTGATCATCATTATTCCCAAATCTAACACCTCAAATGAAAGCTGGTTCTCCTGTTTTATACACTCACAGTTTTCTTATGCTTTTCCTTCCCAGCACTTATTTCATATTTATTAAATGATTATGTCTTTCTCCCCTAAACACTAAGCTCCATAAAGGCAGGGCCTTCATCCATTTTGTTCACCCTTATATACCCGAGGGCTTAGTATAGTGCTTAGGACATTGCACACTACGGAAATGAAACGTGCAACCAAGAATATAGATGCAGGCCTTCTTATTGTAAAAATAAATGCTTAAAAACGGGGAGGTTTAGAAAAGGAAGGTTACTAATTCAAAAGCTTAGGTTGCATCAAAAACAAAAAGTCGGCTGGGCACGGTGGGTCACGCCTGTAATCCCAGCACTTTGGGAGGCCGAGATGGGCAGGACACGAGGTCAGGAGTTCGAGACCAGCCTGACCAACATGGTGAAACCCTGACTCTACTAAAAATACAAAAATTAACCAGGCGTGGTGGTGTGTGCCTGTAATCCCAACTACTCAGGAGGCTGAGGCAGGAGAACAGCTTGAACCCTGGAGGCGGAGGTTGCAGTGAGCCGAGATGGCACCACTGCATTCTTGCCTGGGCAATAAAGCAAGACCCCGTCTCAAAAATAAATAAATAAATAAATAAATAGTCAAAAAAGGCACATTGACTTATCAACCTACTAAAAATAAAAATGAGCCGGGCACGGTGGCTCACACCTGTAATCCCAGCACTTTGGGAGGCTGAGGCAGGTGGATCACAAGGTCAGGAGACCGAGACCATCCTGGCCAACATGGTGAAACCCCTTCTCTACTAAAAATACAAAGATTAGCTGGGCGTGGTACCACGTGCCTATAATCCCCAGCTACTCCGGAGGCTGAGGCAGGAGAATTGCTTGAACCAAGGAGTTAGAGGTTGCAGTGAGCCGAGTTCGCGCCACTGCACTCCAGCCTGGCGACAGGGCGAGACTCAGTCTCAAATAAATAAATAAATAAATAAATAAATAAATAAATAAAAATTCAGGCTGGGCATGGGGGCTCATTCCTGTAATCTCAGCACTTCAAGATGTCGAGGTAGGAGGATCACTTGAGGATAGGAGTTCAAAACTGGCCTGGGCAACATGGTGAGACCCTGACTCTACAAAAATTCAAAAAATTAGTGTGGTGTGACAGTACATGCCTGTAGTCCCAGCTACTCAGGAGGCTGAGGCAGGAGGATCCCTTTAGTCCACGAGTTCAATCCATCAGTGACCTATCATTATGCCACTACACTCCAGCCTCGGTGACAAAGCGAGACCTTGTCTCAAAAAATAAAAATAAGGCCAGGCATGGTGGCTCACACCTGTAATCCCAGCAATTTGGGAGGTCGAGGCGGGTGGATCACCTGAGGTCAGGAGTTTCAGACCAGCCTGGCCAATAGGTGAAACCCTGTCTCTACCGGAAAAAAAAAACCAAAAATTAGCCGGGTGTGGTGGCAGGTGCCTGTAATCCCAGCTACTGGGGAGGCTGAGGCTCAAGAACTGTTTGAACCTGGGAGGCGGAGGTTGCAGTGAGCCAAGATCATGCCACTATATTCCTGCCTGGGTGACAGAGCAAGACTTTGTCTCAAAAAATAAAAATACATGCTTGAAAATAACCCTAATAAAAGTTCTAATTCAGGTATCCTTTGAGGGGATTTTTCTCCAGCTACTAACAGAAGACCAGGAATAGAAGAGGAATAAGGACAAGAGAGAAGTGACATTTTGCTTCGTTTAGCCCTGGTAAACACTCGGAAGCAACTCAGCTTTAAAAATCTTTTCATGATGCATTTTAGTCCATGGAGATGCACTCAGCACTCAAGAGTTGTTACCAGAGAATTCCAACATTGGGGACAGGCACAGTGGCACATGCCTGTAATCCCAGCACTTTGGGAGGCCACGGAAGGTGGATCACTTGAGGTCAGGAGTTCAAGACCAGCCTGACCAACATGGTAAAACCCTGTCTCTATTAAAAATACAGAAAGTAGCTGGGCGTGGTGGCAGATGCCTGTAATCCCAGCTACTCAGGAGGCTGAGGCATGAGAACTGCTTGAACCCGGGAAGAGGAGGTTGCAGTAAGCCGAGATCGCGCTACTGCACTCCAGCCTGAGCGACAAAGCTACATTCCATCTCAAAAAAACAGCAATAAAAAAAAGATAATTCCAAAATTGGTAGGACAGCATAAGAATCGCTAGCATATACAACTACACAAAGGCAAGAGATTTATTCTAATCAGCCATAGTGCCTGGTCAAAATCCAAGAAAAATTCAAAACTGGAGTACCAGAAACAAGAGCTGGAAAGGATGTAAGGCATTATATCAGACCTTCTGTAAAGAAAATAAAGGCCAGGCGTGGTGGCTTACACCTGTAATCCCGGAACTTTGGGAAGCCAATCTGAAAGGATCACTTGAGGCCAGGAGTTTGAGACCAGCCTGGGCAACATAGCAAGATGCTGCCTCTACGAAAATTTAAAAATTAGCCAGGCATGGTGGCATGCACTTGTAGTCCTAGCTATTCAGGAGGCTAAGATGGGAGGATGGTTTGAGGCCAGGAGTTAGAGGCTGTAGTGAGCAGCCACTTGCGCTCCAGCCTGGGCAACAGAGCAAGACCCTGTCTCTTAGAAAAAGAAGGCTGGGCGCAGTGGCTCATGCCTGTAATTGCAACACTTTGAGAGGCCAAGGTGGAAGGATCACTTGAGGTCAGGAGTTTGACACCAGCCTGGCCAACATGGTGAAACCCTGTCTCTACTAAAAATATAAAAATTAGTTGGACGTGGTAGGGCATGCATATAATCCCAGCTACTAGGGAGGCTGCGGCAGGACAATCTCTTGAACCTGGGGGATGGAGGTTGCAGTGAGCCAAGATCGCACCACTACACTCCAGCCTGGGCGACAATGTGAGACTCTGTCTCAAAAAAAAAAAAAAAAAAAGGCTGGGCGCGGTGGCTCACACCTGTAATCCCAGCACTTTGGGAGGCCAAGGCGGGTGGATCACGAGGTCAGGAGATCGAGACCATCCTGGCTAACATGGTGAAACCCCGTCTCTACTAAAAATACAAAAAATTAGCCAGGCGTGGTGGCACGCACCTGTCCCAGCTACTCAGAAGGCTGAGGCAGAATGGCATGAACCCGGGAGGCGGAGCTTGCAGTGAGCTGAGATGGCACCACTGCACTCCAGCCTGGGTGACAGAGCGAGACTCCATCTCAAAAAAGAAAAAAAAGAACTAATAACCATTTAATAGCCCATGTTTTTCTATCAGCTCCTTCCACCAACAAGTTTCTGCAAATGACTTAAGACAACTGTAGGTCTAAAATATAAAAGACCCTGAAACACCAACTTCTTTTGAACAGATTAATGCTCATATCTTGGTTTAGTTTATAAATTACTACAAACGTCATAATAAACTCAGGCATTTATTTGACTGAACTAACTTTTGGGCCATACTACTATGGTATTTTTATCTTGATACCCCTTGAACTTTGAGGAATGAAATATATTGGGCTCAGGAGCAGACATACTATAACTTTGGCAGTGCTAAAAGAACATGAATTCTAGTGGAAGACTCCCAGACTAGACCTGTACAGATCCAGGACCCAGTTAAACTGAAATAGTACAAAGAATATATGCCAGGCGCGGTGGCTCACGCCTGTAATCCCAGCACTTTGGAAGGCCGAGATGGGCGGATCACAAGGTCAGGAGATCGAGACCATCCTGGCTAACACGGTGAAACCCCGTCTCTATTAAAAATACAAAAAATTAGCCGGGCGAGGTGGCGGGCGCCTGTAGTCCCAGCTACTCAGGAGGCTGAGGCAGGAGAATGGCGTGAACCCCAGGGGGCAGAGCCTGCAGTGAGCCGAGATCACGTCACTGCACTCCAGCCTGGGTGACAGAGCGAGACTCCATCTCAAAAAAGAAAAAAAAAAAAAAGAATATAAATGGAGGAGAGATACTTTTGTGTATGATTTAAGATATTAACTTCTACTAACTAATGTTATGGAACAACAAAGATTTATCATCTTTTTTCTTTTTTTGAGACAGAGTCACATCTTGCCCAGGCTGGAGTGCAGCAGCACAATCTTAGCTCATTGCAACCTCTGCCTCCCGGGTTCAAGGGATTCTCCTGCCTCAGTCACCCAAGTAGCTGGAATTACAGGTGTACACCACCTCGCCTGGCTGATTTTTGTGTTTTTTGTAGAGAAAGGGTTTTCCCCTGTTGGCCAGGGCAGTCTCAAATTCCTAGCCTCAAGTGATCCACCCACCTCAGCCACCAAAATGCTGGGATTATAGGTGTGAGCCACTATGCCCGGCCTGTGTTATCTTTTAAGAATTTAACAATAGATTTTAGAAGCAAATATTTATACTGCTGGCATCACATACTGGTGTTTAGGGTCCTTCTTACAACCCTGTGTGATAGGTTTAGGAGAAAAATAAGATTACCTTAATTTGAAATAAGAAATAGATTAAAGGAGGCTGGGCGCAGTGGCTCACGCCTGTAATTCCAGCACTTTGGGAGGCTGAGGTGGGCAGATTACCTGAGGTCAGGAGTTCAAGAAAAAATTAGCTGGGTGTGATGGCGGGCACCTGTAATCCCTGCTACTTGGGAGGCTGAGGCAGGAGAATGCGGGAGGCAGAGGTTGCAGTGAGCAGAGATCACGCCATTGCACTCCAGCCTGCACAACAAGAGCAAACCTCCGTTTCAAAATAAATAAGTAAATAAATAAATACAAAAATTGGCCAGGCTTGGTGGCTCACACCTGTAATCCCAGCACTTCGGGAGGCCAAGGCAGGCGGATCACTTGAGGTCAGAAGTTCAAGACCAGCCTGGCCAACATGGTGAAACTCTGTTTCTACTAAAAACTCAAAATTAGCTGGGTGTGGTGGTGCACGTCTGTATTCCCAGCTCTTCAGGAGGCTGAGACAGGTGAATCGCTTGAGCCCGGGAGGTGGAGGCTATAGAGCCAAGATCGCACCACTGCACTCCAGCCTCAGCAAGAGGGAGACTCGGTCGCCAAAAAAAAAAAAAAAAAAAAAAAAGGCTGGGTGTGATGGCAGGCGCCTGTAATCCTAGGTAATTGGGAGGCTGAGGCAGGATAATTGCTTGAATCCAGGAGGTGGCAGTTGCAGTGAGCTGAGATAGCACCACTGCATGACTCCATCTCAAAAAAAAAAGAAATAGATTAAAGAAAGTTAATAATGTAGGGTCTTAGCAGTAAACTTAAAATGACACACTTTCTTAATTCATCTTAGTGCTTCTGGGAGCAATACTGAGACATTCATAAGAATCTTGAGAGGCTTAAATGGCCAACTCACTGGTCCTAGCTAGACCCTAAAGACTCAAAAAATTCTCTTCCAAAACTACCAGCAGGAATTTATGTAACCCTCTGATTTTAATCTTTGAGTTGCTATTGAACCACTGGGTCAAAAGGAACAAAATTACTGGGGAAACAATTGTTCAGAGAGAATTGAACAGTATGTATCTCCCACACACTCTTACTTAGGGAAGCTCTGTAATTTCAAACCCAATGTCACAATGAGATAGTAATAGGGTTTAGTAGTGAAGGTAAACCTTGATGAGGAAGATGAAGAGAAGGGTCCAGTGTTCTTGTTGTTGGTTCATGCTTCCTTCTCACTTGAACCCTGAAATGACTATAGGGCAAACTTTTAATGTGGTCAGGAGAAAAGAAGCAGGGAGGTCAGACCAGGATCTTACTACAGTCTGTATTTTAAGTAAAAAAGGCCCTGAGGATCCCAAGAGCTCTGTCTAGGGTGGGAGACCAGACAAGAATCTGGAATACAAATTCTAGTAAAGAAAAATGTGTGTGCACTGCGAATATTCTCAGTTCTATCTTATAGGGTCCTCCCTGGGCATTAACAGATGTACCAGGTAACAATTCAGGATCTCAGCTTCTAGAATGGACTATCACAGTTTATTTACAAGTCAGGACTGCCTAGACATGGAAATATAAATTATACTTCAACCCCACAAGATTGCAGGATATAAAATAAAAAATATCATTTTACAATCCAAGTAAAAAAATCACTTAATTCCAAAGCCAAACTTAAAGTAGAAGGAAGCCAAACTGAAAAAAAGGAAGTCTTTTACCAGTTAACAGAACAATGGGAAAACAATGAGATGCATAAATGATGCATCATTAAGTGTGTATCCTATCTAAATTCGTAAGCTGTGATTTAAAACTAGAAGGAAAAGAAAAATGCACTGTGACAAATTTTCCAACTCTATTTTTTTAAGAATCTAATATTTTTAGTTCTGCATTCTCTCTAAAGGTAGTTAATGAATGAACAAACACCACCCAAGCTGCTGTTTCTCCTTAGAATATTCAATTTTCTATCAAAAATATCAAAAAATAAAGTTTACATATCAAAAAATAAATAGAAGCATACTATCTAGAGTAGACAGATATCAGACTAGTCAGAACATTTAGGGATTCGTTCTAGGTATATATTTGCTAATGTACAATAAGTAGATTCTGTCCAAATGTTCAAGTTTCTGAAACTATGTGAGAAACATATTTCAAATATGAAATAAAAGTTATGAATATGTTGCCTGACAGATTTAAATGAGAAGAAAAAGATGGAAAAAAAGAGAACCCCTCTCATATTTGAGAATAACTTACAAGATACGTGATATTGTGAAGTCCCTGCCACAGTACCTAGCACATATACTATAAATGTGAGTATCCCTCTTTAAATGAGGTGGTAGAGTTAAGACCAACGGCAGAAGTCAGAGGTTTCACTCAAAATGGAAGAAACTGGTAATAAAGATAAAGAATAATAAATACAACTACACTGGAGGTATTCAAGCCACAGCTTAAGTATTCTCTGCCAGGAATGCTACAGAAATTAATTTCTGACTTGTGTGTGAGTTTGGACCAAACTGACCTCTAAGATTCCTTCTAACTCCTTATATCAAGGTGATCACTAGGAAAATGATCACTGTAATTTTTCCTCTTTCCTAAAGTATATCACTTAATGTAAACTGATAGGTTATCTTACCTATGAGATTCTTGCTCTCCTTTCATTTTCTCTACTTTTGATAACATATCATCAACTTTAAATGTTTTCCTGGAAGAAACAGATAAACAAAATAATCACTTCTCAACTGGATAAAAGAAACAAATTATACTTTATTGTCACTCTAATAGGCAAGATGGAAATCAGATTTTGATTATTTTTAGTAAGATAAACTATGGATGATTAGCCATAACAATGAATACTATGGAGACGGTGTATAATACAGCACACAAGCCTTCAAGCCCCATCTAAAACGCTAACTTGTTTTCATTAAACCTTTTACCCAATTATTCCCAAACCAGTGATTTCTCCTTACCCATGGTACTTGGTTTATATTTATTTTGACACTTACTTTTCATTCAGTTTCCTACATGTAAAACTCATGTAAATATTTTATTTCTCCTACTAGATTATACACTCCTGAAGGGCAGTAATTGCTCTTCTTCAAGGAAAGCTATGCAGTGCTGGCATAGTGCCTTCTACTTGGTAGGTATTCAAGTATCTGTTGAATTAAGCCAAACAAATATAAATTATGTGTATTCTGAAACACTTAATACGTCTACTAAGCAACACAACAAATATGTACTAGCACCATCACATAAAAAAAGAAATATTCTATAAAATATATTTGAAGTTCATAAGGTATCCTCAAAGATTATCAGCAAAGCCTAAAGCTCAATGATATGTCATATTAAAGAGATGGTTGTTGACATCATGAAAAAATTTTGAAGTTAGGGAATGATCCATCAAATCGCAAAACTATTACCTTTTAACTCGACAAGTTTAAGAGAAAAAATCTATTTCCCAAAAAATTGAAAGTTAAGTATAACTTCTCAAAGCAATTAAAGAATGAATGGATTGTAAAACAAGCTTCATCTTAGTTCTTAAGGTGGTCTATGACATGTTCTAGAGATAGAGTCTAAAAATCTATACCCATATATAATTTAATTAGAAAAAATGTTTCTCTTTATACTCATATAGTCCCTTCCTCTTTAGGACTTGAAAAGCCAAATGTATTCCACATCAATTTGTTACTTTATAATGCTTGAATGCAGACACCAAAAATTACGAATAATCTCATTCGTCAAAAAGAGTTTTTTGTTTGTTTTTTTTGTTTGTTTTGTTTTGTTTTTGAGATGGGAGTGTCACTCTTGTTGCCCAGGCTGGAGTACAATGACGTGATCTCGGCTCACTGCAACCTCCACCTCCCGGGTTCAGACAATTCTCCTGCCTCAGCCTCCCGAGTAGCTGGGATTACAGGTGTGCACCACCATGCCCAGCTAATTTTTGCATTTTTAGTAGAGACAGGGTTTCACCATGTTGGTCAGGCTGGTCTTGAACTCCTGACCTCAGGTGATCTATCCACCCCTGTCTCCCAAAGTGCTAGGATTAAAGGTGTGAGCCACCATGCCTGGCCAAAAAAGAGCTATTTATTGTATTCAACTACTGTAAAAATTATCAGTAGAGAAATGTTAATGTAAATATATTATAGTAAACTACTGATATTAGAGCAGAATTGATGCAATCTATATTTCAAGTGAATGAGAAGAGCCTCCATAGCGAAGCTCTTAAGGGAAAAAAAGCTCTAACTTTAGAGTTACTGAAAACTTCAATATTAAAGTTTCATCCAAGAGTATAGTAAGAAGTGCTTTCTGAAGGATGGCTATATATTTTCAATCTCCACAGATAAGAGAGAAAAAAGAACAAAAATAAAGGACTCTTTTAGGCTAGTTGCAAAGAGCTATTCAGTATAAATACTGAAAGTTACTATTGGGGAGGGCCATGAAATTACTGAAAACTTTTCAGAATAACGTTTATGTAATGATTAAGAAATTCTGTCTGCAGAAAAAGATTGTATGTTCTAAGGTTCATCTCATCTACCTTTATGAAGCTGTATACAGGAGAAGTGAATGGAACTGAATATTAACCATTTGAAACAGATAAAATCACAAAAGCAACCCAGCCTTCCTTAGGAAAAAAACAAAACAAACCTCATAAGCAACTATATAAAAGCCGCTCCTCCCCCAACACCAAGGATTTCTGTTCTTTAGAAAGGTAATGTTACTGTAGGTCAGATTTAAAGAAGGATATAACTATCAAAAGGTCATCGAAAAGGAGCATATTTAAAAATTCAAGAAATTTCAGAAAATTTTCTTGGGAGACTTCAGAAACAGCTCACACGAAATCTAGCAAAATGGATTCAGTAAAAGATGCCCTTCTCGTGACCTATATTTTTACTTTGTTGGGGCAATGTTAGCCTATGGAAGTTGAATACTTCTAAAAAGAGTAAAGCACGAGCTGACTTTAATAAATATACCAGAATTAATATCACGACTGAGAGTATGACTTTAAAGGGAATGATATGCTTATTCCAACAATGGATATTATGTTGTTGTAATAGTAAAAAAGGAGTTCTGAAAACATTTTGAGAAAAGACGACAATCACTGGGCTAAATCTGCCACCTTCCAAAGTCACCAACTACGCTGAAGACAACAGCAAATGAGTTGTGCTTTAATTTCTTAATAATTAGTCCTAATAAGTAATAAGATCAGGCATCTAACAAGATGATTAAATGATTCCCATACTTTTTTTTTTTTTTTTTTTTGAGACATCGTCTCCCTCTACTGCCCAGGCTAGAGTGCACTGGCACATTCATAGCAATCTTCGAACTTCTGGGCTCAGGTGATCCTCCTGCCTCAGCCTCCTGAGTATTTGGGACTACAGTCATGAGCCACGACGCCCAGCTAATTTTTTTAATTTTTTGTAGATATAGGGTCTCGCTATGTTGCCAGTGCTGACCTGTAACTTTTGCCTTTAAATGTAAACTTGTTCACTTGATACGCTCAAATAAATATAATCTTGCACCTAGGACAAAAAACTTGCATTCATAATTACATATGGTTAAGTACTAAATGTTACACAAGCAATCCTCCCAACTCAGTCTCCCAAAATGCTGAAATTACAGGTCTGAAACACCATGCCTAGCCTATTCCTACCCATTTCTGTAGGAACTAAACTAGGTGGGACTTAAATTTGTTTCTTGGCTGGCAGATGGCTTAAAAATTCCCCAAAGACTTTTTTTTTTTTTAACCTAAAGGGCAATAATTAAGAAAATCAGTTTTTACTTAACCAAGCTTTTAAAATTATCTCTACCCATGCAGACAACAGAAACATATCTTGCAATGGGACAAATTAATAAACATGACGGGAAAATGGAACTTAGATTTTAAATGTGTACTTTTTAGCAGGACGTGGTGGTTCACACCTGTAATCCTAGCACTTTGGGATTCTGAGGTGGGCAGATCACCTGAGGTCGGGAGTTCGAGACCAGCCTGACCAACATGGAGAAACTCCATCTCTCCTAAAAATACAAAATTAGCCAGGCATGGTGGCGCATGCCTCTAATCCCAGTTACTCGGGAGGCTGAGGCAGGAGAATCACTTGAACCCAGGAGGTGGAAGTGGCAGTGAGCCAAGATTGCACCATTGCACTCCAGCCTGGGCAACAAGAGCGAAACTCCATCTCAAAAAATTATAATAATAATAAAATAAATGTGTACTTTTTAATCTATGAATGCAAACTTATTTTATAATAATTTAATTACTTTGTAAATTAAGATCAGGTTGCATCCTAGGCAGCAACTCAACTGACCTTCTATATTAAAAATGCTTTGATGGCCAGGGACGGTGGCTCACGACTGTAATCCCAGCACTTTGGGAGGCCAAGGCAGGCGGATCATGAGGTCAGGAGTTTGAGACCAGCCTGACCAACATGGTGAAACCCTGTCTCTACTAAAAATACAAAAATTAGCTGGGCGTAGTGCCACACGCCTGTAATCCCAGCTACTCAGGAGGCTGAGGCAGAATTGCTTGAACTTGGGAGGCGAAGATTGCAGTGAGCCGAAATTGCACCACGGCACTCCAGCCTAGACGACAGAGCAAGACTCTGTCTCAAAAAAAAAAAAAAAAAAAAGCTTTGATGAAACAAAACAGTTAGTCGAATTCTACTAGTTTTATAGAATAAATCAAGGGTGGGGAAAGTATGGACCATGGTCAAATCTGGCCTATCGCCTGTTTTTGTACAGCCTGGAAGGTAAGAATGGTTTTTACAGATAAACATTAGCAATTGATTTGATTATAGAAAACACTAACTCTGAACCCCAATTCAGCTAAGTGTTATCTCCCCTACCCTCACAAAAATAAAATTCTCATTTCTCATTAGTAGGCCTGTATTACAAAATGTTGTATCTTATATTGTTGTATTTTTATCAACAAAAAATTTACAGATTGACATTTTGGACTGAAATTTTAAAAAACTGTAAATTTTTTCTTTCTTTTAATATTAAGTACCTACATAATATCTTCAATTTTGCATCCTGGCCACAAAGCCTAAAATAATTACTATTTACTGGTCCTTTACAGAAAAAGCATGCTGAATGCTGCCAAAAATCAAATAATGGAGTAGACAGGTAAAGGGTGGACAAAACTAATTCTGTAACCTAATTCATCACCTCCTTTTTGGTTACTTAGGTGCTCAGCAATTTTCACCTATTAATTGCAATGCAAACTTGCTCATGCACGCTCTCTATTCAGAAAGATTGCCAAAAGACAAATAATTTTCACAATTCAATCCTTCAAAATACAAGTAGATTTACAAAACTCAACTATGTCTTGCTATAGAAATGTGATACCTACTTAATAAACAGTAGCAGTCCACCAAAGAGCTTAGTTTCAAACTCTATCGAGATAACTTGATGGTTTTACTAAAACTATAATGTCAATACCAAATGCTTAACACAATTCTCGCCTTTAAATGTAAACTTGTTCACCTGATACTCTCAAATAAATATAATCTTGCACCTAGGACAAAAAACTTGCATTGATAATTATGTATGGTTAAGTACTAAATGTTACACAGCAGAAATAAGCTGTCTTCCACCTCCAGACCCCACTTTAAAATCTAATGATTTAAGACTTCATTGTTTTTAAAAAACCTTCATCCTATTGATTTCAAAAAGCGTTTCCCCTTCAATAAGACCACCACCAAGGCCGGGTGCTGTGGCTCAGGTCTGTAATCCCAGCACTTCAGGAGGCCAAGGTGGGTGGATCACCTGAGGTCAGGAGTTCAAGACCAGCCAGCCAAAATGGTAAAACCCCAACTTCATGAAAAATACAAAAAATTAGCCAGGTGTGGTGGTGGGCACCTGTAATCTCAGCTACCTGGGAAGCTGAGACAGGATAATCCCTTGAACCCAGGAGGTGGAGGTTGCAGTGAGCCAAGATTGCGCCATTGCACTCCAGCCTGGGCAACAAGAGTGAAACTCTGTCTCAAAAAAAACCAAAAAAACAAAAAACAAAAAACCAAAGATATAAAATGAGACTTTCTGAACCCAGCATTACAGGAGCTAATTCAAATTACACATAATAATCAAAAGTTAACTTAAATTTTACATAACAAATATAGTTACCCTGAGCCCTTTAGTAAATATTTAAATCCTCAACTTCTATCAAACTTGAAAATAACCAGTGGAGGCCAGGCGCAGTGGCTCACGCCTGTCATCTCAGCACTTTGGGAGGCCAAGGCGGGAAGATCATGAAGTCAGGAGTTTGAGACCAGCTTGGCCAACATAGTGAAACCCCATCTCTACTAAAAATACAAAAAATTAGCTGGGTGTGGTGGCGGGAGCCTACAATTCCAGCTACTTGGGAGGCTGAGGCAGGAGAATTGCCTGAACCCGGGAAGCGGAGGTTGCAGTGAGCCGATATCGCACCACTGCACTCCAGCCTGGGAGACAAGAGCGAAACTCCATCTCAAAAAAAGAAAAAGAAGGCCAGGCTGGGCATGGTGGCTCACTCCTGTAATGCCAGCACTTTGGGAGGCCGAAGCAGGCGGATCCTGACGTCAGGAGATCGAGACCATCCTGGCTAACACAGAGAAATCCCATCTCTACCAAAAATACAAAAAATTAGCCGAGCATGGTGGCACGCGCCTATAGTCCAAGCTACTCGGGAGGCTGAAGCAGGAGAATCTCTTGAATCTGGGAGGCGGAGGTAGCAGTGAGCCGAGGTTGCGCCACTGCACTCCAGCCTGGGAGACAGAGCGAGACTCCCTTTCAAAAAAAAAAAAAAGCCAGGCACGCTCATGCCTGTAATCCTAGCACTTCAGAAGGCCGAGGCGGGTGGATCACCTGAGGTCAGGAGTTCGAGACCAGCCTGGTCAACATGGGGAAACCCTGTCTCTACTAAAAATACAAAACTTAGCCAGGTGTGGTGGCAGGCACCTGTAATCCCAGCTACTTGGGAAGCTGAGGCAGGAGAATTGTTTAAACCCAGGAGACAGAGGTCACAGTGAGCCGAGATTGCACCATTACACTCCAGCCTGGGGGACAAGAGTGAGACTTCTCTCAAGAAAACAAAAACAAAACAACAACAACAGTAAAAAAAAGAAAATGAGGCTGAGGCAGGAGAATGGCATGAACCCAGTAGGCGGAGCTTGCAGTGAGCCGAGATCGTGCCACTGCACTCCAACCTGGACAACAGAGACTCTGTCTCAAAAAAACAAACAAGCCCTCTCCCTCTCCCTCTCCCTCTCTTCTCCCCATGGTCTCCCTCTCCCTCTCTTTCCATGGTCTCCCTCTGATGCCGAGCCGAAGCTGGACTGTACTGCTGCCATCTCGGCTCACTGCAACCTCCCTGGCCTGATTCTCCTGCCTCAGCCTGCCGAGTGCCTGCGATTGCAGGCGTGCGCCGCCACGCCTCACTGGTTTTCGTATTTTTTTGGAGGAGACGGGGATTCACTGTGTTGGCTGGGCTGGTCTCCAGCTCCTAACCGCGAGTGATCCGCCAGCCTTGGCCTCCCGAGGTGCCAGGATTGCAGACGGAGTCTGGTTCACTCAGTGCTCAATGGTGCCCAGGCTGGAGTGCAGTGGTGTGATCTCAGCTCGCTACAACCTCCACCTCCCAGCCGCCTGCCTTGGCCTCCCAAAGTGCCCAGAGTGCAGAGGTGAGGGGCGCCTCCGTCCGGGAGGTGAGGGGCGCCTCTGCCCGGCCGCCCCTACTGGGAAGTGAGGAGCCCCTCTTCCCGGCCACCACCCCATCTGGGAGGTGTACCCAACAGCTCATTGAGAACGGGCCATGATGACAATGGCGGTTTTGTGGAATGGAAAGGGGGGAAAGGTGGGGAAAAGATTGAGAAATCGGATGGTTGCCGTGTCTGTGTAGAAAGAAGTAGACATGGGAGACTTTTCATTTTGTTCTGTACTAAGAAAAATTCTTCTGCCTTGGGATCCTGTAGATCTGTGACCTTACCCCCAACCCTGTGCTCTCTGAAACATGTGCTGTGTCCACTCAGGGTTAAATGGATTAAGGGCGGTGCAAGATGTGCTTTGTTGAACAGATGCTTGAGGGCAGCATGCTCGATAAGAGTCATCACCACTCCTTAATCTCAAGTACCCAGTGACACAGACACTGCGGAGGGCCACAGGGTCCTCTGCCTAGGAAAACCAGAGACCTTTGTTCACTTGTTTATCCGCTGACCTTCCCTCCACTATTGTCCTGTGACCCTGCCAAATCCCCCTCTGCGAGAAACACCCAAGAATGATCAATAAAAACAAAACAAAAAAAAAACCAAACAAACAAAAAGAGAAATAACCCATGGCACAGAGTAAAAATATAATCAGTAAAATCACTTTATTCACTTAACTACTAAAATCAGTTCTTTTTTTTTTTTTTCTTTGAGGTAGAGTCTCGCTCTGTTGCCCAGGCTGAAGTGCAACGGCGCAATCTCGGCTCACTGCAACCTCCACCTCCCGGGCTCAAGCAATTCTCCTGCCTCAGCCTCGCAAGTAACTGGGATTACAGGCACACACCACCACGCCCGGCTAATTTTTGTTTTAGGAGAGATAGGGTTTTGCCATGTTGGCCAAACTGGTCTCAAACTCCTGCCTTCAAGTGATCCGCCCAACTTGGCCTCCCAAAGTGCTGGGATTATAGGCATGAGCCACCACACCCAGCCTCATTTCTATTAGGGGAAAAAAAAAAAAAGCTAATAACAACCTGAGACTTACAAAGATTATACTATTGAAAACCACTGTGCAACCAATTCAACCAGTCACTCTCTCACTTCAGTTTTCATATTAAATCTTTAGTTAGAAATAGTACTTATTTTTGTTCTTTTTTTTAATTTTGAGAAATAGTACTTTAAAATAAAACTAACATGGTTTGATCAGCTTGAAATAAGATTCATAAAATGTACCTTTTGATGTTTGTTCTGGAGTTTCGATGAGACATGTAAGTAAGAGTTCTGTGCAAAAATATTGGCTACAAAAAGAGTTTTAAAAATGTTAAAATTGAATACAGATGCAGTTATAAGAGAGAAATAATATTGATGAATTTTGTTGACTACTTACTGCTATGAGATTCCGAGTTCAAAGAAATCTATAGATCTGTGTTGGCTCTAGGTAATAGGAAACAAAATCCAAACATGATCTAAACTTACTTGTCAGAAAAATATCAACCGAGACCATGTTATAATCAATATAAACTTGTCATCTGCTATGGAAATCACGCACTAAATATTTATATCGCACTAAATATTTACATCAAGAAAGTTAGTATGCACAGTAAGATCAAAAGGTATTCAATCAATGGCATACATTCACAAAGTTCATCTACGCTTTTTATACTGAAGGTTCTTTACAATATTTTTCTTAAGCCTTTCTAAGATAGTTATTGTTACCGAGCAGAACTCAAGAGAAGCAGTTGTACTCATTTAACTTAGCTTAATTTAAACTATTTATAACCGATTTTCTTCCAAAAAGCAGCTGTAATAGGTAGCTGGAGTCAACAAAAGAACTATTGATTGATGCCAAACAAGATGAAAATTTCACTTTTTAAATGGTCACTTAAAA
The DNA here is from genome assembly GCF_000001405.40 of Homo sapiens. NCBI lineage: Eukaryota > Metazoa > Chordata > Mammalia > Primates > Hominidae > Homo > Homo sapiens. Next base: position 30,734,442 of record NC_000017.11, on the reverse strand, counting down.
AATTTGTAGTCAGCCGGCCAGGCGCGGTGGCTCACGCCTGTATTCCCAGCACTTTGGGAGGCTGAGGTGGGCAGATCACCTGAGGTCGGGAGTTCGAGACCGGCCTGACCAACATGGAGATACCCTGCCTCCACTAAAAATACAAAAATAGCCAGGCATAGTGGCGCATGCCTGTAATCCCAGCTACCTGGGAGGCTGAGGCAGGAGAATCACTTGAACCTGGGAGGCGGAGGTTGCCGTGAGCCGAGATCGCGTCATTGCACTGCAGCCTGGGCAACAAAGAGCAAAACTCCGTCTCAAAAAAAAAAAAAAAATTGTAGTCAGCCAAAACAGAATCCTAATACATCCTAATACAGATATGATGACATCCTAATACAGATCCAGACATTCCTAATACAGGTATGATGAAAGTCAGTCAAGATTTTTTTTTTCTTTTTTTGAAAAGGGGTCTTGATATGTTGCCCAGGCTGGTCTCAAACTCGTGGGCTCAACAGATCCTCCTGCCTCAGCCTCCAGAGTAGCTAGGATTACAGGTGGGATCCACTGCACTCAAAAGTCAGTCAATGTTGAAATAAATCTCGGACACAAACTGCAGAAAAAATTCTCAATAAATATTCCTAATTATAATTTAAAGTTTTATCTATTTTGTTCAATATAAATATTACCTCAATACATTTTTTACACAATTGACAGATTCACAAAACCGTCTAACGCTTAAAATGAGTTGAATTAAATTTCAAATTAGTTAAAATGTAATTTGTTATACAGGACTTAAGTGGATGAAAAATACATATACTATTATATTAGTTACATTAATGACCTATTAGTATCACGTTGTCATTATACAGCAGTATCAGAATAAACCAAATAGAAATAACTGTGAATAATTACATTCAAGTATTTAAACTTTCCAGTAAACAACTTCAAGTTGTTTTATGACCAGATCTAGCTCTTAATGACACTTGACTTCCCTGAGGTCGACTCATCAGAACGCAAATAGTTAAAACTTTCTTGGAGAATGTGTCTTCTCTTAACATTCAGAAAGAACTTTTAAAATTTCCACCTAAATCTTCAATTGGTTAGTTTTATCTTAAATTAACTAAAGGGAGATGAGATACTTTAGAAGGGGTACAAACAAGTATCATTATTGTCACCACTGCCCTTCAGTTCTCCATCCTATTTCCAATTAAAGCCTCTCTAGATATTTCAAAGTATATTAAGAAATATGTGAATAATGTGAATCTCTCTGAAGCAAGGTCAATATTCGTTTCGATAAAAACTGAAACTCCTTCTATTAAGTTCCAATTAGAATTTCATGAAGCACTAATGAGAGAGAATGAAGGAAGGGTATTAAACAACATAATACGGTCTTTCTAAGCACAGCTGATACCATGCCCTTAATATATGCCACAGTGAAACTGTAAATAAGGACACTGGGCGGTAGAGCCAAGTTTATTCAAGTTTCTGTAAGATTACTTAGCTATTAAAGATCACCCAAATTATAACACACAAAAGCAAAAAAGGAAACCAATCAGGATATAACATTCCTTAAAGAACAATCAGGATTATTCATAGTCACGATGTTTTTAATAAATTCTATTGTTTATTTCCAGACACCTTGCTCTCCTTTCCAAATAAGTCAGTTTCACCTACCAGACAGACCTTAGAAACAGAAATTGACCCAAGAAAATGTCCTGTAAGCCGAGTAGAAAAAGCAGAATTCTGGGGTCGTCTCCAGAGAAGATGCTTGACCACTCTCTGGCTCAGTTTACATATCCACAAAATGGGTGGATAGATTTGAAGGGTTTTAAGCATCCAAAGGTGCCATAGGAACCTGCAGCACCAAGTTAGCGCGAAGGCATTTCAGACTAAGGACACTTTCTTCGGTTCCACTGCACTCATCCCTTCACAGGCTTCATTTTGCCCCTCAAAAGCTACAACCGAAACCCCTGTATTTCTAGAGTCCGAAAGGCATGAAAGAAAACAAGAACCAGTCTCGGGATGTGACTGCGGCTCAGTTCAACTGCTACCTCCTCATCTAAAAGCCGCCTGCTCTGAACGTGGGGCCCCAGTCCCGAGCCTCTTGCGTCAATCTTGGGGGAGTCAAGAACCCGCCCGGACCCTCTTTTCCAGCTCTCCCAAGGCCCTGGACTCCGGATCCCCTGGAGACGTAATCTCCGAAAGGGGGACATCCCCTCAATTCCTCCCTCCACTACCACACAAGTGGACTCCCGAGGAGGAAGGGGGCCCAGCAGAGTGTCCCATCCCCGGTGTTGGCAGAGTGGGTCTTCCTGCCCTCAAAGCCTCGCACGCACTCACTCTCAAAGGCCTGGAGGAAAAGCTCGTGGTCAGCCTGGACGTGCTCCATTTTCGACTTCTTCACCGGTAACGCCGCGGAGGAGGAGGAGGCCGAGTAACTGCCACCGCCTCCACAGCCCCCGCCGCCGGATTTGCCGCTCGAAGCCGTCGCCGCCGAACCCCCGAAGCCGCCTCCCCCGGACCCCGCGCTGGGCCCCGAGCCGCCCCCTCCCCCACCGCCGTGCTTCTGAGGCGCCATCGCGGTTCCTGCCTCCTTCCCCGGCCAGCTACTCGCCGGGCGGCCCCGGAGAGTAAGCGCCTGCAATACCAACCGCTCGCCCCAGCAGGCTCCGGCTGACCGAGGGGAGAAGGAGGAGAGAGGGGAGGAAAGGGGAAGGGAAGGCAGGAGGAGAGGAGGGAAGGAGGGAGGAAGAAAAAGTGTCTCCTCAGAGCCCCGCTCCGCTTCGGAGGCCGCTCACCCTACCCAGGCCTCGCTCCGCCCACTTCCCCCGCCCGGCGCTCTGATTGGCCGGCGGGAGCGCGCACCGCCGGGCCGCCCAGCCCGTTGGCCCGCGGATTCCCCCGTCAGTCACGCGGAGGCGCTTCTCGCGGAGGCGCGGCTTGGTTGGCCGGTGCGCGCTGCCGATCGCGGGCCCGGCCGCCTCTTTGAACTGAATTCGCGGGAAAATTAGGGGTCGGAGCGGCCTTCCTGCTGGCCCCGGTGCATTGTGGGGAGAGAAGGACCCAGCGAGCGGTTTAGAGAGTCTAGATCCTTAGTTTTTTGCCCCCAAACACCGTAAGAGCGGTCAGAGAGGTAAACTGGTTGAGAAGTACTTACATACACTCTTCTCTTCTTGAGGATCTATACCTTTTCAGCTCAGAAAGCTGAGAAGGAATCCGGTGTTTTGCGAGCCTTGCTTTTTTTTTTTTTTTTTTTTTTTTTTGAGACGGAGCCTCCCTCTGTCGCCCAGGCTGGAGTGCCAGTGGCGCGATTTCGTCTCCCTACAACCTGCGCCTCCCGGGTTCAAGCGATTCTCCTGCCTCAGCCTCCAGAGTAGCTGGGATTACAGGCGCTCGCCACCACGCCTGGCTAATTTTTTTGTGTTTTTATTAGAGACAGGGTTTCACCATGTTGGCCAGGCTGGTCTCGATCTCCTGACCTCGTGATCCGCCTGCCTCGGCTTCCCAAAGTGCTGGGATTACAGGCGTGAGCCACTGTGCTGGCCAGAAACACACATTCTCTGAGGCGGGCCCTCCAGCATGGGAACCCCTGCTCTGTCACATCCAGCTGTCATCCCAGCCTGTCCCATCTCAGGCTGTCCTGGGCTCTCAGTACCATCATTGAGCCAGCACTTTCAAATCTCTTATGTCCAGCCTGGAATTTCTCATCAGAGCCCCCATTACCATTTCCCTGCTGAAAACCAAAACCCTTGTAATTGGCCCAGTTAGCTCCCTGACCCCATGTCTGCTCCAGCCACTCCTGCTATTCCTGGACCACAGCAGGCCTTGCCCCAGGGCCTTTGCACCTGTCGCTTCCTCCACCTGTAGCTTCTGCCAACCCACTGTCCACATGGCCGGCTCCTTCAGGCCATTGCTCAGATGGAACTATTCACCTGGTGTATAGAATGTCCTCTTCATGGGGCAGGGATCATTGAACTGTTTTGCTCATGGTGGCCGCATCCCCAAATTTTACTTTTTTTTTTTAGAGATAGGGTCTTGCTCTGTCACTCAGGCTGGAGTGCAGTGGTGAAATCATGGCTCACTGCAGCCTCCACCTCCCAGGCTCAAGCGATCCTCCCGCCTCGGCCTCCCTAGTAGCTGAGACCACAGGTATGCGCCATCACGTCCAGCTAATTTATTTTATTTTGCAAAGATGAGGTCTTGCTATGTTGCCCAGGCTGAACATGAACTTCTGGCCTCAAGAGATCCTCCTGCCTCAACATCCCAAAGTGCTGGGATTACTGCTTGAGGCCATCACCATTGTTGTCTTCATATCCTCAACTTTTAGAATAGGCCTGGCACGCGGCACTGAATTATTTGTTGAATGAATCTCAGATCCCAAAGCTGAGACTCTGCCTTGATTCCTCACCTTCCCTGTCATCCCCCTCACAGAAGCCATCAGCAAGTCCTGTGGGCTCTGCCTCTCAAGTATCTCGCGACCTGCCCACTTCTGGCTCTAAGCACAGCACCCAGGCCCATGCCGCCATCCTATGTCACCTGTATGTTGTCCTGGCCTCCTTGCCCGCCTCCCAATCCGCCCTTCACTCAGAGCTAAGGGACCACATAATGATGTTGATCCGAACATTAACTGACCCCCTGGTCTCTGCTGGGGTCTCATTTCCTCACTAGAGCCCAGAGGCTGTGGGTGAACTGGTGCCACCAAGCTCTCCAAGCCCCATTCTGTCCTCCCTCCTGTTCCTGAAACATTCAACATTCCAGTTCCAGCCCCCAAGCAGGATCCCTGCATGTTGGCTGCGGCTGCTCATTGTTCAGGGCTCAGCCGCAAGGTCACCGCAGCAGAGTGACCTACCCTGGCCCCCTGCAAACAAAACAGTCCTCGCCTGCTGCCCTCACCCGCCATCTTTTCCCTGTTTTTAATTCACAGCTCTCAAGTGAGCACCTGAAATTACCTTTTTATCAACACGAGCTTCTTGAGAGAGGCCCTTAGAAATCAGCACACGGCTGGGCACAGTGGCTCATGCCTGTAATCCCAGCACTTTGGGAAGCCGAGGCGGGTGGATCACCAGAGGTCAGGAGTTCGAGACCACCCTGGCCAACATGGTGAAACCCCGTCTCTACTAAAAATACCAAAAAATTAGCCGGGCGTGGTGGCAGATACCTGTAATCCCAGCTACTCGGGAGGCTGAGGCACAAGAATTGGTTGAACCCGAGAGGTAGAGGTTGCAGTGAGGCTAGATTGTGCCATTGCACTCCAGTCCGGGCAACAGAGCCAGACTGTCTCAAAAATAAATAAATAAAATAAAACAAATAGGCACAGGCCCTCAATAAATAAAGATCCCCACAGGGCAGGACACCTGGTCCAGACCTCAGTCTCCTCACATGGGAAATGGGAGGATAATATCTGCAAGACAGCCCTGAACACCCCCTCTCCAGCCCTGTAGCTCTCTGCCCGCTTCCCCTCTCATGCCCACTCCTGATACCAGCTCCCTCTCCACTGCCCCAGCTTCTTCACTAAATCCCCCGCAGCCACCTCCAGCCCCCATCCGCATCTCCCCCCACATCCCTGACTAGACACGGCTGGTGTCACTTTCAGATCATTTTACAGCGTGTTACTCCCCCAGCCGCCACCAGCCCCCGTCCGCATCTCCCCCCACATCTGTGACTAGACATGGCTGGTGTCACTTTCAGATCATTTTCCAGCATGTTACTTTGGGGATGGGGAGTGGCTTCCTTATTTCAACTTCCTCATTTCTCCAACTGTCCAGCCACAGAAAGGTTCAGTGGAGGCAGTGTCCCCAAGCTGAGGAGTACTCCCCTCCCAGGGTCTCCAAGCGCTTTCTTTCACACTGCAACAGGCATCCTAGCAGAGGAACTGGTTAGGGGAAGTAAAAATGGCTGGATTTGTACGGTGACTCATGCCTGTGATCCCAGTGCTTTGGGAGGCTAAGGTGGGTGGATCACTTCAGCCCAGGAGTTCAAGGCTGCAGTGAGCTATGATCGTGCCACTGCACTCCAGCCTGGGCAACATGTCTCTAGAAATTTGTTTTTTTTTTTGAGACGGAGTCTCACTCTGTCACCAGGCTAGAGTGCAGTGGCACGATCTCGGCTGACTGCAACCTCCGCCTCCTGGGTTCAAGCGATCCTCCTGCCTCAGCCTCCTGAGTAGCTGGGACTACAGGCATGCGCCACCACGCCCAGCTATTTTTTGTATTTTTAGTAGAGACGGGGTTTCACCGTGTTGGCCAGGATGGTCTCGATCTCTTGACCTCGTGATCAGCCCACCTGGGCCTCTCAAAGTGCTGGGATTACAGGCGTGAGCCACAGCGCCCGGCCAAATTTTTTGTTTTTTAATTTGGCGTGGTGGTGCCCAGCTACTTGGGAGGCTGAGGCAAGAGGATCACTTGAGCCCAGGAGTTTGCAAGGCTGCAGTAAGCTATGATCCTGCCACTGCACTCCAGTCTGGGCAACAGAGCAAGACCCTCTCTTAATTAAAAAAAAAAAAAAAGGGCAGGGAAGCCACCCGATGCCAAGTTGTGTGGGCAGCGAATCCACATGGGTCTAGATCCCAATTTTGCCTTATACGTGCCCTGTGTGACCTTGAGCTGGTCTCCTCACCTCCCTGGCCCTGGTTCCCTCTGCGCTGCTATTCTGCAGGGTTCTGGTAAGGAGAGCAGTGCACGTACACGCTGGGCCAACACAGGCCCCATCAGAGGGTGCCATGCACAGCCTGGCGCCAGTCAGGGCACAAAGACACCCACGGAAGAGGCAGTCCCTCTCTTCCTCCCAGGCTGCACCCTAGAATGCTGAGACTCCAGAGTGGAGCCCCCGCTGAGCCATGTATACTTCCACCAGGAACTCCAAGGCATCTTCAGCCCAACCAGACCAATACAAGCCCCTACATCAGTGCACGGTGCCACCATCCTTCCAGGCCCTCCAGCCAGAACCCCAGGAGCTGAAAGCCTTGACTCCTCTTTCTCTCACCCCTAAATCCAGTTCAAGAGTAAGTCTTTGGGCTGTGTATACTTCCAGAACACCCCAGTGTTGGTCCACACATCTGTCTTCAGCATCTGCCCCTCTAGTCCTGGGCCCTGGCCACTCCCCAAGTGCCCTCTGGCCCCTTTGCCTCCGATGTCCAGGCTCTCCTGGCAGCCAGAGGCACCACCTCCTTTTTTTTTTTTTTTTTGAGACGGAGTCTCACTTTGTCACCGGGGCTGGAGTGCAGTGGCACAATCTTGGCTCACTGCAACTTCCACCTCTGGGGTTCAAGCGATTCTCCTGCCTCAGCCTCCTGAGTAGCTGGGATTATAGGCGCCCACCACCATGAGTAGACACGGGGTTTCACCATGTTGGCCAGGCTCGTCTGGAACTCCTGACCTCAAGTGATCCACCCGCCTCGGCCTCCCAACGTGTTGGGATTACAGGCATGAGCCACTGTGTCCAGCCTCCAAAACTTTTTTATCACCCCAAATAGAAACTCCATACCCACTGAACAATAACGCCCACTCCCCTCGTCGCCCAGCCCTGGTAACTTATAGTCTACTTTCTGTCTCCATGGATTTACCTATTCTAGACATTTCATACAAATGGAATCACAGGCTATGTGGCCTCCCCCGCCCCACCAGTTAGATGGGGGTCTCACTCTGTTGCCCAGGCTGGAGTGCCGTGGCCCAATCTCGGCTCACTGTAACCTCCACCTCCCAGGCTCAAGTGATCCTCCCGTCTCAGCCTCCTGAGTAGCTGGGACTATAGTCACATGACCCCTCTAAATTAACTCCTGGCTAATTTTTGTATTTTTTGTAGAGGCAGGATTTCGTCATGTTGCCTAGGCTGGCCTCAAACTCCTGGACTCAAGTGATCTGCCCATCTTGGCCTCGTAAAGTGCTGGGATTACAGGTGTGAGCCACCATTCCTGGCCTTATTTTGTGTCCAGCTTCTCACTCAGCGCCACGTTTCCAAGGCTCACCTACGTTATAGCCTGGATCCGGGCTTCATTCCGTTTTATGGCTGCGTAGTATTCCACTGCATGGGTGGACCATGTTTTCTTTATCCAGTCATCGGTAATGGACATGTGGGCTGTTGCACAGAAGGGTCCTTTTTATTTTCTCCCTAGCTTTACTGAGGCATCACTGACAAATAGAAATTACATATATTTAAGGTTACATGATATTTTGATATCCATTATGTGTTGTGAAATGATTACTACAACCAAGCTAACTAACAACATATCCAACACCTCACCTAGATACCTTTCTGGTGTGTGTGGTGAGAACACTTGAGTCTAATTCCTCAGCAAGTTTCAAGAAAACAGTATGCTATAATAATAATATTATTATTTTGAGACGGAGTCTCGCTCTGTCACCCAGGCTGGAGTGCAGTGGCACAATCTTGGCTCACTGCAACTTCTCCCTCCCAGTTCAAGCAATTCTCGTGCCTCAGCCTCCCAAGTGGCCGGGGCTACAGGTGGGCACCACCGTGCCTGGTTAATTTTTGTATTTTTAGTAGAGATGGGGTCTCATGTTGCCCAGACTGGTCTCAAACTTTTGAGCTCAAGCAATCTGCCTGCCTCGGCCTCCCAAAGTGCTGCGATTATAGGTATGAGCCACCACACCTGGCCTGCTATTATTAATTATAGTCACCATGCTGTACCTTAGGTCTCTGGAAGTTTTTTTTTTTTAGAGATGAGGTCTTGCTCTGTTGCCCAGGCTGGAGTGCAGTGGCACCATCATAGCTCACTGCAGTCTCGAACTCCTGGGCTCAAGAGTTCACCCTCTTGAGCCTTCCGTGTAGCTGGGATTACAGGCGTGTGCCACCATGCTTGGCTGATTTTAAATGTTTTTGTGGAGACAGGGTCTTGCTATGTTGTTCAGGCTGGCCTTGCACTCCTGGCATCAAGCAATGCTCCCGCCTTGGCCTCCCAAAGTGCTGGGATTACAGGCCCAAGCCATTCTGCCTGGTTAAAACGTTTATCTGAAAGCTGAAAGCTTGTACCCTTTGACCTGCATCTCCCGCCTTCCCCTGTGCCCTCACCCCCATAACCACTGCTCTACTCTGCTTCTACGAGTTCAATTCTTTTTTAGATTCCACAGATAAGTGAGGTCACGCACTATCTGTCTTTCTGTGTCTGGCTTATTTCACTTAGCATAATGTCCTCCAGGTTCATCCATTCCAGAGGGGTGTTTTAAAAGACAATCTTGGCCGGGCCAGTAGCTCACACCTGTAATCCCAGCACTTTGGGAGGCCGAGGAGGGCAGATCACCTGAGGTCAAGAGTTCAAGACCAGCCGGCCGGGCGCGGTGGCTCACGCCTGTAATCCCAGCACTTTGGGAGGCAGAGGCGGGCGGATCATGAGGTCAGGAGATCGAGACCATCCTGGCTAACACAGTGAAACCCCGCCTCTACTAAAAATACAAAAAATTAGCCGGGCGTGGTGGCGGGCGCCTGTAGTCCCAGCTACTCGGGAGGCTGAGGCAGGAGAATGGCGTGAACCCAGGAGGCGGAGCTTGCAGTGAGCCGAGATCACGCCACTGCACTCCAGCCTGGGCAACAGGGCGAGACTCCGTCTCAAAAAAAAAAAAAGAAAAAAAAAAAAAGAGTTCAAGACCAGCCTGGCCAATATGGTGAAACCCCATCTCTATTAAAGATACAAAAATTAGCCAGGTGTGATGGTGGGGACCTGTAATCTCAGCTACTCGGAAGGCTGAGGTAGGAGAATTGCTTGAACCTGGGAGGCAGAGGTTGCGGTGAGCCAAGATCACGCCACCGACTCTAGCCTGGCCGACAGAGCAAGACTCCGTCTCAAAACAAAAACAAAAACAAAAGACAATGTTGAGTGGTGGGTCTTCTGCTTTAACCCCTCCAACACCTCTGACTCCCGCCTTGTCTCCCTCCAGCCATGCGGGTTCCCACCCTGCAGCCTCAGCCTGTCCCCATCTGTGTCCCTCAGACTCAGAGGTGTCCTCCCCAGAGACGCAGACATGGGCCTCCGCCACCCTGTATCACAGTGCCCTGCAGTCACCACCTGCCTGTGCATCCCTTGCCATGCTGTGACCTCTTGTGTCTCTGTTTTCTTCTTGGTAAAACGGGGATACCTCAGAGGGCAGCTGTGCAACAGGACAAATTCACACACATGAGACACTCGGGATGCTCCTGGCACATAGACAGGGTGAAGCATCCCTTGTCCCCATTGTCACCTTCTCCATTAGCTCGGGCTGCCATAACAAAGTACCACAGACTGCGCGGCTTACACAGCAGAAATTTACTTCCTCCTAGTTCTGGAGGCCAGAAGGCCAAGATCAAGGTGCCAGCGAATTCAGTTTCTGTGGAAATTCTCTTCCGCCTTCTCACTATAACCTCACAGGGCCTCTTCTCTAGACATGCATAAAGGGAGACAGATCCCTGCTGTCTCTTTTTTTTTTTTTTTTTTTTCTCTGAGACAAGGTCTGTCTCTCTTGCTCAGGCTGGAGTGCAGTGGCACAATCCCGGCTCATTGCAGTCTCAACCTCCCAGGCTCATGCGATCCTCCCGCCTCAGCCTCCTGAGTAGCTGGGGCTACAGGTGCGTGCTCCTGTGCCCAGCTACTTTTTTGATTTTTTTTGTAGAGATGGGGTCTCACTATGTTGCCCAGGCTGGTCTTGAGCTCCTGGCCTCAAGCGATCCTCCTGCCTTGGCCTCCCAAAGTGCTGGGATTACAGGCATGAGCCACAAGCCCCGGCCTCTCTCTTCTTATTGGGATACCAGTCCTCTCAGAGTAGGGGGCCCCACCCTTAAGATCTCATTTAACCTTAATTACCTCCCTCAAGGGCCTACCTCCAAAAACACTCACGCTGGGAGTCAGGGCTTCAACCTCTGCATTTGGGAGGGAGGTGGGAAGATACAATTTAGTCCATAACCTCATCCATCCCATCCCTGCTCTATACTTTTACTTGACCACTCCTAGAGTTCCTTTATTTTATTTTATTTATTTATGTTTTGAGATGGAGACTCACTCTGTCGCTCAGGCTGGAGTGCAGTGGTACGATCTCGGCTCACTGCACCCTCCACCTTCCAGGTTCAAGCAATTCTCCTGCCTCAGCCTCCTGAGTAGCTAGGATTACAGTCACACGCCACCAAGCCTGCCTAATTTTTGTATTTTTAGTAGAGACGACGTTTTGCTCTACTAACAATGTTGGTCAGGCTGGTCTTGAACTCCCAAACTCAGGTGATCTGCCTGCCTTGATCTCCCAAAGTGTTGGGATTACAGGCGTGAGCCACTGCTCCCGGCCTTTTCTTTGTTTTGTTTTGAGACGGAGTCTTGCTCTGTCGCCCAGGCTGGAATGCATTGGCGTGATCTTGGCTCACCGCAACCTCTGCCTCAAGTGATTCAAGAACCTCGAGTGATTCTCCTGCCTCAGCCTCCTGAGTAGCTGAGATTACAGTCACAGGCCACCACACCTGGCTAATTTTTGTATTTTTAGTAGAGAAAGGGTTTTGCCATATTGGTCAGGCTGCTCTCGAACTCCCAACCTCAGGTGATCCACCCGCCTCAGCCTCCCAAAGTGCTGAGATTACAGGCATGAGCCACCGCACCCAGCCTTCTAGATTTTCTTTCTACTCCCAGGAGAATGGAAACTCCTGAGGCTGGAACTTGGTTTCCCTGACTCCTGTCTCCTGGTCCCCTGAACACACAGTGGGTCCCCAAGCAAAAACTTACTTAGTCACAGGGGAGTGACTAAGGATGGCAGTGAGGATAGCTGGAGATGGGGCATCTGCCCTGTGACCTGGCGGGCCACGCCTGACCCCCACAGGCAGGGTGCCATTGCCTTAGGGGTACAGACAGAGTTCCCCAGGAGCACGACGCCCTCTCCCCAGCGTGGCTCCCCTAGGAAGCTCCAGACACCCCCAGGGCCCAGCCTCAGCTTGGCAGGTGGTGGGTGTCCCCTGGGAGACCCAGGCCTGACCATCCCTGAGGCCTCTGGAGGGGGAGGTGTTACGGATTGAATTACAGCCCCCGACCCCCACCGCCAAAGAAAAAAAAAATGTCAGGCTGGGCACAGTGCACAGTGGCTCACACCTACAACCCCAGTACTTTGGGAGGCCAAGGTGGGAGGACCACTTGAGCCTTGGAGTTTGAGACCAGCATGAGCAACATAGTGAGACCCCATCTCTACAAAAAACACAAAAATTAACCGAGCACGGTGGCACGTGCCAGCTACTGGGAAGGCTGAGGTGGGAGGGTTGCTTGAACCCAGGAGGTTGAGGCTGCAGTGAGCTCTGATTGCACCACCGCACTCTAGCCTGGGCAAGAGAGTGGGACCCCATGTCAAAAATACAAAAGATATGTTGAAGTCCCAACTCCTGATAACTCAAATGTGACTGTGTTGGGAACATCTGGAGTCCTTACAGAGATAATCAAGTTAAAATGAGGTCATTAGTGTGGGTCCTAATCCAACAACTGATGCCCTTATACAAAGGAGAAACCTGGACACAGACATGCACAGAAGACCATGTGACCATGAAGGCAGAGATCAGAGTGATGCTTCTAGAAGCCAGGGAAGATTGCCAGTTAATGACCAAAAGAAGCCAGGAGACAGGCCTGCAATGGATTCTCCCTGAAGGCTCCCAGAAGGAACCAACCCTGACGACACCTTGATCTTGGACTTCCAACCTCCAGAGCTGGGAGGCGACACAATTCTGTTGTTGGCTGCAGTGGCTCACGCCTGTAATCCCAGCACTTTGGGAGGCCAAGGCGGGAGAATTGCTTGAGCCCAAGAGTTTGAGACGAGCCTGGGCAACACAGTGAGACCCCAGCTCTATAAACAAATATAAAAAAGTAGCTGGGCATGACGGGATGCACCTGTAGTCCCAGCTGCTCAGGAGGCTGAAGTGGGAGGATCACTTGAGCCCGGGAGGTTGAGGCTGCAGTGACCTGTGATCGCACCACTACACTTCAGCCTGGGCAATAGAGCAAGACCCCATCTCTGAAACATAAACAAAAAAACCAATAAAGTCTCTGTTGCTAAAGCTGTCCCGTCTGTGGTAATTTGTTGTGGGAGCCTAGGAAATTCATATAGGGAGTCAGGACACACAGAGAGTGAGGAGGGAGGCAGAGATGGGGGCAAGGGCCTGAGCCGCAGAACTTTAAAGAAACCATTTACAGGAAACAGCAAACGACAGGGAGGGCATCTAGCTGGGCTCTCCAGCAAGGAATCACCTGAGATGCCTGGGACAGTGGCGGACACCTCCAAGTCCCAGCCCGAACAGCTTCCATGTGTAGCTCATGTAATCCTAATAACCATTTAGGAAGGAGAGATGCTTGTACCCACAGCTTACAGAGGAGGAAAGTGAGGTCCTGTCATTGAAGAGATATACCCAGGGACACCCAACTGGTAAGGGGGCTTGAACCCAGGGAGGGCTGGCTCCCCAGGTTGGGCTTGATGAGCTGTGGGGGTATCCTGGGGGGCCAGAAGAGCCCCCACCCCCGGGCCCACACTGTATTTGAGTGTCTATGCAACCTCAGAGCTGGTCACGCCTGGACGTTCTACATCTGGGAAGCCAGGTGAGCCCACACCTGTGTCTGTCCCCCGCTTGCACCTCAGTAGTCTCCAGTCACCTTATTTGTCTTTCTTTTTTCTTTCCTTCTTTCTTCTCTTTCTCTTTTTTTTTTTTTTTCCTTTGAGACAGTAGGATCTTGCTCTGTTGCCCAGGCTGGAGTGCAATGGTGCACTCTCAGCTCACTGCAGCCTCATCCTCCCAGGCTCAAGTGATCCTCCCAGCTCAGCCTCCTGAGTAGCTGGGACTACAGGCACACAAACCCCCGCCTGGCTAATTTTTGTGTTTTTTGTAGAGATGAGGTTTCACCATGTTGCCCAGGCTGGTCTTGAATTCCTGGGCTCAAGCAATCCTCCCGCCTCAGCCTCTCAAAATGCTGGGATTACAGGTGTACCCAGGAATCCATTGCACCCAGCCATAGGTGACCCTATTTCACCCATGGGAAACGGGGCTGCACACCTGCCTGTATGTTCGCATCTAAGCCCTACGTCTGTCTCAAGTCAAGGGTCGGTGCGGCAGGGTGGGCCACTAAGGCCTAGACTCTGTCCTCGGGTGCCCTGGGATGGAGATGGGGAGAGCGACAGGAGGAGAAGTGGCTGCTGGGGGAGAGGGGGCGCCTCTAGCCTGCCCTAGCCTGCAGTTGCCATGGCAACCCTCTGCGCGCTTGAGGGGGTGGGAGTCTGAGTGCCTTGGGTGGGGTGGCGGGGAACCAAGGTGGGGATCTGGGATCTGAGCCCCCTTCATGGTCTTCTCCCTTCTTGGCAGCAGCCGGCCCCTCCACACACAGCCCTCTGGCTGCATCTCCTGCCTCCTGCCCACTCCCCAAACCCAGCCGCCCATGAGCCCACCTCCTCCAGGAAGCCCTCAGGCATCCGGCAGGTCCATAAGGAAGCTGCAGGCCCCGGGGTGACTATGAAGGACCAGCTGAGAGTCGAAGCTCCTGAATTTCAATCTGCTGTGTAGCTTCAGAGCAAGCACTTGGCCTCTCTGAACCTATTTCCCCATTGCTGCTCAGGGACTAACAGACCTACCTCGCAGAGACAGAGCACGTGCCCAGAGAGGGCCCAGGTACATGGTCCTTGGGCAGGGCAGGGTTGTCGCGGCATCTCCAGTCCCTGCCCCATCCTCCAGCTCAGCGGATGGCAGCCCAGTCCCTCCAGGTGCTCAGGAACCGGACAGTCATCCTGGATCCCTCTCCCCTCACATCACATCCAGCCCCGTCAGGTCCTGTGGCTACTCCTTCAGAGCCCACTCACCTCTCGCCACTCCTCAGCTTCTCTGGTCCAGCCCCATCATCTCCTGGCTGGACCCCACTTCCCCACCTCACTGTCTACACCTCGTCTCCCCATCTATCTGCCACCCCTGTCCCATCCAATCTCTACCCCGAGGTGAGAACAATCTTTGCAAAATGAAACTGTCTACAGTATGTTTCCCCCATGGCCACCAGAGGGCGCTTGTGAGCATCTAAGTCAGCTGCTTCCCTCCTCTGCTCAGAACCCTCCGTGGCTCCCACCTCACTCGACCAAAAGCCAAAGTCTGTATCATACAAAGGCTCTGCACTGGGCCGGATGTGGCGGCGCACACCTGTAATCCCAGCACTTCGGGAGGCTGAAGCGGGCTGATTGCTTGGGCTCAGAAGTTCCAGACCAGCCTGGGCAACATAGTGAAACCCTGTCTCTACCAAAAATACAAAAAGTTAGCCAGGCATGGTGGCACACGCCTGTGGTCCCAGCTCCTCGGGAGGCTTAGGTGGGAGGATCTCTTGAGCCCGGGTGGTGGAGGTTGCAGCGAGCTGAGATTATGCCACTGCACTCTAGCTTGGGCAACAGAGCAAGACCCCATCTCAAAAACAAAAAACAAACAGGCCCTGTACAATGTGAAACACCAGGCACTGTTCTGCCTTAGGGCCTCTTCACGGGCTGTTTCTCTCTTCTCCAGATCCCCTCACAGCTCCTCCTGCATCTTCCTTTTGGTCGTTCCTCAAACATCACTAGCTCGGCAAGGTCCTGCTGGCCCCCGCACTCCTACGCCGTGTCCTGACTTGATTTCTCCATACCTATCACCAGCACGCCATGCGTTTTATTTGCTTATGAACTCTCTGCTACTAGATGCTGGCTCTGCAGGGTGGGGTTTGCATACTACACTCAGCACAGTGCCTGGCACAAGCAGGAAGCTGAAATATAATTGTTCAATGAAGAACCTTTTAAAGGTCACCCTGGAGCTGGGTACAGTGGCTCATACCTGTAATCCTAGCACTTTGGGAGACCAATGCAGAATTGCTTGTGGCCAGGAGTTTGAGACCAGCCTGGGCAACACAGTGAGATCCTCTCTCTACAAAAATTTAAAAATTAGCCAGGCATGGTGGCACACACCTGTGGTCCTGGCTACTTGGGAGGCTGAGGCAGCAGGGTCATTCAAGCCCAAAAAGTCAAGGCTGCAGTGAGCTATGATCATGCCACTGCACTCCAGCCTGGGTGACAAAACAAGACTCCGTCTCTAAATAAAATAAAGGTCACCCCAGCCACCAAGCAGCACTAGACTGCAGAGCGGTAGGGGTCGTTCAAAAAATTCCCTGCACCCCCCCGACACCTTCTCCTTCGTCTCCCCATCTATCTGCTACCCCTGTCCCATCCAGTCTCTACCCTGAGGCCAGAATGATCTTTGCAAAATGGAAATCCAATTACACCCCTCCCTGCCTACAACCCTCCATGGCTCCCTATTGCCTGTGATGCTCTAACATGGCATCTCAGGCCCTGCTGTCCTGCCACCTTCCCATCACTTCTACTCAGCGTCTGTCTCTCTCTCACACACAGTTCCTTATTCTGCTCTCCCTCCAAAGGGCTCTGCCCAGAGGACGGCATTCGTATCTCTCATATCCACTCTCACAGAACACAGGGCCTCTGTGTTTTGCTCCCCTAACTGGACTTGGACTCAGCTGTTTAATGTCTGTCTTCTCCACCATCGAGGGACTCTGAGGGCAAAGTACCATTGCGGGTTGGGCTGGCTCTTGTTGCATACCCAGCCCTGGGCAAGGAGTGGATGCTTGTTCATTTGTTTAATGAATGAAGATGAAATAGACCCAAAAAGCAGATCATCTATTCAGTGGATGTTTACCGAGTTCCCAACTGGTCACAAGTGCAATGGAGGAAGGTGTGCCTGAGAGGGGGTATACGTGTAGGTGCAACTGTAGACAGGGTGGCCAGGAAATACCTCCCCTAAAAAGTGACATTTTGGCAGAGGTCTTGAGGAGGTGAGCCATCTAGGTACCTGTGGAAAGAGCATTCTGGGCAGAGGGAACAGCACGTGCAAAGGTCCTGGGGTAGGAATGTGCTGAGATGTGGCTGGGGCCTTGCAAGCAAGGGAAGAGTGGAAGGAGGTGAGGGCAGCTGGGGAGGGGGGTCACAGAGGCCATGCAGGGCCTTGTGGACCTCAAGGAGGACTTTGGCTTTCTAGAGAGGTGGGAGCCATTGGGAATCCTGAACAAAGGAGGGATGGGATCTGGCTCGGGTGTTCACAGGTGTCCTCTGGCCACAGAGATGGAGATCAGACTGTGTGTGGGGAGGGTTGCTGGGAGTGGAGGGTACTCCCTACCCCACCTGTCCCTTGCCTTTTGTCCACAGGGCTGTCAAAGCCAGAAACCTGAAGCTTCCACCAAGTGCTGGCTGCTTCTGGCCCTCACCTTGCTGGTTGCCTCCTGGCCTCCCTTCTGGCCTCCTGGCCTCCCTTCCTGCCAACTATGGCTCTCTCCCATGTAGCAGCTAGAGGGAGCTCATGCTAAACATTCTCACCCTGACATCTGGATCCTGACATAAACCCCCTACCTCTACCCCCATCCCTGCCACAGGCCCTGGCAGCCCCACGGACAAACCAAACAGACTCACAGTCACAAGGCCAGCCAGCAGCCTCCAGCTTCTCTCCATGTGCAGTTGTGAAACATCTCTCCTTCCTCCCCTTTGAGCCACCACCTTCTGTCTGACCTCAGGGCAGCCCCTCTCTCTCACAGATGCTCTTTCCCCTCCGCCATACCCCTCCTCCCACTCCAGGTTGCAGCTGGGAAGCCCCCGCCTCCGGGAAGCCTTCCCTGACTTGCACCTCTGCTGTGCTCACCATCATGGCAGGTCCTGTGGCCTGTGGCCTGTGGTCTGTTTCCACTCCAAAGTGTTCACTGTCCAGCCCCAAGCTTTGCACTCCGAGCTCAGCAGAGCAGAGCTGAAGAGTTCTAGAAGCTAGGGCCCGAGCAGAGGGCACAGAGGCGGGATCCCCCTGCCTCATCAGATGCCGGCAGTTAAGGGGCAGGGTGAGACCAGGAGACGGGGGCATGGTGCCTAGCAGGGCAGGAGAGAAGAGGCCCCGGGCATAGCGCCCTTAAGTTGCAGGTTCAAATCCAGGCTGTGCGCCGTCATGTCGGCACGACAGGACACCCACATCACTCCTCTCAATTCTGTCTCTCCACGGGGGAGCTGGGGAACGATAGCATCCCAGGGTGGCTGTGGGGGTTAGAAATAATTTTTGGCAATTCCACACATCTTTTTTGGAGCATCTTCTATGTGCCAGACACTGAGGGGCTGGGTACAAAAAAGTCGACTCTGTAGCGTACCAGTGTTGTGAAAGAAGATAAAGCCAGGAAAAGTGGCTATGAGTGTGTGTGGGTTTGGGAGTGTTTTTTTTTTTTTAATCGTATTTTTAAAGACAGGGTCTCGCTCTGTTGCCCAGGGTGGAGTGCAGTGGTGGGATCATGGCTCACCACAGCCTCTGAGCTCAAGGGATCCTCCTGCCTCGGCCTCCCAAGTAGCTGGGACCACAGGGCGTGTGCCATCGTGCCCAGCTAATTTTTAATTTTTTTGTAGAAATGGGGGCCTCGTTATGTTTCCCAGGCTGGTCTCGAACTCA
Source organism: Homo sapiens (assembly GCF_000001405.40). Taxonomy (NCBI): domain Eukaryota; kingdom Metazoa; phylum Chordata; class Mammalia; order Primates; family Hominidae; genus Homo; species Homo sapiens. Next base: position 30,716,046 of record NC_000017.11, on the reverse strand, counting down.
AGCAATCCTCCCACCTCATCCTCCCAAAGTGCTGGGATTACAGGCATGAGCTACTATGCCCGGCTGTTGCAATTTTATTTTCTTTTATTTATTTATTTATTTGAGACAGAGTCTTGCTCTGTCATCCAGGCTGGAGTGCAATGGCATGATCTTGGCTCACTGCAACCTCTGCCTCCCAGGTTCAAGCGATTCTCCTGACTCAGCCTCCTGATTAGCTGGGACTACAGGCACCCACCACCACGCCCAGCTAATTTTTGTATTTTTAGTAGAGACAGGGTTTCACCATGTTGGTCAGGCTGGTCTCGAACTCCTGATCTCAGGTGATCCACCCACCTCGGCCTTCCAAAGTGCTGGGATTACAGGCATGAGCCACTGTGCCCGGCTGTTGCAATTTTCAACAGGATGATCAAGAAAGGTCATCTCCCCTGGAGAAGATGACATTTTAGCAAACCTCTGTGAATTTGAGGGAGGAGCACGCAGGTGATCAGTTCAGGAGAGTTAGAAGAGCGTCCTAGGCAGGGTCACAGCCCGTGCAAAGGCCCTGGGGCTGGACTGTGCCTGTATGTTTGAATAACGGTGGCAGCTGCATCGAGGAAGCGGGTCGTGAGCTGGTGAGGAGAGTGGGAGGAGGTGAGAGCAGGGAGGTGCCGGGAACAGACTGCGCGGGACTCGCCTTGTACTTTAAGCACACAACTGCTCCCCAAATGGGGCCGCCCCTCTGCCCAGCCTTCACTCCCAGAAGCCACTAGGGGGCGTTCTGGGGCAGGGTCGGCCAACCATGGCCAGGCCCCAGCCTGCTTTTGTACAGCTGGTGAGCTAAGAATGGTGTTTACATTTTTAAAGGACTGAAGAGAAGAGAAAAGAGAACAGGCCACAGAACCCGTCTGCGGCCCGCAAAGCTTGCAGGATTTACCATCGGGCTTTCTACAGGAAAGTCAGCCAACCTCTACTCTATTTTATTTATGTATATATTTTTTTGAGACAGGGTCTTGCTCTGTTGCCCAGGCTGGAATGCACTGGCGGGATCACAGCTCACTGCAGCCTTGACCTCCCAGCTCAAGTGATCCTCCTGCCTCAGCCTCCCGAGTAGCTGGGACGACAGGCGTGCAGCACCATGCCCAACGAATTTTTTAATTTTTTATTCTGTAAAGAAGGGGGTCTCGCTTTGTCGCCCAGGCTGGTCTTGAACTCCTGGACTCAAGTGATCCTCCTGCCTCAGCCTCCCAAAGTGCTAGGATTACAGGCGTGGGCCACCTTGCCCCACTGGCAACCTCTACTCTACAGCCATCACTGCCAACCCAGGACAATTCTGCCCCTGATCCCAGTATGTTTAGCAATGTCTGGAGACGTTCCGAGGTGTTACAACTGTGGGGCTGGAGGTGTCACTGACATCCATCGGGAAGAGGCTAGGGTGGCCTCTGAGCATCCTATAGTACAAAGGACAGCCTCCCACAGAGAATGATGCAGTGCCAAAGTCAGGAGTAATGGAAATCATCTGGGAAATCCTGTCTGAGAAAGCCAGCCCCGGACCCCTCACCTCCTCAAGGACAGGAAGGAGAATCCACCTGGCTTCCTGACCTGATCATTTGTGACCTGCAGGGTATTTTTAGCCTCTGAGGGAGGGGCACTGACTATTCTGAGGCTTTTTTTTTTTTTTTTGGCGGGGGGGCAAGGCTATTTTTGGCCTGGGCATCTATTTATTGAATTTTTATCTCCCCCCAAATTTTGGAACAGGAGACAGTGAAGGCAGGGGCCTTTTTTTTTTTTTTTTTTTTTTAAGAGTCAGGATCCTGCTTTGTCGCCCAGGCTGGAGTGCACTCGTGCAATCATAGCTCACTGCAGCCTCAAACTTCTGGGCTCAAGCGATCCTTCCACCTCAGCCTCCTGAGCAGCTGAGACTACAGGTGCATATTCACGATGCCCAACTATTAAAAAAATTTTTTAGAAACGAGTCTTGCTATGTTGCCCAGGCTGATCTCAAATTCTTGTCCTCGAGCAATCTTCCCACCTCGGCTTCCCAACATTCTGGGTTTACAGGTGTGAGTCACCACACCTGGGTCAGGTAAGACTTCTTGAACGCACACTGTGGGCCAGTGATGACTGCTGACACCTGGGATTCCCAAAGCAAAGCAAATCACAACATCCTCGCGCACTTGGATCCTCCTCACAGACACAGACAGTAAACAAACAAGCGCAGAACATCAGGAAATTACAGCCTATGTGAAAAGCCGTCTGCTGTACTGAACATCAGGAGGGGTGTGGGAAGCTGAGACTCTGCAGAAGGTGCCTGGGAGTAAACCTTACTGGGGAGGTGATATTTCAAGAGGGTGGGGGAGAAAAAGCCTCGCAAATATCTGGGGAAGGGTCCTAGATGGCAGAACAGCAGTGCAAACGCCCCGGGGTAGGATCACACTTAGCACACTGGAGGAGCAACGAGGAGGGAGGAGGTGGCCCAGAAAGACCATGAAGGGCCAGACCCCAGGACAGTCCAAGCCTGTGGGCTACTGCAGTCAGAATTTGGGGCTACCCTCGAAAAGGAGACACATGCCTTCTCCCCAACTCGCATGACAGGAGAGTTTTGCTTTTTTGTTTTGGGTTTTTTTTTTTGAGAATGAGTCTTGCTCTGTCGCCCACGCTGGAGTGCAGTGGCACAATCTCGGCTCGCTGCAACCTCCGCCTCCTGAATTCAAGCAATCCTCCTGCCTCAGCCTCCCTGGTAGCTGGGACTACAGGTGCACACCACCATGCCTGCCTAATTTCTGTACTTGTAGTAGAGATGGGGTTTCACCATGTTGGCCAGGCTGGTCTCAAGCTCCTGACCTCAGGTGATCCACCCACCTCAGCCTCCCAAAGTGCTGGGATTACAGGTATGAGCCACCACGCCCAGCTGATAGGAGAGCTTTGATGGAAACCCCATATGTGTTGCTAGAGTGTGAGCTCCATGAGGACAGGACGTGGCCACCAGCCCCCATGGCACCCCCCGCATGGTGCTGGGTGGGGAAGGCACTTGGCAAGTGTGTGCAGATTGCATGACAAGGTGCACCCAGCCTTGCTCCAAGAAATCCTGAGCACACAACTGCAGGTGCACAAAAGATGCAAACAGCTCCATGTGTGCACACAGACAACTACTCCTTCTTGCAGCCCTACCTCCCCCAGCATGACCACCCCCTCTGCAAAACACAAACACCAGCACACAAGGGACCCTTATGAACACCGGATGTGCCTGATGGTCACGTGGCCACATGCACCCTTGGCTAGATCACCATCCAGGCCACACAGGCAGAGGACACCTATGCACAGGTGGAGAGACAGACAGACATCTGGATTCTGGGGACACCGGGACCCCCTCCATGTTTCTACTTGGCCTCCCACCTCACTCCAGGACCCGTCTCTCCCCTTCCATCAGGGTGCCCAATAGCAACCACTTTGCCCCAAACCCAGCCTGGGAGGAGCTGTCTGTCTTGCCATGGCACCTTCAGGGTCACTGGGGTCAGGGTTTCAGACCCAGGGAACCCCCGCCTCGGGAGCCCCTCTCCCTGCCTCCCCACGGAGGGGCTGGAAGAAGGGGAAGTGTCTGGCATGTGGAAATCAGATCCGTGAGAGGAACCCACACAGAACCCAGAGCCTTGTGTGTCCCTGGCCACATGTCTCGCCAGGGAGGAAGGAGGGGGTGGAGGGCAAAGACGATGCTCCAGCGGGGATGGCAGTGCTCCCACTCCTCCTGTTCCTCTTGAGGGGCACCCGCTGCCACCCTCCCCACCGAGATGCCTGCAAGCATCACACAGCCTCACGTGCAGGTGGAGACGCCACCGGCCGGGGGCCCAAACTGCTGGATGCAAACACACTCCCGTGCAGCTGAGGCGCCTGTAGGCTCCTCCCCAACGTGCCCACAGGGTCCTACTAGGCCCCCCAGGAGAAAGGGCTCCCCTGGGCAGGCTGGGAATAGAAGCTGGGCTTCAAGTCCCCCCCTTCCACCCCCTCCCTGCAGGCTCCACAGCCCAGGTGTGCTGGTCCCCAGCTCTCCATCCTCCCCAACCCTGGGCGCCAGCTACACCCCCAAGAGCAGGAATCAGCGTGGGTGATCACGGGGTACGCAAGCTTCCCAGAAGTGGGGATTGAGATGGGCGCCCCTTGGAGAGAAAGAGGGCCTGCAGGGGTGTCCCAGGGCAGGTGCCACACACACATGGGGTGGACCGAGCAAGGCCATGAGGGAGGTCACCAAGCTGGGTAGGAAGATGGTGGCAAGACCAGCAAGAGGGCCGGGACCTACATGTGAGCGCACACGTATGTCGCACATGTATGTGGCTCCGTGCACGGGTGCGATCGCTGCCAGCCATGGAATTAGTTCCCTTTTCCGAATTCCAGATGATTTTTCATCTCTGTAATTAATGGGCAAGTCAGTTCTGAACGGCATGGCAGGCAAATTGCTAGTTAGGAAAATCACGGATAATTTTCTCGATATGATAATGAAGATTGTAAACCTTCTCTTATTCTCCCTGTTTTCATCCTACTTTTAAGTAATAAATTTGGCATTAATGGAAGGGGAGCAGGGAGGAAGGAGAAGTCACCTGCCCCCCAAAGCTGGGGCCTGACAGGGGCCCACGCAGAATCAATCCCCTGCCCCCGGGCCGTGGGGCAGACCGGAGAAGAGAATGAGGGGTGTGGACCCTCCGCGGGGTTGATCAATTCAGGGGGCCAGGCCCTGGAGAGCAGGTGGAGGGCAGGGAGCTTTCAGGCTGTGAGCCAGGGTGAAGGAGTGGGGTCTGGGGTCAGGTTAGGCACATGGCAGCCCTTGGGGTGTTGGAGAGAGAAGCAGAAACCAATGGTCTGTCCCCAAACAGCATGGAGGTCAACGGCCGGGAATATACATTCACCCTCAGGTGTGCCCCACTGGGTCCAACCTCCTCTAAGCAGTGACTCCCTACCAGGATAAGGGAGCCGGGCAAGCAGAGAGGGGAAGAGAGAGAGAGAGATATAGAGAAAGACAGAGAGCGAGAGAGAGACAGCGAGAGAGAGAGCGCGAGACAGCGAGACAGCCATCTTGGCAGCCATTTTGAACCCCTCCCCCTCCTGCCCCCAGGCACACATGTTGGGATGTGGGATGTGGGAAGACAGACCCCAGCTCTGAGTCTAGTGGAAGCCAGGCGGAAGAGGGGGGCCCTGCCTGGAACTGGGATACAGAAACCCCCACGCAGCTGCCATGGCTGGGGGTGGATGGGGGTTGGAACAGGAAGAAAGGGTCCAGGCAGGTACAGTGAGGTGCTGGCCAGGGATGGGGCAGTGTGAGGACCTGGACTGGAAGTGTAGGGACAGGGGTGTGTGTAGCCAGCGGCTGTCTTCAGATGGGGGCCGGGGGTGCACTGGAGAGATACCTGGGAGGGCATTTTCTGGACACGGCTGGAGCAAACACAGCACCCCCCCACCCCACCACTTCAGGCCTGGACTCGGGTCCCAGGACCGTCAGATGGGAGGATGACAACTGAACCCTCGTAGCTCAATCCAATGCGCACCTGGGGTGGGGGTGGGGAGCTGTCCTCAAAGCACGAATAATCCGGGTGGATCAAACCTGCCGGCCTCCCGTGCTTTAACCCGGCACCACGGAGAGAAGGTGCTGCCTGGCTGCACCCCCTCTTCCTGACAGCGGCGCCCCCCGGACTGCGGCCGGCTTGACACCCAGACGGACCCCTCCCCATCCCCCGCGCCACTGCCTCCCAGAGAAAAACAACCCCCTCGCCCAGCATCCTGTGGTGCCAATCCCCGACACGGATCCTCTGGGGCCCGGGGCCGGCGCGCGGCGCGCACACGCACACGCACCCCCTCCGCTCACACCCAGACACCTACACAAACAGGGCGCCAAGGACCCGCGCGCACACGCACCGGGGACACGCAGGCACCGCGGCGCCGCTTCCCCACAAAGGCTGGCGCGCGCGCGGGCACACTCGCTGTCCCCTCCCCCCGCCAGGCACCCTGCGGTCGCCCGTCCGCACCCCCGCGCCCCGGGAGCTCCGTGGGGGCCGCCCCTCCCGGGCCCCTCGCCAGTGGGGGTGAGGTGCGGGCTGCCCCCGACGCCCCTCCCGCTCAGGTGCGGTGCCCCGCGCGGCTCCAGCGTCCCCTCCGCCCTCGCGGCCAGGACAGGCCCCGGCCTCCCATCCTTCCCGCCTCCCCTCTTCCGCGCGCCCCGCACACCTGGCCCAGGTGCGGCTTCGCCCCTCGCCCTGGGCCCGCAGACACTCACCTGTCCAGCGCCGCTCTGGGGTCGGCCCAGCGTGTCTCTCCTGCGGCTCGGCGAACCCGGGCCCCCCGCCCGGCACATCTCCCGGAGCCGGGGCTGGGGGGAAGCTGGTAGGAGGTGGCGGGGCGAGGGCGGCCTCCGTGTCCCTTCCTTCCCCTGGCCCAGCACCGCCGCCACCAACCAAAAATTAGAAAAAAAAAAAAAAAAAAAAAAAGAAAATAGAAAAAAAGAGGCGGATTACACGGATCCAAAGGCGGCCCCCTCGCGGCGGCGGAGGCTCGGGACTGGGGGCGATCGGGTCTGCGCCCCTCCCGGGGAGGGAGGCTGTGGGGCGGGGGCGGCGTCAGAGCGCCGGGGGCTGGGGCGAGGCGGAGCGCCCCGAGGCGGCGCCGGCAGCGGCCCGCATCTCCCCCGCAGCTCCGCGGCCCCAACGGAGGCGGCACGTGTGTGCCCAGGCGACTTCCCAGCCCCCTCCGACGGCGGCGGTGGACGAGGGGTTAACGGGGCAGCGGGGGCGCCCCTGCAGGCCCCCGCCGCTCGGCGGCGCCGCTCCGGGGCCCGCGCGGCCCCCTCAGCCGGGGCCTCCTCGGCAGACGGCGGGGCGGGGGCACCGCAGCGCCGACAGCTCCCGCGCCGACGGCTCGGGCTCCCCGCAGTGGCCGCGGGGAGCTCGGGTTGGGGGCGGGCGGCGCGGAGCTGGCGGAGAGGGGCGGCGCGGCCGGAGGGGGGGGCGCCAGGCCGGGCCCGTGGGCACCGCAGGACGCGCGGACCGAGCCGGAGCCGGGAACCAGCAATGACAAGCCGCCAGCTCTCCCCTCTCCCCGGCGCACCCGCTCCGGGAGGGGGGCGGTGGGCGCGCGCAAAATCCGGCCCGGAGTCGCCGCCCGGGACTGGCCGCCGCAACCCGCTTGAGCGCCCCAGGAGCCGGCCCGAAAACCCGTGCTGGAGTTTCCTTCCTTTCGCCTCCTCTCGCCTCCTCCCTGGAAAAGCAGAGAGAGGGAAAGCGACGTGCTGGACCCCCGCGTTGGAGCGGGGAGTCGGGGAAGGGAGACAGGCGTAAGGAAGACCCGGAGCGGATTTTCCAGTGAAGTAAAAGGAAAGGCGCCGAGCCCGGGGAAGGAGGGCGCAAATGGGGAGATCTGGAAGGGTTGTGCAAAACCCGAGTTGGATTAGATAAAGATGGGAGAAACGGTGTTGGAGCGGGGGGTTGGGGGGTAGATGCGACATGGCCAAACGCACCCGGGGCACGCAAATTTCGGGCCGGATTCTTTCTTGGGAGACGGAGTAATGCGTCAGGCCTAACGCAGTGAAAACAAGCAAGACCCAGCCCGGAACTCCCGGGACCTGGGTTCGCATGGGGGGAGTTCTGGAAGGGGGATGCTTAGTGGCTGAGGCGACTTGGGCTGCCCTCATCTTCCTGGCAGCGACGTGCAAGGGGGAGGGGCAAAAGGAGGGCTGGACTCGGGTACGACGGGATTCGGCGTGCTGGCTGCACCGGAGCGGACAGGTAAAAGCGGTTTCTGGATCCAGGGGCGCTGCGAAGGGAATGCGATGAGGCCGCTACCCTGGGAGACCAGACCTACAATAAAAGGCGAGGGAGGCACGCCAAGCCAGGACTGGAGCGCGGGACGGAATGAGACCCTTAGCAGAAGATCCTGGGCCACCGGGACAGGGGCTTGGAGCTGACCGGGTAGCAGGGGCGGAGGGAAGCGTTAGGGGAAGGTTTGTATCTATAAACGCCTCAAAGTCTTGCTTTTGGGGAGGGGGTGCGAGGAGAAAAATTGAATTTTATGTTCTCTGAAAGAGTAAAAACCCGGCATGGATTTTCAACACCTAACAACTCCATTGCAGCTGGTGGACTCTAAGAAGTAGGGCAAGAAGCAGGCTTGGGTTCCCAGGCATCAGACCAAGTAAGGCGAGGGGCAGGTTTCGGGTTGAGGCTGCAGAGGGAGCCCCCGCACCCCCTCTCTGGGGTGGGGAAGGCTGTTGGACCCGGCTTGGCTGTCTGGAGAGCGAAAGTTGTGACTGCCAAGACCTATAGCTGGGGCTATAAAACTGGGCCCCAAGCCAAAAATAGGCACTTCGGCAGAACAGGCAACTTTGTGCAGGGTGGGGGCTGGAGGGAAATGGAAGTCGGGGGAAGAATCCTGGCGTAGAGGGAACAGGGGGAGGGGGGAGTCCCTGAAGCGGGGCTGCTGGCTCCATTTTATGAAAGATGGGAAGACTGATGGCTGGGGAGGGCTTGGAATCCTCAGGGAAGGGAATCCATTCAAGTGAGGCCCAAATGTTAAAGCAGACAGCTCAAAGTTCAAAGTTGGGCTGCATCTTAGCAGCAGGGCAGACAAACCCTGATCTGAGTTTTAGAGGAGGGGGACGGGCTGAGGATGGGGATGGGGGAAACCCCCATTCCCTACATGTCCAGGGAAGAGAGTGCATTGCTAACCAGGCGCTTTGCAGAATGAATGAGGAAAGGGAAAAGGGTTCCTGAGTAGGAGTGGTAAATCCACAAAACTTGAGGCATATCTGGATGGGAAAAATGAGTATCTAAGAAAGCCTGAATTGATAGGCTGCACGGGAATTAACTTGGCCTCTAAGAATCCCTTCCTAGAAGCACGTCGCTGTGGCTAAACTGGAGGAAGGGCAGGGACACCAGACTTCCAGGCTGCCCAGGTGACCACGCACCACAGCTGTGGCAGCCTGTCACCCTCCACCGCCTTCTATGGACAGCTGTCTTTTCATGACTGGGAAGGGATTCTTGAAAGCCAGAACCTAGGCAAATCTGGCCCCAGAGAACTTCAAAATGGAGGGATGGGTCACTTTCGTTCCTCCTTCATGCCCAGGATTTCATGGCTGCAGAGCTGTCCAGCCTTGAATCTGGGTGGCCAGGCTGGACACCTGGATCTGGGGGACCAAAGGGGTATAAAGTAGGAGTTGGTGAGTGCAAAACAGATCCCATCCATCTGTGGTTGACTGCAGACCCACTGGGTATGGAGGAGGGCATCCCATCTCTCTACGCCTCAATTTCCCAGTTTGAGATACTGACAGTAGCAAGTAAGACCCATGAAGGCTTTGAGATGGAGGGCACTCCAGGCAGCCAGCTTTCTATAAACCTAGCAGTACCGAAAAGGGAACAGAACTTGACGCTCAGGAAAAGCTTGTCACCTCCTTGTTCTCTTGCTCCAGGCCTTTGTCCCCACCCCACCCTCCAGCCCTGAGCAGCCCACCCACTTCCCCCTACAGAGCTAGCCTAGGAGGTGGTTCTAACTTGCACTCTCCAGAGGCTACGAGAAGGAGTGGCCTTTACTTATATGAGGGAAAGCAACGACATTCTTTAAGGCACCCTCAGCTCAGTTTGGAAAACCCCAGCCAGAACCCCCTCACCCTCGCCCCTCACCCCTTTCTAGACCCTCTAAACCCCACTGGTCCCAGCTGGGATCGGCTCTCCAGCCTCCATCTGATCCATGTCTCCTGGACTTGTGAGCGGCGTGCTCAGGAGACAAAGGGTGCGGAGAGGCTGGGGGCCGCGTAAAGAGCCCTGGCGCACCTCAGACCTTCGGCTTCGCAGCCGCAGTGGAGGCCGCGCCAGCAACTGGGCTCCGGGAACCAAGGCGTCCGCGCGCGCACGCAGACTCGCCCGCGCGCCGCGTGCCCCGCGCTGCCCAGATCGGTACCCGCGCTTCGGACACCCTGCTCCCAGGGCGCTCCTCGCTTCCAGCCTCCCACCTTGCGCCTTGGGATTCCCATGAGCCCCGCGCCTGAGACACCCCACGCTCTGTGTATTCCGTCCCACGGGACCTCCACGCCCACGGTGCCACGCGCCTCGAGTACCCCATGTTCTATGAACCCTGCACCTGGACGCCCCATCTTCTGTGCACCCTGTGCTATAGAACCCGCACGCCCAGGGTGCCCTATGCCTAGGGCACCCTGTGTTCTCCTGCGTATCTGGGACCCCACATTTTGTACGCCTAGCACCTCCAGCATCCCAGCGTCAGACACAGCTGGGCTCGCCTATGCCTTGTCTGTCCCCTCTCTGTGCCTTCCATGTATTGCGCCCACTGCCTCGGTTGGGCCCCCAACCTCACAGTCCTGAAGGCTCTGCTTCGCCCCAGTGCTCAGCTTCCCTTTGCCTCAGGCCCAGCGCCCTCGTTCCCGGGTGCCCTGCCTCAGGCTCCTGGACAGGTCAGCGCAACGCCAGACAGCCACTGCCCACCAGGCGCCCCCAGCCCGTGTTTTCCTAGAGCCCACTCGGTATAGGATGCACAACCCTGCTGTTCATTTCACTGCTCCGTGCACGTATTCATTCCTTCCATTTACGCCTCAAACACACAGCACGCACCTTATATGCCCTTACCTGTCAGGTGCAGTGTGATGCATTGAGGATGTGCCTCCAGTGCACAGGGAACAAGGCAGGGAGCCTTCTCTGGGCGCTTCCTTCGTCATGGAGAAGATGGACACAGAATGTGTGATGGAATGAGCCCTGGAAAGTCAGCAGGTGCCAGGGAGTGGAGGATGGACCTATCCAAGCCTTGAGGTGTGGGTGAAGTTTTGTGTGTCCCTGGCCTTTCCAGAGGCTCCCTGTACCCCCATCTTAGGCAACTTCTTTTATTTATTTATTTATATTTTTATTTATTTATTTATTTTGAGGAGTCTCGCTCTGTTGCCCAGGCTGGAGTGCAGTGGCACGATCTCTGCTCACTGCAACCTCCCTCTCCCGGGTTCAAGTGATTTCCGGCTAAGTTTCATATTTTTAGTAGGGACAGGGTTTCACCATGTTGGCTAGGCTGGTCTCGAACTCCTGACCTCAAGTGATCCGCCCACCTCGGCCTCCCAAAATGTTAGGACTACAGGCGTGAGCTACCGCGCCACACTATTTATTTATTTTTGGAGACAGGGTCTCTTTCTGTCGCCCAGGTTGGAGTGCAGTGATGAAATCATAGCTCACTGCAGCTCACTGCACGAGCCACCACACCCAGCTAATTTTTGTATTTTTTTTTTTCATAGCTTGCTATGTTGCCCAGACTGGTCTCAAACTCCCGGACTCAAATGATCCTCCTTCCTAAGTCTCCCAAAGGGCTGGGATTACAGGTGTGAGCCGTGGTGGCAGGCCAACCTTGGGCGATTTCTGAGCTCCATTCAGTTCCACCCCCACTGCCAAGCCAAGTGGAGGGCAAGATGAAGAGGTCCCAGAATTGGGCTAGGAGGATAGGTTGGGGGCAGGGAGTAATTCCAACTGTGTTCTTTTATTTTATTTTATTTTATTTTATTTTTATTTTTTTTTTTTGAGATGGAGTCTCACTCTGTGTCATCCAGGCTGGAGTGCAGTAGCATGATCTCGACTCAGTGCAACCTCTGCCTCCCAGATTCAATTGATTCTCCTACTTCAGCCTCCCAAGTAGCTGGGATTACAGGAATGCGCCTCCATGCCAGGCTAATTTTTGATTTTTTTTTTTTTTTTCAGTAGAAACAGGGTTTCACCATGTTGGCCAGGCCGGTCTTGAACTCCTGACCTCAAATGATCTGCCCGCCTCAGCCTCCCAAAGTGCTGGGATTACAGAAATGAGCCACTGCACCCAGCCAGGTTTTTTTGTTGTTTGTTTTTTGTTTTGTTTTGTTTGAGACGCAGTTTCACTCTTGTTGCCCAGGCTGGAGTGCAATGGTGTGATCTCAGCTTACCACAACCTCCACCTCCCGGGTTCAAGCCATTATCCTGCCTCAGCCTCCGGAGTAGCTGGGATTACAGGCACACACCACCACGCCCAGCTAATTTTGTATTTTTAGTAGAGACGGGGTTTCTCCGTGTTGGTCAGGCTGGTCTTGAACTCCCATCCTCAGATGATCTGCCCACCTCAGTCTCCCAAAGTGCTGGGATTACAGGCGTGAGCCACCGCGCCCGTCCTCAGGGGGTATATTTTGAAGGTGGAGCAGATGGATTGGAAGTGGGATACGAGGGAAAGAGGTAAGTCAAAATTTGTGAGCTGAGTGAGCCCCTGGAAGGATGGAGAGGATGGAGAGGGGGCAGTTTTGTAGGTTAGATCCAAGCCTTTGGTTTGATATGTCCAAGTGGAGGCATGAAGTTGGTGCCCGGGGAGAGGTTCAGGCTGGCCGAGAAATGGCTCAAATGAGCACGAATGCTCTCATTTATACTTTATGGTAACTCTGTGGGTGGGGGACTTTCTCCCCATCTTACAGAAGGGGCAACGAAGGCTCCAGAACATGCCCAAGTAGTTAAAAAATGTAGTTATAGGCCGGGTGCAGTGGCTCACGTCTGTAATCCCATTACTTTGGGAGGCCGAGGTGGGCAGATCACCAGAGGTTGGGAGTTCGAGACCAGCCTGACAAACATGGAGAAACCCTGTCTGTACTAAAAATACAAAATTAGCCAGGCATGGTGGCGCGTGCCTGTAATCCCAGCTACTTGGGAGGCTGAGGCAGGAGAATCACTTGAATCCGGGAGCTGGAGGTTGTGGTGAGCCAAGATCGCACCACTGCAATCCAGCCTGGAGACAGAGCAAGACTCCGTCTAAAAAAAAAAAAGTTAGGTTCCGAGCCGGGTCCCGGATTTGGGCTGGGAGGATAGGGTGGGGAAGGGGAATAATTCCAACTGTGGTCTTTTTCTTTTCTCACTCTGTTGTCCAGGCTGGAGTGTAATGGCTCAATCTCAGCTCACTGCAACCTGTTTCCTATGTTCAAGCAAGTCTCCTGCCTCAGCCTCCTGAGTAGCTGGGACAACAGGCGTATGCCACCATGCCTGGCTAATTTTGTATTTTTGTAGAGACAGAGTTCCACAATGTTGCCCAGGCTGTTCTCAAACTCCCAGGCTCAAGCGATCCTCCCGCCTCGGTCTCCCAAAATGCTGGCATTACAGGTGTGAGCCACTGCGCCTAGCTAGGCAGGACTATTTGAAAGGCACCAGGGCTAGGCTAGCATGGTGGGAGGCCAGGAGAGGGTCTAGATTATATTCCCAGTGATACTAGGAACCCCAAGAGGGCTTTCAGAAGTGGGTGGCATGATCTTATTTGGATGTTTAAAAGATTATAGGGCTGGGCTTGGTGGTGTGATCCTGTATCCTAGCTGAGGCAGGAGGATTCACGCACACAGGCTTGATCCTAGGACTTCCGGGAGGTGGTGTGTGCCATGACCATCAACGTCAATGTGGTGACCCCCCAAGAGCAGGGGACCACCAGGTTGCCTAAGGAAGAGTCAACTGGCCCAGGTTGGAAACACAGCAGGTTAAAACTCCTGTGTTGATCAGTAGTGGAATCACGTCTGTGAATAGCCACTGCACTCCAGCCTGGGCAACAGGGTGAGAAAAGAAAAAGACCACAGTTGGAATTATTCCCCGCCCCCAACCTATCCTCTCTAAAACCCCCCAACCCTGTCTCTAAAACAAAATGTTAAAATAAGAATAAATAAAATAGGCCAGGCACGGTGGCTCACACCTGTAATCCCAGCACTTTGGGAGGCCGAGGCGGGTGGATCACGAGGTCAGGAGATCGAAACCATCCTGGCTAACACAGTGAAACCCCGTCTCTACTAAAAATACAAAAAATTAGCCGGGCGTGGTGGTGGGCACCTGTAGTCCCAGCTACTCGGGAGGCTGAGGCAGGAGAATAGTGTGAACCGAGGAGGCGGAGCTTGCAGTGAGCCAAGATCATGTCACTGCACTCCAGCCTGGGCAACAGAGCCAGACTCTGTCTCAAAAAAACAAATAAATAAAAATAAATAAATAAATAAATAAAATAAAAGATTATATGAGTGCTCCCTCAATAACTATAACACAGAATTACTATATGAGGCAGGGCACGGTGTCTCACGCCTGTAATCCCAGCACTTTGGGAGGCCAAGATGGGAGGTTCGTTTCAGTCCAGGAGTTCAAGACCAGCTTGGGCAACATAGTGAGACACGGTTTCTACAAAATATACAAACATTACCTGGGCAGGGTGGCTTGCACCTATAGTCCCAGCTACTCAGGATCGGGGGCTGAAATGGGAGGATCATTTGAGCCTGGGAGGTCGAGGCTGCAGTGAGCTATGATTGCACCACTGCACTCCAGCCTGGGCGGCAGAGCAAGACCCTGTCTCAAAAAAAAAAAAAATGCTGTATGATTCAGCAATTTCTCTCCTAAGTATAACCGAAAGAATTGAAAACAGCCTCCTAAACAGATACTTGTATGTAGATGTTCCTAGCAGCACTACTCACCATAGTAAAAACGTGAAAACAATCCAAATGTTTATCAGTAGATGAACAGATAAACAAAATGTATATTCATACAATGGAATATTTTCCAACCATTAAAAGGAAAGATGTCCTGGTACACACTACAACAGGGATGAAACTTGAAAACACCATGCTCAAAAGAAGCCAGGCACAAAAGTTCCCATAGTGTACCATTATATGTTCTATTTATATGAAATTTATATGAAATGTCCAGAACAGGCAAATCCAGAGAGACAGAAAGCGGATGAGGGGTGGCCCAGGGCTGGGGGAGGAGGGAATGGGGAGTGACTGCTAACGGGTGTGAGTTTTCTTAAGGGGATGATGAAAAATGTCTTGGAACTAGACATGATGAATGTACTATGACATGACATGACATCGTCCACCTTAAAATGGTTGGTGGTTAATTTTTTGTTGTGGGAATTTTAGCTCAATTAAAAATGGTGGCCGGCAGTCACGGTGGCTCACGCCTGTAATCCCAGTACTTTGGGAGGCCGAGGCGGGTGGATCACAAGGTCAGGAGTTCAAGACCAGCCTGGCCAAGATGCTGAAACACCGTCTCCACTAAAACTACAAAAATCAGCCGGGCGTGTGTGGGGAAAAGCAAGAGAGATCAGATTGTTACTGTGTCTGTGTAGAAAGAAGTAGACATAGGAGACTCCATTTTGTTATGTACTAAGAAAAATTCTTCTGCCTTGAGATTCTGTTAATCTATAACCTTACCCCCAACCCCGTGCTCTCTGAAACGTGTGCTGTGTCAACTCAGAGTTAAATGGATTAAGGGCGGTGCAAGATGTGCTTTGTTAAACAGATGCTTGAAGGCAGCATGCTCCTTAAGAGTCATCACCACTCCCTAATCTCAAGTACCCAGGGACACAAAAACTGCGGAAGGCCGCAGGGACCTCTGCCTAGGAAAGCCAGGTATTGTCCAAGGTTTCTCCCCATGTGATAGTCTGAAATATGGCCTCGTGGGAAGGGAAAGACCTGACCGTCCCCCAGCCCGACACCCGTAAAGGGTCTGTGCTGAGGAGGATTAGTAAAAGAGGAAGGAATGCCTCTTGCAGTCGAGACAAGAGGAAGGCATCTGTCTCCTGCCTGTCCCTGGGCAATGGAATGTCTCGGTATAAAACCCGATTGTATGCTCCATCTACTGAGATAGGGAAAAACCGCCTTAGGGCTGGAGGTGGGACCTGCGGGCAGCAATACTACTTTGTAAAGCATTGAGATGTTTATGTGTATGCATATCTAAAAGCACAGCACTTAATCCTTTACATTGTCTATGATGCAAAGACCTTTGTTCACGTGTTTGTCTGCTGACCCTCTCCCCACAATTGTCTTGTGACCCTGACACATCCCCCTCTTCGAGAAACACCCACAAATGATGAATAAATACTAAGGGAACTCAGAGGCTGGCGGGATCCTCCATATGCTGAACGCTGGTTCCCCGGGTCCCCTTATTTCTTTCTCTATACTTTGTCTCTGTGTCTTTTTCTTTTCCAAATCTCTCGTCCCACCTTACGAGAAACACCCACAGGTGTGGAGGGGCAACCCACCCCTACAGCGTGGTGGCGGGCGCCTGCAATCCCAGCTACTCGGGAGGCTGAGGCAGGAGAATCGCTTGAACCCAGGAAGCAGAGGTTGCAGTGACCCAAGATTGTGCCACTGCACTCCAAACTGGGCAACAGAGTGAGACTGCCTCAAAAAAAAAAAAAATGCTAGGGGCCGGGGCACGGTGTCTTACACCTGTAATCCTGGCACTTTGGGAGATAGAGGCTGGCAAATCATTTGAGGCCAGGAGTTTGAGACCAGCCTGGCCAACACGGAGAAACCCCATCTCTACTAAAAATACAAAAAAAGCCGGGCGTGGTGGCACGTGCCCATAGTCCCAGGTACTCCAGAGGCTGAGGCAGGAGAATCACTTGAACCCAGGGGCAGAGGTTGCAGTGAGCTGAGATCGCACCACTGCAGTCCAGCCTGGGCAATAGAGTGAGATGCCAAAAAAAAAAAAAAAAAAAAGGAAGGAAGGAAGATAAGAAGGAAGGGAGGAAGGAAGGAAAGAAAATGATAGGAATGCTGGTGTGCTCCTGTAATCCCAGTTACCTGGGAGGCTGAAGTGGGAGGATCACTTGAGCCTGGGAGTTAGAGACTGCAGTGAGCTATGACTGCAACACTGCACTCCAGCCTGGGTGACCGAGCGATACTCCTATCTCTTAAAAAATATATATTATTTATAGATTATTATTATTTTTTAATTATACAGGTCAGCCGGGCGCAGTGACTCATGCCTGTAATCCTAGCACTTTGGGAGGTCAAGGCGGGAGGATCGCTTGAGCCCAGGAGTTCGAGACCAGCCTGGGCAGCATAGCGAGACCTGGTCTCTAAATAAATAAATTATATAGTCAATTTGAGAGGGACCCAGGAGATTCGTGAGGTGATCACCACTGTCATGCAGGTGAGAGGCAGGTGATGGAGGCCCAGAACGGGATGCTGGGGGAAAACGTTAGGTTTTCGGCATGTCTTAGGGGCAGAGTCAACAGGACCCCTTACTTTGCACCCTCCTTGAACTCTGCTTATATGTTACCTCCTGACCACTCTATTGAAAATGCAAAACACAGGACCGGGCGCGGTGGCTCACGCCTGTAATCCCAGCACTTTGGGAGGCCGAGGCGGGCAGACCACGAGGTCAGGAGCTCGAGACCATCCTGGCTAACACGGTGAAACCCCGTCTCTACTAAAAATACAAAAAATTAGCCAGGCGTGGTGGTGGGCGCCTGTAGTCCCAGCTACTAGGGAGGCTGAGGCAGGAGAATGGCGTGAACCCGGGAGGTGGAGCTTGCAGTGAGCAGAGATCATGCCACTGCACTCCAGCCTGAGCGACAGAGCGAGACTCCGTCACAAAAAAAAAGAAAAAAGAAAAAAGAAAAGAAAATGCAAAACACAAAAATTAGCTGGGTGTGGTGGCACATGCCTGTAATCCCGGCTACTTAGGAGGCTGAGGCACAAGAGTCGCTCTAACCCGGGAGGTGGAGGTTGCAGTGAGCCGAGATCACACCTCTGCACTCCAGCCTGGGCGACAGAGCAAGACTCTGTCTCAAAAAAAAGAAAAAAGAAAACTGCAAACACCCCCACCCTCCTCACTCCCTTGATCTCCTCTCCCCTTTATCTCTCTCCAGTCCCAGAGACTGGGGGGGGGGGGGTCTCACTATGTTGTCCAGGCTGGTCTCGAACTCCTAGTCCCCACAGCATATCCTGACCTAGTTTCGTTTTCATTCATTTATCTATCTCCCTCACTAGAATACCAACTCCCCAGTCCAGGGATGTTTGTTTCTTGTTCACTGCTGTCTACCCGGAGCCTAGGACAGATCCTGGCACACAGTAGGCGCTCAGGAGAAAGCGGGGGAGTGGAGGAAAGCGAGAATCCCGGAAGCCGCCGGGTTCCAGCCTGAGCAGCAGGCGGGCGTTTAAGTGGAGGCGGATTCCTAGTTAGGCACCAGCTGGAAGGGGAGCCCGGCTGGGCTGCGCTTCCTTCCCCGGCCGCTAGGGGCCGTTTCCCCGCTGCTCTGCGGCCGCCAGGTGAGGGGGCCCCGCCTCTTCTTCCCAGGTGCTCAGGAGGGGCAGCCCGGGGAAGGGAGGGGGGTGAAGAGCGCAGAGCTGGGGGAGTTGGGGTGTGAGGGGACAAAGTGGGGGTGAAGGGAGAGAGCTGAGCGTGTTTGAGATGGGGACTGCTTAAAGGAAGGGAAAAATGCGTAGGGAGGTTGGGAGGTGTGAGAAGGTGAGGAGACAGCCCGGTGTTAGGGAGAGAGGAGCGGAGGGTTGAGGGAGGTGCGGGAAGATGGGTGATAAACTGGGGAGTCCGGGAAAGTCTGGCAGGCGGAAGGCCTTGCCCTGGTGGCTCCACTGGAGGAAATTTGGACCATGCATGGAAAAGACCGGGACGATTGAGGGGTGGGATTGGCCTGTGGGGTTGAGGATCCCAGGGAAGAAGCCCTAAGCTTTGCTGGACTTGGACTTGGCCAGTGTGTTCTGGGGAGGAAGAGGGATTTCTCAGACCCAGATCCCTCGGACCAGCAACGGGGAGGGACTCCCCCTTTGAGGAGTGCGATGTGCCTGGCAAGTTCACCAGCTAGCTTCTGCAGAACGTGTGGCCAGTAAGTGGCTTATTCAACCTGGCACTGACTCTGCCTCTCTCTCCTTCAAGCCTCAGGGCCAGGATTCATTGTGTAATGAATTGAGTGGTAAAACAGCAATGAATGAGACAGATCCAGTCCCGGCACTGGCCAGTCCCGGCACAAAGAAGGCTTCCCAGCCCTGGGGAAGTGACAGGTAAACTGAGGCAGGGACCTGCTGGCTTTAAATAGCAGTCCCCCTCATGGTGATCTGGGCAGAGACGACCACTCATATGGAGGCTCTGAGGCTGTTACCAAGAAAAAAGCCGGCAGTATCCAAGCTGCAATAGTGTGATAGGGAGTGGTGGGGTCTGCGGCAACCCAGAAATGCCTGCCAGCTCTAAAGGGATCCTGTGTTTGGGATTAAGGTGGATGTGGGGGCTTGCAGGCTCTGTGGAATGGAGATAGGTTGGGAAGGGGGTTGGGAATAGGAGTGAGGGGTTATAGGTGGGTCCCAGAGAGGTAGAGGTGATGGCCATGGGAAGGTAGAAGGTGACTCCTAACCTTGCATGAGCTCATTTCAGGGGACACAAAGCCAAATGCTGACCAGGGAATGAAAATGCAGAATTTGGGCAGGTGTGAGGCAGTGGTGAAGGACAGGGTAGCTGAAGTTGCACCACCCCCCCCTTTTCCATGGGCACCCGCTTGCTACCACTCAGCTCCAGCTGTGCGCTACCACGTGGGAACTCAGGCTCAATGTTGCCAGAATAGCTTCTTCAAGAGAAGCCAGAAATCACAGTTGTTGCACAAAATTCCCTGAGCTTTAAATATCCCATGGGGATCTACTAAAGTTAAATTGCTACGACCCAGCAATTCCATTCCTGGGTTGATTCCCAGTGGGAACAGGAGCTTAGGTTCACCTAAAGACACATCCATGGATGTGCCTAGCAGCTTCATTCATGATCGCCAAACACCAGACACCCCTTAAGTTGACCATCGACTGGCAAATGGAAAAGAAATGGGAGGACATTCATATAATGGAATATAACGCAGCAATGAAAAAGAATAAACTACTGATGCATTCACAGCATGGATGAATACCAGAGACATAATGTTCAGTAGGAGAAGCAAGATAACAAAGAGAATACCCTGAGTGATTTCATTCCTGTATTGTTCAAGGCCAGGCAGAAGTAACCTATGAAAAGAGTTGGGGAAGCCCAGGTTTTCCTAACTTCGGCCTCATTGACATTTGTGGCTAAATGATTCTGCTTGATGGGGGCTGTCCTGTGCACTGTAGGATGTTGAGCAGAATCCCTGGCCTCCAACCATTACATACCAGCAGCACCCCCCAGTTGTGACAAATGTCTGTTGTTAGGGGCATAATCACCATCAGATGGGAGCCACTGGTCCAGGCGTGGTGGCTTACACCTGTAATCCCAGCACTTTGGGAGGCCAAGGCAGGTGGATCACTTGAGGCCAGGAGTTCAAGACCAGCCTGGCCAACATGGTGAAACCCTGTCTCTACTAAAAATACAAACAAATTAGCCAGACGTGGTGGTGTGTGCTTATAGTCCCAGCTACGTGGGAGGCTGAGGCAGGAGAATCGCTTGAACCCAGGAGGCAGAGGTTGCAGTGAGCAAACATAGCACCACTGCACTCCAGCCTGGGTAACAGAGCAAGACTACATCTCAAAAAAAAAAAAAAAAAAAAAAGCCACTGGCTTAGTGATGTTTTGAGGCAGCCCACTTCCTGGAAAATAGCCCAGGGAGCCTCCTGGGAGACTGGAATGTTCTTGATCTTGAACTAGGTGACAGTGATAAGGGTGAAATGTATTTCAAAAATCCACAGACCTGTGCCCCTAAGATTTATGTGTTTCACCATAAAGGCATTAACTCTACAACATGGATGACCCTTGAAAACATTTGGAAAAGTGAAAGAAGCCAGACACAGAGGGTCACATAGTATATAATTTCCTTTATATGAAATGCCCAAAACAGATAAACACATAGAGACAGAAACAGATTGGTGATTGCCAGGGGATGGGGGATGGGGAATGGAGATTGACTGCTAGTGGGGATAGGGCTTCTTTTGGGGGTGATGGAAATGTTCTGTAATTAGACGTGATAGTTGCACAACTCTTTTAGTATACAAAAGTCCAGTGAATTGTACATTTTAAAATGTACAATTGGGGCCAGGCACAGTGACTCATGCCTGTAATCCCAGCACTTTGGGAGGCCGAGGCGGGCAGATCACTTGAGGTCAGGAGTTCAAGACCATTCTGGCCAATATGGTGAAACCCTATCTCTACTAAATATACAAAAATTAGCCAGGCATGGTGGTGCACACCTCTAGTCGCAGCTACTCAGAAAGCTGAGGCAAGAGAATCACTTGAACCCAGGAGGCAGAGGTTGCAATGAGCAAATATCACACCACTGCACTCCAGCCTGGGTGTCGCAGCAAGACTCTGTCTCAAAAAACAAAAACAAAAAAATGTACGATTAATCTTGGCTGGGCACAGTGGCTCATGCCTGTAATCCTAACAAACACTTTGAGAAGCAGAGGTGGGAGGATTGCTTGAGCCCAGGAGTTTGAGACCGGCCTGGGCAACATAGCAAGACCCCAGCTCTACAAATTTTTTTTTTTTTTTGAGACAGAGTCTTGCTCTGTTGCCCAGGCTGGAGTGCAGTGGTGCAATCTTGGCTCATTGCAACCTCTGCCTCCCGGGTTCAAGCGATTCTTCTGCCTCAGCCTCCCAAGTAGCTGAGATTACAGGCGCGTGCCACTACACCTGGCTGATTTTTGTATTTTTAGTAGAGACAAGGTTTCACCATGTTGGCCAGGCTGGTCTCGAACTCCTGACCTCAGGTGATCCACCCACCTCAGTCTCCCAAAGTGCTGGGATTACAGGCGTGAGCCACAGTGCCGGGCGAAAATTTTTTTTAATTAGCTGGGCAACGTGGAGCCTGCCTGTAATCCCAGCTACTTGGGAGGCTGAGGTGGGAGGATCGCTTGACCCCAGGAGTTTGAGGTTGCCGTGAGCTATGATTGCACCACTGCACTCCAGCCCGGGGAGACAGAGAGAGATTCTGTTTCTAAAAATAATATACAATAAAATGACGAGTGTTATGTTAACTGAATTTTATTCCAAAAAGGAATTTAAAATTTTTTTTTAATTTTTTTTTAAAAAGGAATTTTTTAAAAACAAGGAGTTAACCATACAGGCCAAACAACACATCTGGGGCCAGTTTGGCCCCAGGGCTGCCGTCATTTGGGAATGGAGGGAAAGGAAGGGGACGGGGTGGAGGGGTGGGAGGGTAATGCACCATCCAGGAGTTGTGGGCGTTCTTGGTGAAGGGTGGGGGATGAAGCAACTTGGAGGCAAAAGAAAGTAAGTCTCGGCTCAGGGGAGCGCTCCCTCTTAACCCAACCTGCCAGCCCTGGAAAGAAATCAGCTACGGGTCGGAGGCCAGCCAGCGAACTGTCAAGGAAGTGCAGAGTTCTGACGGGTTAGAGAGAAATGACAACCGCTCAGCCCCGCCTGACACCCTGGCGGTGGCGTGATGAAGTGGTGCTTGCCGGGTGGGCGGAGGATGCTCTCTGCGAGCTTGCGGGAAAGTGGGGGCGCCCACCCGAGTTCTTCTGCAGTGTGAAGAGAGGTGGGTTCGGCCTCCCTGGTAACAAAGGGCGGACGGGGTGGCATTTGCCCCTACCCATCCCTCCTGGAGGGAGAGCCATTCCCGTGGGTGCAAGGAAGAGAGAAGACAGCGGGCTTCTGGGGGCACAGCTGGGGGTGCAGGGTCTGAGTCTCCATTGGCTTCAAAAAACTGAATGATGGCCGGGCGCAGTGGCTAACGCCTGTAATCCTAGCACTTTGGGAGGCTGAAGCAGGCGAATCACCGGGCGTCAGGAATTTGAGACCAGCCTGGCCAACATAGTGAAACACTGTCCCTACTAAAAATACAAAAATTAGCTGGGTGTGGCGGCAGGTGCCTGTAATCCCAACTACTCGGGATGCTGAGGCAGGAGAATTGCTTGAACCCTGGAGGCAGAGGTTGCAATGACCCAAGATTGTGCCACTGCACTCCAGCCTGGGCGACAGAGCGAGACTCCACTCAAAAAATAATAAAATAAAATAAAAAACTGAATGAGTGAAGAGAGACAGAAAGAAAATTAAGGAGGCGAGGCACGGTGGCTCATGCCTGTAATCCCAGCACTTTAGGAGGCTGAGGCAGGCAGATCACTGGAGGTCAGGAGTTTGAGACCAGCCTGGCCAACATGGTGAAACTCTGCTCTACCAAAAAGTACAAAAATTAGCCAGGCGTGGTGGCGGGCACCTGTAATCCCCGCTACTCGGGAGGCTGAGGCAGGAGAATGGTGTGAACCCGGGAGGCGGAGCTTGCAGTGAGCCAAGATGGCGCCACTGCATTCCAGCCTGGGCAACAGAGCAAGACTCCGTCTCAAAAAAGAAGAAAGTTAAGGCCTCCCGAGTAGCTGGGACCACAGGCACACACCACCACACCCAGCTAACTTTCATATTTTTTGTAGAGATAGGGTTTCGCTATGTTGCCCAAGGTGGTCTTGAACTCCTGGCTCAAGTGATCCTCCTGCCTCAGCCTCACAAAGTGCTGGGATTATAGGCGTGAGCCACCGCACCTGGCCTGCATATAACTTTGGACTTCCCAAAAACTTAACCACTGATAGCCTATGGTTGATCAAAAGCCTTACCAATGACATAAACAATCCATGAACTCGTATTCTGTATGTTCTATATATTACACACAATATTCTTAGAATAAAGTAAGCTAGAGAAAAGAAATGTTATGAAAATCATGAGAAAGAGAAAATGTGTTTACTATTCATGAAGTGGAAGTGGATTATCATAACCGTCTTCATCCACGAGTCTTCCGATGGAATAGGCTGAGGAGGAAGAGGAAGAAGAGGGGCTGTCTCAGGGGTGGCAGAGGCGGAAGAACATCCACTTACAAGGGGACTCAGGCAGTTATGGCTCAAGCCCATGTTGTTCAAAAGTCAACTGTAATAGAATTTTTTCTTTTTCTTTTTTTTTTGAGGCAGAGTCTCACTCTGTCACCCAGGCTGGAGTGCAGTGACGCGATCTTGGCTCGCTGCAACCTCGGTCTCCCGGATTCAAGCAATTCTCCTGTCTCAACCTCCCAAGTAGCTGGGATTATAGGCAACCGCCACCACGCCCAGCTAATTTTTGTACTTTTAGTAGAGACGAGGTTTTGCCATGTTGGCCAGGCTGGTCTGGAACTCCTGACCTCAGGTGATCTGCCCACCTTGGCCTCCCAAAGTGCTGGGATTGCATGTGTGAGCCACTGCACCCAGCCAGTAGAAATGTATTGCTTACAGTTCTGGAGGCCAGGAAGTCCAAGATCAAGGCACCAGCAGATTTGGTGTCTGGTGAGAGCCCACTCCACCCCCCAGGTTCAAGCGATTTTCCTGCCTCAGCCTCCTGAGTAGCTGGGATTACAGGTGTGTGCCACCATGCCTGGCTGACTTTTGTATTTTTAGTAGAGATGGGGTTTTGCCATGTTGGCCAGGCTGTTCTTGAACTCCTGACCTCAGGTGATCCACCCACCTCAGCCTCGCAAAGTGCTGGGATTATAGGTGTGAGCCACCGCACCTGGCCAAGCGAGTTATTTTTATTTTATTTATTTGTTTATTTGAGACAAGATCTGGTTTTATCACCCAGGCTGGAGTGCAGTGGCGCGATCTCGGCTCACTGCAACCTCCACCTCCCAGGCTCAAGCCATTCCCCCACCTCAGCTTCCCAGGGAGCAGCTGGGACTGCAGGTGCGCACCACTACACCCAACTGATTTTTTTTTTTTTTTTTCAGACAGAGCCTCACTCTGTCACCAGGCTGGAATACAGTGGTGTGATTTCAGCTCACTGCAACCTCCACCTCCCAGGTTCAAGCGATTCTCCTGCCTCAGCCTCCCGAGTAGCTGGGATTACAGGCACCTGCCACCATGCCTAGCTAATTTTCTCTATTTTTAATAGAGACAGGGTTTCACCATGTTGGCCAGGATGGTCTTGATCTCCTGACCTCGTGATCCACCCGCCTCGACCTCCCAAAGTGCAGAGATTACAGGCGTGAGCCACCGCACCCAGCCAATTTTTGTATTTTTTGTAGAGATGGGGTTTGTCATGTTGTCCAGGCTGGTATCGAACTAGTGAGCTCAAGTGATCCGTCTGCCTCGGCCTCCCAAATTGCTGGGATTACAGGCGTATGCCACTGTGCCTGGCCTATTTATTTATTTATTTTTCCAATGTTTGTTTTAAGTTCAAGGGGCACATGTCCACGTTTTTTATTTGGGTAAATTACGTGTTGCAGGAGTTTGGTATACAGATAATTTTGTCACCCAGGTAATCACCATAACACCCAACAGGTAGTTTTTCAATCCTGACCCTCCTTTTACCTTCCACCCTCAAACAGACACCAGTGTCTGTTGTTCCCATCTTTTTTTTTTTTTTCTTTTTTTGAGACGGAGTCTTGCTTCGTTGCCCAGGGTAGAGTGCACTGGCATAATTTCGGCTGACTGCAACCTCTGCCTTCCAGGTTCAAGAGATACTCCTGCCTCAGCCTCCCTAGTAGCTGAGATTATAGGCATGTGCCAGCACGCCTGGCTAGTTTTTGTATTTTTAGTGGAAATGGGGTTTCACCATGTTGGCCAGGCTGGTCTCGAACTCCTGACCTCAAGTGATCCACCTGCCTCAGCCTCCCAAAGTGCTAGGATTACAGGCGTGAGCCACCGTGCCTGGCCTGTTGTTCTCACCTTTGTGTCCATGTGTACTCAGTGTTTAGCTACCACTTATAAGTGAAAACATGTGGTATTTGGTTTTCTGTTCCTGCATTAGTTGGCTTAGGAGAATGGCCTCCAGCTCCATCCATATTGCTGCAAAGGATATGATCTCATTCTATTTTTTTTTTTTTGAGACAGTCTCATTCTGTCACCCAGGCTGAAGTGCAGTGTCGTGACCTCGGCTCACTGCAACCTCCGCCTCCCAGGTTCAAGCAATTCTCCTGCCTCAGCCCCTCGAGTAGCTGGGACTACAGGCACCTGCCACCATACCCCGCTAATTTTTGTATTTTTTTGTAGAGATGGGGTTTTGCCATGTTAGCCAGGCTGGTCTCGAACTCCTGGCCTCAAGTGATCCACCCACCTTGGCCTCTGAAAATGCTGGGATTACAGCCATGAGCCACCATGCCCGGCCTCATTCTTTTTTAATGGCTGCATAGTATTCCATGGTGCATATGCACCACATTTTCTTTATCCAATCCTCCATTGACGGGTGCCTAGGCTGATTCCAAGTCTTTGCTATTGTGAATAGTTCTGCGACGAACATACATGTGCATGTGTTTTTATAGTAGAACAATTTATATTCCTTTGAGTATATACCCAGTAATGGGATTGCTGGGTCAAATAAAATAGAAGAATTTTAAATTGTTTGAGAAATCTCCAAACTGTCACACTCAATTATAAGGGCAATAATCTCACCCATGAGAATGGGGCCCTCTTGGCCTAATCACCTCCCAAGAACCCCAACTCTTCCAACATATGGATTTGGAAGGGACACAGACATTCAAACCATAGCGGTGACCTTATTTGGACAAAGCGTTTTTGCAGATGTAATTAAGTTAAGGATTTTGCAATGAGATCATCCTGGATTAGGGTGGCCCGAAATCCAATGATAAATGACCTTAGAAGAGAAGGGGGTTAGACACAGAGAAGAAGGCCAAGTGAAGACAGGCAGGGCTTGCAGCAGTACAGACACAAGCAAGGAACCATCAGAGGCTGGAAGAAGAAAGGACGAATCCTCACCTAGTGCTTTCGGAGGGATTGCAGCCCTGCACCACCCTGATTGCAACCTCTGGCCTCCGGAATGGTGAAATAATAAATTCTTGTTGTTTCCAGCCACCTAGTTTATGGTAATGTATTTCAGCAGCCCCAGGAAATGAACACAGGCCCTGATATCCAATTCCACGAGCACTTGATGAAGCATCTGGAGGGGCCCGCGGTACAGTGGAGGGGGAGGGAAACTCGAAAATGGGGAGTGTTGAGAAACGGATGGGCAGTGAGGTGGAAGACCAGAGAGCCTTTTTTTCTTTCTTTTTTTTTTAGACAGGGCCTCTCTTCGTCACCTAGGCTAGAATGCAGTGGTGCAGTCGACCTCCTGGGTTAAAGCGATCCTCCTGCCTCAGCCTCCCGAGTAGCTGGGACTACAGGCACATGCTACCATGCACAGCTAATTATTTACTTATTTTTTGTAGAGATGGGGTGTCACTATGTTGCCCAGGCTAGTCTTGAGCTCCTGGCTTCAAGCGATCCTCCTGTCTTGGCCTCCCAAAGTGCTGAGATTACAGGCTTGAGCCACTGTGCCCAGACTGGGGAACCTCTTTATAGCAGAGGTGATGACCCAGAACTGAGCTGAAGCATGCCACAAACCTACAGGGACAGACAGTAGGTAATATAAATATGCCAAGCAGCCAAGATAAAAAGACTGACTGCACCAGCAATGGAACAACTTCAGTGTCAGGGACACAGTAAGGAAGGTTGAGACTATGGCAAATAATGATAAGAATGAGTAACATTTATCAGCACTTGCTAAGCCTGTTCCTTATATAGCATGAGCTCATTTAATTCAGTTAATTTGGTTGTTTTGTTTTTTGTTTTTTTTTTTTGAGACGAGTCTTGCTATGTCGCCCAGGTTGGAGTGCAGTAGCACAATCTCGGTTCACTGCAACCTCCGTCTCCCAGGTTCAAGCAATTCTCCTGCCTCAGCTTCCTGAGTAGCTGGGATTACAAGCACGTGCCACCACACCTGGCTAATTTTTGCATTTTTAGTAGAGACAAGGTTTCGCCATGTTGGCCAGGCTGGTCTCGAACTCCTGACCTCAGGTGATCTGCCCATCTAGGCCTCCCAAAGTGCTGGGATTACAGGCATGAGCCACCACGCCCAGACAAGGTTTCGTCTTTAGGAGAAGTCAGGCATCCAGATTTTTATGCAAAAATCACATGAGGTCTGGCACTGGTGGCTCAAGCCTGTAATCCCAGCACTTTGGGAGGCTGAGGGGGGCGAATCACTTGAGTTCAAGAGCTCAAGGCCGCCTGACCAACATGGTGAAACCCTGTCTCTACTAAAAATAGAAAAAAATTAGCTGGGCCTGGTGGCCTTCGCCTGTGATCCCAGCTACTTGGGAGGCTGAGGCAGGAGAATCGCTTGAACCTAGGAGGCGGAGGTTTGCAGTGAGCAGAGATCACACCACTGCACTACAGCCTGGGCGACACAGCGAGACGCCATCTCTAAAACAACAACAACAACAACAACAATGAAAAAGCAGCCTATATTTAAAAGCTAGCAAGTCATGGGCCGGGCACGGTGGCTCACGCCTGTAATCCCAGCACTTTGAGAGGCCGAGGTGGACGGATCACGAGGTCAGTAGATCGAGACCATCCTGGCTAACACGGTGAAACCCCGAATCTACTAAAAATACAAAAAATTAGCCGGGCGTGGTGGCAGGCGCCTGTAGTCCCAGTTACTAGGGAGGCTGAGGCAGGAGAATGGCGTGAACCCGCGAGGCAGAGCTTGCAGTGAACCGAGATCGCGCCACTGCACTCCAGCCTGGGCGACAGAGCGGGACTCCATCTCAAAAATAAATAAATAAATAAATAAATAAATAAATAAATAAATAAATAAGAGCTAGCAAGTCATTACAAAATGTTTTTAAACCCTGCATGGACCAAGCCAATTACATCTGTGGGCTGGATTCAGCTCTGGGGTGGACACAGAGGGAGGGGCGGGGCATTTGGTGAAGGCGATGCAAAGCATCATGGGTGAGTTGGGGACCACATGGGCCAGGGGGTTTGACTAGGTGGTGCCTAGGCGGGTGCCAGCATGTTTGTGGGGGCAGGCGCGGGGCGGGGGTGGGGTGGTTTAAACTGAACAGGTGTTTTGGGTCTAGGTTGGAGCCACGATAACATTTTTCAATTTTGAAGAAGTCAGTGATAGCTTTTAAACAGCTGAATGACTCAGTCATGCCTGTCTGTCCCCATCCCCCAATCCCAACACCCAGAAAGCTGTGAATCAGGCTTTCTTTGGGGGTGGAGGGACAGTAGATCCATCCATGAAGGAAACAAACTAAACAGCCCCCGTCTTCCAGCGCGCTCACAGCCCGCCGGCGAGTGGGGGAAGGTGTCCTTAGTAAGGTTAGGATAGGATGGCAGGCGTGATGGTGGGAATGTGGCAGAGGGTTAGTGGTTGTCTGCAGATATGGGAGCCACTGCTATGTGTTCAATGCACTAAGGATGCAACGACGAACAGGACAGACATGGCCCTGCCTTCAAGGAAAAAGACTGTGAAGGAGGAAGGAAATAAGGAGAGACGGTAATTCCAGGGGGTGATGAGAAAATGTAAAAATTAAAATAGCAGGATGGGGGATGGGGCTCAGATCGGCAGCCTACAGGCCCAGGAGACAGAGCCGGTGGGGAGGAGGATGGAGGATGCGGAGCGGGGGTCCTCAGTGGCTCACAAGCCACCCCTTGCTCCCTGGGACCCAGCAGCCTGGCTGGGCCTCTGTCTCCCCAGAATCACCCTATCACACCAAGAACAAACCCACGGCTGACATAGATTCCTGACTCCGAGCCCAAGCAAGGGGGAGAAAGGGGAGGAAAAAAACACCCATCTGTTCTTCCTCTGATGGAATGTGATTTTTCACCCAGCGCTTAAACCTCGAGCTTCTCCTCCCATTTCCTTTCGGCAGCCGCGGCGACGCGATATAAATCGCTGTGAATGGGTTTTCCCGGCCGGTTGCCGTGTTGTTTTAATAATGGTTCATTTTCTGCCTGGGGGAAAAATAGTTGGTAAAGAAATTGAGGAGGGGGGGTTCATTTTGTGTGTGTCTGTGTGTGATTGTGCCTGTGTGTGTGTGTGTGTGTGTGTGTGTGTGTCCCGTTGCCTCAGAGAAGATTCCCGAATATTCCACTGGGACACCAAGTGACCCGTCCAGTTGGGGAATTGCTGGTCAGAGAACCAGTGCACCCCGCTTGCCTGGACAAAAGGGATTCCTTTTTTTTTTTTTTTTTTTTTTTGAGACTGAGTCTTGCTCTATTGCCCAGGCTGGAGTGCAGTGGTGCAATCCCAGCTCACTGCAATCTCCACATCCCTGGTTCAAGCGATTCTCCTGCCTCAACCTCCTGAGTAGCTGGGATTACAGGCGCCCGCCAGCATGCCCGGCTAAATTTTGTATTTTTAGTAGAGACAGAGTTTCGCCATATTGGCCGGGCTGATCGTGAACTCCTGACCTCAAGTGATCTACCCACCTTGGCCTCCCAAAGTGCTGGGATTACAGGCGTGAGCCACCGTGCCTGGCCGAAAGGGATTCATTTGAAAACCTCCTGGGCACATATATTAAGTACTTACTGTGTGCTATGCCTGACTAGGTGCGTGGGATATGTAAATGAATAAATCTCCCAGGCCCTGACCTCTCTGGG